>NC_000003.12:23760000-25010000 GCF_000001405.40 Homo sapiens | reverse complement strand
TAAGAGGGGCTACTTGAATGAGACAGGCTGGCTTTTATAAAATAAGAAACAGCTTTGACGTCAGTGCTGTCCCTGAACTGAACTGCTTAAAGGTTCAAATCGGGTTCAGTTAAATTATCCCTTCCTTCCTGCTTGTCTCCCCTTCCACTGCTTCCCCTAAACCTGACACTGCAGTCATTCCACTCTGACCTTTTCCAGACAGAATAAGGCAAATGAGCATATTTCCCATCCCCCTCTAAGTCTTCTGGAAGGCTTATCCCAAATCACAGCCCAGAAAGCTGGAAAGGGAGACCTGGTGAGCAAAGGTCAGCTGTGGTAAGGTTGGAGAAGGAACTCCTTGGAGACTCAGAGGGTGAAATGCCTAAGTGTTTCAGCCTGTTGCCAGCAACACAAGGGAAAGCATGAATGAGGACTCCCTGTGACAATTACAGAGACACCTACTCCTAAGGGAATGACCTGAAACCAGAGATCTTAGAACAACTTTCTCAAGTTGGAGCTGCTTACTGGACTCACGGGATCTGAATTTTTATGCCGATCACAATTACCCATTTTACTTGTGAAGACCAGTGGAGGATAAAAGCAGAGATGTAAGGGCATGATTGCTTTAAGTGGAATTGTAGATGTGGTTTATTGGAATATTTTCAATGTAAAAAAAATGACATGTATGATTACCTTTAAAGAGAAAACTGCTTCATTAACTAAGTCACAAAATTATAGAACGAAGTACCTATGTATCTTCTGTCAGCCATTCTACCCTTCACACTCACACCCATGGCCTCTCTCTTAAGAGTCATAGAATTTGGGAGATACTATTTTCTGGTTAGCCAGAAATGTCCAGAATTAAGTGACTTGCTCAAGGACTCCAAGCAATTGTGACAAAGCCTAAATCTAGTCTTTACTGATTTAGAGGGACAAGCCAAATTAGAAGGGACTGATTTAGAAGGGACCAGCAACTTCTTAGCAGGTCACTCTGCTTCTTCGGCAAATAGGCTTCATTTCATTGCTTTTAACTTTGAAGCACTCAGATCTTGAAAAATTAAAACCAATAAAGAGTATAGTTGTTGTTACTAGTAAAAGTTCCACATAATGAAAACCTGGAGATGAAAAATATCAGTGTGTGAAGCATACAAAAGAGGTTGCCATTGTTCACATGACCAAAATATTTGCCATTGGCTGCATTATATTGGGAATGTCCATATTAAATGTCTCAAGGGCCAGGCTGGTAATACATGTGTGAATCAGGCAGGGTTGAGGAGATAGGGAAGGTTTCTGGGAATGGACTGACTGGGAACAGACTAAATTTTTTGCTGACAAGGTCTTGAAAAACTGGAGAAAATAATGGTGATTATGATGATCATCCTGTTTCAAGGTACTAGAGAAGTACCAAGGCAGCCAAGACTTAAGCAGTCAAGGAGAAAATCTTACTGAGGTGAGCCCAATATTTCACACCAATTTCCCTGTCAAGGCATTCAAAGACTCCTAAGCAGTACTCTTGGGGAGGCTGAAAGGATAAGGTAGCTACTCAGAGGCAGAACTTTCATCATCCTCACAAGACTGAACTGTACTTAAGAGCTATATGACAGCTAGGATTTCAGAAGCCAAGTTCCTGAAGGTGAGCAGGCAAAATAAATTTATGGTGATTCAAGTCAGAGGAGCGGTCATCTGTATACAAGAGGAAATGGGTAAATAGGAGAGAAACAGACAGGCTTCTACTCTCAAGATAAAAAATTATAGAGAGTAGCAGGGCTTGTTGTAAACTGCTAAAATGTACAAGCCCTGCCAAAAGGCACTCAAATTCACACTTCCTGAAAACTCTGAACTGCCCAAACGAAACACTGTTATGAGTCAGACATCAGCTTGTAGGCCAAGAAATCTGTAGAGATTACCTATTACAAGAGCTACAAATACTAATATCTCTGTAAGAGACTTCAAGATTCAACATTAGAATATAGAGCTTTTTATGTGCCAAAAAAAGCTGTGCTAAGACCTTACACATACCTTTTCTTATTTTAACATACCCACAACCACCTTGTGAGTCAGGCATACAATGATCATCATAGTATCAACGCTCATGTTCCATAATTTGCCCAAGGTCACCCTGTGGGTATAAAGCGAGCATGGAATTAAACTATGATCATCTGACCCCAGGTCCAGACCTCTCTCCACCACAGAGATGTAACACGTATCACAAAGCTCCAGAGCTTTCAGTGTTGCAATTGAAAATGAAGATTAAAACATCATTGAGCCCAAAATCAAGAAAATGATTTTTGAGAATATTTATTGTGTGGTGGGTACTTGAGTCTTATAAGGCAGTACTCATTAGAACTTTTGAAAGTATTCTTTTTTGTTTTCCAAAAACTGTATGCACCACTTTCAGAAAATATGAGGTTTTTTTGTTTTTTTTTTTTGAGACAGTCTCACTCTGTTGCCCAGGCTGGAATGCAATGGCGCAATCTCAGCTCACTGCAACCTCTGCCTCCCAGGTAGCTGGGATTACAGGTGCCCACCACCATGCCCAGCTATTTTTTGTATTTTTTAGTAGAGATGGGGTTTCACTATGTTGGCTAGGCTAATCTCAAACTCCTGACCTCAAGTGATCCACCCACCTCGGCCTCCTAAAGTGCTGGGATTACAGGCGTGAGCCACTACACCCGGCCATGAGTGTGGTTTTGGTAGCTAGCATTGAGTTCTACATTTAGGATAACATCCTTTATTAATTAGGTACTCCTCAATGATGTCCACTGACTTGGGCAAGATCAAAGGGCAAATGTTGCAATTTCCTTTGCTTTCCTGTTTATAGTAATCAGAAGATGCAGGCTCCCTGGCCTTTTTCTTTGCTGTAAGTTTTCTTAAATATTATTGCATTCATGTTGTATCTTTTGGGTTTGGCAGATGCCAAAAGTCTGAAGCATAAATCAAACTCAGGAGTGAAAATCACAGTTTTCAAGTTTCTTTGCAATCACTGTCTGCAACTCATTCTTATTCAAAAGAGCATCTGAATATCAAAAGGACTGAAAACCAAAAGGACTACATAATACTGTGGATTATTACAAAATATTACATTGGAGGATATTTAGTCACTGACCTTCTGCTTTCATTATAAGGAGCTCTAGGACATAAAAAATTTGTTGTTAAAAAAAGTTCTATTTAGTGAATTTATAAATCAAATAAGCACTTTAAACAGCAACATCCCAAACAGGACTCTAAGGTGTAATGTCTACTCCTGGAGTAACAGTGGTCTCAACTAGAGGAACAGAGTGGATTCAAAATCCCATGTTCAAAATCTATTTTTTACCTAATTGCCTGTGATTTATAACAACGTTTGTAATAGACCTTCATTAAATCAGAAGTAACCAAACACTGAAGTCTTTATGATTACTTGTTTGCCTCACCACTTTAAAAATAGAAACAAGGTATCAGATTTACCTCAAAAAAATGAAGTTTGCAAAGTCTTGTGCAATACCTGTCTCCGTGTTCCCAAACTAGAAACCAGATAGGATGCCAAAAAAGTACTTTAAATATTTTTAATCAATACCACAGCCATTCAATTACAGATGGGTAGTTTTCTTTATTTGAAAGCCAACGTCACAACTGTATCCACTACATATCTGTTAAACAGGTATTTATCTCCTACTATAAGATGAATCATATTGCAATTTTTTATAGCTCAAACTACAATAAACAAGGTACACTAACAAGTATTGAGAGAGTATGAACAAAACAGAAAATGTTTTTATAAAGCTTGGTTGAGTTTAGAGAGATAGACAAACTCAAACATCAGTGCTTATATATGCTATGAATACAAATGAAGCAATGTAAAGGGAGAGAGAGTAAGCTGGAGGGACACTATTTCATAAGGTGGTCAGGAAAGGTCTTTCTGATAATACAACATTTGAGTAAAGACCAAAAGAAAATGAAGAGTGAACCCTTTGGCTGTCTGGTGAAGGACAGTTCAGTCAAAGGGAACAGTGAGTGCAAAAGCCCTGAGGTGGGATTGTCAGTGGCCTCTTGTAGGAACAATAAGCAAACCAGTATAACTGGAGTATATAAGAAAGGGGCAAAGAGAGGAGATGAAGTCAGAAAGGTAATAATGGGGCTGCATAATATAGGATCTCCTAGGACTTTGACTCTTATGCTAAGTGAAATAGAAAACCATTGAAAAGTTTTCAGCAGAAAAATGATACAATCTGACTTGCATATCAAAGTTTTCTCTGATGGCTGGGTGGGGACAAGACCAGGAGGAGCGTAGTAGCCAGCCTCGAAGATAGCTTTCATTGATTTCCGCTTCGAGTAGTCATACTCTTGTGTAGTCCCCTCCCACACTAAATTGGGCTGATCCATCCAACCAACAGGATATTGTGGAGATGACGGTTTGTGGCTTCTAAGGCTAGGTCATAAACAATATTGTGGCTTCCATCTTGCTATCTCTTAAGTCATTTGCTCTTGGGAAGCCAGTTACCACATTGTGAGGGCACTTATGCAGGCCTCTAGAGATGCCCATGTAGTGAGGAACTTTCTGCCTACAATCAGCACTAACTTGCTGGCACTTTAAGCGAGTCACCTTGGAAGCCAATCCTCCAGTGCCAGGTAAGCCTTCAGTCCTAGCTGACAGCTTGTCTGTGACTTCATGAGAAATTCTTAGGCAGAGCCACTAGCTCAGCTACTCCCAAATTCTTGACCCACAGAAAAAATAAAATGATAAATGTTTTAGAGCACTACGTATTGGTGTAATTTCTTACACAGTAATAAATAACTGATACAGGCAAAGGTGGAAACAGTGAGGCAAGTATAGGATCAGACTAGCTAGGAGGCTATTTCATTCAAGAGAAGTGGCAATCTGGACTAACTGGTAGCAACAGAGGCAGTGAGAAGTGGTTGGATACTAAACATACTTCTATATGTATGTATGGTATCTAACCACTCAAACCACTAGAAACACTAGCTTTACCAAAATTCTGAATAAATTTTATAAATTTGATGTAGGGTATGGGAAAAAGGAATCAAGAATGACTACAAGACTAGCAAAACGAAACTTCCATTGGCTAAACAGGAAAAGCTGCTGAAAGGAACAGGAATGGAGAATTAGAATTCAAAATAACCAAGTAGAACTGTTCTGACACTATTTGAAGATACACAGCAGTAGAATTTTATTTTATAAAACTTAAAAAAATGCTACCCAGTAGTTGACTTTCACAGCTAATAAATGCCATGAAACTGCTATTTAACCTTTTCAGTTGTCTCATTTACCATCTCAAAATTTGGAAAAGGCTAACTATTGGGAATGAGTAGAGGCTGAACAGTTTCATGGGGATCTAAATGTCACACTGCAGAAGTGACAATATCATAAGCTATGGTTTGAATGTCCCCTCCAAAACTCATGTCAAAATTGTCATTGTGACACTATTAAGAGGTGAGACCATTAAGAGGTGATTAGGCCATGAGAGCTCTGCTCCCATGAATGAAAATAAATGAATTAATGCTGTTATCATGGCTTCATCATAAAAGGGCAAGTTCAGCCCTTGCTGTAGCCCTCTCTGCCCTTCCACCATGTGATGACTTTCACCACTGGATGCTGGTCTCTTGATCTTGGACTTTTCAGCCTCCAGAATAGTGAGCCAATGAATCTGTTTAATATAAATTATCCAGTCTCAGCTATCCTGTTATAGCACTACAAAACAAACTAAAACGCTGTATTTTCACTAAATCCTATTTGATTTTTCTCTTTTTGAGCACAGAGAAAAATATCTTTTCAGGGTTTCATGCTATCAGGTTGAAGCCAAGTGACTACAACCTGGACAATAACATATGGCTATCAGTGATGTGGTCATCACTGCCTTAGCCCTTAAAAACATCCTACAAAACCTTCATGCTCTTGAAATGGTGGCACAATAGGGTAGAGAAAACTTGAGTCCGTGAAGCTCCACATAAAGGAACTTGTACTAGACTTCAGGTAAGAAAAACTACTTTCTTGGCTCAGCTACTAAAATCTGGAGTTTATTTGTTATCACAGCAAAGCCTATTCTATGCTATTATGCATGACCTGCATGCTCTGATGAGGCCAATCTGTTTTCTTAGGTTAATCACATGGCCAGGAAAAAGCTCAGTGCTGCTGTCAAATCATATCATTCAACAAATTATAGGGCCCCAGTAATAAAGATCCCATCAGTGAAAATGGAAGTAAACTTCCATGAGCCTTTTCTGTGACCTTTTATCTGTATATCTGTTCATATCACCTCCAGGCAAGTAATGGTTTTCTTACTACCTTATTCCATGTAACTTCCATCCATCTTCAGTAAATACTCAATCTTGCACAGATCATATTTTATTGTAAGTAATTATGAGATCCTTGAAGGCAAGATCTTTGTCTTTTTATTTTCTGCTTTCATGAGTGTCTAACACATAGAAGGTACCAAATAAATTTTGGACATATTAGTAAGGCCAGTAGTTGTACCTATTAAAACATTTACATGTACTATTTCTGTCATAAGATGAAATATCACAGTGCTGACAAAACTGTAAATCAGTACTAAGATATATCTGACAAAAGTAGAAACAAGAGTGGACCATCTTGTCATTACCAGCATTATATTTTATTTAATAATAAAATAGACTATATTGTTATTTCAGTGCAAATTAATAACTTGCATTCGGTCCAGGTCCATTCTGACATGCTGAGCTCTCCCTGCCAAGCTGGTCTGATGTTTCCTTCCTAAACAGCATGGCTGTTCTGCTTTTCCTTCCTAAATGAAACACCCTGTAATTATTCCTAATGAACTTGATTTCAAAAGCAGTTTTTTTTTTTTTTTGCATTATGATCTTTTGCCTTAGAACAACAATTCAAGCAGAGTTATAAAACAAAGAGGGGCAAAGCGAAGCAAAGGCTATGAGGATCAAGATCAAGGATGGCCACCATTCATTATATATAATACCAAAAATTCAGAAGTGACCGAATATTCAACAATTAAGAAATAATTAAATTATATTGCACCTCTTCAAATAATTTTACATGGCCAATTACTTTAGGTATGAAGATCTTTTACTATTGTAAAGTAATCATAATCATAACAAATATTCATATAAAATTGGCCAGGAACCAGATGCTTTTCTAAGCATTTTATATATAAACTCAATTGATCTCCCTAACAACTCTGAGATATTCTTATTATCCCTATATTATAGATGATGAAACAAAGCAATTAAAAGGTTAAGATATTTGTCCAAATTCATATATATATATATACACACACACACAGAATATGTCTTTTATATACATATGTGACACATATATAGATTTATGTGTATACATGTACATATTTACTATATATACACATGCAAATAAATATGTAGCATAGAAAAAGCTGATAGAAAATATGCCAATGTATTAAGTGACTTTCTGGTTCTTAATATGTAAAACATTACGCAACTCTATTTTCTATAAACTTTATAGTCTAAAAACAATTAATTTTTAGCCTAAAAATAAGATAAACTGGATGCATTCTAAACCTAGCGAACTAAACTCTGCAGGGCATTTTGACCTGGATGATGCCCAGTGTGTTGGCTGTATGACTGTCATTAGTTGATTCATTCCTTCTTTCATGAGAGTTTCCCATGTGCCAAGTACTGCTCTAAGCACTGGGGATACAGTGTGTGAACATCTCCAAAGAATAAATATCTACAGGGTTCTGTGTTTCACAGTGAGATGTAAACGATCTTGTCTATCTCCTGAAGCTGACAGGAAGCCTGATAAACGTGGGAAGTGTGCTCTGCCCTGTGTCTTCACACCTTACCACATGCTGTTACAGAAAGAGTGCCCAATAAATGTTAAGTGAATGTTGTAATGTTTGAAGCAGATTTTACATTTTAACTTCAGGAGCCCATATGAAACCAAAATTACCTCCCTAAATCCACTGTCCCAAGAATCTGACATATAAGCCAGGTATGGTGGCTCATGCCTGTAATCCCAGCACTCTGGGAGGCTGAGGTGCATGGATCACTTGGGCCCAGGTGTTTGAGACCAGCCTGGGCAACACGGTGAAACCCTGTATCTATAAAAAAATTAGCCACATGGGGTGGCGGGTTCCTGTGGTCCTAGCTACTTGGGAGGCCGAAATGGGAGAATTGCTTGAGCTTGGAGGGCAGAGGTTTAGATGATGTATGGAACACATGGATGCGTAGTAGTGATAAGATTCAGTGAACACATTTCCATGATCAAAGTGCTGTAAGTAAAAATGAAACTTGAGATAAGTAAAAAATCATGTGCAAATGAGTTGCATTTAGCAAAGATGGGATGGAACAATATTTATCAACATTTCGCATGTTAGATACACTATTTTGAATTGATTTCTTATCAGCAGCACAGCAGTGGAACAAGGAGCATGTTAGAATGCAAGTGGTGCCACGTGGCTAAGAGCTGATCTTCTGGCTTAATTCTGAGGAGGTGGGGCCACAGTCAATCACTGTGGTGGCTTGCCAACATCAGCCTGTAAAATGGATCTCTCCCACCAGTCCCGCATTTTTTCTGTCTGAGGGAGAGAAGACAATTGAGAAGGATAAGGGCAAAAGTATCCACATTGCTACTCTGCTGAGTGGCTTGGGACTTATCAAAACCTCTCACAAAAGTCATTTGTTCCTTTGGGCAAATTAGAACTTTAGGTGGAATGCCTTCACATTCTTGAAGCAGAGCCACTGTTGAAATGTTCTCATGCTTGGCAACTGTATTTCTTTAGAAATAAAAACCACAGCTGGTTTTATATTATGTATTTTGGTTAAAGACATTGTAATTTTTGCCTTTATTTATTTATTTTAAGCAGTGTTAGTAGAAAAACTGTCTCATCTACTTAAGATGATTAATTTGTCCCTTATTCAACTCCTTCCCTCCCTCCCTCCATCCTCACACATTTCTCAACATTTGACACAGCATTACAGTATGGCCACTGAGACTGTAGGAACTACTTACAAATATTTACTTTTTAATGGCTCAAGTCCATGTTTTGGTGGGGCCTCTCTTTCAAATTCTGCTCAATTCAAAAATCAACCATAATTTTGTCCAAGTATCAACTGCTATGTGAAAACTACACATAACTGAGACCATTTTTCTGTTGAAAAAGTCACAATTTGATCTTCATGAGTGCTCTTAATGAATAAATACACACATATAAAAATCTATAGCACTTACACTTTTGTAAGTAAGCTGGTGTGAACTGTAGTATTTGTAAGAGTACAATTATTACTGACAGATTTTTGAAGTAAAATTATGTTCTCCACTTCTCTTAGAGGGAACATTCTTAGAATCAGGCCTCAGATGATGAATGAAAGAAAGCACTGAGATACTCACATGACATTCTGTGTGCTCACTTCCAATATACACATGCATATACTCAACAGATTTTTCTTAGAGACCAGGGGTACAGAATAAATTACAGTCACCAATTTTAAAAGATTTTTAAAATCTAAGGGTAATATGATTTTAAAAATCAGCCTCGCAGGTCAAAGAAGTAGTTAAGACTTCCATGCAGGGAAAAACCCTGAAATAAGATAAAAGAAAATGCAAAAAAGAGGATTTCTCTCTGTAAGTAAGTAGGAGAAATAAGCCAAACTAACTGTGGCCCCATAAGTGATTTAGTACATGCAAGTGTCTGGGTAGTGGTCATGGTATTACTTGACCTGCCTCCTCCCACTCCCTTGAATTTGCAAGGTCTATGGAAACATTTGTATTACTTTGAATTAAGATAGATGAAGTCAGCCTAAAATTTGCATTCTGGAAGTAAAGCACTAGTACCTCAAACTGATGGAACTACCAGAATCTCTCAATCATTGCACCCATATCAAAGTAGAAATTTGTAGTGGACACCTGTCGTTTGACTGGTCATCATCCTTCTGTAAACATAACACCTTTTTCCTTTAGAAATTGTCTCTCATTCTAATGATTGAAGCCGGAGCTCTGTTGCCACTGAACTGGTATGTGACCCTGATCAGCCAATGTCCCCACTTCTCCTGGACAGATCTCAGGAGTGAATTTATGATTCAAGAAGAAGTCAAAATATTTTTTTGCATTAATGTGGCTGTTGGGGAGTAAAGGGGTCTCTTTTTTACCTTGCATCAAAGGCTATAAAAAACAGTGGTAATCCTGGAGTTGTCTGGGGCCATTTTTGCTAGTTATGGAGAAAACGTCCCTGAAGTTAAAACTTATACCACAGAGGCAAGATATAGAGTGAGGGAGTGGGATACCACCATGAGTAAAGTGCAATCTACCCCTTAGAGGTCTTGGCTACAGGGAAGAATTAAGTCTTTTGTGCTGAAGCAAGTGTAAGTTGTATTGCTAATGCACACAACCAAAAGGGCTGGGTAATAGCATCCTCATTGTGCCATTTTCTTGTTGGTCTTGAATTTGGGCACTGCAGTCTAAGAAACACCTGTGCTTCTATCTTTTCTGCCGATGATGTCATCAACTACTGACTTTAAACAAGTTTATGAAGACATGTACAAAAGTATGTATTGGTAGGCTTTGATTTCTTAATGGGATCTGCCTCATAGCACAATATCCACGCTATGTGGGCAATAAGCAATGAGTTTTCTTCATTGCTGTCCCAAATGTCTTTTGAGGCATCCTCCCCAAACTCAGCATGCACACCAGCAAAATCTGATATGCATGGAAATAGGTCACTTTTACACCAAAGTATGGGGTAGAAAGGGTTTTTGGAGACATTTATGGGTGTGGCAAAGGTGAGATTTATAACATGGCTAGCTGTGTACTACGTGTTTTTACATGGCAATGCAAGACCTCTCTAATTTCATATCATGGGATGAACATTCAGCAAGTACATAAGTACTTCTACACCTATTATATATTCTAAATGAAATTGGTGCCTGTTTATCTATATAACAGAAAAGCCTGAAGAAGCTTAATGTCATGCAGAAAAGTACATTATACACTTGAGTGAGATTGACCAAAACCCCATTCCAGCTGGGCCCATTAGGGACTGGGCTCATATATTATTGCTTAAATTCTTGGAATCCAAGTTTTTTCATTTTTAGGGTAAGGATAATACTTTGCAGGTGACTTCTGCAAGATAATAGAATCAGACATGTGAAAGATCCTAGCACAATATTTATTATGTAGTAGGTATGTATAAATATTAATATCTAAGAATATGTTATAAAATTGGCACCAACCAAGTTTGAAACACTATTACAATATCTACAGGAATTTGGATTTTTGAAAAGGTGTTAGGACTTCAAAGAAGTTTAAGAAGACATGTAAGAACTAGCTGAGTTTCTGAGAAAGAAAAAAGGAAAATCCCTAGAAGACATATAAAAAAGGAATGTTAAGCTACAGTGGTAATCTCCAGAAGCCTGTAGAAACATAAGGGATATTGAACTAGACATAACTCCTTAGGATAAAAGGCAAACAGAACAGAACATGTGGCCTGAGGCCCATTAAAGCCTAGGCCTTCAAACAGCTGTTCTGAACGCAAAAAGGAATACTGCAAAAACTCCATTTTTTTTTTTAAGGCAGCAAGGAACATTTCTGTCAGTCAGGGGTCTTTGTGGTGACAATGAAAGTCTTCCACAAAAAAATCCAAACACCACATCTGTGCCACATGCATAGGATCATATGCAACTAAGTTCCAGCTTCCTGTGTTAACAAAATGAATTTATAACTTTTTTAAATTTAAATTCCTAGGGCCCCAGGGTGCAGAGGACTCCAAAGAAAAAAAAAAAAACAAACTACAAGTCAAAAGGCCGTGAACCACCATGAGAGGTAAGAGCAGCCAAAGGGAGAATTAGCTAAATTAGCCCAAGAACTACAATAATCTAATAGAGTCCATGTTCATAATTCTTGAAAGGCTAAAATGAATATTGAAATGGATTCTGAAAGAATAAGTACATTTAAAAAAGCAGGTTTGAAAAGCAAGTAAAACATCTAGCAGTAAACAGTCTATAAAACCCAAAAGAATGTATAGGTAACTACACTGAGTTGGACAAAGTATACTGCGAGGTTAAAAATGATACAGAAAGAATATCACTATATAATGATAAAAGAAATACTTTATTGTAAAGATTTAAATAATTTAGAATTTCTATGCATTTATTAACAGATTCTAAGTAAAAATAAGGATTTTAACAACTCAATCAAGAAGTTGGATATAATGCATATATGTAGACTGTTATACTCACTATTTAGAAAATCTACATTTTTACACGTATATACAGTGAATTTAAAAAATTTATGCTGAATAGGCTGCAAAGTAAGTTCCCACAAATGGCTATAAATCAACAGTATATAGTTTAATAAATTATATTAAAAAGTAAATCAGGTCGGGCGCAGTGGCTCACGCCTGTAATACTAGCACTTTAGGAGGCCAAGGCAAGTGGATCACCTGAGGTCAAGAATTCGAGACCAGCCTGGCTAACATGGTGAAACCTCAACCCTTATAACTGTAGAAAACCACCCAACTGCAAAAATAAACAATAAGAAATTAAGGAATGAAGAATATACGAAATAACCAGAAAATAATCAATAAAGTGACAGGAGTAAGTCCTCACCTATCAATGGCCATGAATGCAAATTGAGTACATTCTCAACTTAAAAGATAAAGACTAGATTAAAAAAAAAAAGACCCAACTTGAGGCCGCCAACATCACCTGTAAAGACACACATGTGCTGAAAGTGAAGGAATGGAGAAAAATATTCCATGCAAACAGAAACCAAAATGGACTAGAAATAGCTATACTTATCAGGCAAAACAGATTTCAAGTTAAAAGCTATAAAAACGAGCAAAAAAAGACATTACACAATAACAACAATATCAGTTCAGCATGAGAACATAACAATTATAAATACATATATGCACCCAATGCTGGAGCCCTCAGATATATAAAGTAAATATTATTAGATCTAAAGTGAGAGATAGACCTCAATACAATAATAGCTGGAGAACTCAATATCCCACTCTCAATATTCGACGGATCGTGTAGATAGAAAAACAACAAAGAAACATTGGATTTAAACTATATTATAGACCAAATGGACCTAAAAGACATTTGCAGAACATTTCACCCAACAGCTACAGAATATACATTCTTTTCATAAATACATGGAATATTCTCCAGGACTGGCTATATGTTAGCACACAAAACAAGTCTCTAAATTTTTTTTTCACAAACCAAAATAACATCCAGTATCTTATCTGACCACAATGGGATAAAACTAGATTATCAACAACAAGAGGAACATTCAAAACTTTACAAATACCTGGAAATTAAACAATATGCTTCTGAGCAACCAAAGGATAAAGGAAGAAATTATGCATGAAATTTAAATATTACTTGAAACAAATGAAAATAGAAGCACAACATACTGAAACCTATGGGATACAGCAAAAGCTATATTAAGAGGCAAGTTTATAGCAATAAATGCCTACATCAAAGAACTAGAAAGATTTCAAATAAACAACCGAATGATGCACCTCAAGGAAGTAGAAAAGCAAGGATAAGCAAAACTCAAAATTAGAAGAAAATAGTAAAATCAGAACAGAAGTAAACAGAATTGAGATTAGAAAAGCAATCCAAAGGATCAATAAAACAAAAATCTTTTGTGAAAAGATAAACAAAATTTACAAATCATTAGATAGACTAATGAGAAAAATAAGAAAAGAGAGAAGAACCAAACAAAATCAGAAATTAAAAAATGGACACATCACAGTGAATACCATAGAAATACAATGGATCATTCAAGATTACTATAAACAACTATAGGCCATTAAATTGGAAAAACTAGAGGAAATAAATAAGTTTCTGGACACATATAATGTACCAAGATTGAACCACAAAGAAATGGAAGCTTGAACAGACCAATAACAAGGCATGGGATTGAATCAGTAATAAAAAGTCTTCCAACAAAGAAAAGTCCAGAACCAATGGCTTCACCTCTAAATTCTACTGAACTTTTAAAGAACAATTAATAACAGATTCTTTTCAAACTATTACAAAATATTGGAGAGGAAGAAATTCTTCTTAACTCATTCTATGAGGCCAGCATATCCTTGACACCAAAACCAGAAGAAGGCACAACAATAAAGAAAACTACAAACCAGATGCTGATAAACATACATGCAAAAATCCTTAACAAAACACTAGCAAACCAAATCCAACAACACATCAAAAATATAGTGCAATGTGACCAAGTAGGATTTATCCCAGGGATACAAGGATGGTTCAACATACACAAGTCAATTAATGCCATTAATCACATCAATAAAGTACAAAAACCATACGATCATCTCAATAGATGTAGAAAAAGTTTGATAGAATTCAACATCCCTTCATGATAGAAACTCTTAACAAATTAGGGATGGAAAGAAAGCGCTTGAATATGATAAAGCCCATATATGACAAACCCACAGCTACCATCTTACTGAATGGGGAAAAGCTGAAAGATTTTCCTCTAAGAACTGAAACAACGTAAGAATGCCCACTCTCACCACTTTTATTCTACACAGTACGGGAAGTCCTAGCTAGAGAAATTTGGCAAGACAAAGAAATGAAGGGCATCCAAACTGGAAAGGAAGAAGCCAAATTAGTATTCTTTGCAGATGACATATTATACATAGAAAAACCTAAAGACTCTACCAAAAACTCTTAGAACTGATGAAGTTGCAGAATGCAAAATGAACACACAAAAATCATAAATGTTTTTATACATGAATAAACTAGCTGAAAAAAAGACATAAAAAAGGCAATCCCATTTACAAAAGCTATAAAAAAAAACACCTGGAAATAACTTTAACCAAGGAGGTGAAGGACCTTTACTTAAAAAACTACAAAACACTGATGAAATAAACTGAAGAGGATATAAACAAATGGAAAAACATCTCACGTTCATGAATTGGAAGAATCAGTATTTTTGAAATGACAATACTACTCAAAGCAATCTACAAATTCAATGCAACCCCTCTTAAAACATCAATGACATTCTTCACAGAAATAGAAAAAATATCCTAACATTTCTATGGAACCACAAAGGAGTCCAAATATTCAAAACATTCCTGAGCAAAAACAACAAAGCTGGAAGTATCACACTACCAGACCTCAAACTATACAACACTGTAGTAACTGAAATAGCATTGTACTGGCATGAAAACTGACACATACAACAATGAAATAAAATAGAAAATCCAGGTACAAATCCATCCATTTATAGCCAACTAATTTTTGACAAGGACACAAAGAACATACAATGGGGAAAGAGCAGTCTCCTCAATAAATGATGCTGGGAAAACTGGATATCCACATGCAGAATGAAACCATATGTCCCCCTCTCACTCTACCCCAAAATCAACTCACAATAGACCAAATACCTACATGTGGTACCCGAAACAATAAAACTATTAGAGGAAAAAATAGGGGAAACACTTCAGGACATTAGTCTGGGAAATGATTTTATGAGTAAGACCTGAAAAGCACAGACAACAAAAAGCAAAAATAAATATAATTACATCGATCCAAAAAGCTTCTATACAGCAAAGGAAACAATCAGCAGAATGAAAAGACAACCTACCTAATGGGAGAAAATATTTGCAAACTACTCATCTGATAGGGGATTAATATCCAGAATATACAAGGAATTCAGATAACTCAACAAGAAAAATACAGCCAATTTTTAAAAATAGGCACGTAATCCGAACATTTCTCAAATAAGTCAAACAAGTGATCAACAAATATATAGAAAAATGACCAACATCATGAATTATCAAAGAAATGAAAACAAAAACCAAAATGAGGTATCATCTCACCCTAGTTAGAATGGCTATTATTAAAAAGACAAAAAATAACAAATGCTGGTGAGGATGTGGATAAAAGAGAAGCCTTACACACCATTGGTGGGAATGTAAACTAGTACAGCCACCATGGAGATCCATATGGAGGTTCCTCAATAAACTACAAATAGAACCACCATATGCCCCAGCAATTCCACTACTGGGAATTTATCCAAAGGAAAGAAAATCATTGTTTCAAAGACACATCTGCAATCCCATGTTTACTGCAGCACTATTCACAATAGCCAAGATACGGAATCAACCTAGTGTCCAATAACAGGTTAATGGATAAAGAAAGCATGGTATATATACACAATGGAATACTATTCAGCCATAAAGAGAATGAAATCCTGTCTTTTGTGGCAAAATGAATGGAACTGGAGGATCATATGTTAAGTGAAATAAAACAGGAACAGAGAGTTAAATACCACATGTTCTCAGGCAAAAGCTAAAAAATTTTGATACCATAGATGTAAAAAGTAGAACAGAGGATTTGAGAGACTGAGAAGGTTGGGGGAAGGGAAGGATAGGGACAGATTTGTTCAAGGATATAAAATTACAGCTAAATAGAACAAATTCCAGTATTCTATACCACTGTAAGAAGACTATAGTTAATAATATTTAATTTCAAATAGCCAGAAGGAGAATATCGAATGTTCCCAACATAGTCAATATTTCAGATAATATGCTAATGTGATTCATATGTACGAATGTATTGAAACAGCACTATGTACCCTAAATATGTACAATTGTTATTTGTAAATTAAAAAAAAGACTTTGAAAATTTAAACCATAGCCAATTATCAATAATAAACATTTTGTCCACGCTGTTTACAAAATGCCATATTAATAAGTCAATTTGTTTAGAAAAATTAAAACTATGCTTCTGGCATGATAAAAACATGGAATTAAATCAGGAATAATTTATGTAAAAGGTTGTCAAAACATATTCTACACCATTTTTAAAAGTTGAGAATATTTTTAGCATCTCTGATTTTTTTCACCAGAATCATCATGTCATGTTTGTATATGTATTCCCTATATAAAGAAAAAAGTGAATGTGTGTTTGTATGAATATTTAACTGGAAATATCCATGGAGTTGGCTAACGTATATTCACTTTTTATTGTATATAGATTTCTAATATTTTTTATTTCTGTAACATTTAATGTTCCTTTAAGTAAATTCACTAAATATGTCTCAAAATTTTTCATTTAAAAAGTGAATAAAAATTTAACAAAAAGAATAATTTAAAAAGTAGAAAACTCAAATAAATCTATGCAATTGGTTGAACTGTGTTCCCCCAAAATTTGTATGTTGAAGTCCTAATCCCTAATGCTACTTCAAAATGTGACTATATTTGGAGACAGGGCCTTTAAAAGGACAATGAAGGTAAAATGAGGTCATATGGGTGATCGCTAATGGATCTGACTGGTGTCCATATAAAAAGAGGAAATTAGGATACACAGAGGGAAACGGGAAGACACGGGGGGAGATGGCCATCTATAAGCCAAGGAGAAAGACTTCAGAAGAAACCATTCCTGCTGGATTTTGACCTTGGACTTCAAGATTCAGAATTGTGAGAAAACACTTTTCTGCCATTTAAGCCATGCAGACTCTGGTAGTTTGTATGGCAGCCCTAGCAAACTAACACAATTTATAGCCATGAAACAGATCAGTAGTGCTTTTTCTTAATCTGTCACAGGAGAAACATCCACCAAATTTTCTCTGGTTTTATCAGAGAAAATATCAGCCTCTATTACTTAATAGATGATCTCTATCTTACATAAGCTGTTTAAGAGGACAGAAAGATGAAAGCACCTCAACTAACTTTATACTTTTATAATAATCATGACGTCAAAACCAGGTAAGGAATAGGCAGAAAAGAAACATATGTCAAACTTACTCATAAACAAGGAAGAAAATACCCTAAATATTTTTAAAAATCCAGTATATTTAGCTCAAAACGCAGGATTACTTATTATAAAATAACTTAATTCTACTTCTTCCAAACAATATAAATATATGATGTGACAGAGCAAAGTAGGCATGCACATTAGGTTTGCGGTATGGAGGAGCAAGTCAAGGTAACCCAGACCAGGGTGTCAGAGCCCTGCTGGAGTTGCAAGGGCCCACGTGGGGAGTGCCCTGGTATAAGGAGAGCCAAACAGACTACCCAGGCAAGGGGTGGCATGATATAGAAAGCCTGAGCAGGGGAGGAAGGTACACCTCTGCACAGTTTGGCACAGGGTACTGGAGCTCACCCTGGGTGAAGAGGTCCTCATGCTGGGGGCAGGGGGAGATAGGGAACAGACTGGTACCAAGTGTCAGCTGAAGCCAGGTGAGGAGAGATGGCTGAGCACGTGGTATCAGAGATTACATTAAAGGAGGTTAAGGGGAGCAGGGAGGGAAAAAAAAAAAACACCCTCCATATGGCTCAGCAGATGCAGCAAAAGCATTTGATGATGAAATGTGCTACTTATATGCATTTTTAAAACTTTTATCAAACTAGTGGTAGGCAATTTCCTAAACCCGTAATACAACTGTGCTTGTTGTGAAATATAAAATCTTCTTGAAAATCAGGAAAACTAACTACAAGGATGCCGAAAGATCAATATTCTATTGAACATTATGTTTACTACAGTGCAATAATACAAGAAAAATTAAAAAGAGTAAGATTGGAAAGGAAGGACCAAAATGCTAATTTTTTTCTTTTTCTTTTTCTTTTTCTTTTTTTTTTGAGACAGAGTTTTGCTCTTGTTGCCCAGGCTGGAATGCAATGGAGTGATCTCAGCTCACTGCAACCTCTACCTCCCAGGTTCAAGTGATTCTCCTGCCTCAGCCTCCCCAGTAGCTGGGACTACCGGCATGCACCACTAAGCCTGGCTAATTGTTTTGTATTTTTAATAGAGACGGGCTTTCGCCATGATGACCAGGCTGGTCTTGAACTCCTGACCTCAGGTGATCTGCCCACCTCAGCCTCCCAAAGTGCTGAGATTACAGGCGTGAGTCACCGTGCCTAACCCTAATTTTCTTTTTAACAGATAATTATCTATTTAGAAAATTCAAAACAAAATATTGAAGACTATTGGAATAAATAATTCAAGAAGGCTGCTGTTTACAAGACCAACATAAAAACAGTAACATACCTATGTAGTAGAAACTGCTAATTAGAAAATGTAATTTTTAAAATGACTCCATTCACAATAGCAACAAGAGCCATGAAATATTTAGATATCAACCTAACAAAAATGTCCAAGACCTTTATAGGCCAAAATTTTAAACTTTGCTTTACTATTTAATGATGTCAATTTTATCTTAAATTAATACATAATTCAATGCAGTTCCAAACCAAAATCCCATGTGGGATTTGTTGGATGCTTGTCAAATTTGAAGTTTATATTAAAAGGTAAAGGTAAAAGAAGAGTCAAAAGAAAATTTGAAGAAGAGTAATAATGAGGAGGCAGGACTATACAAGCCAAAGAGCAGGGTGTAATAAAAAACACTAAAAGAAACACAGGGATACTGTTTGAGATCTAGACAAATAAACAAAATAGAATGGAATGTAGGTTGCAGAATAAAACTATGTATTCATTTAAGCTTGGCTTATGAGAGAAATGCAAAAAAGAACAAATCAGATATCTCACATTATATTTAATAATCTCAGATGAAATTAAAAATATAAAAATAAAACAAACTTTACTAGAGTATATCTAAGTATATTTATGTTAGATTAGGCAGGATTTTTTTTAAAATGTAGGAAAGTTTGATTATCATAGATGGCAATTGAACAATGAGAACACATGGACACAGGAAGGGGAACATCACACTCTGGGGACTGTTGTGGGGTGGGGGGAGGGGGGAGGGATAGCATTAGGAGATATACCTAATGCTAAATGACGAGTTAATGGGTGCAGCACACCAGCATGGCACATGTATACATATGTAACTAACCTGCACATTGTGCACATGTACCCTAAAACTTAAAGTATAATAATAATAAAAAAAGAAGAAGAAAAAAAGAAAATAAACAATAGTGAAATAACAAAAAAAAAAAAGAAAAGTTCCATTATATTAAAAAGAAAGGCAGGGCGCGGTGGCTCACGCCTGTAATCCCAGGACTTTGGGAGGCCGAGGCGGGTGGATCATGAGGTCAGGAGATCGAGACCATCCTGGCTAACAAGGTGAAACCCCGTCTCTACTAAAAATACAAAAAATTAGCCGGGCGCGGTGGCGGGCGCCTGTAGTCCCAGCTACTCGGGAGGCTGAGGCAGGAGAATGGCGTGAACCCGGGAAGGGGAGCTTGCAGTGAGCCGAGATTGCGCCACTGCAGTCCGCAGTCCAGCCTGGGCGACAGAGCGAGACTCCGTCTCAAAAAAAAAAAAAAAAAAAAAAAAAAAAAAAAAAAAGAAAAACATATGACAACAGTTAAAATGAAAGTTGGAAATTAAGCTATAGACTGGGCACCTATCTGTGCTTTGTGCATGATTCATAAAGGCTTAGTATTTAACACAATAAAATGTCTAAAAAGAAAAGAGTAAATAAGAGAAATAAAAGATGAGATAATCTGGTTAAAAAATGACGCTCAACTTCACTAATAATCAGAAAAATATATATTAAACATCAAGGGGAGATGATATTTCAAACCTAGCAGCCAGGCAAACATTAAAATACCTTGCAATATCAAGCATTTGTGAGGATGTAGGGAAGTGGAAACTCGAGTATATTGCTGGTGGGAGTGAAAATCGATATTACAATATTAGAGAGAAAATTCTAATTCAGTAATGTTTTCCTACGTAACAACAATTCCTACTTTCAAGTATTTACCTGAGAAAGACTCCAGCACCCAGGGCTATTACTTAGCTGACACACCTGATATAGCTATGACAATTGTTTATGGCTGACATCCACTGTTGTTATTCAATATCCCATTCTGATGGGCTCGCATTCCTGCCACATAGATTGCTAAACATTTTGACTATCATGGTAGTACCACGTATATAAGAAATAAGTACAAGGAAAAGCACTGCAGAATTATATAAAAATAAACAATAAGTGGGCCGGGTGCGGTGGCTCACGCCTGTAATCCCAGCACTTTGGGAGGCCGAGACAGGCAGATTACCAAAGGTCAGGAGTTCAAGACCAGCCTGGCCAACGTGGTGAAACCCTGTCTCTAATAAAAATACAAAAATTAGCCGGGCTTGGTGGCACACGCCTGTAATCCCAGCTACTCAGGAAGCTGAGGCAGGAGAATTGCTTGAGCCTGGGAAGCGGAGGTTGCAGTGAGCCCAGATTGCGCCACTGCACTCCAGCCTGGCTGACAGAGCAAGACTCTGTCTCAAAAATAAAAATAAATAAATAAAAATAATAACAAATAATAAGTGGCCATCAATAGGAGAATGGATAAATTGTTGTAATGTCACATAACAGATCACTATAAGGTAATCTGATGAATTAGACCTATGTCTAACAATAATTTGATATCATTGCATACATAATATTAAATTTTTGAAAATAAAGTTGTAAAGGAAGGTAGAGTGGGATAGTATTAAGGTAAAATTTTTAAACAGAAGAACCAAAACTATTTTTTTTATAATCTATACTTTACCTTATAAAACACACGAACCAGAAGTATACTTCCCAACTTTAGGGTTATGTTTACTTATCTGGGGAGCAAGGGAAGGAAATGAGATTGGATAAATCTTCAACTCTACATGGATTAATTTTAATGTTTTCAAATTAATATTAAGTCTGGTAGAAAAGAACATGTTAAATTTTTTTGAATACTTTGTAATATATTTGAAGTATTTTATAGTTTTAAAAACATGATTAAAAATATGAACCAGAAACATTGCATTCTTGACCTTGATTTAAAAATAGACATCCATACCTACTCACAACCCCTAAGCTCAAAGCATGGCTTTTACTTTAAGTTCAATTATCCCAAATGGTCAACAAGTATATTCGTATCAATCATATTTACATATACAACAATATACAGATAAATGCATGGTAACTGTGGGAGACATCATGACATCAGTGCTCCCAAGATGGGATCACATTTCAAATGTCTTAGTTAAGGGTGTTATATGAGACAATTACATCTAGCAAGCGTTTCAACCATGTGTTCATTCTAAAGACAATTTCTCAAGCACTCTGTTACTTACTGTAAAATGTTCTAATTACAACTAAGGTTGAGAACTGGAAAAAAAAAAAATGGAATGAAAGGTCTTAAAATTGATGTTGAAAGAAGAGAAGCCAAGATTTATGTTTTCTTGTTGGTGTTATTTTGTTTTGGTTTTTGTATGCGTATATGTAATTGTGCGTGCATACATGCACACAAGTACATTTGAGACCTTTGTGTCTGTTTTGGGGACAGGAGGGTTCATTCAAATAGGGGGCTGAAAGAGGTCTGTGTTGCCAAAACTCAAATCCATTACCTTATTTTCAACTTGCCCATTTAAAAGTATGTGGAGTCAAATTTGGAAAAATCATCTTTTTCCACCAGGATTTAGACCTAAATAATCTTCCCATATATTTTTCTCTTAAAACCGGGCCATTAGTGGTGTAGAACAGTCCCTCAGGAGGGATATAAGTCTCTTGTCTTAAAAAATGGAATATATTTCTAATGTTGCCCCAAGGCAAGTGAATAATATAACAGTTTTGCATCAGAGGATCCATCTCTTTCTTTCTCTAACCTCCCTTTGCAGTGTGTATTTAAGATAAAGATTTCATCCAACCCCTCTGGGGTCATCATTTTCCACACTGCACCATTTCTCCTTCTTAAGAGCTTTCTTCTTTGCTGCTCTCTTTTTAATAGTCACTAAACTACTTTCCCATTAGAATTCCATCCTGTTGACCTTTCTGTATGCTTTAATTGTGTCTTTACCTTGAAATGTTTTAATGAAAAGTGGAGGAGAAGGAATAAAAAAAAAACAGATGTTGATTTTGAAATACAGATTGAAGCCCAAAGAAATAGCAGGTGATTAAGTTTATCTTCCTTAATAAACAAGGTTTTCTGATTTTTATATTATGAATATATACTCCACTCACTGGTCAAAGATTTAGACAAGTAACTTCCTGAAAGCTAAGAAGAGTTATAGCACCAAAAGCGAAGTGATTAAATTAGATTGTTTTTTGAGAGAAAGACACTGTTTTCAAACCCGTATTTTTTGAATGAGCATCCAAATTTTGAAAATGGAAAGATGACGACCGTTGAAATCTAAATGTTCTTGGGTTATGAGATTTTCATAGGCTATTCTTAGCTTCTTTGGCCCAGCTGAAGCATAGCACCCCACTGAGAGGTAAAACTGTTGAGGTTCGCTTTTCTGCTGTTTCGGCAAAGGGGTAGGAGTTCACCGCACAGCAATCAGGAGTTAACAGGGTGAAGGCTGCGATGTGAATCACCATGCTGATTTCCAGTGAAATTACAGTACTGCTTAGCTTCTCCAAAATAACATCTGTTATTTGAACCATAAAACACACACGCTGCAATCTCCCAGAAATTAACTACAAATTGTTTTTATTCTCTTGTTTAATGATCTTTATGAATCAATTAGAACAAAAAATAGCATTATGGAAGCAGAATCCAGAGAAGACAAATTAAATTTCAGCGACACAACATTAACTACTATTAATATTTCTTTAACTAAAACCACAAAACCCATTTGGACATTAATCCCAAAGTAATCAACAAACAGCTAAGACTAATTCTGATAAAATAAAACTCTAGCAAGAATTTACCATACAAGTGGAACTTTTTAGTTTTCTAAAATAATTTTTATCTTCCAGATCTTTAATCTATGTCTGCCTGATACTGATTTTTCTCTTGAAGAAGAGACGGAAGTTGGAAATTTGACTAATATTGAATACTTATACACATATAATAACACATATTTTGCATATTTACATTGGACATATTTATTACTTGAACATGTTCTGTATAATTTTAAAGTTCTATTTTATTCACCTCCATATTTCCAGCCTTAGTACATGGCAGGAACACACAGACATTCAATACCTATTTCCTGAGTCAATGAACTGTACTGCACAGTGTTCAGAATCAAACAATTTATAGTTTAGCACTTAAAACCAGCTTGTCACCACTCTAGGTGATTTTACCCGTGGTTCTTAGAATTATATTCAAATATTCCAACGCTGGGGAGAAAAGTATGCTCATATTTAATCCCATAAATATTTTATGGCATATTTAATATGGACACAGATGAGCGCTAAGTCTCTGTTCTTAGTTTATTATTTTTCTCTTTGCAGTTCTGTCCTGTCCTTTCTGTTCGTCTGGGACTGGGACTGCAGCAGGATACTGACATGCGTGGAGGCTCATGGCTGCCAACGCGGCAGCAGGCACAGGCCTCAGCGCAGTGACATATCTATCTAATTAACACAGCTGCTGTAGCTACTGTGCAAAGTACAAAAGAGTGGGACTGTTCTGGAGAAGGCATGGCTCATAAAATGGAAAAAAAATGAACAAAATTTCTGGAAACAAAAGACCCACGTTTGTTTTTTTCCAAACCCCCTTTTTCCAAATGGCAAACATCTATTCTTTATACTTTGCCAATCTGGAGGTTCAAACCAAAGGGTTCTTGACATGTGTTTTGTATTTCTTGAATCATGATCCTCCTTTAAATTTTTCCCCAAAGGAAAACCTGTAAGGTAAAATTGCTTTGTGCAAAGTTACCAATTAACTAAATACTGTAGCAAAGATTTGTCTGTTTTTTCCCTTGACGTTTATCAGAAAAGTCACAGAATTCTGTTTAGTTTAACCCAAATATGTTATTGTTCAGCTGGGAAATGTTCTTGTCAAAAAAAAAAAAAAACAAAAAAACCATGAGGCAAATGCCATGGCAGTGATGGAAGCAGTGTAAGTCCGATTGCTGCTCTTAAGGTCTCAAGATGTTGGCGTGCAATCTCAATGCCCCATTCCATTTCATGGTGAGGAAGATAAATTCTTATGTGATTCAAGATAACAAGTTAGTATGTGAACGAGTAAAAGGGCATGAACCAAAATTACTGCTAATGTTTTGAAAAGAACCCCTCACCATTTCCATGCTAGCTGTATTGGTCATTAAATGGATATGAGTTTATGATATGACTGAGAGAGCCAAATAAATATTTAATGAATTTCCAGAATAAAATGAACCCGATGAACTCTTTGAATTCTGAAAGTCAAAATTCCCACTTTCCAGTCGAAAAAACTGAGCTTCAGGAGGGAGAAGTGACTTTCCCAGAGAAACTCATGTGGTTGGCAGCAAAGCTCAGAACAGGAAATTGCAGGCTATTGCTTTTGGAACTTACGTTTTCACTGAGCTAAAGATGTTATGTGTACAACATGATGTTTTGCTGTACATATACACAGTGAAATGATTACTACAGTAAGCAGATTAACCTGTTTCCCCAACACAGCAACTTTTTTGTGCATATAACATCTAAAATACTTTTAGTAAATTTCTAGTATAATATACAGTATTATTAACTATAGTCACCACACTGTACATTAGAGTTCTAGATTTATTCAAAATACATAAATGCAACTTCATACCCTTTGATGAATATTTCTCTGTTTTCGCCACCTCTCTGCTACTATTAGGCTCTGGTAACTTCTACTCTCTGTGTATTCGGTTTTTTAGATCCCACATATAAGTGAGATTATGCAAAAGAAATAATTTAAAGAATAAAAATTCATAGTTTAACTTTAAAAGAGATGTTTTCTGAATTTAAGAAACCTCACCCACCCACACTTTATTTTCTCTTTTCCTATCCTTTCCTACAAATATTCTCAGCGCTTAACACAGTGCTTCTCACTGGTATGTACTAAATAAATTCTACTTGAATGAATGAGTGAGCAAACAGTCACAAACCTACTTTAGTAGTATCTAATATAGTTTTATGTGCATTTCCATGTTGCTATTGCTTTATATTTATTAGCATCTCCACCTGTTCTTTGCCATTTAGGTTACTTTTGCGCTGTGATGAACACCTTCACTGGTTTGGTTGATTTCTTCCCTTTTGCTTGGCTTAGCTTACATTTTCAGGAAAGAATTACTTGATCATTGTAATGACTGTGGGTTATATAGCTAAATTGCTTTCCCTAATAATTTTATTAATCTATAATGATACCAGTGGAGTAGTGGCAGAACAGTTTCATCACAACCTAAATTAGAATTAGTAAGAATCATAAAAAATGTAAACTAAATAGAAAATTAATTGGAAATTGCTTGCTCTTTTCATTTGGTTTATTTTATTGCACTATTTCTACATGTCTTTTTTGTAATTGTATTTATCCTGTTTTGAATTATCTTTCATGTTTTTAGTATCTTATATTAATACTTAGGTAAAGAACTCCCTCTCCCCCCTGCATTTAATAAGCTTATCGCCCCCTTCCACATATTATGATTTACCCATGATGCTGAGGTCATAGAGGAGAAGCAGACAGACCAAAGGGCCATTTTTTTCTAGCAAATAGAAATGAAATTCATAGAAAACATAACCTATCTACAAACATAATTCAAAAAAGCAACAGTTCTCTAGTAGTAAGATAAAGGTTCTCACTCATAAGTGGGGGTTGAACAACGAGAACCCATGGACACAGGGAGGGGAGCACCACACACCAGGACCTGTCAGGGGGTAGGGGGCAAGGGGAGGGAGAGCATTAGGACAAATACTAATGCATGTAGGGCTTAAAACCTAGATGACAGGTTGATAGGTGCAGCAAACCACCATGGCACATGTATACCTATGTAACAAACCAGCACATTCTGCACATGTATCCCAGCACTTAAGGTAGAAAATAAATAAATAAATATAAAAAGTCTTACCATAAAACCAGGGGAAGGAGAAAGATGCTAATAAATATCAGTGACTTAGCAGTGAAAAAAAAAACAAACAAAAGGAAATACATGTAAAATGTATTGTAGTATGTAAGTGCTCAGGTACAATTCTACTAAAAGATATAATGAGGTTGGCAGATGTGTGTACCTATGTTGCAATATCACCAGGAGTGTGACAGCTACAAATGCTCACTAGCACATGTGTGTTTTATTGGCAACTCAAATACCAGGAGTGGCTCTACTATCAGTGACATGCAAATTTAAAAACAAAATAAAGTAATACTCTTGATTTGTTTGGTGGTTACATTCTTGGAAAAGTCAATATATATTTAATATATGTATATGTTTATATATGAAAAGGAGTTACAGTATAGATTCAAATAGTTTCAAAAAGAATTCTTACTTGTGCTAATTTCCAGAAGGACATTTAAAGGTCATGAAGACATAGGACATATGTGTTACAGGATGGGAATTTCATACTTTGTAGGATATTCAACTTCCCTTGACTAAATGCTTCTGGAGTTCTCCAATAATTATGATGCCCCAGCCCCCAAACACTCCAACACATTTCTAAAATTCCCCCAGGGATGGTGTAACTATTATTAGGAGCCACTGACAGAGGAGAAGTTGGAGCTAGGCAGAGGGAGAGTTAAACAAAAACAGTCAGGGAATTATGGAAAGAGGAGAAAAGGGAGGAGGGGAGCTTATGTTTGTACTCTGATTTCACTTCTTTTCTGTCTGAAGAAGAAAGTATTACTCAGGTATAAAGGAAAACCAAAGATGGAGGGACCCAGCTTCCCACTTAGGACTAAGAAAGCATACAGCCTCCTGGACTACCCCATTCTACTCCACTTGGAGAAGGACCACATCAAAGCTACTGAGCAGCACAGGACAAAAGGCAAAAGGACAGTCTGAAAGTTTAGCTTTCCTAAACCAGCTGTGGTTCCACTCTGGTTTGGAAGGAAGCCTGAAGCTCTCTTACACTCTGAGAAAAGATGTAGAAATCAACCAGGATTTGGATAAAGATTAGGCTGGAAGGAGCAACCATGAGAAAGCCAAGGTAGCCCACCTGGTTCAGAGTTGCAGCCTGGTCTCAGAGAGTTGCAGAACCAGAGAAAATAGAGGTGAAGCCAAGTCAGCCAAAAAGAGCAGCTGGGCCCTGACCAAGCTGAGAGAGTGCCCAGGCCACAAGTCCCACCAGCTGCAGATATCATCTGACCACACATGCCAGCAGGGCATGCAGTGATGAGGCAGATGATATATAATATCATTGAAGCAGTGGCTGGCCAGGACCCAAAGAGGAGCACAGAATGCCCAAGTCAGAGCCAAGATTCCCCAGGTTTCCCTTTTGTCTTAAGGTCACAGTAGCTACACTCCTTTTCAAGACACTCAAACACCATCTAAGAAAATTTAGGGGTGATTCTAAGATGGCAGAATAGGAATAGCTCTGGTCTACAGCTCCCAGGGAGATAGAGGCAGAGGATGGGTGATTTCTGCATTTCCAACTGAGGTACCTGGTTTGTCTCGTGGGGACTGGTTGGACAGTGGGTACAGCACATGGAAGGTGAGCTGAAGCAGAACAGGGAATCGCCTTACCCAGGAAGCATAAGGGGTCAGGAGATTTCCCTTTCCTAACCAAGGGAAGCTGTGAGGGACTGTGCCTGGTAGAGCCATGCACTCCTGCCCAAATACTATGCTTTTCCCATGGTCTTCACAACCAGCAGACCACGAGATTCCCTCCTGTGCCTGGCTCGGTGGGTCCCACATCCACAGAGCCTTGCTCTCTGCTAACGCAGCAGTCTGGGATCGACCTGGGACACTGAAGTGTGGTGGGGGGAGGGGCGTCCACTGAGGCTTGAGTAGGCAGTTATATGCTCACAGTGTAAACAAAGAGGCAGGGAAGCTCCAACTGGGTGGAGCCCACTGCAGCTCAACAAGGCCTACTGCCTCTCTAGATTCCACCTCTGGGGTCAGGGCATAACTAAACAAAAGGCAGCAGACAGCTTCTACAGACTTAAGCCCCCCTGCCTGACAGCTCTGAAGAGAGCAGTGGTTCTCCCAACATGGCGTTCAAGATCCATGAAGAGACAGACTGCCTCCTCAAGTGGGTCCCTGACTCCTGTGTAGCCTGACTGGGAGACATCTCCCAGGAGGGGCTGACGGACACCTCATACAGATGGGTCCCTCTCTGGGACGAAGCTTCCATAAGAAGGATCAGGCAGCAATATTTGCTGTTCTGCAGCCTCCGCTGGTGATACCCAGGCAAACAAGGTCTGGAGTGGGCCTCTAGCAAACTCCAGCAGACCTGCAGCTGAAGGGCCTGTCTGTTAGAAGGAAAACTAACAAAACGAAAGGAATAGCATCAGCATCAACAAAAAGGACATCCACACCAAAACCCCATCTGCAGGTCACCAACATCAAAGACCAAAGGTAGATAAATCTATTAAGATGGGGAGAAACCAGAGCAGAAAGGCTGAAAATTCCAAAAACCTGAATGCCTCTTCTCCTCCAAAGGAACACAACTCCTCTCCAGCAAGGGAACAAAACTGGACAGAGAATGAGTTTGACGAGTTGACAGAAGTAGGCTTCAGAAGGTCAGAATAACAAACTTATCTGAGCTAAAGGAGCATGTTCTAACCCATCATAAAGAAGCTAAAAACCATGAAAAAAGGTTAGACGAATGGCTAACTAGAATAACCATGTAGAGAAGAGCTTAAATGACCTGATGGAACTGAAAACCACAGTATGAGAACTGTGTGAAGCATACACAAGCTTCACAAGCCGATTCGATCAAGTGGAAGAAAGGATCGAATTTGATCGACTGAAGATCAAATTAAATAAAGTGAGAAGACAAGATTAGAGAAAGAAGAGAAACAAATAAAGCCTCCAAGAAATATGGGACTATGTGAAAAGACCAAATCTACATTTGATTGGTGTACCTGAAAGTGAGAGGGAGAATGGAACCAAGTTAGAAAACACCCTTCAGGATAGTAATAAGGAGAACTTCCCCAAGCTAGCAAGGCAGGACAACATTCAAATTCAGGAAATACAGAGAACACCACAAAGATACTCCTTGAGAAGAGCAACCCGAAGACACATAATTGTCAGATTCACCAAGGTTGAAATGAAGGAAAAAAATGTTAAGGGCAGCCAGAGAGAAAGGTCAGGTTACCTACAAAGGGAAGCTCATCAGTGTAACAGCAGATCTCTTTGCAGAAACCCTACAAACAAGACGAGAGTGGGGGCCAATATTCGACATTCTTAAAGAAAAGAATTTTCAACCTAGAATTTCATATCCAGCCAAACTAAGCTTCATAAGTGAAGGAGAAATAAAATCCTTTACAGACAAGGAAATGCTGAAAGATTTTGTCACCACCAGGCCTGCCTTACAAGAGCTCCTGAAGGAAGCATGTGGAAATAAAGAACCAATACCAGCTACTGCAAAAACATGCCAAATTGTAAAGACCATTGATGCTATGAAGAAACTGCATCAATTAACGGGTGAAATAACCAACTAGCATCGTAATGACAGGATCAAATTCACACGTAACAATATTAACCTTAAATGAAAATGGGTTAAATGTCCCAATTAAAAGACACAGGCTGGCAAACTGGATAAAGAGTCAAGACCCTTTGGTGTGCTGTATTCAGGATACCCATCTCACATGCAAAGACACACATAGGCTCAAAATAAAGGGATGGAGGAAGATCTATCAAGCAAATGGAAAGCAAAAAAAAACAAAAAACAAAAAACAAAACAAAACAAAAAAAACAGGAGGAGTTGCAATCCTGGCCTCTGATAAAACAAATTTTAAACCAACAAAGATCAAAACAGACAAAGAAGACTATTACATAATGGTAAAGGGATCAATCCAACAAGAAGAGCTAACTATCCTAAATATATATGCATGTAATACAAGAGCATCCGGATTCATAAAGCAAGTCCTTAGAGACCTATAAAGAGACTTAGACTCCCACACAATAATAATGAGAGACTTTAACACACACACAACTGTGAGACAGAAAATTAACAAGGATATCCAGGACTTGACCTCAGCTCTGGACCAAGCAGACCTAATAGACATCTACAGAACTTTCCACCCCAAATCAACAGAATATACATTCTTCTCAGCACCACATCGCACTTATTCTAAAATTGACTACATAATTGGAAGTAAAACACTCCTCAGCAAATGTAAGAGAACAGAAATCACAACAAACTTTCTCTCAGACCACAGTGCAATCAAATTAGAACTCAGGATTAAGAAACTCACTCAAAACCACACAACTACATAGAAACTGAACAACCTGCTCCTAAATGACTACTGGGTAAATAATGAAATTAAGGCAGAAATAAAGATGTTCTTTGAAACCAATGAGAACAAAGACACAATGTACCAGAATCTCTGGGACACATTTAAAGCAGTGTGTAGAGGGAAATATATAGCACTAAATGCCTACAAGAGAAAACAGAAAAGATCTAAAATAGACACCCTAACATCACAATTAAAAGAAGTAGAGAAGCAAGAGCAAACAAATTCAAAAGCTAGCAGAAGATAAGAAATAACTAAGATCAGAGCAGAACTAAAGGAGATAGAGACACAAAAACCCTTCAAAAAAAAAAATCAATCCAGGAGCTGGTTTTTTGAAAAGATTAACAAAACAGACTGATAGCAAGATTAATAAAGAAGAAAAGAGAGATGAATCAAATAGACGCAATAAAAAAATCATAAAGGGGATATCACCAACAACCCCACAGAAATACAAACTACCATCAGAGAATACTATAAACACCTCTATGCAAATAAATTAGAAAATCTAGAAGAAATGGATAAATTCCTGGACACATAAACCCTCCCAAGACTAAACTAGGAAGAAGTAGAATCTGTGAATAGGCCAATAACAGGTTCTGAAATTGAGGCAATAATTAATAGCCTACCAACCAAAAAAAGTACAGGACCAGACAGATTCACAGCCAAATTCTACCAGAGGTACAAAAAGGAGCTGGTACCATTCCTTCTGAAACTATTCCAAACAACAGAAAAAGAGGGAATTCTCCCTAACTCATTTTATAAGACAAGCGTCATCCTGATTCCAAAACCTGGCAGAGACACAACAACAAAAAAAAAGAATCTTAGGCCAATATCCCTGTTGAACATTGATGCAAAAATCCTCAATAAAATACTGGCAAACTGAATCCAGCAGCACATCAAAAAGTTTATCCACCATGATCAAGTGGGCTCCATCCCTGGGATGCAAGGCAGGTTCAACATACGCAAATCAATAAATGTAATCCGTCACATAAACAGAACCAACAAAAATCACATGATTATCTCAATCAATGCAGAAAAGGCCTTTAACAAAATTCAACAGCACTTCATGCTAAAAATTCTCAATAAACTAGGTACTGATGGAATGCATCTCAAAATAATAAGAGCTATTTATGACAAACCCACAGCCAATATCATACTGAATGAGCAAAAACTGGAAGCATTCCCTTTGAAAACTGGCACAAGACAAGGATGCCCTCTCTCACCACTCCTATTCAACATAATGTTGGAAGTCCTGGCCAGGGCAATCAGGCAGGAGAAAGAAATAAAGAGTATTCGATTAGGAAAAGAGGAAGTCAAATTGTCTCTGTTTGCAGATGACATAATTGTGTATTTAGAAAACCCCACAGTCTCAGCCCAAAATCTTCTTAAGCTGATAAGCAAAATCTCAGGATACAAAAATCAATGTGCAAAATTCACAAGCTTTCCTATACACCAATAACAGACCAACAGACAGCTAAATCATGAGTGAACTCCCATTCACAAATGCTACAAAGAGAATAAAATACCTAGGAATCCAACTTACAAGGGATGTGAAGGACCTCTTCAAGGAGAACTACAAACCACTGCTCAACGAAATAAAAGAGGACACAAACAAATGGAAGAACATTCCACGCTCATGGGTAGGAAGAATCAATATTTTGAAAGTCTCCATACCGCCCAGAGTAATTTATAGATTCAATCCTATCCCCATCAAGCTACCACTGACTTTCTTCACAGAATTGGAAAAAACTACTTTAAATTTCATATGAAACCAAAAAAGAGCCCATATAGCCAAGTCAATCCTGAGCAAAAGGAACAAAGCTGGAGGCATCAAGCTCCCTGACTTCAAACTATACTACAAGGCTACAGTAACCGAAACAGCATGGTACCGGTACCAAAACAGATATATAGACCAATGGAACAGAACAGAGGCCTCAAAAATAACACCATACATCTACAACCATCTGATCTTTGACAAACCTGACAAAAACAAGAAATGGGAAAAGGATTCCCTATTTAATAAGCGGTGCTGGGAAAACTGGCTAACCATATGCAGAAAACTGAAACTGGATCCCTTACTTACACCTTACACAAAAATTAATTCAAGATGGATTAAAGACTTAAATGTTAGACCTCAAACCATAAAAACCCTAGATGAAAACCTAGGCAATACCATTCAGGACATAGGCATGGGCAAGGACTTCATGTCTAAAACACAAAAAGCAATGGCAGCAAAAGCCAAAATTGACAAATGGGATCTAATTAAACTAAAGAGCTTCTGCACAGCAAAATAAACTACCATCAGGGTGAACAGGCAACCTACAGAATGACAGAAAATTTTTGTAGTCTATCCATCTGACAAAGGGCTAATATGCAGAATCTACAAAGAACTTAAATTTACAAGAAAAAAAAACCCTTCAAAAAGTGGACAAAGGATATGAACAGACACTTCTCAAAAGAAGACATATATGCAGCCAACAGACACATGAAAAAATGCTCATCATCGCTGGTCATCAGAGAAATGCAAATCAAAACCACAATGAGATACCATCCCACGGCAGTTAGAATGGCAATCATTAAAAAGTCAGGAAACAACAGACGCTGGAGAGGATGTGGAGAAACAGGAATGCTTTTACATTGTTGGTGGGAATGTAAATTAGTTCAATCATTGTGGAAGACAGTGTGGTGATTCCTCAAGGATCTAGAACTAGTAATATCATTTGACCCAGCAATCCCATTACTAAGTATATACCAAAAGAATTATAAATCCTGCTACTATAGAGACACATGCACATGCATGTTCATGGCAGCACTATTCACAATAGCAAAGACTTGGAACCAACCCAAATGTCCATCAATAATAGACTAGATTAAGAAAATGTGGCACATATATACCATGGAATACTATGCAGCCATAAAAAAGGATGAGTTCATGTCCTTTGCAGGGACATGGATGAAGCTGGAAACCATCATTCTCTGCAGACTCTCACAAGGACAGAAAACCAAACACCGCATGTTCTCACTCATAAGTGGGAGTTGAACAATGAGAAAATATGGACACAGGGAGGGGAATACCCCACACTGGGGCCTGTTGTTGGGTGGAGGGCTAGGGCAGGGATAGCGCTGGGAGAAATACCTAATGTAAATGACGAGTTGATGGGTGCAGCAAACCAGCATGGCACACATATACCTATGTAACAAACCTGCACGTTGTGCACGTGTACCCTAGAACTTAATGTATAATAACAAAAAAAAAATCACAGCCAACTCCCCAAAAAAGAAGAAAATTTAGCAGCAGCATGACAAAAATACAAGCGATTATTTTTACCTAAAGAAGCTGAGTTTAACTTACCCTCCAAATAAAACTGTTTAAAAATTATTGCATTGGAGTCAGATAAAACTGCTGGATAGAACCAACTAGTTAAGTCTTTCCTTTCCCTCATCCTGTATAATAGGGGAGGGATGTTAGAGCAAATTATAGAAAAATTAAATGTATGTATTCTCTTTCTGCATCTCAGTGTGGCATGAACAAATTTGCATCTCATTAAATCATTGAATTAAAACAACAATGATAATTCATTAGAATGTAAGCTCTTTGAAGGCAGGGATTATACCTGAACTCTTTTCACATGCATCCCCAACACCAAAAACAGTGCCTGGAGTGTAGTAAGTAGGTGCTCAGGAATTTTTTCCTGAGTAAACAAAAACCAAAAAAACAGTAGTGTTAATTTTAGAAATAACAGTAATAATAGCAACTATCATTTATTGAGCAACTAACATTAGGGAGATAGAATTAGAATTATCAGCACATGCTACTTCTCACCATGACAGCCAGGATTTAATTTCAATAGATAAACGATATTCATGATACAGATTCTAACCCCAAATCCTTATGCCATACTACTCACTGTAAATGAAGTCCAAGTACATTCTTGTTTCAATCTATTTCAGGAACTCATTTCAACTCAATTAAAATTAAATGCAATTTAAAATTCACTGCCTAAGTCACACTAGCCACATTTCAAGTCACCAGTCAATAGCCATAGGTGTCTGTGGCTACCATACTGATTGGCCAGTGTGGCTCTAAAAGCTAAACAATCCAACCTTGTATAACATTTCCATCATTGCAAAAATCTTTTCTTGGACAGCCCTGACTAGAGAGCAAATGAAGCTTCCGGCTATGTCTAAAGACCTTTCCAAAGCTTTCATCTTCTTTAAAATGTTAACGGTTGAGAGTGTTCCTTATACTTATTTCAGTGGCTAAGAAAGATGTAAGTTTACATTTGCTGATACTCATTTATAATTTCTTATGTATTTCTTTCTCTATTAAGGCTTAGGGATACTATATATTTGTTAATGCACATATTGATTTGATTTACTATATTAGGAGCCTAATGAATCCACAGACAGCCTTACTGGGAGGGAATACCATTATTTAAGAGATTATTGATGTAATGGTGAATAAAATAAAGAGATTTGCTTCACCTTTTTTTCAGAGGCCTATGCTGAGTCAGTTGGATCATGTATTTTAACATCCATGACATCGGAACCAAGAAAGACAATGTGAAAAACAAATTAATAGAATAGCTGCTGTGCAAAACTCTTATCCTCCAGGTGGGCTCCTTTTCAAAAACGAAACTTCTAAAAGTTAATACTTATTCATGATGCAAGAATCCTCAATAAAATACTAGGCAAACTAAATTCAACAATGCGTTTAAAAAATTATTCACCGTGATCAAGTGGAATTCATCCCAGGGATGCAAGAATAATTCAACATATGCAAATCAATAAATAACAGAACCAAGAACATAAACCATATGATTATTTCAATTGATGCTGGAAAATCTTTTGGTAAAATTCAACATCACTTTATGTTAAAACCATAAAAAACTGGGTATAGAAAGAACACACCTCAAAATAATAAGGGCCATATATGACAAACCTACAGCCACCATCATATTGTACAGGGAAAAATTGAAAGCCTTTCCTCCAAGATCTGGAACAAGACAAGAATATCCACTTTCACCACTTTTATTCAACACAGTACTGAAAGTTCTGGCCAGAGCAATTAGGCAAGAGAAGGAAGTAAAGGGCACCCAAATTGGAAAGGAGGAAGTCAAATTAGCCTTGTATGCAGATGACATAATCTTACATTTTAAAAAATCTAAAGGCTCCACCAAAAAACTGTTAGAGCTCATAAACGAATTCAGTAAAGTTGCAGGATACAAAAGCAACATACAAAAATCAGTAGTATTTATATATGCCAACAGTGAACACTCTGAAAAAAATTACAAAAGCAATCCCATTTACAGTAGCTGCAAAGAATATAAAATACCTAGAAATAAATTTAACCAAAGATGTGAAAGATCTGTATAAGGAAAACTATAAAACACTTCAAAGACATTGAAGACATGCAAAAAAGTGGAAAGATATTCCATGCTCATAGATTAAAATATTGTTAAAATGAGACTACTAAACAAAGCAGTCTACAATTCAATGCAATCCCTAACAAAATATGAGTTATATTCTCCATAGAAACAAAAAAATTCTAAAATTTGTATAGAAACATAAAAGACCTCAAATAGTCAAAGCAATGCTGATCAAAAAGAAGTAAGTTGGGGGCATTATACTATTGTACTTCAAAATATACTACAAAGCTATACTAACCAAAATAGCATGGTATTGAGATAAAAGTAGATCAGTGGAACAGAATAGAGAATCCAGATATAAATCTACACTTTTACAGCCAACTCAGTTTTGACAAAAGTGCCAAGTACATACAATGGGAAAGATCAGTCTCTTCAATAAATGGTGCTGGGAAAATTGAATAACCATGTGCAGAAGAATGAACTAGGCCCTTATCTCTCACTATACACAAAAATCAAATAAAAATGGATTGAACACTTAAATCTAAGACCTCAAACTATGAAACTCCTAGAAGAAACTTTTGGGGAAATGCTTCAGGACGTTGGTCTGGGCAAAGCTTTTTTGTGAAAAACCTTAAAAGCACAGGCAACAAAAGCAAAAAATGGACAAATGGGACTTAGATCAAACTAAAAACGTTCTGCATAGCGAAGGAAACAACCAAATTGAAGAGACAACATATTGAATGAGAGAAAATATTTGCAAACTATATGACAAGGGATTATTAACCAGAATAAAGAGCCCAAACAACTCAGTAGCAAATAAACTTGATTTAAAAATAGACAAAAGATCTGAATAGACATCTGTCAAAAGAAGACTTACAAATGGCCACGGGGTATATGAAAAAATGTTTAATATCACTAATCATCCAAAAAATGCAAGTCAAAACCACAATGAGATATCCATCTCACCCCAGTTAACATGGTATTTATCAAAAAGTCTGGAAATAACAGATGCTGGCAAGGATGTGGAGAAAGGGGAACCCTTGTACCACTGCTGGTGGGAATGTAAATTAGTGTAGCCACTATAGAAAACTGTACAGAGGTTCCTCAGAAAGCTAAAAATATAACTACCACATGAACTAGCAATTCCACTGATGGTATACATCCAAAAGAAAAAAAATCAATATAGCAAAGAAATATCTCTACTGCAATGTTTATTGCAGCATGATTCACAAGAGCTAAAATGTGAAATCAACCTAAGTGGCCATCAGTAGATGAATGGATAAAAAGAAAGTACAGTATATACACACAATGGAATATTATTCAGCCACAAAAAGAAGGAAACCATGTCATTTGCAGCAACACAAATCGAACTGGGAGTTATGTGAAGTGAAATAAGTGAGGCACAGAAAGACAAATATCACATGTTCTCACTCATATGTGGGAGCTAAAAGAGTGGATTTCATGAAAAGAGAGTAGGTTGGTGGTGACGAGAGGCCAGAAAGCGTAGGGAGGAAGGTAGGCTGAAGAGAGGTTGATTAATGGGTGCAAATATACAGTTAGAAGAAAGGACACCTGGTGTTCAATAGATCCATAGGCTGAATATAGTTAATATTAATCCATCGTACATTTCAAAATAGCTAGAAGAGAATAACTCGAATGTTCCTAAAGAAAAATAAATATTTAAGGTGACAGATTACCCTGAATTGATTATACACATGTATCAAATTATCACATGTAGCCCAAAAATATGTACATCCATTATGTATCAATATAACAAAAATAAAAATATTTATTCATAATATTGAGACTATCCAATGCTTGTCATAGAATCACAAAATTTTGCTTAATCTCAACATAGAAGGATTATAGGATAAAATTTTGTATTTTATACACCAAATAGCCAGCGCATACCAAGCCCAAGTTATGCTAATAAAAATGTTGATTATCCTTACTGTTCCAGAAAGCTGAAGCCACTGCTCTGATCATGTAATCACCTCCTTTGTCAGTCCTTTTTAAAGCAGCTATGTGCTGCCATTTTTTAGAAGGCTACCAATGTCTCTTCTAAAACAGCACTCTTTTAAAAACTTAGCTTTGGCATTTAAAGAGTAAGCTTTAAAAATGTAGAAACATCATTACAAGGAATACTTCACAATATCAGATAAATAACGAATTACTGGTATTGGTCTACTTGAGTTAAAACACTGTTATCCTAAATCTTTTACTAAAGTTATGTCTATCTTCAAAAACTTCTAAGGATAATTATTATTCAAAACACTACATACATGATTTTGTTTCTCATGGTTTTCTTTCAAATAACATCAATCTAGAGTCCAAACATCAAGGAAAAAGTAAATAGCTAAGGATTAAATGACTAACCTCCTAGCCTCAGCTCCCTCATCTTTTGAATAAGAATAATAATGGTAACCATTTCATAGATTTGTTTTGAAAACTAAAAGATATAATGCATGGAGACAATTGGCATGTTACCTAGCACATTATAACCCTTCAATAGATGTCATTAGAAATGTCATTTATATGATCTCACCTGTTAGGATCTGATTATTTTTGCCATATTTAAAGTGATATCCATGTCTCCTGTACTGCATATAACCTGATAATAAAGTACATTGGAATACTAGAACGATGATACTGGGAGCACCAAGATGAAGAACTAGTACCAGGGTGAGCAGTTAGTTGAAAGGAGAAGAACAATTGTAACTGATGAGCTGACTCATTAGAGAAAATAGTATAAGCATCAAGTAGAAAGTTATTCAATTGACATGAATGTCCACAAGCTCCTTAGAAGTCTTTCTATTCTCATGACTTGGAATTTAGAGTAGGTAAGACAGCAGTCTTTAAATCAAGCAGTCAGAAATATAAGTTTATGAACTAGAATTACTCCACACAAAGTATTCATGAAGAATGAGGAAAACACATTTTACACAATGCTGTATTTTTTTTTCCAATTAAAAGGACTATCCTCTAGGTCTTCTCCAAGTACTAAAATGAAGTGTCTTTCTCATGCTACAGGTGGTAGCAGAGGGGGTGTGTTTGTGTGTGTGTGTGTGTGTGTGTGTGTGTGTTTACATGACTTGGTGGAATTTATTTAATTAGCAACTGTTGATCTGATACATTTTCCGGTCTTTGATATTTAAAAGTCCAGTTAACTGCACCATTATCAGTATCTAGTCTTCAAATATAAAAGACACACAGAGTAGACTCCCCAGTATGGACTAATTATAAAGAAGACAGAATTGTCTTCTTGTCTGGTTATCTTAAAATGTCTATGGATGGCACCACATTCCAGAGGAAGCTGAAATACTCGTGGTGGTTTCAGTTCTCACCACTACAAACAGCTATACCTACACCTCAAACTTTCTTAGAAAATACACGTTCTTTGCTTTGCTGATTGCTTAAAAGATGTAGAATTCCTTCTAAATCAGCAGTGGGTAAGCTACAGCCATAGGCCAAATCTGGCTCACTGTTGCTTTGATAAAGTTTAATTGAAACACAGCTACAGCCATTCAGTTATCTGTTGTCTGTGGCTACTTGGCCTACAAAAACAAAGTTGAGTCATTTAATCAGAGACCTTATAGCCCACACAGCCTAAAATATGTACTGTCTGCTCCTTTATATAACGTTTGTTGACTCCTGTTTTAGGTGATCGTTCTTTTTCCTTTAAAATTCGGTCGTGGTATATAGTGTCCTATCCAATCTAAGATTAAACTGACAGCTCTGAGCATTTTGTAGTAGATAGAGCTCTTCAGCTACACACAAAGTTTGACGGAGAAGGAAATACATAGCTAAAAGTATATTTAACAATGAAACTGTAATGGTGTAAATGGACACACCACTCTCTGAGGAAACATCTTCTCCACATCTCCTATTATCCAAAGCTCTGAAGCAGAACTTCCTGCCTCATTGCAGTCATTGGGAATTACACAGAAGGCTTAGTGAAGAAATAGTAATTGAAATTCAACACACTGTCTAGCTCTCTTCTCCTTCTTAAAACAAAATTACTTGGCAATTTGATGTATTGAGAAAGACATAAGTATCTAAGCTCTGGTATGGTGAAATGAAATGGCACATAAATAAAAGAGACAGAATAACCTCACATAAAATTATACAGAGATTGAGCTCAACCCCTGAAAGGTGGACAAGTTATAGAAAAACAACGGCTGGCCTAGAGAGATTTGTGGCTCTTGTATAATCAAAATCTCACTTCTGGGAAATAAGCTGTTACTGACATCATTACTATTATTTAACAACAATAGCAACAGCAGTGGCATGAGGCACTTTGGCTATATAATAATGCCCCTCACAGAGCATTTAGATGGTGCTTTCTTTATGCTGGGCACTAGGCTTAGCTTTTTGCTGGTTTTCATAACAGCTGTAAAGGGAAGGTACTTTTGCTGTATTCTTTTTATAGGTAAGAAAATTTAGATTGAGAGGGAAATAAACATGCATAAACTTCTGGCAAATACAAACACTTCTACATTTATGTAATATTTATATACATAGATTTATACAACTTCAGAAGCTTTACCATTTATTCAAAATTTTGTGAATGATTCTAAATGAATATTGTATCAGAATTACAAATCACAATTTTTCTATCCTGTGCCTAGCAGGTAACTTGATTGTAGAAAGTCTTACTCTAAGGAAAAAAAAAAGATGACCAAATGTACCTAAAATTACCCAGAAAAGTACTTGGCATTAGAAGGTATTCAATAAACGTGAATTGATTTATATGAATCTGAAAGAACCCTTGTGGTAGACAGAGTAATGACCTCTCATTTACATATGTTTCCTTGCATCCAAGTCTTTGGGTAGTCTACCCACTCACACTGACTCTGGGCTTAGTCACATGACTTGCTTCGGCCAATGGTTCAATAGCAATTGTAAGGCAGAAACTTAAATATTTGCACATTGGGACTTGCCCTGTCTTCCTGTCTTTAGAACCCCTTGAACCCTGTGAGCAAGTCTGGGTTAGGCTATGGGAGAAAGAGATGTTATCCATGTACCCATAATACCATAGCCACCCACCAGATATGTGAGTGAGACCATAAGGGACTAACCAATCTCCAGGTCACCTGTCAAATGTCCACAGAAACAAGAGGTAGTCCAGCTAAAATCAGCCCAACTGATCCCAGCCCAGAACTGTCCAGCAGAATCATAAGCTAAATAAATGGTTATTTTAATTATTAACCACCACTAATTTCTAAGGTGGTTTATTACATGGCAAAGTTAACTGATTCTCTAACCCCAAAAGAAAAGTATGTTATTTTAGTCATGGGAAACAAGAGAACTATAGTCTTAGCAAAAGAATGAAGATCTTGTACCCAGTCATTACAGGGAACATTGCCTCAGGGAGCCCTTTAAAACTGATTTATGAGGTAGAGATATAAAGACAACTAGTCCACTTTGGACAATGTGGCAGATGGCATTAGATTTACACATATTTATGTAGCACATGCTTAATTGCCTACTTTACTGTCCATCTTTGGCCCTCAAGTAGATGGTTATTTTCAAGAATTACAATACTTTAACTGGCTGATGCTCCAAACACAGCTTCTTCCTTTGGATGCGCTAGGAAAACAACCAAACCAAACAAAAAAGACACCAAAGCTCCAAAGAGCTATTATAATTGTTTTACAGTTTCATTAGAAAACATCCTGTCTGTTATGCTTGCTTCCGGAAACTCTAATGATAATAGTGTTTGTTGCTACTGCTTAATTCCCCCTTAGGGTGTCTGCCTTTTACAGTTACAATTACAATTGGAAAGTCATTCAACCACATGTTCACATCAATTTATCCATTAATTTATTTGACCTGTTAATCCATTAGTTACTCATCCAATAATCCAATAAACTGCTTAAAATAATGTTTGCAGTCTCTAGTGTGGGATGCCTTTGGGTCAAAGATGATGAATCCAAATTATTAATGATGAAGCTATTTTATTCATTTTGGAAACTTTGATAGTGCTATAAAGCAAACTGTGAATGCCTTCTTAATTACACGACTGCAGAGCAGCTCATAAAGGCCAGTGGAAGGGTAATAACTCATTCCTAGGCTCTTACTATCAGTCAACCAGTTCATTCTCTATCCTGGCAAATCTGCTGAAAGATGCATGCATGTCGGAGAAACACTACACTTGGTACTGTCAGAGATGAAGAGGGAAGGAACTGGATTCTACTCTTAGAAGTTGACCATCTGAGTTGAGGAGACAAATTTACAAAACGGCTACTTAGAATTTGCGGGGGTAGTGAAGAAATGCAACGCTAAGGGAAACAGAGGCTTGGGCAAACATAGGTAGCCTTGAGAGATAATCTGGCTTCTACTCCAAGGTCATAAGCTCAAATCTTACAGGAGACAGATGCTTTCAGGGAATAAATCTAGCTGAGGGAAGAAAAGCAAATGGGAGTGATACCAACTGTGACCAACGAGAAGCTTATCTCCTGTCAAAGTGGCAGCCACAAGGCAGCTCTGGCCATTACTATGGAAGCCCACGGGCCGAGAGTTGCCAGATCTTCTGATTTTTCAAGATAATATGGAAATTTCTCTGTGAAATTGTTGACTTTCGAAGTATATGTATCTAATTCAAATCAGTAAATAAAACTACACAAAGTAAATAAAAGACATGGACACATTTAATTTTGAATATGGGCATCTGGTTTGTGACTTCCATGATAGAAAGCTTTCCAGGACGAGCCAAGTATGGAAAATGAAAATGTATGGTGAATTCAGGGCAGGATGTGTGGTTCAACACAGTCAAAATGTATAGGACTTTATTAATTAATGGACATAATGATCACCTGAATGATTTTTAACATATTACAGTTATCTATAGAATATTTTAAGAATTCATGCTGATAACCAGAAAGATAAAAATTTAATGTGAATCTTGTTGTTGCTGTTCTTTAAAGTGGGTGAACCCATACTTTAGACAACACCCTGGTCTGTTAAACATCTGCCCAATGTCTTTACTGTTCTGCTTCTTGTTAGAGACTTCAGAGAGAGAGAGAGAGAGAGAGAGAGAGAGAGAGAGAGATGAATGTAAACCAAGGTCAGACACAGATGATGGTAGAAATGACCTTTGACATTCCTGTACTTAATCAGACGAAGGAGTGTGCTAAGAAAAACACACACTGAGGTGTGGAAACCATAAAATATCACCAGGGAAATAAGAGAGAAGGGTTGGTTCAAAATGCAAGCCACCTGCTGATATTGTACAAATGATAGTAAGACACAGATAGGAATAGAAATCCTCAAGTGTTAAACCAATACTCACCTCCTTCTTTCATTTGTTAAAATTGTTTCTTTTAAGTAATTAGGTGTTAATCTCCTACAACTCCCCATCCCAGTCATCATCAATCTTACCCTTAGGCTGACCTAACAGTCTCTTTCACCTCCCCCTCCTTCTAGTTTCCCAAATTCCAATAATAGTTACATGTCCACTCTCTCCTTTGGAATGTCTCTACAATCAAGTAGTAAAAATGCCAAAGGTCAGTGCCAAAGAAAAATAATTTAACAAGCTAAAATAACCAAAAAAAAAAAAAATTCAAAGATAAAGGTGCCTCTTTAGTTGCATTTCTAAACTTTCTGAATATGTTTCCCAACTTATTTACTTTAATAAGGCTAACCAGGCCAATGTGACTTTCCATGTAAACCTGCATATTTTTTCTAATACAAAACTAAGATGTGCACAAAAAATGTAACACTAATACCACGTTACTTTTCTTCAGTGTTTTGCAATGACAAATTCTTTCACAATTATCCCTTATTCCTTACCAGAAGAGTATGATGTTGTATTATTTTTTTCTGGAGGGTCAGGGGGATGAGGAAACTGGGACTCAGCTAAAGTGACATTTCCAATAAAAGTGACAGAACCACAAGACTATCATAGTAATGAACGGATTTGAGGTTTGATTATGTAGCAGGCATCCTCTCAACATTTCATGTGTATTATTTCATTTAATCCTTATAACTGTGTGAGACAGATACTAAATTTTTCTGTATTTTATAGGTGGCAAAACAGAAGGACAGAGGAGTAACTTGGTGAAGGTCATCTAGCAACCTTTAGGGTAGTATTGGAATTCAAATGAACAATCTGGCCCGGAGCCCATGTGCCTCATGGTCATAAAATATCACCTCTCCATGATGAAAACCATGGTTCTCTGATTCCAAATCTATTCTTCTTTTAGCTTTACCCTGTTTTACTCATAAAGCTGGAAGACAAAGCCTACCTACTTTTTCCATAGACTGAGAGACAGTCATCAGCCTTCCTCGAAATGACCTCAATTAATGTATTTCTGGTTTCAAATATTTTGACATTTTTGTTCTGCTGTGGCATGACCACTCTATTCCAGGATTTGGAAATTCCATACATTTATTTTTATACTCTCCTAGGCACCCAGATAGATACAAAATACCTGACAAAAATACACTCAACACAAGAAATTAAGTGGGAAAATATAAGAACTCCACACATGATGATGTCATGAGATCCTGTGCCCTTAACCAGAAGTGAACCTTAGTAAACATGACTCTAAAATTTCTAGCACCCAATGTAGAAAGGATAATCGATTACATGGGCTATTGTTTCTGTAAATCTAGAATTTAGTTCCAGTTCTATCTTTAGAACCAAAGCAATTCATCTTCATAGTATCTTTGGTTGCCAATACTTTTAATCACTGTATATAGTTCATAGGTGAGAACAGTACAAATGAATATCTGCCTATGTGATGTGAACTAAGAAACCTGTCACAAATATCTTTCCCACCAGCCTGAGGGTACCCAATAGCCCTGCTATTAGATAACTCCCTTGAGGGAGAACAGAAAGCGGGGACATCGCCTTTAGGAGATGTCAATAAGCATGTGCAGAATGCCTGGCAAGGAGACAATTGCTCAGGTACATGTCTACCTATCTCTGAAACATACCTCTGCACTGAAAAATCATCAGATTAGTCAATGGTTCGTTACTCCCAACTTCACTGGCTTATGGGTACCAACTTATGGACAGGGCATGCATAAGCATCAACATACACCAAACCATCTACATGTCTGCCTGTACATGTTCACAATAATCATACACCAGCCATTCTCAATCGTGGGTGTGCTTTCAGGATCTAAAGTTTTCTGAATGTTAAAAGGGTTAGAATATAAAATGGAGAGTGGTGGGTTGATAAAAATGTTCTCTTAGGCAACCAGGTCTTGAAAAGATGACTCAACAGTTTATGCTAGAGGCCAATACCAACAGTATTGCAAAGCTAATGCTTCATGTGATATATACAGAAAAAAAAGAGGATATTTCTCTCTTAATGAGGGTTAGCAATGAACAGATTCCTATTTAATTTGTAAATCAAATTTGTAAATTTGATTTGTAAATTCCTACAAAATATCAATTCCTATAGAAATAGCCTTTATATAACCAAATTAGCAGAAAACATTTCCACAGTGCTAACCTTACTTTTTATACACAAAAAAGATCTGGTTATACCTTATACAGTATGTGGGGTGGGGGGGTGGAAATCAACATTTTGTAGTTCAGTAAAAACTCAACTTGAAAGGACTTTGGCAATCAAAACAGAAGAAAAACAAGGAGAATGAAAAACAAATATCAAATACTGAGAAATTCTGTGACCCTTTTGTTCTGTTCAGACATCATTTGTCAGGTATGGAAGCCCTCTGCTGGTCAAGATTATATACAAGGCGATTCACTAAAACTCTGGAAAAGGCTTTTAAAAGGGAAGGTAAAGTTTTTTTTTCTACCAAAATGCAGTTGGACTTGTCTCTGAAATTCCTTTTAAAGATTAATCAAATATTGTTTGCACCTAAGTAAGTTGATTTTGGAAAAGAAGACACTTATTCTAGGTTCCTAATTGTATTAGGTATTTTCTCACAGGTGCATTCCTGTGACTGAAAGCATGAACTATATACTCCGGCAGAGATGCTCGGCCCACACTGCCTTGTTCCTCTCCACTTAGTGCTTAGGAAATGTTCCTTGTCTGTGTGACTGGTGAGCTTTAGCCAGGTTTCTTGAATTCTCCAAGGCCAGTAGGTTTTTCAGGATTTGGAGAATTTAGTTCTAAAAGTTATTCTGCTTCCTGAATTTGGGTTATTAAGCAAATAATAGCCATAATGTAACGGAAAATAATCTCTTTTTCAGGGGAGGCGAGAGTAAGACCAAAGCAAGCATGAGAAGGCAAACTAGATCAAGAGGCCATGAGCGTGACAACAAGGATGGGAAGCCATTAGGCCCTAATGTTTTAGCTATAGCACAGCTGACCAAGGACAAAAATAGATGCGTTTCCAGTGTCTTGCCTCTGTGAGAGCGTTTCCAATGAACTCACTGGCATTTATATCAATGCACTCCTTTGCTTGACGTTGCAAAGGAACTTGCCCAGAGCTTACCCCATTTCAAACAGCCAAGGGGCCAAGGACAGATTCACCATGCCCTGTGGATCAATATGTAACTAGCTTTTAAAAAACAAAGATCATCATCAAAACCAAATCAGTTTAAAAATTGGAAATCACATCAAGAACAAATCCTGAGGCATCTAGAAGAGAAGTCCTCAAAGTATTAACATGCATGGTTCATCAGGAGGCACAAACCACTTACATAGAACAAAAAGGAATAAACAGTTAAGATTATAGGAATCTGTAGGCAGGCTGAAGGGATTAAATTATGGATGGGTGACTTCGGCAAATTACTTAACCACTCTGTGTCAGTTCCTCATCTGTAAAATGGGGATGCTAACAATGGAATCTACCTTAAAAAGTAGCTAAGAGGATTAATTGAGTTAACACATAAAAATGGGCATAAAAGGGTGTGTGACACATGATAGTACTCATTTATATCATTTAGTGTAGCAACCCCCAACCTTTTTGGGACCAGAGACTGCTTTCGTGGATTTAGGATGAAACTGTTCCACCTCAGATCATCAGGCATTAGTTAGATTCTCATAAGGACATGCAACCCAGATGCCTTCCATGTGCAGCTCATGATAGGGTTTGTGCTCCTATGAGAATCGAATGCCACCACTGATCTGACAGGAGGTGGAGCTCAGGCAGTAATGCTGGTTTGCTTGCTGCTTAACTCCTGCTGTGCGGCCTAGTTCCTAAAGGCCATGGACTGGTATCGGTCTGTGGCCCGGGGATTGGGGACCTCTGATTTAGTGTAGTAGTTTTTAAGCCAGAATGGTTTTGCTCTCAGAAAATATTCAGCAGTGCCTTGAGACATATCTGATTGTCAGGACTGAGGGTTGATGCTGGCATCTAGTGAGTAGAGGACAGGAATGTTACTAAATATCCTACAAGGCATGGGACAGCCCGCAGCAATCAAGAATTATCTCGCTCAAAATGTCAACAGTGCCAAGGTTGAGGCACCCTGATCTTTCAAAGGATATTCTTTAAAAGACACCCAAAGGGGCCGGGCGAGGTGGCTCACACCTGTAATCCCAGCAATTTAGGAGGCCGAGGCAGGCAGATCACGAGGTCAGGAGATCGAGACTATCCTGGCTAACACGGTGAAACCCCGTCTCTACTAAAAATAGAAAAAATCAGCCAGGTGTGGTGGCGGGCACCTGTAGTCCCAGCTACTTGGGAGGCTGAGGAAGGAGAATGGCATGAACCTGGGAGGCGGAGCTTGCAGTGAGCCATGATAGCGCCATTGCACTCTAGCCTGGGCGACAGAGCAAGACTCTGTCTCAAAAAAAAAAAAAAAAAAAAAAAAAAAAGACACCCAAAGGGAACACTAAGGTTTGTATGGCTATTTTTCTCACGTACGCACTTATAAGAAAACCAAAATGCTTTGTTTTTATAGACATTATGTACAGATGTACAGGGTGTTCTCAAGCCTAGATTAAATGGAGATAAACCAAATTAATCCATTTTAGTCATCGGCTTTGCCAATTGTCCAATGGTGTTTTGGAGCCTCAGTTTCCTATGACATTAATTCCCTGTTCTGAGTTGATCCATCACTTCCAATACTCTGAGATAACTGGACCGTCAGAACTCCATGCCCCGCCCTCCCTCCCCACAGTGTGGCAAGGTTCGCTGAATTCATCTGTCTGAACAACCTGGAAAGTCTCATATGATTCCTTCCATAGATAAAGAGTTATTACCATTATTAGTAGAGGATTGCTTGATCTAAAAACATTAATTCTGCTTTTACAAACTCTCTCAGATACAGAGAACAGCCAATTGTAATGTGATTTATCAATTTCAGCATCAGTTCATATCCATGAAGCTGAGTGATGAAGCCGTTAGTCTGTTAGGGAGATTTCAGTGAAAATGTGAATGTTACTTCCAGTTATTCATTGCACAATATTTGCATATTTATTCTTGGTCTGGAAAAAGGTGGAAAAATTAGAACTACCGTATAACTATTCTAGCAGGGTACCTGGCACAGTAGATGTTCAATAAATATTTATTTTTTTAATTGAACAACAGAATCTCTTTGGTGTCTCAACTAAAATTTGCAATCGAATTCTAGATTCCTATTTATCATTAATAATTATAATAGCAAAGTAACTTATAATGACAGAACAGTTCTTTTCAGTTTTCAAAAATGCTTTCTCAAGTCTCTTATTTAATAGTTTTATCAAAACAGACTGCATTAAAGAAATTTGACAAATAAGAAAATAGACTTGAGAGGTTAATTCCTGGCCCCTGTCACAGGCCCCTCTCACAGGCCCCGCCACTAGTTACCCTCAAGATTTCACAACCTGTTCTTTTCCATTCTGTCATTCCTAGTCATTGTTCCCAATCCTACCAAACATTTTTATGTGGATGTCAAGAGATACTCTGCCAGAAATCATACATCTTATTCTAAGATTTACTTTTTTAAAAAAGGAAAGTGTCAATGCGACACACCAAAGTTAAAAAAAAAAAAAATCCAAAGGCTCAATTCTCAACTGGCAATTACAATTTTCTCTTCCTTTACACAACGTATGGTTGTAGCTACCTTGCCAGGTGTTAAATCATTCCATTCACAGCATTTTATTCTGGTTTTGTTTTAATCAGAAGGAATAGATCACATATTTCAATTTAGCATACCTGGAAGGTGTTCACAATTTTCCACTTTCCACATTGTCTCTTGTCACCACTTCCTCTGCCTTACTCTGCCTCTTAGCCCAAGTATGCATACAAAGATCTGAGTACCCACAGGCACACACTCTCACAAACTGGCAGGATGTCTGCTCAATTGAAAAGAATGGAGCTCATCATAGGTTGGGAGAAAATATTTTCAGTGAGATTTTCTTTTCCTAGGAAACAAAATGTTTTTCCAAGAAACACATCTCAACATTTATAAAAGTCACTGTGCTGCATAACTTACTTTAAGCAGGTAGTACATATATTCATAGAATACACCAATTTCATAAGATACATTATCAAATAACATTTTAAAGGCAACCATCTGATATTCAAAGATGTGTGCCCTAAAAACTCCAATTTAAGTATTAGAGGTTTTTCCTCAAAATATAAGGCCATAATCCCATTATAACTATCAGGAGGTAGAACCTGAAAGGGAAAGAACATTATAGGAGAAACTAGAAGAGGAGGAGGTCTCCACATGTTCAGTTCCATCTTTTCCCCTGCTGCAATTTATTGATAGTTCAGTCTTTGTACCACTTATTTCAAGGATTAGCCACTGTCTTGGGATTGGATGGACTTGAACCCAAATCCTAAATCCAATGATTAACTGAGAGATCTCGAATAAGTCTCCAAGCTTCTCTGAACAACTATGTCTTAAAATGTAAAGATAATAATGTCAATTTTCTAGGGTTCTTGTGAACATTAAATAAGATGACTATAAACAAAGTGCTTAGATTAGGTGCTTCTCCTTCCTGCCTCATTCCCCTTGTTCTTTGCTTGTAGCCTCCCTTCCTCTCTTTTCTTTTTTGTGGAACATCAAGGAAAGATCACACTGTCAATTATCCTCTGGCTTTTCATTTTGTTTTAATCTCAGCCACATGTGATAGGGCCAGGAGGCAGAGGAATTCTAGACGGAAAAGGGCAGTGTCCCTGGCAAAGGCCACACCCTCAAGCCTGGAACCTCAGCCCCATGTGAGAACTTTACATCCCCATCTTCCCACTAGAATGCTGCTTTTTCCAAAACTACTCCTGGCCTACCCCGCCCCACTCCATGCTATATCGATAAAAAACCCTGTGTTTCACTGGCAGAGAGCAGAGAAGGGGAGAAGAGAAGCAGCAGCTGAACACCGGAGAGAAGTTTGACTCCAGAGGGATGGCTTGATGGTGGGACTTCAGGAGAAGAATACCTTCCTGCTCCATCCCCTTTCCAGCTCCCCTTCCCACTGAGAGCCACTTCCATTGGCAATAAAATCCTCCTCAGTAACCACCCTTCAATTCATTCATGTGACCTGATTTTTCCTGGACACAGAAAAAGAGCTCAGGGGCTACATGTGCAGATGCTAAAGGCTGTCACACTGACCCTCTGCCCTTGCTGGCAGAGAGCAACTGCCTCACATGAAAAGGCAGAGGGCCCACTCAGCTGTTTACCACTTAAGCTGTCCATATGGATGCCAGAGCTAAAAGAGCGCACTGTAACGCATGCCCTCTGGGGCTTCAGGGATTGCTGGTACTCCCTTTCCAGAAGCTACTGTGGGGCCTGCATTGAGTTTTGCTCCTGCTGATGCTCAGAAGCACTTGCCCTGCCTCCTGCACCGGCTCACCTGTGTGATCCCCCTCCCACAAGGGTTTGAGAGCTGCGGGCTGAGTAAGCAAGGCACTCCTGTCATGAGGCCCATGAAGGAGTCAGGGAAAATTTCCTGTTTCACGTGTTTGACTAAAATACTACTAGAAAAGACATGAAAAATCTCAACTGCAAATCTAAGACAGTGGCTATGTTGTCATATTATTTTCATGGCCAAAGACTTATCTCATCAGACATCAAGAAACATCTGATTAACAAATCTAAAATTTTACAAACTCCAGGACTCTATAACTTCTATTTAATTAAACACATGCTTTAGTTCTCTGCTTCTCAGAGTGGTTACCTCCATGAGGTTTACCCCTCATTATGTGCAAACTAGCGCTGACTACAGTCAGTCTGAAAGAAAGCACAGATAAATTCCTAAACAGTGAATGAAAAGGAAAAAGGGAAACCTAAAGAGAGCAGCAGGCATTTCTAAAAATCAGGGTGTGAGAGAATTTTAATGGCTCTGTTTTTTTGTTTTAATTAAATTGCCTTTATAGTTGCTTTGGCAGACGTCTGGGAACCAAATGACTAATTAAGAACAGAAAGAACAGTTTTCTCCTTGCCTTTATTAGAGGGCATATAAGGAGAATGAGTTTTGAGTAAACTATTAGTTCTAAAGTTCCCTGAGGGCTCCATGACAGCTAAAAAAAAAAAAAAAAAAAAAAAAAAAAAAAAAACCTGAGCAGCTCAGGAAGCTTCAGGTCTTCCTCAGATTCTGTGATTTTTTAACACGTCCAACAGTTGAATGCCTCCCTGTTATCCTTTGAGAGTTCAAAAATCTAACTATCAAAAGCTGCTGATCTAGGGCTCCAAGAGCCCTGCTGGAGTGTGTTGAACCTGGCTTGTCTGGGTTCACAAGAGCCAGATGTTAAATTTTTAGGATTTTGGTGAGCAGGTTGTTAAACACAGTCACCAATAAAAATTATCAACTTACAATTAAATTATGCTAAGAAAAAGTCAATACATTCTCAAAACTCCTATTTGCTAACTGTTGGTTGTATTTTACTATTATCTTGGAGTTATATACACCTATGTTATCTGTGTGGTATAAATACCGTATTATGGGAATAAGAACTGCTGTGATTATACTGGAGATATGATCACTTTTTGCCCTGCCTACCCACTCTTTTCTAACGGGATCTAACTCTGCCTGCATCATAGGCAGCCACATTTTATACTGACTGTCCTTTTCTGACAGCTGGTTGAACACAGTTGAGGTCAAATTTGAGTAAGTTACCTGAAAATGCTAATAATTGGCAAAGAACTTTGCTTGAAACCTCCAAATATTCAAAATGATAGACTAATAGTTTTAAGGCTCAAAGCATCTGGATAACAATGTTGATTTTTCAAATTCTGTAAATAATCATAGCTTTACTGAGAACAATCTTTTCTTCTTCTTCACAATTCTGGTTGTGTACACTGGATCTTTTTCTTTGGTCACTCTCCCAAAAGAACAGTAAAGCAAACTGGGAGAACATTTGACGTCTCTCCACTTCCACAGACTGACAACTCTTATGGGCTGTCGTCAGCTAGGGTTCCAAGTAAGACCCCTCAATAATATTTATAAAATAATGATTTTTGTTAAAACTTGAAGGTCTGGTTTTACATTTCCTAGGGAAGGACAAAATACTTTGGGGGTCATTCTAGGTCTCACAGTATCCTGAGAACAGCAAAGCAGCACTTTCCAGGCTGCTAGAATATATTTGGAAACAACTAGGGCTTCTGTGTTGGATTCTGTGGTGCTTTGTCCAGATTCCACTTCAGAAGTGAGGCACTCATTAGCCCTGCTGGAATGTTGTCTGCTCATAGCTCTTGGTGAAGGCCCTCTCTGGCAATTGCCCTCAGAAGACATCACCTTGTTCAATATTACTCCTCTCCAGGGGCAGCCAGCATCTAATAGTTGATTGGTACGAAATACAGAGGATCACCCCTTTGCCTCAATTCTGAACAATTCAAAATAGCATCTCGACTCCGTAACTCAGAGGGATTGGCCCATAACTGTACTGGCTGTTGCAACTGTATGAATTCCTCCTTCTCTCTGGTCCAGCTTTCCTCGTTCCCTTACAGGCATAGAACCCAAGGAACTTTCCAATAACCTTCCTGTGTACAAATATCTAGCGGACAGTCTGTTTCCTGGGGAAGTTGACTTAAGTTCACTTCCTAAGCCTTTGTATGACCTATGACCATGATCAGTCACTACAATGTTAAGAAGATCCAATATACCAGTCTTCATTAGACTTGAGACAAAATTATAGGTAATTTCATACATGTGACCCTGTTTAGTCATTTTTGGCAAATAGTCAACACATCTATGTATTACCTTCCCAGAGTACAGTTTCAAGCCACAAATGTGTCTGGGATTATAACAAGAGACACACAGCTTGAGACCAGGTTTCAGATCCTGGTTTCAGAGCCAGGCAGAATGTTTGTACTTCACTCACCTTCAAAGTATAAAAAATCAGCCCCAGCAACTCCAGACCATTGATACATGAGTATTGTTCATATGAGGGTGGTTACAAAGAGTTCAGTCACAAATCCAAAACAGCATTAGTTACTATTTGTTGAGTACATGGTATATATTAAGCTCTCTAAATAACATTCTCATTCATGATGAAGATATTATTATACACATTTGACAAATGAGAAAACTGAGACCTGGAAATGTTTCTGATTATTATCTTCATTGTCCCCTTCTCTCATCCTCCTCAGAGTGAACTTCAATGTCTGTCTTGTTGAAGCACAGAAAATGATTACCCAAAATGTAGTACTTCAGTATTCTCAGTACTTTGAAAATGGAAAGGCTCAGAAATGAGCCTCAGAACCAAGGTTTCTCTCTCATCTTTCTAACCCCGCTGTCCAACCCAACCCCTCAATTCAGAGATCAGGGACTCTCTGAATTTCCTAATCTGACGAAGACAGCCTGAGTGCAACTGTTTCAAGACTCCCTCCCTAGGAATTTCATCAAATAACCAAGAAAGATTCCAGGTCAGCCTCAAGAGAAGAGGAGACTGGATGTCATCCCTATGCCCAGAGAGATATTTTACCTATTCTTCCGAGGGCAACACTAAGAGATCGGCCAGGGGGCTTGATCTACATAAGACGACCACCTTTATTCCTGTGCAGCTCCACTCCCCGCCTTCCCTAAGGTCTGCCTCCCACCTCCAGGTACATTTATTCTCCCTGATGACTTATTGCTCCCGAAAAAAATTGTTAACATCCCCAGCTCCCTTCCACCCCCTAAAAAAAAGGGCATATAAGCTTGCGCACATTAGGGTAATCATTTTCCCTGGGATTCCACATGGAAATAAAATTTTATATGCCTTTTCTCCTATTAATCTGCCTTTTGTCAGGTGATTTTCAGCAAAGCCTCAGAGGACAAAGGGGAAACTTTCTCTTGGCCCCTACGCTGTTGATATGGACAGGAGGGAGGAAAATACTGGATAGAAGAGTGTGGTTCCCTGGCAAAGGCCCCACCCTCAAACCTGGAAACCACAGCCCTAAATGGGAACAGTTATCCCCGTTTTCCCACCCAAATGTTGCCTTTTTTGGCCTGCCCCACCCCTGTGCTGTGTTTATATAAACCCCAGACCTCAGCTGGCAAAGAGACAAGTGGCTGATTGTTAAGAGGAGAAACAACTGAGTGTTGGAGACTACAGACAGACGCAGCTTAACTTCAGATGGCATGACTTCAGAGAGGAGCCTGGCTAGAGACAGCTGGGCTTTACCTTCTTCTTACACCATCCCCTTTCCAGCTCCCCTTCTGCTGAGAGCCACTTCTGCTGCTTCATAAAATCCTCCACTTAATAAAATCCTCCGCATTCATCACCATTCAAACCCTTCATGCGACCCAATTTGTCCTGACTGCCAAAAAAGAACCTGGGTACCAAGAGGGCAGGATGTAAAAGGCTGCCACCCTGACTCTCCATTGAGCTGGTTAACACTTAGCAGTCCATGGACAGCAACTGCTAGAAGAGCATTATCTGTAACACACCCCTAGATACTGTCGTCGGGCCAGAGCCCCAAAACACTCCCCTGGCTCCTGCAACCACTCACCTGCATGCTCCCCACTCCTGCAAGGAGTTTGAGCTCCTGGCAGCCAGGTAAAGGAGTCACACCCTTTTTGCAAGTCTTATGAGGGAGTCAAAGGAACTTTTCCATCTTATTCTTATCTTAGAACTGCTTCCTTTCTCTACTTTCCTTCAGCTTGGGGAAAGAACCCCAAATTCTACTACTAAATCCATTAGCAATAATGACTCCACCCCCTTCTCTCCCTCTCTATTGTCTCTCACACCTTTCTGTAATGGGGTGAACCTAAATAGTCACTTGATTACAAGTCAATATCCCCAGGTTCTAGATTGATGGAATTGCTATTTATAAAACTTTCAGTGAATCACAAGTTCTCGGCACCCCAACTTTTAAATCTGTAAGATAAGGGGATTAAATTTATTCTATACTTTTTCTAAAGAGGACTCAGACCTTGACTTCTGATTTTGTTGTAATTTCCCATGTAGGACTCAGCTGCTGCTTAAGTCTGATTTTTTCAGGCTGTCAGCTTGCACTGCAGAGGAAGTAATAGAACTCAGCCCCCATTCTTACCCACTAATTCTACAAAGTCCTTTCCTATTATCCACACCAGTGGACACATGATGAATTTTGAGGTGGGTTTTTCAAGGTCCTACACCTCACCATCATTTTATAAAACATGTATATGTATTTGCTGAAATTGTCTATTGTTGTTTCAAGAATTGAGTGGCCTCACAATCTGGCAGGAGTGTTAGAATTTCTATAATTCCCAGAGGTACCCATAAAAAGAGCAGGAACAGAAAACAATGAGGCAGGAAAGTCAGACACATATGGGAAAAAGAATAGGGAGAAGCAGGAAAATAAGGAGAAAGAGAGAAAGGAAGAAACAAGTAAACAGTAAGGAAAAGGACAAAGAGACAAAACTCATCTGAGCGCTCAGAAAAGAAAGTAAGAACAAACAAAGCTCGATTTACTGTAAAATAAAGAAACCCTAGTGGTCCTGTGTCCACTGTTTTGCCCTCTAGCACTGGTCATATCCAAGCCTTTGAAGAAAGTTAACCTCCTGGACAAGAAGTCAAGTAGGAGTTGAATGGGCACGGCACACCATAAATGTGATAAGAAAAAGCTTTGGAAGAGTAGGGGAACGTATATGAGGTGGGAGTAAAGAGAGTTCTATTTTTGATTTGACAGAAGAATTGTTTTTGAAAAAAAATCTGTAATTTCCTAGGCACAAAGGCCTCTTCTGACATATGAGATCATTTATCTACTATCTATTCAGTGTCTATCTATCATCTAGCTATCTATCATCCAGTTATCTCTATGGCAACGATAACCATTGCAGGTAGGTGTTTTGACACTCCAGAGCCAAGCTTTGAGTTCATGGGATCTGTCGCCTGAGGTGAACACAATGTAAGAAAGTGCTCAGTCCTTTCTTAAATGCACTAGTGTTTCCAGAAGACTGCATTGCTCAGGGGTACTAAGTGAGGCCCTGGTTCTTTAAAGCAATTCTAACCAAGATGTTTCCATTTATTTTAGAAAATAAATCAGGTATAGATTGCTTTTTCAGGTTTTTGCTTCCTAATTTTCATTTCTTTTTTTTCTGATCTCCTTTTGAATATGCATTTCTTCCTCCCACCGTGCCTGCTGGCAAACTTCCAAGGATTTTTATCAAATGTTCTAGGGAGTGAATTACTCATTTTAGGTTATTTAAATGAAAGAGATGCATAATACCACTTCACATTCAAATTTCATGAAACCCTGTCCATGAACTCTTTTATCTACGTGCATCTATATGCCCCCAAACCCCAGCTCCAGCTCTCTACTAGCTCTCCCTAGAAGATATAACAGCTAAATGGAGTTCATTTAATACTAAACAAGCAAAGGGTTTTTTGGCCACAATGAGTAGTTTCAATAGGCTATACTATATAAATATTCTTTCATACTTAATATGCTTTGCGAACTATGTTATACCCTGAAATTATGCAGCTTCTGAGGCAAAAGAAAAAACAAAACAAAACAAACAAACAAAAAAAATACCAGTTTTACTGTTGGGGGTTGTTACCTTTTAAGGTAACAACCTTAAATTCAATGAGTTACATAGACAATTTAGGGAAATTGAGGATTGGGTTTGATGTTTTTGTAATGAATCTATCAGGGAAAGGGAGAAAAAAAGAGGGTGACAGGAGATAATGGGGGAGCGAGAGCTTTGAAAAGCAGGTACACAAAGCAGCAGCAGTCTTCAGTGGCAATTAATTGGTTTAATGAATGTTTACTGAGCACCTGCTGTGCCACGCACCAAGCTAGATAGAGACTGAGAGTGAGTAAAGCCCATGTGGTCTTTTCCTTCTAGGACTTGAAGGAGAGGCCATTCGAACTAGACAAAGGGTTAAGTCATGGTAAGCAGTTAGCGCCGGAGTGCAGGTAGTGGGGGATGGGGGGAGCGCCATTAGCAGAGAGTAGAATACATTTTAGTAAAGGAAAACCTAGAAAAGAATTTTTGAGAGGGTCAAAAACAAGTTTAAAATCTCAGATAATGTGTATTTCATTGGGTGGGTGGTATAAAAGTTGGGGGTAAATTCCTTCAATTAATATAAAAAGAAAATATTTGTTAGACTACATCTCACTAATCATTAATTGTGTAAATTTAATTCACTAAAAAAAAACAAATGTTACTTTTTGTTTGTTTGTTTGTTTTGTTTAAATAGACAGGGTCTCACTATGTTACCCAGACTGGCCTTGAACTCTTGGCTCAAAGGATCCTTCCATCTTAGCTTCCCAAAGTGCTAGGATTATAGCATGAGCCACTGCACCCAGCTGCAAATGTTACTTTCAAAAAAAGAAAAGTTATGGAGAAAGCTATTTTAATTGTTTGCATCTAGCTGAACAGATAGTAAAAGATTGCAATAATCACTTGAATACAGGGCAATTTGCAATGCACTGCATAGAGCAAGGGTGTATTACGTTTCCTATAATTAGAGCAAGGGTGTATTACGTTTCCTGTAATCCAAATTTGCAGAAACTATTCTCCAGAAGAAAACAAAGGTGAGTCAAATCCCTACTGGTGTTACCTGTAAGGTTAATCAATAAATTGTTTATCATGAATATATTTTTGTCCAAAAGAGTGGGGATTAAATGACCAAAGGAGCAGCATCTCTCCTCTCGCATCTTGTGCCCCTTTGGGGGGTCATTGGCATTGGTTTCCTATCAACTAAATGATTTTTATTCTCTCAAATATCTATAGACACATCCTTTTGGACTAGTGTTCTAGAGTGAGTGTACCAGAGACAGGCCCCAGAGCCTCACAATGGATGCCTAGTAGAGGGATGTAAGACATTATTGATCTTATATGTCATCGGACCCAAAACTTTGTCACTAGGAACACCAATCTTATGACACTTCTCAGCAAGCGTTTAGCTAGTCATGTAATTCTCACAGATCCTAAGCACATCACTCTCAGGATTACAACACTCTTCCTCTGGAGTGTCCGATGCCCTAAGACAAAGCCTAACTTGTCAGCACTGCACACGTGGCCTGTTCTCTGGCCATGGCTCCCTCCTCTCTGCATGCTCTGGATGCACTGACTCACATCCAGTTCTTCAGAGTACTGTGATTTTCCTCCTCTGCATGGGATGTGTCTTCTAACAAGGAGCCTCCTTTCTGCCTCCCCTCCTAAAGGTCTGGCCTACTTCTAACACCATGACTTGGAGCCTGGTTGGAAATGCAACCACCCCTCCTTGAGTGGTAAGAGTGTGCACATAAAGCCCTCTGTAGGATAAGCTTCTCTCCCTGCCCTGTCATCATAAAATTCACTGAAAAAGTACTTTCAAAGCATTTTCTCCAGAGGGAAGTACTCCCAGAGATCCCTACTAGCTTGCCCTGCTCTTCTTGTCCTTCAGGTCTCCAATTCTCCCAGTCCTGCAACTGGGTTTGGTGACACACAGAAAAACCCTCCTGAGACCATCTAGAAGTGTTGACCAGATTCCAGGGTGTCCCACCACCATTGTTTGATTCAGCAGGGTGGAGGTAGTTGCATTTCTATGCCAGGCACGTTGATGGTGCTGGCCCAGGGACCACACTTTGAAAAATTACTGCACTACATTATGCTTTATTTTTATTAGTTGGTGTGTTCAAGCTCTTATATAATATTTATATGATATCCTCTCTTTCTCTTGCCAAATCACCTTTTTTTTTTTTTTCCTTTTCCTGCTTCCTCTTCTCCTGCCTATACCCTAGGTCTTCCACTAACCCTGCTGGGTGTTGTTTAGCTGTGCACATAGCAAACATGACAACAATGGTTCCCATCTCTGGCTCCGTTATGTTCACCTCTAAAATATCAGATGTAGCTGTGCATTCTGCCAGGCAAGCTAATCTGTGATATTTCAAATGCATTTCCTGAACCAGAAAAAACTAGCATATTTGAGCAAAGCTGTGTTCTGGATATATTAAAGTGTAAAAAACTGGCATGAAAATCAGGTCTCATGTAAACAGGAGATTATTATTACTTAGAATCCTATAATGTGCCCCATCATATGGATCTCTAGGGCATTTGCAAACCCATTTTTACATAATTATGTGAAGAACATGTATTTTATATGAGATGGTGAAATTAAATACAAAATAGGGCATTTTGAAATGGCTGTAATGTTTTAAATGAAGAAATGAAACTGTTTCGAGACATATGTAGGAGAGAAAATTTATAGACGGCAGTTTTTAAGAGGCTCTATTAATTCCGAAGAAAACACAGAATGAAAATGAAATACCTAAAGAATAAAATGAGAGGTCTCCCATAAAAATCAGTCTTTGTGATTCAAGTGATTAGGCTTGCTTTCTAACAATATGAATTTTACAAGGTGATGCTCACCTACATTAACATTTCAATGGCACAATATTTTTGTTACACATTGTTGCAACTGCTATAATCTGTCCTTTCGCTCTTCCCTCTGTTATTGGGTGTGATCCAAAGGTACAAAATATGACTGGCTGGAGAATCCGGTGTCAGTTTCCTTACCAGTGCCAATGTAGGCTAGTATTTTTTTTTAACCCAGTTGCCGGATATTGGAGGAAAAAGTAAAGGAACAAATCAAATTCATCTTGTGACCATTCAGAAAGCAACCAACTGATAAACTAGCTTTTGGAATTAAAGAGTACTTTATCCTTTCTCAGAGACTGTAGCGTAATGTCCGGCACAGAGGGGAATCCCAGGAATGCTAAGATCTGAATGCATTTTAGATAGAATTGAAGGATTCAAGAAGTAATATTCTCACCTCAAAATAGTCACATTTTGTTTTCAATACAATCAAAGGATTCAAGAAATACATATTCTCGCCTCAAAATTTAATAGTCACTTTTTGTTTTAAATTTTCTAATGCAACATATATCCTTATGGAGAGCATAAAAACGTAAATGTGAAATCACATTACAAACCTTAAATTGCTATGAAGTTAGTTATTTTAACAATTTCCCTTTCCTCCTATTTGATCTTCGATTTTACCGTGCACCCTCTTCTTAGTAGGCGAATTGAAGGTCTACCTACTTGTACAATATGTTCAGGGGGGAAGGGTAATTATATTTTTTCCTGTCTCAGAGGAGGTCCTTGGGATGTCTACATCAGCTCTGACCAGGAAAGATATGTGTTTCTGTTACACTTTTTCCCATCTGCAACACAGCTGAAAGAGAATCATGACTGTTCACGCCTGGTCAGCAAATACTCCAATACCTTTGACATTGGAAAGCTCTGGTTCTAAAAGACGGGGAGTAGGAAGTGCAGTGACGTTTCCCAAGTTGGTAGGCAGATGCTGACATGGGTCAAATGGTAACCAGGGCTGAGAAGACCCAGGTCTTTCAGCAGGAACAGAATATGTCCTTTGACCTTGCCCTGCAGTAGAGACAGCTACTGTAATGGTTCATTACAGCAGTTCATTTCTGTGTCACTATAAAGGAACATCTAAAACTGGATAATTTTTAAATAAATTATAATTGTCATGGTTCTACAGGCTGTACAGGAAGCACAGTGCTGGAATCTGCTTCTGGTGAGGGCCCCAGGATGCTTCCAATCATGGCAGAAAGCAAAAGGGAGCAGGCACGTCACACATGACAAGAAGGGAAGCAAGAGAGGGAGAAGGGGGAGGTCCCGCCAGATCTCACATGAACTTAGTGAGAACTCATTCATCACCAAGAAGATAGTGCTAAATCATTCATGAGGGATCTGCCCCCACGATCCAATCCCCTCCCACCAGGCCCACCTCCAACATCTCGACATGAGATTCGGAGGGGACAAACATCCAAACCACTAAGACAGAGCTTCTCCATGGGGAATAGGTAGGGAAGGGATGGGCCATTAAATAACACTCAATCACAACATGAGAATATTTTTACCTCTTCAATTGTCTTTCAGTCTGGATGAATAGAAGGTCTAGAGGTTTGCTAGCCTAAAAGAAAGGAACTTGATAGAAAGGATGGGCATAAACAAACATCTTTTTAGCTTCTATTTATCCACACTCTGTGTGGTTCACTTTCCACCTCTTGCAGGTGAAAAGAAAACAATGTTACCTAGCTAGGAAATGGAGGTTCTAGAACTTGAATCCAGAATTTCAGTCATATGTGTATTTCTTTTCCTGTATCTCCATCTGACTCCCCTCTGCCTGGACTTTTTCCATCACCATGGGCAGGGGGGATGTGCTACCTATACCTGGCCTTCCTCTAGTGGGTACACTGAGACTTCAGATCTTCAAGGCTGCCAGTGCTTCCTACTCAAAGACCCTTTCAATGGTCTGAAGTAATCTGAGCACAATTCCCCAGGCCCCCTGGCCTGAGAAATGAGCCTTGAATCCTGGCCAGAAAAGGCTCATGTGATTATCAGAACTATGACAAAGACATTATCAAGTAGGTACTTGTCTAAATGGAGCAAAGAGAGCTCATAGAGCTACATATGTTCTTTACATAGCCACTTCCTGAAAAAAAAAAAATTGGTAACATCATTAAGCATGCACTACAAGCCTTGCCTTATTCTTAACTACCTTACTGAGGTACATATTTTACAGATATGAAGAGAAAAAAATGATTCTAAATAATTGGGCCAGAGTCACACAGAGCTACTAAATGGCAGTGTTGAGACCTGATTGCAGCTCTATTTGACTGGAGAATCTGGTCTTCTCGGTATCCTTACCTGAGTTCCTCCCTTCTTCGCACACTATGGCTAAAGACCATGCTTTACCAGGGTAAGGAAACCAATCATGCTACTCTTACCATACCAGAGTGGATGGAGAATCTTTGACACATACCACTGTCACTGAAGGTCATCTGTACTTGCGAGCCTTCCTTGCAGCTGCAAAAATGTATCCCCGTGGAACTCCATAAAAAAAGATGTCCATGCTTCCACGAAGTGGAAGAGACGTTGGCTCACAGCCTGAGCCTTCTTTAGCCCAACTTCATGATTTACACACGTTCTACTTCTCAAAATGAAACAACACTCCTCTGAACACACATAATATCCAAAATTTAATCTTGTGAATTACCTTTTCCAATGTCCTGATAAACTCAGCCTATTTTGCTATAAAATGTGCATCTGTAACACAAATTAACACGATAGGATTGGTAAACAGAGAAATGATGTCATCGTAAAGGAAGATATTATATAGGTTCACGTATGACTTTTCCCAGTACATTCATATTTTTCAGTAAGACATAGAAGATAAACACAAGATATTCTAGTACAGAAAGCTGTGGGAGAATGTACTCTATATAATTTGCCCATGTTTCTCCTCTTGGCTCAGTGTAGACATATGTCTTGTCTTGGAAAAGCTCATCATATGCTTCTCCCCATTTAGTCTTATCTCTAACTCAGCAGCCTCAATCCTTCCATCAAATTACCTTCAGTTTTATCAAAGGTCACGTTTCCTATATATAATGCACTTTTATGAGAAATTCAGCATGTCTTTTCAATGGCACTAATTTTTAATTAGGTTTATGCATGCTGAGATTCATGCCTATCTTTTGAGTGGTCTGTTCTGTTTTTTCCATGAGCCTTGCTATTATTACTATTATGATTGACAGTGTCTCACCCTGTCACCCAGGCTGGAATGCAGGAGCAATGTCATTGCTCACTGCAGCCTTGACCCTCCCGGTTCAAATGATCTTCCCACCTCAGTTTCTTGGGAGCTGGGACTACAGGTGTACCACATCTGGCTAAGTTTTATCTATTTTTTGTAAAGACAGGATCTCACTATGTTGCCTAAGCTGGTCTCTAATTCCTGGGCTCAAGTAATCCTCCTGCCTCAGCCTCCCAAAGTGCCAGGATTACCTATGTGAGCCACCACACCCGACCAAGCCTTGCTAATATTAATGTATCATTTTTTAGAACTCTAGGTTTTTTAAGCACACATTATGTTATAGTAGAAACATCTGCATTAGAAATAACTTGGCAACCATATTTGCAAGACATTTTGCAAAGAAAGAACAGCACTCTTCATTAAATGCTGTCTCCAACTTCCCACCACCTTCTAATTTCTAAAGGCAATGAATTTAGTTAAAAAATTATCACTCTGAACTGGCTCGGGTTTCAAAAAAATTAACTCAACTCTGGAAAAATACTGTATTTGTCCATCAACTATACTTGAATTTCAGTGATTTCTTTTTTTTTTTTTTTTTGAGATGGAGTCTCATTTTGTCCCCCAGGCTGGAGTGCAGTGGTGTGACCTCGGCTCACTGCAAGCTCTGCCTCCAGGTTCACGCCATTCTCCTTCCTCAGTCTCCCGAGTAGCTGGGACTACAGGCAGCTGCCACCACACCTGGCTGATTTTCTGTATTTTTAGTAGAGACAGGGTTTCACCGTGTTAGCCAGGATGATCTCGATCTCCTGACCTCGTGATCTGCCTGCCTCGGCCTCCCAAAGTGCTGCGATTACAGGCGTGAGCCACCGCGCCTGGCCAGCGATTCTTAAGTAATACACTATAAGATAGTTTGAGACATTAGAGTCAGTGAATTCCAAAGAGAACATGTGGTAGATAAACTTTGGAGGAGACTTACCAGTTTGAAAGCAAAATATTAACTATGATGCATTGGCCTTGTTGTTCACCATCCTTAAGCCCTGTGGATGCCTCACTGACTTTAGAGAGAAGTAATGCCTCAGGGAGTTGCATAAGGTGTCAAGGAGAACAAGAAATACATCTATTTCAGGTTTGCTCTCTGTTGGCTGGAGGCCAGCATATAAAGATGCTTCAGCAATCAAATGTGCCAAGGGAATTCCCTTTTAATTCTTGCCAAAGAGGATCGCCAAGGATAAGATTCTGGAAATACGTTCATTCAAAGAAGTCATCTTTCTTCAGTACTACAGGGACTGGATAAACAAGACACCCAGAGAAAGAATCACAGGAGAGAGGCAAGCTGCTTCATGAATTCTTGTTTGAATCAAGAGCTAAATAGGTGGGCCCCAAGATATGCTAGTCAACCATCCCCTCAAACTCCCACTGCTATCACTTATGTCTCACAGGCATTTGCAGGTGCATGTGTGCCTTCTCACACACTGCTGTTATCCTGACTTAGCTTCATTTCAGTCCCTGAGGATCATGTGATGGCCAAAGACAGATGTAGGCAAAGGGTGTACAGATCCTTTTAAAAGGGAGAGAAAAAAAGATTATGGCTCTCTCCCAAATCTTGACAGACTTATTCTTACATAAATATACACAAATATGAAATTGCAAACTCTTTATGTCTAAAGCGCACTATGGCCATAAAACCAAAAGAAGTTTACAAAGAAAAGCAAACCCATAAGACTATAAAAAACTAAATTTACCACATAACTTCAACATAATAGATAATGTTAGTTTTATTAAAACTATATCACTGTTTCCCAAAAACTAGGTCACTGTTCCCCATGTGAATGTTCCCAACTGGAAGGGCGCACATGTTCACACACGTGTATTTTCACTTCATCATTGCTTTGTGCTTTGTGGGCACTTTTTCCCAATTTCTCTGTTTAAGCTCCTCCAAACCCTTAATGTTACTGAACCTTCAATGGCATAAAACTATTATCTTCATATCTACTTTGCCTCTCTTCCTCCCTGAATAATGTTCTATCATTGAAGTAACACTGGTTGGCACTAACATCATAGTAAACACCATCACAATATGGTCATCCAGATGGTTAAGAATATGCTTGTACCTGTTCTACTTAGAATACCATTTCAATAAAAACAAATGCAAAGCAAGTCACCCGAGGAAACTCACCAGTCCTCAAGAATATATAGAGACCCAAATTTGAGGATAATCAACTTGGCACCTAAGTGTCTAAAGGACAGAATCCACACTCTATATGACTGAATGACAGGCACAGGGTCAGGCATTTGTAGGTTTAAATTCTAGCTCTATTACTTCTACTTGTGTAATTTTAGACAAATTATTTAGTTAATCTCCCTTAGACTTAGTTTCCACATCTGCAAAGCAACAAAGGCAATGCCTAAGAACACGCCAGTATGGATTAAATGAGATAATGCAAATCAAATATTGAATACATAGTTGAATCCTCTATCAATGTTAGCTATTTCCAGGCTTTCAACAACAATCATACGGCAAATGTTTATTATGTGTCAAGCACTGGACTCTGTGCTTGAGACCCAGAAAGAAAAGGCAGAATTTACATCCCCAAGGGGATCAATGTCTATGGAGAACAAATGAGAAGGCCAGACAGATAAACCTCAAGAAGCCCGTGAGTGAGAGAAACAAGAATGTAAGTGAGGTCTGCCATGGGCTTTGAAACAGGCAATCATTGTCCTGTCTAGGGCTTCATAATATCCAGTAAAGAGGATGAGTCAGACTTCAATCATGACAGGATTCAGGGTCCCAAACCCCCCTTGGTCACTTCATTAATATATTACAAGGCAATATTTTCCTGAATGACTATATACAGAGACAGTGTTATTCACAATATTATTATTCACTCTTGCTCTGAATCGGAACCATTTTTCTTTTTCCCCTCCTCACTTTCACTTTGAAAATTAAAATGCAAGAATGTTTGATATTGAAATATCCTTCTAGAAGTCTTCAGCCTCCATGACATAATGACCATGACAATTGACCTCACTGAATGCTAAGTTTTCAAATGCACAGAAGACTGCAGATTCTAATCTTTGATATTCTGTCATTCCACTCTGCTTATTCAGAAAATGGATCCATCTGTAGGTGCAAAATGCAATTTGCAGGAAAATGGCACCTTAAAATATTCTGACACAATATTCCATCAGTAGTCCTTATAGTTAGACAAATAAAGACAATGAAGAGGCTTACAGACCTGTTAACATCTGCTCAAAACCTGCACCCACATTTCCTTGCCTCTGCTAGCACTAACTCAAGCTAGAATTCATTTAGGTAATTCCTTAAGCTCAGAATGCTTAGCATGTCACATTTCTACCAAGTCTCATTTATATAATTAGTGCTAACATATGGCCCACAATCAACATTGGAGATTTGGAATCTTTTTTAGCATGCCGTTAGACCTAAAGGGGTATGGATTCAATATGGAGGGAAGAGAATTAGGCACGCAAATTCCATTTACGATAACAAGAGCGTAGCAATGGAAATTTACCCCCAAAAGATTTGGCTGCTAATCACATTGCAAGCAGAAAGAATTACATTCTTAATAACCTTCACCAAGTGCAATAAAAGGAAATAGAAGTTTGTTTTATGTGATGCTTTTGGTTATTATTTCTCCCCCTAAACTCGGAAGTATTTTACAAAATAGTACTAACAATTAAGATTACCCCAACAAAATTATCCCTTACATAGTCTGATTTAGGAATCTAAGTCAAGAAACTGTCTTGGTGTCATTCACTAGGAGTTCATGGACTATGCCACAGAATCCACAGTGGCCAGTCTTTCTTTGGATTGTGGTAGCTGGTCTTCCTACGGATTTTTCATTCAATTCTTATTACAAATATTGACGTTTCCAAAACTTTAGATAGCCCAAATCTACCTTGGTTCTCTTACATTTTTATTAATACTTTTAAAATGAGATAACAGGAAGATTAAAAAATAGCTAAATGATGGAGCCAGGTTTTAGATGATTTTGTGAAATCTTATGAATTCAGATATTGAATCCATAAGTTAATAGAGAAAAAAAGTGAGGTATGTTGGTTTAGGGGAGTTCTTTCTCTATCAATGCCACTAATGCTCTTGACAGTAATCTTCACTGAGTCCTTATTATGTGCCAGGCAACATAGTGCGTATTTAACAAAGATAATACCATTTGATACTCAGAATTGAAATGAACTTGACTACAAAGATGAATAAACTGAGGTCATATGATTTGACTAAGGTCACTTAGGTAGTAAAGGCACAGAACTCCTAGGTTCATGCTTATCATCATTCTGTGCTCAAGTTCTTAATTCTCTATATATCTTTGATTTCTCTATTTTAAAACTTCATGGTTAGTTAGCCATCAAGTCTTGTTGACTCTTAACACCGACATTACTCGAGTCTGTGTGCATCCCAAGCCACCTCTTCAGATGAGGGCCTCATTTCCTTACATATGAATTAGAGTAAATAAACCCTAAGGCCCATTTCAAATTTAAGATTTGATACTTTTATAATTATTGCTTTCTAGATGATGCCATCCTCCCAATTCTAACAATTATGAGCACAGCTACAGAGCTATTTTGGTTTATTTTTATATCCCAACACCTAATGCAGTGACAGCATACAGGAGGTGTTAAAATAAGTGAATCTTTAGTTGAACCAGGAACCATGAAACCTGGTTTCAGTCCCAGTTTTACCGCATAATAGCGGTGTGACCTTGAACAAGTCACTTAACTCTTCTACACTTAAATGAAAACATGTGTGAAATCAGGCCATTGGACCAAAAAATATCTAAGAAACCTTTCACATCAATATGGCCAAATCATTTCTGTGCTGTGGAAACTACTTCTTCCCTCTGAGGGGAAAAATACATTTTTCAGCCTGGGATCCTGATTAGCAACACTTTCTCATGAGGAAATCTGATGAGGTGAGAAGAGAACTGCAAATTCAGAAGATTAAGTTTACGCTTAAGTTTTTGGCCTCCTAACTGTAAATTGGGCAAGCTACTTCCTATAGATATTGGTATCCTTAGCTTTATGAGGAGATGGAATCTGGATTCAATATTCTAAAATGTTAGTGAATGAAGTGTTCTACAGTCCACAGAAAAATGAGGCAAAGATAATGTAGTGAATTTTTCATAAAGCTATTTTATTCTGTTTGAAAGACTGCCTTTTATCTGGGCACGGTGGCTCATGCCTGTAATCCCAGCAACTTTGGGAGGCTGAGGTGGGCGGATCACAAGGTAAGGAGTTCGAGACCAACCTGGCCAACGTGGGGAAACCCCGTCTCTACTAAAAATGCAAAAATGAGCCGGGCATGCTGGCAAGTGCCTGTAATCCCAGCTATTCGGGAGACTGAGGCAGGAGAATCACTTGAACCAGGGAGGCGGAGGTTGCAGTGAGCCGAGATCGTGCCATTGCACTCCAGCCTGGGTGAAGAAGTGAGACTCTGTCTCAAAAAAAAAAAAAGACTGCCTTTTATTCTGATTGTCTCACATTTTTGCATTAAAATATCATTTAAGAATTACGTTTTTTGAAAATATCCTTTAGACGTAGTAAAAATTGTCAACCCAAAGTTAGTCCAATATCTCCAAGAATGCTAAGGAAGGCCCCATTTCCCTAATAATCACTATAGTTTTCTGATTCTGATGAATTTCCCTATCCACCCTCCATCCTTCTATTCCTTTCTGCAGTCTCTATTAGTTCAAAAGTGGAACCCCTTTCCTTTACCTCATCCCCATTCTAAATTAAAGTATCAGCAATAACAATAAAAATTTCCCCCTACAAGTTAATAGTAATGGAAAGGGAGTTCTATTTCAATATAGGATGGTAAACGATTCAAAATTTAATGTTGGTTGGCCCTGTTCTTAAAAGTTCTTTAGAAATTATCTGGGATGGATTTACCTCACTGACTATCTCTCCCTGGTCCCAGTTCTCATTTTCTCCCTAAATTCCTATATTTTTCACAAAGAATATATAAGATGGGAAAGCTTACTACTTCAAAAAGTTAACTGACTTGCCTAAGTTGACAACGTCAGTAAGGGACTGAAGCCGACCTCAATCCCTGAGCCTTATGACTCCAGAGCTCATGCTTTCCCCACTTCCTGTCACTGCCAAGCAGCAGAATGGGAGTCTATGGTCCATGCCTTTCCCTCCGCATGTGCTAAGTTAGATTGGCTGGTTATTCTAAGAACACACATGGACAGGAACTCAATTTGGTCCAGCTAAAGGAGGGTACCCTGGGGAGTACTGCCATAGAGATGCAAGACAAGGAAAAAACATAGGAAAGGAATTGGATGGAGAGGAAATTTGAGTTGTTGCTTGGCCAGACAGTTCACTTGAATGACTATTTTTAAAACTAAAATGGTATGAAATCCTTCCTATCCCCCCTTCTCTTGTTGTAAAAAGAGGAAATAGAATTAATTTTTATCTTTAAACAAAAGACATCGTTCCTCCCTTTCCACACTGAATCTCCTCTCTACGTCGCCAGCATCACAGACCTGTATCTTAGTCCTGAGTCTTTTTTGAGCCCATGAAGAAATTCCCACCCACCGAGCTGCTCCCATTATTTCCATGGCTGAATAGAAAGAACTATTCAGTATGAAATTGTTAAATGAAACTCCTTTTGTACTACGAAAAGATGAAACGATGTGCCACACCTTTGAATGCAGACACAGACCACCGCCACCATTTAAAGGAGACGTGTCTAGATTACTGCCAACAATGACATTTCTTTTCTACTGAAATAAATAGTGAAGGGTTTCAGAGCTTACTTTAACTCTACACAGTCATCCCCAGAGCCCATTTACATAATAACATTAAAGAGTGCTTAAATGAGTGAGAACATTGTTTTGATTAGAATCACAAAATTTATCCAAAATGAGTGACGTTTGCTTATAAGGAGATGTATGGTAAAACACGTTATTTGTGTATATAGATTGTATTGAGAACTTCCTTCTCAGTGTTATGTATGTTAGTAGTCATGGTCATACCACACATGTTCATGTATGATTACATAAGGGCACTTTCAATGTAGAATGCATTATAGGGTGCTAACAAATTAACTTCCAGTATTGGAACAATGGAAGCCCAGAAGAGTGTAATTGTTAGTTTTACAAAGAACATGCTCATCAGCGTGATGGTTTTCATAGAGGAATTAAAATTTAAAAACTCATCACCAGAACAGTTCATCTGAAACCAAAATGTGCTGTATATGAGCTTGAAAAAGGAAAACAATGGTGTTGATCAAAGTTTGACCCTAGTGAAACTCTCTTTGACTAGAATATTTAAAAAGAGTTTGCCTTTTTCTGACCCAACAAATATTTTCTATGGCAAAATAAAAGAAGAGCCTGGCTTTATTGTAATATACAAGAGAATAAGTACTGTACCTAGATTTAAAAAGACTATATAATGCAGCCTGCATTTATCACTTCTATAAAATATGTAACAATTTGACAGTTCCTCAAAAAGTTAAACATAGAATTAACACATGATCCAGCATTCCATTTCTACAGATATGCTAGAAAGAATTGAAAGGAGGGACTCAAACAGTCACTGTACATAAAAGTTCACGGAAGCATTGTTCACAAAATGTGGAAACAAATTAAACACCCATTCAGATCACTTGAGGTCAGGAGTTTGAGAGAAGCCTGGCCAACACAATGAAACCCAGTTTCTACTAAAAATACAAACAATTAGCCAGATATCGTGGTGCACGCCTGTAATCCTAGCTACTCAGGAGCCTGAGGCAGGGGAATCGCTTGAACCTGGGAGGCGGAGGTTGCAGTGAGCTGAGACCACGTCAATGCACTCTAGCTTGGGGAACAGAGTGAGACTCTGTCTAAAAAAAAAAACAACAACAAAAAACTAAATGTTCATTAACAGTCAAATGAACAAAATGTGATAAATGTGAAAAATGGCATATTATTCGCCTTAAAAAGGAATAAAACTTTGATACATGCTACAACATTGATGAGCCTTGAAAACATTATGCTAAGTGAAATAAGCCAGATACAAAAGGACAAATATGGTATGATTCTACTTATATGAGGTACTTAGAATAGGCAAATTCATAGAGACAAAGAACAGAATGAAAATTACCAGGGACTGAGGGCGGGGAGAATGTAGATTCACTTAATGGGTACACAGCTTCTGTTTGGGATAGAAAAGTTTTATAAATGGACAGTGGTGATAGTTGTTCAACACTGTGAGCGTGCTTAATGCCACTTAATTGTCCATTTAAAATTTACCATTTTAACTATTTTTATGTTGTGTATATTTCACCACTATATGTATAATAGTCTCTCTGGGTTTGGAGTTACTGGAGCTAAGCATCACAAAGAAAATGAACCTGTCTGTAAATTAAATTTTTTAATTAACGAGAAACAGAATATCTACTGGACTGAAAACAAAAAATACATCTATGGCAGAATGAAGGGGACAGACACTCCCTAAAATGGGAACATGGCTCTCAGAAATCCTAGGAGTCTGAAAGGAAACATACGGTTCTCTAACAAACTACAGTACAACGAAAGACTCTAGGGCCGTCATGGAGATGTTTTTAAGTGGGAGGGAATAGATTGTAGATAGAAAATTGCCAGTGTTCAATTGATTTTGACATATAAAAGTGTCAATTTCATATGGTTCAACTTAACACCTGAAAGGCTACCTTACCTTACACTCCCTTCTTTCATCTTACCATTGGCCCAGCCAAGGTTAACCTTGATCACCTCTCAAGCTCTCCATCCCTCCCTCAAACAATCACCACCACCACCATGCAAATCATTAAGAGTGTGTGTGCGCATGTGTGCATAGGGGTACACATTCCAATCGATACAGAGACCAGGAAGAAATGTACTGAATCAAGTGAGTCATCAGTAAATACAGTCACCCTTCTCATGTGCGGTCTCCTCAGATTTAGCTCAGAGAACACAGACACCCTGTTTCTAGATTTTTTGTTTTTTCCGGATTTCTCAAAAGAAACAAAAAATCTAGATTTGGGATTAAAATCTCTTTATTTTTAAAGTGTCGCCCCATTTTTTTAATAAAAAACTCTGCATGCCAAACAATATCTGTGGGCCCAACTCGCTCCACCCACCTGCCAGCGTGTGTCCTCTGCTGCATAAGGATGCCCCAACAGTGAGGAGCAATAGCCTGAATAAATGTTTTGATGCTATCTCCCTGAACGGTTCTGAAGTTTCCTTTGTTAAGCCAAACCACAGAAAAATGAGGGCCTTTCCCGTATCGCACGCTACTGCTTTGCTTGTTTGCTTCCCTGCCTTCCTCTTTAGTCAGTCCAGGCCCTAGGATTTGCCTTGGGATCTGGAATGGAAAGCAGTTTTATGTCATCTGGCACATATGTACATGTGGGTGGGGAAGCGTTGCTGGGAGAGGGTAGTAAGGATGAAAAGTAAGATAAAGTAGGACAGTCTCAACTTATCTTTGGAGTCAAGGCAGGTTCTGGCACCAGGGTAGACTCTTCATGCAAGAGAACTGGGTGTGTTGATGGCCCCTCTCCAGCATACTGCACTCCACATAGAAGCGAATTCTCTAACATACATTGAACCAAATTGAGTAGCAACTAGTTTCTGGCAGAGAATGGAGATGTGTTACAGGAAAAGATAAAAGAGCAAAAATAAAGAGAAGAAAGAAGACACGACTTTAATTTTTGTTTCCATGTAATAACTCTGCTTTACCAGTTATTAAAAACTAGGACATGCCTTATATGAGACAATCACTTTTTGAAGTGATATTCTTAAATTACACAAAAAGATGAATGTTACATTCTTTTACAGACAATAGTCACAAAAGTTTCATTTTTATTTCTCATGACAGCTTCAACAGTCATATATGACTGGCACTGAAGACTTATCCAGGCTCCTCATAGATATTTAACCCAGGAATGGCCTTTTCCTTTGGAATTTTGGCAAAGCACACCAAACACACTCCAGAGCATTTAATTAACCGGAGACCATTCTCAAGTACACTTAATTATAGGTCAGTATTCTGACTATATAAATCATGGAAAAGGAAAGGAAATGACACAAAAGCCCTAGACTAATATAATTTATAGCTATCTGAACTAACACAAAGAAGAATGGTACTGTGCTATAATTAAAGATTAGGCTAGTGCCAAAAATCATAATTTTCTGCCTGGCTTTAAAAGCAAATGTCATGTTAATGACAGTTAACTTTTGATTATGCAGAGATGATTATATATAGTTTGTGGATTATCTATGCCCTCATTTTCTTTCCCTCTTTCTCATGTTGCTTTATTGCTAATTAATCCCCCTATCAGAATTCTGATTAAGGAAGAGAAGTAGAAAATCAAATTAGTCATTTGAGTTGATTGTTAGCTGCCTCGGTTAAGACTCTTGGTTAACCTAATATGAAAAATGCCTTTCTGGATTTCAGTCCTCTATACCATTCTGTGACTTTTAAACTGAGATTATCTGAGGTTGAGTATCATGGGAAGGTATACAGATTATAGTCTTGGGATATTTTCATTTTATTGTGTGATCTGAGGCCCTAACATGTAAAATTTAGAAAACTCTTCTCCTCAATATACTAATTTGTAAAATAGAATCTCAGGAATATCTCTGTGTTCCATCACCATCACACATCTCAAAATTATGATGCTATCTACGAAGCGCTTGCACCCATTCCATACTCTATACAAACATGGACCATGGATGGAATGATACAATTTCTAATCACAAAACACATTTCAAAGAGTATCTCTAGAATATAATTCTGGAAACCTGAGGCTTTCCTAAAAAGGTATGTTTTGGATCCTCAGCAACTACACTATTTTCAAACAGTAAAGTTCCAGAAGACATCCAGATCCCCTCAAATTAAGTTTTCGATTTATACATTTTCCTAACATATCATGAAACAAAATTTACCTACTCTGTGCCAATTTATTGGTGGTTAAAATGAGAAAAGATTAAAAATGAGTAGAAACAATAAACAATTGGACAGAGCTCTCTGCCAACAGGCCTGCAATAAAAATAAGCCAACAGACTGCCATGTTGTTGCAATTCAGTTATGATTATGCCATATTAGAGTAATCACATGAGCAAGTGAAAACAAACAATCCAATTTTTGAATTTTAACAAGATTTTCTCATCCTGCCAGGCCTACTTGAAAACACTCCACCGATTTCCCATCATAAGTCGTCTTACTCTAACATATGGCAGTGCCTTCTACGTCCTAGGGATTGTGAAAAATCAGCATAAAACTAGTCTTCCAATATTTGCCTATAGAATTAGGGGTGTGAATATTTCAGAACATTAACACAACAGATTTTTAAAATTAAGCCCACTTCTGCTGTGAAATCATAACAGACTACTGTATGAGCAAGGGTTGAAGCAACACAAAAGAAGGCTCAGACACAAAGTAACAGAGCTGAAATAGGATAGATTTTTCAGATTTTCATATACTGCTGTAGTGTGTCTGAGAGTGTGGGTGTGTGTGGGTTTTAAAGATTTCTGTTTGCCTTTGGAGGTCATATACTAGGGAAGGAAATAAATTAAGTACTGTTTTCTTTTTTTAACTACTTGAGCTCAGTGGGATATATTAATATACACATGTAGGATGACATAATGCCTTTGTTCTATACCTAAACGTAACAAAGCAATTTGACTTCTGTTTAAAACCTGCAACAGAATATGAAAGTGCCTTATGGATTAAATCAGCCAGCTACAGCACATTACTGAGCTTTATGAAGAAAATGACAAAACATTAATAAACAGCCACCTTTCAAAAATATCCACCCCTGGAAAACATACGTTAATGCAATCATAGTCCAAAAGGGATGTAAACCAATATTATAGTACCACATGATAGGGTTCGTTAAACACTTCAAGTCTTTAGGGTGCTTTTTGGAATTGCAAGCTATTTCTGTCACATCCCCATGGTAATTTGGTACTCCAAAATACCATTAACTTTTAAATGTACCAATTTGCTTTTTGCTGCTTGATAAATCATAGTCATCACTCATAGGCTTTAAATTCATTTTATGCTTTATAATAGCTCACTCAAAAACTTTTTCCAGTGCAGGGAATTTCTCAATAAAAAACTTGGAAATAAAATGGCATTTGGTCATAATAATATAGGAATATGGCCAAGCATTTTCTTCTTAGACATTAAAATTTATTTATTTATGGGAAGAAAAATATTCATATTTTGAATATGAAAGCAACCAAAACTTTTACTAAATGTAGCTACAGTATAAGCAGTGTGAAATTATCAGTCTCATGCATAAAACTACAAAAGGACAGACATTTCTATCAACAGGTATGAGATTTTGGGCTTATTCTTATATAATTTATAGAACAAGACCAAATTCAGTTTCATAAAAGAAATTTCATAGTGTGTGGTATGATCCCTCAGCAAATGTGTAACTCAGAAAGACAAAAGTAATTTAAATCTTCGAAGTCATCTGAACAGTACATGAAAAAGAGCTATTCTTACCAGAAAAACCTGCCAGAATATCTCTGGGCTACTCTGATTCAGCCTGAGATGTGCCGGTAACTCTTCCAACCCCTCAGCCGAATGGTAGGTAAGAAGTTTTTAGACTAACAACTGGAAAAGCATGGCATTTGAATTTTCACTCTAGGAAGAGCCACAATGAAATGTCTTTGCCGGTTCCCTCCTCTGGCTAGCTAGGACCAAGGACACAGCTGAACTTCACAAGTCATGATGAACACAAAACCTCAGCAATACCTCTTGGCAAAATAACAATTGGAAAAGCTCTGTTATTTATCATCACGCTCTTCAAAGGGAACTTCATTGAGAAGCTGTGGGAAGACTGCTTAAGAAAACAAAACAAAACATTGTTCGATTAAGGATTCTAAGGATATTAAAAAACAGTTTTTATTCTCTTATTAGAATGTATACAGTTGATTACCTTGTTGGAATATACAGAGAAATACAAATGCATCTCTATTTGTATGTATACTTGAACTTCTAACAATTTTTTTGTTTAATGCTTTGTTCGATCCTTCCTTATTTTACATTACATCTTACACACTACAAAACAAAGATAAAAAGATTATGGGAAAAGTGATCACAAAAAAAGTCTATTTGTTGATATTTTGCTTTATTTTTCAAGTAAATTGCTTTAAAAATTGTTAAAGTGGCCATTTTATGAAGAATAAGGTTGCTGGCCTTCTAGAACAATTGTTTCTTTCTCTGAGTGCTGTAATAACTTCTGCTCTTGAAGAATGCAGCTGTGAGTATATGTCTTAGCTGTAGAGTCCTCATTTGCTCTGCCCATAAGCCCTTACTGCGTCTCCTGCCTGGAGGAAGTCAGATCCGCAAAAGCAAAACTCTGAAGGGCGAGAGTCACTAAAGAACCTGACAAAGCCAACAAGTTTGAAAATGCAATTTTATTTAAACTGACTTCTTGAAAAATTTCTTGTCAGGGTACAAAAACTGCAAAAACTGCACCTATGGAAATTTTTTAAATTGGCTTAGAAAAACAGTATAGAAGACATCAGATATGTTTCCTAATAAATTCATTTTTCAAGTATTTTCATGAAGATCTGTAAAAAAAAAATGTATAGTGAAATATAGTTATGGTTTTTCCTCAAATCGAAAACCAATGATTCTCATTTCAGAGACTAAAATGATGCAGAGTTATTTGAAAGAATGTTTTTATAGGATTTGCATATTTTTATTGTTTTTTTAAAAAGATTCATATTACAGGGAAATAAACAACTTATTTTTTCTGCTGAATTATGTTTTCTCCCTAGAAAATTATTTTTCCCTTATTTATGAAAATACAGCTATACATTGAAATGTCACAAATCTGGGTTACATTTTATTTAAATTTTCTGAAAGAAGATAAATTTATTCTGCCCACTTAAATGAATCCACCAGTTTTCTCATTTAAGGCTACTTTATTCATAAATAAATTATATGGGTTTTCTCTCTTCCATAATCATTAATTACTTTCTGAGCAGGAAAATAAATAAAATAGAACAGAGATTAGCACCTCCATGAATTCTGTAAGTCAGTGTGGTAGTTTTCTCAACAAAAGTAACAATTAGGATACAATCCCACGGAATGTTTCTTGCTTAATTAATAAATACTGTTTTCCTGGCCACATATCAAAACCTCTATTAACAGTCCTCTCTGAATAACTTGTTGAAAGCAATGCTATTGGCCCTCAGTTTTTTCTAAATCTAAAAATATCAAATTAGATAAGTCAGAACCACTTAACCATGATAAACATATAGAAGACTTTCAGCTTACTGGAAAATTACAACAAATATTCAATATATAGCCGTAGGTATGTGTGTAAAAATGCATACGCATATGTAGAGTACACTAATGAGCACTTTAGAGTTGCTATTGAATATGATTTCAATGCCCACTAAAATGATTTAAAAAGTATTAGCAATGTAAACGACTCTAGTAGTAGATGTCCCTACACAAACGAGAGCTGTTGCAAACATCTAAGTCTAAGGGACACCATTCATATCATAGTACCAGATTTTCCCAGATCCCCCATTCTGGTGCTGGGGAGCTAAAGCAGGAGAGGGGCCTGGTCCAGTTTTAGGATGGTGACTTCAAGATACTTTTGGAGTTACTGTTTCCTCCCCTTTATCTCTGCTTGCCCTATAGATCAAGGACATGCCTCCAAGTATCCTGAGTGAAAGGGCCGACGAACTTTGAAGCCCATCACCGCTTTCTCATTAGAGCATGTGGTACTTGGACTAGGTAAACAAATCAAAACACTTTTTCTTCCAAGCAGGCTCCCCAAGTTGGGAGTTTCTATTTGTCATGGAAATCAAAGGTATCCAAAGATGGAACTTGGCATTCAGTTGGAATCACCTCTATTTTTCTATCAAATCAAGTTTTGTGGAAGGAGATGTAAGTTTAGAAACATAAGTCTGGAAACAGGCTGCATAGTCACCACTCTCCAAACAACTAACAGAAGCACAGAGTCACACTTGACACTCTCTGGCCTTGTGAACACAAATAACTACCTAACTCTCATTCTACAAAATCTTGTTGAGCCCCTACTATTTGCTAGCAAGTTTGCCCTGTATTGCTGTGGCAGTGGCACTGCTCAAGTCTAAGGGACACCATTCATATCATAGACTATGAAATTGCCATAAACAGGTGTGAACACATGTGCACAGGTGCTTGCAAAGACACGTTGTGAGGTCTACAAGAGTTGTTCAGTGCAAAGTTTTGTGACTGTACCTATCAGTCTGCTGTACCACACACTTTGCTGTACTCTGCATTATATATACAAATTAGATAATTCTCTGTAGACTTTACCAGGTGACATTTAATCTGGTCTTGATGAATCTACAGAACTTGGCCAAGATAAAAATGGGGTTGGGCAAAGGGAAGTAAAGAGCACTGAGGTAGACAACAGCCTAATGGGACCACTGATGTATTTTATGCATCTTGTACCCTAGCTAAAGGGGAAGTACAGAGAAATAAGGTAGGAAATAGGGCCAAATAAGGAAAAACCTTAAGTGACATACCAAGAACTGTAAGCTTTGCCTTGTGTATTTGGAGGAATAGGAGATTTTCAGGCAGCAGAGAGAAATAATTGCTTAAAAACTACACTTATATTTAAAACATATTTTTAAAAAATACATGCATGGAGACTGGAGACACTAATAATATGAACCAATGGCTCTCCCTAGAATACATTCAGTTCAACGAGACATAGCAGAGTACTTAAAAGTATAGACTGTGAAGCCAGACTGTCTGGGTTTGAATTCCAGCTTCTCTACTTAAGAGTTGTGTGACCTTGAACAAATCACTTAACTTCTTAGTGTTTAAGTTTCCTCTTTTCTTTTTTCAGAGACAGAGTCTCACTCTGTCACCTAGTGTGGAGTGCAACGGCACAATAATAGCTAACTGCAACCTCAAACTCTTGGGCTGAGGAAAGCCTCCCACTTCAGCTTCGCAGGTAACTAGAACTGCAAATGGGCACCACCACACCTGGCTATTTTTTAAAAGAAAAATGTGGGGAGACACCATCTCACTATGTTGCCCAGTCTGGTCTCTAACTCCTGGCCTCTGGCAATCCTTCTGTCTTGGCCTTCCAAAATGCTGGGATTATAGGCACAAGCTTCCATGCCTGGCCAGGTCTCCTCATTTTTATTAGGGTGCATATCTTACAGTGTTGCTATAAGGATTAAGTAACATTTGAAAAGAATTTGGAACCGTGTTGGGCACATAGCAGACACTATGTAAATGTTTGATAGACAAGCATGTATTTAATATTAGTTGAACTCCTATTATGTGCCAGGCATTGGGGATAAAACGTTGAAGGAGAGGTAAGGAAGCACCTGCTATAATGGAATTTACAACCAAGCAAGATTCAAAGCCCTATTGAATGGCTTTCATTGGTTTTATCTCATGATTGTGAATTGAAGTTACTTTGGTTTGGGGAATATTGCTGAGAATTTTATGATGCTAGGTATAACCATATTTTGCAGTTCTAGCAGCACTCACAAACGCAGTTAATGGTGGTAAAGCTTACGCCCCTGGATGCATCCCACCTCTAATCCACTTCCCTTTCATTCAGAATCATAAAAGAATAAGACTCCTGAAAAGCAGCCCTCAAAGGAGAGCTCTCTACATTCTGCCTAAAATCAGACAGCTGTTGTATTAATTTTACTTTATATTTCTTGTTGTCATTAATTCTGTTTTAATAGACCTGTTTCTACTTTGTGTGTTAGAATGTTTTTTGGCAGTATGACCAATAAAAAAATCCCGCTATTATTTTTCCATTCAAATTAATATATTTCACATCAAAAGGAGTTGCAGGATATTGTCAATAGCCCTTTAAAATATCCAGACTTATAACTTACTGAGCTATCATACTCTGTACCAAATCAATTACAATCAGAAACAAGAGAAAAAACAAGAACAGCATTAAAATAGGTAAAACAAGATACACATTATTCTTTGTAATTGTTAAGAATTACTTTTCATAATTACTAAGTTCTTTATCATGGTTAAGAATTTTTTTTAAGGAGTCAACTCAAAACAGCAGCCTATGTAGCAGCATTGCCCAGGCATTACAGCCAGGCCACATTGACAACAGCTGGGAATCTCTGCTCCCTCTAGAAGTGCTAGGGGGCAGATCTCAGAGACCAGATAAAAAGTAGAGAGGAATAAGAATTTAACAGCCTAGCTGCTAGAAATGAGCCACAAATTACTGTTGTTTCTTTTGTACCCTACATCTTCAGAATCTAGCATGGTGTTTATAATTACGTAAGGAGACTCACCAATTATTTGTGGAATGAATGAATAATGACCAGTCTATGTTGGCTTTTTTGCTTAAAAACATTTTTAGGTAGAATAAAACCACTCTTTGCTCTTTCATAAGTGATAGTTCCAAAACCATATTATAAACTACAGCTCAGAACATTTTTCCCCTTAAAACGCATCTTTATTGAATATCATCGGTCACTTTTCTGCTTACTCTCAGAGCATGGTTAGATCTTCCTATAATTTATCCATAAGAATAGCTAGTGTAATGTGCAAACGCAGAGATTTCACTATGCACTCTAACTTCTAAATCATTTATTAAAATATTAAGTAAGGCTAGTACCTGGGTTCATCTCCTAGGAGGTTCCATTAGTAACCTGTTGTTCTGTTTCCTCTTGAAATATTTGAAAATACGTTCCCTTTATACATTTGTTTACTAATTAAATATATTATTTTCAAATAATGTTAAAAATTGGGCAGGGTAATAGTAGGAAAAATATTCATATCATTATATCATTACTTTTACATGATATCTTTTCTAAAGCTTTTTAAAACACAATAGACATTTCAATGTATGCAATAAACAGTAGGAGAAAACATGATCAAAATACTAATGGTGATCATCTCTGAGTGAGAATATTCTCTTTCTTTTCTGTTTCAAAGTTTGGTATTTCTAAGTACATAATTGCTTTCTTAAAACGAACCCAATTTCTAGGAATTACTAATGTGAAATAAGGATGCTTAGTTAAGCCATATTATTTACAATCACTGCATATAATCCATGAAACAAGAGAGAACCTCTAAGTGGAAGAAAAATGATCTTATCATTGGAGAGAATCTAAATGAGGATTTGGGAGCTGAGAAAGTGAATTATCCCCAAGTATCTGTCTGTGGAGGGATATACAGGCCTTACTTCACTACTGTAAAAGACCTTGAAAAGCATAAGCAGACAATGAAATAACACTTTTTGCTGAGAAGCTTAAAGCTGAGAAAACACAACCACAAAAAAGAACTTTCAGAAGTTGAGTCTAAATTAAAAATAATTAAGATTACAGAACAAAAAGGAATAATCAATCATTTAGCTAAGAAAAATAATCTTTTAAAATAAAAGAAGATTCCTTTAAGTACAACACATTTCAGGAGGTAGAGTTCATTTGCTGCACCTAGGTCTTTCCATCTTTGTTCGATGGTGCACTGAAAGTTAAGTCCTAGTGTCTTACTTACAGGATGGGTTATATTTTAATGTAAGTATGAATTACAATTTTGGTACACAATAGATGAATCACACTTTTGGTACAAAAGGCATGTGATCTTTGAAATCCAGTCCACCAAGACCAGAGATACTTTTATAAGGGGTGAATGAACCCCTTCATTTATGATACTGCATAAGCAATGGAAACACCTACAAATGACATTGACTTTATACCTGCTGACTTCCAATGGCATAAACCCACTTAGACCTCAAAATTCTACCATGTGAATTTTGCTTTTGTGAATTGATTTTCTACTCTCAGAAAACGTTAACTTTGACTTGCAATGCTCTGTTCAAAAATATTTATAACCCCTTGGGTGTCTCCTTTCCTATTAGATCCAACAATAAAGCAATCACATTGTACAAAGATGCTAGGGATTTGGTTTGGGAATACATCTGCATTACAGGGAACAAAGTAATCCTTTGACATGTGTTTGTCACTTTTGCTGCGGAGCACAGTAAATTTTCTTATTCTCTGCCAAGCTGGCATTAGTGTATACTGAAAACATGAAAAATTTCTAGCACCTACTCACACCAACTCATTTGAATGCATGCCAAAATCGGCTTCAGTCATTCTATTTTAAAAAATACGCTTTAACAAGGTTAGTATATTGAGGGAAAAAATAGACTAGTGAGTCTATATAATAATACGCTGATCAATTATGAGTAACAGTGTTTCTTAGTATGTGTTGAGGGTATGAATATTTCTTGGCTATACAAACTTTAAAAGCAACAGGCTTCTTTGCATGTTTCTGGGGCTGTAGCCATACACTTCAGCTCTTATCTGAATTACTGAAGATACCCAAATTTTTAAGGCCTGATAATTAAGCAGATGTCACATAGAGCTTTCAATCTCAATACATCCCTAACCAAAGAGAAAGATCTTGGTAACTGCATTCCATTGCCGTGCAGAAACCACGTGAGTTACAGGATTGCCTTACAAAATACAAATTCATTATTTGTAGCTTCTTAAAAAATTATCCTTTTAGAAACAATGGAATACAAACTTACTCTGGGATTCAGAACTAAGGAACTCAGAACAAATTAAGCCATTCCTATATAAAGATAAATACATTTAATCATAGTTAAGCTGTGGCATGGAAATCTTCAGGTTTTACTTTTTTCTAATTTTGTAATGCAAATCTACGAGTTTTACTGAATAACAAATTTATTGGATGAAATATTTGACACTATAAGGAAAAAATGGTTTTGCAAAAAACAAAAGAGTATAATTTGAGAATATATGAGGTTAAAGTAACATTACTGGATCAAGCTGCCATGCTGCCTTACTAACTAGGGATAGATGACAGGAAACCATTCTTCTCCATCTTTGAGAGTCTTATGTGTACTCTAAACTAGTGAAATCAGCCCTAATGGCTCTTATTTCGAAGTTCAGCTGAGTTATGACAAGAAAACACTCAAACTAGTCTTTTCACTTAATTTCTTAAGATGAGCACATTTGGTTTGTGAGTAACTTAATGATGGGAGTATATATTAAACCTCATTTGGGGAATTTATCATAACTATACAACTATTTGAACAATATAGTTTGTTCTTCTAGCAGCCTAGAATATAGTACCCAGAAGCTCTGATTTGTAAGGGCATGCTATATATTTATATATGCCTGTCCAGGTGTCATCTCCATCATGATGTACCAAAAATCAAACTCCTCATTCTTACTACAAATAGCTCTCAACTTCCCATCTTTCTCCTTGCCACCCCCAGCTTCTCGATTAGCCTCAAACACCTCGAAGCATCACTAGCTCATCCTTTTTGTTTAACAGCTATAGCATAAGTCATCAAGTCCTGGTGACCTGACTAGGTTTCAGGTGATATTTTAGCACTATCTATAGATAATGGTTCCACTTCTCAACTCAGATGTATTTGCGGGTCAACAATCTCTCTTCAATTGAACTTGTATTTGATGGCAAAACTGTTGCCATTTGTATTTAAAGCACCACATAATTTAGCAAGTTGTGGAGAATAAATTAGTTCCTGTGAAACAATACCTTGATTTTCACAGGGTACCCTATATTTTTAAAAGTAGGCTTCAATTTTACACACTCTCCACCGCAATTTATCTCAACCTTACTATTATCTTCTTCTCCCCTAATGTTTAATGTAAATTAAGTGTCTTACTGCTAACAAACATCCTACTGCTTTGCCTCATTCTCTTTGGTCAAACAAAACTCCGCATTAGGATCCTATAAATCATAGCAGATTAAGAAAACGAAATTGTAAAAATATGACAGAGACCATATTTTCTATAAATGTCAAAGGCTTGTGAGTTATCAACAATAAATTCACTTTGCAAGGAAGTATTCTCAGATCACCTACTGTGTGCTTCTGTTACAGACAGGAGTGTGTGCGTTCCTTGAGATAGCAGACATCAACTTCAAAGGATAAGTCACTGTAAAACCAAAATAACTTACACGTTGGTAAATACAAGCTAGTTAAGAGACAAGCCCACAAATGGGAAGGTTGAGAAAATTGGGATGAGATTATAGAATAACTTGAAACACTCTGTTTTCACGTGAAAGGTATTTTGTAGGCAAGAGTAAGCTATTGAAAGTTGTGAACCTGAAAATTCTAAGAAAGATATCTCTATTAATAGCTTGCCGCATTTCAAAAAGAGTAGAGGGAGTTGCAAAACCATATGAATATAAGCTTTTTTTTTTTTTTTTTTAAAAAAAAAAAAGACAGGATCTGGCTCTGTCACCCAGGCCAGAGTGGAATCGTGAGCTCTTGGTTCACTACAGCCTCCCTCGATCTCCTGGGATCAAGAATTGCTCCCACCTCAGTGTCTAGAGTGGCTGAGACCACAGATATGCACACCATGCCCAGCTAAATTTTGTATTTATTGTAGAGACAGGGTTTTGCCGTATTTCCCAGGCTGGTCTCAAATTCCTGAGCTCATGCAACCCTCCATATTCAGCCTCCCAAAGTGCTGGGATTACAGGCTTGAGCCACCATGCCAGGCCTGAGATTTCTTTCCAAGGACATATCTACAACAAAATGGCAAAATATTAATCTGTAAATCTAGTTGTGAATAATGGAGTTTGTCATATTTTCTGGATTTGTATGTGATAACTAGTATTTTGCAATTAATAGTATATTTAAAAAGGGAAAATGACATATTCTTTCCTTTAGTAAATATTTGAGTACCTTGAGAATGCCAAGTAGGGTGTGAAGTTGTGGGGATATAGTTTTTGTTTCATTTCACTGGTTAATGCATATGAGAGGGCTGCGAAAAGAAAAATGAGAATGCCAAGATTTGCCTTTCGTTACCATGTGCTCATTTGTGCCAAAGAATATTGGGTGAAGGGGCAGGGAACAGTGGTGGTGGTCAGCCCAGGAACAGGTGATATAAGCTTGCATTGTCTATAGTGGTTGACTACCACGTATTCACCATCCTCTATGTGCCAGGCATCATCTTAAGCAATTCAAATCTATTAATTCCTTTAGTCATCTATGCTCTTTACAGCACCCCTGTAAGGATAAGGGGTATTACCTCACAAGAGGTTAAGATACTTGTCTGAGTCCACACGTGGTAGAGCTAGGTTTTGAGCTCGGGCCCTGCAGATCATGCCCTGGAAAGTACAATGCTATATACTCCTCCCAAAATACAGGATTGAGACTAAAACATTCAGGCATATTCAAAAGGCAATAGCATAACCTCATTGACATCAATAGTATTACATATGACACAATTGTCATGTAGCTTTATATACTGACTGAGTAAAAATATTCATAGAGCTATGCTGTCCAATATGATATCTATTAGTCACACTCATCTCTTTAAAGTTAATTAAAAGAAAACATTAAATGAAAATTTTACTTCATCTCACATTACCCATATTTCCAGTACTCAGCAGCCATATCTAGCTAGTGGCTACCATACTGAGGAGCACAGATATAAACATTTTCATTGTCACAGAAAGTTCTCTTGGACAGCACAGGTATGAAACATTTCCAGTGTCACAGAAAATCCTATTTGACTGTCCCATTCTAGAGTCCAAGGATTTTTCCAATCACAATTCTTCAGCTGAGCTAAAGAATATAGAAATTCATTTGAATGACTATTTTATCAAAGATAGTACATGGTTATTACCATTTTAGGTGCAAAAGATACCTCAGGACATTCAGGGCTTCTTTCTAGGAATTCCTGTTAAGAAGCCGATTCCAAACTCCTACAAAAATAGAGAGTTTATTTCTGGGATGCCTCTGGTAGAAAAAAAAATAGTTTATGACTAGAAGGCTATGGGTTTTGGAGTATAGACTTTTGGAGTCTAGACCTGGCTGGGTCACTAAATTGCATACTTGAACAAGCCAAACAACCTTAATAGATCACAGATTTAATTATGTAAAATGATATTATTTCACCTGTTAATTTCTAAGATTTCATTCTGTTGAAATATCTAAGAATCTACAACCATAGAAACCATCCTCTTCACTTCCTCCCACTCCAAATTCACTGTTAGTACTTTTAAAGAAGATTAAACATTCACCACAATCTAGGAACAGGAATTTCTAGTTATTTCTTCAAGCTCTACCAGTCTTTAAGCTTCATAAGCTACTAAACTCTAGGTTTGCTCAGGCCCGTTTATGTTCACAAGCCTTCCTAATAATTCCACGTGATTCAGCTAGCTGTCTTCAGGATTAAACAGTCCTCTTTAAGGTAATTCTTATACCTTGCCCTAAGCAAAGGGCTTCTGTGGTTAGTGCTAAGTCCACTGAGGTTTATTCTTGTTACCTTTGCCCAGTATCTCAAAAAGCAAATTGTCAGAGCTAGAGCTTTGTCTCTACATGCTGAAGATTCAAAATAGAAAAGAAAAAAAAAAGAAAAAGAAAGAAGAGTGCCTATATAAGGTTTTAAAATAACGATTCTATAATTATTGGTAGATCTCAATGGATTTAGTACATCACTAATTATACCGCATTACTGTCAAATGAATTCTTTTAGCATGATTAATGTTATTATGCCAAATCCCAAATTAATTCACAATGAGTATCTTAAAGTCTCAGCAATGCTTTAAAAGGAGGGAAAAAAAGATGACAAATTAAGCTGGGCCATTATAGTGAAATACAGAGAGGTTTGCTATCTAAGCACTTCAAATATATTGCTAGAATTAAACTATATATTTATGAAGCACCTTTCTGATCTTAGTTCAGTTTTGCAGTAGATTTCCCAGCTGGAAAAATAATGTGCTAAATGGATAGCTCAAATACCCGGTCTCTTGACCTTTTACCCTTGTCTGAATATTTCTATTGTTTGTGTGTCTTTTGTTGTAACCTGCTGCAAGTCATCATTTTGGAAGTTGGTGGGATACAAATAAAGAATCCAAGAACAAAGAAAAAATATAGTCTCTTTGTCATTTAAACTTTTTGATTCGTAATTACTTTTCTCATAAATGTAGTCTTCTCTAGCTGTCCCAAGATTTTATTATCCCTAGCCAAGTTGACCATGAAGACTCTAAGGGTCTATAACCCTGAGACACCCTCCCCACTTTTTTCAGAGAGAGATGTTTGGCAGAGTTGGAAGCAGCCAGCTGTAGCAATGGACACTTAGTCTTTCTATTATGAATTGCAAGGCTCTGTATTTTAAACTCAAATTTGTAAATTGCCTACTCTAGCCTTCCTTTCCCTTGATCAACCTCTGGGCTGACCCGTCTTCTACACTTCTCTTTTTTCTACCACCCATGAGGCAGTATAATTTAGAGGTTAAGAGCATAGATTTCGAGGCACATTCCTTGTCTGTATATCCCAGCTCTTTCAGGCTGTGTGTGACTTTTGACAGGATACTTAACTTCTGTCAAACTCAGTTTCCTCGTCTGTAAAATGGGGACAATAAATACCTCCTCTAAATACCTACGGCCTACGACTGCTGTGAGGATTAAATGATTTGATACATGCTCAGCACAATTCCTGGAAAAATCTAAGTGCTTGATACACATTAGCTTTCATTATTCTCTCTTCCCTGAAGATAAAGAATGCAGTCAGAGGCAAAAACCTAAAATCTCCATCATTAACATCTTTTTCTCCAACGTGCAGTTCTGTGTGCCAGGAATTATGCTTCACATTTTACAAACATTACCTCATTCAACCATTTTTATCTCCATTTTACAGGTTTATACAGATAGCAGTGACAGAACCAGGATTTGAACCAGGGTTGAATGCTACAGCTTGTGTTAACACTTGACACTAGAAGTGCTTTCATAAAATACTTTCCTATATAAGACAGTGGTATCTGTATTTTACACATGGAGAAATGACACCTTAGCAAAATAAACTTGCCTTAGCCCCAAGGGTCTAGCATGCAGACCTAGAGACTCTACTGCATCCTTGGCCCTAGGACAGTACTGTCCGCTGAGATCTGTGAGGGATGAAACAATGTTGGGCAGGTAAGCCTGCATCAATCTGCAGCCTTCAAGTCAGCAAATTCATGAATTGCTTAAACCTAGAATCAGGGTATGTGAAATGTATAATTTCTTAGGATTCTGCATCATCTAAGAATTGCTGCATTGGATTGCTAATTGCAGAGATTATTCTATACAGATTATTGTATTTTTCCTATTTGACATTTTAGTCTAGGTCCAGACAAATTTAGTCTGGGTAGAGGGCATTGCTTAAGATGAGGACTAGTGTAGCACTCTGGGGAGATGCTGAGGTCTGGGCTAGACTATGCGGGAAGAGAGTTAAGAGGAGATGGGGGGGACCTCCTCGCTGATTGGGTGCTGAGATAAGAAGCAGAAAAGAAGAAAGGTTGATCTGAAGAGCGAGGCAGGAAGCTCACTGGTAAACACAGGGCACATGGTTAGAAGGACCTATGGTGGGCTGTGCTGGTGCAAGGTCACCTAAACACTTATCACAGGAATGCTTCATTTTTATATAATTAAAGACAAAAAATGTGCTCCAGAGTTTGGGGCAGGGCTGATTTTCTGTGATAATGGAAGAAAACAGAAGCATGTAGTGCTTTCTTCTAGTCACTCCAGCTTTAAGGAGCGGAGTGATACAGAGGAGTTCGTTACACTGGGGTAAAAGCAATTTTTTCAGCTACAGAATAAAAGTATGTAGCACAGTGCTGAACACACGGTAGGATCTCAATGTGTACATCTGGAGTGCAATAATGAATGAATTTAAAGAAGAAGTCAGAAACTGATAGTCTCATGGGCTATTCAAACTGCTTGTACTAGCGTTGAAAAAAAATCAGAATTCTCTTTCAGCATATACTAGTTAAGAGATTAGTAATCACTGTCTATAGAACAGACAGGTGCCACCTTGACCTGCTTTTACCTGCTTGGGTTTTGTAGGCCTCTGCACCAGTAAGCCTTGACCTAAAGACATGACTATAATAGTGGAACTATTGGCCAGTATGAGGGGAAGTGATGCCATAGAAAGCTTAAGAGAGCTAATTAGGAGCAAAAGGACTTCAACTTGACACTCAAATCATATCAATTATGTAGAACTGTCTCACTCTGGTTCTTGCTGAGAATGCTCTATAAATGCAGTATCCAATTAGAAGTAGATTGACAAAGTGAGAGAGACTAATGACTGATAAAAGCTGAACCACAGACAAAGTTGGCTGTTTGGAGGAGTTTAAAGACTTGTGGAACTGAGGACAGAATGGAAGCCATCGTGGCATAACCAGAAATGGAACTCAACACAGTGTAGGAGATGAAAAACAAAATTGAGAGTCAGGAGAGAAGAGTTCTAGTCTAGGGCAGCTGCCAAGTGTTCTGACCTTGGACAAGGCCATGCCACACTCTCTTTGTTCTTTATCTGGAAAAGAAGAGAATTAGAGTTGATTATTTAAATTCCCAATTTTAACCTAACTTCCAAAACCTTACAAAATTAACAGCTGAAGCTACAGTGTTCAAGGGAGATCTGGAAAATTGGAGATGAAATGGGTATGGGAAAGACTACCATTTTTAATACAATATTTAGATTTCCTGATTTGAAGTTTTCTAATTTTAAATCTGTGATTTTCCTTTCTGAGCTGGTTGCAATACCATCTTTCCATTATATATTAAGGAAATATTTGTTCTACAATTTAGAAGGATTAACACGATTTCCATTGGAAATTGGCCCTAATTGGGGATAGAGGTGGACTATTTTTAAGGACTTCAACACATTATTTGTATGCAAATGGTGCTGCTAATTGCCAAATTAAAAGTAGTCCCAGCAGGACCTCTTCAAGAAAACCCTTGGTTAACAGCTAGCTCACATTGTTAATGTTATTGAAAACTAATGCAATTGCTTTTTATTTTTAAATAATCTTAAATTCATTCTCTTTGGTTTGTATGACTAGCATCCTCCCAACCTCTCAAAGAGAAATTTAACTCAATAAGCAGTGTCCAGCGAGGTTATTACAAAATGAACATGTTAAAACCCACGTATTTTAATTTGTAGGCAGAGACCACACACCTTCATTTTGCCATTTTGGACTTTTGTACACAATTGTATCAAGACTGTTCAGAGTTCAGCAGCACCCTGGAAGTTGTAAATGAGCAGAAAGAGGAAACTGCTAGAGACAGCACTTTGAAAAGTCTGATGAGAAGAAATTAAAGGCACCATGAAGAAAAATAAAATTAGAAGTCAGATAAGGAATTAGAAGAGCACATTGTTCTGGGTCCTTTTAGAAAAGATACCTAAACAACTGTTCAAAAAGAAACCTTAGACAAATCCTACTAAACAGTTTAATTGAGCAAAGAACAATTCACTAATTGGGCAGCCTCCAGACCCAGAGTAGGCTCAGAGAGATTCCAGTGCAGCCACGTGGTGAAAGAACATTCATGGACAGAAAAAGAAAGTGACGTACAGTAAATGGAAGTGAGGTACAGAAACAGCCGGATTGGTTACAGCTTGGTGTTTGCCTTATTTGAACAGGGTTTGAACAGTTGGCCATCTTTGATTAGCCAAAACTCGATGATTGGCACAAGAGTAGGTTACAGTCTGTTCGCACCTGCATTTCGGTTATAGTTCACTTTGTATGGAGAAACTTTTAGGCCGAACTTCACATACGTAAAGAGGCAGCTTTAGGCTAAACTTAATTTAACACAACTCAATACCAAATCTTGGAAACAAGTACAGTCATAGAAGGTTAAGAACTTTTGAGCCAAAAAGTAGTGAAATATTATGGTCAATGCCTCTAGATCATTATTATCATAGTAGTAGGAGTTGACACTTATTAAGCTCTCAATGTGTTAAATGCTGTGATAAGTACAGTTTATCTCCTGCAATTTTGTTAAAATTACTATGAGGGACATACTCTTATTGCTATTTTATAGAGGAGTAAAATAAATCACTGAGAGGCTAAGTAATTTCCAGAAGTCACACAGTAAGGATGAAGGAAATCATACTGTACCAAATTCAGTTCTCTTACCCACAAAACTCTACAATTTTGACTTCTATCAGTCTAAGTTTTTTATTTATTTAATTTAATTTTATTTATTTTTTGAGACTCTCGCTCTGTCACCCAGGCTGGAGTGCAATGGCATGATCTGGCTCACTGCAACCTCTGCATCCTGGGTTCAAGCAATTCTCCTGCCTCAGCCTCCTGGGTAGCTGGGATTACAGGCACCCGCCACCACGACCAGCTAATTTTTATAGTTTTAGTAGAGACAGGGTTTCACCATGTTGGCCTGTTGGCCAGGATGGTCTTGAACTCCTGACTTCAGGCAATCTGCCCACCTCGGCCTCCCAAAGTGCTGGGATTACAGGTGCGAGCCACTGTGCCCAGCCCTAGTCTAAATTTTGTACAATATTTGTAACAGCTTTGAGATGTTATTAACATACCATAACATTCACCTGTTATAAGTGTATAATTTAATGGTTTTTGGTAAATTTACAAAATTATGCAACCATCATCACACTCAAGTTTTAAAATATCTCCGTCACCCCAAAAAGACCCCACTTTCTCTTTTGCAGTTAATTCCTGTTCTCTCCCAGGCAACTCATATCTACTTTGCCTCTATAGATCTGCATTTTCTAGGTATTTCATACAAATAAAGATTACAATATAAGGTCTTTTGACATCTGGTCTCCTTCAGTTAGAAAATGTTTTTGAAGTTCAACCAAGTCAGGTTGCAGTTCAACCAGCATGTATTAGTAATTCGTTCATTTGCATTGCTGAATAATATGCCATTGTACGGAGGTACCGTTTTTGTTTAGTCATTCACCAGTTGATGAACATTTGGATTGTTTGCATTTTTTAACTACTAAGAACAATGTTATTCTGAACATTCACATTGAGGCCTTTGTGTGGATGTATGTTTTCCTTTCGTTTGCATAGCATGCTAGGTGTGGACTTGCTGGGTTGCATGATGTTATATTTAACATTTCAGAAAACCGACAAATTGTTTCCTAAAGTAGCTGTACCACTTTGCATTTCCATCAGCAATGTATGAGGGTTCCAGATTACCTACATCTTCACCAGTACTTACTTTGTCTCTTTACTTATAATCATTCTAGTGGGTGTGAAGTAGACTGTGGTTTTCCCTAGAGACTAACGACATGGGCTGGGCACTGTGGCTCACGCCTGTAAGCCCAGCACTTTAGGACGCCGAAGGAGGCAGATCACCTGAGGTCAGGATTTTGAGACCAGCCTGGCCAACATGGTAAAACCCCGTCTCTAGTAAAAATAGAGAAATTAGCAGGCATGGCACACGCCTGTAGTCCCAGCTACTTGGGAGGCTGAGGCAGGAGAATCGCTTGAACCCAGGAGGCAGAGGTTGCAGTGAGCAGAGATCGCACCACTGTACTCTAGTCTGGGTGACAGAGCAAGCCTGTGTCTCAAGACTAATGACATTGAGCATATTTTTATGTGCTTACATTCTTTGATGAAGTGACTATTCAATCAAATCTTTTGTCCATACCTAATTAAGTTGTCCATCACTGAGTTGTGCTTTGTTTATTCTGGATATGAGTTCATCAAATATGCTATTTGCAAATATTTTCTTACAGCCTGTGATCTGTCTTTTTTACTTAATGTATTTTGAAACATACATTTTTTAAGTTTAGTCAATGTATCAGTTTTTTTCCTCTATGAATCATGCTTTTCATGTCATATCTAAAACCTCTTAACCTAAGGTCATGAAGTTTTTTTCTAAAACTTTTTTGATTTTAGCTCTTACATTTAGGTTTGTTTGCATATGGCAAGGGTAAGATTCTAAAGTAATTTGTTCCCACTAAGGTACCAATTTCACAAATAATTCATACCCCAAGACTTCATTATAAAATTTTTTTAAAAAACAAAAGTTGAAAAGTTTTACAGTGAACACCCATGACAATTTTTAACATTTGCAGTATTCACTATTCTTCATAAATTAGTTATATCTGTGCAAATTCACAAAAACTTCATACAAATGGAATAATTGAATGTGTACAGTTTGTGTTATGTTTCTTCCACTCAGCAAAATATTACTGAGATTCATCCATGTTTTTCCTAAGTTTCATTATACAGGTAGGCTGCAGTTTGTTTATGCATTATCCTTTTGATGGACACCTGGCCTGTTTCCCATTTTGGGGTGTTAAAACATGTACCTTCTTGTACAAGGTTTTTTTTTTTTTTTTTTTGAACAGCAAACACATAGAAATGAGACTGCAATGCCATAGAATAGATGTATATTTAATTTTATAAGAAACTGCAATACTTTTTACCAAAATGGTTATACCCTTTTATACTCACATGAGCAACACAGAAGATTTCCAGTTTCTCCATATCATCAATATGCTTTCTGGGAAACATCACTCTCTGCAAGTGTGTTTTACTCATTAAGCACATCAGACATCACAGGTATCAGAGAGGGTAAAAGAAGAGTTCTTCAATATACCTAGAGGGAGTAGGTAATAACCAATGCGGGCTTTCATTCTGCTAACAGAGGAGACCAGGACCTTCTCCTTAGAAGCATCTAGGAATACTAAAATGCTGCAGGAACAGCCATGGAATAAAGCCTCATTGGTCAGGAGACATGGGATTATGTTAATCTTACTCTCCTGATGCCCTTCTGTGGGGCCTTAAGAAAATCAGGTGTAGTAGGGAAGGTTGATTATCCTTAAGATTCTTTTCAACTTTCTTTCTCTTTTTGTACCTATGACTAGAATGGAGGGAAATGATATATATTTCCCTCAAAATCATAAAGAGGGCTCTAGCTTTCACTGTGTCCTACTGCTTTCTGTGAGTCTTTTTTCCAGCTCAGACATAAACACAGACATCTCTGCTTGTGCTCTCATTACACAGAAGTAAACTACTATTGACAGGCCTAGTTTTTATTAATTCTCCTTGTCCACCACTTGAGTCAGTCAATTTCCGTAAGGCTTTTGATTGCTTTCTACTTCTGAAGTGCTGTCTCACTCCACTCAGGCCTTGAATGTAGGTGCCTCTCTCTCCCTGACTCCTGTGAACTTGCTTTTCTGCAGCCTCTCCCTTGATGCACTAAGGTTTCCCCTTCCAGCTTTGTTTCTTGGCTTCAGAAATCCCATTCCTTCTACTGGGGTGAGATCACTCCAGACCCATCATTCACAGCTTAATGGTCACCTACATTTGTATAGACCCAGGATCAACATATTAGCATTCCCAGAAGAAAGCTATTTGGTGAGCTCACCATGGCTAAAAGTCACCTCATGTCACATATCAGTTGAACCAGATCCAAGTCACATACAACACCCACAACGCTGTATGGCAAACACATACATGAAGTCTGAAAATGTTATTTCCCTTTCTGAGAGGCTTAAAAACCTTCATGAAACAACATTTGGGCATATATCTCTAGTTCAAAATTTCTCCAATGGATCAGGCATGATTTCCTAGCAATTTATGAGCAGTCTTTGGTCTGGAGCTGTCCCTGTCCAGTATGATAGCCATTAGCCACATGTGGCTATTGAGCAGTGGAAATATAGCTCCTCAGAATTGAGATATACTGTAAGTGTAAAATGCACACTAATTTTAAAGATGTAATACAAAAATTGACACATGCCAGTTAAATTTTAATATGATTTGTGTTAAAATATTTCAAATATATGAAGTTAAATTAAAATTAGTTTTACCTAGGTCTGTACTTTTATGTCTGTGACTACTAGAAAACTATGTTACATGTTTGACTTATATCACATTTCTGTTGGACAGCATGGGTCTATAGCATTTTAAAAGAAAGCCTCTCTTTCAAAAAAAAGTTTGTTTTTGTTTTCTTCAACTTTTGTATCTCTTGTCTAAAACCAACAGGACTAGTTCTTCAGAAACACCTCTTATAAAGAGTGGTCCTCTCCCCACTAACCACTAAGTGCACAGTTTGGAATGACTACTTCTATGTTTCAAATCAGCTTTCAAAGACAAACAATATCAATCTCTATAATGCTATGTATGGAAGCTGGGTCCATCCTGCAAAGTCAAGGTATTATATTCACTTTAGGAAGCTCAACAACAAATCCAAACAGGTCACAGTGAGGTACATTTATAGTGCACAGGTGGTTAAGACAGGACAATACCATCTGTTAGTACTGAGATTACCACATCATTTCGGGCATTGTACGGTGGACCCTCTGTATCTCGAGTTCCACATCCTTGGATTCAACCAGTTTCAGATTGAAAATATTTGAAAAATATGAATGGTTGTACCTGTACTGAACACACACAGACTTTGTCATTCCATAAACAATACAGTGTAACAACTATTATATAGCATTTACATAGTATTAGGTAATCTGGAGATGATTTAAAGTATACAGGACGATGTGTGCAGGTTATATGCAAATACTACAGCATTTTCTATCAGGGACACGAGTATCATGGATTTTGGTACCTGAGAGGGGAACCAGAACCAGTCCTTTATGGATACTGAAGATCGGCTGTACTTTACACATAATTGGCAGAAGATGTTCCATCTATCAAATCCGGAAGGTTGAATTACCTCTTCCCATGAGCAAGCAGGATAAGGCCTATCTGAGAGGGCATACCTGTCTTACCCTGCCCCCAATATTCCTGCAGCAATCCCCACCTTTAAAAGCTTTGAAACTTCAGTGAGTGGCAATATTCCAGGGCCCTAGAATCCATTTGTCACTGAGATGCCACAGGTACGACATGGAAAATGTTACTCATCAAGAGATTTGAGCATGTGTTGCTGTACCACTAGGGGTGCTGGACAAATTTAAACATTTTGTGTCTCAGATCCCTGAGCTATAACATGTTGGAGCATATAGAAGGTGGAATGGTACATGATTTGAGATTTTCCATCTGTGATCCTTTCTCTTTCTAATGCTGCTTAAGTAGCATCACAGACAACATGATTTCATGTGTGATTGGCACCATCTTGGCCATACCCATTTCCCTGTGGCTACCTTTTGCATCTGGCTGACTTGTGTGTATTTCCATCGCATAGAGAAAAAGCCAGACAAGCTGATTTTAGATAGACTAGAGCTTAAATTCTAAGAAAAATTAGTCTGTTTCTAATACATAGTGAGTAAACCCCGAATGTCACTAAGTGCTGGAGTACTATTTTAGACTGGATATCCACTTTTATGTTGCTTTTAGATTTACAAATTCATAATTATTGACCTGATCCTTAATCTTGATAACTTTTTCCCCAAAAACGTTCAAAATATGGGACTGTAAAGATTAATTATCCTTACCAGCTTAATTTTTTGTTGGCTATTGAACAGACTCAGATGAGTGTTATCATTTCACATTAAGATGTAACTTTATTTTGATGAAAGAAATTCCTGGCATTTGATTGTCCACTAATTGAGATAGATACAAGTAGGAACCCATTTTTGTAACAATATTTCCTGATAGTTATTTCAACTCTACTGTTACAGAAATAAGTTAACACACAAATTTACTCTGAAATTGTATTTTTCACTCTGCCCTTGAATTGAGAGAAATGTATGAGCTATACTTCTGAATTAGTACTATAGACGATCTCTGACCAAAAAAAAAAAAAAAAAAAGAGAGAGAGAGAGAAAGAAGACTATGTCACTTCATACATTTGTAAGTTGTCTCTACAATTGTCTGTAAATTGAAGGAAATCTCAGTGGGAAAACCCTCTGTTAAGAAAAGAACAGTACCGGCTGGGCGCGGTGGCTCACACCTGTAATCCCAGCACTTTGGGAGGCCAAGGTGGGCAGATCAGGAGGTCAGGAGATCGAGACCATCGTGGCTAACACAGTGAAACCCCGTCTCTACTAAAAATACAAAAACAAAATTAGCCGGGCGTGGTGGCGGGTGCCTGTAGTCCTAGCTGCTCAGGAGGCTGAGGCAGGAGAATGGCATGAACCTGGGAGGCGGAGCTTGCAGTGAGCCGAGAAGGCGCCACTGCACTCCAGCCTGAGCGACAGAGCGAGACTCTGTCTCCAAAAAAAAAAAAAAAAAAAAAAGAATCAGTACCTTGTGTGCGTATTGCCACTTTAGATACCATGGGTCACATTTTCTTAAGAGACAACATACCTGTATGGGATAATTTTCCTGTCTTTCAATCTCTTCCTGGATTTGAGAAACTTAAGTTACACTTTGAAAAACATTTCTCTTATACACAAGGATAGAAAAACTGAGATTCAGGTTCTTTCTAACCTCCTTTTCTATATGATAATTATTAAGAACATTCATAGAATGCTAACTTTAGTTGAAATGTCAAATGCAACTTAGTTTAATCATGTAGAAAGATTTTTCTCTTCCCTGAGAAATAGTGGCTTCTTCTATTTAAATCCTCCCAGCGATGGGAGTTCATTGCCCTGTGCCCTGGTTCCATTTTTATCTGTTTCTAGGATTATTAAAAGATTGGCTATGTTAAGCTGAACTGCATCTTCCTAAAACTCAGACCCATTGGTTTCTATTCTCCCTACAGGGCCACCCGTACTAAACCCAATTCATCTTATATCTGGAAGATACTCACATATTTGAGGACACCGAATAATAATGACCACTTATTGAGATTTTACTGTGTACCAGACATTGTATTAAGTATATTACATGTATTATTTAACATATTCTTCATAACAATACGAAGAAACGGGTACATGAATCCTTTTGTAGAACAAATGGAGGTACAGAAATGTTCCCTAACTTACCCGAGATCAGATAGATAAAACATGGAAGAAGTAGGATTCGTACCTTGTATGCCTGATGCCAACAAAAGCTCGTGGACACTATCATGGAGCCACATTTCCCCCCTGCCTCGTCATAGCCCTCATTCTCAAATTTCTAGCAACTCTCCTGCTATCTGCAGGAATATTTAAGCACAGCAGGAGACATGGAAAAGGCACTCAAGCAATATTTGTTTAGCGACCATGTGCATAAGTAAATGTCGCTAAAAATGGTTCTGAGGTCCCATGCTCATGTTTTTTTATCATTGCACGTCTGGAGACTTGAACTTCTTTAAAGCAATCCTATGTACTGTGTTGTCACCAACATTAAGATTCATTCTTTTTACATGGGCACAGTCCTAGCCTTTCTGAGAGAATATCACAAGATGCTTTGAAAATCTAGTGAAGTCTATAGAAAATTCTTCCTAGAAAAAACACACTCCCACAAATACACATTTTAATCCACAATATGGTACTTTTTTAAGAGACAAGATCTTGCTATGTTTCCCAGGCTGATCTTGAACTCCTGGCCTCAAGTGATCCTCCCATCTTGGCCTCCCAAAGTGCTAGGATTACAGGTATGAGCCACTGTGCCCAGCCAGGATTTGGCACATTCATACATTCCTCTGATACCATCCGTGGAGAAACCATACAATCCAAGTTTATTCAAATTTTTCAGTGTTAAGACACTACCACTTAATAGCAAAAGCAAACAAAAAATAAAAATAAAAACTGGGTAACTGTTTGACATTAGGTAACATTTATGCTTGGTCCCAAACCATGGGACCATTCCTCCTCCATATTTCTGTACATATGCAACAGAAATTGTTTCTAGAGTTTTCTTTCAGATGTCAGCTCATTCCAGGTTTAGCATCCTTAAAGTTATTAAAAGTTTGTACCATTCATTTTTATAGCTTGGTAAAAAGCTTTTTTTGATTTTATATAAATTCCTTTCTTTTACAATCGAACAGAACAATCCTGTCAATGTCACTTGTTGGGAGGTCTGTGTGTTCATTTCTTAAGAATTCTAATTCTCTTTTACTGAGTACTACAGCTGTGAACAAAGCCAAGTACTTTCTTCCGAGAGAGAAGATGGTTTCATCCTAGAAATACTTTTAATTATTAAGCAGTCCAACTTAATTCATCATTAGTGCCCATAATGAAACGCAATAAGGCAATTTAGGGAGAATGAAGCAGAGGTGTCATAAAATAAAATATGAAGTCATAACATTTATCACAGCTTGCCGAAGAGAAATTTATTCTGCTGGAAGCAATAGTTACAGGCATAAAACTTGAGCTGTTAAAGAACTTATGTTGGCCCTGTGGTAGAAATTGGCTAGCTGTGCATAAAATCTAGTTCCTTTTCCTTTTGGGCACACAGCTAGACTACTAGCCTCCCTTGTGGTCAGGAGTAGCCACAAAACTGAGTTGTAGCCAGTGTAATGCAGCAGCAGCAATATATGTCATTTTGGGGTTTCCACATAAAATCCTCCCTCATAATTCTCCATGGTCTTTTCTGCATCGGGTTGACTATAATGAAGACTCCCCAGGGTAGCGTCAGACACAAGCATTGAAAAATATAGGGTTGAAAATGGAAGGAAATGGAGTCTCCAAATTCAATATTGAGAAAAAACTACCAGACCAGGAGCACCCAAGTTAGACTGTTAAGAGTGACAAACTTTTATCATATTGAGCCTCTGGGATATTGGATTGGGGAGTATCTGTTAGAGCAAATAGGATTATTTTAACTAAAACAGCTCTCCTTTGTAAACACAGATTATTCACAGGTCCTAAAAAATTACAAAGCTCATATATTTACTCTATATTTATCAAAACATGTCATCCAATTATTTTGTGTTTATTTACCTTAAATGAGATGATAAATTTCATTATTAGTGGGTTTTGGGTAAGAAGAGCTAGACATTAGTATTAGCGGGACTGAACCTAACTGGGAAAACTAGAAAATTTACTTGAAAGTCTTTGAAGGGATGGTGGAAAGGCAAATGCAATTCAACGTTTTTTTGCCAGCACCCCCAATTTCCCTAAGTTTCTAGGCTTAGGAAGAACAATTTTTCAATGTGAAATTATATTTAGCTTGCAAAAAATAGAAACATGGTGGAGTAAAAAAAGGAAGAGTCAGACTGCCTGAGGTTCAAATCCTTTGCCAAAAATGGGGATAGAAAGATTCAGATTTATGTGGTTGCTATGAGAATTAAATAAAATGGTAACATACCTAGTATGTAGGAGCTTTTCAATAATCTCTGGCTAGAACAATTAAAAGCAGACTTTTTCAATTTTGCGGCATAAATGTTTTGGGAAAAAATATATAGAAATTCGACACTTTACTGTGGAGAATAAATACAAACACACACACAGAGACATGTTACTTGGCAAATATAGACATTTATGCTAACATGCATACAAACATTAAAATTCTATGCCCTACACAATCAGACATCAAAAATAAGAGGTGACAGAACAAAAATAGGTCAGGGTAGACCACTCAGGTTACATACTTTGTAAGCAGAGCACAACAAGAATCATCTTAAAAATCCATCACGGTTAAAAGACAGGATGAATCCCTAGTAAATAAAACTGACATATAGAAGGACTAACAAATGCAAAGAAAGGTAGAGATAGCTTAATGGAAGGTTTAAGTCAAAGCTGAATCTTGGAGATGAGGTAAAAATCCAAAAAAAAAAAAAAAGATGAAGAAAACTAGAATAATAAGTACTTCCAAGATGGAACACCTAGTGATACTGAGTCACGAGGAGGAACGTAGGAGACAGGCCTCGTGTGCACACTCTGTTCTTTCATAGCTCACTGCATTCACCCGCGTCAGTGAACTTTAATACGTCAAAAATTAATGTGCTGGAGAGCACCAAGATGATCCCCATATTTTATTGATATTGCTCTATTTACCAATCATGTGTGTGCTAATTCATGTTATAGAAATGTGTTATAGAAGAATATAGTAGGTGCTCAATGAATATTTGTTGAATGAATGAATGGATAAGTGCCCTAGTGGTTCAGTGAGAACAAAGACAGGCAAGTAATAGAGAACAGAGTATAACATTTGCAGCATAAATCCTGACTTGGGCCCTCATCTACAACTTACTTGCTTTTAACCTCAGAGATTTGGTTTCCTACTCCACCAAAAGGCCATTATAATAACCTGTCTCCTAGGGTCATGAAAAGTAAAAATGATGCCTTTTGGAAAAAGCTCTAACATTTCTAATGTGTTATATAACGGGAGAGATCAATGTTATTAATAGCATTCTTTTCTACTGAAGTCTTCAGCAAATTGACATATCATGGAAAAAATAGGATTCCGTTAGCCATTACGGGGAGTTGAATATGGATAGCTGAAGGATGTGGGAAAGCAGAGAATGTGGGTCAAGGCATGGAAACTGGGGAAAAAATTTAAATTTTACTCAAATAGCAGTGAGTCTACTAGGTATGTTCATGTCAATGGTTTATAGAATTACAAAGGTAACAGGTCTATTAAGGTCTCAACATTTCCTTTTTTTCATTAATATCTCCCTAGACCTTCTGTATGATGTGAATTAACTGTAGGTTAGTAAAAAAAAAAAAAAAAAAAAAAAAACAGTTGTGGTTACCTCAAGAATTACAAATTTTAGAGCTAGAAAGCCTTTATGTTTATCTAGTCATTTACTTTCTATCCTCAAGTTGACCTCATTTCTGCTCTTCAAGAAAGCATTTCCAAACAAAATCAGCTAAATTTTGTTCATTATGTTGAACTAAGCTGCATGCAAGTATTAGTCTTATCAAGGAGAAGATCCAAATTGTTAAGGTTCTTGCTTCATTGATTTTCCTTGATGGAAGCTGTAGGTGTATTGACTTTCAATGTACATAGCATATGGTGACTGTAATCTCTTCTTCTAGTGTAGATTCTACTGGTACATATTTTTTAAAAAATAGGCATTTGCAAAAAATAAATACCTACTGCATTTTACACAGAGGTTATCTTCAGGCAAATTTTTAAAGAAACTTAAGAAAGCGAACGCCTTAAATCAATCACTCTAACAATAAAAATCCAAGTATACCTCTAGGAGACCAAATATCTGAACAAGAATCAGTGCTTTTTCTCCACTGGCCATCATTCAGAGGCTTGGAACATGCTGTACTACTATACAGATATAATGCTTGGTACAGCACTTATACATACATAGTCCTAGGAACAGGAAAGGAATACCTCTCAAATCCTGAGCGTCTCTGGGATGTTGATAAAGATAACAAAACCCCCTCACTCCGGTGACCTTCATTAACCAGTAAGATTTAGAATTGCAGGGGGAACATTTCCAAAGGATGCTCCTTGGACCACTTGTCCCTAAGAGACCCGTGAAGACGAGTATTTCCTTGTCAAATAGTTGTGGTTAATATTGCTTACTAGATCCCTATATTGGTAATATATTAAGTTCATTTCTATATTTAAAGGTATGGAGAAATGCTGCTAAAAACAAATCTGTTTAGCTTTAGTTAGGGTTTACTAGATATTTACTTATTAAATCTTTTTTTTCAAGTAAGATTTATGTACCTACCAAAGCACTTTGGGTAAAAGTGTTCAAAGATTGTTCATTCAGAAGAGAAGCAAATTTCTTAAGTAAGCTGACTACACATGCCATCCCATATCCTTACTCCTCACATTCCAACAGTCATACTAACCATACTTCCACTCAGCTTCTCTTGCCCTTTTAACTAAATCCACGGGATGCTTTGGAGTTAGTCTGACCTCTCAGCATTTAACCACATTTAATAATAATACACCTAATAATTCCTTTTTAAAACTTTCATTTGCTTGGCTTCTCCCTATATCCCTTTAGCTCTTCCCTCTCAGTCATCTTGTAACTAACTCTTTTCTAATCCAGCGATACTAAGTGTGGCCCTAGGCCAGTGGCATCAGCATTACTTAGGGAATTGTCAAAAATGCAGGATTTCAGCTCTCACTTTAGACCTATTACATCAGATCACTGGAGTAAGGCCCAGGAAATTTGTTTATAAACAAATTCTCTAAGTGATTCTGATGCTAAAGTTTGATAACTACCACTCCAGCCCTGAAATAATCTGGTTCCTCAGGGGTTTGCCCATGGCCCTTTTCTCCTGGCTTCAACTACCGTAAGTATTCTAGTGCCTAGAATAATACCTATCACATGGGGGGTGCTCCATAAATATTGGCTGATTGAATGGACAAGTAAGTCCAAGTCTATATCCCCAACTCAGCCCCAGATATTCCTACTGGATATCTACATTTGACTGTCTCCTGGCTTGTGAAATTCACCATCATTCTCTTCCTTCTTTTAACTTGATCCAACAACAATACTGAATATTATATCCTCCAGGTTTCTTGTGATTTGACTCATATGATTAGTGGGGGGTTTTTTTGCTTTTTTTTTTTTTTTTTTTTTGAGACGGAATCTCATTCTGTTGTCCAGGCTGGAGCGCAGTGGCACAATCTCAGCTCACTGCAACCTCTGCCTCCCAGGTTCAAGCGATTTCCCTTCCTCAGCTTCCCAAGTAGGTGGGATTGCAGGCACCCGCCACCATGCCCAGCTAATTTTTTTGTATTTTTAGAAAAGACAGGGTTTCACCATGTTAGCCAGGCTGGTCTCGAGCTCCTGACCTCAGGTGATCTGCCCGCCTCAACCTCCCAAAGTGCTGGGATTACAGGCATGAGTCACCACTCCCAGCCAGCGTAGCTTTAAAGATAGGAATCTTGAAGATTAGAGAAGTTAGCCTTCCCAAAATGATAAATCTAATAAAGGGCAGTATTCCAATTCACACTCAAGTACTTTTGTTACAACAATCTCAACTATCCTGGTCTTTAAATGGTGCTCCTTGACTCTGTCATTTGTCAAATTTTGCCTAAGCCAAAAATCTGAAGCATTCTGAATTTTCATTCTGCCTGCATCTGCTATATCCAAGTCAATCCAAACACTAAGATCCATCCATTCTTCTCTAAACCCAGCCATCATTCCAGCCCTAAGCTCCAGAAACTCTCCCTGAAACCTCATATACTCTCCCAAATAGACTACTTCTACCCAGCTACTAGCTACAGCAAGCTTTCTAAAACCAAAATGTGGCCACGACATCCCCTCCTCATTTGTGAAACCCACCCTGCCTAGCCTAGGTCCTCATGCTTATTGGCTGTCTCGACTTTGATTCCTTTGTTCTAATTTTTTGTTAGTACTGTATTTTCTGAGAGGAACTAAGACCCCACTGTGGTACCCCAGGTCTTATCTTACCTATGCCTTGTGCATAACAGACTAGAAAAAGTCAATATCAAAGAGTTCACTGTCTTGTCTAGTTTTAACAAGGAAATTAACAAAACCTCAAGTCTTAATTACTTCGATGGATGAAATATAATCATGGTAAAATAGTCAAGATTGCATATGGTGGCAAGTAACAGAAAATCTGACTGGATAATATGTAAGTAGGTATTAATCAAATTAATATAGGATGTCTGACAAACATCCTTAGCCAGTGCAACTGCTCAGTGATGCTTTTAAAGGCCCAGGCCCCAGTTATATCTATAATTACCCTTCCTCATTATTTTGTCTCACTCAAGATGACTACTGCACCTCCAGGCTTCTTTAAGCAGGTGGGAAGAAGGAAAGAAAGGCAATAAACAAAATGCTTACAATCTCAAACTATCCTTTTCCTTTTTTAAATCAGGAAAGGAAAGCTTGTCCAAAAACTCTACCTAGTAATCTCCCCCAGTGTCTCACTGGCCAGAACTGTGTCATGTGGACATCCGTAGAGAGGAATGAGTCAGCCCATCAATAATGAGTACCATCACCAGTGTTAGTGGAACAGAAGGATGAGCAGTGTGAGAAGAGATGTGGTCAGATGTGTCAAGTAAGCAGAGGTATTTTTGTCTTGTGCTGAAAAGGTGCATTTGGCCTTAAGACAATGAGTCAAACAAGAAGACATAGAATTGGATTTGTTTAGATAACTCATTTTTATTACTGTCATCACATTTGAAACTACCATATCACAAACCCCCAGGGCCCAGGGTAAGGAAGAGATGGCTATTCACTCTACCATCTATGAAATAAATGAGTCACAGATTCACCTTCTATAGCCCTGTGGTAAAGGCTTTGGTTATTTTATTTTTATTATACTTTAAGTTCTGGGATACATGTGCAGAACGTGCAGGTTTGTTACATAGGTATACATGTGCCATGGTGGTTTTCTGCACCCATCAACCCGTCATCTACATGACGTGTTTTTCCTAATACTATCCCTCCCCTTGTGTGATGTTCCCCTCCCTGTGCCCATGTGTTTTCATTGTTCAACTCCCACTTAACGACTGAGAACACGCAGTGTTTGGTTTTTTGTTCCTGTGTTAGTTTGCTGAGAATGATGGTTTCCAGCTTCATCCATGTCCCTGCAAAGGACATGAACTCATCATTTTTTATGGCTGCATAGTATTCCATGGTGTATATGTGCCACACTTCCTTTATCCAGCCTATCATTGATGGGCATTTGGGTTGGTTCCAAGTTTTTGCTATTGTGAACAGTGCTGCAGTAAACATACGTGTGCATGTGTCTTCATAGTAGAATGATTTCTAATCCTTTGGGTATATACCCAGGAATGGGATGCCTGGGTCAAATGATATTTCTAGTTCTATATCCTTGAGGAATCATCACACTGTCTTCCACAATGGTTGAACTAATTTACACTTCCACCAACAGTGTAAAAGCTTTCCTATTTCTCCACATCCTCTCCAGCATCCATTGTTTCCTGACTTTTTAATGATCGCCATTCTAACTGGTGTCAGATGGTATCTCATTGTGGTTTTGATTTGCATTTCTCTAATGACCAGTGATGATGAGCTTTTTTTCATATGTTTGTTGGCTGCATAAATGTCTTCTTTTGAAAAGTGTCTGTTCATATCCTTTGGCTACTTTTTGATGGGGTTGTTTTCATGGCATTTCCTAATAATATCCTTGCACATTTAATCCCATCGTGGTGTCTGTTTCTCAGAGGACTCAGACTAACACACACATTACAACATGTAATACTCAAAATGGTCCTATTAAGCCAATATTATCATTTTAAAGATAAGACAGTTGGAAGTTAAAGAACTCGCTCAACTGTAGACCCTGGTTGGTGAGTGAGAGCCAGAATGAAGAATATGACAATTTTGTTCTTGTTGTTTCTAAAATTAACATTTGTTGTTTCTAAAATCATCATTTCCTTCACCTTTTGGGAAAAGACTCATTCCACAAGACACAGGTAGAAACCAAGGCCATCTTTATAATCAGATTTCATATATGACCTGGTGGTAACATTCCTTCAGAAATATGGTTTTTACTTTTAGTACTTGTGACTTAGGTATCTAGATCACTATACCATATAACTTATCACATTAAAATTCTATGTTATAGCAATGAAGTTTTTGTTATTAATCCTTAAGATTCTTTTAAAAATGTATAGAGAACATATTTCAGTCTTCTCATGTTACTGGAAACAAAGTATTAATGTTTCTCAGAATATGCTTCCTTTACTGGCCCTGATGTCAGTATTTATCAGATATGATTCTTTCCACTTGAACATCAAGATCTTAAAGCCCTAAAGACACCATGCTGGGTATTGGACAAGATCAGAGCAGTATGAGATAAAAGTCTGAATGTGTTGTTTGCGTAATTCCTAAACCACATTTGATGGACCATGCACCCCCTTTCATATTAAGCTGACATCTGAAGATTTTTAATCATACATTGAAATGGTTGAAAATATTAAATATATTTATGATTATATTGACAAGTACAAATATATTGTGATTACAAATATATAAAGAAAGAACTTTTAAAATGTGTTTAATAGCTTCTAAACACCGGGGAAACTTAATATTTATCAGTTTCAAATAAATGGACAACTCATCTAACAGATATTTTACATTATTACTTTTTCTTATACTAGTGTTTCCCTTCCTCTACTTCACATAGAAGTTTGTCTTAATGTCATATTTTTATGATTATTATTTCCTATTTCTGTACCAATGCATCATTTTATTTTCTTTGGCCAAAATGCTGTCCTATTGTAAGAGATAAAAAATCACTTCAAGTTATCATTACAGTTATCTATGTCAGAAATTAAGTATTAAAATTATTTTATTAAAATAAGTATTAGAAATGTATTTACTACTTGGAGATTTTTCATAAATTCTATAAAATTTGAAAGCATGTCAAAACAGTTTTTCCAAGATTTTTCCAATAACAGTTATTCTTGTTACTCTTCAGCTTAGAGGCGTCTTGTTTCTCTCAATATATTTTGAAAGGTTTGAAAAAATTAGTTTAGAAACACCCTTACGAATATAAAGATAATCAAATACTTTCATCTTACTATGTACTTTATATTTTTGCTAAAACCCTTAAACTGAAGTTTTAGTAATATATAATTAATGTAAAATATCCACCATATAACCAGATTGGCAAAGCCAGCCCTCATTGTCAAACCAGCCAAATTAGACTCATTTTTACCAAGAAAGGTAAAATGAAACATTTTTTTTCCATTTCAAAACATGTCAGTGAGCATTTTTATAATGACCATATTAATCTTCATTTGAGAAACAGAAAGAGAGACAGAGACCAGAGCATTCTTTGACATGTCAGGAGATAAAAGGGGGAGGTCAGTGAGCAGTCTCATCATCCTCGGTTCACTGTACAATACATATAAATTCATAAAATTCCCAACCCAGACCAAATTACCCGTTTTTATCATCCTCACGTTGTCCCCAACAGAACATGTCTAAACCTTAAAGCACTGCCAATAAGCCAAGATTTGGGAGGGTGAAAACTCTTCCTTTCTTCTGTAGGGTGGACAAAAAGTGGGAAAAAAAAACCTGGTGTCAACTGAGGATGGATGTGAAATCACTCTGACGGTGATTCCCTGGAAATTTAAATTCTACCTCATTGGTTGACCTGCTCTCATGAAGCATTCACAAGTTAGTAGGGAGGCATGCCACATATGTACTTAACCTAGCGGAAATATAAAAATATATTTTGGAAGCAGTAGATCTCTAGGGACACGTAAGTCTGTGGTCAAATTCTAGATCTGCTGCTTCTCAGACGTAGGAATGTGGACAAGCCACTTAACCTTCCTGAATCTTTAAAACAGAGATAATAAGAACATCAATCTAGTACAATGATTATGAAGTTAGATAAAATATATGTAAGTCTTTCTTTGCTGTTCTTTCCTTATGTATGTTTTCATATATGTTATATATGTATGTTATATATATTTATATTTTATATATATTGCTATATTAGGTTGGTGCAAAAGTAATTGCAGTCTTGGTCATTACTTTCAATGGCAAAAACTGCAGTTGATTTTGCACCAACTTATTATTATTAACGTTATATATATAAATGCTTAGCACCTGGTATAGTAAATGCTCAATAAGATGTTGGCCCTACATAACGGCCTAATGGCTGTACATCTTAAAACTGCTATTCTAAGAAGCGACAGCTCAGAGGAATCCCCCTAGTCAGCAAAGGCTCTCTGAACTAAGGTGAGCTGGGCATCACAAGAAGGATAACTTACATGGAGAAAGGAGAGCTAATGGACATGCTAGACTGGTATTTGAAACTTTATTCACTCTCATAAAATCTGAGCATACTCTGTATTTTTATATGTTTTTAAGAATTGATTACCAAAGGCTTTGATAATGATATAGTTACATTTTTATTTTTTAAAATCCCTGAACTGCGCCCAGTGGCACTTGTCTGTAGTCCCAGCTAGTAGAGAGGTTGAGGCAGGAGGATCACTTGAGGCTAGGAATTCCAGGCCAGCCTGGGCTACATAGTGAGGTCCTGTCTCAAAAAAGTAAAAAATATAAATATATAGATGAAATCCATATAGGTTTGGGGTTTGTTCTGTTGTTCTCCTTTCAGATAGGGGCCTTATAATGCCTTCTTTCCCTCTATTTTCTTTGAAGAAATTCTTAATTGCTTTATGTCCACCCGTAATACTCCTGGGTTCCTTTAAATACCCAATCATTCATTGACAATTGCAGTTCCCAGTTTCCCAGGAAAGGACATAGTCTCTGAAATCATTATGTAGCTGTTACGTGCAAAAATGTTTAGACACTGTTCTTTCTTTTTAATGCCATTGGCCATCAATTTACTCCAAGCTTTTTATCCAATTTATTCCAAGAGCCATAAACCTAATGAGTATTTAACAGAGCATAGTTAAATTTCCACTAGTGGAGGGAAAAACACAAAAGATGAGGCTCTAACATATTTTAAGTCCTGGTTGCGTTATGGGAAACCTACCATATTGTCTTCCAATATTGGATCAATGAATCTTGTATGTATGCATCCCATATTATGTAAATGAATTGTTATTTTTAAAACTAAGAGTTATATTATTTATTCTCTCATATTCCTTCCTATTATAATCACCCAACTTTTCCCTGAAATTTTATTATAACATCACTTTCGTGGTATCACTGCTCAAACCGAATGTGCTGCTGTGCTCAAATTAGACATGCTTAGCAACATCTAAGAAGTAAAGTTGTGCCTAAATGCATTTACATCAGCTGTCTCATCCCATCTTTAGAAAAATAGGCAAACAACTCTATTGTGCCAGTTTTCAAACAACATTTTTTGTAAGCAAGCTTTGGCAAATTAGATAATTATTAAGCAAAACAATACTGTGCCCAACATGATGCATTAACAGTTTCTAATGTTATTGAACCAAACGACAAGAGAGGCACTTTGTTCTTACTTACTTGACAGACAATTATTCTTTGCTCCAGCAATACTTCATGTGCATACTTCCAAGGAAGACTCATGAATGCAAAGGTTCATTAAGGGAATGAGAGAATCGATTGTAAAATGGAAAAGGCCAAGTGAGGTCATATTTCAAAGAGATGAATATGGTACACTCCATTATGTTGTAATCAGCCTCTCTCTTTCATTCCACAAACTGTAATAGTTTATCCTAATTTTTTTTTACAAAGGAAAAACAATTCCTTCAGACTTCTGACCACCTTCATCCTAAAGCCAGGGAAGGAGTTACACACGCTGCAGACATTTTCCATTTACCACAATCCTTGGAGTCTACCAAACTGATGTTACTGACCATTTTTCTCCTTAATAAGAAAAACATTCAAATGCTGCTATTATTGCTGCCCTGGCAAACCACACTTAATAGATGGGACTTGCCCTGTACATGACACTTATAACATCAATCAAGACTGAATTTTATTTTAATTTATTATGGTTGCTGTCCAAATGAAAAAATGCTTATATCGTAAAAATGTCTTGCAATATAAATGTGCCAATGATGTAATCACAGAATTCAGGCAAAAAAAAAGAAATCCCAATTTGGGTTAAACATTTGCCCTTCCTTCCTCCTAAATTTTTCACTGAAGTTAAATGTAACAAAATAATGGAACCATTAAGAGGTGATGTTGGTACAAAGCAGAAGTCACATGTTAAATATTTTATATCTTTATGAGGGAGCTTTATTATATTTTCCTTCTTTAAGGAGGGAGTTGAGATTTCCACATGATCTGGGATAAATGACTTTAATTTCACTTTCATTGAAGGCTCATCTGCAATTTTTTTTTTCTCCTCAAAACAACCATTCATCAGGGGAGAACACTACCCAGCTTATTAGTCTGGAATTTATCCTTGGCCACAGCTGTTGGCCGACAGAAACTCCTCTGGGTCCTAATCAATTCCCACTAGACTTTTGTCCCCATTGAGGGAGAGAGACTGATGTCAAGAGATGCTTTTCACCAATGGCAAAGAAAACCATATAATATTCGGCCTCTCACATGACTGGCCAGTGACGGAACCTTTCCACAAACAGCCTGGTACATTTCTGAAGGAGCTGGAAGCGCTGGGAGATAACTGAGTACCTATTCTAGGCTGCCGAATCCACTCCTTCGTGGTTCTCAAGCCTGTGAATACGCCACAGAATCACCTGGAGCACTTATTCTTTTCATGACGGAAGGTAGGGCTAGCTTCATGTACGTGTGATCTGTGCGGTCACACAGGGCCCCCTGCTTCAAAGGGCTCCATGCTTGGTTTAATGCTCTGCTGTCATCTTGAAATTTTTAATAGTGATTGAAGAAAGACCTATACATTTTCATTGTGCACCAGGCCTCGAAAATTAAGTCACTGGTCCCAATGGAAGGTCAGGGGCAGGGCCTGAGAATTTACATTTCTAAAATGATCTTAGATCATGCTACTGCTGCTGGTCTGCGGACCACACTTTGACAACCTTGAGTACTTGAGTTTTCAAGCCACCTTCAAGCCAGAGGTGGTCATGAGACAGTTTTGGCCAATGAGTTGTACATAGAAGTTTATGGAGAAGAGCCCTCTGTTACTGAGTAGAAACACAACCCTTCCAAAAAGTGGATTCTCCACCCTTCCTACCTTGAATGTGGTGTGCAGCCTGGTGGAGAAGCAGCCATATTTCGCAACAGGAAGGACAAAAGCCAAATGCTAAAAACATTAGAGCAAAAAGCTAAATGCAGCTACCATAGTGGGGTTACTGGAGCCAATATATCCGCTATAGGGGAAGGGGGAATTTCTAGAAAATAGAGCTGATTAGAATAAGAAATCTATGTACTACAATTGATATATAAAATAGAAAAGTAGAAGAAAAAGTATTCACCCCAAATCCTTACCAAAATAAAATATTGCCAACATGTGGGCATCGTGCCTTCCAGTATTTGTTCTACGCATAAGGTTATTTTTCAAACATTGCTATAATTATACTGTGTAATTACACTAAATTTAAAATTTCTATCTTGATATAATCATGTAACAAATATTAAAGTTATTGTCTAATTGTACTGATAATTTCAATGCTAACACTCTGAAATTATTCCTATAATTTATTCCTATTTGTTATATATAAATCATTTTATTCCTATTTATTATATAATATACAATATAAATATTATATTTATAATTTATTCCTATTTTTCATTTATTTCCTATTTATTTTGCAGGCTATTTCACAAGCATGGTCTTTCTTGCTCAAAACTATCCAGTGGGTTGGGTATGAGAGAAAGCAATGCCCTAATCACGTGATGAAGCATCAGTCACAGCAGTGTCTGTAGGTACCAGTCAGGCCACCAACAATGTGTGGACTCAAACTCCGGGCTTGACTCCTAACTCCATGGCCTTTCTATCCTGAAGTGAAAAATAATCTATTTTTAAGATCACAGAATGCCAAATAAACCATGAGGTCTAAAGTCTTTCTTTCCTCCATTTGTCTGATGAAAGAAGTTGGACTAACTTTCTCAACACCCATTTTATTTTCTCCCACTTCCACGAGATGCTTCTGGGAAAATAAAAAGGTTCCATAGTGAATAAGTTTTGGATGACTGTATTTGGCAAATGTCTTCTTGGCAATTCACAATGCAAATTAGCAAAAGGAAGTTTCTTAGATGTCCGGCAGTTTCTTTTAAAGTTTTATTTAAACCTATTTACCCAAATTGTAACAAAACATTTAAGAAAAAAAAAAAAAGCCTCAGAGCATTGTGTTCTATGGAAAATACTGTGATGGTTTCTGGACAGAAGGCACTCTGGTTTTAAGATTTCATTGAGTATAAAAGGAATGGAAGGCCTAGAAAAAGAATAACCACCACGTAAAGTTATCATTGTATCAAGTATTAATCTTGTAACAAATCATATTTTAACTAAATATAGCTTCAAGTTTTTTATAGTATTCTATCTTTTCTATACTTTTATAGTTTACAGTTATCGAATTTGAAAGGAAGAAGTAACTTGGTCACTTCAAAGTGATGAAATTTTTATTAAAATAGAGGTGAGATATTTCAGTCCGGGAGCCATCTCCCCTTTTGCAAAAGTGTAATTCAGACAAAAGAAACTTCTTTTGAAGAACGAAGTCAAAAACTACACTACACATGCTGTCCAAAATTAATAGCCCTAACTTGAGCTGCGAAAATCACCCCTGAGCGTTTTACTCCTTATATTTATTTTACTATTAGGTTTTTCGGCAAAGTTCATTTTGGTCACATTTAATTGAGTTAAACAGCTACGCCTAAGGTTAGAAATTATGAAATGATAGATACAGCCAACTACCCAAAATGGCAATGTCCTGCTTTATGGAGGAGGAGAGACAGGGCACGATGCTGGCTTTACACGTTTATTTAATTAGCAGCAGTCTAATTTAGACATAAGTGTCAGAGACAGACTTCAGGGATGCCAAATCAGACAGCCTCTGACTTCCAGTCGTTTTCCATGAGCTAAAGTTACCGACAATGGCTTTCCATTCAGACAAATCAAGATGTGTTGTTTTCCTGAAAGCCTGGCCAGTGGTTGAATGTGAAGGGTTAACTTCTGGGCAAGTTTAATGTGTCCATTATTTTTCTAGTTCAGTTTTCATAACAGCTCAAGTCTTGGTATGAGACATGTCTGAAATAGAGATCTATTTTTCCATTGTAGGAGACTATACTGCCCCATTCCAAGTTCGTTTCAAACACAACTCTCTAGCCTATTCTAACAAGCTTGGGAGAAATAGGAAGAGGAAGAGGAGTGCAATATTCTTGACAGTTTTTTTATTGTATCAAAATATACAACACAAAATTTAATATTTTTAAGCATACAGTTCAGTGGCATTAACATATCCATGATGTTATGGAACCATCACCACTGTCCATGTCCTGAACTTATCATCTCAACTAAAACTCTGTACCAGGGCCAGGCGCGGTGGCTGGCACCTGTAATCCCAGCACTTTGGGAGGCCGAGGCGGGCGGATCAGGAGGTCAGGAGATCGAGACCATCCTGGCTAACACTGTGAAACCCTGTCTCTACTAAAAATACAAAAAATTAGCCGGACGTGGTGGTGCGCCCCTGTAATCCCAGCTACTCAGGAGGCTGAAGCAGGAGGATCGCTTGAACCTGGAAGACAGAGGTTGCAGTGAGCCGAGATCACGCCACGGCACTCCAGCCTGGGTGACAGAGCAAGACTCCATCTCAAAACAAAAAACAAAACACCACCACCAAAAATCTCTGTACCTGTTAAATAATAACTCCCCTTTCTCCCCTTCCTCCAGCCTGTGGTAACCATGATTCAACTTTGTCTCTAAGGATTTTCACAATTCCAGGTTGCTCATATAAGTGGAATCGTGCAATATTTTCCTTTTGGGTCTGACTTATTTTACTTAGTATAATGTCATCAAGGCTCATACACGTTGCATCATGTAACGGAATTTCATTCCCATTTAAGGCCAAACAATATGCCACTGTATGTATAGACAATATTTGTTCATCCATTCATCTTTTTATAGATATGATTTGTTTCCACTTTTTGGCTATTGTGAATAATGCTGCAATAAACAAGAGTGTACAAATATCTGTTTGAATCCCTGCTTTCAATTTTTGGGAGTATATGCCTGGTTGTGGAAGTGCTGGACGTTATTCTATGCTTCATTTTTTGATGAACTGCCCTGTTTTCCACCACAAATGCACCATTTTGTATTCCTACCAGCAATGCACAAAGATTATTATTTCCCCACATTCGTATCAATACTCGTTATTTTTCTGTTTGATAGTAGCCATCCCAAAGGGTTCACAGTCTCTTTTTAAAGACCCAGCCTGGGTGAAAGAGCGAGACTCCTTCTCAAGGAAAAAAAAAAAAGACCCAATTGTAAGGAGCAAGTGAGAAAGATAATTAGCATATAGAAAGAAAAAAAAAAGCGTAAATTTTGCATTAATTCCCTGAGTGCATTTTAAACAACTACACCTTGATAAATAAGCTTTAATCTAGAACAGTTGTTCAATGTGTGGCTTGTGAACCCAAACTCTAGGGCTTCATCCCAGTCCTTCTGAAGCAGAAACTCTGGAGGTAGGACCAAGTAGTCTGTGTTTTAACCCACTTTCCAGGTGATTCTGATGTACAACAAAATTGAGAGTCACTAATTCAGAGCTAGGGATTAATAAAAGTAATATCAAATCTAACTGGAACCTGGCTGTAAACTAAATATATTGACCAAATCTATTTTTAGTCTACCTATTTAATGAATTAACTGTGTGATATTAGACAATCCATGGAATTCTGAGCTTCAGTTTCTTCATTTGAAGAAATAGAGATTATATCATTTAAATGGCTGACCAAATGATTCTTGTGAAAACTTAGCATATCACCTGGTAATCAATAGGCAACTTTACTTTCCTAAATGCCATAAAACAGATTAAGTCTTATATCAATCATTTCTATCCTATATAACTTAGTAAATCTATTGAATAAATTAAGTACATCTCCCTGGCTAAAGCAAAGGTTTTTCCACATATGTTCTTCAACTCAATTCAAATATTACTTCTTTTGACAAAACTCATCTGACTCTCCTTTTAACCCATATATTTAGCTCAGACCTCCCCTATAGCTTCTACCACATTATTTTGCTCACATTGGATAATGGTCTCCATGAGGGCAAGTACTACATCTTCTTCATTTCTGTTTCTCTGACCCCTAAACACATAATTGATATATTATGGTTACTCCAGCAATATGCTAAGTAACTGAATTATTTATATTGGTATTGTTTTGTCATCGCTAGCCAAGAGTAAACTGGCTAAGTCACAGAACTTTCTGAATAATTATTATTCCAAAAGCATTCCCATTCCTGAGTATATATTCAAAAGAATAAATCATTACACAAAAAAGACACATGCACTCACATGTTTGTTGCAACACTGTTCACAATAGCAAAGACATGGAATAAACCTCAGTACCCAACAACAGTGGACTAGATAAAGAAAATATGGCACATATCCACTATGGAATATTATGCAGCCATAAAGAAGAATAAAATCATGTCCTTTGTAGCAATATGGATGAAGCTGGAGGTCATTATCCTAAGTGAAGTAACATAGGAACAGAAAACTAAATATTGCATGTTCTCACTTGTAAGTGGGAGCTAAACAGTGAATACACAGACACAAAGATGGGGCCACTAGATGGTAGAGAGAGGCAGGGCGGGGGCGGGGGCGGCACAGTGTGCTGAAAGATCGCCTATCAGGTACTATGCTCACTACCTGGGTGATAGGATCATTTGTACCCCAAACCTCAGCATCATGCAATATACCCAGGTAAACATGCACATGTATCCTTTAATCTGTGAGAAAAGTCGAAATTATAAAAAATAAAACAATTCACACATAAAGATTCTCAAAGACTAAAAATGTATAGGAAATAATTTCTAATCATTTGAATAGGATTCTGCCATCTCTTTCTGTTCAGTTATTTGTTCATTTGTTTGTTCAACAAATATTTCAAATATAATAAAAGCACAGGCTTGTATTAGGTACACTGAAAGTATAATTGTTTTGAGCTTTTGTAGTCACTGGCTTTATCTGAAAAGCAAGTGAAAGTGTTACAAACATTCCTCCTAGAAAATGCACATGATTACATCCATAAAAACAATTTTACAGCTGGGCACGGTGGCTCACGCCTGTAATCCCAGTACTTTGGGAGACTAAGGTAGGAGGATTGCTTGAGTCCAGAAGTCTGAGACCCACCTAGGCAACATAGTGAGACCCCATCTCTACAAAATTAAAAAAAAAAAAAAATCAGTGAGGCATGCTGTTGCACATCTGTACTTCTAGCTACTCAGGAGGTAGAGACAGGAGGATCACTTGTGCCCTGGAGTATGAGGTTGCAGTGAGCTATGATCTACTGCACTCCAGCCTAGACAACAAAGCAAGACCCTGTCTTTAATGAAAAAAATTAAATCAGTATTACATATACAGGCATTTTTATGTCATCAGCGTGAGCTGTTTGCAGTGAAGAGCCACATCTTATTAATCTCTGTGTCCCAAAGCACGATGCACAGAGTAGGTGGCAAAAAAAAATTAAAGCTGTCAATGTCTTCAAGCATTTAAATGAATATTAAACAGTTCATTTTAAATGTTTATTTTATTCCTCAATTTTGAGATGTTTACTTAATAAACCCATGTAACCAAATATAAATATGGTCCATCTTAAAATGTCTCCCAGGGACTATTATGACAGTGTTTGTCAAGATCAAGACATTGAATTGGTAACACAATCTCCCAACATGGTTTAGGTGCAAATTAATTCCATTCTATTGATGGGAAACCATCGTAAAATTGTCAATTAGCAGGTGTCCCACCATTACTAGAGTTCATTTAAAGGATCCTTTGGGCAAAATATCAAAGGGATTTTAGCCCCTGATAACTAAACATCACCCTAGTATTATACATGTCTGGTACAGGAAACACACAGAATTCTCTTGAGTCAGCTACTCCAAATGTGGTCACTGTGAAGATTCAGAGAATACTACCCTGAATGAAAAGCAATTGCCAAGAGACCACTTACAACATCATAGCACAGTGATAGCCCAATGGCAGGCAGGTTAACTACTCATTGCTTTAGATCACTAACATCTATACCTATATTATGTTAGGTCATCAACTGAATTTAAGATGTTTGAGGGGTATGTCTCCCGCATTTCTTGTAATAGTATATGTTACACATACATACATGCTGGAACAAATGCAGTGGTAATGACTGACTCTTACACTAAGAATTACATTCTCAGTTAAAATACTTTTAGGATTCCTTCATAAATCTGCTAGAATCATAATTCCAGAGTTCTTGCATTCCAGGAGTCAGGGTCACTGATTCCTTTGAGAAAGAAATGAATATGTTTTGGCCATTCTCTTTATAAAATGCTCACAGACAAATTTGCAAAAGCCTCATATCTTAACTATTGATTGAGGTTGCAAAATTTAATGCAGTGCTAAGTTGAAAATGCAAGGAACATATTTATTTTGTCTTAATCTGGCCACCTTCATAAGTTCTATCTGCTTGGTGCAAACAACTGAGCAGTTTATACCATCAACTGGACTAAGCTTTACCCAGTCTTTAGTGATAGATTCAGCTTCCTTGGATTATAATGTACCATCTCTCAGATAGCCCTAAGCCTCCTACCTCCAGCCCATTCTCTCCCTAAAAGTGTACCAGGTCGAGCAGAGAGGGAATGCCACCTACATCCCTTTTTTTTTTTTTTTCTAAGAGGGCATTCAAGTGAATTAGAAAATGGCCTTTCTACTTCCCTGGGTGGATGAGTCGGGGTCCTTGAGAAACATGTCCTCCTTCATCTGGCTACTTTTGGCCCTGCAACACTCCCTGCTGATATGCAGGGATGGCTTAACCCATCATCTGTCTCCCCATAGGTTATTCCCTCACAAGTCTAACTGGGCTGTGGGTGGGCACGGGACCCGTATTCTCTGCAGTCCTCTAGTCTCACATGCCAACCATCTCCTTTGGTAAATTCTCAACCACTGTCCCCCATCTACTTCTGTGGGTGCAGCTCCAGAATCAAGGGGGGCTTAGGAAAGTTGAACCCTATGGGTATGCCCCGGGCTCTAGGCAGCCTGAAGATGGCCGCCCCAGGTCCTTTAATGTAAACAAGGTAGAAGCTTCATACTGCAACTCTTTCTCAACTTATCTACTCTAGGATGTTTAACCACTTTGTTCTCCTTGACCTCCCGATTTCTGACAGGCCATAAAATAGTTGGTCTTGTTCTTTAATGTCCCCTGCATCTGTTCATGTTTGGCTGATTCCCCCCACACACTCCACACTATCAGTGCTAATATTTTATTTAGCCACAAAAAAGTTATGATGAAAAGGCAGATGAATATTAAATATTAACTATATATTTATAGAGATGGGGGTGGGTAAGCAACAGGTAACATTTGCTGAATGTTTACTATATGCTGAGAAATGCACAGAAAGCACTTAATAGCACTTCAGATGTGAGTTTCTCATAGTACTCACTACTAACCTAGTGGGGGCTATGATTCTTCCCATTTCGGAGATGTTGGAAAACTGAAGCACAAGGAAGCCAAGTAACTTTCCCGAGGCTTCTTAGTAAGCAGAACAGACAAGCTTCCAATGTAGACATGCTAGGTGCTAGAACCCCTGCTATTAGTTGGGTAGAGCATATACTACCTCTAGCATGAAAGACTCATAGCCTAGTTTGGAAGATAATCTAAATGAAAATAGGAATATATGTAGAAAGGAACGTCAAAGGCAAAACGTCATGAGATATTATCAAAAACTAAAATTTATAGTTCTTGGTAGGATTACTTTTTACATTTGGGATTTCATTTGTTTAAAATCAAATGCTATGGGCTGCGTTGTTCACAACTTTCCAGACAGACTGAAACGCACTGAGCTTTTCCACATGTATGTTATCCTTGGTGCTACTTTCTTCACAAATGCTGCACCATGGCTTACTAGGCTGCTAATGGGTGTCTATCCAATAATACCTCTAATTATCCCCATTTTGCAGGAGAAGAAAGAAAGCCTTAACAAAGTAATTTGCCCAAGATCACACAGCTGGTAAATGGACCCAAACTCAAACCGCATTTTTTTTTATTACTCCAGAGCCCTCATTCACATATCATGCAATATTGCCGAGGCATGTAGGAAGAACCCACCCAAAAAACTCTTTGTCCAGGAAAGAACAGAACAGAGACCTCTATATTCAAGGGTTTGTATAAGGCCAGATATTACTTGTACCATTCCATATGTCTATTCAGCCAGGTTTCTTCACATCCTATGGTGACCCATATGTCAAGGTTATAGTCAATTGAAAACATGACAAAGTCATTTCTTTTGAGGGGTAGTTGCCCCCCACCAAGAGATGGGATCTTTCTACCCTCCCCAGGCTGATTTCCAACTCCCAGACTCAAGCATTCCTCCTGCCTTGGCCTCTCAACTTGTTAGGATTACAGGTATGAACCACCATGCCTGACCTACAAAGTCATACGTCTTCACGGTGCCGCTCGTGAAATAAGTCCAAACTCTCAGAAAGCCTGAGATATAGTCAATGTGAATGTGATTCTTCAATTTCTGGAATCCCTCCTATAAGTAACAGAGAGAAAAGTCTAAAGAACTTCAACACCTTCCATGGCCAGGGACTCTACAAGTTAGAAATACACACAGGTTGAGGCTTAGCACCAACTGGGAAGAGAGGAGAGTGAGTCATTTCAATTCTTATTGAACCACTACAGACAGCACCAGCAAGGCAACTTTTAAAGACTCGTGCTTTTAGAGGCTAGGAACTTGATAAAGTCTAGGACTGAAAAGAGCACTTCTGTGTTAAGACAAATAGTAGTAAGCCTAAGTCACACTTAGGCTACCCTAATTCTTCAATATTTTTATCTGGTAATGAAGAGCTGCTATACATGTAATTACTGCATATACTGCTGATCGCATTAGAATAATGAATGTGCCATACAACATTCATTATTAAGGTTTTTCTTTCAGGGCTATCCAAGAAACTTTTGAGTCTTTTTCTTTTTTTTTTTTTTTCATGCCTGCTCTTATCCTGAAGGTAACTTCTTAGAATGGTCTGCCAAAATTCTCAACAGCTCTTAATAAATATGAAACTTTTGTTTCCAGACTCCTTTTATATCTTGGACCACATTTCAAAGTATAAACAAACAAGAACACATACTCACATACTTTAAAAATTAGAATTTGTGCCCTTACTGCAGATACCTTTAAATGTACACACACACACACACACACACACACACACACACTTTAAGAGGTGATTCAATACATTTGTTGGAGGTGGGTGGGAAGAAAGACATACCACTCAAATAATAGAAATTAAAAACAAAAAGTTTTCCAAGCAAATGTTTGTTATGAAGATTCCACGAGCACCAAAATTGGCAAAGATGTGTACCATATAATTTCATCAATGTAAAAATTTCTTTGGAAATAAAATTATGGTTTGCCTTGCTATTTTCTGAGATGATGTTCTTCCTTTTTACAAATATAAAGGTAATAAAAAACGTAAACACTGCAGTAACTGGAGGTTGCAAACACATCATTTTTTGAGAAGTCAAGATTTTCTCTCCTGCTTTGGCTCACTAATGGAAAACCCAGACTTAAAGCCATAAGGTTAACTCTCTTATTAATGAAAATAAGCTGCCCCAGGATGACTTAGTCAAGGAAAGCAAAACTACTGCAAAAGGTGATAATTATGGTTTGTGATGATAGCACTCCCATCAGCAGCAAAAGCAAAGGAAGTCAAAACAAAGGAAAAGAGATGGCATTTCTGCAGATTTTGATGAATCCACCCATTTGGTGGGCTGGATCCATATGTAGTGAGTCCTCACAGGGGACAGTGCATTGCTCTCACTTCCTGCCCTCAGCAGAACGTCCCATCTTCTATTTGCAAAATTCCCAATCATTCTATTATCCAATTAAAGAAGGAAATTCACATTATCATCAAAAGGAAATTAGTCTGACAGTTACTGTTTTCCAGTTAAATAAGATCCAGGACTGTCAGTTATAAAGTAAAGTGAACTTGCTAAAAATGCAGTCAGTTGAAGCAGAGGCCTGAGGCAAAATCTCTTTGCACAGCCCTGCTCCAGTAACCCTATGGAGAAGACTGAACCACATATTCTACAACAAGAATATGGGCACCTCTCACTTCTTTCCACAATCCTTTCCTGTGTGTCCATAATGTACAAAATATATAGCAGACATATTTATATCCATCAATGCACAGCCTTTATTTTCCATCATTATAAATACTAAGCTAACATTATGCTAGGGACATCACAATTCCCAAAAACAACATTATACAGTTAAATTTTTTACTGTCGTTTTACAGATTTTTTTTTAAAAAAGCTTGGGTGTTAAATATCACATTACTAGCATTTAAACCCAACTTTGGCTGATTATAGGGTCTTAGCTTTTAACTTCTATGCATGATCATTAAGAATAAAAGCTATAACTCATCAGTTGTGCACATGTACCCTAGAACTTAAAGTATAATAAAAAAATAAAAATAAAAAAAGAATAAAAGCTGTAACTGGCTAGGTTCAAATCCCGGCTCCTACCATTAATACCCACGTAACAACTTTTCTGATCTCAATTCTCATAGGGTTATGAGGTTTTAACAAATCAATATATATAAAACATTTGCTTAGCACACACCAAGGACTATGCAAGTGTTTGCTATTATCATTATTTGTGTTATAGTTATTATGCTTTATAAAATAATTTGATATTCCATGTAGAACAGCCCATCTTTGGGTTTCAGGATATGTGAAAAGGGCTGTATCTGGCTATTTCAGTACTTCTGTGTAGCAAGTGTAGGTTTTTTTATCCCTCAAAAATGAGGACTCATAGTACTTTAATCATTACTCATGAATCACCAAGAGTCATATAATAACAGTATCCAACATATGCATGTAGGCCATGGGCACTCACATGTTGCTGATAGACCAGCTAGTCACACAGCACACAGGGCCAAGATCCAGAAAAATCCCACTGGAGTTATGCTGCCTCAATCCCACCACACCACCTCTCCCTCAAGGCCATCAGCTTCTTCCCATTACATGCCAAGAGTGCTGACATCACAGTAAACCACTGCTGGCAAAACCCAAAACCTGACAGAGCTGCTGCAAGTCAGTAGTGCCTTCCTCCCAAGTGACAAGAGGCAGAGGTAAATACTGAAAGGCAAATACTGAAAGGAAAAAGATAATTTAAGACTTCAGAAGTCACAGTGTAGAGTCAACCATAATATTGTGCATCACTTCTAGCAGGAGGAGCTGTGAGAGTTGTTAGATTATTCTAGAAGCTGGCCTACAGCTATTCTTTCATTACAGTAAGTGTAAAAACTATTGTTCAATTGCTGCTATGTCTCTTAGTTAAGTATTTGCTAGCCATTTAATACATATTATAAGCATAACCATAACATTCTATCATAAAATAGATCAAAGCTTCAAAGAAGGTACACTCAATACTGTAACTCTCAAGGAGCATTGAGACAGAGAAGCCAGCCTCAGCAGGCACATTTATGAAGCATTCTTCAGAGTTAATATACTATGAGACATGCTGTAATAAATCGGCCTCAGCCAAAATTTACCTTCCAATATGTTACAGATATAAATCTTTCATTGAGAGGATAGCTTATAGAAAATTATTTTCTATTGTAATCAAAGTATCCTTTTGTCTCTCCACCCCGCCGCCTTGAAAGTTTTCTTCATACATCATCTTTCCTCCTGCATACTAGTTAACAGAAGAAATGTGACTTTAAATCCTTTGCAATCCTATTATGAATAGACTATTTTGTAATTGATGGCCCTTACTTATGAAAGCTGAATCTTCAGGCATTCAGAATATACTCATTTTCATGCCTCTATGGCATTAATTCAAAAAAGCAGAAATGAGAAATGTAAGTCTATGGTTCTTATCTGAGAAATACTTTTCAAACTATTAATACAATGTTTTATTAAAAGTTTGTATGCAAAACTCCCAACGGGAAAGAGGATATTTAGAAACAATTCAAAACGTTTTGTAGACACATGGTCTATACATTGTGGACCCTAAAAGCTTAATATAGGAAAGCAACCTAAAATGAATCCAACAAACAGAATTTCTCTTTTACATTACTGCCTTTACAGATATCATTAGCTTTTCTATGTAGGATCAAGTTGCCCTAGGAGTATCAAGTTTCATCTACAGGTTAGGCGCGGTGGGTCATGCTTGTAATCCCAGCACTTTGGGAGGCAGGCAAATCACTCACTCTCAGGAGTTGAAGACCAGCCTGAGCAACATAACGAGACCTTGTCTCTACAAAAATTAAAATTAGCCAGGCGTGGTGGCATGTGCTTGTGGTCTCAGCTACTCAGGAGACTGAGGAGAAAGAATGGCTTGAGTCCGGGAGGTAAAGGCTGCAGTAAGCCATGATTATGCCACTGCATATCATCCCAGGTGATAGAGCAAGATCCTGTCTCAAAAAAAAAAAAAAAGTTTGTTTACAGATACTTTATGCTGGGAGGTCAGGGCATCATGAAACTTCCTTTCCAATAACGGTCCTCTTTTCAATTAAGGATTAGGTGAGCCAGCTCAACTGAACAACCATCTGTGGGTGCCTCACACTGTCAGGGACTCCAAAGAAATGAGTGAATCAGCCCCTGCATCAAGGGGTGTGTAGTCTATTTAGAGAGGCCAGACATATCCAAGCTACAAAGCAACTATAAAGCCAGGTATATTTCAATGTCAAAATTTGCCTCACAGAAAAGAAATGCCTAAGAGGCGAAAATAGTGTTTTCCAGCCTTAGCTATGGTTAGCAGGGAATATTCTACAGAGACCTAGGGGCTTGAGCTGATATGGAAAAAGGAAGCTGTAAATAAAGTCAGAAGAACCCTAGTATATGGGCTGAGCTCTCAGTTAGCAAATTAGGGTAAAATCATGAAGGCAAGATTACCCTTGAAAGTCCCCTAAATCACTCTATAAAGTACAGTATAATATATGAGTAGGTGGCATATAACAGAAATATAGAGCAATGTTTTATAACACTACTTTATGTGCATATAGTTTAAGTTGCTTAAAGGCACATATGATACAACTTCACTGTAAAAGATTTCAGCTGGCCTATTTGAAACATCATCTGGTTTCCCAAATGTCCAGCAGAAGAGCATTAAATGGGACTGCAGACCCTGCTTTAAAGAGAATTTTCTTCATGTCCCAAAGTCTCCAATCTATACTCTAGTTTTCTGTCTTACCCAATTCTAACCCTAGCTGAGGAATCTTAACACTGGACACTGCTACTCAAAATTAGGATTCTGAAATTTCTTCCCAGGTATTCTTCATAAAAATGTAGGTTCATTTTGACGTTAGTGATTTAGAGCTACACTATAGCTATGCTAGACGGCACTCATTCTAGAATTCTATGAACACATCTTAAAACAACTTGATTTAATATTTACAGCTCTCCATGAAAATTCTCCATTTAATATTCAGAACCACAGATTCTCAAGGTTTACAGCAACATTAAAACTCATTTTGTTCAATCATAATTCTGATGCTCAAATCCCCACCAGAACATTCTTGTCAAAAGGCCTCACAATCTCCATTTCAGCAATTCCATTGACAAACTGGAAATTACCAAATTCCCAAAGGCATCCCATTTCAGCCACTTAAAGGTTCCTTACAAATCCCTCCCTTATACTGCAACTCAATCTCTCTCTCTCATACTTGATCCTACTTGAACATTTAAGGCCAGGAGTCGAACTCCTCTTTGCTTGCCCCAAGCTAATCATTAATGTCACTCTCTTTTATTCCCAAAGCTTCCTCTACTTGGAAAATAAATTATGTAGTAATTCTAACATAACAGATTCTGGCCAGCTGGTAGACAAGCTGAATCCCAGGCTAAAATCGTCAAGGTCCTTCTAATATTCTTCGCCTGGAGTCATTACGTTCTGCCACCATCCTGCCTTTTCTTTTTTGAATACGCAGTTGTTATCTATGAGAGTGTGGGGAAAAGAAGTATGGCCCCATGTCCCTATTCTCTGTAAATATGTTGCTTTACATTTGACAGTCACATCACATCTTGTATTCAGGTTATATTTTCTTTCTTGTAATAGTTTCTATTTTTGCAGTGATCCTCTGTATCTCATCTACTTTTCAAATAGAGCTCCTACACAAAGAGTTAATTAGATGTTATCGAGGACAAAAACATGAGATTCCACTCAATGGTATTTAACCATTTGATAACTGTTAAAACATTATCTCAATAACGTCAAAGAGCTTTCACAAAGAAATCTAGAAATAATAAGAAAAATCCTATGAAGTAAGAAACAATGCAATTGGTAATGAAGTTTGAGGCAAAAGCACTAAAATAGATTTTTAAAAATCCAGCCAAAATCTACCATTACTATGCCACTGCTATTTTATCTCTAGAGATAATCCTTGGGGAAAAAAATCTGTGCTATGCAACTTTGAGAAGTTTGGAGATGTTCTCTGGAAAACTGTGCCCTCAGTATTTCCACCCCTGTTGCATGCATGGCTTGAAAAAAGAACTCATGTACTTTCCCTTAAACTAGCCCTTCATAAAATGCACAATAAGTAGGTTCTCTAATGGCTTTCATATTTCAGTGTAATAGATAATATGACATTGCCCTTCCAACCTCCTTTACTGGAGAATCAACAGTTTCACAGACATTTTCATTTCAGTAGACCCCATATGTGGTATTCACAGGACACTGGCATTAACATTTAATAGAGTCTGTGGGCATAAAGCACTTTTATGGACACCTGCTATAGAGCTTTATTTTCCTTAAAAGTTTTATTGGAGCTGTTACATTTTTTGAAGTGTTTTATGTGGCTTGCTGTAAATGATTATTGTATTGCATTAAACACAACAAAATCGTTGGTGTCAGGAAACCAAGAAAGTATATGACGAGATGCTTGTTACCTATTTAGATGGGAGAAACAAATGTAACAATACCCAAAACAACCTGGTTTTGCTGGTAAGAATAATGAAAATTAAATAACCACATAGAGCCTAAAATGAGAAATTTGATATGATACATAGATATAAATGAAGTATTAAAATACTAGCAACTTACGCAAGAATCATTGACTTTTTCCCTCTGATTACTATTTCAGTAATCAGAGTTTGTTAGGTACTTGTTTGCTTGCAATGTGTTTTATTAATGCTCTGTATCTGACACCCAATTTGAAAATCAATGCTTATTTCATCATTTTTCTCTGAGGGGTTCTATTATTTACAATTGATTTAACAGGAATGAAAGGCTTACCATTAACAACACCCAGCTGCTGACACTTCATAGATGAATTATTGAACTTCAAAAAGTGAATTAACTTAACCATCGCCAAGACTGATGGTTTGATGATTTTTTGCACCAAGTCTAATGTATTTATAATTAGAATGTCAAAACAGTAGTGTTCCTGCTTTGCCCTCTTTCTTGATTCCTTTACTTTATAGCATTTAAAAGTTTGTTTGCTTCATAGACCACCACTCTTTTGAGTTTAAAAATATTCCTTTAGTGGTTTAAACACACACACACACACACACACACACACACACACACACAATGATTGTTGAAAGTCTGGCTTCAAACATGCCCAAGTAAATGTGAATCTTTCACCCCTGAATATCAAAGGACTACATGCACCTAAGAGGATTTAATTAGAGATCAATGACTCTAAAATGCAACTTGCTTTTGGGAAAATATCAATTGACTTCAGTTGGAACTTTAAAATTCAGCTTTAATTGACTGGCTTAAATAAAGGGGATTTTTTAAAACAGATTTTTTGTTGTTTCAAGTCTGGAGTTGGGTCCCAGGGTTGGTTAACTTAGTGACTCTACAATGAATGTCACAAGGAGAAAGGCTCTTACTGACTCTCCGTTTGACATGTTCAGCTTCAGCTCCCCTTAGTGCTGCACGCAGTTTGAGGCATCACATCTCGCCTCACCACCACCCATCAGAAGAGAATAAATAAGGAAACCCTTTCCATATACCCCCTCACCACCACCAGTGAAGACTCTCCCAACTAGGTGTAATTGGTCAGAGTTCTGTCATATATGCCTTCATCAACCAATCATGGGTTAGGAGAACGGGATTTCCCATGCTGGTTAAGCACATGTCTATAGGGAGAAGAGTGGCATTCCTGGACAAAATCAGCATTCTGACAGCAGAGACATGGGGAATGTCTGTGGACTGGGTAACAAGTTAAGGCTTCTATACAGATTTGAAGATGTTGGGGCAGTTAAACTATGAAAAATGTAAGCAACTCTGTTCTTCTCTAGTAAATACACCACAAAATACCAAGTTTGTGCTGAGAAAATATTGAAGTTGAAATGGATGTTATTATGGTCCCATAGATGACAATAAAATTAACTACAGTCACCCTTTGTATCCATGGGGGATTGCTCCCAGGAGCTTCTGCAGATTATCAAGTTCCATTCCTGATATAAAATGATATAGCATTTGTGTGTCACCTATGCCTACCCTTCCATATACTTCAAATCATCTCTAGATTGCTTATAATACCTAGTACAATATAAATGCTAGAGTTATTTTTATTGTATTGTTTAGTGAATAACAAGGAATATCTAGAGTACACACAATTTTTTAAAAATTTTTAAATGACAATTGGCTGAATCAACACATCCAGAATTCACGGGTACAAAGGGCCGACTGTAATCAGTTATGTTTAATGTAACTCAACTCTCTTAGCTACTTGTTCTGCTATATCTTCTTTAAAAATTATATTGCTATTGATTTTAATGCAGAATGTTATTTACTAAATCTCCTAAGTCTTGCCTGTCATTCTACCTATCAGCCTCCTATAGACATTATTCTCTTATTCTCCAAATACAAGTCACTATTAGACTTTCATTTTTTCAATATTCAATTTTTCATTGTTATGGCAATATTCATATAATCTATAGCTGAGTCATGTGGCACATAATTACGTATCTTTTTTTCATAAAACTGTTTTCCCAAGAGCTAAAAATTGAGTCAATATTTTTGGTCTAGTTTTGTTAATTTCACTAATTCATTCAAAAACTCTGCTGAAGTACAACTCTCCTCAAATCAAACAGTTCAAAAAATGATCAATTTGATTATTTTCAGCAGTCATCACTCCTGAGACACTATTTTCCTCCACTCTGCACAGGGAGCCTTGGGCTACCACCTGCCACAGCCATCATTGTGCTCTTATTTTGACATTCTTGGGTTGGTTCCATATTTTCCTTCAGAATTTTGAAGGTTTTGTGCTCCATTGTCTTCTGGATTCCAGTAACTTTTAAAAAGATCAATGCCACTATAATTCTCAAACATTTATAGGTAATCTGTTTTTATTTTTCATTATGAAAATATTCAAGATTTTCTCTTGGTCCCAAGAGATTTGAAATGTCGTAATATGCAAACAAATCAATTTACTAAGTACTCAATGAGTTCACTCAACCTGGAAACCCTTGTCCTTCATTTTTAAAAAGCTCTTCTGAATTGAGAAATTTCTCTATTCTTTCTCAAGTCCTATGTACCAGATCTTGGACTCCCCAGGCTAATTGCTTAGTTCAGCAGTTATCAAAAATTTTGATCTCAGACTTCACTTTCTTAAAAACGAAGATCTTGTAGTAGTTTGTTCTGACACTGCTATAAAGATACTACCTGAAACTGGGTAATTTATAAACAAGAGGCTTAATTGGCTCACAGTTCTGCATGGCTGGGGAAGCCTCAGGAAACTTGTAATCATGGCAGAAGGCAAAGGAGAAGCAAGGCACATCTTACATGGCAGCAGGAGAGAAAGGGAACAAAGGAGGAACTGCCAAACATCTTTCAAACCATCACCTCTAGTGAGAACTCACTCACTATCATGAGAACAGCATGGGGGAAACCAACCCCATGATCCAATCACCTACCACAAGGTCCTCCCTTGACACACAGGGATTACCATTCAAGATGAGATTTGGGTGGGGACACAGAGCCAAACCATATTAGATCCCAAAGAACTTCTACATATGAGGATTAAGTCTATAAATCTTTATTGTAATAGACATTAATGTGGAAAAAGAATTAAACATATTTAACATAAGTTCACAGTAACACAACATTTTTATAGAAAGTAACTATATGTCCCAAAATAAAGTTAGTGAGAAGAGTAGCATTACATTTTGCAAATCTCTTTAGTGTCTGGTATGATGGAACACCCTTGGATTTTCATATCTGCTTGTGCATTCAAATTGTTGAGATATGTTATCATTGGAGTCTATGAAGAAAATTCTTACTTGTACCCATATATAGGTGACACCTCATGAAGTCCCTTCTAGGATTTTAGGGAACTCTCATGGGTATTCACAACCCATGTTGAGAACCATGGGTCTACTTTTCTAAGATTTTTCTCCTGTTTTCTATCTCTTTACATATCATTAAGAAGAACAAATAGGTATCTTCAACTACCCCACCATAACTACTTGAATATTTCTATCCCTTGAAAATTACATGGTTATAAGCTTTATTATTTTATGGAGGCTTTATCTTCTTTTATCTCTCCAAGGATATTAATTACAGATTCGTGTTGCCCCCACCCCCAGTTTTCCTCTGCTCCTTCACTGCCTTTTCTTTTCCAAAGATCCCTTTCCCCAAGCCCTTTCTATTTTTTCCATCTCTCTGATGTGATGGTATTCCCCAAATGTCTGATAGCCATACATATGTGCTCATTTGTTACAGAAAAAAAAAATGCAGTTGCCATTTAGGGTGGTATAACAGATCAGAATCCATTACTAACTCCCACTGAGAACAACTAAAAATTCTAAAATGCTTTTAAAAATTAAGCATTGATGAACTGGCAAGAAAGCAAAAAATAGAGGAAAAAATGTATCAAAAACCAGGAACGTAGAGCTAAGGGGAGCTCCTTATCTTGTTTATGTCTTTGACTATTAGGGGCTCTGGAGCTTCAGTTTTCGTGACTTTGTAGGACAGAGGCGTAACACAAAACTCAAGAACTTTGCAAGATGGGATTCACGCAGGACAAAACTCCCTGAATAAATATTCTCAAAATGTACACCCTTAATGTAACTGTGAACTAAAAACCCATCTGAGATCTGCAAGAAAATCTACACATCTTGAATCCTGGTGAAAAGTGAAAGACAAAAATCTCTCCACTGAGAACTGGGAAATCCTAGCAGGACCTCACACAGGTTTACAGTATTTAAGTTAACTTCTGCCACGGTGATCCTAAATCCCTCAAGTCAAGAATGTAAAGTGATTCGGTTTTTTGTTTAAAAGATCAGGTTCTGTCTATGTTTTCCAAGCTGGTCTCAAACTCCTGGCCTCAAGTGAAACTCCCACTTGGCCTCCCAGAGTGCTGGGATTACAGAGGAGAGCCACCACACCCAGCTTTAAAGTGATTCTTGATTGTTAATCCTCCCAGGTTAAGAAAAAAAAAAAAAAAAAAATGGAGATCCTTTCTGCTGGAACTCAATTTTTTTATTTTTTATTTTTTTTTAATTTTGAGACAGAGTCTTGCTCTGTCGCCCAGGCTGGAATGCAGTGATGCGATCTCGCCTCACTGCAAGCTCCGCCTCCCGGGTTCACGCCATTCTCCTGCCTCAGCCTCCCGAGTAGCTGGGACTACAGGCGCCCGCCACCACGCCCGGCTAATTTTTTGTATTTTTAGTAGAGATGGGGTTTCACTGTGTTAGCCAGGATGGTCTCAATCTCCTGACCTCGTGATCCGCCGGCCGCGGCCTCCCAAAGTGCTGGGATTACAGGCGTGAGCCACCGTGTCCAGCTGGAACTCAATTTTTAACTCAGGCCTTAAAGATTACCAAAAATGAAATTCCAGGAAAACTAAGTCTACAGTGAGAAAAAAAATATATAAAACATAAAAGAAAAGTAGGTGTGAAAGCCAGTTAATATATCAGACTGGCAATGACTTCAGATATGGATATTATTAGATATACAAAGTAAGTATTTTTATTTTTTAATGAGAAGAAATAAAAATGAGAAATTTTACAACTAAATAAATTTGAAAAATAAAAATGAAATAAAATATCTTCAACCAAGTCTTTATCTATAGGCAGGAGACAGTAAGGTTTTTCTCCGGGCAATCTTACTAGTCCAAGAAAAACCACAAAGATTCTGACACCAGGGGCTTTTCTACAAATGGTATCTGCAGATCACCCGACAGGAGTGGTTCTCAACTGGTTGATTTTTAGACTTCACCCCCGACTCCAAGACACATTTGGCATATATGGGCATACTTTTGGTTATCACAATTAGGGGGTGCTTATGGCATCTAGTGGGTAGAGGCCAAGGATGCTGCTAAAAATCCTACAATGCACACAATAGCCCCTGATAACACAGAATTACCTGTCCCCAAATGTCAATGCCAATGTTGAGAGTCCTGCTTTAGAGTAACTCTCACCATTGATATGCCCCATCTACCTTTTCAGAGCCTCCAGTCAGCTCTTTTGCTTCCCACTCCAAATCATAAGCAGTCAACCAAGGTTTTTGCCAGTATCTGAGGAAAGCATGTAAAACATAAGAGAAACGAAAACAAGCAGGGAAAAAAAAAATCACAACTTGGAAACAAGCCAAGCAGAAAGATGAAAACTTCAAAAACAAAATCCAATTGCGTGCTATATGTGGGACACACCTAAAGTAAAAGAAAGTTTAAAAAAATGATGGAAGAGACATACAAGGAAACTACAAGCAAAAAAAAAAAAAATGGTTTGGCTATATTAATATAGGCAAAAGAGACTTGAGGACAAAAGCTGGACTAGAAGAGTTATGATAAAAGACTATTCATTAAGACAACACAATTCTAAACAAGTATATGGCTAACGACATAGCCTCAAAACACTCACTTTGTGCCTTTCTTTACTGTTCTCATTTTGGAACCTTGCACGTGTAGTACTTTTATTATCCCTTTATGTCAATAGGAAACCGAGTTGGTGAGATGATTGTCTATTTTGTCTTTTCAGCTAAATGCATGTCTGTGTTGTGAAAAACACCTAGTAAGTGATATATTTTGAAAAGAAACAGGAAAATCTTCCTTAAAAGCCGATTAGAGGCTCACATTCATGTGGACATGTGTTGGAGGCCTGTGGACAGGTAGATTTTCCAGCATGGTGACCTGAGGATCATTTCATTAACAAGCCCTCACTTGCCACTACCTGTCAGTCTTTTTCCCTCTGCATAAAAGAGGCCTCTGATCTCCCTTCTGAGAGGTATGCCAGCCTGCCACTCATTGTTATCAAAGATCAGTGGAAGATCAGACTTGGAGGTCTCCCTCTTCAGCATGTAGGTTTATACTAAAACCTCCTGCCCTTACGCTGGTATTTCAAACCTCAGCTGTACCTGGTATCTTGGCTGTGGTCTTGTTGAACCATCATCTTTAGAAGTGAAACTTCAGGATTTTGTGTAGGAGGATGAAGTCACCATAACTGTTTCTTTTATAGCCTTTCAACAAATTCTCCCATTTGCAGCCATACCTGCACTCTACTTTTAAAGGTTCTGGGGCTTTCTATTCTTAAGTCTTTCTAGAGTTTCAAGAAGATTGATGTGAATTTTCCAAAAAAAAAAAAAAAAAGTAAGATTGCTTTAAAAAATTACTATCATGTAAATTATGACCAATCTTAGATATGCAAATATATAAGAACTTCAGAGTTTAATGTATTTATCCTCTTTTTCAGAACTGTGTTTAAACAGAAGTGAGATACTATCTATGAATCATTGTGCAGCTAAGAAATGTTCCCAGCTAAGTTGAAACAATAGTTTTCAAAAGATATATAGATATATTACTTTTACATTGTGCATCTAACCATTAAACTAAATAATCTTCCAACTTGGGGCACTGCTAATAAAAATTAGAGAAAATATACATGATAAAACAAATACATTTACATATATTGTCATTTCAATTTGTACTATTAGCTCTGAGTCCTAAGTGTTCTTATTAATATTCCAAAATCCTAATAGCACTGGCATTAATAAAATGATTTTTCTTGCTTAGTATTTTATGATAAATCTGTTTTGCTTCTGAGTATGTTTATGCCTGGGAAGGACATTGCATCCATCAATAGTAAATATCTGATAAATGAAATGCCACTATCTAAACTCTGTTTTTCTAATTGGCATCATGTTTCCATACGTAAGAAAATTTTGTATTTTGGCATAATATCACATGGCAAGTTGGTTGTTTCCCAAAGCTAAAGATTTCCAGCAATTAATATATTGTGGGTCCTTGAAGACACATTTATAAAATTGCATTAGAAGACAGACTGGTTTATACTACTTGAGATTGAGAAATAAGATGTGTAGTTCATAAGATCAAGACATATTTCTAGAGTATTATGGGTTAAAAAGCTAAAATATTAAATGCTAATATGTTCACTTGCTCAGACATTTCAGACTTTATTAAAGTTGTTTATGCTTCATAGGACTGAGCTACCTGATTCTTTTTCAAGCCATTATTATAACTTATTTTCATTGGATTCTAACCCATAATAATATTTGCATTAAATGAGGCAGAGAGCATCTCTTAATTGTAGGAAAAAATGTGAATTAATATAGAAGAAATGAGGGAAGCAGAAAATTACCATTAAGCAAATACTTCAGTGATAATTGTCATAGACAAGATCCACCAATGGATACTAAAATTAGCAGTTCAAAGTTCGAAGAGATTCAGGATATTTACATAGTCTCAAAGTTTCTTTCCCAAGATATTAATCACAATGAGAAAAATGTAACTTCAGAGTGGAGAAACCACTAGACACCACCTTAAACAAGTGATGAAAGTTATCAGTAATAAGATGCATTGACATCATGTATCCTTGAAATGATGCCCTGAAAAGGGCACATCACTTCCATGGAACTCTAGTTAAAAATATATAACCTCAACCCAATCACAAGAAATTATTAGATCCAAACGGAGGGACAGTCTAAAAAGTAACTAGCAGAGGAGTCCAACAAACCAAACAAACTGAAGAAGCAACTATTACTTTTCAAAAGTGTGAAGACCTTGAAGGACAAGGGAGGAATAAAGAATTGTGAAGATGATAGAAAACTATAAAAACATGACAACTAAATGTAATGTGGGATAATGGATTCTATCCTGAAACAGGGAAAGGAAATTAGTGAAAAAACTGGTAAAATTTGAATAAGGTCTGTAATTTAGTTAATAGTATTATATTAATGTTATTTTCTTGATTTTGATCATTGTATTATGGATTTATAAGGTATTAACATGAGGGTAAACTGGGTAAAGATACATGGGAACTCCCTGAAATATCTTTGTAACTTTCCTGAAAATAGACATTTCACACTAAAACAACATTTTGAAGTTGCAATATATATACAAATAATAGCTTACATTGGAGTTGCTTACATTAGACAGGGCAGTACCATCAGCATTTTTAGTGCATTAATTTATTCAATTCTCATAATAAACCTATGGGTAAGTGCTGTAATTATTCCCTTGTACAGACAAAATAATTGAGGCTAAAGTACATAAGGAACTTGCCCAAGATCACAAGTTGCCAGGCAATCCTAAAAAATGAGTCCGGAGCCAGAATGCTAAATTACTGTACAGACCACATCAGATCATCTATAGATGGCCTAAGCCAGGCTTACAAGTTACTGAAGTATTTAAGCCTGAATACAGCAGAGATTTCCTAGATATAGTATCAACTTCGGCAACCAATACAGTTGGTTCACTAAAAATATGCAACAGAATATACTTCAAGAAGAAAAATGATTCCAAAAGTTTAAAATGAAAAAAACAAAAGGACTTGTATGTAAATCTTTTTTTAAAAATTCAAATGTTAAAATGTAAGATTAGAAAAAGATAGAACCAAAATCTTGTTTAACAGAAGCATATAAATTTGCAAGAGATTTACCCCCATTAATGCATTCTAAGGTTTACATATTGTTTGGGAGGAGGTAAAGATATTAATAAGCATTAGATTTTTATGTGTTAGGCATAATTGTCTATTTCTAATGTAACAACTAAAAGGAGGGAAATGAGCGTATAACTTTTAGTGTAGTAGAGTAAAACAATGCAGTGAGAAAAAACTTTAATAACAAAATAGAAGGCAAAAAATGAAAATATACAAAAAGATCAAGACAAATATAAAATATAAACAATTTAAAATTGTGGTAACTGCCATCAACATAAATGAACTACATTAAGTAAAACTAAAGACTGCCAAAATCCAGTTACATGACATTTACTCAGAAAAAAAAGAAAAAAGCTATGTAAAGAGGCAAAATAAAATTGGAAGTAGAAAATAGAAAAAGAAATGAGTCAAAATCTAATCAAAATGATCTATAAAGCTATATTAATAGATTTCATGATAATAAGCATGACTAGCAATACAGAGAATCACAGCAACATGTTGAGAGTTACTTCACCAGGAAGATAAAACAAGCTGTACGTAAACTTATCTGTACCTGTTAACCTGGCTTTGAAATATCTGAAGGGCATTATAATGCAACTATATGGGTAAAGAAAGTCATCATCCTGGAAGATTCTAACAAATCTTAGTAATCAATAAATCAGCAGATAAAAAGAATCACCAATGAAGAACAAAATTAATAGGGTTGATTTAATCAACATTCTTAGCACAAAACAGTATATATTTCATACAAATACAGAAAATAATAAAATTGAACTGCATGCTGGGCCATAAAGCAAGTCTCAACCAATTTCAAAGAATCAGTAGTACCATATTGTTCTATTCTCTGATGAAAGTAGTCATCCCTTTATATCCAAGGGGTATTGGTTCCAGGACCCTCCAATACCAAAATTTATGAATGCTCAAGTTCCTATGGAGTAGTATTTGCATATAACCTACACACATCCTCTCGTATATTTCAAATCATTTCTAGATTACTTATAATACCTAACACAATTTAAATGCTATGTAAATAGTTGTTATACTATATTTTTATCAGTATTTTGTTGCCTTGCTATTTTTAACTTTTCCCCTGAACATTTTTGATCTGTGGTTGGCTGAATCCATGGATGCAAAACCTATGGGTACAAAGGGCTAACTGTACAATTTAAACATCAATAAAATTCTTTAAACTACACTTAGAAATGTAAAAAGACCCCTTACCCGATTGTCAAAAGTAGGTATCAAAAATATAAAAATATTCAAAGATAATCAAATAATAATGCCACATGTGTCCAAATATGTGGGATGAAGTAAAGTCACTCATTTGGGGAAAATTTATAGCTGTAAATTATATGTATATCTAGAAAAAAAAAAGGGAAGACTGATAAATAACAATTTATCCAGAAAGCATAAACCCAAATAAAAAAGTACTAAATAAAAATATGGACAGGAATTGAAGAATTAAAAAAACTTACTGTAGAGAGAACCCACAATCCATTTGGTCCCCTGAGAAGACTAAAAAAGAAAAACACAGTAAAATCTCTGTCAAGAATAACTAAGAAACAAGAATGGAATAATATATTAATGTTTAGGATAAAAGACAACTGATAAGAAGTATAGAGATTTAAAAAGATAATTGTTAACAATTTAAATATAAATAAAACTGACTCAAGAAGAACTGAAATTCCTAAATGGGCCTATAACCATTAACGAAGTTAAATGAAGTTAAATGAGGTCATATAACCATTAATGAAAGGGAAGAAAAAGTATGTTCACAAAGAAAATTCTAGGCCTAGATGGTTTTATAAGCTATTCATTGACATAAGAGATAATTCTAACCTTACAAAAAGATAAGCATAATAAATCAAATGTAGAACAGGTTTCAATTAGCACAGGGCATGGGCCAAATCTAGTTTGTCATCTGTTTTCATAAACTTTTATTGGAATATAGCCCCACTTTTTAAAAAATGTATTGTCTGTGCTATAACTGCTTTTATGCTAGAATAGCTGAGTTGAATAGCTGTAAAAGAGGATGTATGGTCCACAAAGCTGAAAATTCTGTTTGGCCTTTAGAAAAAGTTTGCTGATTCCTGATACAGGACGTTAGAAAATAACTGGTGTGAAAACAGGACAGTAAGTGAGAGTCAACGCGCAGGGATGAGTAAGGGATGTGCATGTGTGTTAAGTCTGTAATATTACATAGGGTAGAGAAGTCTATACAGAGAAGGTGCTATAGTTCAGATGTTTGTCCTCTGCAAATATCATGTTGAAATGTGATCCCCAGTGTTAGAGTTGGGGCCTGGTGGTAGAAGTTTGGGTCATGGGAGCGGACCCCTCATGAATGGCTTGGTGCCCTCCCTGTGGTAATGAGGAAGTTCTCACTCCATCTATTCACGTGAGAGCTGGTTGTTTAATGGAGGCTGGCACCCCCTCCTCCCTCTCTTGCTGGCTCTTTCAGCATGTGTCACAACTGCTCCCCCTTCACCTTCCACCATGGTTGGAAGCTTCCTGAGGTTCTCACCTAAAGCAGATATTGGCACCGTGCTTCTTGCATAGTATGAAGAACTATAAGCCAAAATAAACCTCTTTTCTTTATAAATTACCCAGTCTCAGGTATTCCTTTATAGCAAGGTAAAATGGAATAATAGAGAAGGTGAGATTTGTGTGAAGACTTGACAGAGATGAGGGGATTAGGAAAGTGGATTAGGTAAGAACATTCCAGATAGAAGAGCTGAAACAAAGGCAGCAAGGCAGAAGCCTGCCTTCTGTGCTCAAGACATAGCACTGAGACAGTGAGGCTGCCACCGTGTGCAAGGGGGATAATGGTAATGGTGGAGGAAATCAGAAAGGGGGTATGTTGGAAGTGGTGGAAGTTGAAGTTCCTTGTAGGTCTTTGTAGGCCATTCTAAGGATTCTGGCTTTAAGTCTAAGTGAAATGGGGAATCATTCGAGGACTTTAAGAAGTGTCATGACCTAACTTACTCTCTACAAGAAACACTAAAAGGTTATATTGAAAACAGTTTGTAGAGGGGTAAGGGAACAAAGCAGGCCCCTTTTCAAAGTCAAGAGATGACCGTGGATCAGACCAGGGTGATGATAGGGGAAGTGGTGAGATGGGATAAGATTCCGCATCTATTTTGAAAGAAGAGCTAATAGGATTTCCTGAATGATTACTAGCGAGGCAATAAAGAAAAAGGAGTATAGAATAATCCCAAGGTTTTGTTCTGATTAGTTTAAGGAATAAAGTCACCAATAACAGAAACTGAGAAGCCATACATGGTGCAGGTCTGGGGTGTGTTCAGAAGAGAGATAAGGAGTTTAGTTTTAGACTTGTTAAATTTGAGATATGTACTAGGCATTCAACTAGAGATACTAAGTAGAAGCTGGATATCCAATCTGGTGTTTGGGCGAGAACATTGAATGCAAGACAAACTTAGAAGATGTTAGCATAAAAGCCAAGAACGTAAATGTTGATAAATGAGTAAAGTCCAAGAACTGAGCCCTGGGACATTCAATCTATAGATTTTGGGAGAAGAAGACCTAGAGGGGTGCGTGAAAAGGAGCAATCACTGAGAAGAGGAAATGTAGGACATGGTAGCGAGGGAATGCCCTAAAAGCCAAATGAAAATTGTGTCAAGAAGGACTAACGACGTTTGTCAGAGGTTGATAGCTAAAATAGGATGAAGAGTGAGAATTGACCATTTGATTGACCATCAAGAGATTTTAAAACTATGTCGTCTCAATATATATTCTTTAAAAAGACATTAACATCAACAACTAAAATAAAAATTCTCTGAAAATTAGGAATAGAAGTGAATTTCCTTAACCTAATAAGGTGTTACTGTATAAAAAACTTCAAACATGCTGGTTAAAAATTCTCTTACAAATTATAAAGAAGACAAGGTTGGTCATCAACATAAGTTCTATTAAAAAGTGTACTAATAATTAAACCTGAACTCATGGAATTAAAACAACTGAACTCATAAAGATAGAGTAGAATGATGGTTACCGGAGGATGGGAAAGGGAATGAGGAGGTTCAAAAATATAGTTAGATAGAATAAGATCTAGTATTTAAAAGCACAACAGGGTTACTATAATCAACAATAACGTACTGTATATTTTAAGACAATGAAAAGAAGGGAATTAGAATGTTCTTTACCCAAAGAGTTGACAAACGCTTGAGGTGATGGATCTCCCAATTACCCCAATGTGATTATCACACATTGTATGCCTATATAGAAACATTGCACGCATCCTATAAATATATGTGCCTATTATGTACACATATTTTAAGTGTACTAGAGTTCTTAATCAGTGCAGTAAAAAGTACTCATCCACACCTCCACCAAACACATACATGCAGGGCAAAATGAGTGAGAGAGAACAAGAATCACAGATAATATGATCCCCAAAATGCTACAATCAAATGATTAACATAATTAGTTTCTAAAGTTTCTGGATATAAAAATTAATGCTATAGGTAGAAGGCTTAAACTGCCAGAAATCAAGACTTAGTATAAAGAAATATTAAACAAAGCAGTGTTGATATAAATTTATAAAAAATAAAACATAACTAAGAGCCCAGAAAAATACATACAGAAATTTGACTTATGACAGAAACACTATTAGTGAGATAAGTTTGGACTATAAAATAGTGTTGGAACAATTAGTTTTCCTATTATGGAAAAATAGAATCCCTACCTTCACATCAGTTACAGACATCAATTCCAAATGAATTATGTGAAAGACAAGATTTAAAGATGTTCATAGGAAAACAATATTTCTATTTTTAAGAGATTGGTCATAAAAGAAAATAAATTAGAATGCATTAAAATTAATAAACTGTATTCATCAAAAGACACCATAAAGATAGTTAGAAGACATGCTTCAAACTGGGAGAAGATATTTGCAACACAAGTAATTAACAAAGATTAGTCTCCAGGATATACAAAGAACTTTTAGAAATCAACAGAAAAATATCACAGGTGTTTCATGGAAAAATGCAGCGTAAATGTTCACTGAACATGAAGTGATATACAACCTAATTAGTAAATTAGTAAATACCAACTAAAACTAAAATGAGATTTTCCATACTAAGTACGGAAAAATGAAGTTTCACAATATAAAAGGCTGATGAACGTATAAAACAACTGGAATACTCATACACAATCTATTGTTTCAGCTTGCACACAAATAGCAGAATGATAAACCAGGGAATGATTAACACAAAATTCAAGAGTGTTGCTAAAGTTCTGTTAGGAAGAGAGGATAAACAGAAATACAATTATGTTTACTGCTTATTTATAAAATGCAAAAAATTTAAAAATATTTTAAGGTCTAACAAAAGAGAATGAATGTGCTACGCTATGTCTGTATGATGAAGTATTATGCAGATATTTAAACATCACAATTCCAAAGAATAATGAAAAGAAATTCATACAACTGTCAATTTACAATATGATTCTAATTGGGGGAGGGAATAATTCATATGTATATGCATTTTGTAAAACTAGTTTTGTGAAGGGATTCATTCTCTCCTTCAGAGTTTTAGTCTATTTTTTATATTTTCCACATCAAGCTTGTTATAATTATTGAATCAAAAGAAAATAAGTGTTTTAATTTTCTAAAAATCAGGAAGCATAATTTGATTTGTCTTAATTTTACATTTATGTGAAAACCATAAATTCTACACTCTAGAAATATGCTGATTGTACTTCCTTTAAAATCTTTTTCCAATACATCAAAATATTATACACAAATACTAAAGTTGACCAGATTTGTAAACCAACTTAAGACACATTATGAAAAATCTCACACATGAAGACTTTAGTTGCTATTAGTGATTTTAATTGTACATTCTGTGTAAGACATTTAAAATAACATCATACATAAATGAATAAGAGACTATACCTTATTGAGAATTATTCTGAGTTTCCTGGATGAGAGAGAGATAACATGAAGGGTGTTGATGAAAAGAGTCCAACTCTAAAATATTTGAAGAGATTTATTCTGAGCCAAACATGAGTCACCAAAGGCCTTTGACATGGCCCTCAGAAGATCCTGAGAACATGTGCCCAAGGTGGTCAGAGTACAGCTTAATTGTATACATTTTAGGGAAACATGAGACATAAATTAAATACATATAAAGTGTACATTGGTTTGGCCCAGAAAGGCAGGCCATCTGGAAGTGGCAGGGTGGGACTTCCAGGTCATGGGTAGATAAAGATTTTCTGTTAGCAATTGATTCAAAAAGTTATTGTCTATGACTTAGGAATGTCTGGGTTAAGATAACGGGTTGTGGAGACCAAGGTTTTATCACACAAGTGAAGTCGCCAGGTAGCAGGCTTCAGAGAGAATAGATTGTAAATGTTTCTTATTATACCTAAAAAGTCTGTTATACCAAGTAATTCCAAAAGGGAAGAGGATATAATGAGGCAAGTCCAACCACACCCACCTTCCCATCATGGCCTGAACTATATTTTTCAGTTTAACTTTGGGATGCCCCTGGCCAAGAGGAGGAGTCCATGCAGATGGTTAAGGAGCCTTAACATTTTTTTTTGTTGTTTGTTTACAAGAGTATTGAGTTCTCGTTTCACAAAAATAGAAATGGAAAGTAGCCACGACAGAGTTAATATATAAAGTATTTTGAAAAGAATTCACTTTTTAAAAGCTTTATCAGCCTTATAAATGGATTAAATACTAAGTAAGTTTGGCATCATTTGTACAAGTGTGTTTCTGAGGTGCCTTCTATTCTTGTTGTGTATTACATTAATTATTTTGATCTCTAAAACCTAGATTTTCTATATCCAGACAATAGCATCTGGACAGATTTTAAAACAGGCTAACACCCACATGTAACACATGCATTTCATACTGTTTTATTGAAGCTACATTAAAAAGATTGAAGAGTAAGTGCTAACACAGCCCCAGGAAAATTATTGTAATTTCACAGATAGTTCTTACAACTCGGATATCAAGCCCCGTTTTTTCTGCAAGCCGTCCAGAGATATGGAATTGCATTTTCCTTAGTAAGGATGAATCATCTCCAACCCTGATCACTTCAATATGGGCATCTGTTATCTCAGTGAGCACTTTTATCTCAATGGGGAATCATTTCACAGTCGACTTGAAATCTGCCTATGGTTGACTTGAACTCAATGGCAGTCAATGAAAATTTCCCAAGTGTCTACCATTTCCTTTTGTTGTTTTTGTGGGCTTTTCTTAAGAGAATTTCCAAAGTTGATTTTTCAACTTAATGGACCACTAAAAATCTGGCAGGACCTGAACAAGAGGAGGATAGAGGCATGAGCAAGTATACACAAAAACGACCCTGAGGTCTCCTTCTGAGTTGCTTCAACACTGAGCACACTCCCCACTTCTGCCAGGAAAGGGGCCTGCACCCAAAGTTTGCTTCCCATGAGACCAAAGGCTCCCTCCCCTACAGAAGGGTAAGTAATTTCCACTGGGCTTTAAGGTGTCCAGGTGCTAGGCAGCAAGGGTTTCTGAGACAACTATATGAACAGTCGTTACTTCAAAATCGAGTCTGCTTGGTGCCAAGCTGGCCTGACTTGTTTTCCACTAAGAAGTTTCCTCCCTCAAGCTTTTCCTAGGAAAGTGAGGCTGCCTTCGCAAAAATTATTAATAGTGAGAAAATTGTGGCAGTGAAAGATCTCATTTAACCAACTCCCATCTTGCATTTAGCCTTCAAACTGCCCTTATTTATTCCTGGGCTTGGCCAAACTAACTTTGGGAGATATTTAGTTTATAGTTTTAAATGATAATAGCCCCTCCCCAAAACTTAACCACCTTTGTAAGGCCAATGAGAGACCACCTTTGTAAGGCTAGGAGGATGAGAGAAACACAAATTCTGCTAAGGTGTAGACATAAACAATTGCCAGCCATAATTCCAGAGGTCAAAAATATAAACTTCCCCAATTACTCCTACAGATAACATCACTATTGTAGAACCTAAGCTTGGCCTTTTGAGATGCCTTTTCACGTTTTTTGCATATCTGATGACCAATGGCTCCACTTGGACCTCCAGACCCTCCTGTAACCCCACCAAATGAAGACCATTTCCCACACCCCTGTGATTGTACCCCCAGTCAATCATCAGCAAGCATCCACTGCCTAGTCACTCTCCCTTTCTCCCGCCAAACTATCCTTGAAAAACCCTAGCTTCCAAATCCTTGGGGAGGCTGATTTGAATAATAAAACCCTGCTCTCCCCTTTAACCAGCTCTACATGTGTAAAACTCTTTATTTCAATTCTCCTGATGTGATAAATCAGCTCTATCTGGGCAGTGGGCAAGAAGAACTCATTGGGCAGTTACAAACTGAAAAGCAAGAAGGAAAGAATACTTGCATTTGGAAGAAAACCCCACATACTGTGAGGCCTGCAGATAACTAAGACCTGGAAGCCCCTCGGCCGGTGAGGGAGGTTGGGAGCTCACATCTTCCCTTCTCTTGCTGATTCTGGTTTGGTCAGTTTTCCCATTCCCCCCACGAAGCCTATTTCTTAAACCATGCTGTGTGGCATGCTGGAATTCATCTGGAACCATGGGTACATGAGAAAAGACAATCCAGAGTGCCTTGCCTTGTGTTACAACGGGTCATTAGCTTCTTTCCCTGTATACATGTCAGTTTAAATAGTTTATGAGGCTTCTATGCTAAAGTAGAATTTTAAAGGATGAAGAGGAGTTGAGAGTAGAGTGGATTTGAGGTGTGGGCTTGAGGACTGGACAAGGTAGTCACTCAGAGAAATGGTATGTGCAAAAGCGTGGGGGGATGAGACAGTTCCTGGAATTACAAGCCGTTAGGACTGGTAAAATGGAAAGCATAAGAGAATGGTAAGAGATGAAATGAGAGGTTGGCAGGATCAGGTGTGAAGGGAATTGAACGTCAGCCTAGGAGTTAGACTTCATCCTGGGGCCAGCATTCCTCAGATTGGTGTCCGCAGCTAACCACCTTAAAATCCAGAATCCCTGTGGCATTCAGGACCAATGTTTTACTTTTGATGGTGTGGATTAAGTGGTACTACCTAGAAATAGCTTAATTAGGGGGAAAGAGGTCAACTTAATATTTGTGTGGCACATTCAGGCCAAATGTCGTTATATTATGGCATAAAAATAAAAGTTTCACAAGTGTTTGAAAAAAATCTAATAACTGACCCAACATGTCTCAGGCTGCACAATTAGGTCAAAGCCACAATAACCTCACTGTAGCAAATCAACACCCATTCATGCTGCAATAGACAATATTCAGTAAGACCACAGTGATGTGTCACATCAATTTAATGTTAATTTAGATTTTACTCAAATTGTGTTTGTATTCACTTTGGTTTTATAGTTGTACAAGAACTATTAGCATAGAAAAATATATCTAGGTTTACATTTGTACGTATTAAGTTATAATAAATATAAGAAAATCACCACAGGACAGAGAGGTGGAAGAGGGCTACGTGAGACTCAGTAAAGCACGGTCTCTGGAACCAGACTGCTTGGGTTCGAATTCTGATTTCACAGCCTTCCTGTTACATGACATTGTTATTGAAGTTAGATTTGCTCATCTGGAAAATGGGGATAACAGAAGTTTCTACTACACTGGGTATTGTGAGGATTCAATGAGTCAATGCTGAAGATGCTTGGCATAAAAAAAATACAGTTGACCCTCGAGCAACATGGGTCAAACTGCAAGCATCCATTTACATGTATATTTTTTTCAGCTTGGATGGAAAACACTGCATATGCAGGTGTACAGGGCCAACTGTGAGACTTGAGTGCACGTAAATTTCCGTATACACAGGAAGTCCTGGAACAAATTCCTCTTGTATACTAAGGGACTCCTATAGTTCATGCATATAATACTGTGGTCCTCAACCTTTTATTAGGGCCTATAATTTATTCAAGTTGATGAATATTATCTGTAGGTAATGAAGGGACCCTCAGAACTTGTCATATAATAGGGAGACATGTATTTCTGGAAAAACCTTTTGGCAGCACTGAAGAGAATACATTCGATGGAGACGAGAGATTTAATACCTATTTAGGAGAGGAAAGCGAATGACAATACCATTGTGAACAAGAGTCTTTTCAAAGTACAGTTCCTTGACTAGCATTACCTGGAAAGTTATTACAAATGCAAATAACTTGAATCAAAAACTTTAGAAATACTACCCAGCAATTTGTGTTTTCACACACCTTCCAAATGCTTTTGATGTTCTGGGATAAAGGTTGGCAAAACTTTTTTGTAAAAGATTGATAGTAAATTTTTTAGTCTTTGCAGGCAACATGATCTTTTTTAGAGCATAAAAAAAATACTTAAAAAATAATAGCTGTGGCCATATTCCAAAAAATCACTTACAAAACATTAGCAGCCTGGATTTGGGCCTACCAGCCATAGTCTGTGGAGTTTGACGCCAGGAGTTGAGACTAGCAATAAAGAAGGAACAAGGTTGAAGAGTAAACTGAGTTTGGATATGAGAGAGTGAGTCTGAGTTGAACACCTGGTTCTGGAACTCGAAGGAAACAGCAGGGCTGGAAGTATAGATTCAGAAGACAGAATAAGGTGCTTACTAAAATGGCATGTGCAAACAACATTGCCCCAGCAACACATGGAGCCTAAGCAAGGAAGAGAGCCAGGGAAGTATCCAGAGGCCTACCAACACTGGACAGCAAAGGAAGAAAAAACGCAAAGGAACAACACTGAATGGCAAAGGAAAAGAACAAGGAACCAGGTCGATAAGATAAACACAGCAAAGGATGGATGGTGTGTCTGACATCAGAGGAGGACAGAACCTGGATACCAACAGTTCCAGCCCCTGCCGTGTTATACAACTTGAATGCCATCATGCCTGCAATCAGAACATCAGTGACTGTGTGCATGCTCACAGTTCAGTGTTATGGGTGAAACAAGTAAGCTCAGTGCAAGTGCAGCAAAAGAAGGATAGAGGAGCAAAAGTTAGTGAAACTTGTCTACATTTCTAAGCTTAGGGCAGAAAATCACATTCATGGGCAGAGACAGATTGAAAATATACAAGTCAGGGTTAATGAAGAATTGGGATTGGCAGGACATTGAGATAGGGTGGCGCCAAGAGCCTCAGGGAGGGGCGGGCCTTGAACAGGAGAAGGTATGCCTCCATCCTCACACATGGGCAGGAAGAATGGAAACATAGATACAGAAGTTTCTGGGTGGGCAAGAAGTTCAGCTTATTTTCATAATCTCGATTTTATCAGTGAAGTAGGAGGTTATCAAATAAGATTAGAAAAGTGTTAGTCTAATGACAGGAGGAAAGTGAAGATAAAGCAGCATTCCTTTAAAAAAAAAAAAAAGTCAAACTTGTTGCTTCATAGAAAATTTCCGCCTCCCCTAGTCAGTGAAAATTAGTGGTGTTCTCTAATTAAATTGGATTTATGAACAGGCCAGGCGTACAAGAAATCTTATTCCCTGTTTTCTATTTTGGCATTCACTTCTTGATGCTTTCCTTCCCCTAATCCAGGTTACGCTGACATGATCTTTGACTTCCCACAGAGAAGTGTTCATTTTAACTGGCAGGCAAATGATATTACACTCCAAAGGCCCATCATGCTAAATGACCATTAAACCATTACACTTAAGAACTGCCTCCCGAGATAGAGACTCCAAGTGCTTCACACAGTATCACTGTTTAACTATCAGCGTTTTATAGACAGGGAATTGTCATCACCAAGCTCACATGAATTCCTCTGGTTATAAACAAAGCATCTGTGGCTGGTTAGCTCGGTTGGTTCATCCATGAAGTTAAATGGCCAAAATCTTGGGTGGAATCCTTGTAAAGCTCTGTTAGTACGGATCTTTTCACAAGCCATTTGTCTGCAGCCCCAGTTAGATGAGGCATCTCAAAATGGATGCTCCTGATTTGGACAGGGTATGGCTGCCATCACCCCATCAATCAGCCTCCTCTTTCCTTATTCTTCAGCACATGCTCTGTGTTAATATGGGGCTATTCTCCTTTCTGGCCATCTCTGCCTCTGTGCCTTTCCCCACATTATTTCTTCTGCATTATTGTTTCCATCCAAGTCCTCCTGGTACTTCAAAAGTTTGCCTCACAATTCCCACTAAAGCTCCAGTATTTCTCTCAGCTGACCCCAGCCTCTGTGAGTCTATGTAACTGAATGACCTGCTTTGGAATCCACACTCTATAAATTTAGTTGATTATTACATTTAGTTTGTAACTCTAGGCTGCCGAAGGGCAGGTACCACAGATACAGTACAGTATAATATAAAGATGATATCTTAATTCTACTTCAGGTTTAGTAGAGTAGCCCCCTCCTTATACGTGGGGCATACATTCCAAGACCCCCAGTGGATACTTGAAACTGTAGATATATAAACCCTATATATGCTATGTTTTTGTAACCTATAATTGAAATGACTAAGTGACTACCAGACTCAGAATATACAGCATGGATACGCTAGACAGAGGAAGATTCACATCCCAGGTGGGACAAAGCAGGAGAGCCAGAGATTTTATTGTGATACTAAGAATCACAGGCAATTGGAAACCTATGAATTATTTCTAGGATTTCCAATCTTATATTTTCAGACCTGTTAACTATGGGTAACCAGAACTGTGGAAGGCAAAAACATGGATAAGGAGGGATGACTGTACTTCCTCACCAGGTAATCTTGGAAACTTCACCCACCTCTTTGGACATTCGTTTCCTTGAAGATGAAAAATCATATAATTCGCTACCTTATACTTTTTAATCACTATAGCCTTTAATAGCACTCCAACACTCGATGACTGATGAGTCATAATTCTTTGAGTATGAATCTATAACAAGAGTGAGAAACCAAACCCACACCTGATGGAAATGCGGGTCAGCAGCAGCAGTTCTTTCCTTCATTTTTCCTATTTCCAGCCATACCGTGTAAAGTTGTGAAGAGCAGTGTGTCTCACACATAGGTACTAGTGCTACCATTGGAAATGTTAGCTTACAGATTTTAAAAGGTGGTCATTTGATAACCATCTTTAGGCAGCAACTTCGGAAGTGTAGTCACAGTGAGAAGTTTGTGCCTGGTCAGCAGGACAGCTGATCCACTTACATGGAAGGAATTATACATACCTTGTCCATGGTTTACTGCCCTACCAGTGGTTCTTAAACTGTGATCCAGGGAGCCCTGGTGGTCCCTGCAGGGCATCCAACAAGTCAAAGCTACTTTGCTAGTAACACTAAAATGTCACTTGTCTTTTTCACGCTCATCCTTTCATCAGTTACAGTGCAGTTTTCCAGAGGCTACATGACGTGTGATATCACTGCAGCTTGAATGCAGAAGCAGATACGTGAACCCAACTACCTATTAAGCCAGACACTAGAAAGACCTACAGAACTGTGGGGGAAATCTTCCACGCTTCTCATTAACTTTTTTGCTTCAGGAAAGGTTTTTTTTTTTTTTTTTTTTTATAACAAGTTATTTCTGTTAACAAGGATAAGTTTATTATTTTAATAAATCAGTAAATCATTCTCTTAGTTCCTAATATGGTAAATATCAATAGGCATAACTGTATACATAGATCTTTGAGGTCCTTGATTATTTTTTTCTAGGAATATGAAAGTGTTCTTACACTAAGACATTTGGGAACCACCTCTCTGTATTAACGAAGGTATGAAATAAACACAGCTGTCCTTTGGTACCATAGAGGACTGATTCAGGGCTCCCCGAAGATACCAAAATTCATGATGCTAAGTCTCTTTATAAAATGACATAGTATTTGCATATAATCTATGTACATTTCCCCATATACTTTAAGTCAGCTCTAGATTACTTATACCTAATACAATGTAATGCCATGTAAATAGTAGTTATACTATACTATTTAGGGAATAATGACCGGAAAAGCCTATATACATTCAGTACAGATACTTCCTGCCCCCACCAAATGTTTTCCATTGGTGGTGGCTGAATTCACAAGTGAAAACCCTCAGTGGTCAACTATATTTGCCAAATATAAGACAGTCATGTATCCCTTAATGATGGGGATACCTTCTGAGAAATGCATCAATAGGTGATTTTGTCATTGTGTGAGTTTCACAAAATATACGAACCTAGGCTACATGGTATAGTCTATTGCTCCTAGCAAACAAACCTGAGTAGCAAGTTTACTTGTATACTAAGTCATTAGTATACAAGAAGCCCCTTGAGTTCATGTAGTTCAATTCCTCTTTTTAGAAAGTGACTCAGATAAGTTACTTCACCTCTCTGTACCTAATGTCACACAGCACATTATCACCTGACACAAGTTATGCTTTCCTTTTTAAATAGTCTCAATTTCAACATACTTAGGGGGTATTCTATTTAGAAAAAGCTTGCAATGATTTAGAAGAAATTTAAAGACTGCATGCAATGCTCTCTTCTGTAAAGGGTTTTTTTCTTCAATCAGCATGCCTCAAATTATTTATTTATGTGTGTATAGAGAGTAAGAGGGAGCAGCAGTGGATGGGTTTGTTTGTTTTCTATACTTGAGTTTGCCTACACTGAGGAATAGCTATGGTCAAACAACTCTTGCCGTGTGTTTGAAAGGAACCCCTTTAATCACAGAGAAGCAATAAAAGCAGAATGTAAAGAAACCTTCTGCCAAATGACCTGCTGAAAAGCAGCAACCAAGCTGACAACTCTCTCATGTCCTGTTAACTGGCTGAAGAACTAAAAGAAGGCTGAGAGGAGGTGAGAAAGGTTGGGAGGTTACTGGCTGGGAAGGCAGAATGTCCCAAATGCAAAAGGTTTATTCCTAGAACAATCAGAATCAACACCCAAGATGCGCCAGGTGACTTCAATATTTGCCACTGCTCCCTTTTTCCACAATGGGCAGCTAAAGATATGATGCCTACCCCCAAGAGGCACTAACCCCTCTGACATGGGCCCCGTTCATTTTGGGAAATGATTAGTTTAACATGAACATAATACAAGATCCTGGCAGCATCACAAACCAAGTGGAGGTTCACAGAACTTGACTTGTTTTATTGATGTAAAGGTAGGTCAGCAAACTACAAACTGTAGACCAAATCCATCCTTCCACCCATTTTTTTTTGTTTTTATTCCCAACCTTTGAGATGGAAAAGAAATTGCAAGGAAAATATATTTTACAACACCTGAGAATAATATAGAATTTAAATTTCAGTGTCTACAAATAAAGTTTTATTGGAACATACCATACTCCTTTGCATCTTATCCAGGGCTGCTTTATTGCTACAATGGCAGAATTGAGTCATGTGACAGACCATATGGCCCACAAAAAGCCTAAAATATTTACTGTCTAGTCCTTTACAGAAAATGTTTGCAGACGTATGATATAAACTTCCAAGTCCCCAAAGTATATAAAACTTACAATTCAGATTTTAATATCTTTGCATATTTTACCCTGGAAAACCTTAATGACTAAGCAAAGCATACTGATTATATTGGTTGAGTCTGGGATTTTGTGAAACATACTAAACCAGAAAGATTACCACATTTAGAAACACCAGAATACAGAGGTTTGAGACCAAAACCTTCTAAAGCAAGAGAGCTGCTTTAGAAGAGTCTGTTTAACTTCCAGGTGAGTACAATAACGTGGCACCTGAAGGCATTCTAATGCTTAACTATTTGTTACACCTACATGAGAGTTGTACTAAAAACTTACTTCACATTTCATCACATGGCTGTAAAACGAAGTTCCACCCCCTGAATCCATTCCCACTTTCTCAGTCACAACTCTCTCCCCAACCTCAAAGAAAAGCAAAACCCTCAAGCTCCCAGAACCACCTTGTTTCAAGAGATATTGCAATATAGAGAAAGACATCAGCTCAATTCTTTTCTCTCCGCTCTTCCTGGCAAGAAACTGCTGCCTTGAGTTGAACTGATTAACTGGAGTAAGCATTCTAAAAACCAGGTAGGGCTAAATACAAAGAGAATTACTGACCATAGCTTCTAATAAGAGTATTAAGGAACTTTTTTTTTTTCTTTTTTTTTTTTTTTTTTTTTGAGACAGAGTCTTGCTCTGTCATCCAGGCTGAAGTGCAGTGGCAGGATCTCAGCTCACCGCAACCTCCACCTCCCCAGTTCAAGCGATTCTTCTGCCTCAACCTCCCGAGTAGCTGGGACTACAGGCAAGTGCCACCATGCCCGGCTAATTTTTGTATTTTTAATAGGGACGGGGTTATACCATGTTGGCCAGGCTGGTCTCGAACTCCTAACCTCAAATGATCCACCTGCCTCGGCCTCCCAAAAAGTATTAGAGAACTTAAAAGGACTAAACCTGAACGTACCTCCTTGCTGAAGATTGTGAGAACAGTCCTCCAGATGAGCAGGACTGGTGACTGTCTTTTTATGATGATGTTCAGGATTCTGCAAAAACAATGGTTTTCATTTAGCAGTCTTAAACATCACAATGCAGAAAAAGAAATTAGATTATTCAAAATCTTTGCCTGCTTCTTCACAATACCTCCTTTCCATGACGTGACATAGTTAACCGTCTTGAAATGAGGAGACTACCAAGTTCTTTTGCTAAATCTTAAGCCAAACTGAAACTTCTTCACTGAAGCTGTACCCGTTCACAAGGAGGGAATCACACGATAGGGTACAGCCATCTTGGTTCAGTGCTTCATATTAACTGGGCTCAGGGGTGGGCTTACGTGCTTTAAATGCAAAAGAATTCACACAGGTGGCAATCGTTAATTATAGTGCCCATCCCACTAGCATGGACCTTTGACCCAATAGCAAATTAAAAGTAGATTGGATAAAAGTTCTGCTATAATTCAGGCCTGTGAAGATTTATAAGAAGAAAAAAAAAACATGTTGTAATCTTCTTGGTTTCATCACTTTTTACATAATAAAATAAGTTCTAGGGTCTACTGAGAGACACCTCCAATTACTACGTCAGCAATTTTAGGGAAATATGACAATAGTTTCTAATCCTAACATTTTTTAAGAAAGCAAAGTCTTAGGTTCTAAATTGTCTTTTATTCAAAGAATATAATTTAGTTTTCTTAATTTCCTCCTGCTAGGGAAGCTAAATAACTTGCCTCAGAGATCCTCTTTGATTAAAGTTTAACCATTACAACAAAATATTCCTTTTTGGTTGAGGGGCGGGGAGACAGGAACTTGCTGCTCTGTTGCTCAAGCTGGAGTGCAGTGGCATAATAACAGCTCACTGTGACTTCAAACTCCTGGGTTCAGGCTATCCTTCCATCTCAGCCTCCCAAGTAGCTGGAACCACAGGCACATGCCACCACTTCAAGCTATTTTTTGTTTTGTTTTGTTTTTTTTGTAGAGACAGGGGTCTCACTATGTTCCCCAGCCTGGTCTTGAACTCCTACGCTCAATGATCCACCCGCCTTGGTCTCCCAAAGTGGTGGGATTACTGGTGTGAGCTACTGCACTGAAGTCGAAACAGCATTAGTTAAAGAGGAGTAACTAGTGTTGGCAGAATTTACAAGTAAAAATACGGGATGCTGAGTTGAATTTGAATTTCAGGTAAAGAGCAAATACATCTTTAGTATACGTGTATCTACCATGTAATATTTGAGACATATTTGTATTGGGGACATAATTATGCTAAAAAATATATTTGTTGTGTATCAAAAATTCAAATTTAGCTAGGCATTCTGAATTTTATCTGACGACCCTAGAAACATCTTTAATTCAAAATGTTTCTGGGTGAACGAGCAGTGGAGGAAAAGTTTAGTGAGCGTGTTGCACCTAATCTTGGAAGACAGAAATACTTAAAAACTTTGGAACAGACTCCAGAACCGTTAGGACTCTCAGTTCTCCCATCTGAGGAATGAGAGGTGTGAAGTATAAATGTTGCAAGGGACTGTAAGGAGAAATTTTAAAAAGAATGATAGTCCAGTTCAGTATAAATGGCAACATCCTTGATTTTTTTTAACTTCTTTAGATTGCTTGTGTATGAATCTTACTGATGAGTGTAATTAATTTATTAGTGAATTAAATGAATAAAAACTTTTGGTGCTTCCAGCTCCAGTCATGGACCACAACGTGAACTATCAGGTGCAGCTTAGCAACTCAATAATGAGAAGGCATTTTCTCTTCAGCTTTGGTGCATTTTCTCTACCAAATAAATCAATTGAAAGCTCATCTTGACACTCCTCCATCCCCCTGCCCCCATCATTTCAATGTGAAAAGAGGAGACAGATTCAAGCAACTTAATCCAATTGCTTTTTCGAGATACAGACTCCTTAAGTATTGCCTCAGACTATGTCTGACCTCTTGAACTCACAGAGGGGAAATTAAGGCAGAAAAATCTAGCAGTTCAAATTGTTGTAACTTCAAGACCTGGTAAGATTTAATCTTTTTGGTTCCCCAAGGCAAATAAGGTTGAGCAAAATAACCAGAGAGTAACATGTTGAGGAATGGTTTATTTTTAAGGACTGAAAATGGCCCCAAACACCGAACATTTAGGAGGGTAGAAGCTACAGAAGTTCAAGGTTATTTAGTTACCAAAGCATAACGACATAAGTCAACGAATCAGGAGAGAGGTGTTGAGTGCAAAGCAAAAGAAAACTTAGATAGATAGTCAGGTACAGTATAAGGAATCTTTTGCCTTGGATAACTTTAATTTCAACATAACCATGGTGGACATAATACCATATCTACCTCAGAGTTACTTTTATCATGCAGTGGGTCAGGACATGTTTCTAGTCCTTAATACTATTGATTGGCTTCCTCTGAGGAGTCCCCTGAATATTCAATCCAGGAAGCCTCGCCACAAAGTGACAAAACCCTCACTATAATCCCCAAGCATGCCATGGTAGGTCTAAAACCTGGCTCATTTGGGGGAAGGTCTTAGAGCCTCATGGATGAATTTTTATCCCTGCAAAATTCCACTGCTAGGGCATTTCAAATAATTTTAAAGGGATCATGGTACATTTATATGAGAAGAATGAAGATACTCAAAATATTGTATATATTCAAGAGTCACCTAGGAAAACTTGTTGTAAATGCAGATTTCAGGCCAGGCGCAGTGGTTCACGCCTGTAATCCCAGCACTTTGGGAGGCCGAGGCGGGCGGATCACAAGGTCAGGAGATTGAGACCATCCTGGCTAACACAGTGAAACCCCATCTCTACCAAAAATACAAAAATTAGCTGGGCGTGGTGGTGGGGGCCTGTAGTCCCAGCTACTCGGGAGGCTGAGGCAGGAGAATGGCATGAACCCGGGACGCGGAGCTTGCAGTGAGCCAAGATCGTGCCACTGCACTCCATCCAGCCTGGGCGACAGAGAGTGACTCTGTCTCAAAAAAAAAAAAAAAAAAAAATGCAGATTTCCAGTTTCCATCTGGAAGGCTGAGACCGAAAATCTGCTGTGGTAGGTCGTGATTTTTCTGTTCAAATTTTTTTAAACAATCCATATAACATGTATTGATTATGTCTTATGATCAATGTAATGTGCTAAGTGCTGGAAGTTTAGAATTTAAATATGTACTATATTCCCTCTCAAAAGTTTATCCTTTGATCATGTTTATTTCTCAGAGAAGGCCTACAGGGAACAGGTATACAAAGGAAAGCTGAGGTCCAAAAAGATCACAGCATATACTAAAAGACACATAGCCAGTACATACAGAAGTCAAGTCTGCAACGAGGTAAGTTAATTCATTATTTTTCATTTCTTTTCCAACTATTTTCCTGCCATGCCTTTCTATTGTATTGCTGTGGCCTACTCACTGCCCTCTGAACCCACCAGACATACACTTGCCCCAGGACCTTTGCTGTTTTTCCTTTTCTATGTCCAAAGTATTCTTCCTCTTATCTGACTTACTGCTTCACTTTCTTCTGTCTCAGATCACCTTCTCAGTGAGACCTTCTATGACCACATTATTTAAAATTAACAGCCTTCCCACAGAGCACCCTGACCTTCTTTCCTATCTTCCCAGTCCTTCTGAAATGTGAAATTTAATGGACAAAGTGAAAACACTCCGTCTTACAAATCTGACGTGTAGCATACTCATCACTTGGAGTGATTTACTTATATGTACACATCTAAAGGTTTCTTGCCTGTCTCTGCTAGGATGGTAATTCTCAAACCTTAGCAGCATCAGAATTACCAGAAGTGCTTTTGAAAACACAGATTCCTCCTTTCCAGCCCCAGAGATTTGATTGAGGTCGTGCTAGTGGTGCCAGTCAGCAGATCGTTTTGAGCAGCCTTGCCATAAGGCACTAGTTCTCATCTAGGGATGATTTTGCCCCCAGGGAACATTTCATAATATTTGGAGACATTTTTTATTGGTACAGCTGGGGTGGGGGAGCCACCTGGCATCTTGAGAATAGGGGCCAGGAATGCTACTAAATATCCTACAATACGTAGGACAGTAGTGAGGAAGTTGAGTAACCCTGTCCTAGATGAATGCTTCTTAAATGCTACTATGCATCAAGAAGAGGAGGGCTTATTAAAAGTCGTATCATTAGATTGCACCTCCAGAGTTTCTGATTTGTTAGGTGGGTTCAGTGTGGAGCCTGAAAATTTACATTACTACTAAGTACCCAGGTGAAGGAAATGCTATTGGTCCAGGGCCAACACTTGGAAAACAATTGCAGAAGGAAAGCTCCACAAAGCAGGAATCATGGTCTCTTTACTCCTTTCCCCAGCAATAGAATGTGGTACAGTATAGTCACTCAAGTTTCTAATTGTTAATAACAGCACCACTACACCATGCACTCACATGATGATTCTGACACCAAGGATTCTTGGATTACACATTGAGAAACATGAGTTGTTTGAGCAGCAAATTTCAGATGCCTTCTAGTCCTGTTGACCCCTCAGCTCATTTACTACCAACCAAAGAAGTCCAAGGAGAGTTTGCATGTTTGCCCTGGCAGGCCTAACAATCTGCCTGAGGGGATGCTCAAATTACATCCCCACAGTAAGCTCTGTACAAAAGAAACAAACTGTCAAATGCAAGTCTCTGCATTCTCTATTTACGATGAAACTACACGACCCTACAACCAGCTGTCACACAATTCCCATTTTCAAAAAGGCCAGAGAATTTATTCACACACACACACTTAGTTCTTCAATCTGATCCTTGAGTGAGGTCTCTAGCATTGTAACATAATTGGGAATCGGTGGGTCTTGAATGTACTTGCACTTCCATAACCACATCTCTGGCAGCTGTCCACTTTAAGATGGTATCTTCCAGGTGCTGCCAATTACCTCTCCTTACATCATTTTCTGGGGGAATATTAAATTCAATTCCTTTTATCCTGTGCCCAAAGCCAACAATGAAGCAGTTGATCTCCATAATTCAAACATGTCTGATATCTTAGATTCAATGGCCCTGTTTAAGACAGGCATTTAATGAAGAACGGGTGAATGAGAAGTTTAATGGCTAAAGTGAAGACACTCCATCTTACAAATCTCTTTTTACTCATGTGGAATCATCAGCCAGTGTTATTGATTTGCATTTAACATTTGACTGGACTTTCTATTGTGTTCAGATGTTAGTATCCTCTGCTGGTGCCTGCAGGCTATTAGTTTCAGGGTAAAGCTTGCTGTTCTGAAAACCAGAGTCTTCTCTACTGAACTGAAAAAGCTGAAGCATTCACGATGGCTCAAAGAACCCAACACATTTTAGATAGCCGTAAAAAGTATTTCACTAGTTGTCTTTATTTTACAACAGTGAGAATTGACATAGAAATAATCAAAATCTATAAAGATACAGTTCATTATTTTATTATTATTATTATTTTAAGATAGAGTCTCACTCTGTCACCCAGGCTGGAGTGCAGTGGCGCGATCTGGGCTCACTGCAAGCTCCGCCTCCCGGGTTCACACCATTCTCCTGCCTCAGCCTCCCCAGTAGCTGGGACTACAGGTGCCTGCCACCATGCCTGGCTAATTTTTTTTTTTTTTTTTAGTAAAGACAGGGTTTCACCGTGTTAACCAGAATGGTCTCAATCCCCCGACCTCATGATCCACCCGTCTCGGCCTCCCAAAGTGCTGGGATTACAGGCGTGAGCCACCGTGCCCAGCCAGTTCGTTATTTTAAAAGCAGCATTATTGAGATATAGTTTATATACCATACAATTCACCAGCATAAAATGTACAGTTCAAAGGTTTTTAGTAAATTTAGAGTTCTGCAGCTGTCACCACAAATTTTAGAACATTTCCATCATCACCACAACCCCCCAAAAAATAACCCTGGGCCAATTTGTAGTTACCCACCACCAGCCTCAAACACTAATTTACTTTCTCTATCTGTAGATTTGCCTTTTTTGAGAATTCCATATAAATGGAATCACACTATTTGTTGTCGTTTATGTCTGGATCCTTTCAGTTAGGAAGATGGTTTTTAAGGATCATCTATGTTGCAGCACATATCAGTACTTCATTCATTTTTGTTGCCAAACAATTAATTGTATAGATATATCACAATTTGTTTATTCACCATTCGGTGGACATTTATTTTTTTTTGTTGGGCTATTATGAATAATGCTACCATAAATATTTATGTACAAGCCTTTATGTGGACATATTTTCATTTTCCTTGGGTAGATTCCTAGAAATAGAAATCCTGGGTCATAAAGTCAATCTATGTTTAACTTTTTTTAAATGCCAAACTGTTTTCCAAAGTGGCTGTATCATTTTGTAATCCCACCAGCAGTGCATGAGGGTTCCAGTGACTCCACAATCACTGGACCTCCAGAGTTTCTGATTTGTTAGGTGGGTTCGGTGTGGAGCCACAGTCTCTCAAATATTTGTTATTGTCTATCTTTTTTACTTAGCCACATATGGTTCACTCTTAATGTTGAAATGTGCGAAATGGTGCTTTCAGATTCGTCCCGCAAATATAAAAATACATCCAACATTTATTGGAGGCCTGCTGTATGTAATGTCTTTTAAATATATTACTGTTAACCCATCACTAACAAAATGAGATATCATCTATAGTTTATAAACAAAAAAATTAGGTTCAGAAAACTTAAAATTTCCCCATGGAATTCCAGCAAGCAGGTTGGAAAATCTGAATTCAATGCCACAAAACGTAAATGCAAGAGTTATTTATGCAAAAGTCAAGACATATTTGAAATACAAGCATGGGCTTCCGCTTACTACTCATGGCCAAGATATTTCTACTAATGTCATTAAAAAGAGGAATAAACAATAAATTCAGTTCTTTCTGATGATTATAGATTTTCCTTTGAAGAAACTATACTGAAATTCTAATGAACAATTTCATCTCAAAATTTTCTCTTAACATGTCAAATCCCAAAGCTGTAGTTTTGACTCAGGATTTAACCAGCAAGATATTTATGACAATCAAAGCTCAAATGAAACATACTTCATAGCAATGAAAATGCTGAATGGTTTTTATTAACTCTACTAAATCATTTTCTACCATCAAAAGATGTAAATTCTGACAACTGCTATTCATGTTTGAGTGCTTAAAAAACATTTATTGCCAGTTTCTGGAGTCCCGCCTGTGATTGAAGAGTATTGATGTTTCATCTAGCATGTATTGCATTAGGGATAGGCTGTTGGCAGAATGGCAGCCAAAGTCACTGGACGGAACCGCATCAGCTGAAAATCTTTAACTTATCACCTAATCGGGCCACAATTTCCTTTTTTTTTTTTTTTTGAGACAAAGTCTCACTCTGTCACCTAGGCTGGAGTGCAGTGGTATAATCACAGCTCACTGCAGCCTTGACTTCCCCAGAATCAAGCCATTCTCCCACTACAGCCTCCCTGGTAGCTGAGACTACAGGTGCACACCACCATGCCCAGCTAACTTTTTATATTTTGTAGAGGCAGGGTCTCATCATGCTGCCCAGCCTGGTCTCAAACTCCTGAGCTCAAGCAATTCTCCCCCTCTCAAAGTGCTGGGATTACAGGCATGAGCCACCAAACCAGGCCTGGCCACAACCTCTTGACCTACCCATGCCCTCTCCTGTCTCCAATATGTCTTCATCTGATCTACCCTTTGTCATTTAAATGGCCATTCTGCTTTCTCTAAGCTAATTCTTCCCTGCCTTGGAGATAATCTAAACACTGGCTTGAAATGATCAACATTTCAGAAAGGATAACTTCATTCCCTTAGGATTCATTATTTGACCTGTTTGACACAGGAGGTTTGCTAATGAGTACTTGCTTCCCTGTTTTGTTTTAGCATATCTGCTGATGTAGTTCCTTGCTCCTCAAAGTATGGCCCACAGACTGGCAGCATCAGCATCCTCTGCAAGCTTGTTAAAAATGCAGAATTTCAGGCCTCATCCTTGACCTACTGATCAGAATCTGCATTTGAACAGTCTCTCAGGTGATTCCTATGCGCTAGGTTATTAACTTTAGCACAGGCTCTCAGGTCTAACCCAAAGACCCAGAACCTCACATTACCCACTTGAAAACCTGCCCCATCAGGAGTAATAGCAAGGAACATTTATCATTCAGAAAGCACTTCCTACTCTTCTGTCTGCATAGGTTTCTTCCCTCTGCCCCCAAACATGCTAAAGCCACTCCCTATTAAACAACAAAATCTCTTGACTCTGTTATCCCTTAGAGGAAGAATGCAATATTGTTCACATTTATCTACTTCCTGCCCTCGTGGGAGTATCTAACATCCCCATCCTGTTGAGCCCAGAATTGCCTATATGACTTGCTTTGGCCAATGAAATGTAAGCTAAAGTGATATGTGTCATTTCCAAGCAGGAAACATTTCAGGCTTTGCAGACCGTAGGAACTCTCTCACAACTACTCAGCTCTACCTTGGTAGTGTGAAAGCAGCCTTAGAGACTACATGAGTAAATGGGTGACTGTTGCTATGGTCTGAAAATTCATGTGGTGGAAACTTAACCCCCAGTGCAACTGTGTTGGGAAGTGAAGGCTTTGGGGATGTGTTTAGGTCATGAGGGTTCTACCCACATGAATGGATTAATGCTGCTAGAAAAAGGGCTTGCAGGAGTGGATCCACTCTCTCTTGCCCTTCAGCCTTCTTCCAGGTAAGGACACAAATAAAAGGAGGTCTTCAGCAAATGCAATCATCTTGGTCTTGAACTTCCCAGCCTTCAGAACTGCGAGAAATGTCTGTGCTTTATAAATTACTCAGTCTCCACTATTAATTGTTATACCAGCACAAAACAAAGACAACTCTGCTTCAATGAAACTTTCTGAGTCCAAGTTTCAAAACTGAGAAGTTATTCTTAGCTCATCTACCACCCTAACTCCATCTACACTAAGCCAAGTATCAAATGCAAAACCACAGAATTTCCACCTGCAAGGATATTTGACATCTTTTAGCTCATTCCCATAATGGATGTTGAATGGGTAAACAGGTATGCTCAAAATGGCCTGCAAGCATATGCTGAAGTGTTGTTTAGTGTTTCTAAGCTCAAGAATGCTGCGATGTGCTTTATGGAGAAAATACCTGTATTTGAGAAGCTTCTCTCAGGTGTGAGTTACAGTCCTATTGGCTGTGAGCTCAATGTTAATCAATGTATACTAAATAAGGTGTCTTTAAACAGAAACACACATAAAACAAGGTTACATATCACTTAATTGATGGAAATGTTGTAACCAGAGGCTCACAGGAACCTAACCCTATATTTGCTAAGGCAGCAATCTTGGTGACTTTATAGAACATAAGTAGCGAGAATAACTGGAACCAGCAGCTTCTTGAGAGCCATTACTAAGCTCTGCCACAGGCACAGCCATTCTCACTTTGTCCATGAACACACGCGGCATATACAGTAGCTCCCCCCTTATCTGCAGTTTCCCTCACTGAGGGGCAACAATGGTCTGAAAACAGGTAATTATAGTACAATGCCATATTTTGAGAGAGACTACATTTACTTTACTTTTTTTTACAGTATATTGTTATAATTGCTTATTTTTATTAATCTCTTACTGTGTTTAATTTATAAATTAAACGTCATAAACTTTATCATGTATGTATAGGAAAAAACATAATATATATAGAGTTTGGGACTATTCTCCATTTCAGGCATCCACTGGGGGCCTTGGAAAGTATCCCCTGCAGATAACAGTGGACTACTATAGCCAGAACAGCTGGTTAAGGAAGTGTAAGCAGACAGGTAGATGTTGCAAGACAATGAAATTTAGTGCAAGGCTGTCCAAAGTGAGTAGTAAGGAGGAATCCATAATCAACATCAAATAAATTATTTCTTCTTTGGGTGGCCATAAGGCATAGACAGTCATACCCAGATATAAACACAGTTTATGACAGCAGCCTGAAAGGTCACACTAAGGCCTGAATTTTCCTTTAAGTAACTCTCTAGGACATCGTGAAGTAAAAAACAATCAATCATGGAAACAGATGGGATATAGAATATGCTGCTACGTTGCAATTAGTAAAAGGGGCTATGGATAAAGCAAAACTCATTATGCTGAAAAGCAGAAGCATTGCAAACAGCAAAAGACCTTGTGGTCAGCCACAGCTGTAAACTGAAGGACAGAGGTACCCTTCGTGAGGCAGAGAAAAGGCCAAAAATGATAAATACTTCCCAGGTTGTTCGCAGATGCTCATCCCAAACAAGGAAAAGCATTAAGTAGTACTTAGGCAGGAACTGAGAAGTCAATAGGCTTAAGAATGCTCTAGTCATGACTCAACAGCAGTCACCTATCTTTGTATTTAAAAAAACAGTTAAAAAGAAAGAGAGACAGTATTTGGATTTGATGTGTTTAAAACCTTACAGGGCCAGGCGCCATGGATCACACCTGTAATCCCAGCATTTTGGGAAGCCGAGGCATGCAGATCACTTGAGCCCAGGAATTCAAGACTAGTCTGGGCAACATGGCAAAAACCCTGTCTCTACCAAAAATACAAAAATTAGCTGCGCAAGGTGGCGCTTGCCTGTGGTCTCAGCTACTTGGTAGGTTGAGGTGGGAGGATCCTTTGAGCTCAGGAGGCAGAGGTTGCAATGAGCCGAGATTGTGCCACTGCACTCCAGCCTGGGCCACAGAACAAGACCGTCTCAAAACAATTTTAAAAATTTAAAAAGCCTTACAGCACAGAGGAGTGGAGATGTATTGATACTTTATATTTGAAGGCAAAACCCATAATCCTGAAGCATTGAGTGTGCCCCTAAAATGCTCTCTAAGTTTGTCAGGGATGAGTAGTCCACTTACAGTTGAAGTGGCTATGGGGCACCCCTGGTCTTTCCACATATAGGCCAGCTCTACTGCCTTGCTACTCAAAGTATGGTCCACAGCCAAGAAATGCAATATCACTTGGGTATTTGTTGAAAATGCAGACTCTGCAGCTCCAACCTAGAAGTACTGAATTAGCTTGTATTTTAACAAGATTTCCAAGTGATTCACATTTTAAAGCTGGAGCAGCAATGGCCTACAATTATGGTGGCCAACTACCTAGGGCCTGGTGTGAGCACCACAAGTCCCATGCAGTGTGAGAAACCTCTTCATCTCAGACACATCCAGACAGCTGGTCACCCTATTTTATCCCAATTCCACAACCAAAGGAAGTTCTCAAATGGAAGACTGAGACTCAAGAGCCACTTAGGGATTATTGTGCCCTGAAACAATTTCCCACTGTTTACGGTTTACTTTGGAGTCACATCTGGTTTTATGTGGTCTTCACATAAGGAAAGTAGAACAAGGGTGGAAGAATTCATATGGAAAACTAAGACTTTGAAGAACAATCTTCCTCCACACCCAATCTTCCACTCCAGAATATACCAGTCCAAGGAGTGCATTTTGAAACTGAGCGGAAACAAGACCAGGAGACATTCTTCAGGGGCCTAGAGTCATTCTGTGTGATTGGTTACATTATCACACCTTTCAAAGCCAGGGACAGCTGCTCTTGAACAATGGTTCTCAGACTTTAGCTATGTCAAAAGACACTTGCAGGGCTTATAAAGCACAGACGGCTGGTTCCCACCCTCAGACTACCTGATTCGGTGTGGTCCCAGATTAGCAGCATCCAAAACACAGGGAAGTGAGTGTAGAAGCAGAAGCTCAGGCACCATCCCAGACCTGTTGAGTCAGGATCTCTATTTTACCAAGATCTCCTGGTGATTTGCTTGCACAGTAACCTTTCAGAAGTATTCATATAGAAGACACTCTTACGAATTTGCTGAATCTGCATCCTGTGTATCAATACAACTGCTTAATCTTCTCATTGAGCAAATCTGAATTTCATGCTCTTCTCTTCCTTTTTTTTTTTTTTCCAATTTTGGCCATAGAATAGGTGGAAGTTCATTGCCACACAGGTACACAGATTAATTGTTAATAAGCAAGTTACTTTCAACACCAAGATTAGAAAGTGCTCTCACTGACAGTGAAGGAACATTTGCCCTGGCTCAAGGAACATAAGGTCTTCTGTTCTCTCCAGGGAAGCAGCCACTCAGGGGAAGCCACCACTCTCAGACTAGGGACATCTGGACACAGCCAGTGCCAGCAGCCTGTGTACTAGGCAGACATACTTCGGAATCCCTGCCCTCCACAACAGTTCCTGCAATTTGTTGGCCATACCTCATAGGAAAGTTTGATTCCTGCCAGATTAGCTTACTAAGGAAGAGCATATTCCCTTCTGCAAATAGATAATGCTGATGTCACATTTTCTACCTCTACTTCACTGTTGCCAATAACATAAGGCCACATATCCTGATATTTTCTTCTTTGAAGTCCTTGAACTGGATACCAGTTCTCCTGGAATTTTTTTAAAGAATGGTAATAACTAATATTTATGAAGCACATGTTAAGTGCCAGATATTGTCTTAAATACTTAACATTCCTTATCTTATTTAATCCACACAATAATCCAGGAGGTAGCTACTATGATTAGTCCCATTTTACACATTAGGGAATTTGAGACACAGAGTAGCTAATTAACTTGCCTAAGATCACCCAGCAGGCAGATTGCAGAGCCAGCACATTAATGAAAAAGATGTTAAACCACCAATTTTGTCTTACCTTTTCTTTCTAGAAAGCTCTACCTTAAAAAATAATGTAATAACAGAGTGTTGCATACAGGAGTAACCCTGTTGCACTGGAGAATGTCTTTTAACCTGCATGCATCTCAGCTCCTCCTGTGGTAAGTGGAATAATAATAAGCACTCTGCCTCTCGCAGAGGTATTGTGTAAGTCTGTGCCTGCATAGTGTAAACCGTAAAAGCACAGGACAAAGACAGTGATCAAAGGGATGGTAATCACCCCAAATAATTCATTAATTCTCACAACAACCTTGTGAGACACAGGAAATCGACTCTGGATTAATTGCTGGCAACTGTTAAAATGTGGCATGCCAAGATTCTATTCTTGTTCTTCAGGTGGGTGGAGGGGGGCTATCTGCTGCAGAGAACTGACTCTCAAGTGGGGGAGGGAATGTCAAACCTTTCCAAGGAGCTGCAGGAGAAACAGAAAAAAGAAACAGGGCTGTTCCCACCTGTACATGAGTGTAGCAATGACTGATAGATGATTGCCAAATCTGGCACATGGATAGGTTACATTTCTCAGCCTCCTTTACAGTTAAACATGGCCATAGGATTCAGATTTAGACAATGGGATGTGAGAAAACATGCCCCATCAAAATCTCCCATGCATGATTCTCTCTCTCTCTTGCCCCATCTGCCAACTGAATGTCAATACCCAGAGCAACCTAGGAAACCACACATGGAAGACAGCTGAGCCTTTGTTATCCTGGGTCCCTGAATGACTGTGTGGAATAATCCTTCTTACCTACTGCTCCTTCCTAGTCGAGGTATACCATTATTGCACTGCTTTCTACATATCACGTCACATTTAATTTTATTAAGCCACTGAAATTGGGTATTTATCTGATACCATAGCTAGTATTAGCCAAACCATTGATCAATGTCCCCTTTATCTACAAATCTGCTTTATGCCATTTTAAATATGTCACTCCTAATGCAAATTCCCATGAATAATGATTCCACCTAGGTTAGAAGAGGAAAATATCCTTAATAGATTAGGGGAGATTTTATTCTTATATGGATATTAATCTGATTGTTTTCCTAACTCCTGTGTGGGATTGGCCATCATGGGTAAATGACAGCTTTGATTGTTGAATAGAATAAGAAGAAATGTTTTGCAGCAAGGACAGAGGAGTTTGCTGAAGAGGAAGACGTTGGTCATTGTGATTTCACCATATTTCCAAGACCAAAGCAGACTTGGAAAGTGAGGTGGGATGGCTCCAAAAGTAAGTCACCTGACTTGACAATTTTGCCAAGACAGACCTGGGGAGCAGGGAGAAAGAGGAGGGTGAGAGTGCTAACTCCCTGGGGAAGCAGGTTCCAGATCGCAGGGGTCCAGAGAATAATGGTATGAACTTCACTGAAATATACTCTGTGTATAAGTTGATAAAATTCCATTTAGATATATTTATCACAATCTTATAGATTGAAGAAGTGCCATATTTGATTTGCCCAAGGTCATGCAGTACAATTCATTTCCCAAATCATCAAGGGCCTGCAGTTTTGTTTCTCACAGTCCTCAAGGCAGCAAGTTCTCTCCAGCAATTTCATCTTTCTCTGGGTAATATCTGCTCCCCAGTTTTTTCCCACTGCAGTCACATCGTATGCCAGCCTGGGAACCAACAACTTGGAAATTTGAAACCGATAGAGATTTTGAGACATTAACAGGTTAGTTGCAGACGTGGGAAAATTATAATCCTGGTGCAGTGCCATTGTACCTACTCTTTGTCTTTTATGAGCAAGAAAGACTATCACCAAGAGAAAACTGTTCCCAAAGCACTGTGGCACCAGCCTTGCCAGGCAGGGAAAAGAAAGAAAAAAAAGTGCTCCCAGGCCTTTGTTCTGGCTGCACGCATGTGACAGCTTTCAGAACCTCAGCAGATCTCCTGGCAAGAATGGCAGAGAGCAAACCCCTCCTCCCCATTGGGCAAGGGTAATGCCTCCTGGCAAAGACCTCAAGCACATCCATCTCCCTCCAGGCCCTTCTAGGGCTGCCGTGCATCTGCAGAACAGATGGGAGAGTCTGCTTGTCTGACTGTTGGCTGTTTTATTTCACTCAATAAACATTTATTGAGGATCTACTTGTGCCAAGCCCTAGGCTGAGGGATGTTCTATTGATGTATGTGCAAGTGAGCATGCATTGACCAAGGTACAAGTGCCGAGAGAATGTGTGTGTGTGTGTGTGTGTGTGTGTGTGTGTGTGTACCCTCAAATCACCAAAACAACAAAAGAATGGTGAAAAGGAATGGACAACCAAGAGCACAGCTGATCGACTTTGTCATAGGAGAAATGTCATGGTCTATCTCAGTGCTTCTCAAACTTGGCTGTGCACACGAATTACCTGGGTATCTTGTTAAATTGCAGATTTCAGTGCAGCAGGTCTGGGGTTGAGCCCTAGTTCTGCATTCCTGATGGGCTCCCAAATGATGCTGATGCTGCTCATCGGGGACCATAGTTAGAGTAGTAAAAGGCTCGTCTAATTTTCTTGCTGATCTGATATATTAGTTTGATGGTGTGTGGGCTGGCAGGAGATATATATTGGATTCAAATCTATATGAGGGAAATGAGTGTGTGGAACTCACTTTAAAATGGACCCAGAATGTGCCAGGTACTTTGTCTATGTAAATTCAACTAATTCTCACAGGTCGGTGATGTTACATCTCTTTTACAGGTGAGAAAATGTAAATTCAGGGCAATGAAGTACCTTTTCTGAGGTCCCACAGCTAGTAAGTATTAAAGATAAGATCTGAAATTAAGTCTCCCTGTCTTTTAAAATTAATGTTTTATCTACTTCCCTAAGGGGTCTCTTCATCCATTTAAGTTGGTTCCTGTCTGGAAGAGATGGTTTGAAGCACCAGATTTTGAATTGGGAGCTGCCGTCACATAGCCCCTTGACAGTCAGTGAAACCTAATATGGAATTCTCTGCTCAGCAGCATTGCCCAATTAATCCAATTTTTAAAGCATGGTTATCATTAAAACCTCTAGGTGAATGTTAAAAAAAATACTGTATTCACTGGTTTTCCCTTCGTGGTAATGATCTGACAGCAGTGAACAGGTATCAGTATCAAGAAGGTGATGGATTTCTGTCATGTCAGAGCAAAGGAAATAATAATGATAATAAAGGCCAAAGGTGAGATCTCTTCCAGTCTGAGAAGAAATACTGTGAGGACTGTTTACCAGGAGCCATGGGCTCAGCCCGGCAGTCTCCAGAGAACGAACATGTGACTATCGTTATGTGGCCCAGACAAGTATTCAAAATATATTGGGTTTCATGGTTAAAGAATTATGTTTATTGTTTCCTCTAATCAATTTGACTTCACAAAATAAAGAGTGATATATCACTCTTAAGTTCTTGGAAGAAAGGAGTGTCAGAAACCTTACAAATAAAGTATGTGTTAAAGAAAATGGGTATAGAGTGGGCTCTGAACTGAAGAGAGGATATATGGCCCACTCTTTAAGCTCATAGGAAATTGTGACCTCGAAAAAGTACCCAGGATTTCTCAAGAGGACTATTACTTAACAAAATCTCCACAATAACAAATGAATAACGGCCTGCCAAAGAATATAAATAGAAAAGGATTTAATATATATCCCATAGTTATGAGATTATTGGCCAAGGGAGTCTTGTGCTAATAAGATCACTCCCTCAACCCTCAAATCAAATTCCTCACAAAATCATATTCATATTACTAACCTTTATGAGGAGAGAAGATAATCCTCTATAATTTTCAGCCCAATTGGCATTTATTTTTCTATAAAGGAAATAAAGAAATCAAAACGATAAAATAATTCCATTTTGAAGTAGTTTTTAATGTGCTGACCTAACTATAGCTTTGAATTTATAATGGAATAGTTTATATGTTTTATATCTAAAGACAATGAATCTCTGATAAAACCCAAAAAATGAAAATAATCTGAATTATTTTCTGTCACTTGCTTATTTCCATAACTGTAGCCTGTCTTGGGCAGTTCTCAGTCTTTTCCCTCCCTACTTCATTCTATTACTCTCAGGAATGTTGCTCAATAGAAAATCGAACCAACAAAAATGGAGAATTCTTAATGCATCATTAGATCTTTGGAGCATGTAAATAGACTGCATCAATTAAAGGGGTCCAGGAATATATTTTCTGTCTTCTAATTATTAAAACTAAAAAGAGAGCATTTCTCAATAGGTTCTTTCATATTTAATTTTATTAGTTCTATGTAATTATATTTAAGATGAAGGATATAAAGTTCACTAAATAGCATTAATAAATGTAAAATAATAATTTCTAAAATGTGTGCAGTGTGTATATGCTATTTTTAAACCTTGCACATCTATTATTCTTCATAGATATACAACTGCTGCTTATAATTATGAAATATGTTTGCTAATTATTTCATTAGTAGTAAACCAGTTTTATTAGTTGTTATTTGTTATTACATTAGAGACATTTTTAAAAGACTATTAGGATTAGAATTATGTAATGAATTTGCCTTCTGTTGGTCTACTTGTTTTTTACTAATCTAAAATATCAAATGGACAGAATAGTGTTCAATTTTGATACAGGAGTTACTATAAATTTGGTTTCATTTTTCCCCGTTGAAACAGAATTCTCAACATGACTTTTCTATATATGGGATTTCAAAACTGCAACACACTGTCTGTAATATCCTAAATTGAACAAGGACTTCTTGATCCACTGCAGCAGTTTGAGTAATGGTTACATCTAAGCAGCAATTCTGACCAATTACAAGCACATGGTCATGGGCTGTGACTGAAGAGCAGGGTTTGTGTATGTATGATCTATGTTGACACTATTTCTGGAGCTATAGCAGGTAAACTCCTTTCTCCTAGTTAGGTTTTGAAATCTTATGTAATATTTTTAGAGATAACACCTTAGGTGGGAAAAATGGGAAAACGTCCATGGAATTGTTGAATTGAGTATACAATAAAGTTCAAGAAAGAAAATGGGGAAACATTTGGTTTTGATTGATGGTTTTTGTGTTTTACAGCATCTCCTGGACACTTATCTACAGCCAAAAAATATTTTAATGATATTTCAATTAGGATGTCTTTCTGTACTCTCTCTCCACACAACTGCCCCATTGATCTCCAAAATACTGTGCAAAACCCCTCATTGCATGTGAATCACAGTGCATTGTGGCATTTGTCTTCCTAGCTAGAACATAACTTTCAAGAAGCTAGGTGCTATGTGTGTGTGTTTCTTTTGTTTTTAGCCCCTACATCTAGTATATCTGGAAAAGGATAGATGTCCAGTAAACTTTTATTAAGTGATTTGGAAGTGGTTGTGCTCAATGTTATCTTTACATTTGTGCTCCAAGTCATCTTTGCATTTTTTTTTTTTTTTTTTTTTTTTTACTCTTACTCATGCCTAACTAAAGAAAATGGTTCTGTAGGGGCAACAGCAAATACTAACCATTTACATTCCAATGCTATAAAAGACATTTACATACATTGTTTCAGGCAACCCTTTCAAGCCCATGAGTTAGGAAACTTGGTTTTATATGTCATACAAAAGAAATCTAAAGCTCAGAGAACTTATGTATCTTTTCCATATACATGGTTTAGCTGGAATGTTGTGAAAGCAATACTTGCATCAGGTCCTTAGGCATCAAGTCCAAAACTGTCACTACGAACCCACAGCAACCATCATTCCTTGCTGGGCATTTCTGGGGAAAACCCTCCATCCACCTCAGCTAAGGGGGCAATAGACAGAGAAGCAATGGAGGATCAACTGATTCAAATTCTAACTATTCTGTGCCTTTATACCTTCACAGCTCCATTTAATAAGTGACAGATAAATATTGATCCCATCTAGGCAGTTACAAGTCTGTTATTTTTAAATCCACAGCATAAGAATTGATGGTGGTTGATAAGATGCCAGGTGTCCAGATCTAGAATCTTGTTACAAGAACCATAGCAGTAATACTTAAGTGCTTTAAAAGTATCATCCATTTAATCTTCACAACAACCTCTGAATTAGGTGCTAATTATATCATTCTGCAGGTGAGAAAACCTACACTCAGAAAAGTGAAATAATCTTGCTGGAGGTCATTTATCTGGTGAGTGGTAGAGCCCTAACTCAAAGTCTCATTAGTTTGAGTCATAGAGCTGTGCTCTCAGCTATGATACCATCCAATCCCCTGCTCCCACTCAGCTGGAGACATTTTCTAAAACCTTATGAACCTTAAACTCGATTTGTAGGATACATTTTTCGAGCCTCTTCATGCACTTCGATTCATTCTTTTAAAATTATTTTTAAATTAGTATGCATTTTAAAAGGATATTCTCTCCCTAGTTCTAAACACGAGTATAATTTTGTGACAATCTGGATTTGTGCTTCAATTACCCAAACTGTTTCTTCCCCCACCCCCCCCCCCTTTTTTTTTTTTTTTTGAGACAGCGTCTTGGTCCGTAGCCTAGGCTGGAGTGCAGTGGCATCTCGGCTCACTGCAACCTCTGCCCCTGAGGTCAAGAGATCCCCCCACCTCAGCCTCCCAAGTAGCTGGGACCACAGATGTGCACCGCCATACCCAGCTAACTTCTGTATTTTTTTTTTTTTTTCAGAGACAGGGTTTCTCTGTGTTGCCCAGGCTGGTCTCGAACTCCTGGGTTCAAGCAGTCCTCTCACCTCAGCCCAAAGTGTCGGGATCATAGGCATGAGCCACCATGCCTGGCTTCCTTCCCATTTTTTTCAAATTCAGTGGATAATTCATCACAATTTATCCTTATCCCTTTTACTTGTGGAAACCCAAACCTAAAAAGTATAAATCAAGAAAAAGTGGTATTCTAGGCACTCAAATAAGGTTAAACACTCAAGAACAGCACTGCAGCAGTATCTTCCTTATTTTTTGTTTATATTTTTTACTATGGATTAACAAAAGTAGACCACTAAAGTTGCATGCACTTTTACTTCTGAAAGCTGAAGCCACGAACTTCCTAGTCTTACTATATTGGAGTAAATTAGTATCTTTGTCAATGCCAGTTCCTAAATTGAGTATTTTCTATCATATTAAATACTTTTTTACTCAAATATGTACTTTAGTCCATATGACTAAAACCATAAATTGCTAACCGGCAGCCCACAAGCCAAATTTCATCCCATAATATATTAGGTTTTGGTGCTTCTTTTGTTTTTAATTTTGATTTAGTTGACATTAAAAAAAAAAAAACCTGGAGATTTTACACAGATTTCCAGAGTCACATAAAAATTCAGATTTCTAAACCCTCATATAATTTGTCATTACTAGGCTGAAATTGCTCCAAAGTAAACAAGTGCCTGGAGCTAAGTTAGGGCTGCCCTCTTTCATGTTCTTAATCCATACTGCTATTGCCATATATTATTGCTACCTCCCTTCTTGACTCCTGACTCCTGAAGGCATTTGAATGTTCCATCCCAGTACATGAAGTATTCTTTGTTTATTTAAGCTTACTTTTTGGAGGCCACATCTCATAAAATTAAATAAACTATTTCTGTTTTGTTTAATACCATGGCTATCTTTACTCTGCAGTGGCTTTATTACAGGATGTACTAGAACATCATTGCTTTGTCCTTTGCCAAAAGCTTATAGCTTTCCAATATACTTGTCAAGCTATAGTGTCTGATAGTTTTTAGGTTTTCTGGTCTGTCTCAGTTGACAACCATATCATCAGAGGTAGACTTCATGGGCCCTGGTAAGCAAAATTCTGGCCATGCTATCTGTCACTCTGCTATTGCTCCTGTGAATAAGTTACCTTTCATGGCAAAAGAAATTTTGCAGATGTAATTAAAGTTACTCATCAATTGACCTTAAAAAAGGAGATATTATCCTGGATTATCTAATCACACAAGCCTTCAAAAAGCTGAGAAATTTCTCTGGCTGCAAGTAGAAGAGATGTAGGAAAAGTGGAAGTCAGAGAAATTGGAAGTACAAGGACTCACTGTTGCTGACTTTGAAGAAAGATAGAGCCAAAGAATGGCTCTAAAAGTTGAGAATGATCCCCAGCGGACAGCCAGCAAGGAAATAGGGACTTTAGTCTTAGAACCACATGGAACTGAATTCTGCCAACAACTTGAACAAATCTGAAGGCAAAATCTTCTCTTAAACCTCTACATAAAAGTTCAGGGTAGCTGATGCCTTGATTTTTGGCCTGGTAAGCCTGTCTGGACTTCTGACTTACGGAAATGGTGATATAGTGAATGTGTGATGTTTTCAGCCACGAATTTTGTGTTAATGTGTTAAGGCAGTGATAGAAAACTAATACAGGCTTCATGGCCACTGGTGACCCTAATGAGTAATATCAGAAAACCTCAGAATGCTTCATTCACAGCAATCACTGTTTCCTTTTTGGTGTGACTTTGTCATTAATCATTTATGTTTCCAAGCCAATTCTGGTGATTTAGAGCCTGTACTAGTTTTCGATCTGTGCCATAACAAAATTAACACAAAGAGAAAATAAAAGGGCCAAAATCAGTACTGAGAAAATAAACTGAGTACTGTGAAAATCACATAGAATCTGAACCTCTTCAATTTAAATGTTTCAGCACTATCTCTTTTAACTGTAACATTGAATATATTCATATGTGAAGCAAGCAAAAAGCTATCTACTCTAAGTTTTACTTCTTTATTAAATTATCAAAAGAAAACCACAATTGTCATTGTAACAGTGAAACATTTAATACAGTTCTCAAATTAAACGCAGAACACATTTACAGAAGCCATCAATTTGGGATCTTCTTTGTCAAACTCTGTTTTTCAAACAATATTTTAGTACTAAGCCTTATTTCACTAGTGGAAAAATCTTAAAGAAGACAAGACTATATATTCATTCAACACAAGACTGTTTAAACTTTACTCACCTCTGTGATCTCTACCAGTTGCAGATGACCACATTATTCATGGTTTAATACCAGGAAGATGTGGGATCTGCAAGTAAAGTATTCTCCACCTTGGATATTACTTGGCTAACTCAAGTCATTCATCCATTCAACAAAGGAGGCCAATGGATAAGGTCAAAGAGGTAAACTATATGATAAGGTTTTCTTCATAGGACATATTGCTATCTGAAATTATCATATTATTTGTCTAATTTATTGTGATATATGTCTCCCAACAGAACGTCAGCCCCAAGGGGCTGGTGAATTTGCCTTCCTGTTTATTGATGGACATCCAACCTTTAGACTGGTAGATGCTCAATAAATACTTATGAAATAAATACATATATAAATGATAAAAAATCTAGGTCAGCATCCAGAAGTTCCGATATACTACCGTTATTCACATTCTCTAATTTGTTTCTGTCCCTCTTTTTCCTAACGTGAATTTTTCCAAAGTATCTTCATTAAAACGGTAAATCCTCTCCTTGTGCATTTATTCAACAAACACTATTGAGCACCCTGGATATTCCCTGTCTCGCTCAAGAATCATTTACTCATTCATTTATTGATTTATTCAACAAAGGAGGCCAAGGATGAGGTCAGAGAGATAACAGGGGCCAGATCATAAAGAGCTTGGTAGGACACTGTAAGGTCTTGGGCTTCTAGTAAGAGTGAGATGGGAAGCCATTTGGAGGATGCTGACACAATAAATGTCATATTCTGATTAACATTTTATTAAGGCCAATGTAGCTATTATGTGAGGCAAGGGTAGAAACAGGATCTCCAGTCATGAAGCTGTTGGAATACTCTCATGTTTTTTGACTGCCAGTGTTTTCATGTAATTCAAACTAGGTTCTTGAACAAACTTTGCTAGAAAACAGGAGTCATATTTGAAACTCTTAAAAGACACACAGCACTGATTGCCAGCTGTCCTCTCTTATATCCAGTCCCTTGCCACGTATAGGATCCTGGGACATTGCTGCTGCAAATAATTACAGACCTAATTCCAATTGCCTCCATTCACAAAAGAGGAGATTTTGCTTTGCTCATTCCTTGGTGGTCAAGGTTCATTTCCTTTACACAATGCTATCTTATTTCTCTTCTGCTCAGATCTAGCATTATCCACATTCACTCTCTCAAAAGACAAACTATACCATGCTTACCTAAAAATGTTAAAGTGCATTGTCCTGAAAGAGAACACAGAGCATTTGCAGAGCCACTCAAGTCTTTTCCAAAGCCCATGATGCTTAGGTCATCCCAGACTGAAAATCCCACTTGTTTTCAGGCTTCCCCAGTAACCACGTTGAAGAGACAGTCTGTGGTGAATTGCCTCTATCATGCTTTCTTGTGAAGGATCTAACCTTAAGATGGACTCAACTGACCTATATAACTTGGGCCCCCGGGGCCAATGAATGCAACTTTCACCACCCACTGTTTCTTTGAGGTGTGTCCATATTAATGTAGATACTGTGGCTTCTGGGCATCTCGACAGCGCTCTATCATTATGAATATATTCATAGATATAGAACCTGGCTGTTACTGGGGAGGTGCCCTACTACAGACTACAGAATAAAGAACAGCAGTTAAGAGGATCTGAATTGCCACTCCCATGCTTTTGGTTCTGCAACCTTTGTTCCAGTCATTTAACCTTGTTAAGGCTGTTTCTTTACCCTATAATATTAGCCTACTGGGTGTGAGTAATAAATGCAATAACATGTGCCGAACTTTTAGTACAGAGTCTGGCACATACAGAGCACTCAATCAATATTAGTAATCATCATTTAAAAGCCATTACTCTAATTTTCACCATCCCTGTGAAGATGGACATGAATCTTCCAAAATGGTACCTGAATTCAGGAAGTTATTTGCTTGGCTTGCTACCTTTCTGCCACCTGCTTGTAAAAACAACAGTATTGGAAAAGGGGCATTCTAGAGCATGGTAGCATGGATCCACAGACACATTTCATCAGTTCTCTTTCTTCCATCTTTTCTATGTTTACTTATTGGCATAGGTGAAACTGAGACAAGAGTTTAAACTTCTTGATATAAGTTTGACATGATGAATGCAAAGACCACCAAGTACAAAAGGCAAAAGCAATGCTGTAGATTAAATCCGATAATGGTGGAAACAGCCAGGGCAAAACTCACACATATATTTTTATTTTGTTTGTTTTTGCTTATATAAGAGTGATGAAGAAAGACAATTTAAAAGGATAAGGGACAGAAGAAGGGAAGAGAGAATGGAAAGGCACAGCAGAAAGTGAAGAAAGAAAAAGGAAGAACTGAAGACGATGAAAGAAATAAATAGGGGAAAAAAAGGAAAAAGGAAAGGAAGAAATAAAAGGAAAAGGGAAAGTTACTATGAGACTGGTTCTACAGCCCAGAGCAATGCAAAAGCAAAAGCCAGGATCAGCACAAAAAGACTAACAGAGAATATAAAGTGGGCTTACAATTGAACAAATTCTTCTTGCAGTCCTGTTACTCTTTTGTGAATAAAACTGCTTCTATCCCTAGAAAATTGAGACTTAGATTTTTCTTGACCTTCGAGTCCAATGATACCACTGAATGATCACTTGACTCTTGTTTACATGATTACATTGACGTCATCACTGCTCTTTTGAGAGAGGTAAAACCTTCCACGTCTCAGATGTACCACATACAAAGTGAAGTGAACTCAAGGATGCCGGTTATGCTCAGAACAGTGGCTTCCTAGTGAAAGAGGGGAAGCCTGCTACAACAGTTCTGGGGTTGACATTGATGATACTTCTCACTCAAATATTTTGCTTTCATTTTTATTTTTTGTCAAAAAAATCTGTATACAACATTGAACATGCTTGATTCTCAGTCTCTTAAATGTATTTCTAGGTTTTTTATTATATGTACTGTGCTGGCCAAGAGAAAAAAACAGGCTATTCAAGATTATGATTATTTAAATTTGCTCTTTTTTAGTGGTAGAAATTAATCTGATTTCATTTTCCTAAAATTAACAATCAAACATAGTACTGTGTTCCAAATTTGGCAAAAGTGAAATTCCATAATCTGTCGCTTTAGCGTGGGATCCACCAAGCATATTTCTCAGCTCACAAAGGACTTCTACCTTGGAACATATCCAACCTCTTAGTATTGAATTGGTGAGTTACCATGAAAGGTATAAGCTCTTTCTTAATTGATGTTCAACCTCCTAACATTAGATTGTGTGAAACTTATATAATCTGCAAAATATAGCAAATCAGTTTATCTTTAAATAGTGATACTAGTCACACACATCTATCATGTCAGGACAAAAATAATAGGTGAAAGGTGATATCGGCCTGGACACTAGGGGTTATGATAGAGGTGAACAAAGGTGAGATATGAGCAGGGGTATTAGTCCAAAATACTTATCAACTGGTATGGCTAGAGCACTGGCCAATCAGAACAAATGCAGACTATAATCCACCAATACTGGCAGGTCTACCTGTGGGTATCAGGCACATGCCTACCTTGGACACAATGTACATGATGAATTAAGAAATAATTGAGGCAAAGGAATAAATCTAAGTTTCTGAACTGAACAATTAGTATGGTACTGTCATTTCCCCAAATGAGGAAGACTAAAGAGAATAATTTTAGGAGGTTGTTTGTAGTGATAATATAACCTTTAATTTTGTGTGTAAAATGTTAGATATGCTTGGGAAACATCCAAATGGAGACGTTAAGTGGGCAATTGAATAGATGTTGCTGAAGCTCAGAGGCCAGGAATGGATTAGAGACATAAATTGAATTGTTGTATGGATAAGACTTAAAACCATGAGAATGAAAGATATTACCTAAAGCGGAAGCTGGGGAGGGAAGAGGAAGGCAATATAAAAAAGATGGGCCAGAATATAGCCCTAGTGTTGGTAAGATCCAAGCTTTATTTAGAGATGAGATCATGAAAGTGGAGCCAGCTGGGAAATAATAAACCCTAAAGAGGAGAATTAAAGGCATACAGTCTCATAGAAGCCACCAAAGTCACTGAAAGATGCCAACAGAATATACCTTATGACAGAAAAGGGACGAGTCAGCTCTGTCCAATGCTTCAAGAAGTTGAGTAAGAGTGCAGATCGCTGCTCAGTAGTCACTGCTGACGTCAAGAGAAGTTGTTTTCATAAGCGGTGGAGGCAGAAGCCACACTGGAGGAGGACAGACAGTAAGGTAGAGAGGAGGTGGAGATTAGCATGTGGAGATTAACATGTGCAGACAAGCCTCACCAGAAGTTTGACAATGACACGGAGAAAAGAAATGAGGTAAGGGATGCTGAGAAGTATGGGATCCAGAGTTTGTTTTAAACATAGAAGACATTAAAAATATGTTGACATGTAATTGTTGTAACAACTCCATGATTTAGGGAAGTGTTATTTCTCTCATTTATCAGATGAGAAAACTGAGGTTCAGAGAGGTTAAATAACTGGATCAGGTTCTCGTAACTAGTAAGAAAAAGAGCTGAAAGTTGAGTCTAGCCTATTTCATTCCCAAGTTCTAGGATAGGTGGACACTTCTCATATGTTATTGCATTTATTTTCCCACATAACTGTTTTCTCATTTTAAGAATTTCATTTTTAATTGACATTATATATATATATATATATATATTGGGACTCAATTTTTTCTAAATACAGGGGATGAGTCTAACTCATCCTTGAATCCCCAATACATAGTACAATATCTGGTCATTAATAATGGGTACTTAAAAAATGCATGTTGCATAAATGAATAAACAAATAAGTTTGTAGCCAACTAACTGCTAAGAACTTACCCCAATCTTACACAGTCACCAGGCTCCACTGTAATGAACAGCTTGCTTCCCACTTAAAAATTTTTTTTCTCTGTACTTGAAATATATACAAAGTCCTTATTCTCACATGGAATCTATTCTCAGGTAATACTGATTTCACTGTGCTGTTCCACATGAGATCAGCATATTTGTATGGGAAGGAAAAGGGATATTCAATCACTGTGATATTTTATGAGCCTGGTAATAATAAATAGATATTTTTAAACATTCATATGCTTGATTGATCCTTCTTAACCACATGTTTTGCTCAGCTGTTTTGCTGGCATTTTACTTTAGAGCCTTTTTAAAGCAGTTATTATTTTTTCCCTTTATCATATGAGTAAAGAAGTTTTCACAAATGTCCCTAAGGTTAAAACAATGCACAATACTTTTAAAATGTGTGAACTCTGATGATTGTCTTAAGATGTTAATAACTTAAGTTTCTGCTGAAATAATTTTGTTTTGAACTTCTTCCAATAAACTCCTTCCTTCTCACTTTCAGAAAATTTAACCTTTGAAAGTCTGAACAGAAAAAAATAGTTATTCAGATTAACAAAACTGCTTCATCACACAATGTGTAGCTCTTCAATTTAGTTTTGTTATGATTTGCTAGCAAAGAAGTTTAGGGTCTGTCCATCTCCTAATTACGTATATATTGTTAAAGCTACCTGAGCCAAGTTAAATAAAATAAGGATGCCTAAAGTAGGTTAAATTTGCATTCTGATTATTTGCAACAGTTTCTAACCCCACAGTTTTTTTTTTTCCTTCATGCTTTAGGTAAGAATTACCTACTAGTTCCCCCCCACCATATCTATAAGCATCATGTATTTTTTTTTGTCCAAGAAGGAATATACTATACAATTTAGCTATTCATTTATGCAAATGATGGTAAACAGAATTATAAAGACAGATAATAAACAGCAAATGAGGTTATTTTGTTTCACGCTTTCTGTTGTCAGAGTTCTGAGCATGGTTTAGTGTTTTCTATTCATGACTTTATATTACCAAATTACTCCCTGATGGCGTCTCAGATGTGCTTTTGTCTGCAAATGAGAAGGAATAAAATACCAGGACATTAACGTTAAATTACAATCGTTAATGGCGTAAATACGAAAATAATTACTGCATCATACCATCAATTGTTATGTGTTCATTACTGAAGTTCTTGTAAAGCCTTCATTTTCTTGTTACAATTATTTTTTGCTTTATTTTTGTCTGGCTATTTTATAGCCCTGACAGTACTTTAGCAACATTCAGCAGTTACACAAGCCATTTAATCCGGCTCAAAGCTTCATTTAAACTTCATTTAGCTGCATTTTATTTGTGTATATATGCCTTTTACTTCTTTCTGACTGTCAAAAGGTACTTCTGGAGTAGGTGCTGCAAAGATGTGTCAAAGGAGGCTATCTAAAACCAGCAATAAACTTCAGAGAGGGTTTTAGACTTACTTTAACATGGCTCGATAAGATACCTTTATTAAATAATCAAACTTATTGCACCCCCATCCTGTAAAATTTTAGCTTCAGGGCTCTTTTCTTCTTCTTCTCCTACTTCTAGCACCTCTTTTAAAAATTAATTTATAAATCTGCGTCCAATTAGGCAAGATGCTTTTAAATCTCGGCTCTCGACTCTCTCCCATTCGGTTTCTTATCCTCCGCTCCGCCTCACCTGTCTTTCTCCCGCTCCTACCTCTTTCCTCTTCTCTCAGTGGTCCCTCCATAACTGGCAGGACAGGGACCCCCTCCAGATAGACAGACGGACAGACACACACACACACACACACCCCACACTCTGGCCGCCTGGTCCTGGAAGGGTCGTCCAAATGCACCCTTTTGTCTGTTCCACTCCGCGACCATCACTTCGCCTCTGCCTGCTTGCCTCCGGCGGGGAGTGTCAGGGAAACTCACCCCGCGCTGAGAGCTGGAAGGGGGCGGGGCGGAGGGGTGTGGAGGCACAGCGGGCGGTCCAGCACCCGAGCATCCTTAGCCACGGCGCGCGCGCACGTACACACACACACACACACACACGTCTTCTGTCACCTGTTCACTTTCAACGCCAGCTCTAGCTCTAGGTAAAACTTATCCCTCGTACCCACCCCCACCCCCACCTCCGGGAGTCCACCTACAAGACATCGGCGTGCACACCTTTTTCAAAATATCTGGAGGGAGAAAAGTGCACACTGGGGCACACTGCAATTACATAGATTCCAAGTACCTCTCTCTTCTCTGTTTTTCCGCCCATCGTCTCTACAATCACACACAGCCTCTTCCTGCCAAAGCGCGCACACAGCAAGAACCCCTTCGCGGCTGACAGTCCAGGCTTAGAGCCTCAGCCTCCAGGGCTCGGTCCCTGGCCGCGTCCCTGTGTCCGGCGCCAAGCCCCTAGTACTCTTCTCCAACTCCTGCCATGTGCAGCCTGGCGCTACCCGCTCCCTAGGCCCAGCCAATGCTCAAACTTTTTCTCGCCCTTTCTTCGGCCCCAAAGCATGCTGCAACCCAGAGGTCCGACACCCCGGCCTGGAGCTTAGATCCCCACAGGGGAATGGAGCGAGAACCTCTGCTCCCAAGGGCGCCAGGTTTCGCCGTGCCCAGCCCTAAGGTGCGCAGGACAGCGCTGGACCCGGCAGGGACGCGAAGGGAGCCGGGGCGGATCCGGCTGGCAGGTGCAACTTGCCAGCGACTCCTGGGTTCACGCCCCTGGGGAGGGCGGGTTTGGCCTAATGAGAACAAAGCTGGAGTCCGGGGAGACTGTCAGACAGGCGCTAAGACAATAGCAATAAAGGGAACTTGGAAGAGGACTGCTGCGCAAAGTTGTCCGCGAGTCCAGATGTCCTGGGATCGGTCGCGGGCTCCCGCTGCAGACCCCCCAACCCCCAGCCCCCGGCCCCGCCGCGGTACACGCAAAATCCCTGCTAGGCAGCCGGTCCCTGGATGCCATGCAAATGCCCTGGTCTTCCAGACCCAGCTTGGGGCTCCGGGGACGCTAGGGGCTTGGACAGCAGCCACCCAACAGGAAGACCCGCCAGCGCGCTCTCCTGGCTTTACCTTTTGGCGGGCTGCCTTGGAGTCCGCGGCGCGCCGCCCGCTGGCTGTGCCCTCAGCCCCTGCCGCCGCCGCTGAGAGCAGACAGCGGGAGCCCGGCTCGCTGCGCCCCGCCCCCTGGCGCCAGGCCCCGCCCCCGGGCGCCACGTCCCGCCTCTCCACGCTGGCCCGCAACCGCGCGGAGCCACGACGGCCCAGTGGGGTTTCCGCGTGAGCTGAGCCGGAGGCGGCGGCGGCCGCGCCTGCTACTGCTGCCACTGCTGCTGCTCTGGTTGCTGCCCCTGCCGCCTTCACCGCTGTGGCTGATGCATGCCACAGGCCAGCCAGGATGTCCCAAGTTGCCAAGGGGTACCGCCACCCTCCTCCGCAACAAAAGAAAATGAACTCCAGAATAGGACTACTCTGAGTGGGTTACATGCACCTGCAGCATCAGCATCACCTGGGGGCTTGCTAGAAATGCAAATTTCTGGGCCCTAACCCAGATCTAGTGAACCAAAATCTCTGGGAAGGGGGCCTAGCATTGTGTATTTTATGAAGCTCTCAGGGAGATTCCAAGCACATTAAAGTTGGAGAAGCACCGCCAAGAGAACTAAGTGGCTGATGAGATGCATGCTCCCTCAGTCCTGAGACCCACGAGCCCACCCTGGCTGAGGGTTTAACTTGGCAGTGTTTGCGAAGCTCAAGAGTACTTGTCTGCGCCCTGGATGTCATTCATCTTGCTTTATTGACTGAGAAGTCTTTAGAGATAAACAGAGGGGGGAATACATTTACTTCTGATCTGACAGCTCTAATGAGCTCAAAGAAGAATTCTGTAAACATTATTAAGTGTAATAAACACGTGTCGGCATCAGGCAATCTTCTCTGGAGAAGGCTTGGCAAAAGCCGGCATGAGCCAACGTTTTATTCATAATGTCTTTTTAACTTTATGTTGCCTGTGTAATAGGCCTTTGGCTTTGCTGTTGCCCAGACGGAAAATCATTACCCCAGTAATGGATGAGCCAGTTCAAAAGGAGAACCACTGGGACGCTGAGCACTTTCATTCCTAAATGCTATGTATGAGACACGAGGGAAACCATCTTCTGCCAATGTGCCATTTTAATTATCTAACTGGTGTACAGGTTTCTTGTTTCAACTTCCTAAGGCATCAACTATAGAAAACAAATAAAACTTAGCCATTCACTCACCATTTGTAGTGAGTTCTCCTTCTCACTTTTTCCCACTGTACTTTCCAGAACTTTGGACATTATTACATACAGATGTTCCTAGACTTGCGCCAGGGTTACCTTCTGATAAATACATTGTAAATTGAGAATATAAAAAATGCATTTAATACATATAACCTACTGAACATCAGAGCTTAGCCCAGTCAGAACACTTATAGTCGGTAGCCTACAGTGGGGCAGGATCATCTGGTAACACAGTACACTGTAGAATATCGGTGGTTTACCCCGGTGATTGCAAGGCTGGCTGCCACTGCTGCTGCCACTCAGCCTCTCTCTCAGGAGTATCCTACTGCTTTAGCACTATCGTAAAGTCAAAAAATTTAAAAACCGTAAGTTGAACCATCTTAAGTTAGGGACTGTCTGTACTGGGGGAATTGATGATCTATTGCCAGGGAAGAAAATGATGACACTGCCTTGACCTCCACTGCTAGCTCTAGGAATTGATTCTGGTTTTGAATATTTATTTGGGGTAGATGTAGAAGTTTGAACTGATTCTGGTTTTCAATGTTTATTTGGGGCAGATGTAGAAGTTTGAAGTTCCAGTCCTCAAGAAAGCCTGGTCAAATCCTTACTCTGGTGTCCAGAGCAAGTGAGCCTTCAAAAAAACCTCTTCTCTACCACCTTCATGTTCCCCTCCTTCCCAAAAAATGTCAACCTGCTCTCAGCACCAAAAGCGTTACCATTTTAAGTAATGAAAGAGAAACATTATTATCAAGAAAATCAGTCCATCAAAGAATCCAAAACAGTTTGGCTTCTCTTCCCAAATTCCAAGAGTAATATATATGGGAGAAAAGACTAGAAATCTGGAACCACAGTGCTTATTCTAGAAAGGATATAGAATAGGAAAGAAACGAAAGACAAGGAAAGGATGAAGGAACAAAAGAAGGGAAAGAAGGAGGCAGGAGGAAAGAAGGTAAGAAGAAAGAAGGAAGGAGAAGGAGAATGGGAGGAGAAAGGAAGGAAAAGAACATTAACCGCTACTAAGACTTTTGAAATTAGAAAGAAAATTGGAAAGAGATGGCAGGATTAATTGGGGACAATGTGGCAGGGAGCTCCATGCTTATCCAACTGTATGTCAAGAGTAGGTTTCTTAGGTCAGTTTCCAAAGGAACAGACCCTGAGTAAGGATTCAAGTGATTTATTAAGAAAGTGCTCATAGGAGAAATCAGTAAGAACATTGGGGAGAGTGGCAGGGGCAGCAGAACAGGAAAGGAGAAGAAGCTGAACAAGGGTCCAAAAGTCCCACAGCAGTGGATAGGGCTTGGCTTGATTCTGCAGGGAACTTCTAGAGTTTAAGTTAAGCCTCTAAATTGCCCCACACTGAATGAAGAGAGCTAGGCAGTTTATTGGTAAACAGCCTCCCAGGGGAAATAAACTTCTTGGCACATCTGTAGGCTCCAGTAGCTTGAGGGCAGTCTTTCAGAGAAAAAGAAAAGCAAAGTTGCTAGTAGTTGAAAGCAATGGAACTCAGAAATTTGGGGGAGGTGGGATGTCACCACAAAAAAATTGTAAAAAGAATTGTATAGTATGTGAGTTGATTCTTGACTTTGTCTACTTCAGACAAAGCCAAATGTGAGTTTTCCATTTTGGGTACCAAGCATGAGCTGAGTGGCTAACACCCCACCCAAGAGGGCTTGACATTGGGAAAGAGAACCTCAGCAAGCAGTGGCTATGGGATGTCCTACATGATGGGATAGCCGGGGAATTAAAGAGGCTTGGAAAATGTGAAATCATGTCAAAGCACTGAGATATAGGCCAGCTCTCCAGTGTCCTCATAACCTTGTCACCCACATGAGCCAGCATTTGGATACCTGGCATAAGAATATATGGACAACCAGTCCCTCTTAGCCAAAGAATTCATGACAGCTCACCCAAGTGCAGATAAATAGTGGGAATTTGCCCTTCCATCTCTTTTCCCATTCCTTCCCCTAAGACCAGAGGAAAGGGGAGTTATGCCTTGAAAGTGGAAGGAAAAGGTATCTCCAAACCAAGCCTGGGTTCCCCTGGAATCCTTTGTGCTGATTTGAAAAGAGGAGTAAGAACAAGCTTGTTTACTTCTCAGCAAAGGCTCCTTAAGCTCAAGACTGGTCTGTGATCAGGAAAAGAGAGCTCTGGTTGGAGACAAAACTGGAAATGTAAATTTAAACTTGATGGATTTTTAACAGTTGAAACTGAGTAACTGAAAGTTAACCAGAAATTATGAAATCTGCCCAAGGTCTCGTTAAGGGGTCTTCTACCTTATGGAAAAAGAAAAATGGACATAATGCATTTGAGACAGAGGTTTCAGAAAAATATAATAGTTTCATGTTTATGCTTCAGTTTGTACAATAAATTGGTTATATTTGAAATTGTTTACTCCTGGCTGCCTCCCATGATGTGTCCTCAAGTAACTTTCCCTACCTTAGGTGAGCCTCCATACCAATGTTTACTGGGATGGCTGTGGCCTGGCATGGCTAGTCCTACCCAACCATCATGTGCCCTGAAATATTAAAAATGTTAGCAAGGCACAAAGGAAAAGCTATCATATAACTATGCGTGGCTAAACATCATGTATAAGTCTAATTATTTTGCTTTATTTTGAGGAAAATGACCAGCTTAGAAATATTCATAGACTAGCTTCTTCTCACTTTTCATCTGTAATTTCCTTCAAAATATCTATTTAAATACGTTGCTTTTATTTTGGTGGGAATGTTTGGCCCTGGGTATATGCACGTTGGTTCAACACTTTGGGAAACTGTTTCTATCATTAACTGAGAGCAGATTTGGATAATAATCTGAAGCTAGGAGAATCTGGTTTTGAAGATATTGTCATTTTGCCATCATACAGATGGCAGGAGTCCACTGTTCATTTTCACCAGTGTTTGGAATGCTCTGTTCTGTCCCAGTTAGAGATTCCAGCTCAAGTTTTCTATCTCTTCCTCCATCCTGTCTGGCACTTCCTAACCTGCCCTCTTGTTAGATTCTATTCCCACACTTCACTTGCTCCGTTTCCCACTTGGACCATGAGTCTAAGATCAGATACACAGTACATCCTGTGCTGAAACAGGGTGATAAATATGATTCATTAAACACAGTGTACATCAATATCAGGTCAGGGTGGAAAATATATAGCATAATGAATGGTCTACAATTTGAGATTCAAGGAAGTGCAGTCGTCCCATGGAGGGTTTTCAGTGGCATCATCAATCATGGAGGTAAAAGTGGAATGGTTTGTGGTTTACTGGAATGCCATAAAGATGTTTTCCACTTTCATTCTCACTCCCCAACAAACTCTCACCTGATTTCCTTGATGATCATAAAATCAATCCATCACCTGTGAGTAACTCACGGTTACCCTTTCCCCCTACTGATATCGCTTTTTAGGGCATCAGTTAGTGTCATATTATTATCCATGAGAAGCTTTCCAAAAATAATTTAATATAGGTTGCCAAAACTTATTGACTGACCATGGCCTTAGAATTCAACGTCTTGCAAGGGGGTTGAACTACTGATTCCCCAAAGACTAGAATTTCTTTGAAAAAAATTATAAGATCTGGCTCCAACTGCTCACTTAAAAAAAAAAAAAAACTTTTCCCCTCCCATTTCAAATTATTTCTTAAAGGCTCAGTTTTCAGGAAATTAATGTCAGTGATGGGAAAAATGTGAATCTACTGAGAAAATCAGGATTTATGGAGGGTATACAATGTGTTTAATACAATTGACTCATGAAATTTTATATTCATAAATATTCTTGTTCAATTTTTCTGAACTGAACAGCTGTTTTGGAAGAGAAATTTTCAAATGTAAACTAATATTTCATGTATACATAAATTATTAAGATCAATTAAAATATGTAGGTAATATTCCAGGTTGCAGTAGTAGCATAATAAAATATGCGTTTGTGTAAAACATCCAAATATTTAGTTAGCACAAAGAAAGTTCTTGTGTCTGTTTTTTTAGCTTTCAAGAAAGTTGAGAAATTAAGTCAACTTCAATTAAAACAAAAAGATATATATGAACATTTCATCACATTTCTATAAATTGTATGCTAGTTGCATAGCTGATTTCTATTACAGTTATAGAGGGGACTTAACTTCAGTTTAAAAGACTGTATTCAAAACCTCATGCTTCCACTTTAAGTATCTTTTCTCCCTTCGTCACAGCCTCTCAGACATCTGTCTACAACTAAATCAAGTCTCTCTGTGAAGTACTTAATGCTCTGTAAAACCAACACACAAATACACTTTTGGCCTTCACTAATTTACATAACCTTAGGAGTAGATTTCATCACAAACCTACAGTGACTCAAAACTAGGTATATATGCCAATATGTGTATTCACAGGACAATACTCTAGATTTTATATAAAGTTTTGAATAAATAATTCACCTCTTAAATTAGAAGTGAAGGAAGGTCATCTTCAATTTAATGTTCACCGACTGCTCACTGTGCATTAGGGGCTATTATCACAAAGATGAACAAGACACAGCCCTCCCAGCCCACTGTAGATTTAGGGCCATAATTGCAGATTGCATAAACTCTTACATAAATGAAGGTGGTAATTCTTCACAATTGGCATATTCCAAAACGCTACATATTTTTTATTTGCCTTCACAATTATAATGACATTTTCTCTTAGACGAACTTTAAAACTTTAGCTGTAGTTTGCTGAAAAAATAATCCTTCAGGAATTTTAATTAAAATTGTATGTATCGATATGGTATATAGGACAGTTTTGGAATTTAAATATTGTTTTACTTTTGTAAGTTCCTATTTCTCACTAGAAAGATTAAGTAGCCCCCTTCTTTTTCTCTAGTTGTCTCTTGTTTCTCTATTGCCTCTTGTGAGAGATGATAATTTTGTATGTCTTTATCTTCTTCCCCCCAAAATATCCCCCCAAAAATTTAAAAATAGAGAAATATGACATCCAGATATATAGTACTATTAATTTTTGAAATCTGTGCATGCTCTTCAAGAAGTGTATTTAACATCTCTATCAGGTTTAAAAATCATACATATAGGCCAGGTGCAGTGATTCATGCCTGTAATCCCAGCACTTTGGGAGGCTGAGGAGGGTGTATCACCTGAGGTCAGGAGTTCGACACCAGCCTGACCAACATGGAGAAACCCTGTCTCTACTAAAAGTACAAAATTAGCTGGGCATGGTGGCACATGCCTGTAATCCCAGCTACTCAGGAGGCTGAGGCATGAGAATTCCTTGAATCCGGCAGGCAGAGGTTGTGGTGAGCCGAGATTGTGCCATTGCACTCCAGCCTGTGCAACAAGAGCAAAACTCTGTCTCAAAAAAAAAAAAAAAATCACACAAATACAGTACTAGTTAATTCTGGTGCTGCTATGCATGCATACTGGAACTGAACAATTAAGTACATGTTAGATTGGCAGATTGTAAGAGATAGGTTTCCCACTGTCACAGTGGGAGCTAACAGATAAACAAAGAGGATGCTGGAAGAATCCATGAGATAATAGGTTACAGTTTGAAACATCCATATAAACTCATGTTAAGCTTAATATACAGAGAGATGGTTATGTATAGAAATACTTATAGAAATGTTGATATATACTGGTTAGTGTACATGTGTATATCTTCTTGCTCTGTCAACTGAATGGTCCTAGAAGAAAAGACGGTCCAGTAGCAATGAACACACTTAGCATCCAGATCTTGGTTTCTAATACCATTCTCCAATAAACAGAACCAAGGCTTCTTGGAGAAATGACTGATTCTAGGGTTGGGGCAGGAAATATTAACAATTATCAAAATAACTAATATTTATGAAGTTGCTCCCCTCCTCCTGTAAATGAGCTATATATTTTATATGTATTTTTCCTCCTTTAATACTCACAAAAGTAGCCAGAGCCTGTAATCCCAACACTTTGAAAGGCTGAGGTGGGAGGATGACTTGAGGCCAGGAGTTCAAGACCAGCCTGGGCAATATAGTGATACCCTGTCTCCACAAAAAAAAAAATTAAAAAATTAGCCAGGTGTAGGGCACACATCTGCAGCACTGACTACTCAGGAGGTTGAAATGGGAGGATTACTTGAGTGCAGGAATTCGAGGTTTCAAGGTTGTAGTGAGCTATGATTAGGCCACTGCTCTCTAGCCTGGGTGATTGAGTGAGACCCTGTATTTAAAAAAAATAAAAAAGATACTCAATAACCCTGTTAGGGAAGAACTGAGTCTAAATTTTAGGGTGTCACAACTCAATACCATTTTGAATACTATGACAGTTAGGTTTTTGTTTGATTTTTTTTTTTTCCTTCATGACTTAAAACCAGGAAAACCCTTTCAAGCAATTTATTTTTCATTAAAATTCTTGGGGTGGTATTATTTGTTAGTCTATGCATACCTGACACTATCTTTTTGTTAGCACTGACCATAAAAAAATGACCTAACCAGGAATACATATAATTAGACATAAAAAGTATTTTCTCTTGAAATTCTATAGAGATTCTTCCTTCTTTTGGAGCATTTAGATTTTGATATAATCTGGTTCTGTTTCTTCTTTGGGTAATACAGCATTTATATGATGCTAATTTACTTTTTTAAATTAATAAGGTACATTAGGAAATGCTTGGGTATGGGACATTTTTGGTAATACTAATTAATACTCTAATCATGAATTGAACTGAAGGCTCAAGTATTTTAGAGAAATTGTCTGTATTTTAAAATTTGTAAGAGACAACATTTGTATGCCTTCATGCTGTCTAACTGATCCTTGATTTTGTTTCATTATCTGCACTCCTCAAAACTGTGCTTCAGATGCGGCAGGAGGCCAAGCCCTACACTGGGTAAAACGTTATTGTTCTAAGTCAGTCATGGTGGCCCCTTTTCTGCATTGGGGCAGGAACATGGGATGCAAGTTCAGTCAAGGAGTCAAGGGAAACGTGTGTGTCTGTGTGTGAGTGAGTGTGCACGAACAGAGGGAAATGGTCCTTTTCCTTAAAAAAAAGAGGGATACACTGCTCTGCATTTGTGACAACCATCCTGTAACAATAAGATAATGTAATATGATGAAAAATATAGAGTAGAAAGAGGAAGAAAAACTATGTCCTTGATGACATCGCTGGGCTTCTATATTAATCTAACTTGGAGCCATCATATTTCCAGATTTCTTGCTTTATAAAATAATATATCATTGTTACAATTATTCTGAGTTGAGTGTATTCTACTTATAGACTAAAGTATCATAAAATATTTTTAACATTCTTTTATCCATTTTCTCTTTTTCTTTATTTCTCATAATTTATATTGACTCATAGATATATTTAAAACATTTTATTATGAAAGATAACATATTTACAGAAATTGATACAACACATGAATGTAGAGTATAATGAGTTGTTATTAAGAAACACCACTGGAAATATCAGCCAGCCACCCAGAAGCCTCAGCATACCATTCTTCAATTCTCTGTCCTCTTCCTTGGTAGTAATCACTCTCCTGACTTCTAAAATACTCTACAGTACAGTATTTTTTTTTTCTCTAAGTTTTCCACTGATGTATTCCTAAACAATATAGTTTGGTTTGACTCTTTGGAGTTTTATATGAATAACACAGTATGTATTATTTTAAGACTGTTTCCCTTCTCTCACTCCATGTTATGTTTGAGAAATTAATCCATGTTCTTTTGAGTAGTTGCACTTAATTTTGTTGTAATATATTATTTCAATATATGAATATAACACAATTTCCATATTCATTATGCTGTGGATAGATACTGAATTGTTCCCAGTTTTTGTCTATTGCAAACAATGCTGCTATCACTGAGCTTGTTTACGTATCATGATGTTAGTACCCACCACCATCTGAGAGTGTATATTTTGAGTAGATTTGCAAGGTTGTAGGGTAAGTATACAGTCAATTTTACTAAAAAATGCCCGATTGTTTTCCAAAGTGATTGCACCAATTTACACTCACTGAAGTAGTTTATTAAAGTTTTTTGTTGCTTCACGCCCCAGCCAACATTTGGTATTGTTAAACTTTAAAAAATTTTTTGTCTATCTGTTGGGCAGGTAATACCTCATTATGGTTTTATTTTGCACATACCTAATTATTGATGGGAATGTTTAAAATATTGCACTTTTGATTTGCTAAAATATCAGAAGTTTACTGGCCTAATATATTTTCTTGTTTGTTAAATACCTGTTTTAGCTTTTTTTGTGTTTCAGTGAGGCATTCATCAAAGGAAATTCTGATTTAAAAACTTTAACATTGACAACACAGAGCCTGTAAAAGAACTTGGTGAATCTAAAATTAATGTAACTCATCATTCCCAATGCACTTAAAAACCATTTCATGTGGACCTTGAAGCCCTTTTAACTTCTCACTGCCAAACCAAGCTAATAATAAATTTTAAATGCTAGAGGAAAATTAATACCCTCACATTCATTAATGTGTCTACACCTGTAAGATGAATTGTGTAAACCTCTTAGCAACAATCTATAAAATATGTTGTAAATACTTTTAAAACCCCTTCAAGTGATATTCTTATTTAAATTTTAGTTATAATACCCGAGATGCCACATTCTGGATTTTTAGTATAGTTGTAAATTTTCAGTAGATTGCTATTCTATTATATAAACAGAAATATTAATGGCAAAGTCATTTATTGAGTTTTTGTCTACTGAAAGCAAAGGTCCTGGTGGAAATTGATTGGTAAGTTGAAGCTTGTCTTTAAGAAACAATGGTCTCTATCTGAATTACACATAATTTTTAAACTCTATACAGAAGTGATTTGCTAAAATATCAGAATAATTGAGTTCCTCTTCTTCTCTAAAGAAATACATATTTTACAACATAATGTATAACATAGCACATAAATATAAGTATATAGACTCCCCATGACATATTTCTATTTTTGTATGTGTATAAATATAAAATATTAGCATTAATCAAATTGTGAAGCACAAGTATATTAATCTGTTTTTATCAAAAGAGAGTTAATATGTGTTATACCCAGAAAGAAAAAATAAGAAACGTCTCTTTTTTGAAATACATATGACGTGTGTGTTTATTGGGGGTTATTAGGTTTTTCCTTGTTATTAGGTTTTTGCTTGTTTCCAACAGGGTTATTAAAAAATGTTAGCATGCTATCTGATTTTACTGTTAGAGAAGTACAGAAATGTTACAGAAAGCTGGTTTAAAATATCTATTTGAAAATGACTTCATATTTTAACTATGACAGAGTAACCAGATGAGGACCTCTGACCTAAAGGAATTATAAAATGGTAATAAATATATGAAGCCATCATTTGCAGGAATTAATCAATAGGCTGGACAAAATTATAGACCTTGAAAGAAGAGGAACACAAGAAGTGAGCCCTGTGATCACTCCAATGACACTTCAGCTTTCTCAATGGCAGGAAAATGGAACTTACAGGATTAATGGTCTCAGTGATTTGAAAAGGGAGAGATTGGTGATCCAGGATGTGAAAACATCTGAAATTTGCAAGGCATGTTAACTAAGAAGATCAAGCTATGCTAAAAGGGGCCCCAGCAGTGTGTGTGGGGATTAATTGGAGTCCTTGGCCAAGGACTGGGCTATGTATGTGCAAAGTGAGGCTTCACAAAACCTAGCTAAGATTTTTTTTTTCAGGGCTGAGAACTGAGTAGTAATACTACAGTACATATACTGCCGGAATTCACTGGAATTGCAGCCAGCCAATGTGATGAGATCTCAATTGTCATTCAGTTGAGATTCAGATAAATCATATCTAAAGAGTAAGGACCATGCCCTAGGCAAGGGACTGCCTTAGGCTGAACTTAATAACTAAAAACTAAATATAAATAAAGCCATTAAAAAGAATAAATCTACATAAGACAAAATCAAAAGCATCCACCAGTGATTTAGCTGTCACACTTAAAAAGGCAATTGTTTAAGGAAGACAACACGATTCTAGATGCCCTATAATTTAAGACTTATAATGCCCAGCATATAACAAAAAATTACTAGACATATTAAAAAGAAATGAAAAAAGGTGACTCATAGTTGAAAGAAAACACAATCTATATAAATCAGTACTAAATATACAGATGTTGGAATTAGCAGACAAAGATTTTAAGCAGGTTTTATAAACATTTTAAAGGATAATATGATCATGATGAATGAACAGATGGGGTTTCTCAGAATAGGTATGAAAACTATCATGTGAAAGAAATGGAAATTATAGAATTGAAAAGTATTATATTTGATAAAAATTTACTTGATAGCGTTAATCATAGATTGACAACATTTAAAAAGTAATTGAGTTCAATAACAAAGCAATATGTAATTATGTAATTTGAAGAATAGAGAAAAAATAAGGTAAAAAGTTGAACAGTGCTGAACCTGTGGGACAATACCAAAAATTATAACACAAACATAATTGAAGTCTTACAAGAAGAGGAGAAAAGGGGTGGGGGGAAAGAAGAGACAGAATATGAATAAAGCAGTAAACAATATTTAAAGAATGATAGCCAGTATTTTCTGAATTTGGTTAGAAACATCAACTTAAAGAGCCAAAAAAGCTATGAGAACACCAAATAGGATAAATGCAAAGAAAACCATGTCCAGACACATTATAAACAAACGGACAAAAACCAAAGATAAAGAGGAAGTCTTTAGAGCAAATAAAAAATCATGGCACATTATGTTCATGGGAACATAATCATGTCACATTATGACAGTTTATTTCTTGTGAGAAACAATACAGTAAAAAAAGTAAATGCAATGACATCTTTAAGTATTGAAAGAAAAAAAAAACCCTGTGAATTAAAAATTCTATATCCAGGTGAAATAGTCTTCAAAAATGAAGGTGAACCAAAGATATTTTCAGATAAATGAAAACAGAAGGAATTAATCAGAAACAGACCTGTATTGCAAAAATGGCAAAATAAACCTTTCATGTCAAAAGAAAATTATAGCGATGGAAATTCAGATTGACAGGAAGAAAAGAGAGCACAGAAATGTTAAATATTTGGGCAAAATATAAAAGACTATACATTTTTCTTCTTTTATTTCTTTAAAAATATTATTCTTTAAAGTAAAAATTAAAACAGAATTTTAGATCTTTTAATGCATGTACATGCAATACATACATGCAGAACACACAATATCACAAAGAAAAGGGATGAATGAAACTATAATGTTGCAAGGTTTTCACATTTTACATGAAGTGGTACAATATTATGTAGACTGTTAAGAAGGACATATATTATAATCTCTAGAACAATCACTGAAACATATTGCAAGGAAGTATAGCTAAAGTACCTATTTCTCATTTACTTTTAACTACATGAAAGTAGAAAGGAGAAAAAAGCAATATATCTTCCCCACCTACCACAAGGGTAATGGTCAATACTATAACAAAAGACAGGTCAGCAAGAGAAAAGCATAACAAATTCATTTAGCAAGGTTTTATGAGACATGGGAGCCTTCAGAAGTGAAGGCCCAGAGACCCAGAGAAAACTGTTTTAATGCTAAGTTTGATAAGACAGGTAGATAGTTATGGAGAAACATGATTAAACAAAAAGAGTATAACTGAATGGTAATAAACTGAGTGGGGAACCCAGGAAGGCCTGTTTGTTCTGATTTTTTTCTCTCTCTCTGTAAGATATCCATGTCCCTAACCCCCCAATATGGAGCAGGTTACTTGTTCCATTGAGGACTTTCAGGAGGAAGGGAGAAAATCAGAGACCTTCCTAGGTTGTAAGCCTTGCTCTGAGGGAGAGAAATTCTAGTTTCTATGACTCACTTAGGGGATAATGGAGCAGATGGAGAGAAGAGGATGGAAGAAGGTCAGAGTCCTTGCTTCTACAGCCCTTCCAATCTCCTTCAGTTCAAAGTACTCAGCATCTTAAGTTAACATAGTTTGGGGTATTTTGTTCTGACTCCCAACAGAAGAAAACCATACAAGCATCAAAGTACCAAAATCTAAGAGGTAAGATTAAATAGGCAATCTTAAATCTTTGAATACTGTTAAAAAATATATATGTTTTTGTTTAATATGTTGAAAAGTATGTATTTCAAGATAGGTTAGCTTTAGCTTGCCTGAAAATGCTAAGTTGTCGAATTCAGCCAAATTCAGTTTGAGATATTCAAAATCATATAAAGTGTAAACGTTTTTAAAGAAGACTATTAGTAGGTCTGTTGTCCAGCTACATCTGACTTATAAAATAAATGGAAGTTGGGATTTTTATTTGTTTTTACGATGTGCACACATATTCTTAAGACCATCAGTATCAGTGGTTTTTCAGTGTTTTCTTTTTCCCAAAGCACTTTTTTTTTAAATTGAAGTCCTTTATAGAAGACCAAGATAGAAAAACAGATATAATAAGTAATGTAGCTTTGTCAACATTAAGGTGGGGGTTCTGCAGAGGATTTCCTATGTAGATCATCTCTGGTGAACTTCCCTTCAGTGTCCAGATAAGCACTAGAAAAATCACTGATGTGAAACATTTCCCTTACATACATAAAATTTCAACTGATACTTAGAGTCTGTTAAATAATTATCTTGGAATCTATGTTAGAATCAGGACAATGACCTTTAAGTTATTCTATTTTGAGATTTTAAAAGTATTAAAAAAGGGTATATATTTTAGAACATTTCTTAAAATAGTTTTTATATATACTGTAATTTAAAATTGAGATTCAGAAATTGATAAATCAATCTTCTATCAATTTACCAATTGTCTCACTAGTCTATCAAAATGACCAATAAATTATTGTATTGCCAGATGTACTTAAAATGGCTAAAATAGCATACTGTCCATTTATTTTGACTTCTAACTTCCATTGTGCCTTCATTCTACCAGCTTGGACATTGAAAGGCATCACCATTGATATAAATCCCAATTATTTCCTAATTTTAGAATGAAGGGAATAGTCAAGTTCATTTCTGTCTCCTAACTCATATGGAAGCATATTTTAAAAAAAAAATCATTTGTAAATTTTTCTTAAAAGTAGACATCTGATTGTTTCATTAACGGTTTAAAATTATTAACACACTAAACAAATTTGATTGTAATAGACAAGCTTAGTTAAAGCTTTTCTTTTATATTGCTATTTTTAACATACTAAACAAAATCATTCTATTTAAAATAATGGGCATGTGTTTTCATTGTATGTAGAGTTTTTTTGTCCTTGAATTTTTTTACCAGTTTATACAAATAGGTAAAGAAGAATAAAATAGCATCACAGACTCATGAGAGTAACATGCTAAAGTTCAGGGCACACCAAGTTATAAATCTGAAAGATCCACTTGTGTGGGATAAATCAACATAACTATTCAACAATTAAATCTATAACGTATATATTTCTTAATTACCAGGCATTTAGTTTCCTTTTACAAGCTTACTGTTGCATTCTTTATAGCTGATTATCACATCATTCTTTATAAATGATATGTGATAAAGAGTGGCTGCATAACCTCAGAATATTCATCAAGAGACATATGTATCAGTGGTAAATCACACTTGACTTGTGCAATGCCGATAGAGGAAGTGCAATCTTCCAGCTCCCTATGTGTGAACCATGTGGATACATAACACTACAATTTAAACAACTAAAATAAAATCCACAGTAGACCAAGACATTGAATTGAAATTTCTCAAGACCAGACCAACCAAGCAAGGAAACAAAAAATACATTATTTCCCTTAGTTTGGTTTCAGTTAATAATCTCTACTGTTTTAAAATTATCTTCTTTAATAGCAAGCACTTGAAACTGACTTTGGCAGAATGGAGTTGGAGGGAGAGAAGCTTACAGAGCCAAACGGAAGAGTGACAGATACTGAAGAAACAAAAAGAAACCAAGAAGCTCCCAAAAGTCCTGGTAGCAGGGGTGAGTCCACAACTTTATTAGTTATCTATTGCAATTTAACAGATTACTCCCCAGACTTAGTAGCTTAAAATGACAATAAGCACCATTATCTCTCACAGTTTCAATGGTTAATAATTTGGGAGCATCTTGGCTGTTTTTGTCTCAGGGTGTCTCATGAAGTTACCACCAAGATGTTGGCCACAGGCCGGGCACGGTGGCTCACACCAGTAATCCCAGCACCTTGGGAGGCCAAGGTGGGTGGATCACCTGAGGTCGGGAGTTTGAGGCCAGCCTGACCAACATGGAGAAACCCGTCTCTACTAAAAATACAAACATTAGCCGGGTGTGGTGGTGCATGCCTGTAATCCCAGCTACTTGGGAGGCTGGGGCAGGAGAATCGCTTGAACCTGGGAGGCGGAGGTAGCAGTGAGCTGAGATTGAACCATTGCACTCCAGCCTGGGCAACGAGAGGGAAACTCCATCTTGGAAAAAAAAAAAAAAAAGATGTTGGCCACAGCTGAAGTCAGGTGAAGGATTAACCAGAGCCAGAGATCCCAGTTCCAATGAGGTTCATTCACATGGCTGTCAAGCTAGTGCTGGACTTTAGCAAGAGCGTCAGTTTTTCTTCACATTCAAGTCCTCTAGGTCAGTTTGAGTGTCCGAACAGCACAGTGCTGATTCCTTTTAGAAACAGAGATGAGAAAGAAAAAGAGATGAGAGAAAGAAGGAAGGAAGGAAAGAAAGAAAGGAAGGAAAGAGAGAGAAAGAAAGAGAAAGAAAGAAAGAAAAGAAAGAAAGAAAGAAAGAGAAAGAAAGAAAGAAGGGAAGGAAGGAAGAAAGAAAGAAGGGAAGGAAGGAAGGAAGGAAGGGAGAGAGAGAAGGAAGGAAGGAAAGAAAGAAAAAGAAAGAGAAGGAAAGAAGAAAGAAAGAGAAGGAAAGAAGAAAGAAAGAAAGAAAGAAAGAAAGAAAGAAAGAAAGAAAGAAAGAAAGAAAGAAAGAAAGAAAAAGAAAACAAATCAGGTAAAGTTGTATCCTTTTTATGACCTAGATTTGAGAGTTACACAGAAATTACACACTCTATTCATTAGAAGCAAGTCACTAAGTCTGCCAAAATCAAAGAAAAAGGAATGAGTTTCCATCTTTTGAAGGGAGGGGTGTCAAAGGATTTGCAGACATACTGAAACCACTACAACATCCTTCCTAGGGCTTCTACTGGAATGGATCAACTCCAGATGTTTTATTCTGGTTTTGTATCATCCTGGTGAAAGTTCAAAGTCAAAGGAAAGCCAAACTGTCATATTTTGTTCATGGATCTACCCTTTGGTGAGGGAGGCTAGAAATCTTGGCTTAAATTTCTACTAAAACTATACATAATGGAAATTATTAATAATTCCTAAAAGGATTTAAAGGTTTTATTATTTATATTTGTGTAATACAAATGATTTGGATATTAAGATTCTCAAAACAATAAAAGTCCACAACATATGGAAACAGCAAATTTGAAAAAAAAACAAAATTAAACGTATTAAATATCTATCAAATACAATTCCCTGTCACGTTGCATATTCTTTGACGAGCACAGCACAGTACTAACAACAGTGTTCACAAGATTGAAGACCTCCTGTATTGCTTTTCAATCTAATATCTCAAGCACAGTTAGATTTTCCATCTTACACAACTATGGATTTCTATTCTTCAATACTTTCTCTAAGCAAACGGTGTAACTGCTCATTAAATTGGTTCCTCTTCCAACTGTATTTCAATTAGTGGTAACATTTTTCTGTTACAAACTCTAGAAATGAATTCTATTACCAATAAAACTGTTCTTACTTCAGAGATGAATAAAATCTTCTAAAAATACTTTCTGAACTGACACTGTTAACCTCTCAGGATATAAGAAACTTTTATAACATCGTTTTTCTTGGTGTACAGGCAACCCAGAACCAGCTTCCACCTGGTTCTCTCTCTCTCTCTCTTTCCCTCCCTCTCTCCCTCCCACCCCTTTTCTGACCTTTCCAGAAGCAGAATTTGGCATGGAGCCCAGCTCTAGAATAGGTTTCTTTCCTTCACTTACTCCACTCTTAACAGCCAACTGGTTTGTTTTGGTGGGGAATCAGCCACCATGACATGAGAATGCTGCAAGTGTCTCACATGAAGAATCTGGTGCAGCTTCAAGAGTGAGGTGAACAATTTGGTAACACCAAGCATGCAGCAGACATCTCAGCAATAATTCAACAATAAAAAATAAAATTAGCAATTGATTTACCCCACCAAGAATCTATCAGTCATAAAAACAAAGAAAGTAAAAGAAAGAACTTTCTGTTTCTTTGAGTAAATGATTTTTGAAGGATGGCTATAAAGGAAATATAGTCAGTGTTTAATCTTGTAGTCCATAAATGTTTTCTTCAAGTTGCAGGAAGGAACTGAAGTGTAACAGAAGAGGGAAGGAATGTCCCACACCCATTCATGCCAAATGAAGTAGGATATTTACTAATACATGTTCAAAAAAGGGATAAGATGGGAACTGCAAAGACATAGGATTGAGGAGTGCACTAATGTGATATCACATGGTTTGAAACTTCTAACTTAACTAATAAATAGAAAATAATAACAATAATAGCTACCTCTGAAAAGACAGAAATGAGGCTCTGAGGTCATTAATCTGAGAGGCGTATAAAAGATGCATTTTTCACCTCCGCGATTTAGGGAATACTTACGCCACATCAGAGCAGACATTGCAACCTATTTGAATATATATTTTCAATATCATTTTGGCCTCATTGGCCTCATTTTTTTGGTGGGAAATAAAAACTACTCAAGCTTATCAGTCACATCCCACCTGTTCTGAAACAATAAGAAAGAGTCCCAGCAGACAACGTTTTCATACTTAGAAAGCTCAAGGTACTTAAAGAAATAACATTCTAATTACTTCTCTTCTGGCCTCAGATGACTACGATGTGTTGCCTATTTTTCTAAGACAGTCCTTTCCTAACCATGGAGTCCCTGGTTTCCTCAGGGTTCCTCAAGACTGGGTGTGCTTGGGGTGGGGGACTTGGCCCTAGGTCCTCCCACACCAGCTTCTTCCACCCCAAGTGGAGCCACCCAATTGTATCTTTTACATGCAGAACTTACAAGCAAGATGCCATGTGAAGAAAGGGCTTCACAACTGAAAAGAAATTTGAAGACTGTTCCTTTAAGGCAATGGCAAACACGAAAACAAAGAAGCAAGCAAAACAAACCAGTTGGCTGTTAAGAGTGGAGTAAGTGAAGGAAAGCAACCTATTCTAGAGCTGGGCTCCATGCCAAATTCCGCTTCTGAAAAGGTCAGGCATTCCCCCACTACAAGTTCCCCAAAGAGGCTTACCATTTCCCTGTGCTCTCTCAGCATAACAGCGGATTCTAAGACACAGTGAGACATCTGGAAAATAAAAAGATAATCTCCTTCTCCGTTTACTAGCCTCTGGCCCCATTGGCCTTTCTCCCATCTTGGCCATCGTCCTTGCCACTGCCATCCACACTTCTCAAAGACTTCCATTGCCTGCCTCCATCCAGGCATCACTCCCAGCTTTCACCAAATTTTACTTTCTTTTCCTCTTCCTTATCAAAAGTTGCCTGTCCTGGGCCCATTTCTTCGTTTCCGTGTGACTCATTAGTTAAGCTAATAACCAATTCTGCCCAGAGTGATAATGGCTTAATAAATAACCAACTATTTATTCAATCATTTGCATACTCACTAACTCACTCAACTAATATTTTCAGGCTTTGTATTCCTAGAAAAAATCGAGTAATTTAAGTAATTATGATACATCAGTGGAATGACATATTCAGGCAGGGAAACTCCACCTGGCACCTCATAAATGGCTGCTACTGCCCCCGAAAAAGAATTTATTATAGTTCGTGGTGTTATGATACTTGTTTGTGTGTTGGTAGAGGGAGAAGTAGAAGGAAGAAGTTTTTTTTTTTTTTTTTTTTTTTTCCGGGAGAAATAAAGTCTATCTGTGACACAAACTAGCTGGATGATTTTGAACAAGTTGTTTCAACTTCCTGATTTCAATTTCTACACCTTTAAAATGAGTGATCTAGAGCCAATTATCTTTAAGCCTCTTTACAAATCTTTATTCAGTCTTAGGATTCTTGTTCTCAACAGGAGATATCTTCTTTTGCTATTTCCTTCCATAGTATACCTGTTACTATTACAAGATGCTTCTTCACCTACTACCCCAAAAGGAACACATAGAAACTCAGAACAAATAGAAACACAGACTATTAGTTTGTTCAACCAGAGATGTCCTTAGCGCCTTACAGCCCTCTGCATGGAAAATGCTTGGCTCACACTAGCTCCCTGTCTCTTATTTAAGGACAATCCCAGTTCAATATTTTCATAAGCACATAGCCAACTTAATGATAATAGGAAACTTCTTTCCCCAAAATTCCATTATGAAAATTTTCAAATGTGCAGAATATGAAAGAATAATATATTAGTCACTATAAGGGCCCCTCCTGGATTCTATAATAAATATTTTACTTTATCACATTATTATTCATCCATCTCTCCATGTTACCATTAATTCAGAAGATAAGGATTTAGTAAACAATGTTAAAAATTACCAAATTTGATAATAAATTGTTTGTGAATGTTTGTAGTTTATATCTTGCTATCATATATCCAAATAAGGCATATTAGAGTTTTGCTCTCTGCATTTTGTGTTCTAGTTAAGTTACAAGGAAAAATTGATACAACAGTGTGAATATGTCAGTAATTTCTGCATGTCTCAGGATATATTTTCTAATTAACTGGAGGTAAGATGATCTTTTTTTTGAAAGGATAGTTTTTATAAACAATTTCATTATATTTAGGACGTATTTACTGACTTTCCCCTATGTGCTAGGCCGTCAGGATAGTCATAGCTCTTACCCACAGGGAACATATTGTCCAAAAGGAGTAATAAAATACAACAATATGTCACATACAGTTATTACAAATTTATAGTTAGGAACCCATAGTGGATACTGTGGTGTGCAACCCAATCTCTCTTTAGTAAAGACTGTGGGAAGTTTTGGAGAAGAAAAGCTTTAAGCTGAACCTGTCTCCTACTAGCCTCAGCAGCAGAGAACCAAGATCAGGTCCTTCCCAAGGGGCAGACCACATTGAAATCAGGCCTATGCAGGGGTAGAAAGACCCAGCCCCTTGTCTCAACTGGGGACCTCACTGAAGGGTCATCCCAGTTCTAGAGCTCCCCATGATATCAGCTGAAGTCTTTACTGACACTACATCAGAACCCAACTATATCCAGTCATTCTTCCATTACTTTCCCATAGGTGTTGACCCCAAGTGGCTCACTAATAAACTTTCTCAATGAAAACTTTAATCTCAGTCTGTTTCAGGAAATCTAACCTAAGGCAGAACCTAAATGAAAATCCACTGCTCTAGAATGAGTTCTTTTCTGGCATTATTTAATCATAACATACGAATTTTCATTTTTATAGTACTTATATTACCACAACTAATATATTAAGTGCTTTATAGACATTAGAAATGTATATGATCTTACTTAACCCAAAGGATGACTTTATGTCATGGGAACTATTACTATCCTCATTTCACGCCTGTATCAATAGAAGCTAAGAAGTTATTTCACTCTAATTATACAGTTTGTAAGTAGAAAGGCCAGGGTTTGAACCTAACCCTTCCCAATTGGATCATACTATACTGATTTCTTTAATCTTGCTGACACAAAAGATTATGGAGTCAACCTAGCAATTCATGTTTTAGTCATCCTATACATTATCACTTTCTAGATGTATTCAGGTCTTTATATTACACATGTCAAACTTGAGATGACTTCAAGATCAAAGGCATGAAGAGTGATAGTTTCTTCCCCCTGTATTGATCTCACAGCCTCACCTGTGAAATGCTGAAATGTTGGAAATTTTGCAGATGGAAGCAGCTGAGAAGAATTCTAGCTAGCCTTTTGTAAAGGAAAGCTATTTTGCCATTTAGTGACAATTCAATGACATTTAAATGTGAATGCAAGTCAGCAGTAGAGAGAAGAGAAAAAGAGAAAACAAGAAGGATAATGAAGGTGAAACTAAAAGAAAATTAAGACAATGTCTGATTTAAATAATATATTGCAACTCAGGGCTCCAAAACAAAATAAGCCAGGAAGATTTGGGCCAGTCAAGACACAGTAAATGATACTAGTAATACAACAAAGATGACATAATTTCACCAAACCAGATTTCTGTGGAATAACAGGCAGTCTTTTGAATTATACTGCGTTATACTGTTTTATATTTAATGATGTTCCCTGGCATACAGGAAAAAAATCAATATTCATTTATTCCCTTCAAAAAATGCTCAAAGAGCATTTTCTAGAACTATTTCCTCAGTGTGGTGGATAAGGTAAGGGGAAGGAAACTAGTTATTATAAAGCTTTCACAGTGCTCCAGGCATTGTACTAGACCTACCCTTTGCCATCTGATATTTCGTTTTGTCCTCATGAAATTATAGGATCAGTGCAAGTGTATATCTTTGTCCTTAGGAGTTCTCAAAATACTTGAGGTATCAGGACTGAAAAGGCTAAAAAAAATCAGCAATAGCCAATGCATATAAAGTATTTATTTGTCAAGTATTTTCTTCCTACATTTTATTTTAAAGAAAAATCAATTTATTATAATTGACACAACACTGTACATGTTTATGGTATACATAGTAATATTTCAATACATACAATGTGTAGTGATTAGATTAGGGTAATTAGCATATCCATAACATCAAACATCAATCCTTTCTTTATGTTGGGACATTCGATATCTTTCCTTTAGTATTTGAGATTATCTAATATGTTATTAACTGTTATCATCCTCCAGTGGTCTAGAACACTAGAGTTTATTCCTCCTACCTAGTTGTAATTTTGTATCCTTTAAGAAATCCCTTCCTATCCCCCTATTCACCCCTCTTCCCTGCCTCTAATATCCTCTGTTCTTCTTTTAAATTGTCTTAATTCTTTTAATTCTCATAATAACTATGGGAACGGTATCTATTATGGGCATTCTAAGTCCAGAGAGGTAATGTAACTTGTCAAAAGTTACATGGCTTAAAAAATTATAGACCTGGGATTTTAATCCGGGCAACTTGAATTCAGAAAGTAAACCCTTAATCCTGACTCTTCACTGCATCTTTTTTTCAGGAACAAACATAACCCATTCAGCAGATGAGCTGCCAACCTAGGGATATGAGTGACTGTTGCCTTTGCAATAGCAGCAGCAGCCACAGAAATATTTATGGAGCACTTACTAGATATCAAGTCTTGTGTGAAGCACTTTACATGCTTTCTGTCATTTAAGATCCCAAGATTAAAAAGACAGTTTTCAGGGAAATGAATGTGTCTGACAAAAAGTGCTCTAAAACAACATAAGTGGAAAAATTATCACTAGCTGAAGTGAGGGTGAGAGGTAAGAGGAGTGCTCTTCACAGCTAAGGTGGAATTTATTTTAAATCTGAAGGAATATACAGATAAAGCAAATTAGGATTTATTCAACACTGTATGCCAGAGCTTTTACTAGGCTGTCTTATATGCATGATCTCATTCAGCATAATTAATCATTATTATTTCCATCTAGAGATGAGAAAATTGAGCTCTGGCCAAGTGAACAACTTGTCTGAGGTCCTATGCCTGGGAGTGGTAGTCAGGATCAGATGGGGTCTGTTTGACTCCGAGCCTTCAACAGTCTGTTGCTCATAAGATTTGGATTGCCTAAAAAATGACAGAGAAGTTCTAGATGGCAATTCAGGGACAGAAATGAGCATGATATGACCAGGTGAGCATACTTGGGCCATTAACCAAAGCAAATTGTTACTGTAGGGATAGCAAAGGGAAGTACACATAGAAAAGTAAACTGATGCAATTGGTGGTAGACCAGGTTTTGGAGTTTAAATATTTTTCTCTAGACCTTATAGGGCCTGTGAAATTCTTGAGCAGGGATATTGCATAATGAATAGGTATTTTAGAAAGATATAGAAAGTAAATATGCATCTAAAAAATACCTATGCTTAATGACTCATAAAAATATTAAGTTGGTCCAATACACATCATTTTTATTATATATATACATAAATATTCTGCCACTTTTAAACACCATGTTCATATTATGGTTCTCTTCCCCAGAGAGAAACAATATAAATTTTATCTCGCAGTCACATTCAGGCTTTTGAAAACAACAGCACTGTTCTCTTTCCTTTTATACTACCAGATCTGGAACTGCACTTACGAACCTTCAGCTTAAGTCAGGATCCTTAAAACTGATTTTGAAACATGCCTTTAGTTATCATAGTAATGGATATTAGTTAGATAGAGATATATGTCATGTTTGTGTGATCTTTTTACATACAGAAGATTAGAAGTTAAGGTTAGTAGAAGTTAGTAGGTTAAGAAAAAGTTCAATTAATCTTTATTTTTTTATTTCTGTTTTTCTCTGAATCCCTGAGCCTATATATTAAAACCTATTACATACAATTTTTTGTCAATATACAACAGGTAAAAGCCCTCAGTAGCAGCATCTGAGACGCCTGTGTATCAGATTCAGAGAGAGTTAAGGCAGATTAAAATCAGTAGCTGGTTTCTGAAAATACGAAGGCAGCACCAGTTTTTCAGACCTCCCAGTTCTCTTACCATGTGTGATAAATACACTTGGTACAGGGAAAAATGCAGAGACCCAAGAATCAAAACTTCCGTCTCACCACCACGGTGATATTTTTATTGGCAAGATGGGGTAGCCATGAACCAGGGAGGATGGCCAGTGAGGACAGGGCCGAGAACTCAGGCTGGCAAGAGGTGTTGGGGGCATGGATGGATCTTTGTTTCCATCATACATGTGAAAATTTCAGCTGCTGCCAAGAAGTTGAAGCTAAAACCACCAATTCTTTCACTCTCAAAACACGCTGTGCATTTTAGTCAGTTTTAAAAGTGGGAAACTCTTCTCTGTTATTCATAAGACTCTCTCTTGCTAATAATTTGCATTTGCCTCTAAGAACAAAAAGAAATAGGCATATCTGTGTCTGTGGGGCATCTCACATAAAATTACACAAATGTTTTTTTTGTTTTTTGTTTTTTTCAGACAGAGTCTTGCTCTGTTGCCCAGATTGGAGCACAATGGCGCGATTCTGCTCACCATAATCTCCACCTCCTGGGTTCAACTGATTCTCCTGCCTCAGCCTCCCGAGTAGCTGAGATTACAGGCATGCGCCACCACACTTGGCTGATTTTTGTATTTTTAGTAGAGATGGGGTTTCACCATGTTGACCAGGCTGGTCTTGAACTCTTGACCTCAGGTGATCTGCCCGCCTCGGGCTCCCAAAGTGCTGTGATTACAGGCCTGAGCTACCGGGCGCGGCCCACACATGCTTTTTAAGAGGTCATCAAAGGTCCAAACAAAATTCTACGTGTGGCTACTTAGTTACTAAACCCATGAATGAAAGATACAAAGGGGTCTATCGCCTGATATAACATTGTTTTTCTCATTCAGACTAAGCTCCAAAATGAAAAAATTCCATGATGCCAAGTCACATGGCAGCATTTTGTGCTGGCCTCAGTGGACCTGTCACATCATGATCTCTATTTTATTTGAAATGTATAAGTTAATCCACAAGTGCCCATGTGTGATATCTCCATAATAGGGGTACAAATAGTATTTGGAACTCTATCTCTATCAAGTGACTAGATTAAAAGAGCAGCAGCATTCCCTCTTTGCACAGAGACAGTGATGTTCAAATAGGCACCTAGGAGATGGTGAGTACTTACAATGAGTTATGGCTTGAATGGAATCGGTATAACCTATTCCTACAGACACACCTGTTAAGTAACTGCTATAATGGCTTCCTGTGCTAAAAATAAATGGAATTTCCACCCCTTCCCACCCTACCCCATGCCCAACAAAGGAAACCCTCCAAACTTTTCCTCAGCTTGAAATCTCTAAGGCAAGAAGATTGCAATAAAGGAAATACGAGCACTTGGTTCATTAGTCTCCAGTGCTTCCTGAGCTATAGACACATATAAAGAATGATGCAATTATTGCCTACTTTCCTGACACTCCTGAGAGTACAGGGACCTGGGAAGATGTAATCACAGAGACTAGAAATGACCAATTTAAATAAAACAGTATCATCTGTGACTTCATCCTGGATTATATCCACTCAGTCCATTGTGCTAAATGAGATACTAAGGGAAAAAAAATCATTTTTGAGAGATCTCTCCACATTTGCTTGCATTTAATTTTGAAACTATGTATATGTTATTACTAACTATTCCTCAATCTTTGTTAAAAAAATCTCTGAGTCACACAGATGCTGTCCTCTTAGGTCAGATGATGCCTTGGAGAAGAGGTTCACCTGCCATTGTTTGCCATCAGCAATAAGAAAGATACTAGAAGGGGATGCTGTAACACAGACAGTCCCCCTTGCTTTAGCACTTGAGGCAGATGAGATTCTCTACCCAGCAAAGCTTTACTAGAGTATGGTTAGATGGGTTTCCTGGTAGGGCTGCTTTACATAGCAGACAGAGTGTGTGGTTGTTAGAGTCACAAACATGGGGTATAATCAACCTCTATATTTTATTCTTTGTGTGACTTCAGTCAAGCAAGTTAATCAAGAGAGTCAGTCTCTTATGCAAGCTTCTAAAGAGACTGATTCTATTGCAGTAGAGTACATATATACATATATTCCATATACACATAATATATAACATCGTAAACATTACTTATGTGTAATCTGATGAAAGATTTGTATTCTGAATATATAAAGAACTCTCAAATTCAAATAAAAAGATAAAAAAGCAAATTAAAAAAGCAGATAACAACTATAAACTGAACAAATCCAAATCAACAATCTTCAGCCTCTGGAGAGTCAAAAAAGGAAGCAGATTTAGGAGGGGAAATGAAACTTTGAAGAAGCACTTGGCATAGGATACATTTTTCCATTTTTATAAATTTTGCCTGAGAGCAGACAAGTGTTAAGATACGGCAGGGGACATTTAAAATTCTAGTAGAAAACCTGCCCCCTTTTTTTTTTTTTTTTTTTCTGAGACAGGGTCTTGCTCTGTCGCTCAGGCTGGAGTGCAGTGGCATGGTGTGATCATGGCTCACTGCAGCCTGACATCCTGAGCTCAAGCGATCCTCCCGCCTCAGCCAATCATGTAGCTGGGAATACAGGCATGTGCCACCAGGCCCAGCTAATTTTCTGTAATTTTGTAGAGACAGGGTTTTACCATGTTGCCCAGACTGGTCCGGAACTCCCAGAATCAAGTGATCCACCTGCCTCAGCCTCCCAAAGTGCAGGGATTACAGGTAAGAACCAGCACACCCGGCCAAAACCTGACATTTTTGTATGCCAAACAATCCAATAGAGTCAGGGACAACAGCAGCCATTGGAGAGTGGGGAAGGACTTCTAGAGAGGAGAACACCAGAGAAAAAAAATCCTCAAACTAAACATAAAGTTTGTCCAAGTCTCTGATTGACCCCATAAACCACATATGTGTGGCAAAGGCCAATGCAGACCGTAGCTAGTTTACAGGAACTGAGATTTGATCTGATACTCACTGTAGCCCACAAAACATTTTCAGTTTGAGTCTAACCAAGTTAATTGATTTCTAAAACAAAAACATCATTACTCTTTGGAACAACACAACAAAATTTCTAGTCTTTACAACTTGATATTCACAATGTTCCGCATATAATCTAAAAATCATTAAAAATATACAGAACCAAGAAATTGTAGGTCATTCTTAAGAGAAAATGCAATCAAAAGGAGAAAAGTCAAACCGTAACCCAAATGTTGGAATTATTAGGCAATGAATTTTAAAAGTTTTTAAAAATAATTATGAGTGAAGGAAAAATATTATAATATGTGAAAAGATAGAACATTTAACATAGAAAACTAAAATTTAATGAAAAATCAAATAGAAATTCTAGAACAACTCATTAGGAGAATGGAGATGATTAAGAAAAAAGTTGATGAACTTGGATTTTACTCTTCAAAATATACTAATAAAATAAGACAAGCCATAGGATAGAAAAATTATTTCATATATAAATAATATACGTAACACATATTCTATAATATAAATGTTACATAGATGTATGTAATATTGACAAAAGTCTTATATTCTGAATATATGAAGAACTCTTAAGACAAACAGGTAACTAAAAATGGGCAAAAGCTTTGAATGAAAACTTTACAAGGGACATACAAATGGTCACTAAGCACGTAAAATAAATGTTCAACATAATTAATCATCAAGGAAATGCCCATTAAAACCACAATGAGATACAGAGCCCTTAGCTTAGGATGGCTAAAATTAAAAGGGCTCACAATCCCAAGTGTTGGCAAATGGCAAAGCAGCCAGCACTCTCATATATTCCTGGTGGGAGTGCAAAATGGTACAAGCTCTTTGGAAAGTTGTTTGGCAGTTCCTTCTAAAGTTACACATGAACCTGCGATATTCCATTGTACAGTCTACACTGTACATTTGACATTATACATTCTACAGCTATTCTATTCATTGTTGTTCACCCAAGAGAAATAAAAGCATATGCCCACATAGAACTCATACACAAATGTTCACAGTGCATCTACTCACAGTAACCAAAACCTGGAAAGAAACTGGATGTCTGTTAATAGGTAAATAGAGAAACAAATGCAGTAAACACATATGAAGAAATAGCACTCAGCATTAGAAGGAATGGACTACTTTTTGCCCAAGAAAAAGCATGAATATGAAAATCTGCTGAGAGAAAGAAGCCACACACAAGAGTACATGCTCTACGATCCCATTATATAAAATTCTAGAAAACAAAAACTAATCCACTTTGCAAATAGATGCGTGGTTGCCTGGAATTGAGCGTGGAGGAGGGGTGGTCAGGGAAGAGGTACACGGACACCTTTGAAGACGAGGAAAATATCTTTGTCTTGATTTTGTCGGTGGTTTTATGAGTGTGTATGTCTTTAAAACTCATCAAATTGTGCACTTTAAATGGAAAGTTTATTTTATGTAAATTATTCCTTAATAAGGTTGGTAATAAACACAAAAAGCAAACTATAGGAAATGCTTATCACAACAATATAACACACTTGACTATTTCTTACATTTTTTAAGAGTTCCAACAAATGAGCATGAAAAGTAAGTGACTCAATAAGCAAATGAGTAAAATATATTTAAAAAACATTTATAGAAAATATAGTATGAATGGCATCTTAAGAAGTACTCCTTTTCGCTCATTAGTTAAAAAAAATAAAAATAAAAACTATGAGATACCATATTAAATTGTTCACTGAATTGGCAAAATTAAAGGTTGAAGATGGTCCAGAGAGTGGGAGAGCCGGTCTCATACACTCTACATTATCAACTTGTGCAGCTTTTCTGAATGGCAATTTGGCGATAGCCATACAAATTGAATGTCCAGAGGCTTTGCCCCAGAAATTCTACAGCTGGGGAATATATTATTCAAATTTACCGTTATACATATACACAGATGTTCATGGAGGCATTGCTTGTAACACCAAAAATCGGAAGCAACATGGAGTCAATAAAAGGTTACTTATGCAAAGCATGACACATTAAATGATAGAATACTATTTTGTCATTGAAAAGAACGTGGCTCATTAATATGTATTAACATGAAAAAAATCAATAAATGATGTTATTAAGTAAAACAAAAGCAAAGCAAAACTAAACAAAAAAACAAGCCCCACAAAATGCATATAGCGTAATTTGGGTAAAGCAAAAGAGACATATATATATATTTATATTTTACTATATATATTTGTATGTATACATACATGTGTAAGCATAAATATATAGTAAAATATATACTTGTATGTATGTATATATTTTACTATATATATTTGTATGTATATACTATATATAATTTACTATATATATTTGTATGTATATATGTATGTGTGAGCATATACATATATTTGTATGTATATACCCCTCATATGGGGTGTGAGCATACCTATACACATACAAATATATTACATTGATAAAAACATCTTCAAGAAACACATACACATACACACACACACTATTAATTGTAGTTACTTTGGCAGAGAGAAATGACAAGAGGGAGGGAGTTCTAGTTCAAGAAATCCACCTGTACCCTGAGTTACAAAGCTTTTCTTCTAAATTTTCTTCCAATTACGTGAAAATCATTTCACTTTTAATTATTTAATTCATATGTAATTTAGGATTGTATATAGTATATATGGTAGCAAGTAGGAATTCAGTTTTATATAAATAACTATATTCACAGGTATTCCATCCTATTGTCATTCAAAACTTCTACTGAATTTTAATTTTTAAAAACTTCTTCAATTTATGTTTTTTACTTTTTTTTCTTTTTGAGACAAAGTCTCATCACTCTGTTGCCCAGGCTTGAGTGCAGTGGCAAGTTCATGACTCATTGCAGCCTTGACCTCCTAGGCTCAAGCAATCCTCCCATCTCAGCCTCCCAAGTAGCTGAGACTACAGGTGTGCACCACCATGCCCAGCTGTTTTGAATTTTTTTTGTAGAGACAGGTTTTTGCCATGTTGCCCAAGCTTTGTTTTTGACTTTTAAAGATAATTCTAGTCTTGTTTTACAGATGCACCATTAGATCATCTTTGAGAATACTAATTAGAATTATAAAAATATCTTGGGGGGTTAGGTTATCAGTTTATTCTGGTCTCTTCCATGATACAGGTTTTTTCCTTGTGTTTCTCTGCTATGATACAGTCTTTCCTTACACATTCAGTGGTCCTTGGGGATTCTGTCACACATCTGAATGACAGAAGCCTGGGTGGTAGCTGTGTGGATCTGGGTGGAACTTGTCCCTGGCAGGCTTCTCAGAGAAGGCAGGTAGAGAGGCATCGATGATCGCTCTGCTGCCCACCCCATAAATGCCAGAGTGGGAAGAACTTTAATCTAAGGTACTTCCACTCATTCACATTCCCTGTGTTCAGGGTTCATACTGATTTTTTATTTCTTTTAAAGAGAGTGTTCCTCTGATCTTTTGGCCTGAGGGTAATTGCTAGGATGCCTATGCTCCACCTCTGGAGGTTGTAGAGGGAGGTAGTTCAGACTTTTAATTATTTCCTCTGTCTTTAGCTACATATCTCACTTCTGCTGCCTAGAGTGAATCTCTCTGGCCTTCTCCAGGGAAGACTGTCTTTTCTGCCCCTTTGGAGCCCTCAGTGTGTATTCTAGGCTGTGGCTTCCTCCACTTGGTTTCATTTGTTATTGCTCTTAGACCCATTTTTAATTTCAGAAATGTATAGATGTCTTTATCTGCTATATCACTCCTCCTATTCTCTTTGCTTTTGAAATGGAAGAGTTCCCTGATCCCCCTGGCAGGATGTCCAACAGGGGTGTGGCTCACCTGTTTGGTCACAGCCACTGCACAGAACCCTTATGGGACAGGGATCATGCAGACAGACAGTTGAAGGAGGCCAAGTGGACATGTGTTACAGTGTGCCCATTTAGCCTTGCCATTTGCCCACAGCTTGAGTGTTAACCAGCTCAATGGAACCTCTGCCTTTCTGCAAGGGCAGAGGGCCAGTGTGACAGCCTTCTGTATCCTGAGCTCTTGTCCAGTGTCCTGGAAAAATTGGGTCATACACAGACTTGAAGAATGAATGCAGGAGATTCATTGAGAGGTGGAGGTGGCTCTCAATGGGATGGATGGTGATGCAGAAGGGGGGATGGAGTGGGAAGGTGATCTTCCCCTGGAGTTGGGCCATCCAGCAACCAAACTCCTCTCCAACCACCCCCAGCCAAACTCCTTTCAACACTCAGATGTTCTTCCTCTTCTCTCTTTCTCTGCTGTGTCATTCCACCCTTTTGTCAGCTTATCTCGTCTCCTCATCTCCTGGTATGCTCTGGACCCTGGGGTTTGGGGTCTATATGGGTACAGGATAGGGGGCATGATAAGCCAAAGGCAACTTTTTGGTGAGAAAACAGGAATGCCTGTTCTCATTTAGGGCCGTGGATATCCAACTTTAGGGTGGGGCTTTTGCTGGGGGACTGCCCTCTTCTACCCGGTATTTCCCTGTCTCCTATCCATATCATTTTTATCGTTTTGTCTCAGGTTTATACCTCTACTGTAATTTTAATTTGAAGGAGTAGGAAGTAAATGCACTTTCTTAATTAATCACCTTTACCTGGAAGCCCAAGAACTAAATGTTGAGCCAAGCAGTGCTGGCTATCATTTGAGACGGCATCATTATGTGGTGGTGAGAGGCATCCAGGAGATATTACTAAAAAGTTTCTATTAAAATAAAAGACTGGGACAAAAAAGAGAAAATGTCACTGCATTGGGGATATCACCAGAAACCCACGGAAGAACAGTTTATTTGTGTTGATGGGAGTGGAATCCAAATTTTAAGAGTATGAGAAGTTAGTAATGTCCACTCATGAGTGGCAACTTTAAGTGATCATCCTTGTCCCTGAATGCCAGCTGACACTCTGATTGCAAACCTTGCTTCTGTCCCCTTTTTTTGAACCCTTTCTAAGTAGTTGCCTTTTCCCTTCTTGAGACCTCCCAGATACTGATTTGAAGCTTGTTTGTCTATTTTTACTTTTGCTCAGTATATGGGCAAATGCATCCTATATCCAGGTTCTATTTTGTCCACTACTACCATAGGGTGAGCCTGATATTCATCTACCTCTGCCTCTCCTGCGACTGCGCACGACACACAGGCTGCTCAGGCTGGCACTCTTACCCATCTGGTTCTGGCCCCATGAGAGACAACTGAGGAAAGAGTGAAGCAGTGAAAAAAGAGTGAGTATAGGTGTAAATACATCAGAGTAATAACGTGATTATAATCTCCTTAAGGGCAGCAAGAAGGTCTTGTTCTTCTTCACACCCTTAAGAACTTACCAAGCACAATAAGCACTAATTAAGCCCGAATTCAATTGAATAGAGCAGTTTCTGCCTCTGTAGTACTTAAAAGCACCAATTACATAATCCTCTCAGCTCACCTACAAGGCAGGCAATTATAAATACTCCTCATCCTAGATACTGAGAGAAGGCAGAACACATATTCTTCAATTTGAGGTTATCTCATACATCCTAATGTGTCTTTTAGCAAACAACATTAAATATAACCATTGTTCTATTTTTATTCCTTTCTTCCACAGATGTTTATGGAGTACCCATCATGGTTCATCACTGCTGTAGGCACTGAGAATACAGCAGTGTAAACAAACCAACAAACAAAATCCCTGCCATCGTGGAGCTTACAGTGTGTTTAGATATAGGTGATCCATGCAACACCAAAATGGCAGCTTTTTACACATTTTAAAATTATTTCAATTCTTTGATTTTGAAAGGAAAGGGATTAACTGATCCTTGGACGAAAAATAATCCACAAAGCTGTGCCTCTTACCCATGATCATAAATTGTGAGGCTTTGCAAGCAAAGTGGTCATGCTTAGTGATGGGCACGAGATCAGTGTCCCAAGAGAAAGGTAAAATTCTTGAGGAGGATAACTGTGCCTATAATCTCCGTCTTTCAGGGGTGTCCATGGTGTCCATGATGTTTAGTAGCAAATCAACCCATTCATATAGGTTTTGTAGATGTCTGCAAGCTAGAACAACAGAGAGCAATGACTGGCTTAATACTGCTGAGTTAATGACCTGGTTCTCCACATGGCCCAATATGCAATCTAATCTTGGAGTACTGAGATTCAAAGTGACTGTAAGGGCTTCAGAAAATAGCCCAAATTTTTATTTTATCCTGCTAAAGTATATTTGGCTTTATATCATCCTTGTAAATTTACACAGATTATCAGTGATCCAGTCACAGTCATAGCTACTATATTATACAAATTAAATCAAAATTGCCCAATAACCTAGCCCTTCTCATGCTGCAGAGCTTACATGCTTCCTATTTCTCACAAATGTACAAATTTAAAAAGAACTCATTAAAATTAATGAGAAATAGACTTTTAAAAGAATCATAATTTTTTTCTCTATATCATTTTAATTTGTGCCAGTCATAATGCACCCAAAAACAATTAACTCATAAAATATAGTGGCTCTAAAGTTATATTAGCTTTTATCTCTACTCTTATTGTGCTTACTTTCAAAAATATGAAACCATAAATCATAAATAATAGACTTATCTTATGAAAATGAAATGTCACTCTGTTTATTTGGCTCCCAATCATGGCAAAAATAAATAAGGAGATGGAGGGAAAGATAAATCAGATCTATACAGGGTGATGCATTCCCTTTTTCCATTTGTCTTATCATGTCAGCTCATATCCTGCAAAAATGTTACCATTAAATTGTAAGGAGGAAAATCTGTCAATATAATCTTGGAGGCAACTACAAACAAATTTAATCAACTGAGAACAAGGGTGACTAATAAACTCCAATGAGAATTAAGAATCTGTTCAAGAAGCAGAATACATGTTGATGTATTGCTTGAAAATATGATTATCATTGCCTAAAAAGTCTATTCATATCATGCTCTTTAGATGTCTGAATTTGGGTAACAGTTCTCAGAAACCGAGCAAAGGTGATCACACAAGTAGAATGTATTAATTGCATCTCCCATGGTGGAGGGTCAGGCAGGGCTTGGTGGACTTGCATTACATGTATATCAGGTAAAAGAGCAAGAAATGGAAGAAAATAAGGGTAGCTGAGGACATGTTCTCTCATTTTTCTTTGCTTGCTGGTACGTGACCATCTGTTTCCCATCCACAGGAAATAAATAATGCAATTAGAGTAGGAATTCAGGTGGGTAAAGGGAATAACTGTGTATTTTTCACATCTTGTTTTGTTTTGTTTTGTTTTTAAGAGATGGGGTCTTGCTATGTTGCTCAGGCTAGCCTTGAACTCCTGGACTCAAGCAATCCTCCTGCCTCAGCCTCCTGATTAGCTGAAATTACAGGTGCGTGTCATGGAACTGGGCAGAGTAGCAGATCCAGATAAAATAAACTTTTTGCTATCTTAGAATGCTGGAGGATAGGATTCTCTTTTATCATGATCATGGCATGCCGGAAGCACTGAGTTCTATTCCAGACACCTGGATAGGTCTATATGAGGTTCAGGGACTTGTAAAAGAGCCCTGGACTAGTTCACACTTTATGGGTAGACCCATCTAACAGAATGGGATTCCTTAAACATGCCAGACTGACAACAGAGGTAATGTGGTCCCTGAAAGAAAATCAGCAAAGTGAAGAAACAAATCTGGCAGAGCGGACTGATCTAAGAGGTAAAGCAGAATTTGCAAGAGACCAGTGATTCCAAATCACCATGACTCCCATCTCATCATCTCTTTCTTCCCCTCCCAGAAAGTATGGGAAAACTCTAAGCGGGAGACAAAAATGGCAGAGACTAGTCATTCTCAAATTTCAAGGAACATAAGAATCAACTGGGGCTCTTGTTAAAAATACAGATTCTGATTCAATAGGTCAGCGAGCAGAGGGAGAGAAGGGCCGAGGGTCAGTACTTTTCATACTTCCCAAGTGATGCCAATGTTGCTGGTACATAGACCACACTCTGAGTGGCAAGGGTCAAGAAGATTGCTGGGTCACTTAGGATAATCCATTGACTGTTGGGACCCTCTGTGAAAGGCTGTCATAAAAGCAGAAAGGATTTTCCTTGGGCTAGAAAGTAGAAGACCTACAGTGGTCACGAATGCAGAGGAGGACTACACTGCTGAACGCAGCTGGGAGACCTGAATGGTAGGTAGTTCACAGAAGATCTGTAGAAAGGAAAACGGGTGAGGGCTCAAGACTCAGTGTCAAAATGACTTGAGTTACACTTCATCTTCTTAGCTATGTAATCTTAGGCAAGTCGTTCCACATCTTTGAGACTGTTTCTTCATCTAAATATAAAATGTGATAATAATTATACTTACCATCAATGATTGTTGTTGATTGTTGTGAGGATTAAATGAAGTAATGTAGGGACAATTCTGGTACCTACTGAGCACACAAGAAAGCAGTTGTTGGTTATTTGTCTTTTAACTCTCAATTTCATTTTCAACCTTCCTACCTGAAAGCAATGCCACCCAGACCCCCTGGCCAGCTAGTTTCTGTTTAACCTCTGTTAACCATTGGGAGATATTGGAGGAAGAGTAAAAGTTAGGATAAACAATAAGTCATTTTTTTTCTTCCTTTTTTTTCTGGCTCTGGAAGTGACAGCAGTCAAATCCCAAAAGCCTTAGAAACGTGAGCTCATTGACTCTGATCGCAGCAGCTGCCACCGCAGTGAAAATGGCAAGCAAATGTAGGTGACTGCCAGGTGCTGCATTCATACATGGTTATGGCAGCTGCAGCAGCAGAAACAAGTAACTATGGGCTCCAGAAGTCTCCGTGGCATCAGCAACACTGGGCTCCAGGGCTCCTGAGGGTCAGCAGGAGTGCAGGCTTCTGGCTTCCTGCAGAGCCACGGTGGTGATGGTTTGGATAACAGCTGTGACACTAAACACTGCAGCACTCTCCACGGCACAGCCCTTGTGGGTTCCATGAAACACCACTGTCTCTTTTGTCCCTTGGCTCTAGGTGGGTAGAGGCTGCTCAGATACTAATCTCCAAATAACATCTCATCTTTTCCCTTCTTGATTCCCTAGTCCTTCCAATACTTTTGTAAATAATTCACTTTGTTAAATTCTCTTTGTTTAAAATAACTAGAGTTATTTCTATTTTCCTGATGAGACACTGACAAGGACTTATTATTGACAATGATGATGTTATTGGGCAGGGTTGAGGTGGGTAAGAGAAGTACCCGTGGCTACTAAATCTTGGTCCATAGGAGGTTTGTAGCCTGAAATCACATTTTGTCCTTCCCCATCTCCTCTCCAACCCTGCCCTAAAAACACGCACATATCCAGATGTTATAAATCCAAGATTTCTGGCTATAATGGCAGATTTCTGAAATCAAACATGTGATATCAGACATGAAATAATATAATAGAAAGACTGGTAAATAGAATTACAAAATTGTCCCACAAAACTTAATAAAATAAATGAAAAATTTTTGAAAATAAAGGAAATTTGAGAGCCAGTCAGGAGTCCAAGCATCCAAATCATGAGTCTCAGGATGACAGAACAAAAAAAGAAAGGAGTGGAAACTATAAAATAATATGAAAAAAATTTGCAGACCCGAAGGGCATGAGTTTCCAGATTGTAAGATTTCCTTGTGTACCTAGATCAATAAATGAAGAAACAATAATACGAACACCACCAAGACACACAATTATTAAATTGCAGGAAATCCTGTTAAAGAGAAGTTCTGAAATCTTTCAGAGAGAAAATATATCACATACAAAAGATCAGAGATTATAATGACATTGAACTTCTTGGAGCAGCACTGGAAGCCAGCAAGCAGTGGGATAACTCACTTGGAAGCTAAATAGGAAATAATTTTTAAAATTATTTTAATTTTATATAACATTCTTATATATAGTTACTATGTTAATTATTTTATGCATAAACTAAATTATAAATCCAGTGTGAGAGTAGAGACCATAAATCCAGTGCGATGGCTGTCTTTTGATGCAGAAGATCTCAAAAACTGTTACTTCAACTGGCCCTTTCTAGAAGCCACTAGAGGTTGTACTCAAATAAATCAGAGAGTAAAACAAGAGAAAAAAAACACCTGGTATCTAGGGGAAAGTGTATTGCCTTACTTTGGATGGTCCAGGAGTGGGCTCAGAGACAGGGATTTGACTGCCAGCAGTGTGATGGAAGAAGTGCAACGGGGAAGAAACGGCAACTAACAAGGAGCACGTTATCAAGCAAGGCACCACTGTGGGCAATCAGAGCTTGATTCTGCTGGGGAACTTCTGGGAAACAGGGCAGATCACATGGCTCAGAATTATCCCTTTCAAAGGACAAGGAAGATAGGTTTATATCCATCTTGTCAATCATCTGTTCAGAACTATTCCCAGAGGGGGTTATTTCTCAGGTGTTTTCAACCCCCTTATGTGATTGGGCAAGGCAGGCCCTAGGGGGGCAAAGAAAGCCCTCAAGACAAAAAATCCAGGTGCCAGCTGTTGGAAGCTGGACAGATATGTGCACCAGGCACCATCAGTGACATACATCAATCCACTCACATTCCATAAGTGAGGACTAGCCACAACGGCCCACCTAGGTACAAAAGAGGTTGGGACATGTAGTCCTGGCAAGAGAGCCTTTTTCCCCAACAACTTTAGACTGTGGGCAATGGGTGTGTGAGTGCAGTGGGGGCAGGGTGTCTGTCATTGATGAGCAGCTATCTTCTGCCACGACTAATTTTTTCTTTTACCCACTGACAGCCACTAAAATGGAACTAGTGCCACTGGGAGGTATCCAATATCATCCTTGCTCTCAGTTTTTTCCTTCTAAGTTGATTTTGTTTCATCAGAAGATACAACTTATAACATGGCACTTTTTCTCACTCTGAGCTCTAGTTAGCCTCAAGAGTAGTGTATGTAAATCCCAGGAACCCATTTAATTCAATTTAGTTTAATTCAACAAATATTTAGAGTCCCTTCTGTGTTGTAGGCCTTGGAAATACAATGATAAATAGGACACTTTGTCACCTTCTAAATTCGAAGTGCGGGGAACTAATCATTCCAAGTGGTGTCTGACACTGGTGCCATACTCTATTTAGCTTCATGTGTCTCAGGACATTTTTATCGGGGGGATATAGGTGATCCCTAATTATCAAAATAATACCTTGATTTTCGGCAAAACATCTAAAATCTATTCAGGAAAACTACTCATCTGCCAGTACCCAGATCAAATGTCATCTTTGATAAACCTGCTCCCAGGAATTCCAAATGCAATTATCGACTTCCTTCTAGGTGCTCCATGCTACTCTGCGGAGAACTACAGAAAAGTCCTGGATTGCATTTTAGCTATATTTTTGCTTCAAAATTTCCTCCAAAAAAAACCCTTTAAGCCACTCTAAGCCAGGAACTCACCTGTTCTTCGTTGTTTTCCAAGCACCTAGCATAAAGTATATATAATGTATATCCTTATATGGATTATAAATGAATGAAATAGAATTCACCTTTTTTTTAAGGTTGATACTTGGAATCAATCAGTGACTACTGTTAGAAATTCACCTAGATCTTGGTGCTGGCCATTTTATGAGAAAAGGTTGCATTTTAAAATGTTTTCTGTAGGTGTCTATGAAGAATTTTACTTAGGCATTTTACTTAGTTACCATTCATCTGTGAATATTTAATGCTAATTGATAATGAATAATGGATGCTAGATTATGATGATTAATATATTGGGTGCTTTAGTTTAGAAACCTAGTAGGTATATACAGAAAAATACTCCCTAAAAGTTAGCGATCTCATGCTGGAAATTCTGGGTCCTTACCCAGCTCTACCACTCAGTAGTTATTTGACCTTCGCAAGCCATTTAACTCCCTTCGGCCCCCATTTCCTATTCCATAAAATGCAGAGGATAATAGTTACACAGTCGTAGTAAGAATTTAAAAACTGTAAATCTTTTTTAACTATGCAAAAACTGCTCAAATGTGTTTAACTCCTGTGCTGGGAGTTAAACCAAGAAATATCTGACATAATCTCTCTTAAGCAGTTTATAGTTGTGTTATAAATCAACATGAGAAAGACAAATAGCTCTTTAGAGAACTCTACAAAGGGTGCAAGCATTCAGGTTGCACAAAAAGAAATCTAAGTGGCCAAAACCACATGAAAAGACACACAGTCTCACTCTAAATTTTAACAATGCAAATCGAAAGAATGAAATCTTTTTTTCACTGACTAGATTGGAAAAAGTTAACAATTTTATAATACTTAAGTGTCCATGATGATGTGTAAAAGGAGACACGTTCAAACATTGTTGAAGGAAACAAAATCAGTACAAATAATTTAAAGAAGTTAGCATAGCTGTCAAAGCACTAACGTGTTTTAAGAGTCGATACCCTTGATCCGCAGTTCTACTGCTGGGAATTTATCCTTTGGAGATACTCAGAAATAATAATGTATGTAAAAGATTATGCATGGCATCATTAATAACAAAAACTGCTAGCAATCTGAATGCCTATCAGTTAGGAGTAGCTTAAATAAATAATGGTTCTTGCAAACAATAAATCAAGCACTCCTCAGACATTAAAAACAATTAGCTATCTCTATGTATGTGTATAGGTTGTGGTAACAGTAAATACTGACACTGATCCCAAAATTTCACTGTCTTAACATAATGAAATTTGATGTTTTTACTCATGTTACAGCCCAGTGCAAGTGCTCTGGTCACAGGTTAGGGAGTTCAAGGGTATGTGCTCACTACAATCCAGCAGACATCCAGGCTGAGGGAGGCTATACCACCTTCAACATCCGGATTCCACGGTCACCCTTATCATCAACATCCTACTGACAGATAGAAAATGGGGAGAGGATTATGCATGGATATTTTTATGGACCTGATCCGGAAGAGGCACACATCACTTCCGCTCCCATTCTACTGCCTAGAATTCACTCAGTTGGCCGCACCTAACTGCTAGGGAGTATTAGAAGTATGGTCTATTGTGAACCTAGGAAGGTTTGATGATAAACACCAAATGACAAGGTCTGCCATGATATTTTAATGTCTGTCAACTTTGAAAATACAGAGTTAAGAAAAAATGCAATGTACAGAACAGCATATGCACATATGTGCATATGTGTATAGACCCCATATCTTTAGATTTTTTAAAAGGCATATGCCAATATGCCACCATGTTTTTAGAAAGGCATATACAATTATGTATATTCTATTTTTATATATGTATACTCAAGAAAATAACAAGTGGTTATTTTGATGAGTGAGACTAAGATTGTGGTGAGGAAAGAGACTTTACTCTTTCCTACACTTTTCCTTTTGGTTACATTTTTAAAAATTATGTGTGTATGACTTGTATTTTAAAAAATGCTTTTAAGCAATGACAAAAATATCCCACTATAGACACATGACTACTATATCCATCTTAATTATAACATAATTCATTGATAAATGGAAGCCATATCCATCTATCCATGGAGAAAGTGCTTCGTAAATATTGAACAAATTGAAGAATAAATTAATGAAGGAATTGTATAAATGATATAAAGGTAAAGAAATTCAACTAAGGGAAGAATCAGTAGGTGTTGTGATTGTCATGGAAGCCTTCTTGAAGAATCCCGGATGCGAATTAGGTCTTGAAGTATGCCTTAATTTGGAACAGTTAACTTTCATATGAATACTAGAACACAGTATTGGGAAGCAAGAATATCCAAGCCTTAGAAAAAAATTTTTAAAAAGACACAGGCCGCATTCTGTATTTCTAGAACCATTTTGTGTTCACCAAGTTTAAATTGTCCATTACTTGGTTTCCCTCTTTCACAGCCTTTAGAACACTATATCCTACTCTGTTGTTTTATTTTATTTTATTTTTGGCCCTCAATATGACCAAGATTTTTCATTCTTGTCCTGTTTTCTAGGTACCTTCCCATTTGTTATTTCTCGCCAACCCCTGGGCCTCCACTACCTCTTATATAAGACTTCCTGCCTTTATGGGCATCATCTTTCTGTGGTCCATTACCAGGAAAGGGGCTTTGGGACTTCCACCTTCACTGCTTTCTCTTGCCTTCAAACCTCCTGCTTGTAATCATGTGAGTAATGCAATTTTACTGAAAGAGGTATATTTTCCTTCACTTCAGAAACCTTTGTTTTGTGTACCATAGTTAAAAAAATATGTACAGGGTTATAACTATTGTATTTTATCAGCTAGAAGTAAGGAAATTATGTGGGGAGGAATGTTGGCTTGTAAAAGATATTATACTGCTTCCTGCTTTTGCTCTATATCCTGCAGGTAAACTGACTGATATTTTAATTTCCTCAGACTCTTTTGAAAGCTCTCTAAATGAATATTCTGAAGAAAATATATAACTTTGGTTATCATACTTTATGGTTATTACTGTGTACACATTAAATGTGAATTAATGCAATAAAACAGTGCATTTCACATAAAAATACTATGAATTCCACTGCTGCCACTGATATAACACATGTATCAATGTAATTATGGATTACAAATCTTAGCCAAGAGAGGAAGTAACATTTATTTGATATTCACTTATTGTGAGAATTCAAAAAAAGTAAGGCACTTTGATACTGCAATTTTACCTGATCCATTTCCCTTACTTGAGGAGCCTTTTAGGAAATTAGCATTTGCTTTAGACTGATCTTTAATTTGATAACAGGTAGTGGTACTGGAAATGTTTAGGTAAGACTGGCATCAGTGACAATCCACATGCCACTAGAAATGAATAATTCTTACCACTGAAATTTACAGAGATTCTGATATCTTCCCCAGATATAATCAATGTTTACAAGGTATTTTACAGTCTTAATATTACACTAGATAGACAAATAATATAGACATTACAGCAAATTGTTACATGCTAGCTACTCTCTACAACAGACACTAACAATAAATGCATTTACAGACATTCAGTTTGGAAATTTTGTGTGTGTGTGTGTGTGTGTGTGTGTGTGTATATATATATATATATATATATACACTTTAAATAAACTATCCAAACTTCATTAAGAGTAGTGTTTATCAGTAAATGAATTTCACACATTTTGAGGAAAGAAAAAAGGCTCAGGCAATATTTAGAATCATGAACTCTAAGATCATAAAGATTATTCTTTAGAGGTAAACCCTAACTATGAAAAAATTTCATATCCCCTACAGCACCCAGGACAAAAACTGGGTACTAATAAGTACTAACTGGCATGATTTCTCAGAACTTCAGTTTTTACGCCCTGCTACAGCTACTTTACTCTACCAAAACTTAGCCACTGGGGGTATGAATATGAGGGCACATATGTATGTACACATGCCCCACAAGGAAAGGAGTATAGTATATTATATCAGAAGCTGTCTTTCCTAATTACATGTTTGTCCACATACGTCATCCTTCTCCCGTCTCGTTCATCTCCTTCATCCTTGCTAATAGTGTATTTCTCTATTTTCAGGCACTGGGCAGAGAAGACTTGACTTCAAGGAAGGTGGCTTAGCCCCTGGTCTAGGGATGAGCATAAGCCTAGTTCTGGACACTGTAATATAAGCGAGTATCTTCTGAGGAAGAATTTTCCTCTTTAATAAGATAGGGGTTACATGAGGAAAAGTGCTCTTTGCAACATAACCTCCTATGTCCTGCCTTTCAATCTGTGTCAAATGGAACTGTGGTGCTTTCAACTATGGCTGCTACCTTGAAACAGAAAGACCAAGAGACATCAACACAGCATCTTGACATTGTTCAGTCCCAAAGTCATCCAGCAGCTGCCTGCCTCTGGGTTTCTTAGTACACAAAACAAGTAGATGATTCTTTTTATACACTATTGCTGTTTTGTAAAACATTATTTAAGTATCTATTTGAAGTTTCTGGTAATTCCATAAATTGAAACCAGCCATCTGGGTTGTGTGATAATTTTTCTAGCAGTGTTCAGATGAGTCAGTAAAGATGTGAGGAAAGGGAAAGTTTGGGTTCAACAAGGACTGGGGTTCTATTGGGTAAGTACAGTAAAGGGAGAAGGAAACAGGGAGTTGAGAGTGTTTGCAGAAAAGGTGATTCTAACAAGAATCAGGGAATCTAAGCAAGATAAAGAGGAAAGTCAATATGGAGAGGTCAAATTAGGTCTTAATGAGGTCAGGGAACTCTTGCAGAGGGCATATTGGAGTGAATGGATTGGGAATGTAGGAGAGGGTGGTTAGACACTAGAATGCTTGAAACTGGAATAAGAAATGGAGGCATTACAGATGATGAGAAGTCAGAAAACCACTTTGGAGATAGGGAGGTCAAAGCCCAGAGAGATCAAGTTGACGTAAAACAGCATGAAAACTTACACACACACACACACACACACACACACACATGATCTTATTCATAAGTTGATAATATATTTAAACATTCTTATGCTACCCTCCCCTACATCCATTTCCCCCTTTTCTGCCTGTTCTGTGCCCTGTGAGGCTGATATCTATAAGCTGCATCACTCAGGTACCCTGCTCCTGTGGCTGTGGTTGGGTTTGACCAAGGAAAGTTGAGGGGAAATGAAAGTTGGAATATTTCTGTCCCTCCCCTATCCCTTCCTGAATGTGGTTCCAGCAGTGGCTGAGTACCAGGGCTACAGTTCCTGATGGAGGTGAGCGTTCCTCTCTCAGAGCTCCAAGCCATCTGCAGGCTCTATAACACATCGCCCTCATCATTGTGCCTTGCGGCCTAGAGTCAACAATGGCTTCATGTAGCCTTCATTCCCCATTTGTTCTCTTAACCTAGATTATATCCCTCCAAATATTTTCTTAATTTAACTTTCTTCAATTAAACTTTTTGAGTGTGGTACATATTTTCTCCAGGACCCAGGCTATTTCAGTCAATTTCACAAATTGACTGTGAAAAAGTTTACACAATTTAATATACAAAATAGTCAACAATAGAGGAAAGTATCTTAAGGAAAGTGACAAATGTTTTGCTACCTAATATAAACTAATGAGATAGTAAATAATATTTTGGATTATAATTGAACTGTGGAGTTTTAGAATTAGAATTATCTTTGACAATTAAAACCCAATCTAAATGCTTCATATTTTAACTGTTTTTTTTCAGTACAGAGAGGTTAAATGGAAAATTTTGAATCATGTAGACAATACTGTTTTAATTTTCTCAGATGAGCTTTGTGAAATGTGAAACCTCACAACCTTCTCATTCCCAACCTAATTTTATCTGGCAAAATAAACTGTATTATTTTTAAAGTAGAACTTACAAAATCCAAAATTTTACTCAGGGAAGATACGCTGAAACTGCTGATCTTTTAACTTATCCTAATTTCTACATCAATTGCTTCTTTCCTTTGAGATATTTCTGGAACTCCTAGATTCATATTTAAAGATCATCTAAAAATTTCTTTAATTTACCATTTTACAAAAATAACACTGATTACAGACAATTTTATAACAGTAATGCAATATTACCCAGAGGCCCATGGAAAGACATAGTTACATGTGATCCTATGCAGCTACTCAAGGTTGTTATATCTCCACAGCAGATACCTCTATAAAGATGAAGCTCTGATAGGAATATTCACTTATATTAGGAGACAGAAGAATAAGTACCACATGCCTTATCTTTTCTATTTGTACAAGCAGCAGAGAATATTTAATGACAAACATTCTTATTTCCATTTGTCACACAATGGTTTTAACAATGTATTATCATCAGCTCATATACCAAGAGGTTGCCATTGATGTTATGTGTCAGGAAGATGCTTTTCTGATGACCTTTAAATACCACAATCCCAAGTGATGATGCAGAATGACTTTCTTTTATCCCAAGACCTTCTTTAAAAAATTCAAATGCTTTGGGGTATGTCATTGGGCCAATGATGCAGTGTTACATCTTTTGCAAGATGTTAGAGGAAGGAAAGACTGTTAAACCTTGGATGTCAATTGTTACCTTTACTAAGGTATTTTTACCTTATCTATTTGTAACATTTTTCTTCTAAAGAGCACAAAGACTGTATGAAAAAGCGTACAAAGACCTCCAATATTCCAAATTATTGAGAGAAGGTGGCATTTTTTTTTCTTTTGGGTTGGGGTGCTGTGCACAAATATGAAAGTTGTTGAAAACAAATCATCCCCTATGATGATCTCAATGAGGAAAAATTTTAAACTAGACTGTCCCATCTGTCAGGTGCAACATTTCGCAGATGAATCTGTGACACTCATCAAACCACACTCAGATCAGATTCTGATACTCCCAACACGTGACTTTGATATTGAGTCAACTGTCAGTACATACATGTCACTTGAGAGGGGTATTTTTCCCACATCATTTGTGTAAGTCATGGGATAATTAAAAAGGTCGATTTCCTTTCTTCCAAAATCCCTATTTCCATTATTTCCCAGAATTCTTCTCAGGGAAGATACTGTGTGTATTTGAAAAAGATCCTTTGTTAAATTAAGGTTGAGAGAAAACCCAAAAGGCAAACTAGAAACACTACATGGTCTACAAATGTATTCTAAGAAGTGGAGAAGGCGTCTTATAACTAAGTGGCATTACAATTGCTGAGCACTGTGTTCAGTGGGGCTCACATATACTGGAATAGATCAGAATTTACCAACTCAATAGGGAAGACTATAAGCATTTTCTATGGTTTGAATGGGTCCCCTCCAATACTTAGATGTTGCCAACGTTATAGCCTTAAGAGGTAGGGCCTTTAAGAGGTGATTAGACCATGAGGGAGGAGCCCTCATAAATGTGATTTAGGTCCTTGTGCAAAAGGCTTCATGCAACACTCAGCCTGCTTGCTCACTGGCTTCCATGTGAAGACACTTCGTTCCTACCCTCCAGAGGATGCAACATCAAGGCACCATCTTAGGAGCAGAGAGCAGCCTTCAGTAAACCTGCTGGCACCTTGATCTTGGAATTTCCAACTTCTAGAACTGTAAGAAAATAAATTCCTTTAGTTTGTAAATTACCCAGTCTAGGTATTTTGTTATAGCAGCACAAAACAGCTAAGATATTGTTTAAATGAAATGCAGGAGATAAGAAGGGACTATGAAAGACAGATGTTTAATGGGATTTGTGAAGACCATGAACAATGTAATGTAAATATCATTGTAATGTGCAATGTAAACCCTCTCCTCTCCTATGAAATCAACATAATATTTTATACTACTTAATCACAATATTGGTGTGATTGAATTATCCAAGGGGAATGTAAGGAATAGTGGATGCAAGGCAAAAGCAGAGATATTTCAACATCTGAAAAATTTTTAGAAAAAGAAAAGGGCTCACTTCTTCAGGAACTTTTTCTCTGCTTTTCTGTGCTAAGTAAGAAGTGTTTACTTTCTTTTATTTTCATGATGGTATAAGGAACTTCTAGTTTCTACTTGGAATGTAGAAATCTAGAAAGAGCTATGCCTCCAAGCTTACAACAACAATGTAAAAAGTGAAACAACCTGCAAGTTAATGACATTTCTTGAATGCATCAAAAAGCTGATATTGCTGGAAACCAACCATCCAAAATATAAGGACAGGCAGATGTCTGTTGGGAGAGATGAGATGTGAGTACTTGCTTACGTGGGGCAGACACAGTTGGATATTAGTAAGAATAATGGAGCTAGAATAGTTAACAAACTGGTGGAAGCTGAGTAGGGGTTGGTGAGAGATTGTGGAACCATAAGACATGAAAATACAGCAGTCCTCCATTATCTGCAAGGGATATGTTCCAAGACACACAGTAGATGCCTGAAACCACAAATAGTGCTAAACCATATATATACTATGTTTTTCCTATACATACATACCTATGCATACAAATTTAATTTATAGATTAGGCACAGTTGTGTTTAACAACCAATAATACAACAATTATAACAATATACTATAATAATAGTTACACAAATATGGTCTCTCTATATGTAGATATAGATATATTCAGACCGTGGTTGATTATGGGTAACTGAAACCAAAGAAAGTGAAACCACAGATAAGGACTACTGTACAGGGGAATTCATACTCTCTTTCTTGCAAGCTTTTCTTCACGGATCTCATAGCTTCCCAAAAAAGATTGGTATGAGTCTCAAGAGAGCATGCCTAATGGTGTAATGGTGAAGTTCTGAGAGAGGAAAACAGCAGCCACTGTGGGAAAAGCATATATCCAACCTGGAACTTCTCTCCTATATCCTTTATGGGGAAAAAGCCATAATCTATGGAGTGAAACACAACCAATCCTCTTACCCTGAGGCAATGATAAAAATCCATTTTAGCCTAAGAAGAAAACCCTCTACCCTTGGAGAAAGATCAGGAATATGTGCTGGATGTGGAACTACAGTTAAGATATGAAGAGGAATATTAAGAATGTTATACCTGAGGCCCAGGCACAGTGGCTCACCCCTGTAATCCCAGCATTATGGGAGGCCAAGGTGGGGAGATCACTTGAAGTCAGGAGTTTGCGACCAGCCTGGTCAACAAGGTGAAACCCTATCTCCACTAAAAATACAAAAATTAGCAGGACATGGTGGTAGGTGCCTATAATCCCAGCTACTTGAGAGGCTGAGGCAGGAGAATCACTTGAACCTGGGAGGTGGAGAGGTTGCAATGAGCTGAGTTCATGCCACTGTACTACAGCCTGCGCAACAGAGTGAGACCCTGTCTCAAAAATAAAAAAATAAAATAAAAAAGAATGTTATACCTGAGACCTGAGACATAGTGCTTGCCTAAAATTTAGAGTGAATCAGAACACTGGGCTAACAAGCATTAATTTTAAAAAGTAATAATAGAAAACTGCTGGAGTGCTGGAGATGAACAATAACTGAGACACAGTGCAAAGGGAAGACCTAAAGCTGAGGATGAAACAGAAATTAAATAAAACCCACTGATAAACCAGCTGCCACTCAAAACACAAGATATCATCAAAAGAATTTGCAATCTGTTTAACACTGAGAGTAACCACAGTAACAAGAAACCCAAAGCAAATTCCTACTCCTGGTTGAATTAACTTAAACATGCACATTAAAGAACCAGCAGGAAGAAAAAATAGAGGCCTAACAAAAGAAAAAGCATGCCCATCTGTAAACATAAAAGCTACTTACCTTAGACTCTATTGCCACAGTATGTCCCATTTCCAACAAAAAATCAAGACACACAAAAAGGCAAGAAAAAAAACAACACTGTCAAGAGACAAAGCAGTCAACAAAACTAGACTCAGATATGACACTGATGTTGGAACAGAAAGGTAAATTAAAATATCTATGATTAATACGTTAAAGACTCTAATGTAACAGGAGACGATATGCATGATTTGATGGGAAATTTCAACAGAGATTCAAAAACTATAAGAAATAATTAAATGAAAATGCTAGAAATGAAAACACAATAACAGACGAAGAATGACCTCAGCAGGCTCATAAGTAGACTTGATATAGACTAGGAAAGAATCGATAAAGTGAAAGAAAGTCACTAGAAATTATCCAAACTGAAGCTGAAAAAAAAGTGTGAAAATAAAAATAGAACATTCACGAGTTATGGAATAATTCCAATCAGTCCAATAATCTAATAAGCATAAGACAGAGAAAGTGGATCAAAAGAAATATTTGAAAAAATGATGGCATAGAATTTTCTAGAATTAATTACTGACACTAAACCACAGATCAAAATAGAGAATGCTGACTAAGATAAATATCACAAAAACACACCTATGCATATTAGTCAAACTGCTGAAAACAAAAGACAAAGAGAAGTTCTTAAAGCAGTTGGGTATGGGGGAATCCTTTACATATAAAGGAACACAGATGAGACGTGGAGCCATCTTCCTTCCAGAAACTACCCAAGCCAGATTATGATGAGACATTTTATAGTGCAGAAAGAATGATTTACTTGTTAAAAATTTACCCAGAATTTATAGGCAGTGAATATAATTTTCAAAAATAAAGTAGGAAAAAAACTGAAGGAGAAATACTTTCTCAGACAAATATGAAGGGAAGTCATTTTAACATAGAAAACCTACACTAAAAGAAATGGTAAAAGAAAATTTCTTCAGGAAGAAAATGATACAAAATTGAAATTTAGATCTAAATAAAAAAATAAAAACATCACATTAGAGATGAAATAAATGAAAGTAAATAAAACTTATTTTTTTCTTATTTTTAATGGCTCTGAAATAACGAATTGTTTTGACCAATGGTAGCAATGTAGTGTGTGTTTATGGAAAAAAATGTAAAATATATGACAACAATAACACAAAGTTTGGGAAGGAGGAATTGGGAGTTGACTATTTAAGATTCTTAAAGTCCTTAAATTAAACATTAAGTAGTATAAAATATCTGAAGATAGACTCCAATTAAAGTTGTATCTTGTAAATCCTAAACCAACCCCTGAACAATTTAACAAGAGGTATATATAATAAGTCAAGAGTTGAGATAAAATAGAATAATAAATGCCTGATTATTCTGCCAAGAGAAGGCAGAAAAACAGGGGAGGAAAAAAAACAAAAAATTGGTGGAACAAATCAATTATAGGTATCAAGAGGACAGATCTTAAACTAATTATATCAATGATTATATTTAATGTGAATGGTCTAAACATACTAAATAAGAGATTGTCAGATTGGGCGTAAAAGGAAACTCCAATGATATAATGTTGATAGGGTTTGGCTCTGTGTCCCCACCCAAATCTCATCTCGAATTGTAATCCCCACATGTCAAGGGAGGGAGGTGACTGAATCATCATAGCAGTTTACCCCATGCTGTTCTCATAATAGTGAGTGAATTCTCATGAGATCAGATGATTTTATAAGTGTTTGAGAGTTGCTCCCTTATATGCTCACACCCTCTCCTGCAACCTTGTGAAGAAGGTGCCTGCTTTTACCTTCTGCCATGATTGTAAGTTTCCTGAGCCCTTCCCAACCATGGGGAACTGTGACTCAATTAAATCTCTTTTGTTTATAAATTACTCAGTCTCAGGGAGTATCTTTATATTAATAGCAATGTGAAAATGGACTAATACAACTCTTTACGAGATATCCACTTTAAATATAAAGATAAAGATAGGTAAAATGTAAAAGAATGGGAAAAATATGCCATGCAAACACTAATTTAAAGAAAGATGTAGTAGCTATATTAATATCAAGGTGGACTTCAGAACAAAAAATATTATCAGAAATAAACACTACAGAATGATAAAAAGGTCAATTTTCCATGAATTATAACAATTTATATCAGCATGCACCTTACAAGAGTTTAAAAATGCATGAAGCAAAAATTGCTGAATTTGAAAGCAGAAATACACAAACCCTCAATAGTATTTAGATGTTGTAATATTCTCCTCTCAGTAATTGATGACAAAGTAGACAGAAAATCAATAAAGATATAGAAGAACTAAATAACACGATCAACCAACTTGATCTAACCGATATTTATAGAATACTCCAGCCAACAATAGCAGACTGTACATTCTTTTCAAATGTTTGGGACATTCAAGACAGACCATCTTGTGTCATAAATAAGCCTTAAAAATTGAAAAAATTAGAAATCATAGAAAGTTTAGCTTTTGGACAATAATATAGCTAAACTAGGAATCCGTAACAGAAATATATCTGGAAAATCTTTGAATATTTGTAAATTCAACAAACACAATTTTTAATAGCCATAGGTCAAAGAGGACATTTTGAGAAAATCTGAAAATATTTTTGACTTAATAGCATAAAAATTTAAACATATTAATTTTTTTACATTAAGCTAAGTAGTGCACAGAGAGATCTTTATAGCATAAAAGACTACACACTGAGTACAACGTACACAGCTTGGGGGATGGGTGCACCAAAATCCCTGCAATCACCACTAAAGAACCAAACACCACCTGTTGCCAAAAATCTATTGAAATTTTTAAAAATTAAAAGAAAAATTTGCCGGGAATGGTAGAATGCGCCTGTGGCCCCAGCTTCTCAGGAGGCTGAGGCAGGAGGATCTCTTGAACCCAGGAGTTCAAGGCTGCAGTGAGCCATGAGTGCACCACTGCACTCCAGCCTATGTGACAGAGTGAGACTTTGACACACGTGCGCGCATGCACACACACACACGCACACACACAATGAATAAAGTTTTTTATGGCCAGGTGTGGTGGCTCATGCCTGTAATCCCAGCACTTTGGGAGGCTTAGGCAGGAGGATCACTTGAGCCCAGGAATTCAAGACCAGTCAGGGAAACATGTAGAGACCCCCATCTCTACAAAAATAATTTTAAAATTAGCTGGACAGGATGGTGCACACTTGTAGCCCCAGTTTCTGGTAGGCTGAGGCTGGAGGATTGCTTGAGCCCAGGGGTTTGAGATTGCAGTGAGCTAGGACTGCACCACTGTACTCCAACCTGGGTGACAGAGTGACATCCTGTCTCATAAATAAATAAATAAATAAATAAATAAATAAATAAATAAATGGAGCTTTATTACGCTCCCCAAAATGGAAAGCTAGAATCATCTGCCATAAATGAAAAAGTAAAAGTTCAAAAAGTAAGGCCGGGCACGGTGGCTCACGCCTGTAATCCCAGCACTTTGGGAGGCCGAGGCGGGCGGATCACGAGGTCAGGAGATCGAGACCATCCCGGCTAAAACGGTGAAACCCCGTCTCTACTGAAAATACAAAAAATTAGCCGGGCGTAGTGGCGGGCGCCTGTAGTCCCAGCTACTTGGGAGGCTGAGGCAGGAGAATGGCGTGAACCCGGGAGGCGGAGCTTGCAGTGAGCCGAGATCCCGCCACTGCACTCCAGCCTGGGCGACAGAGCGAGACTCCGTCTCAAAAAAAAAAAAAAAAAAAAAAAAAAAAAAAGTTCAAAAAGTAAGTCAGTCACAAATGACAAATCTAATCCCTCTCTTTAAGGGACTAGAAAAGGAAGATCAAATTAAACTAGACGCAAGCAAAAGGAAAGAAATTTAAAAACAGAAGAGCAGAAATCATGAAATTGAAGATAAAAAATAGAGAAAATCAGTGAAACTAAAAGATGATTCTTTTTAAAAATCAATAAAGTTCAAAAACCTGTTCCCTGACTAAGAAACAGAGAGAGAAGAAAGAAATTACTAATATTAGAAGTGAAAGATGGGAGGGATATACAGATCCCACATAGTTAATAAAAGGATGACACCATAACTCTTAAATACTCAAATTCAAAAACTTAGATGAAATTAGCCAATTCCTTAAAAGACACAAAATGCCAATACGTGCTCAAGAAATAAGTAGATCACTAGAACAGCCCATATCTATTGAAACAATTAACTCATAGTTTGTAACCTTCCAACAAAGAAAACTTGGCCCAGATGATTTCACAGGCAAGTTCTACCAAAACTTTAAGAAAAACATGATACCAAAAATAGCAGAACAGGGACCACTTTCAACCTTATCTTAGGAGATCAGAATTATCCTAATACTAAAACTAGACAAAGTAATTACAAAAAGAGAAAACCCTATTTCTCATGAACAAAGATATAAATATTCTCAACAAAATGTTAGCTAATCAAAACCAACAATATGTATATATAAGGGATAATATATGATAAATAGATGTGTTTATCCCAGAAATGCAAAGCTGCCTCTACATGTAAAAATCAATTAATGCAATTTATCGTATTAACAGACTAAAGAAGAAAATGCAAATGATTATCTCAATAGATAAACGGCATTTGATAAAATTCAACATTAATTCAGGATAAAAAGCTTTCAGCAAACTTAGGACAGAAGAAAAATTCATTAACCTAATGAAGGACATCTATACAAAACCTGCAGCTAACATCATTGAGTGAAAAACTAAATGCTTTCTCCCTAAAATCAGTAAAAAGACAAGAGTATCCTCTTTCACCACTTCCATTCAACATCTTACTGAACGACCTAGCCAGTGCAATAAGGCAAGAAAGAGAAATAATATATTTAATCCACATACATGATATATCTCTCCATGTATTTTAGTCTTCTTTAATTTATTTTATCAGTGTTTTGTTGTTTTTAGCCTACTTATCCTACATAATTTATTAGATTACATTTATAATATTGTTAAAATGTCAGTTCTATCCAAACTACTTTACAAATTCAGCACAATCCCCATTTAAACCCATAGGGTTTTTTTTTATACATTGAAACATCAATTCTAAAATTTGTGTGGAAACATGGCAAAGAAAGCAGAATAGCAAAAGCAATCCTGAAAAACAAAACAAATTTGGAGGATTCATACTATCTGATTTCAACATTTACTATAAATCTGCAGTCATCAGCATAGTTTTGTATTGACAGAGATAGATACAAGATCAATATAACAGAATAGAGATCCCAGAAGTAGATTCACACAAATATACTTATTTTTTTATAAAGGTGCAAAGAAAATTCAATGGAGAGAAAATAATCTTTTCAACAACTGTTACTAGAACAATTGGATATCCATATGAGATAAGTTAATCTGTATCCATAGCTTCTGCCTTACCAAATATTAAATCAAAGTGGATCATACACTTAAATGCAAAATGTGAAATTATAAAATCTTCTCAAAGAAAACATAGAAGATAATGATTATGACATTGAGCTAGGCAAAAAGTTTCTTAGAAACAACACCAAAACCAAGAGTCAAAAAATTTTAAAGATCAATTAACATTATACTTTTTAAAATTTTAAACTTTTTGGTTAGCAAAGCCAAGTTAAGAGAATGAAAAGACAAGCATGGATCAGGAGAAAACATTTGCAAACCAAATCACATATCTGACAAAGAACTTGCAACTAGAATACAGTTTTTAAAACTCTCACAATTCATTAATAAGAAACCAAACAATCCATTTAAAAAACAGAGAACAAATTAGAACAGACTTTAACAAAGAGGATAAACAGCTGGCATATCAGCACATGAAAAGATGATTAATATCATTATTAGGGAAATACAAATTAAAATCACAATTTTATATATTTTATATATATATGTAAATGCTAAAATAGCTAGACTTAAAAAAATAATGCTAAACGCCAGTGAGTATGCAAAGCAATTGGAACTCTGATATGTGGCTAGTGAGAATGCAAGATGGTACAGCCTCTTTGGGAAATAGTTTGGCAATTTCTTAAAAAATTAAACATATACTTACCACATGGACTAGCAAACCCACTCCTAGTTATTTCTTCAAAAGAAATGAAAATGTGCATTCACATAAAAACCTATATGTGAATATTTACAGAAGTTTTATTCATAGCTACCAGAAAGTTGAAACAATCCAGATGTCCTTCAACTGGTGAATAGATAAGCAGAATGGTACATTCATACAATGAAACCTTCCCCAGCAGTAAAAAGTAATGAATTATCAATACATATAACAACCTGGATAAATCTTCAATATATTTTGCTAAGAGAAATACGCCTGACTAGATGTTGTAAGGTTAAATACAAAAAGAAGTATACTGTACACAATTACAGTACTCTAGGTAGACATTTTTTTTTCTGATGTGGTATGGGTTAAGAATTCTGAAATTACTTTATGAATGGATCAGAGTTGAACAAATAAATGAATACACTGTAGGTTTCTCACTATTTGAGACAGAAGTTAAAATGAAGAAGAGGAAAAATCTAGATGAACCCCCTGATGTTAGATTTGAGCGTGTGGTATCCATATAAACTCTTATTTCTTATTATTTTATATGCAGATGAATACTGAAATATAGAGGTGTTTGTCTGCAAAGATTAGTATACATACATACATACATACATACATACATACATACATACATATAGTTTCCAGGGTTGCCCACTGAGAGAACCTAGAAACAGCTACAACTCAGTAGTAATGAACATACCCAGCTCTGAGATATTGGCTTCTAAATAAAACGACCCAGGGCACATCAGATCATGTGGTGCGAGGAAGTAAGAAAGTATTCAGAAAAGGATAAGACAGGTAGAAAGGACACTGAGGACAGCCAGGAAAATCACCCAAAGGCTGAAGCTGGAACAATTTGAACAACAAAATAAATAATGATAGTATTAGAATATAACTCATAGAATAAAATAAATATCCATGAGAACTTGCTGATATAAATAAGTAAGTAAATGGAACAGTTCTTCCCTACAGAAGAATTCTGATTAATACATTTAGAAGGAATAAGGAAATTAGAAAATATTAAACACTACAGTAATAAGAATTGTTACAGACAAGATCAACCAATGAATACTAAAATAAGTGGGTGAACATTTGAGCAGAAACATATTTTTGTAACTTTGAAGTGTCTCCTGTAGAATTGTTACTAAGGACGAAGGGAAAAATAGAAACTTTACAGTGCAGAAATCTAGCCAATACCACTTTAATCCTAGTGATCTAGTTCCCATTACCGATCATAAAACAAACTGACATCATGTATTGCCTTTTATGATGCACTGAGAAACACACATCATCTCTGTGGGATTCTTCTCAGAGGAGCCTACTTCATGCTTCCTTTATCCTTTGTAGATTCTTAGGAGATTTTTTAGTCTTCTAAGCCATAATTGTACACCCATATTATTGTCATTTTCTCATAGTTTTTATTGTGTCTTGAATATATATCTTAAACATTCACCTTTGGGCTGTTAACTTTTTAATCTAGGTTTTTCCAGATTATCTCATCTTGATAGTAAATAAAAGAGAAGTATTGAGAAGTGCTCTGTTTTTAATGATCATTTATGACTAGTGCCAATTCAGTTATAAGTTAGGATCAATAATTACTTAAAATCGCGATTGCATGGATCCTCAGGCTCAGACCATCTCTCAGTTTCTCTCTTTCTTCCCTGCGCTCTCTATGTCAATGTCTGTCTCTTTCTGTATCCCTTTCCTCTTTTTTCCCCACTATCTTTGTTAGAAGCAGTAGATCACAGCAGTTAAGTGCAGAGCTTGAGCGCCCTCTGTCTGGGGTCAAGCAGAGCTCTGCTATTTGGCCCTGTGATATTGCATGAACCATTTAACCCATCTGGCATTTGATTTCCTCTATCTGCAAAGTGGAGATAATAATAGTACCTACCTCACAGAATCAGTGTGATGATTAAATGAAATAATACAATTAAATCACTTAGAAAAAAGAGTGGTTAGCATACAGGCAGTTCTTAGTAACTATTACTTATTTTACACCTAGGTTCAGAGAATTAAACTCCATCATCAACAATTTGGATAAATCCACTTTCTTATTTTCTCTCTTTTTTGATAATGAGCATCTCCTATAATTCTCCATTCTTTCATGACAACCACTCTACCCTATTTAATATATGTTTTTGGAGATATAAGTTTCCTAGGAAAATATATTTTATATATTGGTATGGCCTTAATTTACATATGCCCTATTTGTTGCATTTTGAAAAAATATAAAATATATAAGATACATTTTAATTTTAAAATATATATGCAAATTTCTGTATGTCCATTTTGTTCAATGGTTTTCAACTGTGAAATCACTTCGAGAACTTTTAAATAACACCAATCCCCATTCTAGATCAATTAATCCAGGCACAGGGGCTTAGGCATTAATAATTCTTATTTTATCTATTCATCTATTTATTTGAGACAGGGTCTCATTCCGTCACCCAAGCTGGAGGGCAGTGGCACCATCATAGCTCACTGAAGCCTCAAACTCCTGGGCTAAAGTGATCCTCCTGTTTCAGCCTTCTGAGTAGCTAGGAATACAGGCACATGCCACCATGCCTTGCTAATTTTTAATTTTTTTTTTTGTAAAGATAGGGTTTTGCTATGTTGCCCGGGCTGGTCTCAAACTCCTGGATTCAAGCAATCCTCCCACCTTGGCCTCCCAAAGTGCTGGGATTGCAGGCATGAGCCACTGTGCCCTTCCAGGAGTTTTTAAATTTCCTCAGGTGAGCAGCCAGAGTAAGAACCACCAAATTAGTTCATGGCTTCTAATTGCTCCGTAGTATGCCTCCACCATCGTTCATTCATTCATTCATTCATTCATTCATTCATTCATTCCTTGGTAGTGGATGCCTCACTTTCTTCCTGTTCTCTATTAACTACATGCAATGTCTTAGTAAACATCCTCATACGTGTTCCTTTCTGGGTCTGGAAAAGATGTGTTCTGGGTTATAGACACAGAGGGGAACTATCAGCTTGTTGAATTTATGCACTTGTCTAAATAATGCCAATTCTCTCCAGGGTGTGTGCATTAGTTGATTCTTTCACAAGAGTGCATGATGAGTCTGTTTTCTCCAAACCGTAAGACCTGGAATGTGCAACCTCTGTTGTAGAGAAGAGCCACATGCTTGGTTGAATGCTCTCCTATCATCTTGAAATTCTTAATAATTTTACTTGGAGCTTGTGGTTTACAAGTGAAATCAGATGGGACAATGGAGCAGGTAGAAGCACACCCAACAGAAGTAGAGCCATTCAGTTGTGGTTTAGAAGCAGCTCACTTAAGCATGGACTCAGGCATATGTTCATGGCAAACATATACCTTGAGACAAATGAGATGTCATTTGAAGGTTTTGAATAGAGGAGTGACTGATTCATCTGCCATTTAAAAGATCACTCTAGCTGCTGTGTTACAAATAGATGAGGAAAAAAGAAAACACTTAAGAAGCAAGTTCAGTTATAAAGTTAGGAGCCTACTGCAATAATTAAAGAAAAATCATGGATTCCTAAAGTTGGAAGCAATAGGGATGAAGAAAGTTAGATTTAGATATAATTTGTACTAGCATCCCAAAAGGGGTGCAGTGAATGCCATCTACTCCAGGCGCAGACAATAAGTAGAGAATTATCCGTAGAGAATTCAAAAGTGACATTAAAACTAACTAAAAGTCAGTTTGCTTTTTATTGTTACCATGAACTTGCAATTGTAAATAATGTCAGTGATAAAATACTCCTCTGAGAAGAAAAGCTCTTTAGTCTAAGTTTTAGTTCTACACAAGTGCTGTAGTTTCTGCTGAGTTTTAATAATATACATGTGAGCTACAATTTAGCATATTTTAAATTTCTTATCCTTTAATAAACACTGTATGCCAGATGGAAGTTATTTCCAAGAAGCTCCAGTTGCACGGTTGTCGTCCAACACAAATGGACTCAGTTGCCTGCACAAGTTTTGAGAAAATGTTTACGTGGTGTTGAGGAATTGCTGGTGCACACTTCAGGGGCACGACTTGGTGGTACCACCTATCTCTGCAGTTAGATAGGAGATTAAGAATACACAATAGCACAGTGATTATAAATGTGAAGAGACAGAATTTGAATTATCTTAATTCTGTAATTTGCTGTGACCATTTGGAGTTTTCATTTGTGTTTAAAATTTCTGGGTTTTATTGTAAAATGGGACTTTTATCTTTAAGACTTTTATGACTAATTGTGCATTTATTCATTCATGTAAATAACATTTATAAAAAGTATTCTTCAATCAACTATGAAGGAAGATTGACAAATCTGGCTCTATTCTATTAAACATGAATATGTAAAGAAAGTTAATTTTGTTGAAGTCATTGACAAGTTTGCAGAACTCAGAAGTTCTGAGTCTGAAGGCTCAAACACTTCATTAATCCAAAAACAAATATATAGGTACAAGTTGTTTGTCTCTTTTATAACAAGTAATAAATCAAGTAGTGTTTATTCATACTTTTTTCCTTGCTTGTATTGTAATTTTTATTTTATTCTTTTTTTTACATGTAATATTTATTTTTTTCTGACACAATTTTATATATGAAGTTTGGTGAAAGAAAAAAATCATTGTCTACGTTTCTTTTCTAGCCATTATTATTATCTTCTTTACTTCATGATTATTACTGAAAATAATTTTGTCCTGTAGATGAGGCATGTTAAAAAAAATCTACTATGGTTGTCAAAGCCCATTACATCACTGATAACTTGAAGTCAGGACCAATAACACTCCTGGTGGGTAAGACATGGCATGCATAAGGTAAAAAGGTTTTTGTTTGTTTGGATGTTTTATTTTGTTTTTGTTACCTGGGCTACCGAAAGGATGGTGTTGCCACTTACAGGCTTGTGGGGGAAAAGTAGATCTTTGGTTTGGGAAGTGCCAACTCCAAGCTATTAGAAAAATAAGTGCAGATGTTAAATTGACCGTAGATATCCAAATCTGGAATTCAGGGCTGAGACCCAGGCTGCACAGTAACAGCATGAAGCTGGTATTTAAAGACAAGAACTGGACGAATTCACATAGGAGAAGAGTATATACCGAACGGGAAGGTGGTCTGAATGGGAGTCCTGAGTTATGTCAGCATTTAGAGATTGATCTTTTGTGGCCCACATTGCTATGAATATTCAGTGTGTGCTCACAAAGAATGCACATTCTCTTTTTATGGCACAGGCTTATGGTGAGGAATTTTTGTCCGTGTGATCAATTCCTTGAATGCGTTAAAATATGTGGAGTACATTTTTTACTTAATTTTTTCTCCCGGTAATCCTGTCATTTGTCGCTTTCTCTAATAGACCTTGTACATTTCAGAGCATCTGTTGGTTTACAGAAAAATTAAGACAGTACAGAGACTGCCCATGTACTCCTGCAGGTGGGGCTCCCCCATCAATTAATGCAACATCTCACATTAGATGGTAGATTTGTTACAATGAATGGATCAATATTGAGACATTATTATTAACTGAACAGTTTATTCAGAGTTCCTTAGTTTTTGCCTGTTGTCTTTCCTCTGTTCCAGATTCTACCCAAGATACTACACTACATTTATTCATCATGCTTCCTTAGGTCCCTCTAGACTGTGGTGGTTTCTTGGGCTTGCCTTGTTTTTGATGACCTTGACAGTTTTGAGGAGTAACTGACCAGGTATATTGTAGGATGTCCCCTTTTGGAATTTGCCTCAATATTCAGGGGTTATCAGTGTTTTAGAGAAAATATCAGAGCATAAAGTGGCATTTTCATCACATCATGTCAACATAATTCATGACTTGACACTGACCTTGATAACCTGGTTGATGCAGTGTTTGTCAGGTTTCTCCACTGTCGAGCTGCTCATTTCTCCCCTTTCCAGAATACACTCTTTGGAAGAAAATCACTAGATGCCATCCACACTTAAGGAATGGGAAGTTATACTCTCCCTCTTTTAAGGCAGAATAATTACATACATTATTTGGAATTGTTCTGTATAAAATATTTGTTTCTTCTCTGCCATTTATTAATGTATTCAATCATTATCAATATGGACTCATAGATATTTCTTTTATACTTTGGGTAATTATCCAATATTGCTTTATTTATTTTGTTGTTTGAATCACTGGGATATTGTTGGCACCTGTGCCCCTTGAGACATCCACATCAACGGGGGTAGAGTTTTTTGTTTCTTTGTTTGGGGATTTTTTTAAAAAAATTTTAAATTTTATTTATTTATTTATTTTGCGCTTCTTTCTGTCTGGCACTACAAAATGCTTCAGACTCATCTTACATATTTCCTACCTGGGCTCTAGAATAAGTCATTCTACAAGAGCTCTGCTTTCTTTGACTGGAGAATGGCACTAGGAACCAAGATCTGGGTTCTACATAGGGTCATTATTACTGAGGTACATCCATTTGTTGCTTTTTGTATTTTACGACCTTGTGCAGATACACACACATACACACACACACACATATTCATGATGATTATTGTAACTTCTCAATCTACTGTTTTTTCTTCTAATATACTAACCCTCTTTTACATTCATAATTTTAACTTTAAATTCTTCATTGCCTGATACGAAAATGGCTATGCCAGATTTCTTTAGATTTGGATTTATCTATATAGCATTCTTAGTTTATTTTCAAATTTCTGAATACTGTTGTTTTAAATATGCCTCTTATAGACAACATATTAGTGGATTTTTAAAATATAGTCTGAAAGTTTCTCTCTTTAAATGGGGGATTGAAACTTCATAATGATTCATTGTATTCCTGATGATTTGGTATTTTGAGACTAATTTCTGACACTCTATGTAAATTGTTCCATTTACCTTACTTCCTTGTTTCTTCATCTGCCTTTTCATCTTCTGTATAAGTTTTTGAAGTTACATCTGTGGTTCTGAAAGTTATACATTCTGTTTTTAGTCTTTGTCTGGTTATCCCTATTAAGATTCAAACTTACATTTTATTTTTTCTTATTAATTTCTCAATAGTATCAGAATCTTTTTTTTTCTAAATCAGACAAGTTCATTTGTGTGTGCTCAGCTCCCTCTCATATCCATGATATTCTCTGTTGATCTCAATCTCACCATGTTGAGCTAATCTAGAACAGTACTAACATACTAGTCACTAACCACATGTGGCTATTTAATTTTAAACTTAGATGAATTAAAATTAAATATAGTAAAATATTTAGTTTACTTTTCAAGTATTCAATAGTTGCATGTAGCACAGATATAGAACATTTCTGTTATCTCTGAAATTTCTATTGAACAGTGCTGATCTAGAATTTTATTCCATATCGTTTTGAACATATTTTTGGTTGTTGATTGCTTTTTTGAGAAAATGGTAAACTTTACTAAATAATTTTCTATTCTTACTTCCCATATATTTTATAGCATCTGCTAGAATTGTTTTCTCTACTTTCTGGAAAACTTACTCCCAGAGTATTTCCAATGGAGGCCTTGGTGTGGAAAACCCTATAAGGCATTTACAGAAGAACATATCCTTATTTTCACCTTGCATTTAAATGATAAATCGCATGAACATAAACTCTAACATAAAATATTCCTTCTTTGCTGTTCTGGTAATTTAATTTTATTGTGTTTTTTTTTCTTTGAGTAATGCCATAGAGAACTCTGATAATAGTCTGACACTTGTTCTTTGTAGATATTGTGCACCTACTCTCAATTTTTTTTTGTTTGTTTTGTTTTAAGGAGCAGAGAGTTTAATAGGCAAGGAAGATGGGAGAAGGTAGAAGATAGAAGCTCCCCCATACAGAGACAGAGGGAGGGGGAGCTCCAAAGCAGAGAGAGGGAACCCCAAGTGGGACAGAAACCAGCCAGGTGTGTATATATAGAGGCTGGAGGAGGCAGTGTCTGATTTCCATAGGGCTCAGAGGATTGGTTTGACTAGGCATGTCATTCACGTAGCTGGGGAAAAGCTGGCCCTCCCCCCCAGCCTTTTAATATGCAAATGCAGGGTGCCACGGTGTTCTACACACGTGGGGATATGTGGGGGCAGCCATGTTGCCAGGAACATGTGGGGCAAGGGCAAGAAGGCCATGGGAATCGCCATGTTGGGTGGACCCAGTTTCTAATGGATTGCGTTTGCATATCAAAGATTGCCAGCCTCGCTCAATCTTGCTCTCTCTCTCTCTCTCCCTCTCTCCGTTATTCTTTAGCAACACTATAATGCCTTGTCATTTTAAAATTGTTCCTGTAAGTTCTGTTAATTTCTGCCTGGCATCTTTCTTTTCTTTTTAAAAACTTTCAATAATTTTTTTACATATATTTCCCCCTGTTTATTTCTTTTCTCTATTTCTGGGATCTCTATTATGGTCAATTTGACATTTTATTGTTCTCTTTTTTTACTTTCCTTTGAGTATGTTTTTGATTTGATCATTTAGTTCAGTAAAACTTTGACTATTTCTTTTGTAACTTATCCCATATATTGAGGTCATTATTTCAATGTCTTCAATTGGTTCTTCTCTACTGGATAATTTTTGTTTCATGTTTCAGATATCATCTTTTTTCAGGTTAAATATTATGTTGTTTTAAATTCTTGCTCTGTTACTTCTTTTATCTTCTGGGTTGTTCAACTTATTAATCTTTTATAGTGTTTGTGTTCCTCAAATATGTCACTGATTGCCCTTGTAAGCTTATATGTCATTTAGTATCTACTAACTTGACTAGTAATGCATACCTCGGGAGAGAAAGAAGTCCAGGCTCTATATTCCAATTTATGTCCCACCTCCCTGGTTGAGAGAGTTAGGAGGATATTCCTTAGGTCTGAGAGGCATTTTCTTTTAGTGAGGAAATTAGAAGAGCAAACAAAATTCAGTGTTAGGTATGTTAAACCTACTTATCGTAATGATATATTTTGCATAGAAGCATTAACTTGATGCATTTAAAAATGCTTTATACAATATAAGTTACATTTTGCTACTTTACAAACCATCCCAGCACATAGTGGTTTAACATAACAACTTAGGCCGGGCTTGATGGCTCATGCCTTTAATCCCAGCAAGCAGGAGGATCACTTGACCCCAGGAGTTCAAGACCAGCCTTGGCAACACAGGGACACGCTGTCTCTAAAATAGGTAGGTAGATAGACAAATAAATAAACAATTTATTATTAGGTATTACAATTCTGTGGGTTGACTCCTTTCAGCTAGGAGGCTCTTGTTTTGAGTCTCTCATGAAATTGCAAGCAGATGGAGGTTAAGCAGGAATGCAGGACTCAACTAGAATGGACATATATGATGGCTCTCTCATGGTGGCTGGCAGCTAATGTGGCCTGTTCACTGGGAATCAAGCACAGGGCTTTAGATTTCTCACAGAATTGTGGCTTTGTTCTTAGAGGAAGCATTCCAAGGGTCAGCTTTCTAAGGGATCCAGGAGGAATCTTATGCTTACTCTGATATAGACTGGTGACTCCCAGAGTCTCACTCCCACTGCATTCATCTAGTCATGCAAATCATTAAGGGCAGCCCAGAGTCAAGGGGAAGAGCAGAACACTCACACAGTGGAAGAAAGAATTGATGATGGCCATCATTGGAAACTACCTTCCATGTATACTTTGCTTTGTGAATTGTATTTCTCTTCTCTGACATGTGTCAGCCTAGAGTAACTCTCTCTGACCTCCATAAGTGAAAACTACTGACTGGTTTTTTTTTTCCCCTAGCAAAGGAAATGAGCTTTGCCTTTGCCCATCAGCTTTATTTTGGGTTAATAAAAACTAAATATTGTTATATCAGCGCCTGTAGTCCCAGCTACTCAGGAGGCTGAGGCAGGGGAATCACTCGAACCGAACCTGGGAGGCGGAGGTTGCAGTGAGCCAAGATTGCGCCACTGCACTCCACCCTGGCAACAGAGCGAGACAGCATCTCAAAAAATAAAAATAAAAATAAAAAAATTAAAGAATCTATAGGCATTTTCTCTTGGAACAGTGTGTTCTATGTATTGTCTGTGTATGTATATGTGTGTGACTCTCCCCACACATACTCACCATGCAAATATTCTAGAATTGCTAGATATTTTGGTCTTGCTCTCTTTTTAAAATTAACTAGATATAAAGCTGCTTACAGTAACAAGCCATTCATCTTTATAAGTCAGTTACAATTTAAAGAAAGCAGTTTCTTCTCAATCACTGGCATCAATCATCTGGAAGTAAGTATCTCATTCAATTATGCTGCATCATGCCAAATACAAATCACATGAACCCTAAAGCATTTTTGAGCTTCAGAAAAAAGAAGAAAAATAAGCTATAACCATTTGAAGTGTTGTAAGCAGCTTTAAATCCTTTGGTTAAGAGGAGATATAATTTGCTATAATTTTAGTGAATTAGAAACATTTGCCTTTATTTCAGGATGTAAAACTCTAATCTTTAACATAAGTATTTTATTTCTTAACAGCGTTGACTTAATCTTTGTGATTTCTGCTCTCACAAGTGCTTTATTCTATTTTAAAATCATAAAACACATAGAAGATGCTATCCCATATTCTCAGGGCATGCTGTGTGTCCTCTTACATGAGAGGCTGAACTGGTAGGAGTATAAATTCTGATTGGAATATTCATATTAGAATAACACGAAGAAAGGGTCTGACAAATTTAGTCAAGAATTTCAGCAAAACCTTATTTTGAAATGTAAATGGTAAAGGATGTGAGCAAAGAATTCACAAAGAATAAATACAGACACTCAATGGATATAGAAAAAATGTTTAACTTTACAATTTATCAAAAAGTAGACTAAAACAAAAGACTGTATTTTTCCTAACAAATTGGCAAATTTTAATTAAATTATATTAAATGTTATTGGTTTTTACAGGAACAATTAGACAAAAGCTTAAAAATTGGGGTTGTCCCCCAAAGTTTAAAATATATATTTATGACAAAATTTCTTCGTCTGCAATCTGGATAAATCTATTTAAACAGAAAACAAGAACAACTGGAAGGATGCCTGAAAGCATAAAACCACATTATCACAGTGTGTTTGGAAGTTATCTCCTTCAGTTTTCTCCCCAGATTTCCTGGTATTTTACTCAGCAATCTGGCCTTCAAATTTAAGAAGATCCCAGTAAATAAAATGATTAATATTGTTTGTTTAGTAAATGTGATTATGTCTGAATAGCTGCTACTTAGAAGAGGGATCAACAAACTTTTTCTGTAAAGGGCCAGATAGCAAATGTTTTAGTTTTTGAGAGCTATAAAGTCTCTGTTGCAACTATTTAACTGTTGCTGTGCTGTGAAAACAGCCATAGAGATTACATAAATGGATGGATATGGCTGTATTCCAATAAAATGTATTTACAGTAACCACCAACAGGTCATATTTGGCCTGTGGGATGCAGTTTTCTGAGCCTAGCTCTAAAATATGCCTGTATATTGTCCCTTAATCATAGTGTCTAGTATATTTATATTTATTTATCCAAGGAAGATGCTGAGAAGCCTGGGGTGGGCGTAGGAGAAGAGGGGAAGGTTTCGAGGCCAAACTTAGCCAAACATAGGCAGAGAAAGGATGGCAAGCTTCCAGAATTATCCATATGTTGTTAACCGGGTCTACACAGAGTTGGCTACACTGGCCAATAACTTGAAAATGTCTAGATACTGGATATGAACAAAGAAAAAAAATTATCACTAGTGGTAATTATACTCAATTCTTTCAGAAGGTCCTAGCAGAAAAGAGATCAGAGCAGGCAAAAGCAAAAATGTAACTTTTATTGAAAAAAGAAAACATGTTTGGAAGTTTTAAAATTAGTGTTAGAAAAGAATGCACTCAAATACTGATGTCGCCTCAGAAGTTCTTGCTATGAATGTAACCTTCCTGGAGGTAGAAAAAAACTGACCCTCCAATAAAATAGCTGTGGTTTGGGTCAGCAGTTTTCTTTCCCCTTTCCCAGCTCTTTTTCCCTTTTCCTCCTGAATCTGCACTGACCTCCCATCTCCCTCTTTTGGGGGCAAAGATTAAGCCGATGGGGGCACCCCAATCAGAAGTCCCTGACCGTCCCGTCCTTGGTTATTTAACCGCGATGGGTATTTCCGGGAAGGTCATCATTTCTTTCCATCACAATGAGTGATCGACTCAACATGGAGTTCATATTGCACCAAACACTTTCAAAAATGATTCATGTTAATGGCATGTCTCGGGGAATTGATGCTGAACAGAAGCTACAACTAAAGCTTAAAAAATGATTTAGCAATAGGAAAGCCCACAGACCACGGCACACGTAGGCACAGTAGATGGTAAACATCAAAGAATAAATACAACTAAAAGTCATAAAATCGGATAGACAATAAATCTGACAGTTCAAGACCTTTTGGGGCTTGAATCATAAAAAATAAAATTACTTACTCAGGCATTCCTGGGTTTGTTTATTTATTTATTTATTTATTTATTTATTTTTTGCCACACGTCTTTTACAGGGCAGTGAACTGAAGACAGTTTCATATTTCTGACGTGTTAGTGTGTTTTACAAAGGTGGTTGCCGCACAAAATAAAATCAAAAGGACATATTGAAAAAAATACCCTCCTTTTGTCCATAATACTGATCACTCCTTGAAGGAAGAGGTTGTTGGGAATTTATCCACCAAAATCAGACTTGAAGCTTTTATAGGTTTCCCATGGCAGCCACAAAATGTAACAAAAAAAGAGAACTGATATATCCAAATCATTCTTGTTTTTTATTTCCTTACAGTCCTTTTGTCTTCTAAGGGAGTTATAATTGGGTTTGTAGAGTCTATTTTATAAAATAAAAAGGAGAAAAGCATTGTAATGTTTTAGATGAACTGAAGGGAGAAAAGAAATATAGGAAGCTAACATTAGATTGAAGAAAATATTAATGTCAAAAATACCTTTTCTTCAAATATAAAATGTGTCCTTAGGAAAAGTTTCTGCAAAAGATCTAAACATAGATCATCCTTAATGTATTTTTAACTAAAGGAAGAAGAAAATAATAAGCAGACTAATTGTACCTTTGTTTCTTCTAAGACTTGCTTCCTATCTTAACTATTAAGTCATAATTCAAAAGCAGTATTAAACCTCCACTTATAAAGCATTCTGTTAAGACTTCTGTAACATTTAATAATGAACAAGACAAGATTCCACCCTCAAACCTGGGTCTAGAAAGCTGATCCTGAAGGTAACCGTTAAAGCCTTGCTGAGTAAAGGGAACTGACCTTGACTGTCTCAATTCTTTATGCATCTTGCTACTCCTCATACATAACTCAAAATAAGCTCATGAATACTTTTGGTTTTACATGTCTTACCTTCTTTTCCCTATTAGATATTAAAGTCCTTATCAATATTCAAGAAATATCGATCATCTACTGTGCATCAGAGACCATTCAACAATAACCAAGACATGTTCCTGCTACTGCAGAGCTTGCAATTAAGAAAGATATTAAACAATAATTATACAATGAATTATATAATTAATTTTGTTATAAAGACAGCAATGAACATTACCTAGTAGATCCATCTTATATATGTTCTTCATACCCCCACTGTTTGAGACATTCCTCTGCAAAAAACAAACAAACAAACAAACAAAAACAATAAAGTTGTTGATTATGTGACAAAATAAATTTTAGGAGTTTGGTTAGGTTACGTGGTTTAGGCAATGCGTTTTCAAAAGCGTCAATATTGCCCTCATAGGGGTGAAAATCGGTTTTGGCAGGGGTGAAAAAAATACTTCTTTTAATGCATAAAGCAGAGAGAGATATACATACAGCATATAAACAGATATATGTCATATGTGAGATATTAAAATATTATGGGGTAGCAGTTGGAAAAAATGTCAAAAAAGGTTTATTAGGGAGGGAAATGATAATGAAAAAACGACTGAGAAACACTGGTGTAGGCAACACCTGCTTACTAATATTCCATTTGTGTATACCAATTCCATACAACGTTCTCATGCTCTTTCTCCCCAGTCAAGGGAAGTGCTATCATCAGAAACTCTTGCCAGCCAAATGTATTATCCTTTGGCTCTGCTTGGACAGACGCAGGTTGTAGAACTCATAGTAAATAAAGGCTATAATGTAAGATAGCTTCAAAGTGTATGGGCTCTGGGTTTAAAGAGAGCTCAGTGTTCTTTATATGATAGCTCAGTGCTGTCATATAAATCTTCATTGGGTAAAAATAATAAGAGCTACACTTATTGGGCATGTTATAAATGCTAGGGTCTGCACTAAGTGCTTTAGGTACATTCTCTCATTTAATCCTCAGAACTCTCATGAGTATTATTAACATCCCCATTGTACAGAGGATAAAACTAGGACTTGGATTGGTCAAATAATTTACTCAGATGAGACTTGAAATTGAAACCCAGACTATCTGATGTCAAAGACTATTGTCCTAACCTTTTGCTATTATTACCTACTATAAGCTAAACTATTAATATATTTCTAAGTACCATTTGCAAAATGGTTTCTTTGGGAAAAGTGATCTGAATTCCAAAAACTGATTCACAAAAAGAACTATCAAAACACCTGTTTACTACAGATCTAGGATAATGTATACGGCTTCTTGGTACTTTTGGTAAATTAAAGACAGCTGTAAGTTTTTTGTTTCTGTACCCACCAAGAAGTGGAGTCCAATTATTCCCCCCTTGACTACGGGTTAGGCCCTGTCATGTTTTGACTGATAGAATACAGTAAAAGTGATGCTGTGCTAGTTTTGACCCTAGGCTTTCAGAAGACTGGCAGCTTCTTCTTGGAATCTAGCTACTATGCTGTGAGGAAGCTCAGGGAGCCACACGAAGAAGCCCATATGGAAAAGAATTGAGACCACCAACTAACAGCTCCAGCTGAGCCAACAACAGCTTACCAGCCCTGTGAGTGAGGCCATTTTGAAAGTGGACCTTCCAGACCTAAGCTATGCCTGATGAATCCTGCTCAAATAGCAAAATCTTGAGCAAAGAAATGATTGCTGTTGTTTTAAACCACTAAGTTTTGGGCAACAGATTATCAAAACAGTACCCCAATACAGAGTGATTTAAAAATGAGTGATGATTCACACAAATAAAACTGGACAGATTCTCCTGATGCCAAATTACGGACCTCATATTTCCAGAGATAAGAGTTTGACTGCTTTTTGTCTTTTCACCCAGAGGGAAAGGTTATAGGTAGACTTTTTCAGCAATAATCCTTTCTGGAACTCTAAACGTGTGTTTTCTATTGTCAAGGTTCCCATTTTGTAGAAGTGCCTACATTGCCATTACTATCGTGAGCAGAAGTAGGTTAGGTTTGCCTAGGTTAAGCCAATACAACTTGCGATTTTACCTTGAAAGGGCTTTTTAAGGGAAACTTTTGAAACAAATCAATAATTTCAGAATAATTTATAGTACACATAAAAAAGAAAATCACTTTACCAAACAATTATGTTTAAACTAAATGTATGTATTCTACTGAGTTGTCAATGTTAAGTCTAAGCACTGCCCTATCCTAAGATGCTCATATTTATCCCCCTTTAGATGTGTAGGCCAGAGCCTCAGTCCCATCCTTGATTATTGATGCATTCATGACATGTCTATTTCTGTCAATTTCATATAGGAAACTCTGTGCTATGAACTCAGTTGTGTCCCCTAAAATTCATATGTTGAAGCCCTACACTAGACATGGCTATATTAAGAGTAAGGAAGTAGGTAAGGCTAAAAGGAGTTATAAGGGTTGAATCTTGATCTGATAGGATTAGTTAGTCTCCTTATGAAAAGAGACATGAGACAGCTCTCTCTCCCCACCATGTGAGGACACAGCAAGAAAGCATCTGTCTGCAAGCCAGGAGGAAAGCCTTCATCAAAACTGTATCTGTTGGCACCTTGATCTTAAACTTCCCAGCCTTCAGAACTATGAGAAATAAATTCCTGTTGTTTAAGCCACCCAGTCTGTGATATTTTGTTATGGCAGACTGAGCAGACTAATACACTATGTTCATAGAATTTTAAGTGGAAAGAAATGTATAGGTCAGTCTCCCCATATTTGTTCTTCTCTTATATGGTAATAGAATTTTCAGTTGGGCACATGGCCATCCAGATTAAAAAATATATTTTCCAGCCTCCCTTTCAGATACAGCCAAGTTACAAAGCTGAGCTTGTGCAATGTCAGTGGGGGTAGATGTTCAACTGCCATGTTGGGTAAGGGAAGAGCAAGGTTTCCTTGTCCCGTTTCTTCTTCCTGAGTGAGAAGTCATCATGGAAGATGGCAAAGCCATAAGATAAAAGGAGTCTGTGATTCTTTGCGAAAGGAACCTGCCCTACCAACTCAGGGTTTTACTTGTGAGAGGAATAAATGTCTATCTTTTTTAAAAGCCACTGTTAATTTTGGTTCCAGAATTTTACAGAAACCAAATTGATATTCTCACTAATTCATATAATCATCTATTGCAGGGATTGGCAAACATTATTTGTAAAGGGCCAGAAAATTATTATTTTAGGCATTATGAGCTTCGTTTATGGGTCTATGAGCCACATGTACTCTGTTGCAACTACTCTGCCTTTGTAGCATGAAGCAGTCATATACTATATGTAAATAAATGAGCAGTATGGTTGTATTTCAATTAAGTTTTATTCATAAAAACAGGTGGCAGACCAGATTTGGCTCCTAGGCTATAGTTGTAGACCCCTGACCTATTATTATTAATCCCTTTATCTTAAAAGTGATGAAACTGATATATACAGATTTCAAACTATGCTCACACATAGCTAAGACAACGTAAATACCAACTCAGTTCCCTAAATTCTCAGGTCAATATTCTATCCATCCACCTCATTCTCTATTATAGAGGCTTATAGATATCTCTCTACAGGTGCTTAGTGCTTGTTCATTATAACATAAAAGCCTTACTCTTAAAAAAAAAGTCTCTACATATTTTTCTCTTTTTCTTTGTCTCTATATTATTTTCATTGCATTTTTCTTTTTGCTCTTTTCCATTATAAAATTTGTACTTTTTATTATACACCTATATCTCCTGTTCTTATGGGTCACTTGTTTTGTGTATTAGACAGTAAAGGTTATTAGGCCAAAGATATCCAGAGATTGATCTTTATTAATATCACCTGCCTCAGATGTTTCTTGGAAGCAAGACTTTAAATAGAGTAACTTCATTTATATTAATAACAAAGACATAACATTGTTTGTAAGAATACAAAGAAATTCCTGTGTCCATGTGATTCTAAGTAGAAGCCAAAACACTGTATTTTTTCCAGGGCTAACATTTTTGTACCACCCTTCAAAAATTATTTAGGTGCAACTACAAACTTCCCAATCTTTCACGACTCAGGTATCTGAGGTTTAAAAATTAAGCCAGTTTCAGATAGCAGAGATAGATTTTCTGTTTATTACAAAATTATAACTGACCTTGGCCATTACATTAAAAATTCCTCCTTGAACCTAATACCAGAAAGTATTTGTCTGTAAAAAATGAATGCCTTTTTTCTTAAACAATGCAAAATGTATAATTCAATGTATTTTCTATTTTTCCCTAAGTTACCAGGAAATTTGTAGCTTGCTCAAATCTCATCTCTCCTCATTCAGCATCCTGGTCTCCTGGTAACAGCTACTCCCTTTCAGATAGTTTTTATTCTTTATGCAAACAATTTTATTATCTCATTGCATACTGTATTTGATTTTGCTAATTTATTCGATTATACTTTGGAGTTGCGTGGGATCTACACCAATTGGATAAGTGGCAACGGTGAAGTAGCTCTCAGCTCTCAGGGTACCAACTAGAGGGGGTCACATCTCCACTGCAACACCTCAAGAATTTCAGCAGTACCTTTCAACTTTCCTTGATTCTCACAAAAGGAGGGTCAAATCCAAACAATACTAGAGAAAAGTACAAAGGGCAAATAATTGTCCATATAGATATTCTATTTGGGATACCTTCCATTTAAGTCTTTTCTAGGGCTTTTTGTTTCTTTTGACAGTATGTATCAAAATACGGTTCCTAGATTTCTTTTTAAAATTCAGATTTCTTAATCTCCAGATGTACTGAATCACAATGTCAAAAAGTAGAGCCCAGTCATCAGTATTTTCACTGGTTCTCCTGGTGATATGAATACCTGCCAAAGCTTAAGGCCATCAGCCTTTGAATTAAAGTCTAGATCTCTGAATGTTTCATACCTCCCAGATTCAGGCACTACCTTCTGCCATGCCACTCTACAAATCTCCGCTTTTTTTTTTTTTTTTTTTTTTTTTTTTTTTTATGAGAGGCAGTCTTGTTCTGTCACCCAGGCTGGAGTGCAGTGGCACAATCTCGGCTCACTGCAACCTCTGCCTCCCGGGTTTAAGTGATTTTCTCCTGCCTCAGCCTCCCAAGTAGCTGGGACTACAGGCACTCGCCACCACACTTGGCTAATTTTTGTACTTTTAGCAGAGACGGGGTTTCACCATGTTGGCCAGGCTGGTCTTGAACTCCTCACCTCAAGTGGTACCCCAGCCTTGGCCTCCCAAAGTGCTGGGATTACAGGCGTGAGCCACTGCGCCTGGCCCAAATCTCCTCTTCTAGCCCTACAGGACCACATGAAGTTTTCTGGATTATCACTGCTTCTTCAAGCAGCAACATTCCTGTGTTCTCTGCTGGGAAGTTCCTCCCTGGCCTCACCTATCTGAGATACTACAACTTGTCCTGTAAGAAACACTCACGTATGCCTTCCAACAAAGTCTTCCCTGATTTTGCCCAAACCACACTCCCTAGCCCTACAGTCAAGACCTTTTTCCTCTACATTCCATGGTTCTCTGTTCATTCTGTCAAAAAGCACTTAGCACACTGTGTCATGATCCTGTGTTTTGAGGCCTTCCTCATTAACCTAGAAACTCTATAAAGGCCTGCCTTATTATTTACTAATTTTTCTCCTTTGCTTATAGTTTAAGCTTAAAACAATGTTGAGTGAATAAATGAATAAACAAATATGTACATGTTATGTTTTCTATATATGCCTCATAGCCTCTAATTATGCTCTAAAGTCAAATTAAAAGTCAAATTCTGCCTGTTTTGGCCCCTGCTCCTCCACAGTCATGAGCATAACAATAACTGTTAGTAACCAGTGCACTGGACTGTTTGCCCGGCATTTATGCCCTCTCCTTGAAACAACAGCACCTCTAATTTATGAACTGCCACTTTGAACTAACTCCTATTTCAGTTCAAATGACTCAATGGTTATTTGAATAGCTCTATAAGGGTTCAAGCCTTTTTAAAAAATGATGCCATATCTCATAAAACTATGGTTGATATGGTTATAAATTTCAGGAATGAGACCTAGGTTCTTTGTGCAATCACATTTGGGTTCAGGGCACATTCCAGCCATGGCATCTCATTGCTCGGAGGGGATGAAGGCCCCCACTCTCCGCTAATTATCAGGCCACATTAGAATCTCCTCCTCTTAGGATAAAAGCTTTGGCTGCCTTTGAATAAGGCACTTCAAAGTCTCCCTTTCATAAGATTTTTGAAATCTCAGCCCATTGAGGCTGTCACAGCTTGACATGCTTGTGCATTTGTCATACTTTCTGGAAGCCCGCCTCCAACCCTGGACTTGGGATAAGCTGAAAGCTCTTCTACTGATAACACTTTCTTAAGGAGAAAAAAAGAAAGAGAGAGAGAGAGAGAGGCAGCACACTGTCATAAAATAAGGAAAAATCCCTCCATTTTGTCCAGGAATTGTAAATATGGATGTTTTTTCTGTCAGAAGGCAAGGATTATGTCCTGCTGAGAAGATTCCCTGGCCAAAGACAGTACCAGGTTCCAAATAAAAAGCAGATTGGTGAGTATATGTCAGGGTCCTGGCAAAAACAATGAGATATTTGAGAGGATTTTTAAGAACAATTTACAAAGGTATAGACAGAATTTAGGGGAGCCAGCCTGGGATGATGCAGTGCCCTAGGGTTACCTACAATGAGGGAGTCTTTAGCACTCCAGACCTGAAGTGGGAAGGAGAAAGAGCGGCTAAAATACCTAGAGAGGTAGATAATGGAACCGACCACCTAATGGAAGCTATGGCCTTCCAGAGAGGGATGCAGTCAACCCTAGCCATTCAGCAAGGAGGCAGTTAGAGAAGTAAATGCTCCAACCTCACTTTCTTCTCATCATTCAAAAGCCTTCCTGTGTTTCCTATTGACTGAATTGAAGCCAGAAGGCAAAGAAATTCCTTGACAATATTCATGTGGGGCAGCCTCACAGGCTGCCAGGGTGGAGAAGGCAGAGATTGGTGTGGAGGGGCATGCAAAAGACATCCATCCTGGGGGGTTAGACGGAGGACTGAGGTAAGCATGGGACAGTGGAATTTCCTTTGTTTCTGTTGAAGGAAGGAAGGTATGCTTTATTTGGTACACATATAGTGTAATGGAGCAAGATTTACTAACCCTAAGGATCTCAATGACTTCTGTCTTCTCTGCTTCAGGTTCTATTAAGGTTTTGAGAATCTGCATTAATGACATGATGTGGATGCTGTGAATTAATTTTTTAAAAATGACATACTGAAAGGCAGCAATAATAAATGTTTAACTTGGCAATTACCTGAGAATAGACAGTTATCAATTTATATGCCAATTATGCAAATAAAATGAAAAAATATAGACAAAACAACAATGGCCCTTTTATCTCATATATCTATAATAGATGTGGTTATGTTGAGGACTGCTGGTATCAGGACCTTCTCCAGTCACCAAACAAACAAAATCAATGACTACCTACATGGTGTGAATCAAGCCAGGAATGAGAATTTTGAGGGCCAGTTGTCCCCACTTCTCCCTAAAACCAGTCACTCTTGCCTGGGATTCTATCATTATTCTAACATCTTTTTTCTTTTTTTCTTTTTTTTTTTTTTTTTTTGAGGTGGAGTGTCGCTCTGTCGCCCAGGCTGGAGTGCGGTGGCGCAATCTCGGCTCACTGCAACCTCCGCCTCCTGGGTTCAAGCGATTCTCCTGCCTCAGCCTCCTGAGTAGCTGGGATTACAGGCACATTCCACCAAGCCCAGCTAATTTTTTGTTATTTTAACATCTTTATGTTTCAGATACTGTAGATTTGTTGGTGTATTTTCTTAAAATTTATGTACTCCAAAAGCAATATCAGATTAGTAATTAACATGTTAAATCAATTAGCAGCAGTACTAAGAACTTGATTATTAATCCCATTTAACCTAACAACTATTTATAGTTTTGAAAGGGAGAACAGTAGAATTGTCGCTCAGGCCACTGTCAGAAGAGGACAGGCTTAGATGCCTCACCAACAGGTGAGACAACCTCTGGACAGTGAGGAAACACTAAGTGGTAGGAAGAAGTCAAGGTCAGAGGAAAAGTTAAAAAAAGAAACCTGAAGGAAAGGAAAGGTGTCAAATGATTCAATAGATGAAACAAATTATACAACACGCATTTTGTGCAAGGCATCATGCTAAGCTGTTTACATATATTGTCTCATGTGGTCTTTACACAAATTCTGTGAAGTAAGCACTAGTAACACCCATTTTTCTAGGTGAGATAAATGAGGTTGAAGGAAGCTGTAACTTTCCCAAGTCACAGAGACAGTAAATAATGAGAGAGAAAGCGAATTCCAAAGCCTGTGCGTTATTTCCTCTGAGATACATTCACATCCTCTTTGCCTCTCTATAAGAGGCTCAGTGAAGGATGAACTAGAACTGGTGGTAAATGAAATATAAAAGGGGGTGGGGGCAGACACAGTGGCTCATTCCTGTAATCCTAGCACTTTGGGAAGCCAAGGCGGGAGGATGGCTTGAGCCCAGGAGTTCAAGACCAGCTTGTGTAACATATTGAGATCCCATTTAAAAACAAAAAAAATAGCCAGGCATGGTGGCACATGCCTGTGGTTCCAGCTACTCAGGAGGCTGAGGCAGGAGGATCATTTGAGTCTGGGAGATGGAGGCTGCAGCAAGGTATAATCTAGCCACTGCACTCCAGTCTGCATAACAAAGTAGACCCTGTCAAAGAAAAAAAAAAGAACTGAAAATAGTCTGAATGCAAAACACCTGTGTAACGTCCCCACAGGAGACATTGGGTCATTGATTCATTGTCCAATGGACTTTTATTGAATACTGACTATAACCTGGGCTTACACTAAGTTCAGAGGCTACAAAGATGAGGAAACATGATCCTCTGCTTCATAAACCAACAGCGCAAGAAAGCCATTAATCTGAGCATGTACTCTGAGAACACAATGGCAAAGCTTGTTGGGAAATGAGATGCATCACTTCTGCTAATATTTTATTGGCCAGAAATCCTTACATGGCATCCAGCTACAAGGATGATAAGGAGAGCCATATATTGGAGAACTCTAGCAATGTCTACTACAGTACTTAGTAGCAAATGCACACTGACTGTTTGACTATTTATGAGATTATAGCCTCCCATAGTGCCAACATTATTATTTGTGATATCTATGTTTTTGATGTGGAGGATCCCTGATTCGGGGTGCCACAGAAAACCAGAATAGGAAAGTTGACTGAATGCTGATAAAAGGAACATGAACATGGTCTAGTCCAATCTCCACCCCAGCTAGACAACATGGTTTTTCTTGAAAAATGACTGTTGTAGACTAAAATGGGAAAAACATTTATTTTGCTCCTGGCTGCCATCAAAAATCTGCATGACCTCCCTTGGCAACAAAGAACTTTATCTTCAAGGGTAGTCTTTCAAAAGATAGTTTAGCTTTGGTCAAATTGCATAGAAAAGAAAAACTCCAAAAGTTGCAATTAACAGATAAGGCACATAAAAGATCTAAACACACTAATTAGTTCTTGTTCAATACACTGGAAGGCTACCCTGAAATTATAGCTAAATTGCATAAAAAGAAATATGCTTAGAACGGAGGGGGGAATTGAGAATTTGGGAAATTAAACTCATTACTCCATATACTTCTGTTATGGCTCAATTCTTTTTCATTGCCCCTTTTTGAACCTTTTCTATGTCTGCTGTGCTCCTGACCTGAGTAATGGAATTTAATATTAGGTTCTTTTTTCCAATTGCAGGTGTTATTTGGTCTTGTGCAAGAGTAGCAGGATATTTAACAATCTACACAAAAAGCCTTAGACAATATTCAAGAAAGTGCTTTTTCCTAGCATTCTGGGTAAGAGTTTCTCCAATGGAGAATGGTGAAAGGGCTTTAAAATTTGACTGTGGGATGAAATTTACTAGAAGTAATGAACAAGAGGCTAAGTGGGAACAGGAAGAATATTGAACAGGAGTCTGAGACTGGGTCCAAGTCCCAGTTGCTCTGCCGAATAATTTGTAACCTTGGGCAAGTCACTTCATGTGGTAAATGCTGTGATATGCTACTCAGATGCTTCCTTCAGGATTAAAGGACTCATTCCACCAGCTGTTGGGAAAAAAATCCCAGCAGATACCTTCAGCTGTCAACTATTTTAGAGATTGCCTTGTGACTGGTACATGAAGAAGCCTGGCCGTCTTGCCCTAATTTGGGAAATCTCCGACATGGTATTTTACCTCAAGAGGTCCCTATGGGTCAATTGAGGCCTTTGTTAAGAACACATTGCATCTCAACTTCTCCCTTTGCCCATTTCTGCTTTCTTCTTCTTCCTTGCATAGGGATTGATCCCAAGAGCACTTCCTAATAAACATTCTCTCACTAGTTTCTGTCTCAAAATCTGCCTCTGTCTCAACATCTCAAAATATTGCAAAGAACACTTAGCAAGTATTATTATACTCATTTTATAGGTGAGAAAACTTACAGATTGCTTAAGGGATTTATTTAAGACTTCTTATTAGTGTTCTGGCTTCTAGTCTTTCTGAAATTTTAGTAATAGGTAAAGATAAAACAGATCCACATAAATGAGACCAAACTGTGTGGAGAATGAGAATCCTGTATTAGCCTTCTATGTCATATTTCCATGAGGCAACTGGAAGGATAATTTCAAAATGTGTATCAGATCACATCACTTTCCTGCTCTCAACCCCAGAGTGGCTCCCCATCGCACTGAATAAAATCCTAAATCTTTCCTCTGGCCCACAAGGTCTTATAGGATCCAGCCCATGGTCACATCCCTGACTTCAGTTTCTCCCATTTTCCCCATGACTCACCCAACTCCAGCTTTCTAGTTTTTGAACCAACAAACTTTTTTTTTTTTTTTGGCTAACTGCTCTTCTCTCTTTCTGGAACTGTCTTTCTCCTAATATTCACAAGAATCCCTTATTCCCAGAAAAGACTTCCCTCACTACCCTTCCTGAAAAAGCATCTCCATCAGTCTATATGTTTTGACTCTGGCTTACTGTTATTCATAGCTCTTATAAATATTAAAATTATATATATATTTATTTTCATATTTGTTATATTAATATTTGTTTCATATTCCTTATTCATATTTATTTGTTGTTTCTTCTCTTCAAATATAAACTCCTAGAATATAGGTATACAACAAAGGCAGGGATTTTCTCTGACTTGTTTACTGCTATACCCCCAGTGCCTAGCAGAGTGCAACACTCACAGTTCATGCTCAATATTTGCTGAGTTTTGAATAAATGAATAAAGTCTTACTGAAAATGCCAGGTAAGCAGTTGAGATTACAAAAAGTCTTACATTTGCCTCAGTCAGCATTTCCCTTCTTATTAACTGGAAAACTCTTTATGAAATACACGATGTATTAAAAGGCTTTCAGAAGAAAGGGTTCCATCTTGGCTTTACTACTTGTAAGTCATGGAAGCTTCCATGAGTTATATTTAATCTTATTCATATTCTGATACTAGATTTCCTCATCTGTAAAATGGGCACCATTGTAGTTGTCATAGGAATTAATAAATTAATATAAAAAGCAACCACAATGTCTGACACATGGTAAATGCAGAATGAATATTTTTCCCTTGAGTTATAATTACCATGAAGATGAATTACAAACATAGTTACCCATTTATTTACTTATTCATTATTCAAATACTAATGGACTAGGCACTGGAGAAGCAGGAAAGAATGAGATTCTCTTCAAGTTATTAGAAAGGCCTGGCACTTGCAGGGGAGAGAGTGTGTGTACATTTTCATTTGTTCTCTTGTGTATTACCAGAAACTTCTACCATATGTATATGTATAAAGCATTCAATGAGATAATTTGCAAGAATCAAATTCAGTATTACTTTGAATGCTTTTCCTCATTTAATCCTCAAACCACCATTGAAGACATAGCCATGGAGAAATAGACATAATTTCTGACCTAAAAAAATGTACAGTTTTATGGGAAAGATAGACATTAGGCTACTCACATCCTAACCCTGCCCAAGGACCTGGTTTGTGTGGTCTGCACTGTCATTACATTGAAGTCTTAAACTGTCGCACTTCCAGCAATATCTTACTGAAAAATCCCGATTCTAAACTTCTCTTGAGAAATCTGATGTTCTATCCGTACTGAGCCTGCATTTCCTTCTGGCAAGAAAACTCTAAAGCTGAGTAGAGCTTGCCCGCTTTAAATTAACTCTCAAGATTTTAAAAATCTCTATACTTTGTCTATATCCTTATATTTTTTCTATACTGTTTCCAATAGCCAAGTGTTAAAACCTCCTACAATGATTGTATGTTTTTCATTTTCTACATATAACTGTCAGTGATTGATTTATATGTTTTAAGGCTGTGTCATTAGGTTCATATACATTTATGATGGTAATACAGTCTTGGTGGGTTGCTGTTTTTATTATGATTTAATGTTCCTTTTTGTTCCTAGCAATTGTTTTGCTTTAAAATCTATTTTTGTCAGAGTTCATATAGCTGCATTGATACTCTTCTGATTATTATTTGCCAGCTATATCCTTTTCCATTCTCTTATTTTTCCCACCCATCAATTCCATTCTAGCCTTTACTCCTTTCTGCCTGGCAGTTTTGAAAATGTCTTCACCTGTCCCCTCATTCCCTAAGAAAGAGCTCTCACATCCGCACCTTTTGGCTACCATCTCAGAGGTTACTGAGAATTCTGCAGATCAGTCATACTGCCAACAGGTCAGGGACTGGTGGAAAGCCTGGATTGGCTTCCTGAAGCCCCCAAAGTTACTCATCTTAATTTGGATCTGGTTATGGTTTTCTCTTTTTAAAATTTTCTTTTTTAAAAACATTATCTATCATTACTATATGTGGAATTTGGAGGTGGTTTGGGCTATTTTTCAAGGCATGTATCTATAAAAACATCAAGACTAGACATTCAAGATATGTGATAATGATTGGGACAGATAAATACAGAGAATTCCTAGGTCTGTGAAGAGAAAATGACATCTTAAGACCCTTCCTCAGTAAAACCAATGAAGCTGGTTTCCTAGTACAAAGATTCCATGAGCAGCTCTTTCTGCCATCCTTTATGGCTAGAGAGCAGGCATTGGAATATGAGTGTCATTCCCTGGGTCATAATAAAGACAAATGTATTTAAATAAGTTTTATATTCTCAGTTTAGGGTCTAGTAAGTACAGTATTTGATGATTATGCACCTATACCTAGCCTCAACAGTATATCTCAAATACCTAATCAACACCATTAATATGGTTTTTTTTTAGTTAATTTTGCAATACTATTAGAAAAAGAAGGAGAGATAGAGACAGAGAGGAAGCAAAGACTGAAATAAAAGAATTGGTGTATAGGAAAAAATAATTTACCATGACATAGAAAAATGTGTATGTAGTTGGGAGCCTAAATTTAAACAAGTCGATGCTTCCACAAACTGAAAATCCGCCTGTCCTGCTATGTCTATTCAAATTTCCCTAATCTAACCGCTTCAATTTATTGTTCACTAATTAGATAGAATTGTTGTCCAGAATAAAGAAATCACCACCCGGTAATTACTTCATTGTAAAACGTAATGAGCATCCAAACACTGACACATACTGTAAAAATCGCTACACAATAAATAGAACACTGTTTTCCAACAATAACCCGGCAGTGAATTCTGCTAGTGTATTTCTTTGTGAAACATGTTTATGTGATAGTCTTCCAATTTTATGGCAGAAGTTTATCACCATAAGGTGCATTTCATGACAGCCGAATAACTACATTCAGTTAGGCTTGTCACCATGTGCCTTCCGTATCAAGACACATGCTGATTGTATCAAATACTGTTGACTGTCTTAGTGCTGCAAATAGAAAAGATGATTACACTGTTCTGTGTAGATATGATGCAATATTATTCACAGTGCAAGAAATTGAAGGTCAAGGTTGTCTAACAACATTAGAAAGATTGGGTGTTGAACGCTTCTTAATGCAGTGGTGATTCACTAATGGGCAGATGACAGGTGTACCTTAAGGTGTGGATGATTCTTTATGTAAATAGATGGGATAGAGGTATATGCACATCAAATCATTGTATGTTTTGGGGTGGGAATAAGGATTATTAATTTACCTTTTTGAAAATAAATCAAAGCAATTCTTTAAGTGTCCCCCTTAATATATGCATTGATTTATCTCAAATCTCTTGGAGGACAAGAGATCTAAAATTTTGCCTCTGTCCTGCATAGATGCATTCTGTGATGACTTTAGCAAATGAAGAGTTTGCCTCATACCTTAGTGTTCATCTGAGTTTCTAGCTTTAGCGCAGGTCCTGTTGAGTTTTACTCTTATCTAGTATATATGCTGTAAAGCATGTTTGTTACACTAGACAATCAGGTCCATGTCTCTAAAATAGCAAAGGTTATTAGCAAGTTAATCCAATTTGAAATTTATTTTTACTCCATTGTCAAACAGCTGTTATGGTCTGGTCCCAGCTCTGCAACTGATATAAAGTATATGACTCTAGAAATTTAATCAAAATCTCATTTTGAGATTGAATATGCAGTAGTCTGTGATCTTGTTTGGTTCTTACAATTATTTTATAGTCATGCTGTATATCTCACAAAAAGAGAGAATATATTTTCTAGGATGATTTCCAGAGCAGCATATTTTTTAACAATTCTCCCCTCACTTCCACCCACTCATGAACTAACTTAAAACATAATAAAGTTACAATTTCAATAATTTACCAAATCAATGTACCAATTTAATAAATTGAGTAACCATTTCAATATGGATTGAATATGAATTCAATATTGAATTCAATCACAGATTAAATGCTGATATTGGAAATTCGTTGACATAACAGTTATGTCATAGGGACTTTGTATTGGCTTTCAAAGAATAAGAGTTAGTCTGGTTAAATTAACAGCAATCATGTGTTTACCACTTAATCTTGCCACTTTAAAGGATATTAATAATTCTCCAACCCATGGCCTTTTCTAGCATGATCCACAACATGTTGTAGCAAGGACCCATTAGTTGTAGTCAAATAGGCAAAGTGAGAGGCAACTCAATCTGTAATTAGAGCAGAAGAGATGCTGAATTAAGGGCCAGCTAGAGATGCTAGGAGAAAATATTCAGGCAGATCAGTCATCAGGAGTAGGAAATTCAACATTGTCCAGTAGATAATAACTGGAAAGAGTATCTTCAAAGAGGTCAGAGAGAACTAACAGGCTGTCCCAACATCTGAATACTGCTAAGAAATCTAAGAGATACAATGGCAATTCCACGGCTGTGGCTAGTTGCCATTGCTACAGTCTGTTCTAGGGATTAAGTCCTCAATCAATGCTACAGTTCCTGGTAAAAGGGTGAAGAAACCACAAGGCAGGGATAAACTGTGTGTGTAATGGTCTTGTGGGCTGGGTTGGACAATATAGTCCATTACTCAAGGGGACCAACCTGAGGAACCTGAGGCAGGTGAAGCAGAAGACTGTGGAAAAGAGCCAAGGAAATCATCTGTTCCACAAAGGAAAACATGAATGACTACAGAAGAAAAAGTAAGATCAGGCTTTAGGAGAGTAAGAACTAGATAGAATGAGGCTCAAGGAATGGGTCATACCCCACAGTTCAGAATTGGGGGTCTCTATCAGAGGGATGTTGCCTTTTCCTCATGGTCTGATATAGGTTTTTCTGAGCTGGGCCCTTTAGCTGAATGGAATCAGTCAGGTGAAGAATCAAGATACTTATTTTAATAGTCTTGACAGCCTATCTGCCTGGCCATTTGGTGATTTAATAAAACCTTGCCCATCCAACCACTATGTCAATCATAATGAATCAAATTAACACAAAAAATAGTAATAGTGCAATAAGAATGCAACCTAATTATATTTGGGCATTATAGGGTCTTTGAGAGGAGATTAACTGAGACCTTCTAAAAATTTATTCTGAACTTGTTGGAGGTTCCGTCTCCTCATTGTTCATAAATCAGAAATGCTTGGCTTAATTCAACAATTCACGAATTACTTATTGGTTCTTTGATACTATCATGGTAACTACGTTTTTTTGTGTGTGTGACAGGATCTCATTGTGTCACCCAGGCTGGAGTGCAGTGGCATGATCTTAGCTCACTGCAGTCTCAACCTCCTGGGCTCAAGCAATCCTCACGCCTCAGCCTCTCGAGTAGCTAGGACTACAGATATGTGCCACTGTGCTTGGCTAATTTTTAAAATTTTTATAAAAACAGGCTCTTGCTAAATACCCAGGCTGGTCTTGATCTCCTGGGCTCAAGCGAGCCTTTCACCTCGGCCTCCCAAACTGTTAGGATTACAGGCATGAGTCACTGCACCCAGCTGTAGCTACATTTTTGTAAGTTAAAAAATGAATGCAAACTTTACTTTGTAGGAAACATTACTTTGAATAGAAAAATAAATCCATAGTTAGTAGATTCACCATCCCTAAAGCCTCAATCAAGAAGTATAATTTAACTACTTTCTGGGTAATGGCACCCTACAATTTTAGAAAGTTAGCAAAGCCTGATTTAGGAATGATGTTCACAGTTTAAGTAGTTCAAAAGAGATTTGTTGCAAACTTAAATAGGTACACTTATATTAGCATTTTCTATAGTGTATCAGTGTTCTCTAGAGAAATAGAACAAATAGGGAGTATGTGTGTGCGTGTGTGTATGAAGAGATTTATTGTAAGGAATTGGTTCATATAATATTGGAAGCTGACAAGCCCAATATCTGCAGCTGGCAAGCTGAAGACCCAGTAGAGCCGATGGTGTAGTTCTGGGCCAAAAGTAGGTATACTTGAGACCCAGGAATTGTTGATGTTTCAGTTCAAATTCAAAAGCAGGAAAGAACAGATATTCTAGCTAAAATGCAGTCAGGAAGGAGGAATTCCTTCCTACTCACAGGAGGATCAGATGTTTTGTTCTAATCAGGTTCAACTGATTGGATGGAACTGCCCCACATTAAGGAGAGAAACCTGCTCTACTCAGTCTACTGATTCAATGTTAATATCATCCAGAAACACCCTCACAGACACACCCAGGATAAAGTTTCACCAAATGTCTGGGCACCCCATGGACCAATCGTGTTGATACATAAAGTTAACCATCACATGTAGCAACTAGATATTTTTCTACTGGGTCTAAAATACAGTCTTCCATTAAAATTTGTCAATTCAGATATTAATATTTCTGTGACAAAATATGGGCTTCTCTGCCTGCTTGCTTCTCCAAGAATTAAAAACATCAGCGTTCAGTGAAGTAGTCAGAGCTTGATGTGGTAAAAAGAAATTACCTGGGTGGTTAAGAGGTTACCTGCCCCAGCTATCACCAGCCATTACCTAAGTTGAGTTCAAAAAAAAAAAAAAAAAGACTCTGATTACCTTCATAATTACTGTCCTTGAAACTGACTGATCCCAGTTAGAGATGTCAAAAATACAAAAGTATGAGCTGAGCCTGGCTCCCTGTTATAAAATTAAAACATACTTGTAAATTATATGTCTTTGTTTTCTTTTTTTTGTTTGTTTTTTGTTTTTTTGAGTCTCACTCTGTTGCCCATGATAGAGTGCAGTGGCACAATCTTGGCTCACCACAACCTCCACCTCCTTGGTTCAAATGATTCTCCTGCCTCAGCCTCCCTAGTAGCTAGGATTACAGGTGCCCACCACCACACCTGGCTAATTTTTGTACTTTTAGTAGAGATGAGGTTTTACCAGGTTGGCCAGGCTGTTCTCAAACTCTTGACCTCAGGTGATCCACCTGCCTCGGCCTCCCAAAGCATTGAGATTACAGGCGTCAGCCACCATGCCCAGCCTTTTTTCATTTTTAATTACCTGCTCTCTTTTGAAATTTCAATTTTCTCAGTTGTAAAATCAGAGTTTTTGGTATCCGATATTTTATAAATTTTGTCATAACTTTTGGAAGTAAGAATCTCTTAAACATTTACATATGGAAATAGAGTTTTGAAAACAAATACAGCAGATTATTCTATTTAGCACTTATACTAACCAGTTTTGGGTAATTAATTTATAATAAAGATTGATAATTTTCCACCTTGCCTTAGTGGAATAAATTCAAAACTATGGAGTAATATTCCCAGAGAACAGAAATTCATTATATAATGTTGTGGGAACATCGCTATTTGTGCAGAAAGGAGAGGGGCTTATAATACCCACATTCTAAGCAATACATAGAACAGAAACTTCTTAACTATTATCTGAAGAATGGTTATTCCATGGAGGAAAGAGAAACAGGGAGGAAGAAAGGAAGGAAAAGGAAGAAAATAGAGAGAAAGAAAGAGGAGGCCTCAATGTGAAGAGCTTATGCTCTGTCAAGGGCAATGCAATAGCTGAACTGGAGTGTAGACTTCAAGAGGCCACTGCCCATTGACACAGGCCTGAGGATTTGACCTTCAGCATTTTCATTAAAACCCATGTATTCATCATGTCTCACACTGGGTCAGAAGTTTGAAACGAACTGTTTCTGCTCTTAAGCTCAGTGGCCTCCAGTTAATTCAAAATGGGTTGCTGCTCATAAGGAAGATGCTACCAGGAAAATTAAAGAATAAACCTTCCCTTTTCTAGGATATGAGAAGTCAACTTTGATTTATTCTTTCATTGATTATTAGTACCTTGCAATTAGTGGCAGCTGGAAAACAGACCTATACACAAAATTAAGCGAAGAAACCACTGTTTCTCTTCTAATTTGCTCTTCCTCCCTTACACCACCCTTTCCCTAAAGTCAATGCAATGTGTTCCAGAGAAGGAGCACAGGACAGTTTGGCTTTGCCATGAATTTATCCAGCCCAGAAAGCTGGAGGGTGAACACATGGAGCAGAAATGAATTGCCCCTATTGTCTCACCCTAGGCAATCCCTGACAATTGACTCCCCTGCATGGGAAGAGCTCAACCCAGATCAACAAAGCACTAGCCAATGAGTGTGTGCGGTGAGACCAGAAGACCACTTAGCTGGCCTGCAGATTTAAAATCAATGTGTATGGTTTTGAGCCACTAAGTTTTGTAATTGCTTGTTACCCACCATTATGATGGCAATAAGTAACTGATACACTGCCTTTATGCTACAATTTGAGTATCCTTAATCCAAAAATCCAAAATTTGAAATATTCCAAAATTCAAAGCTTTTAAAGCACTGACATGAAGCTCAAAAAAAAATGCTCATTGGAGCATTTCGGGTTTCAGAGTTTTGGATTAGGGATACGCAACTGGTAAATATAATGCAAATATTCCAAAATCCTCCCCAAAATCTAAAATCCAAAACTCTTTTGGTCCCAAGCATTTTGGATAAGAGATACTCAACCTGTATCTCATGTACTGCCAACTGGTGTTATTATATAACTCTTGAATTGGTTCTTGGTATTTTATAGAATAGAAGTAACACTACCTCATATTTATTGAAGGCTTTCTAGGTGCCAGGCACAAGGAGTGTTTTCATTCATTCATTCATTCATTCAACTAATAAATATCTAACACTGCTATGTACCAAGCACTGTGTTACATGTTCAGGATACAGTCATAAGAAAAACCGACAGAAGCCCAGCTATTATAAATGTACAATCTAGCTGGGAAATGATGTTAATTAAATCATCTTACAAATGTATAAAGACCATTATAAGGGCTGTGAGTAAAAAGCATAGAGAGATAATAGAGCTTAGAAAGGGGATTTATCTAACTTGGATATCAGGAAAGGAGGACTTTCCTGAAAAAGCAATATTTGATGAGAAAGAAGAAGAGTGTTACAGGCAGATGAAATCTGGTATGCAAAGACCCTAAGCAAGAAGGATCAGGGGTTTATTCAAAGAACCAAAGGGCTAGTGTGGCTGGAGTCTGCAGAGTATTAAGGTGAGTAGAGATGTGGGCAGGAGCTAAATCACAGCCTAGTGAAGTTTTGACCTTTATTCTTTTTTTTTCTTTTCTTTTTTCTTTTTTTTGCTTTTGAGACAGAATCTCGCTCTGTCACCCTGGCTGGAGTGCAGTGGTGCGGTCTTGGCTCACTGCAACCTCCGTCTCCTGGGTTCAAGCAATTCTCCTGCCTCAGCCTCCATGTTGGCCAGGCTGGTCTCAATCTCCTGACCTCGTGATCCGCCCGCCTCGGCCTCCCAAAGTGTTGAGATTCCAGGCGTGAATCACCGCACCCATCCTGGACTTTATTCTTATGCAATATAGTCCTTGAAGATATTTCTTATCCAATAATCACCACTGCCCTAGCAGGTAGGTCATTTCATTATGTCCATTTTACAGTTAAGGAAACTGAGACTTGGGGAAGCTAAACAACTTGCCTGAACTCACCATTTAATAAGTCACGCTCAAAAGCCAGTCCTTCAGTACTCAGCTACACCTCTTTTCCCTGATACTTTTGCTAACACCTTGAGAATAAGCTATGCGTTATCCTTTCTTGTTTCTACTCCCTCTGGTCCTTAGCGGAGTCTTAGTAGGGCACATAGCATAGACCTGAGAGCCAGACATAGGTTGAAACCACTTAATTTTTCTAAACCTCTGTGATTTTTATTTCCAACTTAAAAAAGGGATAATGACACCTCTCTCTAGGCAGGAGCATAGTGACATATAACTAAAAAAATCTAGAAAATAGCGGATACCCAATAAATGCTGGTTGTTAGTAAGAATACCAGAGATTCAGTAATGGAATGTGAATCTAATGTTTACTCATTATCATTATCATCAAAAGGCAACCAGCCTTATGACACTCATAAGTCCAAAAATGACAATGACATTGAACTTCCCTGAGGATTAAATAGCTCAATTAGTAAGAGGCCCTGCTAATTTCCCAATCCACATCCAACTCTGGAAAAAGCCTCTGGTCTTATGCCTGTGGTCTTAATGATTCACACATGGGCCCCTTCTATCTGACCCCGCCAACATTCTCTGATGGCGAGAGTGGTGGATAAAAGTTCTCTTCCCACAAGAAGCATCAGTCTCAAGGTTATTTCAGGAAACTTCAAGCCTCTGAATTTCTCTCATATTCTCCAGCTCTCTACAAGTCTAGTCTACAACCCTACTGGTTTGGGTAAAAAACAAAAACAAACAAAAAACCTGTCTGCCTGCGTGTCTGGTCCACAGAGGCACAGAGGGGCTCCTTCAGTGTTTATTGAGTGAATGCTGCCTTTGAAAGTCTGCATAGTGAGGGTGAAGAACCAGCCTCTGGATATAGATAGACTTCATCCTTCTACTTGTGAGCTGTGTGAACCTGGCCAAGTTACTAAACTTCTCTGGATCTGTTTTGTCTGTAAAAAGGGGATAATAACCACTTTACGCAGTTTTCTAAAAGAATAAATGTGATCATGTACGTAACATTCTTAGTAGAGTGCCTGGCACGCTGTATGTGCTCCACACACATGTCATTATTGTTACCATAAATACTGCTGAGGCTGTCAGGCTATCCCAGTAGAAAGCAGAGCTCCCCCACCTCCAGTCAATGTGTTTATTTGCTCAGGTAGAGGAATGCAACAGAGTTAAGTTTTAAATTAATATGAAAAGGGCTTCCTTTCCCAGGCTCTTACCAATGGGGAAAAGGTTGCTGAACCCTCAGCCCCACCTACCCATTGCTTCTTTTTCCCTTAATTAATTATTGGCTCTTGAAGATGTAAATCCCTTATCCCCAGAGAGTGGATCAAAAAAATCTTTAATATCTCTATAATGAAATTCATAATATGCTAAAAATATTAGAGGGAAACTGAAATTGGTATTTTTATAAGTCAATATTTGACTGTTTCTCAGCTAAAAAAAAAAAAATAGTCCAAAGAAGCCTGGTAGCTACCAGACCAGAGTAAGTCAAGGTGAGACAGTAAAAGTTTGTTATTTTTAAATTGTTTCTTTTAATATTCCTCTTTCACAAATTCCTTTTGTGCCTGACTGAAGTGAATGAGCCTGGATTTCCCTAACACCCACTTCATTCCACAAGATCGCATTCAAACCAGCTTCCTTGACTATCACATTTCCCTGCTGTTGTTATCACAATCATTTTAGAGAATCAAAGAGCCACAGCGGGGAGAAAGTTCTCAGCAGGCAAGCCCCTTCCTCTAAACACAGACCATCCCTGGCATATGCTGCCGACTCCATGTCTCTGAAAATCCATGCCAGCTGGTCTTGCCATGCTTTGATAATTTTTTCCATGGATCCACAAGCCTGCAAGGATTCCAGATGCATACAGATTCCTTCTTCATAAACAATCTGATGTTTAGAGAAATTCCCAAAGCCACAGTATGGACTCCAGAAATCTCGACTACACCACTTTTCAGCCTTGTAACCTCAGTCAATTGAGAATTTTCGATCTGAAAAAACTGGAATAGTGATACATGCAGCACTCTCCTCCCTGGCAGAGCTCATCTTCTGTGGAAAATGTTTCACAAAACTGTCAATTGCCTTGCAAAACTGTATTTCTCCTACCTGGGCCTATAAATAAGATCTTAGGAAAACCTGTGTCCTCAATCACTTGATCCAAATTAACTATGAGACCTAATCTATACTGTGCACATCCATTTAAAAGCTCCAAGCATGTAAGGCAAGTGAGCACTGAGGCAAGACTACAAGACACGGTACCACATTTTTTACGGTTTCCAGCTGCTACCCTGTCATGGGGGTCAGAGACATGATTAAAAGTTCAGGATGCCCAGTCTCAGCCAGGTAGCCTATCTGTTACCATGTTGCCTGGCATTATAAAATCTTTCAGGGAGGCTGGGTGCAGTGGCTCACGCCTGTAATCCCGGCATTTTGGGAGGCCGAGACGGATGGATCACCTGGAGTCAGGAGTTCGAGACGAGCGTGCCCAACATGGCGAAACCCTATCTCTACTAAAACTACAAAAAATTAGCTGGGCGTGGTGGCGGGCGCCTGTAATTCCAGCTACTCAGGAGGCTGAGGCAGGAGAATCGCTTGAACCCGGGAGGCGGAGGTTGCAGCCAGGTGAGATTATGCCACTGCACTCCAGCCTGGGTGACAAGAGCAAAACTCCGTCTTAAAAAAAAAAAAAAAAAAAAAAAAAAAACTTTCAGGGAAAAAAACCAAAGAAGCAAGAGCTTATTGACTAATTTTAAATTACAGCAATATTGTCCCTTCTGCAATGAATGATTCCTTTCTTTTTAGGAAATATAGCTTTAATTTATTTTATTAGTAAATTCAACCAAACAGCTTAAAATGTGATTTAATAGTGTAGGTATGATAATTTAAAAATGCGTTGGTTTAAAAAAAAACTCAAATACCGGCCAGGTGTGGTGGCTCACGCCTGTAATCCCAGCCCTTTGGGAGGCCGAAGCCGGCGAATCACAAGGTCAGGAGATGGAGACCATCCTGGCTAACACGGTGAAACCCTGTCTCTACTAAAAATACAAAAAAATTAGCCGGGCGTGGTGGCGGGCGCCTGTGGTCCCAGCTACTCCGGAGGCTGAGGCAGGAGAATGGCGTGAACCCAGGAGGCGGAGCTTGTGAGCAGAGATTGCGCCACAGCACTCCAGCCTGGGCGGCAGAGCGAGGCTCTGTCTCAAAAAAAAAAAAAAAAAAAAAAAAGGAAGGCTGCATCTCTGTGATATTCACTCATTTATGCAATCATTCATTCAACAAATATTTATCAAGCATCTGCCATGAGCCAGGCACGCATTCTAGGTACTAGGGATGTTGCCATGAAAAAAGAGCAAAAATAGGAGATCTGCATTAATTCAAACCATGGCTAGTCATTTAAACCACTAGAAGGACAATGAATTTAATGTGAGATGAAGTTCTAGCTAACTCTTTCTCAAATACTCTGTGAGAAATCATTGAATTTTGCATCTGTTTGCATTTCTTCTCCAAATAAGATACACTGCAATGGAAAGTATATAGGAGTCAGATAAGAAGCCCCATGTTCTACACCTAGCCTTGCCGAAAGCTCACAGTATATCTGATTGGGGACCTTCCCATTGTCTGAACTTCAGTTTCCTCATCCATATAACGAAGGTGTTTGCTAGTTCTAATGCCTATGAGTCTCTGATTCCACGAATGTTTAATTCAGCTGCTAACTGGCAGTCTGTGCACCCCCTCTGCTATTTTACAGGGCCAGAATAGAGCCACTCCATAGTTTTTGTTCTTATTCTGTTTTTTATTTGTCAGCACATGGAAAAATTGAGATACAATTTAACAATCTAGATGTCCAACTTCTCTTGATGGATAACATGCTCTGGCCACCCAGGGACACCTTCCTCAGGCAACAATGGGTCAAGGACTGAGGAGCTGTCACTCCTTTCAGATGTTCTCTGGGCTTTCGCATTTGCAATATTCTCTCTTGCTCCCTTCTGTCTCTTGACGATCTGCTGCTGAGAGTCTGTCTTCCTAATTCTTAGCACCCTTTACTAGTTCGCATTACCTGTCGGTCTCAGATATAGTGCTGCCCATATAGCATTTCAGACTTGAAGATCTTCAAAAGGAGAATTCTAGAACCACAACCAAGATGTCTCCTGAGGACCCTTGAGCTAATTAGAAAATAAATTGGAACCACCTGGGAAGCTTTTATAACACACCAATTACCTGGACTCTGCCCCCAGAGATGCTGATTCAGTTGGTGTAAGGTAAAGTCCACATGGCATCAGAAGGTTTTAAAAGCTCCCCAGGTGCTTCTAATGTGCAGCTGTAATCCATCCTACAGCTTCACATCAATCAAAGTGGTATAATGATCTTTCTGTCTTTGGCTCGATGAGAAATCACCTTCAGCATGTCCTAGATCTGAGATCTGGACTTATCACAGGCCTGGCTCCATGGGCATGCGACGGTGCAGCCACACAGGACTCCATGCTTAGACTGGGCCCTGTGCTTGGGTTCATGCTCTGTTATCACCATCTTGAAATTATTGATAATTTTGAACAAGGAGCGCTGCATTTTCTTTTGTACTGGACCCTGCAAATAATATAGCCCGTCCCGCTTCACCCCATTCTGGGGCTGGACTTCTCCAAAATGCAATCAGACCCTTATCTCTTGGGCTCTAATGGAGATCATGGCAGTGGCATTTCTTAGCATTCTGAAGAAATGAGCTGCCCTTAAAGGGTATTTTCTCCCTCTTTCCCTGTGTTCCTGCCTTGGCTCACATAATAAAAACATCTGTCCTTTTGGAAGAACACTGCCGCTGCTCACTCATTCCTCCAAGGAGTGACTTTTATCTCATTGGTGGGATAAGGAGAAGGCCCATCAAGGCCCCTGCAGACCCTCACACAGTCACCACTCTGCCCAGCTCCCCTGGATCAGCTCTGCAGGAGGAGTTTCCCCTCTGCCAGGTGCTTTGCCAACTTGAGAGTAGTGTAGTGATAGCCCGTGCAGGATGCCAGTTTATCAATGCTATTCTGTCACATACGAGCTCTACAGCCTTGGGCACCTCACTCAACCTGTCTGTGCCCCAGTGTTTTCATCTATAAAATAAGGATATAATAGTATCTATCCCAACAGATTAGTGTAAAATTTAAGTGAGTTTTTATTCCATGTCAAGGACTTAGAACACGTATTAAGTGCTAAACATAAAAAAAAATTATTAACTTGGAACAAGGGATGCAATCAGGGAGGGAAAGAGTTGGAAGCCCATTTGAGTCTAGTCCCATGCCAGGTTTCCGGTTCAAGGTTGCCAATAATTAGGTTGACCTTTTGAGCCCTGGCTCCTGCATCTCTCTCTCATATGGTTTTGAATCTGGAGAGGAAAGCACATGATTAATAGTTCCCTTAGGCCACAACACAGGCCAGTCGTAAGCTTACTTTTGCTTCTTCTCTAATCCCACTCTCACTGTGCACCTGGGCTATTGACAATCCCAAAAAAACTCCACTCCTCAGGCCCACAGTCTGGAAATGTTACCCTTGGACCTGGAATCCTCAAGTCAGAAAAGCATTTAGAAATAGAATGGAGTCAGCAGATCATCTTCCAGATGAGAAGACTAAGTAGAGAAGTCCAAGTTTGCTGAGGTTGTCAGAGGCAGATGAAGAATGAGAATCAAGGCAGTTGCCCTCACCACTGTACCACACTGCTGGGCTTTGTGAGAAATTCTTTTACATCGTGTGTGGATGAGGACGCATCTGAATGTGTGGCCATCCCTCTTCTTCCAACTACTACTGCAGAACAGTGTCCTTTGGAGATTAAGTCATCCCATAATATTATATGTGTTGAACGTTAAAGGGGCTGGGATAAGACCTGGTTTAGCAATGTGAAGTGAGGTTGGGGTGAAGGGGTGCAGAAGGAAAAAATAACAAGCAGGCATTCCTTCCCTTGTTTAAAATTGGGCTTGCAAGTCTCGCCTGTGAGGGAGGCAGCATACAGGCAGTGTGGTGAGAAAGGCAGGTCACACAGGGGTCTTCCCTCCAGGAAATAACCTCCTTCTCTCCAGCAGCATTGTTTTCTAATATGGAGGATAATGAACAACACTGTTGATCCAATTTGCTTTTTCTGTCAGTGTAGAACTTTGCCCATGCTGTCAGCTCTTTGGATTTATTGATACTGTAGGGAGTTTGGAGAAATATAGACATTACTTTGGCTTTCGGGTTCTTTGTTTCAAAAGAAATGTTTGAATTGTCCTATTTGACAAAAATAAAAGAAAATAGGCTTGACAGTCAGAATGGCTATTTCTTACATTGAAAGGAAGGAAAAGAAAAGATAAAGGAGGGAATAAAATTGGTTTTTATTCTATGGTTTCCAATTAATGATATAGAACACCAATGATTTTGGTGGGAAAAGAATTATATAATAAACAAAAATACCCACCTCTAATAATGGAACAATCTTTGTTATTAGCTTGATAGATTTGCCCCACAAATACCATCAGAGCAGTTGGCCAGAGTAGTACTGAAATGTATTAAAGATGTATTTTTATATATATCTACCACTGATAGTACAGAACAACTCGGGTCAGGCCGCATTAGTGAACACACCTAATATTGTTTTCTAAATTTTCAACAACTATTCAAATAGAAAGCCAGAAAAGAAAAATTGCCTCTCACTGCAAAGCCTTAAAACACACAAAAAGGCACCATATTGCCACTTTAGGGACACATTTGTTCCCTGCTGTTGCTATTTTATATGTCATTTCAGTCCTGCAGTTAGCTATAAAGCAAATCTTTTCTTTTTCCGGAGAGGAATAAGAGCTGCCTGAAGGGAAACAAGAATGGGAAACATCCTTAAAATGACTGATTTACAATTGGCAAAGAGATACAATATGAAAATTACAGCTTTCTCATTTTGAAGGTGGGAGCCTCCCTTCTTACTCTAAAAATACCCCCTGGGGGCCCCCTATTGGCACAAGAGAGAGACTGTCATGAAGGGGCTACTTGGGTTTTCTGAAGGTATGGGAAAATGGTGAGGGGTGTGTGTGTGTGTGTGTGTGTGTGTGTGTGTGTGTGTGTATGTGTGTGTGCGCTGGGGTGGTAAGGAGATGAATTCAGCAGGGGTTAGGTAGAATTAAAGGGAAATTCAGAGAAGTGAGTGCATGCCACAACTCATTAGGCACCGGAGGTGGTCCCGTCTAAACATAAGCTTGGAATTCAGATACCTTGAGTTGTAATCCCTCTTCTGACAGTGATATATGGTATACCCTTGGGCAATTCCCCTGACTGTGTTTTGACCCTAACTTATCATCTATAATAAGGAAAATAACACCCACTGAAGGGGGATATTGTGGAAATTTATTTATGTTGCCAAAGGGCATGGGGGACCATAGGTGAAAGGTTGAAGATAAGTCAAAGACTCTTTGCCTGTCAACAACTATTGTGTAGCTCATGTGTAGTTCCCCTGGGTTTAAACTCATCTTCAAAATGTTCCCCAATACCCCTCTGGGGTATGGCCAAATGAAAAAGACTCTGAATCCTTTCTCAAAGAATCAGGGGAGAATTTACACAGCCCAGTGTGATCATAGGCCTCCAAGATGGCTCCATTGATCCTCACTTCCTTGTATCCTCTCTTTTGTGCTGTCCCTCTCACACTGAATCACAGCTCACCTATCTACCCAATAGAGTATGGCAAAAGTGTAGGACTTCCAAGACTAAGTTATAAAAAGCATTGCAGTTTTTACCTTGGAATCCACCTTGGATTGCTTTCTCAGTGGGAAGCCAGCTGTCATGTGGTAAGGATATTCAAGAAGCCCCAGGAAGAGGCCTAAATAGAAAAGAATCAACTTATCAGAACCTGCTTGTGAGCACATGAGTGAGCCACCTTGCAAATGTATTTTCCAGCCACAGTCAAGCCTTCAGATGACAGCAGTCCCATTTGCAAATAGATAACCAACCCTTTATGCAAATAGATAACTAATCTACCTACAGTAAACTGGGGTTGGGGTAATCCTGCTGAATAATTTACCTTCAAGCTATTGTAATCTTTGACAGACTGGTTAGACTAGATATTGTGAATCTTCTCAGAAGGCCATGAATCTACTGATGATTCATCCATCTTTTAATTCACCAAATATTTATTAATCATATAGCTACTGGGTCCTAAGAGTCTGCAATGGGCTCTGGAAGATAAGAGTTGGTTAAACTAAGCATATTTAAGACATCCCACCAGTGTATTGGTGGAGACAAATAATAGACATCAAATAGTGTTGCAAAAAATATGACAGGGAATTATATTATTCTATTATCTTATTACAGAGAATATTGTGGAGAACCCTTGCTTCAGGGAGAAGCTAATTCAATGTTGAAGAATCAGGAAGGACTGCTCTAAGGCAGGGACACTTAAGGACATTTCTCAAAGGTCAGGTAGAAGTTATCAAAGTGAAGTAGAGGAAAGGCAGGAAGCGCTGCTGCATGAAGAGGAATGAACAACACATGCAAAGACAGATGGAGCTGCAGTGTATAAATCAGAGGGCCCTGAGTGTACTAACCATGGCTATAGAGAAAAAGATTTTTTCCCTTTGATTTGTACCTTAGGTAAATAGCCCTTTTCTAACATAATTAACCTTTTCTCCTATAAGAAATGTTCGACTCCACAAGCTGTAAACAAGCAATGAAACAAGAAGGCTTCATTTCTATATTGATACCCTTTAATTCTTTCCCCAAGTTCTCTGCTGTCATCCAGATTCATGTGCTCTTCATTCCCTTTTGCAGCTGTTGTAGGGAAGTGACCTGTACCTCAGAGAAAGTGCTGAGAGCATTGTGGTCATTAATGAAATAACCAAGCTCTTTCAAGATGATATGTCATCTTCTCCCAGATTCCTCTTCTGGCTCTTCCAAATAGAGTATGGTTCGGTAAGGCCTCCAGTAGACCTCATTCATAGGGGTAATCACAGAACTCCTACATTAGATTGTCACCTGTTAGATCATCTGTTGCTTCCCTAATTAGAGGGAAAAATCTGGTGCCTCAGTCTTAGATTATATCTCTATTATTCCAGTGTCTGGCACACTCACAGTAGGACCAAAGAAATGAAAACAATTCCTTTCATTTTCTCTTAAACTATCCTATTCTTCTCATTCAATGCCTTCTTTATCATTGTTTGAAAGTATTCATGTATATACATTTATTATTATTTTTGGTTCGCTGGTTCAATATTACTGACACACACACCCCGATACATACGTTGATTATTCTTTAATTATTACAGAATCATTAAGATTCTGTAGTAATTGGAAACTTGCATGCTTGTATCCCACTATTTACAAAGTATACCTGGTATACAATGCTGGGCAGTTAGTTGGCTTTCAATAAATATATTTTTAAATAACAAGATAATTTAGTGATTGCTCTTGAGTTTTAAAAAAAATCAATGTGATTCTACATTCTGTGTATTTGTGAATTTTTCTTATGACCTTCTTAGAAAATTGATCTTAGATACCAATAACATAGATGCCATTTCTCAGTGAAGTGTAAAGAGTTTTAATTTGGTTTCAATAAATTAGTTTTTATTAGGCTTATTATTCACCAGCCCATTTTCAAAAGAACATCCAAAGATCCTTATAAATATGCAAAACTGAAGTCTGTATGTTTTTGCATGAACTAAAAAAATAGACATAATTGTCTGGGCAACAAAGCAAGACCCCATCTCTACAAAAAATGAAAATAAAAATAGCCAGGCATGGTGGAATGTGCCTGCGGTCCTAGCTACTTCGGAGTCTGAGACAGAAGGATTGCTTGAGTCCAGGAGCTCCAGGCTGCAGTGAGCTATGATCACACCACTGCACTCCAGCGTGGGTGACAGAGTGAGACCCCGTCTCGAAAAAAAGAAATCCATTACTATAAAAGTATTGGATTAACACTTAACAGGATAGCAATGGATTGGTAAGTGAAATAGAAAAATCCCCTAGCATGTGTACAAGGCATTGTGTTTTTACACTATGTCTAATGAACATAATGCCTTTGACACAAATCTAAAGTTATTAGCCTTGGATTTCTTTCTGCAAGCTAGGAGTGTGAAAGCAGAGCTGCGGGTTGTTTCCTTAAGAAGGAATGTGTGTGTTTGTGGTTGGCAGCAAAATGGTTTCAGCAGGGACCTAATCAGACATCTCTTCTTCACACAGCTGACTGGCAGGTGGAGGTGAGAACACAAACAAGCAGACGTTCCTAAGGCACTGAGGAGGAGCTTGTGTGGCAGGGTCTGAGGAGACAGAGGTCTTCTGAAATGAGGGGTGAACTGTTGGCCATTAGCCTTAAGGAACCCAACTCAAGTGTGACTGACATTTCTTAAAGAGAGTAATGGAGAAATGACAGAAGTGCAAGACTTGGCCAAAAGAAACGCTCTCCTAGGACAGATAAATGGGCAGTGGGGGGCTGAAAATAAAAAGGGGGATCCTAGGCCACCCACATGTGCTGGGGATGGATCAGTGAAAAGCTGGAAGTGTTTCATAAGGTCTTCCTCAAAGGAGAAATTTATATATGGGATCACTCTGAGAATTTCAAAAAGACAATATCTAGGTAGAGAGATTAATTATGTATAGAATTATATGCTTATCTATTTAGAATAAATTACACATTTCTGTTTCTAAATATAACTCTTCAGTTAGAAAAGTGATTTTTATTTCTTCTTCAACTGTTATTTTAGATTTACAGGGTACAAATACAGGTCTGTTAAATGGGTATATCGTATGATGCAGAGGTTTAGGATTTAGAACCCACTACCCAGGTACGGAGCATAGTATGCAATAGGCAGTTTTTTTTCCACCCACAACACCCTTTCTCCCTCCCCCATCTAGTAGTCCACAGTGTCTATTGTTCCCATCTTTATGTCCATGTGTACTCAATGTTTGGCTGCCACTTATAAGTGAGAACATGCAGTATTTGGTTTTCCATCCCTTGTTAATTCACTTAGAATAATGGCCTCCAGCCGCACCCATGTTGCTGCAAAGGATGTGATTTTGTTCTTTTTATGGCTGTGTAGTATTCCATGGTATACATTTACAACATTTTCATTATCCAGTCCACCACTGATGGGCACCTTCGTTGATTTTCTGTCTTTGTTATTTTGAATAACATAGCAATGAACATATGTGTGCATGTGTCTTTTTGGTAGAATGATTTATTCTCCTTTGGGTACATACACAGTAATGTGATGTTTTGATTTGGAACTATAGTCATAAAGCCACAGGCTACAGAAAGCAGAAGCTGAATTAATAACTGTAAATTTGGTTTTATCACGTGTAAGATGAGGATGATCAGAACTAAATCATAATCTGATGTTACAAAAAGATAAATATAAAGCATCCCACACCAAGTTTGGTCTTAATCAGTAGTCCATGAATCTTTAAAGGATACTTTAAATAAGTGGCATTGAGATTACTAGCCAGTTAGCTGTTAAAATGTATGTCTTTTATTCTTGTGATATAACAATTATAGTCAATATTTGATTTCTGCAATTATTCAATGGGTATTTACTGAGGACCTACCATGTTCCAGGTACCGTGCCATGATATGAACCAATAAGGCATGTCTTCTGCCATCAAGAAACTCAACATTGTAATGGTCTAGGCCTTGGTCTTAACTTCAAAACATGTATTTTCTTGATGAGTGCCTTCACACATAGCTCATTCAAAAAGGAGGACATTTTAAGTCATTTCTATGTGAATTCAAAAGAATTGAGCCCATTTGGATGCATTCACTTCAATTTTTAAAGGATCCACAACACTTCAGAAAAATAATTAATGTGGGCATCATAAACTCCTGATTCTGAAAGAGCTGAATAGTTTTACTTTCTCAATCTGTCTCATTACTCAACAGTAGTCTCATTACTCAACAGTAATGAGACAGTGCCTTGTCACTGCCTCTCTTAGCTTGTACTTTTACCAGAGAGGGATTATTGTTTCTTAAAGGGCATATCTTCAAACCTATTTTAAGCTCAGCGTTCAGAGTTTCCTAGACTCATGGAGATTATAGACTCATGGAGATTATAGGAACTATGATCATTATTTAATCCATTTCCTTTATTGTATCAATGAAGAAGTTAGGATATAGAAGCATGAAATGGCTTGCCTCATGATATCAAATTCAGCTACTCACATAACAGGAAATGGAACTCAATTCCTTCTGAAATCTTCTCCAGAATTAACCAGAAGTAAGGAAAGATGCCCAATCATATCACTAAATTATTTGAGTAAGTAGGGGAGCCAACAAGGTCCATAGGAAGTGGAAAGTTAGGTTCATAACTCTCATAATTAAGTGCTAAATATTAAAAAATGCAATAGACCTATTCATGTAGTACCATGTTGTTTAAAATGTCTGTGTCTGAGAAATTACCAGGAGATTCTCAGGTGAGATTTTGGCCATTTGCCATGTTACAATACATTGGGAAAAGAAAGGAATGCATGATACAAGAAGACTTGGGCTTCCATTCCCAGAAGATTATTTCATATGTTTGCACAAGGGAGAGGATGAAACCGTGTGACAGACTTAATTTTCTATCTTTCTCAAAGACATAAAAATCTCTACCCTCTTGCTATTTTGAATTTTTTATTCTATAGTAGGATGTCTCAACCTAGGCACTGTTGATATTTTGGACTGGATAATTCTTTGTAGCTTGGCTGTCTTCTGTATTGTAGGATATTCAGCAACATCCCCGGCCTCCACCTGGTGGATACCAGTAGTATCCTTCCCTGCCATTTGTGACAATCAAAATATGTCTCCAGACATTGCTCAGTGTCTTTTGGGGAACAAAATATTCCCTGTGAGAATCAATGGTCTAGAAAATAAAAGAAGTCCAATCTTGTTCCAGATGAGAAAGGAAAGTTGATAACTGGATAGCATCATGGTCCCTCATCAGTGACACAAACAATACCAGCAGGTCTTTTCGCCACAGGGAAAGAAGAGATGCCCACCTCATGTCCACAGAGTTTGACCACTAGAAGAAACTTTATACACTTCGGCTAACAGAAAGGGTGGGAGTGGGGAGAATGCAGAAAAATTCTTCTGTCTGATTTTCAGACTTTTGGAGTCCTAACCCTTTCATCCACTGCCATATAAATGCAACCTATTTACTAATTTATGGCATATAGAATGGCTATTATTTCCCTAAAATAGATATTTTTTGTGATTAGGGTGGTATACAGGGGAGAAAAAACACTTAGGGCATAGCTTTCAAAGATGCTTTCAAACACCAATGTTTTCAGTTAAGGTTTCCATTATGCTTCACTTTGGTTAATCATTATTTAGCTGACTGTGGTGGTGAATTTTATGTGTCAACTTGCCTAGGCTATGGTGCCCAGTTTTGGTCAAACACCAGTCTAGATGTTCCTATGGAGATATTTTTTTAGATGTGATGAACATTTAAATCAGTAGACTTTGAGTAAAGTAGATTATGCTTCATGATGCATTTGGGTCTCATCCAATCAGTTGAAGGCCTTAAGAAAAATACTGAGGTCTCCTGAAGAGGAAGGAATTCTGCCTCTTGACTCCCTTTCAACTTAAGACAGCAGCATCAATTTCTGATGGAATTTCCAGCCTGATGGCCTGCCCTATAGAATTCTGACTTCCCAACACCTACAAATCACCAGAAGCAATTTCTTAAATTCTCCTCCTTTTCCTCTTCCTCTCTCTATATATCCTATTGGTTCTGTTTACCTGAAGAAACCTTTCTAATGCACTTACTATCTAGTATTTGTATGAATTTCAGGTCATTTTCAACCTTTCTAATATTAGATTTTCTAAATCCTTTAGATAAACAGTTTTAAACAAAAGTAGGCAGCTAAAATACCACATGAACATTGGTGCATTATTTGCCAAATCTAATTTGAGATTTGATAACCTAATATTGACCAAAATTTTTTTGAAGTAGAAGGTTCAGAAGAGCTTTTCTGATCAATAGTCAAAAGAATATCAATCAAAGTTTATTTGTTTTGCTCTTAACCAGTTTCATAAGTTAAGATACATATGATAGCCCTACATTTAAGTGACCTAATGGAATACACCACTTAGGATGGAAACATTGTATTTTCTTCATATTAATGCATTTACATCCACATACTGATATATATATTTTGAAATCAGGATAATTCCCTTTTAACCAGAGTAACCATTTGAATAACTGACTTTTAAAAATTAGTTGATTCTATCCATAGATACAGGAGTCTATTATACCTGTGCAGCCCACAAGAGGGTATTTTGATAGGTTAGATATCAAGATTTGGTTTGCTTTTCTTTTTCATTCTAGGATGACTTGTAATATCTCAAGCAGTGTTTTCAAACTTGTGGTTCATGAAACATCACATCAGAAATATAAAGATGCTTCTTTTTATTATTTTTTTCTTTTGAGACAGAGTCTCACTCTGTCACCTAGGCTGGAGTGCAGTGGAGTGATCTCAGCTCACAGCAACCTCTGCCTCCCGGTTCAAGTGATTCTCCTGCCTCAGCCTTGCAAGTAGCTGGGACTACAGCCATGTGCCACCATGACCAGCTAAATTTTGTATTTTTAGTAGAGATGGGTTTCACCATGTTGGCCAGGCTAGTCTCGAACTCCTGACCTCAAGTGATCGCCCCACCTCAACCCAAAGTGCTGGGATTATAGGCATGAGCCACCATGCCGGGCCTAGAGATGCTACTTAAAACTCAAGTTCATGCTTATGGAATTCAGGAATCTGCATGTCCTACGAGTAGCCCAGCTGGTTCAATGCACATGGAAGTCTGAAGATAACTAAGCTAGAAAGAATAGTTGGGTTAAATGTTTTTGTAGGATACAGATATTTCTTTAATCTATAAACTAACAAGTTACATATCTCTTGGGATTGATATAGAAATCCAGAGAGCTTCAGGGTTTGTTACGGAACATCTAATTAAAAGCTTCTTGGAAACTCCAATATTTAGAATTTCTGTAACACAAGTACTGAATAAAATTTGGTCACCAGATCACAGGGCCAGATCTTGGAAGAAATTAACAAAAGTCCTGTTAATAAGAATATAAGAAGCTACAAACTCAGAAAAGTCTCAAAGAGAGCCAATATAAAATTCACAGATGTATAACCCAAGACATACTTTCTTTAAAATTCATATAATATCTCAATATTAGTAGATAATAAAAAAGTAATTGATAATAAACTAATATGGGTCTTCATTCTAAAATAACTGTGAATTACACAGTAGTCACATCCCTAGAAAAATGGATGTGTATTAAAACCATGAAAAACCACTGTTTATATATGAAGCATAGTTAAATGAGTAGCTTCGGATAATTAACAAGAAGTTTTCCACCTAGACATAATGCCCAGGAGGACATTGGAAGGTTGTGTGGGATGCGACACAGTTGTTCATTGTGGGGCCCCCCTGTACTGTGTAAGATGTCTAAAACTGGCCTAAAACCCTAATCTACAAAATGCCAGCGCTCATCATTATGGAAAAGTTAAAGAAGTCCTGTATTTTTTTTTTTGACAACCTCTACATTATCCCTTCTTTATCAATTCTTTTTCGTCAAGTCCCAAAAGAGTTATATAATCTCCAGCAGGTAAGGAACCCCAAAACCCACTTTATCCCACTTAGTGTTTGAATCTCCTCTGCAACATCTCCACCAAGTGGTTGTCTGACCTAGTGTCCTAAATTTGGCTATTCACATACCACCTTGACAATATCTGAATAGCTCAATTCCCTTCTTCTCTTGTCTCCCTAAAAAGCATATGATGGTGAATGTAGAAGGTCAATTCACACAAGTCCACACTAGCATTCCATATCTGCTATGAGGAGTACAGATGGTTTTCATAAAAGCTTCACTTATTAAAGGCTTGAAACAATTGTGAACATGCTCGAACCCATTATCTATAGTTCTTACTATTTTCCATTTATGTGTGAAATCATGGGCTTGATGTGCTATTTATTTTATATATATCTTAGCAAACACAAATATATAACAAATTAAAAAGATGAGCTGTATACCACCAAAATCATCTTGCAGTCCACACTTTGGGTATCACTGTTCTATTCCATCCTCAAATATTTATGATGTGGCTTTTATGTGAACTTATGAAAATGTTAAGGAAATGCTAACCTTAAGGCTTATATATGTACTCTTCATTCTTCCAACAATGCCCTGAAGCTGAGATCATGCCCAGGCCTGAGCCTGAAGTCCTGTTCCTGTTGTTAGTCCTTTCTTTAGCTCAAACACACTTGCCTGTACAACACTTTATCTCTCAAACTACTTCAGTCATAAATAGACAATGTCTCCTCTCCAGGCCTTTTTTGTAGAGTTTTGGCCTCCTTTTCAAGTCTCTCTCTTCTAGAAACCAGCTAGTGCTTATCTCTGTTCAGCTGTTCTTATGAAGAACATGGACCCTCTTTGCCCTCCAGGTCCTGGGAAGCTTCAACTTTTCGCCCTGTCACAAAGGAAAGATGAAGAAACATGATCTGAATTGCCATGCAAAGGGAGTCATACCTCTTGCTTTTTTGTTTATCCCTGAGGCTGCACAGTCAGACTGTTTGGATATAAGCAAAGGTTTAGGATTCCTTTAATACCTGTGACCTTTCCATACAGTCAAGGCATGAGAATAAGAGAAAGAAAATCTTCCAAGTATTTAACATGGCTTGAGACTGAGTAATAAGCTTTCCCGTGATTGTCAGTTCCAAATGAAGCTATTGGGTACAGAAACAGTAGCTGCCCGTTTGAGATTGGACTTCTTTTTTTAAATGCCTCCACTGTTACCAGGAACAGATGATTTTACTCTGCAATCCTACTAGAGGAGATATAATTCCATGCCCAAGAAAGTCCTTCCCAGAAAATTCTATCTGCCCCTTCTTATTAAAACTGCAATAATCAAGCAGTTTGCATCTTCAGTCAACAAATATTTATCAAATGTATTTTGCACACATGTTACTCTACCAGTTGCTGCTCTGGGAAAACAACAGCTATAAAATGTTGGAGACAATGTGTTTTACCCAAATTCTTTGTTGCGGGTTGGCTGCCCCTACAGACATCATAGAAGGGTGTGGAAAACCCAAAATATGAAAGAGAAAAATCTGGAACTCTGGATGGGCAATCTAATAAGGGCAGAGCAGAGGGCAACAAGATCAACAGAGTAAAAAAGTAGGGAGAAGGGGTATATGCATTCTCTGCAGCATGAGTACTCATACTCAGCCCTCCCCAAAACTCCATCAATTTTTCTGAAACTCACGAAATGCCTGTTGGAAATGGATGTCTTAAGGAAATAATAAGGGCATCTGAGTTTTACACCTGGAGTCATATGGGGTAAAGCAGAGACAATGGTTATAGGTACATGAATCAGAGGCACAGAGAGGCATCAGGTGACCCATGGGCTGCTAAAGCATCCTTACTTTAAAAGATCTTGAAATCTATTGAAGGAGAAAAGTTACCTACTCATAAGCCTAAAGATATAATGAAATACATAAGTACCAAAACAGTGACTGTGAAATTATAGTTTAGTTGGTATTCAGTGGAAGGAGAGAATCCTTGTGAGCTGAAATGGTCAAGAAAAGCATCATGGCAAGATATGTGAACTGGCTTTTAGGGTTAATTTTTTACTCTGGATATCAGTGGCTCCACAAATATGCACTAGTAGCATGGGAAAGGGGGATTAAAAGTGATTGTTAGAATGGATTAAATGACTACCATTATTTCATGGTTAAGTCATTTGTGTGAATGTTAGTTGATCTTAAATATGATTTTTTAATATTTTTTATTTCAATAGTTTTGAGGTACAGGTGGTTTTTGGTTACATGAATAAATTCTTTAGTGGTGATTTCTGAGATATTAGTGCACCTGTTACTTGAGTGGTATACACTGTATTCAATATGTAGTCTTTTATCCCTCACATCCCTTCTAATCTTCCCTCTCAAGTCCCCAAAGTCCATTATATCATTCTTATTCTTTGCATCCTCATACATAGCTCCCACTTGTACGTGAGAACATACGATATTTGGTTTTCTATTTCAGAGTTACTTCACTTAGAATAATGGCCTCTAGCTCCATCCTAATTGTGGCAAAAGATTATTTCATTCCTTTTTATAGCTGAGTAGTATTCCCATATATATATATATTTTTTTTCACTGTTGGTCTTTGGATACACACACACACACACACACACAAATACACCATATTTTCATTATTCACTCGTTGGTTGATGGGCACCTGGGTTGGTTCCATATTTTTGCAATTGCAAATTGTGCTACTGTGAACATGCATGTGCATATGTCTTTTTCATATAATAACTTCTTTTCCTTTGGTTAGATGCTCAGTAGTAGGATTGTTGGATTGAATGGTAGTTCTACTTTTAGTTCTTAAATAAGATATTTTAAATAAGATACGAATCCATGGGTAAGTTACAAAAAGTGATTCTCCAAAGAGAGAGCAGAAATATTTCCATTTCTCGAGTTTTAGTACATTCAAAGTTTGAAGAAGTGCTCCACCAAGTTCATAAAAATTACTACTTCTCAAAACTCGAGGAGATATTTGCACTCCCATGCAAAATATCCAAGAGGTGGAAACAACCTAAATGTCCATTAATCAATGGATGGATAAAGAAAATGTATATATGTTCAATAGAGTATTATTCAGCCTTTAAGAAGAAGGACATTCTGACACATGCTACAGTGTGGATAAACCTTAAGAACATTATGCTAAATGAAATAAGCCAGTCACAGAAGGACTTCACTTACATGAGGTACCTAAAATTGTCAAATTCAAAGAATCAGAAAGTAGAATAGTAGTTACCATAGGCTGGGGGATAAGGGAAAATGGGTAGTTACTGTTCAGTGAGTATAGAGTTTCAGCATGTAAGATAAAAAAAAAGTTCTGGAGATCTGCTGTACAACAATGTGCATAGAGTTAACAATATTGTACTGTCCTCTTAGACATTTAAAAGGATAACTTTCATGTCATGTGTTATTTAGCACAATTTAAAAATGCAGTATGTTTTAAATGCTTACATTTTGTGAATATCACTTTCATCACATCATACAGATAATAATAGTCAATGTTTATTAATAGTTTCTGTTGCTTAAAAGAGCATATTCTCATCGCACCCTCTACAAATCCATAAGGTACTTGTTATTATCCCTATCATACAGTTGAGGGGACTCAGTCAGAGAGATTATGTGTGGTGCCTGAAGTCACACAGTACTGAGACGTGGAGCCAGAATTGGAAACCAGGTAGCTGACTCCAGAACCCATGCTCTCAATTTCTATACCATAAAACTGCTGGTATATTCTCATCCAGAGAAAATGTTACTGTCTAAATTTAAAGTCTTTCAGAAATGTGACTCTACTTTTTGTCAGAGGCTTTGAAGAGACATGCAAGCGAACAACTTAGATACGTCTTCATGTTTAGAAGAATTATATTCTTAAATTTTAGTCACTAGGACCAGGAGTTGGGGATCAACCCCTGATATAGAAAAGCCTCAAAAGAAACATTCTCCATATCCAAAGACCAACAGTGAACGCCTAAACTTCTGTCCTGAGCTCTGTCCCTCAGGCATCAAATTCTATATTCACACAAGCATAGAATAAAATTACACCAACTAATTGTGTTCTGCAGCTCCACATAGGTTATCATGAGTGCAAAGGGACAGCATTTCTGGTAATTAAGTCTCAAAATCAACTCCCCATTAAACTAAATGAAGAAAGTTCATTTCTACTAGTGATACTGTATTAGTCTGCCTGCTTATTCTGCAAAATTAGCAGAGATTAATTTACATTCTCAAAAACGACGGGTGAGGGGAAATGGAAATGCCTCATGGAAAAGAAGGCAAATTTAGGTCATGGATAGAGATCTCAATCAAATGGGCCAAAATACAGTTTATTTATATCTGCTAAATCCCAACTGCTAGCATCTGAGCACAGCATGACAAGCTTGGAATTGTGGAACCTGGGATCTAGTCCAGTTTCTGCCCCTGACTAGCACCATGACCTTGGAAAAAGCATTCGATCTCTCTGAGTTTCACTATCCTCCCCACTGAAATAAGGATCACGTGCTAAACTCACAAGGCGGGGGCAAGGGTGGAGGGTGGTGTCTTCATGGATACAATATGTGTAGAATTCCTTTTTGGACTCTAGGAGCTATAAATGATGTAACCTTATTTATTAATCATTAATGTGAACAGGGCCAGCCATTTCTATATTATTAACACTGCTTCTACCCTAATGATTCAATTCAGATGACAAATTTTACCAAGCACTTCACACCAAGAGCTGAGGATCAGGGCCACTTGGTTCTTACCGACACAGTGCCTCCAAGCCAAAATTGGTAGAACCAATAGTTCTACTCTTAAATCAGGACCCGGACCCCTCTAGCCTTCCATTATCTGGATGAAAATGAGCTTACTAATTTAGAAACCCAAGTGAGTGTATTCTAGGCTAACCAAATTAATTCTTCTCTAATTATTGAGAACATTAAATGTCACAAGCTGATCTCAAAATGTTAGTAAAATAAGTTAAATTGTTTTGAAAGGCAGGAAATGTGATAACGTGGTAGAAATGGGGAAAAACAAGACAGAATTGAAATATTATATTAATCAAGTACTAACTCTGATTTGACTGGGTGAATGCAAGAGAAGACCTTTCTTCCCTCCTTTGCTGAAAGGGAGCATGCCAAGATGGTAGACAGAAGCAGCTCAAAGTGTAAAGAAGGAACCAACCCAACTGGGGGAACAAGTATACACTCTTCTGAAAATGGACTATTTCTGTCCCCGTAAGCTCATGTGTAATACACAGAACCCCCTAGCTTTCCTGGAACTTTTATTAAAAATTGATTATTGACAATGAATGCAAAGCATAAGAAAACTGAGTGGAAAAATTCTATATCATATAATTACTTGGACACTTAAAAAACAGTGGCTTGAAAGAATCATCTTTTTAACATCCCCATTATCCATCTTCACTCCTCTTAAATTCGCATTTTCCTTTCATCATATCCCCAGGTCTCCCTCAACATTTAAAGTTTTTCTCCAAAAATTATATATTTTTCATAAATTTTCTCTGAAAGTTTATTTATAGCTAATGGATATAAATATTTAAATGTGTGTTTATATATACCAATAGTATAACAAGAATTAGTGTACAGTTTTTAAATTAGAAACTGTCTACAATTTCATTTTGTTGAATCTGACAATTATTTTTTAAATCATATACTTATATTTGCAGTCCAGTTTATGTACAATTTTGAGTTCTATTATTATATTTAACATTACCTTATAAATATTTCCATGTTAAATTTCTCCCAATAAAAGGTATCAATGGTCATATCTTAAACAACATGTAGATTAGCCAGCTTTCCAGAATATCTTGGATACCTTTTTATTCTAAAAATTTAATTATAATCAATAGAACATCTGTAATGATAAGGACAGTGATAACAGTGGCTCATAGAGTTGCCACATATGGTTGTGTACTTTGAATGTGGCACAATTCTAAAGGCCATCACACTGGTGGTCACCATAGATTTACACTTTTCTTATGCCAATATTCCAAAAGATGGCAGGAAATTATCTGGGCTAAGGACTAGCTTGGTCTAACTAGCATGACTGAGCTAAGGTGAGCTGCTCCTATTTACTAAATGTTTACCATGTGCCAGGCTCTGTTCAGGGAGCTTTTCCCAGATTCTGTCATTTGATACTCAACAACTGTACGAGTATAGAAACTGTTATTGTTAGCTCCATTTTACAGATGAAGAAACGAAGACCTCAGTTCACTCAGTTTCCAAGTTGCAGGATGAGACCGATCTAAGCTCATTCCAACTACAGAATCCAAATCCACCCAACTGTTAGTGAAAATTAGTTTTCGTTTTACTGACTTTTAATGAAAATCAATCTGTATAGCCAAATAAATCCTGCTTTTCTTCTTTCAGGTTCTTTCCTCAAGGTAGAATTATAGTTAAAGGCTAGACCAATTTTTAGGGTCACATAATCTACTCTGTCACCAGTAATGTAGTTAAGTTCTGTTACATCTTTTCATTCTTCATTCAGAAAATATTTGTTCATCAACTACTATATATCAGGCACTGTTTTAAGGAGTTGGAGAAAGAGCAGTGAGCACATTGCCCTCTTTCTTGTTTTGAAGAAGCTTAAAATTAAGCAGGAAGCCGATGAACCACTTGTTACTCTCTTTCCCTTTTCTGAATTTGACCTGTATAAAATAACCTCACCACTGAAATATACATTTTTAATGAACAATAAGGGTTAATATGGATCCCAGTGGGCTTTAGAAATAGTTACTATGGTGAATATGGAGGAGGGGTGGAAACTGAAGCAGGAAAGGCAAAAAGGGACAGGAATTATTTCCTCCTTCTGAACATTCCTACAGTAATTTGTTCATACAGTATCATGATGCTTTATGATTTAGTTACCTGTATGAGTGTCAGATTCAAAATTCATTCAGGCAGGAGTCATATTACATGAAACTTTTAAAAAACATGTTTCTTTGTGAGCATTTGATATAGTTTTGATGTTTGTCCCCACCAAATCTCATACTGAAATGCAATCCCCAGTGATGGAGTTGGGGCCTAGTAGGAGGTGTTTGGGTCATGGAGGTGGCTCCCTCATGAATGCCTTAGTGCTATCCCCTTGGTGATGGGTGAGTTCTCACTATGAGAAGATGTGGCTATTTAAAAGTATGTGGTACCTGCTCTCTCTCTCTCACTCCTATTCTTGCCATAAGACGTGCCTGCTCCCACTCTGCCTTCTGCCATGACTGTAAGTTTCCTGAGGCCCTCACCAGAAGCAGATGCTGGAGTCATGCTGGTACAGCCTGCAGAACAGTGAGCCAATTAAACCTCTTTTCTTTATAAATTACCCAGCTTCAGGTATTTCTCTACAGTGATGAAAAAATGGCCTAACATAGCACTCAATAAACATCTGTTATATTAGTGAAAACATTACATGAATAACCAATAATATCAAAGATCTGAATAAAAATTAAAGAATTACAAATTGATTCCTCATATTTGTGTTCATGTCTTTTTGCTTTTAAGGAAGCTTTAGAAACCAGATTTCACATACATGATTTTTTGAGCACACAAAATATGCCAAGGAAATGCTAAATATCATTTATTTGTAATACTCCTTTGTATGATTTCCAAATCTTGCCTGATCATGAAAATTGGTTTCGAAAAACAGTTATTCCCAGGACCCTCCTGACAGAATGTGATCTAGTTGGTCTAAGAATCTAATTTGAACAGGTATTACAGATGAGTCTTATAATCTGGACAAATTTTTAAAAAATACTCTTACAAAATGCATGACATGAGAGTTCTGAATAGGTGAGCACTATTTCTACTACCTTATTTAATGCAAATACAATGGATAAGATTTGGAGATTACCTGTATGCCTGCTAAAAGTGGATTTGGTGCTATTCTGTTACACTGTCACCTTCAGTTTTGAAAATAGGTTCAGAATGTGTCGTTGTATAGGAGAAATAATAATTTATTAAGTTCTCTAACAAGATAGGTGCTCCATATAATAGTAATAGTACAAATAGACTAGAAGGGGTTACCAAGTTGGAAAATGCTCTCCCAATGATAGAATTTGAATTAAATGATGGCCACGCACTCATGCTATGGGAGAAGGCATCTTGCCTGTTTTAAGCTATCCTCAGTTGAGTTGTACATGTATCATTCTACTCCTATAAACTTCAAAAAATTCCTAAGTATAACCCAGCAGAAATATCCTTATATGTTCCCACTGATGTCCAAGAATACAAAAACTGTTATCCACAAGAATAGTCATAGAAGCCATATTCCTAGTATCCCAAAAATAGAAACAATCCAAATATCCATCAACTATAACATACTTAAATAAACTGAGATACGTTCCCACAAGGGAATATTTTAGAGCAATCACAATAAACACATTATTACTACAAACAACCACACAGATGAATCTCACAAACATAATGTTTGTGAAAAAAAAGTCAGGCATAAAGGAATAAATATTATGTGATTTTGTTTACATAAAATACAAAAAACAGGCTAACTAATCTACAGTATTAGATGGCAGGAGACTGATTACATATGGTGGCTGTTTACTGGGAGGACAAGGGGGCTTCTGGTGGTGCTTGATGTAGTGCTGGTCACAAAGGTATGTTCATTTTTATGAAAACCTATTGAGTTTACACTTATAGTTTTTGCACATTTCGGAAGGTATGCCATTCATGAATACACTATTTACTCCCAGAAAAAAATGTGAATATTATTCTGAATTTCTTCCCAAATTTTATGGCTGCTAATAGGGTGGGGAAATTGTTTCTGGTTATCTTCACCAATATAAAATCTCCTGTCCTACAGACAAGAGCTACAGAGAGTTTGTATGAGAAATGCATGACAGTTTTCAAATGAAAAGATTATGCCTTTTATCTATTTCCAATCTATTATTTACTTTGAATGTGTTTTCCAATAATGGCCCTATATTTGTGCTGATTCATCCTGATGACCCTGCCAGATCTGCTGCTTATTAAGGAGTATACTCTGTGAGGATAGAACAGAAAGAAGAATCTATAACTCATTATATTGGTGGTTCTAATGAAGTCTTTGAGAAAGAGTAGACTCTAAGGGCTCAGCTCTCCAAGAGTCACCTCTGTCAGCCCTACCCCAATCAACTGTTCCTTCCTTGTCAAGGGACACTGTGGTTGAGTGTGTTGACAGTATGTGTATATATATATATATACACACACACACATATATACTGTCATGAATATATATATATATATCTATCTCACTATGATTAGAAGGACAAATCAGTGAGCCAATAGAACTATTGCGGGTGAGGACAGTGAGATTGGTGCTGCGATTAAGTGGAGGGACTTTTGAAAAATCAATATTGGAAGATGGCTTCTGTAACAAATAATGTGAGTGCCGCCCCAAGATCTCCACTGATCCCTTTTTACTCCTCAGGGGCACCTACCCCAAACCATTTGGTGTGCTCTCAGATCCAACAGTTAGCGCCTATTGTTCCTTTCTCAGAGGATTTTTGGAAGCTCCTAGAGCTGCTTTATCAGCATTTGCAGAGACCTAGAAGCCTTGAAATGTATCCCTAGTGGCGGCTCCGGCTCCTCTGCTTCTGTTTAGGAGACCACTGAGGCAGGACTAGGACAAGGATGTGGTGAGGGAGGTACATGGTTTAAGGGGGCACCAAAAACACAGCTGTCAAGATAAAGAAATAATATTTTAAGGTGATATTTTTAAAAATTCAGAAAGAATGTTAAAAATCAATGACATTCAACATATAGAAATTTTAAATAAAGGCAGGATTAGTATCATCAATATTTCCTTTTACCTCAGGTTCCAATATGGCTTCACACAGCACTACTCCAAGGCGTAACTAACTCATGCTCCAGGGCTCTCTTCTAGATGTTTTTCCCATGTTCAGGTGGAGGGAAGTGATGAGATGGGTCATGTGTCATTTTGATTTTCTGGTTTTCTTTTGCCTCACAGGATCTTTAGTCCTTCCTCCCCCCAATCCCACCTACCCCCCACCTTTTTTTCCCCAAACTCCACACAGTTTCCAAAGGGAGCATCCTGCAGAAGTGTGGCCTTGCCCTGGCCAACACTCTCCTCTCTGAGTCCTTTCCCTGGGCTCAATGTACTGGCCCACCAAGACTCTTTTCCAATATTGCATCTGGTCTTCTTTTTCGTATGACTTGAGCTTGTCCCCCCCGCCCCCCTCCCCACTGGCCCCATGACCTACCCCACTCTAACCAAGCTTGAGGTAAATATGCAAGGCACAAGAGAAAGTTTCTATGGAATAGTGTTTATTTTTCTACCTACTGGTAACATGGAGTCTGTTGTGCCAAAGGCATAGGGTATATGTAATCTTATTTGTTCTTCCCATTCATCTGTATAATTATGGGGCTTTTTGGAGAGCTGGACTTAGTCAGTTGCCATTATCTTTGGCTCCTAATGTCCCCCTGAACTGGTGATCCCTGGGGAGAGCCAGCTGAATCCAGAGCCATTGCCCATGCTGCTACCTCAGTCCAATCTTTTTCATGAATGCTTTCTCCTGTCCTCAGGATGACGACATTAGAAGTGGAAAATGTGAAGCAAAGAATGTATAAACCTTAGCATTCAAAGTATAATATCCCTTTCACAGAAAATAATAACCTTCTCTAAAAATATTTTACAATTCATTACAATTCATGAAGTTCCACTATGAAAATCAAAACCCTGTCACATAAAAAGCTCTAACTACACATGTAAACAACTACATACTCTAAGTGGAATATAATGTTGGATTCATGTCTTTAAATTTATTTTATTGCTAGCTATATTGTAGCAAATGAAATGCTGGGAAGCTGAAATAAGAAGTGACTGCATGGGTTTCTTGGTTCATGAGTTTCATAACATACATTTAAGGTGCCATCTCCTGGTGATAGCTTTTCTATACCTCTAATCCACGGGATGCATTTTGTCTTTGTGCTGAAATAGGCCGTAATAATGGCCTCTGGTGCATATGTTTCTAAAATAAATATTAAAAATCTTTTGTTATTATTTAGTCAGTTAAAAATATGAGTCTTCTGAATAAGCTCTGAGGATTACATCAAAGTCAGTGTCCTGGTTTTTGTATTGTAGTACAGTGATGCAAGATGTTAACACTGGGGGAGGCTGGGTGAAGGGTGCAGGGGAGTCCTGTGTACATTTCTTTGCAACATCCTACGAATCTATAATTATTTCAAAATAAATATTCACAAAGATTTTTTTAAAGGCTTTTCTTGTACTACAGAATAGCTTTTGGCTTGAAACACAAGGCACTGCTAGTTAGCAGAGACCCAAGAGGCAAACTATGCAGGGCAGACATCTTGCCCAGCAACCTAAATTCTATTGCAGATGATGTCATCTATAAATGGCTTATCAATGGAGCATGGCTTCATGTGCATCTGAGACATTTATCTACACCGATACCCAGAGCTACATGAATGGCTATCTTAGTACTTCAGCGGACAGCTGACAATTGTCCGGGGACTGCTTGTTCTAATTCTAACCTGCCATGCTGGTAAGTCTGAGTACAATTTATACATCCCACAGTAGTTGGCTGTGTGTAGTAGGTTGAATAAAGTCTCCCAAAGTATCAGATCCCAATTCCTAGAACTTATAATTATTACCTTGTTTGGAAAAAAGGATCTTTGTAGATGTGATTAAGAGTCTTGAGGTGGGGAGATCATCCTAGATTATCTAGGTGTTCCCTAATTGCAATCATAAGTCTCCTTATAAGAGAAAGACTGAGATCCTGTGAGATTCCGCACAGACATTCACAAAGAAGTCAATCTCAAGATGGTACAGAGAGAGATTTAAAGATTCCATCCTTGAAGGATGGAGAGACGTTGCCATAAGCCAGGGAATGCCCGAGTCACACAGGCTGGAAGAGGCAAAGAATAGATCCTCCTCTAGAGTCTCTGGAGAGAGTACAGGCCTGTAGACACACTGAATTCAGCAGAGTAATTTGGTGCTGGAATTCTGGAACTGCAAGAGGATACATTTATCTTGTTCTAAGGCATCAAGTTTGTCATAATTTGATGCAGCAGCCACAGGAAATGAATACAGCACTATAGGAGGAAATTCAGGGCACTGATCCAGAACATAAAAAGAGGAGACCCTTTGGGAACTGTGGAAACAGCACTAGACAGGAAGCCCTTACCCTTTGGTTGATATCTGAGCTCTTTTCTGACACAAAGATACTAGTATATTTCTAAATTCTGCTCTGTGCTCCATGAAAAAAAAACAAAAAGTCTTCCCAAAGTTAGTGTAATCTTTCCTTATACTGCAAAAGGCATGTCCAAATGCTAATTAAAGTTCACCATCTTATCCTACCACATCCTGAGTATGTACTCTAATTGGTTCCAAAACTACCCTCTCCATTTCTCATTATGTCGGTATAATGTTTTCTAGGACACTGCAATTCAAAATGTGATTTACGGGGCAGCTGCATCAATGTCACCTGAGAGCTGGTTAGAAATGCAGGATCTCAGGCCCCTCCCCAGGCCGGTTGAGTCGGAGTCTGCATTTTAACAAATCCCCAGCTGATTGTATTAAAGCATAGGAAGTGCTGCCCTAGGACTCCAGAAATCAACAGCATCTTGAAATGGCCTCAACTAGCAGAGCCCACATGTAAATCCACAGCCAGCCATAAGTATTAGCCTACCAGGAAATCTCAGTGTTTTAAAGAACATCTTAACGACGTGTGGATACAGCACTGAATTCTGCACTGGTTAGCAGGAGACTGTTTTGACATAATACATACCATTAGTAACATTGCAAACATGGTATTTTCTCTAAGAAATAAAGACTATGTCTTTTCCTCAGGATTTGCTAAAATACAGCTTTTATTTGGGGCTCTCCATGTGCCAGGTTTCATGTTGTTTTCTTCAGGCAATGTTATTCTGGTGCCAGCTGAGAAGGGCAAGCTTAGCCTAGCTGGGTTTTCCATTTCCTATTGTTGCTTGCTTGGAAGTTAGCAGCCTCACCTTCTTTGGTACCCAGTTTGAGAGCTCCGTGGGTGTTCTCTGGGCTGGTAATTGCAGGGAGTTTGTTTGGGAACAGTAATGTTTCCACAGTTCCAATTGCTCTGTTTGCCTGGCTCCCAGTTACCAATGTTTTCAGTTTCATTGAGGCATACAAGACAAACTTGTTCATATTTATTTCCCCTGTAAACCTTGTTTGCAACAATGCGGCATTTAACCTGGTATCACAAAAACAGGTAGGGTAATTTCTCCCTATATTTCCCAAATTAGTTGTTCGAAATGTTTTAAATTTGGCCTATTTTGTCAGGATTAAAGCAAAAGTTAGAGTCAATCTACTTTTAGCTGTTCTAACCTACATTCCATTGACATGAAAGGGGCATTCTTGAAGCTGATATATGTGGACACATTATTTTTTTTTCCTATTTGAGTGAAAATGTTTCTCTTGGCTATGTTTGTCCACTGGAAAAGAGTCAGTGATCACCAATAGAGAAGAAACCAAAATGATAACTAATTACTCAAAGAAAAACTCTTTACTAATGACTTATTGTAAAAGAAAGATACAAAACTCATGCACAACTGATTTTAATACTAATTCTGTTTTCTGGAAGAAGGCCTCCTGGGGCTGCACACTATGCCGTCAAAGCCACCAACAGCAAATAATCCAGGAAATCACCAGGGCTGGAAGGTAAATATGAGCAAGTGAAGTTTAATTCTCCTCTCGTGGAGAGGAAAGCAGTTAGAGGAAAGTTAGAAATGGATTCAAATGCTACTCATTCTTCTATCCAAATATTTATTTAAAATAACCATATGGCAAAAAAATTGATATTTGCCTTTACTTTCTATTTCCTCCTAGGCAAACAAATAAATGGCGGTGTTTTTAAATGGATAAACTGGCTTTAAATAAGAACTGTAGAGCAAAGTCAGATTTATTTGGATGTGAGAATCATATAAAAGTCAACGAGGGCATTACTTTTGCTTAAGAAGAAAGCTTTTTTAGTGGCCAACAACTTTGAAGTTGCTATTTTCTGAGAGTAATTCTCCTATCACCTGATATTTCATATTATGGACTGCTAGACACTGGTTCTAATTCAAAATTAGTATAGATTCTATTACCCACATGGTAAGTAGCCATTATAAAAGGGAAACACCTTTGGTATTGCCAATGGGTGTTTCTTTCAGAAACCATCCATGAAATGAAGGATGATGTCAACAGAGTTTGGGAATTTACGGAGAACTGTATAAAAGTGTGTTGCAATTCTGCAGTAACAATCTAAGATGAGGAGGAAGGAATTATCAGCTTGACCTTGTCAGTATTGTACAACCTTGGTTGAACATACTTTCTGAGACTCAGTTTATTGCCATGTAAGATGTATAGTTATATTGGCATACATTAAAAAGTGTTTGTGAAGACTAAATGAGATCTCAAAAGTCAACCTCCCACAGTATTCCGCCTGGCCCATAGTAGCTCAGTTCCTTGCTTGTTGTTCTTTTTACTAACAACTACATTTTCAAGGGTTTGCCCTTTAGTGTATTAATCATACATCTGTATAAAAAAAAGGTTAAGTCTTCATAGCTTGCTATGTTTCTATCCCTAAAATACCCCCACATAAACTCAGTCCCCCATTGGGTTACCACAAATTTTTCCTTGAGTATGCCTGAGGATTATTACCTTTCCTCAACATTCCTACTCCTAAGATTTGACCCAGTTGAAGGCCCTGATCCTTCTGGTTCACATCTCTGAAGAGGAGATGAGCTTCATTTAACTGAACCAGAGAGGGCCTGAGGTTTCAGCTTTGACCAGGATGGAGGGGCCCTGAAAGCCTCACCCTGTGACAGTGTCTTCCAAAAGCATGACGTCCTACAGAAAAACACAGCAGCCCTGAGGCCCATCCGTGAGTTGCACGCTCTGCCAATGGATGAAGTCAGGAAACTGCCACAGTATATACTTGTTAATTGACTCTGTAAATGTAAGTTGTTGGTTCATATAAATAGTTTGCATTTATGACTTTTTAGTTTGCACCATTTATTTCTTAAGTATCTCTAGGAACAAAATGTTATATTTATATACTACCAAAAGTAATAACATCAAAATGATGCAGTATTCCTAAAACAATGTATTTTTTTTCTAAGCTAACAAACAGCTTGATCAGTCCACAGATGTCACATATACATATAGTAAACTCTAACTTTTTATATATAGGACTTTGTGCATGTTACTTTTTTTGCTTGAAATTTATATAGCTTGAATTTAATGAGAAACATAACTTTAGATAGTAATAAAAACTATGAAGAAGTGATTACATATAGGTTAGCTAATACTATGTAGCAAATTACCCCAAAATTCAGTGACTTAAATCAGTAAGAATTTACTATTGCTACAGATCAGCTAAATGAAAGGTTCTTCTGGGCTCAGCCAGGCTTAATCACTTGTCAGTGGACGGTAGTATATTGGGTCAATGGTTCTACTGATCTTGGCATGAGTCTGCTTGACGTGTGGGGATCAGTACTGACAATGGCTGAGACAATTGAGCTCTCCTACACATGGGCTGTCATCCTCCAGCAGGTCGCACTTGCGCTCATGTTGCTTCAGTTTCATTCTATTGGCCAGATCAAATCTACAAGAACAGCCCAGATTCAAGCGGTAGGAAAGTAGATTCTACCTCTTGATGAGAGGCAAAACGTGTGGGTACATAAAGGGATGGAAAATTTTTGGCATTTTTGAAGTCAGTCTATCCCAGTAACTTGATGGCCACTTGGAGAACAGTCATCACAGAAGCTTCTTGAGGTAGGTGACTTTTGAGTTAAGGATGAGGCAGCCTTATGAAGACTCAGGAACCTGCCCTGAAGAGTAGGCAGCACATGAAAAATCCCCGAGGTGAGTCTCCATGACTTTAGTATTTTCAAGGAATGGACACTAGTCCTGTTCGGTTATCCTTCTTTTCCCCTCTATAGTGTAGGAGCCACTTTCACAGGTTGTACATTTGGCAGAGGAGATCAAGATGAAAAGCTTAAGAGTAGAGGTAGAGAAACTAAAGATCTAAGATTCTAGGGACTAGAACTAGGTCTATCTCATTTGCCATAATGAAAAGCAATATCATTGCTTCCACACAGAACTCCCCATTTTGTAATGCTTCCTATCTCTCACAATTTATAGAGGCATTCAGGGTTGGATTTCCAGATGTAGGACACTTGCAAAGATCAAAATAGGGAATTTGTTATTACAGAAGACACTAAACACTATCTCTAGAGGAGATAACTTTCATCCCTGCCACCAAATACTATGAAGTTTTTCTTTCTCAGTTAGGACTATAGAATTTTCCTAAGTAGTTTTACTTGATTCCTTTTTGGCACTATCTTCACAAAAAGATTCCTTCCAGTAACTCAAAGTATAGAAAACTCTAACTCATCACACCAGGGAAATGAATACAGAAACTGCAAGAGGGAGAAGGGCAGTTCAAGGCAAAGTCAAGCTTCTGGCCTGTGTTCCCATAATATCTCCACAGCCAGTATTCTATTAGTCACTTTAATGCCTAACAAGTGGAGTCTCTAAACTAGGAGTCAGAAGGCTTGGGCTCTAGTCTGGATCTGAGCCAGAGAACAAGGTCTATGTCTTGTTCATCTTTATATAACTAGCTATTTTAAGAAGAATTAAATAGGCAGGCTAAATGCTGGCTGGCTGGTTGGTTGGTTGGCCAGCAGGCTGTCTGGTGACTGGATAAATGAAGGAGAATGAAGGGAGTGAAAAGAGCACGGGTGAGAGTGAGATTGTCCAAAACAAGAAAGAAATGCCTGAGACATTGCCAACAGATGATTAGTTTTCTCTTAGTTGGCCACGTATAAGAAAATAGACATTGGATTCATTTCCAAATGAATTATCATACCACCCCATAAAGACTGAAATCAGGGATGTGATTTTGAGCAAGTCTGTCAAACTTCCTAGGCATCAACATTCTCATCTCTAAAATGGAACAGCTGGACTAGATGATTTCTAGCTCTAATATTCTAGTGTTCTATTACGTTTACTTCTGAGTACAAGAAAACCTCTGGTGATGAGAAATACATCTCGGAAGTTCATCAGTATATGGGCAGTGGCTCTTTATGCCATTTTCTTTTTTCAATGGAAAAAAATGCTTAGAAAACATTACTTGTTGACATCATTTAAAATATTGAAATCAGGCAATGTTGAATTAAGCATTTTAAGCATATGGAATTTTTACAGTGAGAAAAAAACAAACACTAAATTAATTTTCTCTGTGGATTTTTTGATTCTGTAACTCATCCTGTAATGGGGTCCAGAATCCCTTTGACAAGAGACTAATTCCACCTTACCCTTCAAAAATCTCCATCTGATATGTCTGCTGATTGGTCAGAATTCTGTTCCTTGTTTATAACCCCTCTCCCCACTTTTTTCACAGGGAACTTCCTTTTCTCATTCCATGTTCTGGTGGCTGTCAAGCATGTCACCAAGTTCCACCACCAGACACAGAAATGGGCACACAACCAGAGGTGTCCATTCACATTCTACTTTCTAGGAGTTCATTTTTGGATGGCTACATCAAGAGACATAAGTGTTTTTAGAGCTGAGTCATTCAAGGACAGTATGCAGTAGAGAAATAGCTGAAGGTGTTCTGGTCCTAAAATTTCAGGCGTGATTTTCCAACTCAAGTTTACATCAGAATCACCTGAGGGCTTGTTATAACATCACTGATGGACCCCACTCCAAGATTTGTGGCTTAATAAGTTTGATGTGGGGATGAGAATTTCCAATTCTAACATGTTCCAAAGTGATATTGATGTTTCTGGTTTAGGGATAACACTTTGATAACTAATTATTTCTAGAACCACCCTGTATCCTTTTTTATTGAGGACTGGTTTTCCAATGCCTCCCTCAAACTATAAACTATTCAGCATCCTTCTCACAAATTCAATGTTCTTGTGTAAGTTACTTGGGGTTGGTCAGATCCTATAACTTGTAATAGAATGTTGGAAACAGATTTTTCTGACTCATGGGATGCAGTAGTAAATACCTTAAGTACTCTCAGTCAAATACTTACATTCACAAAGGCCACAGAAACGCAGATGAACCCTGCCATTTACTGCTCCTTCCCTGACTTTCCGTCTGCTCAAGACTTTCCCATAGTCACGCTCCAACCCCAGCACTGCCTAAATTTCCTCTGTTCCAAATACTTGCGAGCCTTGACTAAACCCATTGTTCTAGGAAGTCTCCCTTTTCTTCCCTCTTCTTTGAAAACAAACCTTACGTTGCTTACTTATTTTAAAACTTCATTTTGCTTGACATCCAAACTAAGTTTTATTTTGTGGTATTAAGTTACAGTGGTGGTCTTCTTCTTAAAAATATTCTTCCCATAGCATCCCCAAAATAAATACTCATATTCAGGATACTCTCCTACTCTGCTGGGAGTAGTTTCCAGAAATTTCAACAACTTGCTTCAAAGCCAGCTGCTCTCTTTATAGCTTCTGAATTTAACAACCCTCAAAGCTGAACTGAAGATATCTAATCTTTGCTAGTGTTTTACAAGATGATAAACTTCAAGCTCACATAGATTTAGAGAAGTTCCTTTTATCAGACTAACTCCTTCTGTTCCTCTGGAATCTCAGCTTCAATATCACCTCCTCCTTCTGGGAAGTCATTCCTGCCTCCTGCCTCAGGACTGATGTTGTTGCCCAGCCTGTAGTTCCCATAGCAACTTTTCTTCCCCTATTAAGTCAAACCACCTTCTTTTCTGATACTTCTGATACATTTCTTTATTCATTCTTTCCTCCATTCAATGGTAAGCTTCTTGATAATTCTCTCTTAATATATCCCCAGTACCTAGGAGAGTGCCTTATCTGCTGTACTCAAAAAATATTCATTGAACATTGTGTAGATATAAAATGTGTTATACTTGATGAGTATACATTGAGTATACATTGTTTTTCCGTGTCCAGCATTCATTTCCCCCTTCTCATAACTGCACCAGGGCATTCCTTCGGTGTATTCATCTTTCCCACACCCTCAATTAATGTGCTTTTAATATGGTAGACTCCACTCTGGGATCCTGGGAGGTACAGGATCAAAGCTTAATATTTTAAGCATCTTTGACCAAGAGTCTAAGTATGTTTTTTCCCTGGCTTTAATTAATGAAGTGATTCTTTGATAAAGTAGGGTAGAACTCTGAAATAGCTCAAAGCATTTTCCAACAAAAGTCCTTTAATTTTTTGCCCAAGAAAAATTGCCGCATTACAAAAGTCCAAAGGTCCTCTTTGGAGTGCATATAAGCCAAACTTTCTAAAAGACCCCTGGCACACCTAGCCATTTTCTAAGAGTATCCTGGCATGCCTGGCCAGTCCTATCTTTCCAATTACAGTGATTGGTTCAGGAAAGGAAATGACACTTCGCCAATCTGAGAGTTTGGCTAGCTGGGCAAAAAGCCTCCCTCTTTCTGCTGGGTTGACTAAGCCTGGAGGTGCTGGTGACCACCCTTACATCCTCATAAGAAGAGCTTCTCTGAGAACTAAGCCAATATCAAGAGTAAAACTGCAGAACTGAAGCTAGGAGGAGAAAGATTCTGATAAAAATCCTTTGAGCACCTGGATTTATCTATGCTTGAAGTGAGATTGGTCTTGAACTTATTTACAAGAACCAATAAAATCCCTTTTTTACTTAAGCCAGTTTGAGCTCAGCTTCTTCAATTTTCAACTACAAATCCGAACTACTGTAATGCGCAATATAATTGCTTAACTAACATTCTCAGGTAGCAGTTATTAATTTTCTAGTTTTAAAGGTACAGTTATTAGCATATAGAGACTGTCTCCCACCATGTGAACTTCTCCAATGTCACACAATTAATAAGTGACAGAATCAAGAACGAGAAGCTGTTTCGCCCTAGCTACAAATGCCAGGTTCTCACCACTGTGTGACACTGCCACCTACATAGGGGGAAAAAGAAACACAAAACAGAAAGGCAACTTAATCCATGCCATGTTGTCAGGGCACACAACTTATTAAGAGAACTCTTAACCTTAAGATCCACACAGCTCCTTATGCAGCATATAATGGCATGGAGGTGGGGAAGGGAATCCAGTATGTTCTCTTTACTTGCAAAAACAACATTTTACAGACAACTTTCACTGACAGTGAACCATGAATATCCACTTATCATAATAGCTTTCTCTAAGTAACTTTTCATCCTACTTGAGACATCACAGAATCCAAGATTTCTTAGAGATTTTTAGATATTATATTTGTATCCTATCACTCATATGCCATGAAGGATCCCAGAGAAATAAAACAAATTGGCTGTTATAAACCACAAGGAGAGAATAAAGGGCCAAGTTTCAAATTCTTCACCCTCCCTGACCAGCAGCCTAGAACTGTTTCCACTGTGGTTCAGGGTCGCTGTTGAATAGGCTGGTTTTGCCCACATGATACTGAGATTTGCTAAGGAATCCCTACCATTCATGAGGTTCCAGAATTGTACCAGGCACACTGCAGTTGCAAGGTCTCTCTGAGTTACACCCAGTCCTCCCAAAGCAACTCCTACCATACTCTGGCTTCGATAAGACAGCTGGCATCATTTCAGGGATCATCAACTTCCCTGGTTTCCAAATCTTTAAGGCGAATCTCGTGAGAAGTCCATCTGGGGACCAGGGTGTGTTGGGCTGAGTAAGAAAGTGGGTCCATGCAGGGAAATCCAGTTGATTTGGTTCCTCACTCAGTCTCTCCCTTTGCAGAAGAACTTGCCTCTGCCAGAGAACTATCATTTAAGGGTAGACAAATGCTTAAGCATTGGATCTGTCTGGCTTAGGTGTGAATCCTTGTTGTATGACCTTGGGCAAGTTACTTAACCTTTCTAAGTGTGAACTTCCTCATCTGTAAAGTACAGATGATAAAAGTATCTGCCTCAGAGTACTGTTGCAAGGATTAAATACTTTTGGTACATATTAAGACCTCAACACATGTTAGCATTATTAGTATGTATACCTATGGTACAGGTATTTTTGACTGAAAGGCAACAAAGCAAGTGTCTGAGTTATTAGCACCTAAGAAACCCGCATTCCCTGATATGTCTGGAAAATTTAATAATATGCCATATTTTGACCTTGTTTGCTAAAGACTTTTCTTCCATAGATCCAGTTTGCAAAATCCTCCAATAATTTCTTTTATGTTTACTTTTCCCTTTCTTTAATGTTCAGGTACCTCCTAATTGTAGTGGCTGCTTTAAGGTCTGCCTTAATACAAGTGTTTCTATGTGTGGAAGCGGCCTCAAATGTACATGAGTGCTAATGAGACAGTATCTGCCTATCTTCCTCCATTCTACACAAATTTTAAACCTTCCATTTGTTCTCCTGGACATCTTCTTTCATGCTGATGCTTGTCTGTCTTAAAAATTCCCCCTCAAACCTAAGATGATCTGATTTTCAGGAAGACCTTCCGATCCCCAATTCCTTCTTCACCCTTTGGGTTTGGCTTAACACAAATATCTCAGTAGGAGGTAATACTTTACACCTCTTATGAGGCACTGCCTCTTTGATGCCAATAGTAGGATTAGATAGGAATCTGAATAGATCTTTTTGACTCATTGGTCACGGTAGATTGCTTAAGACCATGGGATGCCACTGAAAATTCTATACAGCTGGAAAAATCAGTCAAAAAAGGAAAATTAGAGCTTCCAGAGACAAACTTCTACCCCCGATTATGTATGAGCAATTTTATTTAAATGATACTGATGCAGTTAGGTAATGATGACAGAATTTAGGCTTCTTTAAATATTAACAAATACTGGTGGTATATAGTTTCTTTCTCCCCTGCTCATTATTTACACTCCCTTTTGCTGATGACATTGTGAGTTATACATGTCTCTTCTATGGTTTTGATTCTGTATTATAAAGCCCTTTTCATTTGATAACAAAGTGCAACTTGTTATTCTCTTAAAAGTTTGTACAATTTCCTTAGAAATAGAAAAGGCTTTTGGAACGTTACCAGATTGGCAATGTTCTCGTGGCAATAGTTCTTGGCCTTAATAGGACAGGATTGGATTGCATTAAATGGCTAAATTCCTAAGTGAATCATCCAAACATTTTGGACGAATATCAAGAATGCTTGCCAAACTGAAATAGATACCTGTGGATACAGTCAGGTGAAAGATTATTTTACTCTGTGTACTTTAAATGGTATATTATTTACTTCACCAGGAGCCTAATAAAATGGCTTATTGAAATGGTTACTATTTAAAACACTTCAGAAATTTTAAAAAATTGTATGTTCTTTTATTCAAAATAATGATATCATTGCTTACTTTTGAATTATAAAATACTTGCTTTAGCTTAGCATATGATTATAACTCAAAGTGTTTTCTCTCTGACATTAGCTGAGCAGTTAGATTGGTGGTCCTCAGTTGGGGACAATTTTTTCCCCCAGAGGACATCTGGCAATGTCTGGAAACATTTTTAATTGTCACAACCATGGGTGGATTTAACTAGCATCTATGGAGTAGAGGCTAAGGATGCTGCCAAGTGATGGTTAATTTGCTATTCTCTGCATTTTAGGAAGGATCGACAGAGCAAAAAATAGCACAGTTAACTCTCAAATTATCAACATAAGTGTTGAAATAATAGAAAATACAAAATCGTCATTGAAAAAATGAATCAAAGTGTGCTTAGGATGGATTTTATGTAAACTTGGGTAGAGTTATAACCAGTAATTTAAAGCATACTTACCATTCTAATATTCATATATAAAGAAAGTAATCAATAACATGTAATAATTAAGAAACATTAAATGTAAATTACTTGATTTAAAAAATGGCCCCAAAGGTATGATATATCAAAATAGTATGCTACTGCCTGTTTCTTAGCTGGCCAGATTAAACCTATCTCATCCCCAGATATTAAATAAGAACCAGAAATAGGTCAGCAATACAATCCCAACTATTTTCTCCATCCCTTCCTCTCCTAATTCCTCCTTTATCACAGTGCTGATGCCATGGGGATATAATCCTTAACTGTATTCCTCCTCTCCTCCCTCTGTGGTCGATCTCTGCTTTTGTCTCAGGAAGGGTTGTGGTCAAAATAGGAAGTGATAATCTGGTCGACTATGGAAGCAAAGCTTTATTCCCAAATTACAGTGCATACCTATGGCACTGTGATTACTCTGAAATCCCAAGCTATTAATACTTTACAATATGGATTTTTTTTCTTGCTGTTTTGTAGCAGTATTAATTTTTCCTATATTAATGCCTATTTAAAAATGAAACCTATAATTAAATTACAAATCTATATATCTTTCCTTATATCATCAGAAGGTAACATTTGTCTTCTTTGGAGCACAATAGATTTAGTTTTTATGTAATAAAATAACCAGCTGATGATAAGCTGTAAACCTGAGAAAAACATCCTAAAGAAGCCTAATGAGTGGAATTCCTTTCTTAAAAAGTCAGTTAGCTGAGTTAGGTCCCTATTTGTCTATATGGTTTGATACTGAAGCAGTAGGATAACAGAGCAATGCCTTATAGTTCCAATATCCTGTCTTGTTCTGTGTGGTTACTTTAAAAAATAATACTATCATATACCTAATGCTACTGCAATCAACATATGATGCTGATATATTTATCCTTGGCCAAAAATGGAAATGTTACATTAAAACAAGACAACATTATCTTATGAAAAGGAGATGAAATATCAACACTCCAACTCCCTAAAAAAGAGATAACAGAATTGCCTCTGGTCTAAGAAGCTCTCACCTGGTTGAATGAATGACTTAAACAACAAAAGTGTCATCTAAATCCAGGTTTTAGATCACACCTGTTTTATCTCCCACTAATGGCTTTTGGTAATACATCTGCCCACACATGAAGATTCCCAAGAGAACTCAAAACCTTATAATCACATGGAAAATGTCCAAAGGAAAGATAATTGTCTGTGAGAAAGACAGGAATTAAAAATCTGCATAAAAACAGACATTATAGTCACCCAGTTTGCAATATTGAGAACATTATGGAAAGAAAATAAACACTGAATTGCACACAGACTCATATTTCAACAAGTTTAATAATGTTATAGTAAAGAAACATATTTTTAAAATTACATTTCAGGACTATGAACCAAATATGTAGTTTCTTATAGTTGGAGTCCCAGAGGAGAGGAGAGAAAGAATGAAGCATACAAAATATAATTAAAGAAGTAATGGCCAGGCCGGGCACGGTAGCTCATGATTGTAATCCCAGCACCTTGGGAGTCCGAAGCTGGTGGATCACCTGAGGTCAGGAGTTTGCAACCAGCCTGGCCAACATGGTGAAACCCCGTCTCTACTAAAAATACGAAAAATTAGCTGGGCATGGTGGCGGACACCCATAATCCCCCCTGCTCAGGAGGCTGAGGCAGGAGAATCACTTGAACCCGGGAGGCAGAGGTTGCAGGGAGCCAAGATCGCACCATTGCACTCCAGCCTGGGCAACAAGAGCGAAACTCCATCTCAAAGAAAACAAAAAAAACAAAACAAAACAAAACAAAAGTAATGGCTAAAAATGTTCCAAAGTTGGTGGAACATATAAATTTATGAATTCAAGAAGTTTAGCAAGGTTCTAACAAGATAAATAGAAAGAAAACCACACCAAGATATATCTTGGCCAAGCTGTTAATTTTGAAAGATAAACTCAAAAGCAGCCAGAGAAAAGTGGCATTACATAGAGGGAACAAATCAAAATATTGCTGCCTTTCCATCAGAAACAATTAAGGTCAAAAGAGAGTAAAATAACACGTTCAAGAGCTAAAAGAAAATATAAACTGTCAATCCAGACTCCTATATTCAGCAAAAACATCCTTCAAGAATGAGTGTAAAATATAGATAGGTCCAGATGAAAGAAAATCAAGAGATTATATTCCAGCAGACCTGCATTACAGTAAATCCTAAAAGAAGCATTGATTTAGGCTAGATGAAATGATACCAAATAAAAATATAAATTTTCAGAAAAGAATGAAGAGCACTAAATAATTCCCTTCTTAATAGCTTTAATTATGATAGTTTAAAGCCATCTATCTATCTATCTATCTATCGGGTTTTTTTTAAACACAGTTTAATGTGATACATACAAAAACTATAACATAAATGGTGAGAAAGGGGTAAATGGACATAAATGGTTGCTAGATTTTAATATTTTACATAAACTAGTGCAATATCAACCCTAAATTGACTGTGACAAGACACTTATTTTAATCCCTAGAACAACCAACAAAATCCTCACAGTTATAGCTCAAAAATGATTAATTAAATTAAAATATAATTATAAAAATGTTCGATAATCCAAATGAAACTACACAAGGAGAAATGGAAACAAAAAAACTAGTTAGGAGATAAACAAAAATTAAAAAGTAAAATGGTAGAGTTAAATTTTCTCTTGTCAAAAATTTTTTTTTAACTTTTAAGTTCAGATGTACATGTGCAGGTTTAAATATTGATAAAATAAGCATGTCAATTTAAAGGAAAAAAATGTTTAATACTTTTTAAAAGCATGATCCAGCTATGTGCCCTCTACAAGATAGATAGAAAGTAAATGGATAGAAACATATTTACCATGACAACAGTAAGCTTAAGAAGGTTTAAGTGACTATACTAATATCAGATAAATGAAACTTCATGACAAAGAAAAATGATAAAAAAATGGGTCAGTTCATTAGAAAGACATAAGAAATATAAATATGTATATCCCTGATGAATAGTTCCAAAATCCAAGAAGTAAAAATTGACAGAATTAAAGTGAGAAGTGGACAATTCTATCATCATAATTGAAGATTTTTAATAACGTCTCTCAGAAATTAATAGAATTAGAAAAAAATAAAGAAAAATGTAGAAGATCTGCACATTACTAACCACTTGGTTCTAACTAGCATTGACAGAAGACTACACCCCAAAATTGTGGAAGGCGTACATTCTTTATAAACATATGGTACATTCACCAAAACCATCTTTCAGACCACTACAAAAAGCTCAATACATCTCAAAGAACTAGAACCATAATGATTGTGTTCTCTGACAATAAGAAAAAATGTAGATATGTATAACCAAAAAAAGTCTAGAAAAACACAAAATATTTGAAAATTAAACCATGTTTCTAAAGAATCCTTGAGTTAAAAAAAATCACAAGAGAAATGTAAAATATTTCAAATTGAATATTTTGAAATTCCACATATCAAATATTGAGAATTCATTTAAAGTACTGCTTAGAACAGAGGTGTCCAATCTTTTGGCTTCCCTGGGCCTCACTGGAAGAAGAAGAATTGTCTTGGGCCACACATAAAATACACTAACACTAATGATAGCTGATGAGCTAAAAAACAAAACAAAACAAAAAGCACAAAACAGTTTCATAATGTTTTAAGAAAGTATATGAATTTGTGTGGGATCACATTAAAAGCCATCCTGGGCTGCATGTGGCCTGTGGGCCACAGTTTGGAGGAGCTTGACTTAGAGGAAACTTTATAACAGTAAATGTTCATATTAGAAATGAAGAAAAATCTGAAAACAATTATGTGAATTTCCACCTTAAGAAGCTAGAAAAAAGAAGAGCAAAGTAAACATAAAGTAAGTAGAAGCAAGAAAATACTTAAAAGCAGAATTAATTAAATAGAAAACAGACAATAGGGGAAATTGGCAAAGTCAAATTTCATTCTTCAAAAAGATGAGCCCTCATATAGAAAAATAAAAACAAAAAGAACAAAAATTACCGAGATCACACATAAAAGAAGACTGTATTTATTGGTCTGTGTGCTGGTTGTATAGTTGTACTCCTTTTATAAAAATGTATTCAGGGTATGCTGGCAAGATGGCCCAATAGGAAAGGCTCCAGTCTGCAGCTCCCAGCGAGACCAAGGTAGAAGGCGGGTGATTCCTGCATTTCCAAATGAGGTACCTGGATCGTCTCATTGGGACTGGATAGAAAGTGGGTGCAGCCCACAGAGGGAGAGCAGAAGCAGGGTGGGGTGTCGCCTCACCCAGGAAGTGTGACGGGTCAGGAAACTCCTTCCCCTAGCCAAGGGAAGCTGTGAGGGACTGTGCCAGGATGGACGGTGCTATCCGGCTCAGATACTATCCCATGGTTTTCCCCCAGACCAGGAGATTCCTTCAGGTGCCTATACCACCAGGGCCCTGGGTTTCAAGCACAAAACTAGGCTGCCTTTAGGCAGACACTGAGCTGAGCTAGCTGAAGGAGTTTTTTTTTTTTTTTTGTACCGCAGTGGCACCTGGAACACCAGCAAGACAGAACAGTTCACTCCCCTGGAAAGGGGGCTAAAGCCAGAGAGCCAAATGGTCTTGTTTAGCAGATCCCACACCCACAGAGCCCAACAAGCTAAGATCCACTGGCTTGAAATTCTCATTGCCAGCACAGCAGTCTGAAGTTGACCTAGGATGCTTGAGCTTGTTGTGGGGAGGGGTGTCTGCCATTGCTGAGGGTTGAGTAGGCGGTTTTCCCCTCACAGTGTAAACAAAGCCTTGGAGAAGTGTGAACAGGGTGCAGAACCCACCATAGTGATGCAAAGCCACTGTAGCCAGACTGCCTCTCTAGATTCCTCCTCTCTGGGCAGGGCATCTCTGAAAGAAAGGCAGCAGCCCCAGTCAGGGGCTTATAGATAAAACTCCCATCTCCCTGGGACAGAGCACCTGGGGAACGAGGCACCTGTGGGCCCAGTTCCAGCGACTTAAACATTCCTGTCTGCTGGCTCTGAAGAGAGCAGCAGATCTCCCAGTATAGTGCTCAAGCTCTGCTAAGGGACAGACTGCCTCCTCAAGTGGGCCCCTGACCCCTGTGCTTCCTGTCTGGGAGACACCTCCCAGCAGGGGCTGACAGACAGGTCATCCAGGAGAGCTCTGGCTGGCATCTGGTGGATGTCCCTCTGGGACAAAGCTTCCAGAGGAAGGAGCAGGCAGCAATTTTTGCTGTTCTGAAGCCTCCACTGGTGAAACCCAGGCAAATAGGGTCTGCAATGGACCTCTAGTAAACTCCAGCAGACTGGCAGCAGAGGGGCCTGACTGTTAGAAGGAAAACTAACAAACAGAAAGCAATAGCATCAACATCAATGAAAAGAACATCCATGCAAAAACCCCATCCATCAAAAACCAACATCAAAGACCAAAGGTAGATAAATCCACAAAGATGAGGAAAAACCAGCACAAAAAGGCTGAAAATTCCAAAAACCAGAACACCTCGTCTCCTCCAAAGGGTCACAACTCCTCACCAGCAAGGGAACAAAACTGGATGGAGAATAAGTATGACAAATTGACGGAAATGGGCTTCAGAAGGTGAATAATAACAAACTCCTCCGAGCTAAAGGAGCATGTTCTAACCCAACGCAAGGAAGCTAAGAACCTTTATAAAAGGTTAGAGGCTAACTACAATAACCAGTTCAGAGAAGAACATAAATGACCTGATGGACCTGAAAAACACAGCATGAAAACTTCGTGAAGAATACACAAGTTTCAATAGCCGAATCGATCAAGTGGAAGAAATGATATGAGAGATTAAGGACAAACTTAATGAAATAAATCATGAAGACAAGATTAGAGAAAATAGAATGTAAAGGAACAAACAAAGCCTCCAACAAATATGGGACTATGTGAAAAAACCAAACCTATGTTTGATTGGTGTACCTGAAAGTGACGGGGAGAATGGAACCAAGTTGGAAAACACACTTGAGAATATTACCCAGGAGCACTTCCTCAATCTAGCAAGACAGGCCAACATTCAAATTCAGGAAATACAGAGAACACCACAAAGATATTCCTTGAAAAGAGCAACCCCAAGACACGTAATCGTCAGATTCACCAAGGTTGAAATCAAGGAAAAAATGTTAACAACAGCCAGAGAGAAAGGTCGGGTTACCCACAAAGGGAAGCCCATCAGACTAACAGTGGATCTCTCTGCAAAAACCCTACAAGCCAGAAGACAGTGGGGGCCAATATTCAACATTCTTAAAGAAAAGAATTTTCAACCCAGAATTTCATATCCAGCCAAACTAAGCTTCATAAGTGAAGGAGAAATAAAATCCTTTACAGACAAGCAAATGCTGAGGAATTTTGTCACCACCAGGCCAGCCTTACAAGAGCTCTTGAAGGAAGCACTAAATATGGAAAAGAAAAACCGGTACCAGCCACTGCAAAAACAAGCCAAAATGTAAAGACCATCGACACTATGAAGATACTGCATCAACTAATGGGCAAAATAACCAGCTAGCATCATAATGACAGGATCAAATTCACACATAACAATATTAACCTTAAATGTAAACGGGCTAAATGTCCCAATTAAAAGACATAGACTGGCACATTGAATAAACAGTCAAGACCCATCGGTGTGCTGTATTCAGGAGACCCATCTCATGTTCAAAGACGTACACAGGCTCAAAATAAAGGGATGGAGGAATATTTACCAAGCAAATGGAAAGCAAAATAAATAAATAAATAAATAAAAGCAGGGATTGCAATCCTAGTCTCTGATAAAACAGACTTTAAACCAACAAAGATCAAAAAAGACAAAGAAGAGCATTACATAATTGTAAAGGGATCAATGCAATAAGAAGAGTTAACTCTCCTAAATATATGTTCATCCAATACAGGAGCACCCAGATTCATAAAGCAAGTTATTAGAGACCTACAAAGAGACTTAGACTCCCACACAATAATAGTGGGAGACTTTAATACCCCATGTCAATATTACACAGATCAACGAGACAGAAAATTGACAAGGATATTCAGGACTTGAACTCAGCTCTGGACCAAGCAGACCCAATAGGCATCTACAGAACTCTCCACCCCAAATCAACAAAATATACATTCTTCTCAGCACCACATAGCACTTATTCTAAAACTGACCACATAATTGGAAGTAAAATATTCCTCAACAAATGCAAAAGAATGCAAATCATAACAAACAGTGTCTCAGACCACAGTGCAATCAAATTAGAACTCAGAATTAGGAAACTCACTCAAAACTGCACAACAACATTAAAACTGAACAACCTGCTCCTGAATGACTGCTGGGTAAATAATGAAATTTAGGTAGAAATAAATAAGTTCTTTGAAACCAATGAGAACAAAGGGACAATGTACCATAATCTCTGCTAAGCAGAGATCATCATAAACACTGCTAAAGCAGTGTTTAGAGGGAAATTTATAGCACTAAATGCCCACAGGAGAAAGCAGGAAAGATCTGAAATTGACACCCTAACATCACGATAAAAAGAACTAGAGAAGGAAGAGCAAACAAATTCAAAAGCTAGCAGAAGACAAGAAATAACAAGATCAGAGCAGAACTGAAGGAGATAGACAAATAAAAAACTTCAAATAGGAAGTGTTCAAAAAAATAAACGAATCCAGTAGCTGGCTTTTGGAAAAGATTAATAAAATAGATAGACTGCTAGCCAGACTAATAAAGAAGAAAAGAGAGAAGACTCAAATAGACACAATAAAAAATGATAAAGGGGATATCACCATTGATCCAACAGAAATACAAACTATCATCAGAGAATACTATAAATATGTCTATGCAAATAAACTACAGAATCAAGAAGAAATGGATAAATTCCTGGAAGCATACACCCTCAGAATACTAAACCAGGGAGAAGTCAAATCCCTGAATAGACCAATAACAAGATCTGAAATTGAGGCAGCATTTAATAGCCTACCAACAAAATAAAGCCCAGGACCAGACGGATTCACAGCCAAATTCTACCAAAGGTACAAAAAGGAGCTGGTATCATTCCTTCTGAAACTATTCCGAACAAAAGAAAAAGAGGGACTCCTCCCTAACTCATTTTATGAGGCCAGCATCATCCTGATACCAAAACCTGGCAGAATACAACAAAAAAAGAAAATTTCAGGCCAATATCCCTGATGAACATCAATGTAAAAATCCTCAATGAAGACAGGGCATGGTGGCTCGTGCCTGGGATCCCAGCACTTTGGGAGGCCGAGGTGGGTGGATCACCTGATGTCAAGAGTTCGAGGCCAGCCTGACCAACATGGAGAAACCCTGTCTACTAAAAATACAAAATTAGCTGGGCGTAGTGGTACATGCCTGTAATCCCAGCTACTCAGGAGGCTGAGGCAGGAGAATTGCCTGAACCCAGGAGGTGGAGGTTGCAGTGAGCCGAGATCATGCCATTGCACTCCAGTCTGGGCAACAAGAGCGAAGCTCTGTCTCAAAAAAACAAATGAAAAAATCTTCAATGGCAAACCAAATCCAGCAGCACATCAAAAAGCTTATCCACCATTATCAAGTCAGCTGCATCCCTGAAATGCAAGGCTGGTTCAACATACACAAATCAATAAATGTAATCCATCACATAAACAGAACCAATGACAAAAACCATATGACTATCTCAATAGATGCAGAAAAGGTTTTCAATAAAATTCCACACCCCTTCATGCCAAAAACACTCAATAAACTACATACTGATGGAACGTATCTCAAAATAATAAGAGCTATTTATGACAAACCCATAGCCAATATCATACTGAATGGGCAAAAGCTGGAAGCATTCCCTTTGAAAATTGGCACAAGACAAGGATGCCCTCTCTCAGCATTCCTATTCAATATAGTATTGGAAATTCTGGCCAGGGCAATCAGGCAAGAGAAAGAAATAAAGAGTATTCAAATAGGAAAAGAGGAAGTCAAATTGTCTCTATTTGTAGATGACATGATTGTATATCTAGGAAACCCCATCATCACAGCCCAAAAACTCCTTAAGCTGATAAGCAACTTCAACAAACTCTCAGGATACAAAATCAATGTGCAAAAATCACAAGAATTCCTATATACCAATAATAGACAGAGAGCCAAATCATGAGTGAACTCCCATTCACAATTGCTACAAAGAGAATAAAATACCTAGGAATACAACTTACAAGGGATGTGAAGGACCTCTTCAAGGAGACCTACAAACCACTGCTTAAGGAAATAAGAGAGGACACAAACAAATGGAAAAACATTCCATGCTCATGGATAGGAAGAATCGATATTGTGAAAATGGTCATACTGCTCAAAGTAATGTATAGATTCAATGCTAATCCCATCAAGCTACCATTGACTTTCTTCACAGAATTAGAAAAAACTACTTTAAATTTCATATGGAACCAAAAAAGAGCCTGTATAGCCAAGACTATCCTAAACACAAAGAACAAAGCTGGAGGCATCATGCTACCTGACTTCAAACTATACTACAAGGCTGCAGTAACCAAAACAGCATGATACTGGTACCAAAACAGATATATAGACAAATAGAACAGAATAGAGGCCTCAGAAATAACATCACACATCTGCAACCATGTGATCTTTGACAACCCTGACAAAAACTTGCAATGGGGAAAGTATTCCCTATTAAATAAATGGTGTTGGGAAAACTGACTAGCCATATGCAGAAAACTGAAACTAGATCCCTTCCTTACTCCTTATACAAAAATTAACTCAAGATGGACTAAAGACTTAAATGTAAGACCTAAAACCATAAAAACCCTAGAAGAAAACCTAGGCAATACCATTCAGGAAATAGGCACGGAAAAAGACTTCATGACTAAAACACCAAGAGCAATGACAACAAAAGCCGAAATTGACAAATGGCATCTAATTAAAATAAAGAGCTTCACGGCAAAAGAAACTACCATCAGAGTGAACAGGCAACCTACAGAATGGGAGAAAATTTTTGCCATCTATCCATCTGACAAAGGGCTAATATCCGGACTCTACAAGGAACTTAAACAAATTTACAAGAAAAAAACAAACAACCCCATCAAAAAGTGGGCAAAAGATATAAACAGACACTTCTCAAAAGAAGACATTTATGCGGCCAACAAACATATATAAAAAAAGCTCATCAGCACTGTTGATTAGAGAAATGCAAATCAAAACCATAACGATATATCATCTCACGCCAATTAGAATGGCGATCATTAAAACGTCAGGAAACAACAGATGCTGGAGAGGATATGCAGAAATAGGAATGCTTTTACACGGTTGGTGGGAGTGTAAATTAGTTCAACCATGTGGAAGACAGTGTAGAAACTCCTTAAGGATCTAGAACTAGAAATACCACTTGACCCAGCAATCCCATAACTGGGTATATACCGAAAGGATTGTAAATCATTCTACTATAAAGACACATGCACATGTATGTTATTGCAACTATTCATAATAGCAAAGACTTGAAACCAACCCAAATGCCCATCAATGATAAACTGGATAAAGAAAATGTGGCACATATACACCATGGAATTTTATGCAGCCATAAAAATGAATGAGTTCATGTCCTTTGCAGGGACATGGATGAAGCTGGAAGCCATCATTCTCAGCAAACTAACACCAGGACAGAAAACCAAACACCACATGTTCTCACTCATAAGTGGAAGGTGAACAATGAGAACATATGGGCACAGGGAGGGGAACATCACACACTGGGGCCTGTCTGGGGGGTGGGGGTAAGGGGAGTGATAGCATTAGGAGAAATGCCTAATGTAGATGATGAATTGATAGGTGCAGCAAACCACCATGGCACATGCATACCTATGTAACAAACCTGCACAATCTACACATGTATCCCAGAACTTAAAGCATAATAAAGTATAATCAAAAAAGCAAGACTTAGCCTTGCTAAAACTGCAAAAAAAAATGTATTGAGATCCACACTTATCATTTGTGAATTTCATTTATATTTAAGTTCCACAAATAGTTTACCTAAGAAGAACAAGTGTTCTGACAATAGAAAGTACTATGCTTGGATCTTTGATTGCTCTCGAAGTTTGAAGAAGATATAAAATCAAACAGAGGGTATATTCATTAGCTCAGGCTGCCATGACAAAGTGCCACAGACTAGGGGGCTTAAATGACAGAAATGTATTGTCTCATGATACTAAAGGCTGGAAGTCCAAGATAAGGGTGCCAGCCTGGCTGGTTCTGGTGGGGGCTCTCTTCCTGACTTGCAGACTTGCAGAGTCTTCTGGCTGTGTCCTCACAGGGCTTTTTCCCGGGTGCATATGCATGTGGAGAGAGAGATCTCTCCATTTCTCTTCTTTTAAAGCCACCAATCATATTGAATCAGGGACCTACTCTCATGAACTCATTTAACCTTAATTACCTTCTAAAAGTTTTATCTCCAAATGCAATCCCTTTGGGGATTAGGGCATCAACATATGAATCTGGGGGAACAAAACGAAGTTCATAACAGATTCTGATATGGCATGCAAGACATTTATTAGAAAGTGTCCTTAAGATCAACACCTGAGGAAAGGAGGAGAAAGAAGCATGATTGTACAGAAGAAGAGAGAGTGAGAATCAGTCTTAACAAAGGCCTCAGCTGGCCCAGTGGGAAGCTCTGGCACTGGACAGTAGTCCTTCAGAGTTGTCCCCAGTTAGGAAAAGAGAACAAGGCCTCTGTTCTCTTACATTGACCAGTCACTGGATGTAGGCTGACCTGGGAAAGGGGATGATTTGGGGGCAAGATGACTATCATTAGCAGTGACAATTCGGGAGATGGGTAACAGCTAACAACCTCCCCAACAGCTGGCTGAATGAATCCTTCAGTCCTGATAGAGCAGTCTGGACAGTGCAACACAGCATCCTCAAAAGGTTATTGCCTAGGGAAGGTTAACTGTACACCCTTGTCTTGGTGACAGACCCTCAGCCTAGCAAAGTTGTTCTGACCAAGGATACTAACTGAATTTGATGAGGTTCACAAAGGCTGATATATGAAATCGTATCAATTAATTAATTTGCAATGATCTCTATATATTTGACAAGGTAAAACTCATGAGTTTCCAATCTATAATCAATAAATTCTTGCTTAGCATGGAAATAAAATAAGAACAACTAGTCATAATTTGAATGTTTAATGACATCAAGCCCTGATAACCCAAAATTGACATAATGAAGTAGAGTCCGGTTTGTGCCAGGTCTGTAATATAATAAAAGAGCTGTGTTAGCCATATTATGGAGCAGTTACATTCATTATTCCTGTATTTTTGACTTTCTCGCTTCCTCCTCTTTGTCTATAGTAATTAAAGTAAAAATACTCCAAAACCTGACCCTGAGGGGCATTCAGCACTCTGCTCCCTAAAGAAATCAAACTGAATGATGAATCCAGCAATGCAGAAAAAAATGAATCACTTTCCCCTTTGGGATATCAGGAAGCCATTGCCAGGGGACTAGTGAAAATTTCAGTTCTCTGTGCTTTTTTATGCTTGACTGATAAAATATAAAGCATCACTATTTATTTGATTGAACTACAAAATGGAGTCAGACTGAGGTTTATGTAATTAGACAAGCAGGACCTTCAAATGGCGCAAATGGAGAGGGGTAAATCACAGATACGACAAACAGAAAAAGATTCCTCAGAAAGGAGTAGAAAGAAAAGTGAATCTATCTAGACTATTTTAAAGAAAAAAATGGATAGATTTTGGAGGTAAGGAGATGTTTTTATTTCTGAAAATAACTCTTTCTTGACAAGTCCGGGACTGATCTTTAAAATGATGTTATTACTCACATAAAAATATGGATTAATCTCATAGACTTGGGCTAAATACAAAATAGAATACACAGTATTTTCTGTTCATATGAAATACAAAATCTGATATAATTATTTGATGGAGATAGAGTTTAGATCAGTGGTTACTTTTGGAGGAAAGTATTGACTGAGAGAGGCCATGAGGCCATCTGTGGGACAGGAAATGTTCTGTATTTTGATATGGGTGGTGCTCACATGGGCATATACATTTGAAAAAATCCCGCCAAGCTATAAACTTGAGATTTATGCACTTTTATAGTGTAATAAATTGTACTTTGAAAGGAAGTACAAAGTGAAAAGAATAAAGTGAGATTTAATCTGTTCTTGTGAATCATGCTATCTACAGTTTACTGATTTGGGGGAAAGAAACTCTACATAAAAATTTGCATAAATACTTATATTTGATTCATAACAATTATAGAATCATAGAATGTTACGATTTCCTGAATTATTCATCAGGTAATTGGTATATGTTAATTTCCTACTATGGGTAGCATTTCACATATGTGATTTATTTGAAACTTCACAATTATCTCCAATTTACAGGTGAAAAAAATAAACCTTAAAATGGCTAAATGAAGTCAACAATTTGTTGGGTGGCACAGGGGAGATTTGATCTCCAGGTCTATCTGTTCTCATGTTCTCTTCACTTCATAATTCTACTTTACTGGAATCAGCTGAGATGGCCCTATTTCCACTTCCTATAAATTAGGGGGTGTTTCCGAAGTTCAAAAAAACATGGCCAGTCAGACACACTTGCCCAAACCATTTCTGAACATCCCTCCTTTTGAAACCAAAATCACTAGCTCAGGATAATCATACGGATTAGAAAAGAAGCAAGTATCCAATGTGGTGTGATTTGAGGGATGCTAGAAAGTTTCACCACCTAAAAATAGTTCATCCCAGCCCGTTGCCACTTGCTCACTCCCTTCCCATGTTGATATCCTAAATCTAATATGCAAAATCAATTAATTCCTTGGGATTTTAAAGGATTTTTTTTTTACTTAAAGAGTTATTCTTATGCTATAGTCTGAATGTTTGTGTCTCCCCAAAAGTCATGTGTGAAAATCCTAACCCCCAAGGTGATGGTATTAGGAGGTGAGACCTTTGGAAGATACCTTAGATCATGAGGATAGAGCCCTCATGAATGGGATTATGTACTGCCCTTATACAAGAAGCCCTAGAGAGATTCCTTACCCCTTCCCACTACGTGAAGTTATAGCAAAAAGACAGTGGTCTAGGACAGCAGTCCCCAACCTTTTTGGCACCAGAGGCTGGTTTTGTGGATGACAATTTTTCCACGGAACTGGGTGGGGGGATGGTTTCCAGGTGATTCAAGCGCATTACCTTTACTGTGTACTTTATTTCTATTATTATTACATTGTAATATATAATGAAATAAGTATACAACTAACAACTAACCATAATGTAACAGCGGTGGGAACCCCATTTGGGGTGATGGGAGACAGTAACAGATCATCAGGAATTAGATTCTCTTAAGGAGTGCACAACCTAGCTCCCTCACATATGCAATTCACAATAGGGCTTTGCAGTCCTATGAGAATCTAATGCCGCTGCTAATCTGACAGGAGGCAGAGCTTAGGCTGTAATGCAAGCGATGGGGGGGTGGCTATAAATACAGATGATGTTTTGCTTGCTTTGCTTGCTTGTCTGCCAATCACCTCCTGCTGTGAAGCCCAGTTCCTAACAGGCCACAGACTGGTATCAGTCCGTGGTCTGGAAGGTGGGGACCCCTGGCCTAGGAAGCAGGCTCTCACAGACAGTGAATCTGCCAGCACCTTGATCTTGGACTTCTTAGCCTCCAGAACTGTAAAAAGTCAGTTTCTGTTGTTTATAAGCCATCTAGTCTATGGTATTTTGTTATAGCAACCTAAATCAATTAAGACATCTTATTAACATTCAGATATCCCTAACGTGTCTAGAAATGAGAAAGAAGAAATATGACAATGCAAATCACCTCATCCAAGCTTTATCTTCTTAATGAACTTGCCTATGGCCATCTTTGTCTCTGTTTATGTAAATATTACCAATTAAATAATTCTGGTAATCCAGCTCCCATATTATAGCCATAATTTCTGCAGCAGTAACATGTACAATTACTTCAGCCACAAGACTAGTGTGGTGATGGCCTTGACACTACATTACCAGTATTTAGCTTGCAAGCTTTTATTGAGCATACTACGTATGCATAGAGCTATGCTTGGTGCTGGTGAATCAGCAGCAAACAAGGATAGCAGAGCCTCCCTGCCCTCCTCAAAGGGCTCACATTCCAGAGGAGGGGAGAGCCCTTACATATCTAAACAATAGAAACTACAAAACAGTAATTATAAAATCACAGAAATTTTTAAATTATAGTTCTTACAAAATTGAAATCAGTGCTGTGAGGGAAAAAGATTTCTGAGATTAAAAAAATAATAATGGTGAGAGACTTACTTTAGACAGGGTGACTTTAAGTCAAGGTTTTACAGGTAAATATAAGCAAGACTTGTGAAGAACAAAAGGATGACTTCTAGTCCCCTGTAGATTGTTTCAAAAAGCTGGAAGAGGTGAATCACTCCTCGTGCCCTGCCCCTCATTTAGCTGTATCCATCATATTATGTTTAACCAAAGTATGTTGCTTTTCTATTTCAGGTATGTGAAATTCTCCAGACAATACTTCCTCCAAATGAAATGATTGTTAAGTTCTTTCTCCAGATATTCTCAACAATTATCATTCTGTAAATTTGTTCTAAATAAAACGTCCAGATTATGATGCATTTTAAAGGGGGTTATCGGTAGTATTTAGAGGACGAAGAAATAAATTTGGCAAAGAATTAGGAAGGAAAAAAGATCACTGAACAGCAATAATTCAATACTTTCACTTGAGAGGCAAGTAAAATAGAAATACAGAGAGAGGCGTGACATCAACCCTAATGTTGTACAGGGTCAGAGGGGGTAAACATCACTCTCACAAACATTCATGAGACAATTTAGTTGGAGTGAAACCTAAAAGGAAAGCCAAAGTCACAAAATGGTAACAGACACTTTGATAGAGCTTATGTGGAAGTGCAAAAACATGGTCCCACTGATTTTGTTTTGAAAGGTAGAAGCATAGGAGTTATGTCTGAGATTATTATGGGCTTATAAGATACAAATATTCTTACTGCCAGCATTAGCCCTCCCTGGATCCTTCACCAACCTTTTAAGTAGTAATCCTGTCCAGTAACCCTTCCAAATTCTCTCTGGGCAAAATGCTGAGGAGAGCAGCTCTTGCTTGGGATTTCTTTCAAGATTGCAGTTGGTTATCTGCAGCAGCTGCAGTCATTTAGGCTCAGCTGAGCTGGCCATGGACAATGCTTCGCTCACACGGCTTGGAGTCTGTGCTGACTATTGGCTGGGTACGAAGCTGGGCAGTCAACTCGAGTGGCTACACGTGTGCTCTCGGTGTGGCGTCAGTGTGGTTACACATCTTACATGGCACCTGGCTACCAAAGTTTTTTGAGTTTCTAGATCTATGGCAATAAAACCCAAATATCCATAAGCAGAAGATGACTTTGGTTTAAGGGTGGGTTGGGAATGAATGCAATCCTACCTTAAATGCCGAATTCTGCAGAGGATATAAGCTGCAGAATCAAGGTAGGTGCATTTTCTAGAAAGTACATGATAACCCACCTTCTCTAAGGTTTCCAAATACCTGAACTAGGAAACACAAGATTCATATTCATATTAAGAGGAAAAATAGATAGTTATGCCTACTTGTTTGACTAGAAAGGCTTTTACGTGTCAATAAAATGCTGGTTTTCAACATTATGTGGCATGCAGGCCCATAAAGAACAGTTGCTGAAAGTCTTTGCACATTCAGATAAAAATAAAACTGCTGAACAAAAGCTATATTGTACATAGACCTAAACTTGAGTAGCTACAGAGTGTTTTATATGAGTGTTTTTAGCGATATACTCTGAGAATATACCTAACTCTGGTTCAGTGCTTATTGAAGTGCCAGAAGTGTTTATGAGCAAATGTATTTGACTGAGCTACATGCATTCTGTTAAGGATGACTTTATACATTCAAGTGCATGGATTTCACATCTAAAAGCCAAAGTTATCTGCTGATAAACAACAAGCTTATCAGAAAGTGGGCAAGTGATTTAATGTTTCACTTTTAAAAACATAATTTCTGAATGTGGTAGCAAAACCACTTGTGGAAACCAAAACCACAGTAAGTTTTGGGGAAGGAGTGAGTCACAGCATCACACTGTCCCTGATCTCACTCCACAGCCTAGAAACGTGGAAAATTCTTACTTAAAATTGTTCTGGCCACAAGATGAAAAGGCAATTGTAGAAAGCAAAACTAAAAATACATAAAAATACCATATGTACAATACCAATTATCTGCAGGGCCGCTGGCCACTCTGGGCTCCTGGAGTCCTGCATGCTCCCTGTCCTGTGGCTCCAGGATGATCCACCCAACCTATGCCCCAGCCTGAAGACCTCCACACAATCCAGGAGCTGCAATGCCTTGGGAATTAATCAGGTAGTTAGCTGGAGATTTCTGAATCTAGCAGTGTGTAGACAAAGACATCAAATCACCCTCTGCTATAGATTGAATGTTTATGTCCCCTTAATTCATATGCTGCAATCATAACTTCCAAGATGATGGTATGAGGAGATGGGGACTTTGGGAAGTAATTAGGTCATGAGTGCAGAGTCCTCAGAATGGGGCTAGTGCTCTTATAAAGTAGGCTGGAGAGAGGTCCCTTGCCTTGTGTGCCACGTGAGGACACAGTGAAAAGACGGTCATCTATGACCCAAGAAGTGGGCCCTCACCAGTCTCCAAGTCTGCCAACATCTTCATCTTGGACTTCTTCCCAACCTCCAGAACTGTGAGAAATCAATTTCTGTTGTTTATAAGCCACTGAGTCTGTGGCATTTTGTTATAACAGCCAGAGCGGACTAAGACAACCTCATAGAGGAAAATTCATGTTGACTAGTGTTTGGCTGTCTTCCTAACCTGCTAATGCTGTTTATTACTGACCCAATTTATTAATCACAGCAAAATGTCCCCATTCAAGGGACTGCATGGGAAAACTGACCAATTTTTGAAGTATTATTCTAGAGTATTGACTTTATTTTCATGTAAATGATGAAATGTACATTGTTCATTATGCCTGGAATTTCTTTACAATTGTGCAGGGCAGTGCACTGCATATACAGGCCAGAAACCTGGGACTTCATCTCTTTTCCTAGCGCTTATCTTGGGTAAATCAAGACCTTTCTCTGTCCTTAACTGATTCTCATATAGTAGAAAGTTTTTCAGTGTTTTCTAGTTATACAAACATATTACAACAAGAAAACAGTAACCTGACTCTCAGGATAAAGAAACATCTTTAGGTTAAGATGCTAAAAACTTTGGAATAGGACATTACAAAAATACATTGTATATTAACACAAGGAGCACACTGGTAGCAATTAATTAATCCAATTTCAAGAAAGACTTCAGGATGCTTTGTTTTGTTTATCCCATACATAAGTATCATACAAATAGGACTGGGAAAGTGAGCTGGAAATTCACAATAGGTAAAAGTAGTACCTATAAGGTAAAACTAATAATTTGCAAGCATTTAGTATTTATTTGCTCTTTAATCAACAAATTATGTTGTTACCTTTTAGCAGACTAATCATTTTCAAGCATTTCAATGAATTTTTGACTAACAATTTGAATATTAAATTTTTTTTTCAACTAACACTTTTCAAACTAATTTTGAAGCATTTATTCATTGTATCCTTTAATCAACAAATCCTGTTCAGTCATCTTTTGTGTACTGGTTACCACTGTGTGTTGAGAATAAACACTAATTACATGTTGACTTTGGATAAATAAAAATATTCAGTTAACTCTTCCGAAGCCTGCATTTTATTTTTCTGTTCTCCATTTTTTAAACTGTTACTTTGACTTGAAGATGTGGCTATGATTATTTGGAGTCTCTTTCAGCCTTTTATTCATTATTTATAATTTTGTGTTTGATTTTTATATAACAGACTTTTTCTTCACAGATGGGTAGGTGCTATGGTTTGAATGTACCCACCCAAACTCATTTGTTGGAAACTTAATCTGCAATGCAGCAATGTTAAGAGGTGAGATCCTTAAGAGGGCAAAGCCCTTCTTAATGAAGTAATGCTGTTATGGTGGGAGTAGGTTAGCTACAGCGGGAGTGGTCTCCTGATAAAAGGACAAGTTTGGGCCTCTTCCCTCCTCTTGCATGGTCTGTTTCTCTTTCGCCTTCTGCCGTAGGATAACGCAGCATGAGAGCCCTCACAGGTGTGGGCTCCTTGACCTTGAACTTGCCAGCCTCCAGCATTGTCAGAAACCTCAGTTCTTTATAAATTACCCAGTCACAGGTACTCTGTTATAGCAGCAGAAAACACACTAAAACAGTAGAATTGACCTGGGTTCTACAGGAAAACATTTGCGAGACTGGAGATTAAAAAGAAAGTGAGATCATCCACCCAACCCCCCATCTCCCGTCAAAGTCAGATCCCTAAGGCAGAGGTCCCATAGATCAGGTTACAGAGAAGGTGGCAACTGAAGGAGTGGGCCAGTGCTTGCCAGGCTTACTTCTGTAGAGAAGCTATAGAGCTGGAGTTTTGTAGAAAATCACCATGACTAGTGGATGGGCAGAAAAGTTGAGGATCATCCTAGAAATGGATCTAAGAAATGATTGTTAGCAGTGATAATGAAACTGATTTCTATCAATTACAAGTGTAATGTGAGCAAATACTTGATGATACAAGAAAATCAGCAACAATAGCCACAGTCAAGTGGTCATTTCAAAAGGAAATTTTTTAAATAGCATTTTTTTCTTTCAATACCTGATACCACAGCAACCAATGATTCTAAGTAAATATCCAATTTAATAAAATTACATCTTGGTTTCCCATTAAATATAAAATGTAAATTAATATATATTCACGGTCATGTTTTTAACAATGTCACATACTACAAATTTTAGAAACAAACATTTAACAGAAATGAAATACTCTGGTATATAAAAAGAATCATAAACCTTTGTTTTGTCCTGAATATTAAATAAAAAATAACAAGTTTCCTAAGAATGTGATAATGATCTGAGCAGTAAAGACCTTGAAAGCTAAACAAATTTTGTAGAAATGACTATTGAGATCTGGCACAATTGAATGAAAATGTGGCTCAGAAGTACCACCAGATGGCAGGAGAGGAAAAAGAATTCCAAGCGCAACAAGATGCTCAGTTTGCGTGCCAGGGGGTGACATTTTTTAAAATAAATATTTGCCTGCTAAGCCGTCAGCTTAATATTTCCTCCTCTCCAGCTATTGTGAGGACATATAAAGTCTCTGAAATTAAGTCAGGATTTCAGGACATTTTGCAAAAACCTCTGTAGTGGAAACTTGATGCATCTCTTAACTGAAATTCAGCCATGGAAAATGCCGGTAGGCATCACACCTATGAGTCCCAGGGGCCTCCAGGATCGGCCTTGTAGTCTTGGTCCTGCCATTAACTGGGAGCAAGATTGGGAGCAAGTCACATGACCTAAGCTCTCTGGGTGGCAGATTCTTTTTTTTTTTTAATTGAGTACATCAACTACTGCATAATACTCAAGACCTTATAATTTTTTTTAAAAAAAGGGGCGTCCTCTGAATACTTTTCTAACTTTTTCTTCCTTTTAGGCAATATTTAACAAGATCTGTACTACTATCTAAGATTTCAGAGTTAATGGCCTTGATATAGAGCTGCCACATTGCCCAACTCCACGGTGCCATTGTCATACAATCTTTGCAAACACAGCAGCGGCCAGTTATGCCTTGAACCTCCTGAGTAGCTGCGTTCAGTGGCCCTGCGCTGTTGAACTGCAGGTCAAAGAGCTTAGTGATCTACAGATTCTCTGAAAGTATTTACAACAGCCCCAAATTGCAATTCCTTTATAATTTCCCTAGGCAACTTTTTTGAAAAGGCATGTGTGTGTCTGCGTATGTGTCTATGAGGAATGCATTACATTATGATATGATATGACTTGACTTTGACTCACAAAGTCAGAATTTCAAAGTTTGAATTCTTTCTTTATCCCTTACTTAGCTGTATGGCTTAAAGCAAATTACTTAAATCCTCTGTGCTTCAATTTTCTCATCTACAAAGTGGGGTTAACAATAATTTCTATTAAGTAAAATTATTGTGAACAGGGCAATAAAACTTTCATAATCACTTTGATAGTCTTACCTTACAAAATAGTAAGCACATTTTCAAAAGGACATATGTTCCTTATTAAATATAGGCAATTGTTTTTAAAATATTTGAGGATTTTATCATTTTGTTGTAAAATTGATTAATATTAATTTCAATTTTGCGGTTTTCCTTTCATATTTTTTTATCTTTTTTTTTTTTTTTGAGATGGAGTTTTGCTCTTTTTGCCCAGGCTGGAGTGCAACGGCGCAATCTTGGCTCACTGCAACTTTCATCTCCCGGGTTCAGGCCATTCCCCTACCTCAGCCTCCCAAGTAGCTGGGATTAGCATGCACCACCATGCCCGGCTAATTTTTTGTACATATATATATATATATTTTTTTTTAGTAGAGATGGGGTTTCACCATGTTGGTCAGCTGGTCTTGAAGTCCAGACCTCAGGTGATCCACCCACCTCGGTCTCCCAGAGTGCTGGGATTTACAGGCATGAGCCACCGCGCCTGGCCTCCTTTCATGTTTTCGCCAAGTCTCTCATACCTTGTTTTTGAGCCATAGACCATAGACACTGTGCCTGTAGCGGTAATAGATAATACATCTCTCACTGAAGTTTAAATGAGCTAATCCACATGAAGTGCTTCAAACTGTGCTGACCCATAAAAAGCTTTCAACGAATGTCAGCTGAGATTATTCATCATCTTGATTTCCTAACTCCTGAGGCTATCCTGAGACATAAGAAAAGACCAACAAGAACCAGAATGTTGGCTAGCTAGCTAATAGTTCCTAACCCTGGCTGCATATTTGAGTCGCTCACAGATTTTAAAATCCTGATACCCAGGCCACTTGCCGACTCAGTTACAACAGACTCTGGGAGTGGAAGTTGGGCACTGGTAGTTGTAATGCTACCCAGATGATTCCAATGAACAAAGCTGAAATCACTTAGCCAAGCACAGAGGTATACATTCTTCATGCGCCTCCACAGTCATTAATTCGCCTCTTTCAAAAATAAGAATGTTTTTCTTAAAGCCACGGTTCTCAAAGATTAGTCCCCAGACTAGCAACATTGGCATCATTCGGGAACCTAGAAAAACCCACATTCTCAAGCCCCACTGAATCAGAAATTCTGGAGGCCCAGCTATTTGTCTTCTAACAGACTTTCTGACACACAGTACCTTTTGAAAACCACTAAAGAGACACATCTATATTCTGTCAACTCTCAAGATTTCATAATTGACTATTTAAAAAAAATAATTCTAGGACAACAGGGCTTGAAAATGTCCAATATAATTTGGGTCACAGTACAACATTTAATTTTCTTCATAGAGTTGACAAGCAGAGTCTTAACACCTCCATCTCAAACCACTCGCTCAGGTTTAACAGTCACACTTCAAACAAACAGATTCAATTGTCAAAATTATCTTTCTTCATATACTATATGTTCAACTCACCCAGTCCATACTCAGTTTTCTCAAGAGCTGAAGGTGTAGCGAGTGGAGTCAGAATTTCTTCTTTCTCCATCATCTACAATCTGTAAATTCTCCTTCCACAAACATCTTTGTAAACCTCTATCACTTCATTTCTTTTTAGACTTCCAGCCACATAAACACTTCTTTGAACCTTCTTCAGATAACCTTCCTCCTGCCTGAGAGCCAGCTATACACCAAAGGTGTGCCTCGGCCCAATCAGTGGGCAGGATGGGCGTGGCCTCTCGCATAGGGCTCCTGGGTAGGTCTTTCTCCTGCTCCTTTTCACCTCCTGCCTTTGCCTGTTTGATGGGTGACATTCGTTTTCTTTTATACTCTTACTAAATTAATCTACTTTCGTTTTGCATCTGTCATATCTCATCAAATAGCCCTGTTGAATATCACCTCACTTAGCAATGCCAACGATTCCAATGCGTTTGAAGGGCAACCTTCAAAGTACTACAAATCTCTTCCAGTTCGGTCACGATTTAAAAATGTCAGGCCCTCTTCTCTAGGATGGTGGATATAATCTGAATAAAGAGCCTGGCTGCCCTTTATTTATCTTCATCCAAGTCCTTCCCCAAATCCCAAGTTTCTTTGGGCTTCTAATGGACTGAGACATGCCCCAATAGCCCCTCCATATAACCTCTACCTCCTTCTATTCTGATTTAATTGCTTTGGACTGAAACATGGACATCAGGAGATTTTTAAAGCTCTTCTGGAGGTTCTGACATGCAGCAAAATGAGAACTACTGGTGTAGAGGGAAGCTTCCCTGCTAAGTAACATGGCCCCTAGACCTGGGAATCAGCGGTGCGGCAGGCCCAACTGCCCTTTGCTGCCCTCTGCTGGCTTCTCTCGGCGGAGCTTCAACTAACGGGCTCAGCTCTGAAAGCTGTAAAAAGAACTCTGGTTTAAAAGTGATTGGAAAAGTAGGTTGCAGGTATTCAAGAAATGTAATATACTCTAACTCTCTCCTTTTACTTCCTTTTCATTTGCTTTTTTTCACCCGAAACAGTTTCTGGGCAGGAAATCAGACTATTTTCTATAGCTAGACACCTATTTTCTTGGCTGAGTAGGAGATATGAATGAGCCGGTGGGTCAGGAAAGACCAGAGGAGGTGACATCTGTTCCAAGACAGCTCTGATTGCGAGGATCAGGACAAGTTCTCTGGAATGCAGAGAGGTATCTTGACTCGCTGACAATGCTGCAGAAATACAATTTTAAAGTGAGCATTTCCTTTTCTGTGCTTCTAGCTATAACTCACTCTGTACTTTATCACAATGATAACAGCAAAAACATTTGTTGATTTTTTTTTTAGTTTTTACTCTGTGTCAGCCACAGTTGTGGATGACTTACCTGTCATCTTACAACAATATTTTACCCCTACATTAACGATGAGGGAGAGATCTCAGGAGAATTAAACGACTTGCCCAAGAAAACATAGTAAGTAAGTGTTATAGGCTGGAATTCTGTCTCCCCAAAAATTGATATGTTGAAGTATGAACGCCCAGTGCCTCAGAAAGTAATCATTTTTGAAAATAGGGTCTTTAAGGAGGTAATTAAATTGAGGTCATTAAGGTGGGCCCTAATCCAATATGACTGGTATCCTTAAAAGATGAGGAACTCTGGAAACAGACACATACAGAGGGAAGATGATGCTAAGACACAGGGAGAAGATGACCCTCCACAAGCCAAGGAGAGAGGCCTGGAGCACAGCCTTCCCTCACAGCCCTCAGAAGGAACCAGCCCCACCCACATCTTGATCTTAGACTTCCAACCTCCAGAACTGTGAGAAAATTAATTTCTGTAGTTAAAGCCACTGAGTCTGTGGCACTTTGTTAAATACATTTCTGTTGTTTAAGCCACCCATTCTGCAGTACTTTGTTACAGTAACCCAGCAAACAACTACAGTGATAAAGTCAGAATTTGAACCCATGCATGACTAATTTCAAACCTTTGCTCACTCAACCACACCACAACCTTAATCTTTACAAATATAAGCTATTTTATAAACTATTGTTTTATATAAAACAAAACATTATGCCCATGCATAGTAATATATCCTTATTTTCACTTCTCATATAGTGATTTTTTTGCATTTCAACAGCCAAAAACAGTCTTCCTTTGGTGAAATCAGCTGTATATAGTAACTGACTATATCTTTGTATGTTTTTTTAAATGCTGGCTTTTCCTCTCTCTGGCTTTGCTACAAAATTCACTTTCAATGCTTGAACTTCAGCACCCTTTAGGTCCAATTCAACCTAAAATTGTTTTTATTCATCTTTCTAAAATCATAAACATACCCCATTTTTCATCTCTATTATCTGATTTGCCTTCCATAGTTACATTTTCAGTAGTTCTTCCCTACTCATGAAAATTCTGAACACTTATGTATTTTTCATATTAAAAAACAGATAACCATGCTCTACCTTTTTCCAATAAACAACTAGATAATTCAAACTGCCCCTTTTATCCAACCCCCGTGATTAGCTAATGAGCTCACAAGCTGCTCAGAAAAGGATTCACCCATCTTTTGCTAATTTGGACATGTGCTTTTTCCTCCTTTTTCTATAATAAGATGCTTGTTGATTTCCACTGTAAGATATCAAAAAACTGCCCACCCTTTGATCTTCTTTACTGTTGTGAGTAAATAACAACAACATATTTCTGAATCTCACTTTCTTCTACTTGCCCCCGCTTCGGTTCATTCGTTTTTTTAAAAAAGCTTATGTTATTGCCTTTTTGGCATTTTGAGACCAGCAGGCAAGATTTGTAGATCATATTCCTATTGCAACATCAGGATGAAAATACCACAAATGTTTCCTGGGTCTCCACAGCCCACCTGAGGTTTTCCTATGACTCAGAAAATTGAGGCTGTCTCTGTGAATCATGTAGTCAGGCGACCACAGGACTAACCTCACTCCTCAACTGCTGAGGATAAACATCTGTATATAGACACTTCTTTTGCGCAACCAAGCAGGCTTTTCTGTAGGCTTTCGAGTGAGTTGGGTCCTGGAGTTCTTTTGGAAACACAGCCTGCATCCTACGTGCTTGTGGGTTTAGAATGTTCCTCTCTCAGAAGAGGAGATTTAATGTGCTGTTTGTGGAGTTCTCAGTGCATAACTCAAGCTTCTTGGTTGGAAGAAACAGAAAGTGAATCTGGATAAGATAAGCAGAAACATAGTTTATTGAAAAGATATTAGGTAGCTTCCAGGATTACTATGAAAGCCGGGGAGCTGAGCTTAAACAACAGAGAACAAGAGAAAGTGGACAGTAGCCACACCACACCTTGGCACAGATCTAGTCCAGAAGGGACAGCACTTTCACTTCCACTAAAGCCTAAGTGCTGCTGTGGCTTCTAAAAATCGGATGCAGCTTGGTTCAAAAATATATTCTTCTCTGGTTTTAGCTTCTTTGCATCTCTATCTCCAGACTCAAATCCAGGCCAAGCAACTGTGACTGGCCAAACCTATGCCAGGTGCCTGCTTCTTAATTGCCAATTATGCCCAATAATTGAGCATCCAGCCTTTTAAAATTATAAGTAGAAATTAGTCTCTGTCCCCTATCAGGACTCATAAAATGAGTAGCAAACAGAAAATACGATGTCCTCTGCAGTTTGCCCCATTAGTGGCCCACCACCCTATTTCTTATTACTAACTTTATGATATTGCACCTGCTTGGTTAATGCATTTATTTCCCCTGCATATATCTAAAAATTCACTCTTCCCAAAGAGAAAAAGTTTACATCTCATTATTTACTGCATCCAGATCTAGTTTAGAATTTCTGGATGAGGTAAATTATTCTGATTTTATCATAATTCTCTCTCCATCTTCTCCTCTGGACTCAACTGGACAGTTAATCATTTCCAACCCATGATATATAACACAATAGCATAAAGGAAAAGTCAAGAAAATTCAGTTAATAAATAGTATAAATGTAAAAGTTAGCACATATATATAGTGTGTATATATACACACTATGTATGTGTATATACATATACGTACACATACGTACACATTACTAGAAGGAGAAAAGAACAGGTAGAAACTATAAGGTTATGTTACTCCTTTTTACAACTAGTTCCTTGGCCACATTTATGACTTCTGCTGGTCTCCACTGAAAATTATTATAACCTCAGCTCTTCAAAGTTCTTTATCTGGTAAGACGGCCTGGACTTCCATTTCTGAGGCTTCTGAGCACCACGGGAGATACCCCAAGTACTGTACTAATTCCTCCCTGCCCCCATTGTATAATAGCAACCCAATTTCTCCTTGACTGCCTGCTTCTTGGCTATCAATTATCAAAGACAACACCATAACCTACTTTGACTTGTTCACCCAAAGGCAATAGGAGCCAAAAATGACCTATGCAAAAAGGTATAACATTTTCATGTTTGTAACTGAGGTTTTATTTGTCATATTTAATTTAGACATGTCCTAAGGATGTGGAAGATAGCAGAGGTTTATTAATCTCATTAAATATAGGATTTCTTCAAGGTTTAGAACTAGAATGTGTACTCTTGTCACCTGTACCTGCTCCTTAGGCCATCTCATTCACACTCACCAACTCACGTTCTAACTCTTTGTGAATTGCTCACTAATTTTTATCTCTAGGATAAAGGATCCAAAGGTGGAAGTTTCAGTTTACAATTCAAGAAAAGCATTTTTGTGTAGAAGCATTCATGTCTATCATGCTCATATATCTAAACCAGCATATTTTAGAGTCACGGGAAAGGAAACCACCTTTTTTCCAGTTGATTCATTAGGAAAAATAGTGATGGGCATCCCCCTCCCTCTCATCACTTGGTTCTTGAGCCCTTATGTAGGCTATGAAAAAACAAACTGCATCCTATACAGATCATTCACTCAGAATATATACACATCTTACAAGAGAGCACCCAAATCTTACAGTGTGTAGTCTCCCAGTGGGTTCCACAACAGAGTTTCAACAAACCATGCCACCATTCAGGGGTCATTTTCTGTACAGGAAATAGAGTATATGATCAGACCAGCCAATCCCATGAGCATCAGCATCAGCCCATTTCTCTTTAAGTCAGCTCCTCATTTGGAATATCACAGAATATCATGAGGGTGTATGGGCATTCAGGCAGTCTACAGATAGTGCTGGAAGAAGCATGGCAGGAGGAGGGACAAATCCAAATTCACAGTAAGAGTTTTTGTTTCTTTGTTTGTTTGTTTGTTTCATGACAGAAAGGGCTTAATAGCTGATAACACAGCACACACCATCTACAATGAAAAGCTAAAGACAAGTCTTAGGCAAAACTTATTCTTGAGTCTGTAGAAATAGCAAACCTCAAAATAAAAATAAAGAATGCATAATAACTTTAGACAAAAAGGCACTAAGGCCTAGAGTTTTAGGTACATAGGATGTGCTTTAAATAATATGTTGTTTCTCTTCTTGTTTACCCTGAGAGTGTGATTTAGAAACATGTAACTAATTTTGAATTTATTCATTCAACAAACACTTTTGGATGGTAAAATGTGTCAAATAAACCATAGTATAGGTAAGTAAGGAGGAGTTCAAAAGAGAGTTTTGAGCTAGAGATAAAAACTAGTGGGCACTTGACATAGAGTTAGTACCTGAGTTGGTGAGTGTGAATGAGATGGCCTACAAAGCAGGTATAGGTGAGAACGGTAGACATTCTAGTTCCAAACTTTGAGGAAATTCAATATTTAATGAGATTAATAAACCTCTGCTGTCTTCTATGTCCCTAGGATACATCTAAATTAAATATAACAAATAAAACCTCAGTTACAAACATGAAAATGTTATGTGTTATGAAAAATAACACAAATAAGGTTATATAAAGGTCAATGAAAAAATTTGGTACATAGAAAAATGAGGATTACATTAATTCCAGGTGTCTCCTAGTACTATTCAAGGGGAGATCAGTTGGTTTGATTCATTTGGAGAAAAACTCGGCCTAAAGTGGAGCAGCTTATCAGTTTACTTATGTGTACAGATTTCTAACCACAGTTTTTCCAATCCTACATAAGCAGGAGGTGATGGTTCATAGGTGGGCTTGAGGGGAAAGAGAGACTTACCCTTTGAGCCTGGAGGAAAGAAGCTAAGGATAGGTGTGTATATAAAGTGTACAGCATAAGGGCAGGAAAGTAGGGAGGACACACACAATAACTCAGAGTCGGCAGCAAGCCCTGATAGACAAGATGGGTGCTGGTTGAAGAATGAGGACATTTTAAAATTCGATAAATAAGGGAGATGAACCAAATAGCTGGCAGAGAACTCATAACAGAATACACAGGTAACATTGGGATTCCTATTCAGGTAAGTAACCATGAATTTTACATAGATGGCTTTATCTACACTTCAAATAAAACTGTCTTTATAACAAGTTTGTCTAGCCCATGGCCCATGGGCTGCCTGTGGCTCAGGACATTTTTTAATGTGGCCCAACACAAATTTGTTAAGTTTCTTAAAACATTATGAGATTTTTTGTGCGTGGTTTTTTTGTTTGTTCCATCAGCTGTCATTAGTGTTAGTGTATGTTATGTGTGGCCCAAGACAGTTCTTCTTCTTCCATGTGGCCCAGGGAAGCCAAAACGTGAGACACCCCTGCTTTATAGCATTAGTAGTACCTTAACTTATGGTAGCTGTCACTCAAACAATCAGCTAGTAAATTTTTCTTTAAAAACTGAGTATTAGACAAAATTATTGACTAGCTGAAATTTCACTTTGGAGACAGTTGTTTTTGACAGTACAGATAGAACTCAGTTTTTCCCACTGAACTAAAGCAACTAATCTGCTATTTCACAGATCTTCTCTAAAAAAATTATAGAGAGAGGCTTGGTTAAACAAAAAAACAGAAAACAAAAACAACCTGTGCCATAAGCCAAGCTTAGATTACCATTAACCATCCTCTGCCCTGTCTGTCTCACTTCCTACCCCACCATAGAAGGTACTAAAAGGGACTTTCAGTCCCACAAGCCCCACCCACCACTACACTTCCCAGCTTAGGACAATGGCTGACCACAAGGCTCTAAATGTTAGGGATTCCTCTTACCTATGGAGCTAGAGTATGGTTAATCATGGAGACCTGAAGCCAATCTTGCAGGAGAGCTTGCGCAACTGCAGGCAGCAGCCCAATTATACCACATGTATAAGTCTCCCCCTTCACAAAGTTGATAAGGTTAGAAAGATTTTGTTAGTGTTTTTTGCCCAAAAATGAGGTCAAAGCTAAGAGAAATCAATGGTATGTCTGCGAGCAATGGATAAGTAAGTAAAATATCTGGTCTCATTCCACATTATATGTCTTTTTACCAGCAATATGAACTTCCTCCTACATACCTGAACACTGTTATAGAACCTCCTGGAACTTAATTTTATTTTTCTAAAGAAACGTTACCAGTTCCTAAAGACAGGAAGATTCTTTCAGAATGCCACTCCTGCCTATTTCTGTAGAATATACATTAGGCAAATAATTTATTGATAAGTCCCTGTTCTAAATTATTCAAGTGCTATTTTAAAAATGTTAGATAAAAATTCCATTTTCAGATATTCATTTCTCCAAGGAGCTTTAGAGGAAATTACTGAATTATATCAGTACACTGTGTTTTTCTACATGTTTTTCTGCATGTTTTTCCAGCCAGTCTCTCCATTAAATCAACTTGAACAGCCAACGAAATAATTCAATGAGATAGCAGAATTTTAATACTGGCTAATGAAACTAATTTCTTGATTCATCCATTTGCTTTTCTCAAGGGCATCCAAACAAACAAGCTTTCAGAAAAATTAATATGTTGGCTTCCTATTATTTAATCAACTCTGAGAGATTAGTAAAAAGCATTGCAGAAACAAAGTTCAGTTATACCTTTTAAATCCTACTGGGCAACCAGCCTGAATCCACTGTTTCTGGAACATCAAAAGAGCAATGGCCTAATTAAGATAAATATGAAATTTGGGGGCAAGTGCCATTTTACATGTTTACCTCTTTAGCACTGATTTGCTCTCAGCGAAGGTTTACACACTTGGTCTGCTCTCTTTCTTTGAATTGGCAAGGGTTTCTATCCCGTCTGTATACCATCTTTAAAAAGTGGTGAGTGCTACCAGTGTTATTTTGAATTTCATAGAGAAGGAAGCCTCAGATTCTCTCTACTCTGCAACAATCCCTCTTGATAAATATTAATCTTTATAATTTAAATTGTTATATGTTTATTGTTTATTTTAGAATCTTATTACCATTTAGAAAAGAGCATGGAATACTTACTAATAAAAGCTTAAAAATATGTAAACTATATATCCACTGTCATAATCATCATTCTCTCTGACCCCCCACCCCTTTCTCTCTCTCCCTTGCTAATATTATATAATCTCTGTCTCTATCTCTTATCTTTGCTGAATTCTAGATTACTAAAATTGCCTCTGTGGGGACACCACTAATAGCCTACCCAGATCCCCTGGAATCCCCCACAAGCCTTACCTACCAACTTCTCACTTCTCATTGTATGAACAAAACAAACTTTTTCTTTATTAAAGCCACTAAAAAAAAATCAGATTTTCTGTTCTTAGCAAATGAACACACTCATAATTGATACACAATTATGAAGGAGATGTGTTGGTACAGAAAACAACCTGTTAATTAATTTATTACCTTAACATTTTAATCTTTAAAGCACTTATATCAGGATAAAATAGTTTCCAATATTGATGATTCTTTTATCAAATTCTGAAACAAAGATACTTATCCGCGTTAACTATTCTTTTGTTGCAAGATTATCATTAGTGAGTATAAAATCTGACTTTTCAACCATAAAGGTATATTTTATTAACAAGATTCTTATCTCAATCTTCCTTTATTTCAATTCAGAAATAACACTGTTGCTTTAGGTATTTTTCCCTCAGTAATGGTTTTTGTTTTTTGTTTTTTGGTTTTTTTCGTTTGTTTGTTTGTTTGTTTGTTTTCTGAGACAGTCTTGCTCTGTCGCCAGACTGGAGGGCAGTGGCATGATCTCAGCTCACTGCAACTTCCAACTCCCTGGTTCAAGAGATTCTCCTGCCTCAGCCTCCCGAGTAGCTGGGATTACAGTCGCGTGCCACCACATCCAGATAATTATTGTATTTTTAGTAGAGATGGGGTTTCACCATGTTGGCCAGGATGGTCTCGATCTTTTGAGCTCGTGATTCCCCCACCTCGGCCTCCCAAAGTGCTGGGATTACTGGCGTAAGCCTACGCACCCGGCCAGTAATGGTATTTGTATAGATGTATCTGGTCAACTAGCTTTTCTAAATAATTAATGAACTCTAAAAGACATATTCATAGGTATTTTCTATTTATAATTTTACCAGGAATAGTAAAGGCAAATACCTGACATCCTCCAGCATACTTTCTCCCTCTGAGCAAGACATGACCTCAAATTTGTTCTTCTGAAAAAAAAAATTAAAATCTCTCTATTTCAGACACCTACTACCATCCCATCAAATTTGGCACACAACATGAAACCTATGTACAGCCTTGGCTTAGTGGTTTAGCAATTAGTTTAATAAATAGGATAATTAGGCTTCATTTTAGCCAGTTAGCAGATGATTTAAGCATAAAACTATTATTTCCCTTACTATATGTCAAGTAAAATAAGTAAAATAGAGCCCACTACAGCTGACAATGTCACTGAGTCCGCAATCTCACAGATCCAAATAGTCACCCAAAATATAACAACCACAAACAGAAAAAGCTTTATATAACATCCTTAATTTATGAGTTAAATTAAAGAAGTCTACCACTTATGTCTTTTGCTATAACAATTTCAAATAATGAACTTAAATGCAAATAATTTCACTTGACTCCATGATTACCATATATATGTGCGTGTGTATACATACACACACATAAATATGTGATCTTCATATCCAAATGTGTGTTATACGTATGCATTTTCAAGCTTTTGAAATGACTCAGAAGAAAGGAAGATAAAAGACCAAAATGTCTTTTTATCCACATTTAGAACCTGGCAACCAAAATATAAAACTGACCAATGCAGATGGATGTCGTGGAAAAAATATCAGCTTTGCAATCAGACGAAACTGGGTTTGAATCTTAAGTCATGAGCTTTACTTTATAGAGTTACCATGAGTTTTAAATAGAATCTTATTAGCTCATAAACAAAGAGCCAGACTATGATAGGCTCTCAGTAATGTTTTACCTTTTTCCTTCTATTAGAACTAGACTGTATACGTTTGTAGGGCTGGAATTATGCCCTACTCACCACTATAACCACAGACTCTACAGTACAAAATAAATGGTCACAGTTTATGGAACCAATGATCAACCGGTCATTTTAAAAGGGTAATAATGCTGTGCTTGGTGCTCAACAGTCATAAAAGAAAGATTTCCCTTTCAGCAGGCCTTGAATGCATGGCTCTTGTACACCTCTGAACTATGCCATGCAGAAGGAGACTAAATGAAAAAATTCATTCAGCATGACAGTGGCTAGGGCAAAGTTCAATGTCACAGTGGCAGCAACTTGCAATACTGCCTGCTCCCAGAATTCAGTTGATTGTCCGTCCATATAGTGAATTTCTGCCTGGAGTTAAATGAGTAGAAGTGCCTCCTCGGAATATACATATATATATATATATATATATATACATATATATATATATATATATATACACATACATAAATTATAGGAATGATCTAGTATACTTCTTCTTCACCATTTATTAATGAAAATGCAAAAGAGCGGATGCAAACTGACAGGCAGGTGTCTATGACTCATTGTGCTGGGCATGAAATAAAAGTAGAGCTGATGCAGATGCTATTACAATAAAATGAGGACATAGGAACCCTGATTTTTCTGGCCACTGAAGCAACCTCTTGAGAGAAGATGTTGTATTATTTGATTTGGATGCTAAGCACAATCTATCACAACCTACAAAATAGTAAGAAGATTCCATTCCTTCTGCAGCCTATTTTTGAGAGAGAAGGAAAAGGCATCTTAGTAATCATTTTTCCTTTGATCTGGGTCACTCTCATCATCTGCCTTCATACTATGTGTGCACATCTGTGTGTGTATGTGTGTAGTGTGAGAGTGTGTGTGTGTGTGTGTGTGTGTAATCCTAAATGCCACGCCATTGCAGCAACCTCCTCCACAGTCCTTGAGTGAAGGTTGGGGGGTGAAGGGGAAGCAGCTTCCCCTACCCTGCCTGGTCTCCTTTCAGAAGAGCTAGTGATACCTAATCAGCTTGCTAACTCTTTTCTCAATGTGAATATGAATGGCATTATTATTTATCGCCTTTAATATTTTTAGTGACTCATATCTGAAATTAGATCAATGGCCTGATCCATTTAACTCTAATAGGTTACTGGTGGCTGAGAACTGACAGAAGGCCATAACTTTGGCATCTTACAATGGCTGATGATCACTATTATGTAAGAGTCATGAAATAAATGATAAAATATGTTAAATTTTGTCTTAGAAGGAGGGAACATTTATAGATCATGTTGTAATTATAACAACCTTACAGAGAAAGAGGTTTTTTTTATGTATCAAGGAAAAAAAATCCTGGCAACTTGGGTAAATATTCTATATGGTTTCAAATATAGGCATATCTTGGAGATACTGCAGGTTAGGTTCCAGATCATCACAATAAAGCCAATGTCACAATAAAGGGAGTCACCTGAATTTTTTGGTTTCCCAGTGCATATAAAAGTTATATTTACTATTCTTTAGTCTGTTAAGTGTGCAATAGCATTGTGTCTAAAAATAATCATGTACAAACATTAATTAAAAATTACATTATTGCTTAAAAAGGCTGACACAGAGGCACAGAATGAGCATATGTTATTGGAAAAATGACACCAACAGACTTACTCGACACAGCATTCCCACAAACCTTCAGTCTGTAAAAAATGCAATATCTGCACAGTTCAATAAAGCAAAGCACAATAAAATGAGGTATGCCTATATTAGATTTGCAGGCATTTTCATTTCTGAAAGGATATTGGTTTAAATACCCCAAGCCCCTTTTGCTAAAAGCAACTGAAATTTGGGGGAAAAAAGTTTAAAATCTTTTAAAATATATTGTGAAGATGTCAGAAAAAGAAAAAGAATCCACCGAATCAAAGAAAATAAATAGGGAAATCTGGGGTACAAGCAAGCTCCCAGGTTCACTTGTGAATTCTGCAGAATCTCAGCGACCTTGGAGCTCTGGAGTTTAATGATGATTCAGGAGACAGGCAAAAGCAGGGACCCAAAAGGGCTCATCTTAGTAAGAAATAATACTACAACACAGATGAGAGAACGAGGATGCTAGTCTGTCTCGTCTCAACCCTACTAGACAGAAAAATAACTCTATCCTGAGAATTCATAGTAAGTCAGCCAGGTGTGGATCCAGAATTCCTGGGGTCTAAAGTTTCAGCAAGTTAGGAAAGGAGGCCTCATTAACAATAAGAATACAAGATTACAAATATGAGGTTTTAGACTAAGAAAATAAATCACAATGAAATATAAATGTCTAAAAGCTGATAAATATCACAAACATCAGAAAATCCAGAATAACATAGCATGTTTTATTAAATAATTACCTAAAACATCACTTTACTAGTATTTTTGTACTCTTCTTCGCTGCGAATTCCTTGACTACCTCTTCATATGCCAAGATGTTTGTCACATCAATTCTACTAAGAAGATAGAAAGATAATTTTATCTCTTTATTCCAGCATGTTTGATCAGAAACATTTTTTGTTTGTTTGTTTGGTTTGTTTGTTTGTTTGTTTGTTTGTTTTAGACAGGATCTGCACTACATCCAGGCTGGACTGCTGTGGTGCGATCATGGCTCACTGCAGCCTTATCTTTCCAGCCTCTAGCGATCCTCCCACCTCAGCCTCCTGAGTAGCTGGGACTACAGGTGCACACCACCCTACCTGGCTAATTTTTGTATTTTTTGTAGAGAAGAGGTTTTGCCATGTTGCCCAGATGAGTTTTGCCATGTTGGTTGCTCATTTAACTCCTGAGCTCAAGTGATCATCCCGCCTCAGCCTCTCAAAGTGCTGGGATCATAAGCATGAGCCACCACACCCGGCCCCAAAACAAAATTTTAAACAATATTTAAAATAGCTTCCTTCTGCTTCACAACTTATTATTGGTAACACAGAAATGTTTAAGATTATTGTCAAGTACGGCAAAACCTATATGGTTTCATTTTTGATCTAGAGGGCTTCAGGGAATTTTGTATTTTCTTGCACAGTGACCAGTCTTAAGCACTAAGCACTCTGAATTGATGATATTCATTAAGCAGTTTGTCATCTACGTCCTCATTATACTGACCTAGTATGCATTTTATGTTTTCATCTTCAATGTTAATATTACCTGTCAAAACAGCACAGACCTTAAATCTTTTTAATGTGTTCGTATGTCTCATCTCTTTTCATCAGCTGGATTATAAAACAATCCAAGATTCTATTCACTACTTCCATTTGAAATTTATCTCATCCTCTTAATGAAATACTGCTTTTGGTATGATAGATTCAAAACAAATTTGTTGTTAAACAATTTATTCTCGATGTCAGGGTAATTTCTTTTAATTTCATTAGTCATCTTTATTGTTTTTGTTTAGAATTCCTTTTTTTAATCTGAGTTACCTCTCAATATTTTAGGAAATAAATTTAAAGATGACAAAATATGTCTTCGTTTGTGCCAATGAAACTAAATGCTGAAGACTGAGTAACTTGTAAGCAACAGAAATTTATTTCTCACAGTTCTGCAGGCTGGGAAGTCTAAGGTCAAATTACCAGCAGGTTTGGTGTCTGGTGAGGGCTCTATCTCTGCTTCAAGATGTCATGTTGCTGTATCCTCTGGAGGAGAGGAATACTGTGTTCTCACATGGCAGAAGGGATGGAAAGGCAAGAAGGCAAACCTACTCCCTCAAGCCCCTGTATAAAGGCCCTCATCCCATCCACAAAGGCTCTGCCCTCATGATTAAATCACCTCCTAAAGGCTAAACCTCAATATTATCACATTGGTAATTAAGTTTTCACATACGAATTTTGGAAACATGTTCAGACCATAGCAATGTCTAGTAGAAGCCTATAATTAATTACCTGTTTTATGAAAGCATTCCAAAGTATCCTTCAAATTTTAGTAAAATTATTACATTCCCAATTCACTTCTTACTCAGATCCCCAGAAAGTCCAAAGTTGCTCCAATACTACCTAATATGAAGGGAGGTGTGACAGAAAGACATTGGAGCAACTGCGGTGACTGTCAATACCAAATGCTGTCAAGGACGTGGAGCAACTGGAACTCTCATATACCGATACTTGGTATGTACGTTGGTAGAGCCACTTTGGAAAATGCTGGACATTATCCACTAAAGTTGAATACGTATATACTCCAGGATCCAGTGTTTTATGTTTATCTATATGTACAAAATAAATGGTTACATGTGTATAATAAAAATGATTGAATAAATAAATATTGTACTTTTACAATATTGATAAAACATATGACCCTGTAAGCATGTTGCTAAGACTCCTCTAGGCCTTGGAAGAGGCCCTTGTAAGGAAGGAATCCCACAGGAGCCTATAGCTAAAGCTTCATTATTTACCCAGGAAATCTACTTTTCAGGCTAACCCTCATAAGCATCAAAAGCTGGAATTACTGCTACATGTGTAGTACAGAAAGCATGAAGGGCAAAATTTAATTTAAGGTAATCCTCAATTGGTAGGACCAGCCCCAGGAAACCGAAGAAAAAAAAAATAAAGCATTTTGAAGTCTCCTCTGGGGGAATTAACTTTTTATTCTTATCTCAAAATCTTTCCATCATGATTGAGGGTCTGATGAAGTCAAAGACATCAGAATGAGACATGCAAAACATTGAATATTGGAATTTTGGTGTCTGTAGTAGAAAATAAGTATATACTGAATACATTCAAAATCATTAAAGATAGGCAGGCAGAAAAGCATGGATGAGAAACAAGAGTCTATTTTTAAAAGCATACTTAAAAATGAATCAAATAAAACTAAAAAATTTAACTAAAAACTCAATACATGGGTTAAACAACAAATAAGGTGTGCATGAAGAAGTTATTAGTGACCTGGAAGAGAAACCTAAACAAATTTCAAAAGTGAACCAAAAAAGACTAAGAGAAGAAAAATATTAGAGGTTGCAAAGCACAAGGGCTATATTATGAAGACATAACAAATGTCAAATGAATTTTCTAGAAGAAGATTATAAACAGAATGTTGAAGAGGCACTGTTGAAGAGATTATGCCTGAGAAGTTTTCCAGGCTTATTAATAGGCAAAAATTCTCACATTCAGAAAGCCCAACGAATCTCAAACAGGATAAATAAAAAGATACATCTACACAGACACAGCATAGTTAAACTGTACAAAAGCAAAAAAAAAAAAAAAAGAAAAAGAAAAAGAAAAAAGAAAGATAAAAGAAAATATTTTAAAAGAAACCAGAGAAAAAGAATAGATTACCTAATAAAAAACAGTATATACACTGACGGCTAAGTTCTCAACAGCAATGGAAAGCAGAAAACAATGGAATTATATCTTCAGAATCCTACGAAAAATAACTATCAATCCAGAATTAAATGCCTCGAGAAATTACTTTTCAAAAATGGTAGTAAAACAAAAACACTGTTAAACAAATCAAAACAAAAGTGAGAAAATTTATTACTTACAACCAGTAGACCCTCACTAAAGTAAAATATCTAAATGATTTTGTTCGAGCACAAATAAAATTATTATTGCAATTATGCTAAAATGCAAGAAAGAATAAAAGAAATACATATCTATAAATATATGGATAAATCTAAACAAATAAGGCTATATGAAATAATAATTAGAACAATAACTATGTCTAATTTGTGGGGTAAAAACATAACAGAAATGAAATGGTTTCACACAATAACACTTAAGTTGGAAGGAGGTGGTCTAAAATGTTCTAAGGTCCCTCCTTGTGTGCTTCAGCAGGAGGCAAAAATATTGATTAACAATAGACTTAGTTAAGGTTACACATTCAGATGTAGGATAAACACTGAAAAATGGAAATATAGAGGGTATACATTTCAAAATAATAGGAGGATAAAATTTGAATAAAAAGTAAAGCATTCAAAAATAAAAGGAGAAAATAAAACAAAAAGTGAAACAAACAGAAAGCACAAAATAATATAACAGAAATAGAACCAAACACGAGTATTCACAATCATTGCAAATTGATTAAACACTCAACTAAATGATAAAAAATCATCAGACTGGACTAAAACACCAAATCCAGATATTTATTCTTGTTGGGAGACATATATAAGCTATAAAGCCATAGAAAAATTCAACATAAAAGGATAGAATTGGCATAAGGAAAACAATGACAGGCCGGGCGTGGTGGCTCATGCCTGTAATCCCAGCACTTTGGGAGGCCGAGGCGGACGGATCACGAGGTCAGGAAATCGAGACCATCCTGGCTAACACAGTGAAACCCCGTCTCTATTAAAAATACAAAAATTAGCCAGGCGTGGTGGTGCACGCCTGTAGTCCCAGCTACTCAGGAGGCTGAGGCAGGAGAATCGCTTGAACCCGGAAGGTGGAGCTTGCAGTGAGCCAAGATTGTGCCACTGAACTCCGGCCTGGGCGACAGAGCGAGACTTGTCTCAAAAAAAAAAAAAAAAAAAAAAAAAAAAAAGACAAATGGCAATAAAATGGTTCAGGGCAAATGAAATAAGTGCAATTATTTTGTAAGATAGAAAAATATTCTAAAGTTTTATTTACTTAATATATTTTCCTCAAAAGAGTTCCTTTAATGAAAATATTAGGAGAAATCAGAAAATGCAACCACCATGCTTGAATTGTTTAGCATAACTCTCTCTGTAATTGATAGACTAAAAAAATTATTGAGGATACAGATCTGAGATATCCAATAAAAATACATTATCTAATGTAAGGGTAAAATCTTGGCCGGGCGCAGTGCCTCACGCCTGTAATCCCAACACTGGGAGGTCGAGGCGGATCATGAGGTCAGGAAATTGAGACCATCCTGGCCAACATGGTGAAACCCTGTCTCTACTAAAAATACAAAATTACAAATTACAAAAATACAAAAATCAACTGGGCATGGTGGCGGGCGCCTGTAATGCCAGCTACTTGGGAGGCTGAGGCAGGAGAATCGCTTGAACCCGGGAGGCAGAAGTTGCAGTGAGCAGACATCGTGCCACTGCACTCTAGCCTGGCGACAGAGCAAGACTCAGTCTCAAAAAAAAAAAAAAAAAGGCAAAAACTTTTATACACATAAACACAGCACTACACAACTGAGGAATACATATTCTTATAAAGCACCACATAAAACATTTATAAAAATTGACCATGAGCTAAGCCATATAGAAGACTTCAACACATTTCAGAATATTGGTATCAAACATACTACACATGTGTCATTGAATTAAAAATCAAAACAAAACTAAGAGAAATCTCATTAGTTTTAAAACAAAACACATATATTTCTAAACAAAACAAGAGCCCTGGGACAAAATAAAAACAAAAACAAACAAAAAACAGTTGTGAATAAAAATTAGAATATATTTAGAGCTGAATAATGATGAAATATTTGCAGATTAAAACTTGTGCAACATAGCCAAAGTGGTAGAGGAAAATTTATAGCCTTATATGATTACTGATAAAGAGGAAAAAAGGCAAAGATAGTGTTAAAAATGGACTAAGAAGTTAGAATAAAAACGCAAAATAAACCCAATCGAGTAGTAAATAACAAAATGAAGAAAGAGAATCTCAAGTGACATTAGCAAAATGACTGACCACAGAAGTCTGGCACTCTTCTCTCCTACAAGACAGGATCAAGGCAAAGAACAAACATAAGATTTGGCTGGAGTGTCGAAGGGAGAGCTCTAGAGGGCAGCCGGGGAGTGGAGATGCGCCTGTGGTGATTGGGAGTACAAGGGGACAGTATGGAGGCACCCAGCCTCTGCAGCCCCGTGTCCCCTACCCAGATTGCATCTTCTAGGACAAGCCTACTTTCAAACCAGCCAAATCACTGTGTATCCTTCCATAAGCAGGAGACGCCTCTGAGCCTCCAGGCTGGCAGAGTGGCTACATACCAGCATTCAGGATCTAAAAAACAGTCTCCTGCAGACATGTTCATGGTCTGCCCAATGGCCCTGCACCTGCAATAATGGCCTGAGAAACAGTCTGCCCCCAACAGACATGCTCCGGAGCTGCCAAACAGCCTTGCACCTCTGTCCCAGACCTGAGAAAGAGCCCCATGGGCCTCCCCCAGGAAATGATGCTCCCAGCCAGACCGACATGCTATGTGCCCATATCCCAGGCCCAAGAAACAGCCTCATGAGCCACCGCTAGTGGGTATGCCCCCAGGTCAACAGAGCAGGCCTGTGCTTGCACTGTAGGCTTACGAAACAGCTCTATGGGTCACCCCCTGACAGAAATACCACCAGGCCTGCCAAGCAGCAGTGCAGCCATATCACAGGCCTGAGAAGCAGTCCTGTGGGCTGCACCTGGCAGACATACCCACAGGTCAGGTGAGCAGCTGTGCACCCATGTCCTGAGCCAGAGAAACAGCCCCGTCAGACTTCAGGGAGTCACCCCCAGCAGACACACACCCATGATCACATGCCTTAGGCCCAAGAAGCATTTGTTTGTCCCTAGCAAACACACCCCCCAGCCAACTAAGCAGCTGTATAGCTGTGCCCAGACCTTAGAAACAACCCTGCAGTTCACCCCTGGTTGGCACTCCCCTAGGCCAACCAAGAGTCTTGGCTTGAGAAACATCCCTCAGGCTGCCCCTGATGGCTATGTCTCCAGGCCAGCTAAACACCTGTATGCCCATATCCTAGGCCTAAGAAACAACACTGCAAGCTGCTCCTGGCAGGCACACCCCTAGGCTGCCTGAGTAACCATATGGCTGTGCTTGCGGCCAGAGTAACAGTCCCATGACCTGAACCCAAGTGAGACAGATCCAAAGGTGGCTGAACTGCTGTGTGCATGCACATACCCCCGACCTGAGAAACAGCCCAGCAAGCCTACCCCTGGTAAAGCCACACTACTGTTACCACAAACTCTCTCAACCTAGGCCACTGAGAAACTCACAAACACCACTAGTATGACTTACAGCTAAAGAAGCTACACAGAGACCACACTATTGCATCCACTAGAACCAAGGCCAATGCACTCCACCAAACCAACACCCCAAGACTCATTAATACAAATAAGTCTTTCTCTACTAATCCTACATAAATTGGAAGAGATGACTTTTCCACCAGATTCATAGAAATCAAAATAGTGACACATTAATCATGAAAAAGCAAGCACTCGTCACTTTCAAAGGAAAACAATAATTCCACAGTAACAGATTTCAATCATAAGAAAATATATGAAATGCCTGAAAAAGAATTCAGAATAATAACCTTGGGGAAACTCAGTAAGATATAAGATAATGCAGATAGACAATTCCATGAAATCAAGAAAACAATTTCTGATGAAAAATAGTAATTGAGAAATTCAACAAAGAAATAGATATCATAAAAAGGAACTAAACAGAAATCTTTCAGCTGAAGAATTCAATGAATAAAATAAAAAATAAAATCAGGAGCTTCAACAACAGATTAGACCAAGTAGAAGAATTAATTTCTAAAGTTGAAGACAGATCTTTTGAAATAACACAAGCAGGCAAAACATGAAAAGAGAACAAACAAGAATGAAGAAAGCCTACAGGATTTATGGGACACCAGTAAGCAAACAAATTTTTATAGTATGGGTGTTCCAGAAGGAGAAGAGAAGGGAAGAGGTGAGAAAAACATATTTAATGAAATTATAGCAGAAAACTTCCTGTCTTAGGAGATAAATGGACATCCAGGTCCAGGAAGCTTTAAAAATGACAAAGGTTTAGATTTGCCCCTCTGAGGCAAATTATAGTTAAATTGTCAAAAGTCAAAGAGAAAGAAAATGTTCTAAGAGCAGCAAAAGTGTCAAGTCACGTATAAGATACTTCCTATTCAACTAACAATTATTTCTCAGCAGAAGCCTTTCAGGCCAGGAGAGAATGAGATCATATATTTGAAGAACTGAAAGAAAAAAAAAACCATTAGCCAAGAATAGTATATACCCAGAAAAGCTATCATTCCAAAATGAAGGAGAAACAAATCTTTCACAGACAAGCAAAATCTGAGAAAATTCGTCACCACTAGGCTAGGCTTACAGCAAATGCGCAAGGCTTACATCTGGAAGTGAAAGGACAATAACCCTCATGACAACTACAAAACTATAAAACTCACTAATGGAGCCAATACACAAAGGAGAAGGCTAAAAAAAATCTAATCATCTCACTACAGCAAACCACCTAATCTAAAAATACACAATAAAAGAGGAAGTAAGGAAAAAAGGATAAATTTTAAAAGCCAGAAAACAACCAATAAAATTACAGGAATAAGTCTTTATCTATCAGTAATAACCTTGAATGTATATTGGCCAGGCACTGTGGCTTGCACTTGTAATCCCAGGATTTTGGGAGGCCAAGGCAGGTGGATCACCTGAGGTCAGAAGTTTGAGATCAGTCTGGGCAACATGGTGAAACCCTGTCTCTACTAAAAATACAAAAATTGGCTGGGTGTGGTGGCACACACCTGTAATCCTAGCTACTTGGGAGGCTGAGGCATGAGAATCACTTGAACCCAGGAGGTGGAGGTTGCAGTAAGCTGAGATCGCATCACTGCACTCCAGCCTGGGCGATGGAGACTGTCTCTCAAAAATTACAAATAAAAAGATATAGCCTAGCTAAATGGATTAAGAAAATACAAGACTCTACTACTGCTGCCCACAAGAAACTCACTTCACCTGTAAAGACACATAGAGATTGAAAGTGAAGGGATGGAGCAAAATATTCCACATGAACAGAAACCAAAAGTGAGCAGGAGTAGCTATACTTATATCAGACAAAACAGACTTAAAGTTAAAAACTGTAAAAAGAGACAAGGAAGGACATTATATAATAATTAAGGAATCAATTCAGCAAGATAATATAACAATTGTAAATATATATGTATCCAACACCAAAACATCCAGATGTATAAAGCAAATATTATTAGATCTAAAGGAAGAGATAGACATTAATAAAATAATAGCTGAGGACTTCAACACCCCACTCTCAGCATTGGACAGATCATCTAGACAGAAAATTAACAAATAAACATTGGCTTATTTGTAAACTGCACCATGGACCAAATGGACCTACCAGACATTTACAGAACATTTCACCCAACAGCTTCAGAATACGCATTCTTTTCATAAGCATATGAAATACTCTCTAGGATTGATCATATGCTAGGATATAAAACAAGTCTCAGCAAATTTTTAAAAATTGAAATCATGTCAAATATCATATCTGACCACATTGAAATAAAATTAAATATCAATAAAAAGAGAAATATTCAAAAACTGTACAAATACATGGAAATTAAACAGCATACTCCTGAACAACCAATGGGTGACACAATAAATTAGGGATGAAATTTAAAAATTCATGGAAACAAATAAAAATAGAAACACAACACTAAAATCTATGAGACACAGCAAAATGAAATTAAGAGACAAATATGTAGCAATAGATGCATACGTCACGAAACTAGAAAGATGTCAAATAAACAACCTAACAATGCATCTCAAGGGACTATAAAAGTAAGAACAAACCAAACCCCAAATTAGCAGAAGAAAAGAAATAATAATGGTCAGAGCAGAAATAAACCATACTGAGACTAATAAAATAATACAAGAGATAAAAGAAGATAAACAAAGCCAACAAAGCATTACCTAGGCTGAGAAAAAAAGAGAGACAATCCAAATAAATAAAATTATAAATAAAAGACAACAAAAATGATGTCGTAATGGATGCCACAGAAATACAAAGGATTACTACAGACTACTATAAAGAATTATATGCCAATAAATTTGAAAACCTAAGAGAAATGGATACATTTCTGGATACATACAACCTATCAAGATTGAACCACTGAGAAATAGAAAACTTGAACAGACCAATAACAAGTAACAAGATTGAATCAGTAATAAAAATCTTCTAACAAAGAAAAATCCAGGACCAGATGGCTTCACCACTGAATTCTACTGCATCTTTAAAGACAAATTAATAAAAATATTTCTCAAACTGTTTTAAAAAATAGAAGCATAGGGAATTCTTCCTAATTCATTATATAAGGCCAGCGTAATCCTGATACCCAAACCAGAAAAGTACACAACAAAGAAGACAACCACAAAATATCCCTGATGAATATATATGCAAAAATTCTCAATAAAATACTATCAAACTGAATCCAACAATACATCAAAAAGATAAGACACCATGATTCAATGAGATGTACTTTAGGAATGCTAAGATGGCCCAGCATAGGCAAATCAATAAACATCACACATCACATCTATGGAATGAAGGACAAAAAACATACGATCATCTCAATTGATGCAGAAAAAGCTTTTGATAAAATTCAGCTTCCCTTCATGATAAAAAAAACACTCCTAATAAATTAGGTATGGAAGGAAATTGCAGTTTAATAATGATAATATAACAAACCCACAACTCACATCTTATTGAACAGGGAAAAGCTGAAATCTTTTCCTCTAAGAACTGGAACAAGACAAGGATGTCCACTCTTACCACTCTCATTCAACATAGCACTGGACATTCTATCGGAGAAATTTGTCAAGAGAAAGAAATAAAGGCCATGCAAATTGGAATGGAGGAAGTCAAATTTTCCGTTTGCAAATGGCATGATCTTGGGAAAGGGCAGTCTCTTCAATAAATGGTTCTGGGGAAACTGGATGTCTGTATGCAGAAGAATGAAACTAGACTCCTATCTCCTACCCTACACAAAAATAGACTCACAATGGATTAAAGCTTTAAATGTAAGACCTCAAATGATAAAACTATGAGAAGAAAACATGGGAGAAATTCTTCAGGACATTAGTCTAGGAAAAGATTTTATAATTAAGGCCTGAAAATCACAGGTGACAAAAGCAAAAACGGAAAATGGGACTTCATTAAACTAAAAAGCTTCTGCAAAGCAAGGGAAACAATGACTGAGTGAAATAACAGTCTACAGAATGGGAGAAAATATTTGCAAACTACTCATCTGACAGGTGATTAATATCCAGAGTACACAAGGAACTCAAATATTTCAACATCAAAAAAACAAACAATCTGATTTATAAAGTGGGCAAATGATATGAACAAACATTTATCAAAAGAAGACATACTACTGGCCAACAGATATACACAAAAATGCCCAACATCACTAATCATCAGGGAAATGCAAATCAGAACCACAATAAGGTGTCTTCTTACCTGTTAGGATGGTTATTAACAAAAAGACAAAAAATAACAAATGCTGGGGAGGATTTGTTATTTTTCTTCCTGGAAGAAAGGGAATGCTTAAACACTGCTGGTGGGAATGTAAACTAGTAAAGCCACTGTAGATAAGAATATGAACTACAAAAAACTACAAATAAAACTATCATATGACCCAGTAATCATACTACTGGGAATTTATCCAAAGGAAAGGAAATCATTATACCAAAGAGACTTCTGCATCCCCATATTTACTGCAGCACTATTCACAATAGCCAAGATATGGAATCAACCTAGTGTCCAACAACAGGTGAATGGACAAAGAAAATATGGTATATATTCACAATGGAATACTCTTCAGCCATAAGAAAGAATGAAATCCTGTCATTTACAGCAACATAGGTGGAACTTGAGGACATTTTGTTAAGTAAAATAAGCCAAGAACAGATAAACACTGCATGTTCTCACTCATATGTGGAAGCTAAAAACAGTTGATCTTATAAACACAAAAAGTAGAACAGAGGATAGTAGAGGTTGAGAAGAGTAAGGGGATGGAAAGAATCAGGAGAGATTTGTTAAAAGATAAAAATTACAGCTAGATAAAAGGAATAAGTTCTAGTGTTATATGCCACTGTAGGATGATTATAAATAACAATAATACATAGTTTCAAATAGCTAGACAGAGGATATTGAATATTTCCCAAACAAAGAAATGATAAATGTTTGAGGTGATGGATAGGCTAGTTACTCGGATTTGATTACTATCCATTATATGTATTGAAACATAAAAAAATACAAATAATTTCAAAAAGTGATCTCACAACCCATTAATAACATACTAGATTATTTAATCAAATTGCTATTTGCTAATTGTCTATCGCTGCAAACTCAAATGCTGGAAAACTATTTTCAAAATTATTTCAGAAGCATTAAATTCCCAAATAAAATAATAAGAAATTACCAGGCCAATCTTCAGGAAAAACTGGAAGTGTATAGACATAAACCTGACATTTGGAACCTCTTTTGCCCTTAGGATTGCTCATTTTGAAGAGCCTCTTAGAGTTGGTTGCATGAATGTTGAAGACTAGCACTTGCACAGCATAAGAATCCTCATAAATCACTGCATGATTACGTGGAGAACAAAACTGTACCTAAGAAGTAACAGTAATATGGAAGTAAAACAGCCCTCACAAAGACTGCAGCCTGAGTCACTTGAGTGGCCCAGAAAATATCAAGCCCTGGAATTGGATTAAGTTTATCTCATGGTGCTAGTGCCTATAAGTGCCTGGCAAAAGTTACAAATCCTCTTAGAGGAGGACAACATCTTTCTTAGCCTAAAATTATAAATTACTTCCATAGATAGTTAATTATAATATCCAGCTCAAAATTATCTATATGAAGGCAAACTAAGAGATGAATGAAAACCAGAAACAAAAGACAATATAGGCAGACAGATAAGGATTTCAAACATTGGAACTATTAGACCCAGATTTTAAACCAGTTATGCTTAGTAAGGCTAAGAAGATAAAAGACAAATTTGGAAATTTTGATAGAGAACTGAGGACATGCAAATGCCAGAGAAATTCTGACAAATAACTAAATAGAAGTTCTAGCATTAAACAATATTTAATAAACCCGACTCAATAAATGTGTTTTATAGAAGTTGAGATAGAACTGAAGATAAAATTATTAAAATGGAATGTAGGTCAAAGAAATTATCCTGAATGGCCAGGTGTGGTGGCTCATGCCTGTAATCCCAGCACTTTCAGAGGCCAAGGTGGGAGGATCGCTTGAGCCCAGGAGTTCAAGACCAGTCTGGGAAACATGGTGAAACCCTGTCTCTACAAAATACAAAAAAGAAAAAATAGCTAGGCGTAGTGGTGTGTGTCTGTAATTCCAGCTACTTGGGAGGCTGAGGCACAAGAATCACTTGAACCTATGAGGCAGAGGTTGCAGTGGGCTGAGATCATGCCACTGCACTCCAACCTGGGAGACAGAGTGAGATCCTGTCTCAAAAAAAAAATATTCTGAATGAAGTATAGAGAAAAAAACTGATCAGAAATATGGAGGAGATGGTGAGCAACACTGAGGTTACAATAAAAAGGTAAACATTTAATTGGAGAGAGAAGAAAGCAAGAATGAGGCAGAAGCAATACTTGACAAGATAATGACTGAGAGCTTCTCAAAACTGATAAAACACACCAATACACTGATTCAAGAATACCAAGAAATCACAAGCAGGAAAATTTGAAAGAAAAATTCATACTTAGACACATCATATCAAAATGCCAGAAAGTTCAAAGACAAAGAGAAAAACCATAAAAGTAAGGCTAAGACCGACTTTACCTTCAAAAAGATAGCAGTTAGATTAACATCAACAATAGAAACTAGAAAATAGTAGGGTAACATTTTCAATGTGCCTCCTAAAAACCTGACAACCAAGAATATTAAACCCAGAAAAAAATGTCTTTCAAGATTAGTGGTAAAAATATTAAAATTCAGGCAAACAAAAACTAAGAGAATTTACTGCTAGCAGACCAACACTAAAAAAAATAGAGGTGGAAGAAAAAGTGAAAAAATAAACTGGAAAAACTACAAAAGAAACACTAAACCTAGAAGGCAGAAGGAAAAAAATGATCACAGGTTGAAAATTGAGAAGAGAGAGAAGACTGGAGAACAGACAAAATCGTGACTATATCAGTAATACTAAATATAATTTGACTATATTAACAGTCGAATGGGGCTATATAATAAAAAACATAGAATTAAACTCCATCTCAAAAAAAAAAGAATTAAAATACCCCAAAATTATAGCACATAAGTCAGGAGAAAAATATTGAATTAAAGTATTCTAAGCTCCTTTTGCTCACTGGAGCCAAGTTCTGTACAAGGAAAAAGTAACATAAAGTATTGATTAGTGAAGGATTTTATTTTCTAGAGTAACTACTCTAAAAAGAATTAAGAAAGTATTTAACTTTCAAACAAAGAAAAAAGTGTAAAAATAAAAACATGCTGATCCTAAAGAAAAGAAAAAGGCAAAAAAAAAAGAAAAGGTGTACACTGGAAAGGAGATAATAAAACAGTAGATAAAAATCCAAATATTTCACTAATTGCATTAAGTATAAATGAAATATAGACAAAGCTTCTCAAACTAGATTTACATATACATGTATAAATACACATAAAAACACATTATTTCATAAGACATAGATCTAAAAACGTAAGGATTCATGAGGGTTAAAGTAAAATAGTGATAAAAATAAATAATTTAAACACTAAACAAAGAAAGATTGTGTAGCTTTATCAATATCAGACAAAGTAAACTTTAAGGCAAAAAATAACATTATTTAGGATCAGGATGGTCTATTTCTAATGATTATTCACCAGAAAGGGATAAAGATTCTGCATTTGTATGTACCTAAACTCAACTTCAAATGTTTATATAAGTAATATCTGAGAGAAATACAATAAGGAATTAAATAACTCCACAAAGTGGGAGATTTTTAATTTTTTTGACACTTTTTCAAACATGTACCAAAAATATTGATAATCTAATCAAATAACTAATCAATATATATAGAATATTTCACTCAACAGCTGCAGAAACACTTTCTTTTCAAACACAAACAACATTTACAAAATTAATTATTTACTTGGACACAAAGCATGTATTGAGAAATTTCAAAGGGCTAATAACATGCAGAGTTTCCTAATCACAATTCATTTAAGCAGGAAATGAAAAGCTTCAGTCAATCAAGAAAGAGGAGAAATTTTTCATATGGTTATAAATGAAAGCTTAAAGCTATAAACCACACATGATTAAAGAAGTAATCAAAATGCAAATTAGAAAGTACTCTTAACTTAGTTTTAACAAAATGCTATATTTCAAAATTTACAGACTATCCTAAATCAGGTTTTCTCAATTTCAGCACAATTGATGTTTAGGAATAAATAATTCTTTGTGGTGGCTGGCTGTCCAGTGCACTGTAGGATGTTTAGCATCCCTGGTTTCACCTGCTGAAGGCCAATAAGCATTTTCTCCTAGTGTAACCACGAAAAATGTCTAGAGATACTGCCCAATGTCCCCAGGCAGGCAAAATCACCCCAGGTTGAGAACCACTGTTCCAAAGAAAAGGGAAAGAAAAAAAAAAAAAAAAAAGACTGAACCTTATGAGTGAAGCATACATCCATTTATCCACTTAAAGAAGTTTTAAAAAATAGCTTATTAAAAGTTACAAATGAAGGGAAAATAAAGTAATAAATATAAGCAGAAAGTTAAAAAATAGAAAATGAAATAAAGGGAATCAACAAAGCCAAAATTTTCTTTTTGGAAAGATTAATAAAATTTATACACCGGAGGCAAGACTAATCAAGAATAGCAAGGAAAACACAAATAGCCAATAACAATAATGAAAAATAATTATAGGGGATCCTTTAAACATTAAAAAGATTAAATGATATTAATAACTTTTATCTGAATAAAACTTTGAAAAATTAGATAAATGAAAAAATGTCTAGAAAACTACATTCAAAAGATGAAATAGAAACCCTGAGTAATCCTAAAACCATTAAAATAAATCTATAATTTGATACCCCTCCTCCACTCACACACACAACAACAAGTATAAAACAAACAAAATACCACTCCAGGCTCTGGATGTCTACACTGGAAAATGGTACCAAACGTCGAAGGGAAAAATAACATCGATTCTCTACTAGAAAGAGAGGGAATAATGATCACCAATTCATTTTATGAAAAAGCAAAATCTTGATACTGAAAACCAACACAGAGTAAGAAAAAAAATTACAAGCCAATCTCATATGTAACCATAAACACAAAACCTCTAGACTCAATATTATCTAACAGAATCCAGCAATATACGAAAAAGATAAAATATTATGAGCAAATTGAATTTATTACAGGAAGATAAGATTAATTTAGTATCAGAAAATCAACCACATAATTTACTACATTAACAGATGAAAAAAGAAATATATGACTATTTCAACTGATGTAGAAAAAAAGCATTTGATGAAAGTTAACATTATGTCAAATGTGTTTAACAATCTAATAGTGTAATGGAAAATCTTTAATATGGGGCAGGGGTGATGGCTCTTGCCTGTAATCCTACCCAGCACTTTGGGAAGCTGAGGTGGGTGGATCACCTGAGGTCAGGAGTTCCACACCAGCCTGGCCAACATGGTGAAAGCCTGTCTCTACTAAAAACCCAAAAATTAGCTGGGCGTGGTGGCAGTCACCTGTAATCCCAGCCACTCGGGAGGCTGAGGCACGAGAATCACTTGAACCCGGGAGGCAGAGGTTGCAATGAGCTGAGAGCATGCCACTGTACTCCAGCCTGGGTGACAGACCAAGACTCTGTCTCAGAAAACAAGAAATTCTTTAATATGATAAAAGGGAACTACTACTTCCCAAAAAATCCTATAGCCACATCATACTTAAAATTAAAACATTTAAACCTTTCCCTTTGAAATGGGTAACACAGCAAAGCTGACCTGCACTGTGACCTGTAGCTGTGACGCTGCACGGAAGAGCCCAAGCAAAGTCAAGAGGCAATAAAACCAAACAAAAGATCAAGAACTTGGAAAGAAGAAATAAAACTGACATCATTCGTTGATAATATAATTGTGTACACAGAATATGCAAAAGGATCTATGGACAAGTTATTAACATTATTAAGAGAGTTTAGCAAAGCTGCTGAATACCAAATTAATTACATAAAAATCAACTATGTTTATATTCCAGCAACAAACAGAAAATGAAAAATTTTAAACAATAGTTATATTAGCATTAAGCTTTGCAGTACATTTTAGTTTTCAATCTATTTACATGTACAATTTTGACAAAAATTAAAAAGAACAAATCAACCAAACTGTCACTCAAAAAAGACGGCGAATAATTTGTTGTTCTCACTGTTGTCATAAAAGTTTTCAAACATATCTTTTCTTAAACAAAAAAGAAATCCATCCAATATGGAGTGCTTACCTTCAAAAACTCTGCTAAACAATTTGTTTCATTTACTCTTGAAACAACAAAGTGGTAGAAACATTTATCCTCATGTGTAGATTAGGAAGTGTGACAGGGTGGGAGCCATGCCTGGAACTCAAGTCTTTCTGACTTCAAAGTGCACACTATTTTCATGATATTTACCTTTTTAAAAACTAGTCTACTTAATAATAGACAAATCCCATTTATGTAAATGTTCATGTTCACCCAAAATGTCCTTTTGATAACACTTTAATATGATACTTGCAACATATCAATATCATTTCACTATACTACTTTTTAAACTAAATTAGTAACACATTTTAATTAAAGAATTTGACAAGTTTATATACTATATTCAATGTAATAGCCAGGACATAAAAATTAATTCTGGTACTTGTAGTCATCAAACGAATATTTTCCCAAGTAATTATGGTGAACCTTTGTAGTTTTGTTTCTATTATGAACTTATTGAATTAAATATTTTCCAAAATTTTTTCATAATATTCTGCATATTAGGTTTGTGGAAGGAGGTGAGGATAGTTAAAAAGCTCTGTAAGTATGAATGAGAGCAGGTCATCATTATTCTGCCCTTTCTACAGACCTTCAAGTTTATTAATTAATTTCACAAATAACCTACTGCATATCACCTGTCTGTGAGACCCTCATTCATTCATTTATGTATTAATTCAATGAGAATATATTGTGTGCCAGTCACCAAACTATGTTCTGGGGATATAGTTGTGAGCAAAAGAGACAAGGCCCCTGTCTTCATTCCAGCAGGGCCTTGTGCCCATGCAGAAAAAGTTACCAAACCCAAATGTGGTAGGATTTCCAAAGCCATAGAGAACACTCTCTACAGTGCTTTCTGGATGTGTAACCACCTCTCTCAGCTAATAACCTAACTGCTCAATGAATGATGCTACAGAGACTATAATGTTTTCCAATTTACAGTGAAAATTGATAGCCAGAAAAATGAATAATGGCTCTATCTATTGATTCTTTGATTAATGAGTTAAATGTAAAGTGACTAAAAGAGAGTATCCTTAAGTCTTATCACAATGACTATTTTAGAGGCCAGACCTCTAATCCTCATCTTACTTGGGCAGGTTGCATAAGAGAAGCAGTGGTAGACTCATAAACAAAACAGAACTCATGTTTCTATTTCAAGCATTTGGTGTTAAATAACTGGAGAGTGTTAGTAAAAAGCATGTTTGATCTGTGCTCAAATACTGAATTCCAGTTAATATGTATCTTGAAGTACTTAGAGAGAAGTACACTGATGACTGCAACTTGGTTCGAAACACCTCAAAAATATGATATATTGATGAATGGCAAGAGGCATGGATATGTGATAAGGGACACATTGAAATATTAATTGCAGAATCGAGCTGGGATGTCTGGATGTTCACTGCGCAACTCTTTCAATTTCTGTGTATGTTTGAAAATCTTTATAACAGCATGTTGAGAAAACGTGAAGTACAACAATGTTAACCAAAAGAAAATGTTCTTAAATCATATATTACTACTTTTCTGGAAATAACATTTAATTTCATTAATTTTTAATTATACAAATATGCCCAAGTACATTCTTGTAAAAAGTATTCAAACATTAAAGATATAATCTTCCTTGACCAACACCCCAAATCCTAGACCACTCTCTAGAACTAAACTTTGTTTTGAAATATATGTTTTCTCCAGATGTATCTGTATATATGTTTCTGGAGAAATATATCAGTCTTTCCCTCCCTCAAGTAGACTACTGTTCTATTAAGATGGGTAGCATTGATGTCTCTTTCAGTTCTATACATAGTATCTAGAGTTGTATCTGATGGATAGTAGGTGCTTAAGAAATATATGTTAAATGAATAATTAGGAATAATGAATAATTAAATTAGCCTGAAAACAGACTAATTAAATCAATCATAAATTCCAACAAATAACAGGATAGCAACAGTATACTATAGACAACCAGTTTTTCTATGATCTCCAAATGCCCATTTGGAGCTGGTCTCCCCAGTCCAACTGGACAAAAAGGCAACGTATTTAATTGATAAAATAAACATTTTCTAAAGTTAAGTAGTCTTAGCAAAGTATAATTTAGTAATTTACTCATTCATGCATTCATGCAGTCAACAAGCATTTATCGACATCCTTTGTACAAGGCGCTATGCTTAAGCCTTCAGGTCACAACAGAGTTTTCCACTATAGTATTATCGACATCTTCAACCAGACAATTCTTTGTTGTGGGGACTGTTCTGTGAATTGCAGAATGTTTACTGCAATTCACTGGTCTCTATTCACTACATGCCAGTAGCACCTCCTCCCAGTTGTGACAATCAAAAATGTTTCTAGATATTGCCAAGTGTCCCTGGGGGGGACAGTATTACCCCCAGTTGAGAACTGCTAGGTCACAATAAGGTTGTGGTCTCTAACTTCATAGGAAGAGGCCTTAGGCTTCTCTAACTATAAGTACCTGAAGGCTACACCACCCTCCCTAGCCCCTATCTCTTAGGTGTTTAGAAACTTATATTTTTAGAAACATAAGCAGAAAAAAATATCATTACAGTACATTTCCAGACAATAAAGCTACTATCCCTTCCTTTTTCAAATGGCCTGTACCTCCGCAGGAGGAAATGCAGATGGTGTTGAAGAGGCTGGAAGAACAAGATTAGAAATCATCCTCAATCCATCAAAGATGAGTTTTGCTCTCCTCTGATGGAGAAAATTTCTTGACCCTCTCTATAGAGCTAAATAAAACAAGCATAAATTTAATCTTTATTAGGGCATTATGCTACATACTTAGGCTCCCTAAGTCAGGAGAATTCCCTGACGGTCACCTGAAAAACTGAAATCTAACTCTTCAAATGTAATTTTGTAAGCACGGTACTTAGTATAAGGATTGGTACATAGTAGGCACTCAATAAAAACTTGTTGAACGGATAGATGAACCATGCTTTGTAATAGTAATGTATACCAAACTGCTGCTATTGTCTACAGAAATGTGCTGGCCCTGCTCTGTGATCAAAGAGCAGATATACACATTTTTTTCTTTTCATTTGCAACACTACGAAATGCATTTTGCTTTTTTTCATTGGACATTAACCTTTACGTGATGGTTAACCAACCTTCAAACCAATTTAATGAAGATACATTTTAATGAATAATTTTTTTAAAATAAAGTTTTAAAAATCTACATGCCAAAACCAAAAGGTTCATAAGGAATAATTCAGTTTAATGATATTATAAGAAATATTTCAATTCTATTTTATATTGTTCCATATTTCTGCTGGATGTTAAAAGTAAATGTGATTCATTAAAACCTCTTTCATTCATTATGAAAATAGAGTAGGAACTTATATTCATTGTAAATGAACTCATTACGGGAGTAATTTGCAAACTATATTAAGTCCTAACTTTCTAAAGGAAACTACATATTTTATTCACATTGCAAGCTAATTATCATTTTAAAAGTCCTAAACCATATTCCTTATTTTACAAATTTTGCTTTGCACAAATCCCTCCAGTTAGTTATATCTTCTACATAACAAATTATAGCCTGTATATCTGCCCAGCAGAATTATAATTTAACCACTTACATAAAGCTTGAAATAAAGGTAAAAATACTCACTTAGTGTATTCTATATTTATATGTAATTTTCTTTCCCTCTCTGATTTGTGTATTCCTGCCTTGACCCTGAGAAACTGTAAAATCATCTTCTCTTTCTTTTCTATTTTTGTAGTATGTCATTTTTTAAACTCTAAAATGCAACACAGAATTTAAGCAGCATGATAAGAGCTTTAAACACACAGTTTAACCCTCTTTGGAGACATAAAATCTATCATCCAAAGCAGGTTTGATGTACTTCCTATGTTACAAGACTCATAATACTGTTTATTACTGAGAACAGCACAGTACAATTTAGTTTCCCTAGGGAAAGAAAAAGGGCCTATTTATTACTCGTAGAGATGTCCCATACAATAAAGTCAGTCATTCTTTAGCAAGCTCTAATTGAGAAGCCAGAAGATGTTATTTTTGGAGGATAATTTGCTAACAAAAGCAATCTCACCAGATTGCTTCGGGATGGCATCAACATGGACTGTCAATAACTTTAAGTGAGTGTCAAGAAGAACCAGAGGGACAGGCTCACTTCTGCTGCTTGATCCCTTACCTGATTCTAAACGCCTCCACGGAGACAGATGACCACTAGTCAGAATTCTTAAATGGAAAACTTTGGCCTTTTAAATTTTTTACGATGTAGTTTCACAAAGCATCCCAGTTTAAACAACTATAGCTATTTAATCTTATTCAGGAACATGATAAAATAAATATTTAATGCTGGTAAGATTAAAAAAACTTGGATGTTAGTGCAGCTCAGATTCTAAATTTAAATAATAAGAGTATAATATAGGGATTGTTTATAAAGATAACTAAAACCTTAACATTTGAGTTAAAGTGTTGATGATTTAATATATAAATGAATGTCTTGATAGAGAAAGAAGAATAGATGATGTCAGATATAATTGCCTTATGAAAACTTAGTTGACTGTGTCAGTTTAAAATTTTTATTTTTCTAGAAATGGCTAAGATGAGTACCAGTGTTATTTTCCTTGGCATATACCTAGAAATTATTGGTGAACTATTCAGATCACATTTAATTATATTTCATCCTTTATTTTCTTCACAGGCCTCTTAAAATTAAACCTACTAGGTAGGAATAGAGTAATGCTGTGGTTTGAATGTATCTCCCAAAAGTTCATGTGTTGGAAATTTAATCCCCAACACAACTGTGTTCGGAGGTGTGATCTAATTAGAGGTGATTGGGTCGTGAAGGCAGAGCCCTTATGAGTGAACTAATGTCATTATCATGACAGCAGGTTGGTTATTGAGAGAGTGGGTTGTCATAAAATGCGTCTAGTCCTCGGTGAATCTCTCTTTCTCATGGGTTTCACCCATCCCTCTTCTGCCCTTTCACCACGGGATGATCCCCTCCAGATGCCAGGGCCATAATCTTGGACTTCCCAGCCTCCAGAACTGCAAGCCAAATAAACTTCTGTTCTTTATATTACCCTGTCTATAGTATTCTGTTATAGCAGCAGAAAATGAACTAAGACAAGTAGGTAGTAACAAAGTGTTCAGGAAAGCTTGCTAGATATAGAAGACGGTAATGAGTCATGAGCATCAAGCAATCTAGGACTTTTGTTTGTTTTTCTTTTATAAGAACAAATAAAAAATGTAGTCAGTCTCAAGCCACAAAACTAGGTATGCAAAAATATATCTTAATTTTAGCTTGATTTCTTTAAATCAACTTGGTAGCATATGCAACCTTACCCTCTGGAAATGATATCCAACCTTAGCTATTCTAGGGTCCTTCCCGCCTCCTCAGCTAACCTCCACCAAACCCCACAGATTAGGCCAAGGTTTGGAGGTGTGTTAGAGTGCACAGAAGCATTGAAAAGGTCTTTAGTCATCACCAAACTGTTTTACGCAGGTTTCCTCGTAGATCCAAACTGTCCTGCTTCACACAGTCTCTATTCTGTTAGTACTCTGGGGGCACAGAAATATTTGCAGACACTGAGAACTCAGGGGTAAGGTTAGCACTCCTGGATGTATCCCATGACCATTACCTGCTTAGGTCTAGCTACATAGTAGGGTGATAGCCAATAGCATTTCCTCTAATTTGTTGCAAGTAACATTCATTTTTATAGTATCTGGCTGGGACATCACCAGTGGCCCCTGAAGAAAGCGAATAAAGGTAACTAATCTCCACAGATGGGCCCCACATGAACCATGACTCCTGGTATTCAGACTCTTGAGCAGTCCCGTTCTACATTGAATGTGACTGATCCTGTGATTTGAATCAACAAATTGTGGCAGAAGTGAGCTGTATCAGATCTGGGCTTATGCCTGAAGAGCTGGCAACTTCCAACACTGCAGTTCTGGGAGCCCTGAGCCTCACTGCAAAATGTCCAGACACCATACAGATGGATACTTGGGAGAGGAAAATACAGAAAGGGTGGCCTGGCCAGGCGCGGTGGCTCACGCCTGTAATCCCAACATTTTGGGAGGCAGAGGCAGACAAATCACTTGAGGTCAGCAGTTTGAGACCAGCCTGGACAACATGGTGAAACCCCGTCTCTGCAAAAAAAAAAAAAAAAAAAAAAAAAAAAAAATAGCGGGGTGTGGTGGCTCATGCCTGTAATCCCAGCTACTTTCAAGGCTGAGGCAGGAGAATCACTTAGTGAGAGTCTGTCTCTAAAAAAAAAAAGAGAGAGAGAGAAAGAAAAAGAGGCCTGAAACTACATGTGGAATGACACCCAGTCCTGGCCACCATCTGACTGCAGTTATCTGGGAGACTCCAATTGAGACCATCAAAAATAAACAAATGTTCATCTAAGCCCCAGTCAACCCACAAAATCCTGAGAAATAACAAAATAGTCATTTTAAACTCAAACTTTTGGAGTGGTTTGTTTTGTAGTAATAGATAACCAAACAAATAGAGAAAAGGTATCTGCCATCTTGTATTAAATACTTACTGGTTAACTAAGACTGCCTTTATCCATTCCTTACCCTCTAGCTTTCTCTGTTCTATTGTTGCTTACCCAACACTACTAGAGTCCGGGAAAGTACACCATACCGGCATGATGTGCATTCCCTGCTTATTTTCCCATTCTGGCTCTACCGAAACATGGGGGAGGAGGTGAAGCTGTTTGATAGCAGAGAACGGGCTCCCCACCAACACCACCTGGGTCTCCTCCCTCTCCCCAACAGGAGCTGATATGGGCTGTAGCTCTTACTCTCCTACTCAGCCCCTATGCACCTGCTATGCACACATGGTGGAGGCTTCCGCTAGGGAAGTTGCCAGAAGACACTGTCTGGCTGGGTCGCACTGGCTGATGTGCTCTTGCCCTCCTCACTTGCCCTGCCCCCTGTGGACACACACGTCTCCCCGCCAGGTTCAGGCACCCGACCAGTGACGCGGCCGCACCCTGAGCCCTGTGCCCAGGCTGAGTTAACAGCCTTGTTCCGGACAACTGCTGAGAAAGCAGCTTCAGTTGGATGAACCCACCTGCCTCCACCCTGAGGGCTGCAAGGCAATCGTGGAGAGAAATCCAAGACTTTCAAGACCCTTATTTTTATGTCTTCTGGGCGAGGGGTGAGAGGCATGGACAATGGTGAAATTCAGGGTCGGTCCATGCCTCACCCCCAAATTCCGGGCGGGAGGAGTCACCACAGGGGGACCCTGCTGAGGGTTGGGCTCCCAGCGCAGGGTCTGCCCTTCCTTGTCTCTACTCTCTTGCTGCCTCTCGAGCGCAGCCCTGCAAATACCTTCTCCTGGGGCGCCAGGAATCTTCCAGGAGGATTTGTTACCATCAGAGCCTTTTCCTACTGCCTCCAGCTTCAGCTGAACGCATGCTTGCTTTCCACTTGTTCTCAGCTGTACACTAACATCAGGGGAGAGATGTTAAAAAATAGCCACTCCTGATCATGGGCTTTCTTTTGTTATACAGGACATTACTGAAAAAATGTAGAAAATCTCAATAAGGTTTACAGATTACATAATGGTATTGTTAACTTCCTGATACTTAATTATTGTTCTGTGGTTGTGCATGAGAATTCCTCATATTTGGGAACTATCTGGGGATAAAAGAGCATCATATCTGCAACATACTCTCAAAGAGGTTCAGAGTAATTATATACAGAGAGAGAGAAACAGGAGAGAGAGAGAGAGAGAGAGAGAGAGAGATTTGGCTGAAGGGTGAATTCTTTATTCTAATGCAACTTTTCTGCAGGTCTGAAATTATATCAAAGTTAAAAAAAAATCTTTTAAATGACTCATGCCTGGGTTCCACCAAAACTATTTAACCAGATTCTGGGAGTAGGGCCTGGGCATCAGTATTTGTAGTTTCCAGTCGATTCTGATGAGCAGCCCAAATTGAGAAACAGTACACCAGATCTGCCAATGGAAGGACCCTGTGAGGGAAACTGAAGAGCAAGGCCAGGAGATGGAAGTGAGAGCCAGCTTGTTCAAGCTCAGAGTGTACAAGTGCAGGTGGATGTAAGAGAGTTGTCAAAGCTGATTTTCTACTAGCATCTCCTGGGTTTGCTCCAGAGATATAGGTGACAAATGAAAATTACTTGACAAATAATGTATCTTTTAAACAACCATAAGCAATGATGTTGGCAGTGATGCCTTGTTATTATGGTGAGTAAGAATCTATTGCCCTCACTCCCACTCCACCAAGCACAACTCATTAAATTATCAGCTCGATTCATTTTTCACCTATTGGGATTTCACTCCCTTGAGTAAGAGTTAACCATGTCTTACAGAAATTAAATGTTTTAAAGTTTTAATGATATGGACAACTTTTAGGAATTTTTTCCTCTAGTCTGTGTTTCCAAACTATATATTTTACATATGCAGTATATTTTTGAACATGAATTGAAAGGAAGAAATCTTAAAGCAGAAATTACATAAATATCTTCGAGTTGCTGCAAGATTCAGAAGTTGGCAATGAATTTATCTGAGACCAGAATGTACATCTCCTTCACAGGAAGGTTTAGATTTTTATCATACATCATTTCTATGGCCAACATTTACTCCACTGAGAACTTCTAACTGTTTACACAAATGTTTCCATACATCATTAACAGGGGAGCTGTTTGAGATTATCCTCTTGAATTGGGATGCAGTGGCTGCAAGTAACAGAAACCCCAAAGCAAGTGGGCCTGAGAAACATGTTCTCGCTCCATATAAAGTCCTGATTTGGGGCCAGCTCTGTGATCAGATGGCTCCGCGGTCAGCAGTTGCATCTAGAATTGGATCTTTCTGTGCTCCCATGATGCCTTCCTCAGTGAGGTAGCTTTGTGCACAAGCTGCTTACTTTACGGTCCCAAGATGGCCACTGAATCGCCAGGACTCACAATGAGGCCCAACACAATGAAGAGAAGGGAGAGAACATCTCTTCATTGCTTATGTAGGAGCAGTAAGCTGTTCTCAAAATCCACCCAGTAGAATTCCCTTTGTCTCATATTGGCTGCAATTGGGTCACATTCCCATTTCTTTTTTTTTTTTTTTTTTGAGACGGAGTCTCACCCTGTCACCCAGGCTGGAGTACAATGGTGCGATCTTGGCTCACTGCAACCTCTGCCTCCTGGGTTCATACTATTCTCCTGCCTCGGCCTCCTTAGCAGCTGGGATTGCAGGCACCCACCACCATGCCCAGCTAATTTTTGTATTTTTAGTAGAGACATGGTTTCACCATGTTGGAGAGGCTCGTCTCGAACTCCTGAACTGGTGATCCGCCCGCCTCGGCCTCCCACAGTGCTGGGATTACAGGCGTGAGCCACCGTGCCCAGCCCACATTCCCATTTCTAGTGTAAACATTGACAAGGGGAATGAGATTGCCATGTTTGGTGTTGTCTACTCGGGATCCACATCTTGGAGCTGGAAAATGGGTTTGCATTCCCTAAAGTCTTACTCCTCAAAATGTGCTTCATAGAGGTGCAGAACTGGCTCTACTGGGGAGCCTGTTAGACATGCAGATTATCAGGCTCCTCCCCAGACCTACTGAGTCAGAATTTGCATTTTAGCTAGCTCCCCAGGTGACTCTCATGCACATTGAAATTTAAGAAGGCCTGCCCTAAAAACAGGGCCAAATGGTGGAAAGTGGATACCTAAACAACATATAAACAGGTAAGTTTTGTAGAAGGAAAATTGGCTGAGGGAAAACAGTCACTAGTTAGTTCTGAACCACATCTGCCATGCTATTCCTTTATAAAAGCACCACTTCTAATTGAGTCTGAATGTCTAAGGTGTATGGACTTAATAAAATCTTGAGTCTTTTAGGTCAAAAGGCATTGTTGATTTTTTTTTCCTTAATATGGATGCCTTTAGTGTTTTTAAGAAGTATATTTTTAAAAATATATTTCACCCCTCCTGTCCAGTGCTTTAAAAATAATAACTTTGGGAAAGGAGAATGGAGGTGAATTCCTTGCTTTTGATCATCCGTGTTTCTTAAGAGTGCCATTCTCTTTTATCTGCACTGAAGCGAGTTGTAGTTCCAATAAAATTGTGGACTCTTGGGGGTATCAGTGACCCCTGCTTCTTCAGTCACAGACATAACATGACTTATTTTGAGGCCATTAGAATTCTGAGCTCATGGTGCACTGGCAAATGGGATCTCTGCTCATAGGCATTCTCCTTTTCCCCATCAGGTTCAAAGATAAAATCATTAAGATTTTCAAGAAAGCAGTAGCAGAGCGTTGAACCAAGCATGAGTTCTTTCTTGGAGGCTACTTCCTTCCTAATGGTTCTATCCAGGAAGTTGGGCTCAAGGACCTTCTATTTTATTACTTCCTGTTGCCACTATCCCAGTTCTAAAGGAATTGTTTATCTAGTTTTGAAAATGAAAGCAAATCTTTCCCCTTTAGTTTTTCCTAAACCTTGTGTCTATACCCAGAATTCTCTCCATTTCCCTAAAGGCTTAAACCATTTGCTCAGACCGACCAAGAAAGCACATGGGCTTTGTGTGTCCCTATCTCTGCCCCTATTTCTTGACTCTTTTCCAGGTTGGCCACTGTGGAGGAGCTTTCTGGGATCTTCCTTGTGTTTTCTGGCGCCTTACTTCCCCTGCTGGTTTTACCTGTTTGATAGATAATTGGTAAAGAACACCTAGCCTATCCTGGCTTTTTTTTCTAGAGTCTGGTTTTGACCATTTTGTTTCCAGTTGCAAAGTCACTACCCAGATCAGATTTCTTAGGACTAGAACAGCTTGATTAAGTCTTCCAGGTGTGGAGAGGCTCTGGAAATGTGCTCAGGCAGCTTTATTCTCAAGAACTAATGCATTATGGTTAAATAGGGCTGTATAGGTCAAAATAAATTGGCTCCATGGAAGAGTTAAAGATGCAATGAAAACTATGCCATTTATTCCTAATTTTGTAATAAAATATGACTGACACCAAATAAAATATGACTGACACCAAATTTCTCCTTCAACACACATTCTTTAAAAAAAACTCGATAAAATCATTCTTATTGAGAACAGATTTTGATGTTTCTTTTAGCTCCTTAAATAAATAACCAGATTTCTTTTAAACACAAATTATACGGATATAGTTAATTATATGTAAATGAAAATGTATTTAAAATATTTGATATTGCTGTGTAAGTAATTAGTCAGAAGCAATGTGAAAACCATATTGACTGAAAGTATTTTTATTTTAAAATTGTCTGCCTTGCAAAAGGAAACTGGCATAGACTACTGAAGGAATATTTCTCTCCTAAACACTTTATTGGACTGCCTGTGTACATAGAAAAAGCAGTCTCCCTATGTGAATATATGGGTGTTAAGGTAAATGGAGGGAACTTTAGAATCACTTACAATCATTTGTTTATAGTCATGGTTCATAGATGAAGGAAAAACAAATTCTGGCAAAGTAAAAACAAGTTTAATTGCCTTTCTCACCGTTATTATCTCATTAAAGTCAAGCGCTGAAAGCCTGACACTTCCAAGTAAGAGCAAATTACTTTGCATACATATCACTACCTGTTTCTTTATCAAAATTCAAGTGGGGAGCACTTGAGAAGAAAAAGAACATACGATTTTTAGGTCACAGGAATAAGGGTACAGAGAGAAGGTTGTGTATTGATAAAGGCTATTGCATTATGTCACTCCAGAGGGCACCATTTACACTGCATTCCACATCAGGCAACACAGTGACCCTGGCATTCATTTTCCCATTGTTTCTTAATGTTTCTTCTCATTTCCAAATTTGGAACAGAGGTTAGAAACATGGTGACTGCTTAGTTTTGGATCATCCCACTTCTCCTGGAAACCAAATAGAGCAACAAGGAGAACAAAAATAAAGTGATGAAATACATTTTTGGTGAAAGTAGGAGACAGAGAAAAATCCACAAACTCCAAATTATGTGTAAGTGTGGCCAAAAGAAACTGAGATCAGCAAGTCCTGTGCAGGAAGCTGTCACAGCGTACTGGGGTAGAACAGGGAATAGAGAGGAGGCCTTTTGGTATCAAATGTCAGAAATCAACAAATATCCCATTCTAAGGAAGACATATTTTAACAAATTAAATATAAGACAGTATAATTGCTGGAGAAGGTAGAGAAAGGCATGAAAATTTGGAGTAGAACCCAGAGAAGACAAATATCAAAAAGTGACACCTTAAAAAAATAAAAAGAAGAAGAAGAAGAAGAAAAAGAAAGAATGTTTTGGAAGACAGGGGCTATGTCTCCTGGTAGTAGCAGCCAGCGAAGGACCCTAAGGAGTTCAGGAATGGTGATAGAAGCATTCCAAAGTCCAGTCAGTTTCTTAGAGCCAAAGGAAGGCTGGCTACACAGCTTTATCAGCAAGAAACAATCCATCATGGTAGCAACAAAGGAAGAAAAAGCAGAAAAACCCTGGAAACTCATCTATTCCCACCGCCCACCTTGTACTCCACAGAGAGAGGAACTTCTGCAAATAACTAGTCCAGGACAATGCAAGTCATTCAAATTTGGTAACAGGAATAAAAATAAACTGATTTTCAGTTTTAGCTTTGACAAGTGAAGAGCTCAGGAGTCGTCACACCATCCTTATAACAAGCAAAGGCTGAACAAACTAAAAATCAATAACATATCTTAGATATATTAGAGAACTGAGGTTGCAAGGCAAGTCACCACCCTGAAATCTGGAGAGACAGGTGAATCTAGGTTGCTGGAGACTGAGTGTGGACTAACTTGAGAATGAGAATATCTTGGGGGCATGCCTTTTGGTAGGCTTTGCCTCCAGGAGTCATACCAACGTCTCACAGTGAAGATCCAAGAAGCCCCTCATGACTCTAGGAAGAGAAAGCAGAAAGAGTAATTATTGTGAAATATACCCAGAGTATTCTCCATAACAAAAGCCTATTCTCCAGGGGGAAAGAAACTGTAAGAGCTTTATCCCATCCAGTGGAAGGGCCTTCTCTGACTTCATCCTCCTCTAATCTGTCTCAACTAAAGGGTGGGGGTTAGGGAAGATAAACTAAAAAACATTTGAAGAGGTCATGGTCCAGGAACACAGGCTCTGAAAAAGAATAAAAATTAATCATAAGATTATAGAATGCTTTCCCTGTCCCATACCTTACCACTACAACAACAGGACTCTAGTAGAACGGTGAATTTAAACTATAAGAGCTGCAAGGTGCCCTCAGAGGAGGAGTTCTTAGGGAAGTTTGAAGACAATAAGAAGACAAAAACAATGACATCAGAGGAATTTGAAGCCTTTGGCAACTACAGCTACAAAAAACATGAAATATAGCCCAGTTCTTCGCCAAATTAACATAAAACTTTACACTAAAAGTTGATTTACTATTAACCAATTTATTATGTCTAGCTTTCAACAAAAAATTACAAGGTATGTTGAAAGGCAGAGAAAACAGTCCAAAGAGACAAAGTAAGCATCAGAACCAGACACAGATTATAGAATTATCAGATGGAGAATTTAAAATAAATATCATTAATATGTTAAGACCTCCAATGGAAAAAGTAGACAACACGCAAGAACAGATGAATAATATGAACAGATAGAGAGATGGAGACTCTAAGGAAGAGTCAAACAGAAATGCTAGAAATCAAAAGCACTATAACCAAAATAAAGAATGCTGAACATTTTTGATGGGTTCATCAGTAGATTAAACATGGCAAAAGAAACAATTAGTGAGCTTGAAACTAGGTCAATAGAAACTTCCCAAACTAAAATACAAAGAGAAAAAAGAGTGAGAAAAAAATAGAACAGAACATCTAAGAACTGTGGGACAGTTTTACAGGATGTATCATAAGTGTAATTGAAATACCAGAAGAAGAGAGAAGTAAGCAAAAAACAAACAAAAAGTGTTGAAATGAATAATAGATGAAAATTTTTGAAAATTAATGACAATCACTAAACCATAGATACAGGAAATGCAGAGAATGCCAGTCAGGATAAATATCAAAATGTCTGCACCCACATATATGTTATTCAAAATGCAGAAAACTAAAGACAAAGAAAAAGTCTAGAAAGAAGCCAAGGAAATAAAACACCTTACGTACTGGAGGGAAAAGTTAAGAATTATAGCAGGCTACTCATCAGATGCCATGGAATCAAGAAGAGAGTGAAAATTTTGATGTGCTGAAAGAAAAAAACCCACCAACATAGAATTCTATATCCAGAAAATTATTCTTCAAGAAGAGAAGAATAAAGACTTTGTCCGACAAATAAAAACTGAGAGAATTTATTGCCAGCAGACCTGCTCGAAAAGACAGGCTAAAAGAAGTACCTCACAGAGAAGAAAAATCAGATAGTTCTAACACTTAGATGCTCACATGAAAAGAAAAATCATCATAGAAGGAATATATAAAGGTAAATTGTAATCTGTTTTCCTTATTCTTAATTGATCTAATGGATAAATGTTTGCTCAAAGTAGTAACAGTAACAATGTATTCAGTGATTTTAGCATAAGGATAAGTGAAATGAATAACAATTTTATAAAAGATAGGAGGAAGAAATTGGGAACAGTTTGTTATGAGATACTTGTCCTACCCATGGAGTGGTATAGAGTTATCTGAATGTAGACTTGCATTAGTTGTAAATATATACTACAGCATCTAGGGCAATCATTATAAAAATTTTTAAACAAGTATAGTTAATATGCCAAGAAAGAATATAACATTAAATCACTTAAAATGTGCAATTCAAACCAGATAAGACAGAAGAAGATGAGGAGGAAGAAACAAAGAACAAGTGTAGAAAATAGTTACAAACATGGTTGCTATTAATCAAATTATATCAATAATAATTTTAAATGTGAATGGTCTAAATATATTAATTAAAACAGGTTGGAAGAGGGGATTAAAAATATCCAACTATATTTTGTCTACAGGAAACTCATTTTAAATATAAAGACTCAGAAGGTTAAAAGTAAAGGAACAGAAAAGGCTATGCCATGCTACACTAATCAAAAGAAAGCTGGAATAGCTATATTAATTTCAGGCAAAGCAGACTGCAGAACAAAAGAAATAATTATCAGAGATAAAGAGAAGTATTACACAATGATAAAAGCATCAATTCTCCAAAATGACATGACAATCAACAGTTTAAAGAAGAAAATAATATTATACTAACTAATGCAGAAAAAGTGTTGACAAAAATCCAACACACATTCATTTAAAAAATTTTCATCAAGCTAAGAATAGGGAAGCTTACTTAACTTTATAAGGAACATCTACCAAAAACTTACGGCTAATATCATAATTAAACATGAGAAACTGGATGGTTTCCCTCTATAACGGGAAATAGCAAGGGTGCCCTCTTTCACAAATTCTGTCCAACATTATACTGGAAATTCTAGCTAGTACAATTAGAAAAAAGGAAATAAAGAGATATGGATTGGGAAAGAAGAAACAAATCTGTCTTTATTTATACATGACATGAATGTCCATATAGAAAATTCACCCCTCAAAAAAAAAAATCAACAAAAAACTCCTGTAACTAGTAAGTGAGCACAGCAAGGTAACAGGATATAAGGTTAAAATCACTAATAGTGGTGGTATCCCCTTCATCATTTTTTATTATCTCTGTTTGATTCTTCTCTTTTTTATTGTTTATTAGTCTGGCTAGTGGTCTATTTTGTTAACTTTTTCAAAAAAAATTCCTCCTGGATTCATTGATTTTTTTGAAGGGTTTTTTTGTGTCTATTTCCTTCAGTTCTGCTCTGATCATGTTATTTCTTGTCTTCTGCTAGCTTTTGAATTTGTTTGCTGTTGCTTCTCTAGTTATTTTAATTGTGATGTTAGGGTGTCGATTTCAGATCTTCCTAGCTTTCTGATGTGGGCATGTAGTGCTATAAATTTCCCTCCTAACACTGCTTTAGCTGTGTCCCAGAGATTCTGGTATGTTGTCTCTTTGTTCTCATTGGATTCAAAGAACTTCTTTATTTCTGCCTTAATTTCATTATTTACCCAGGAGTCATTCAGGAGCATGTTGTTCAATGTCCACGTAGTTGTGTGGTTTTCAGCGAGTTTCTTAATCCTGAGTTCTAATTTGATTGCACTGTGGTCTGAAATACAAACAACCATCAGAGAATACTATAACCACCTCTACGCAAATAAACTAGAAAATCTAGAAGAAATGGATAAATTCCTGTACACATACACCCTCCCAAGACTAAACCAGAAAGAAGCTGCATCCATGAATAGACCAACAACAAGTTCTGAAATTGAGGCAGTAATTAATAGCCTACCAACCAAAAAAAGCCCAGGACCAGGTAGATTCACAGCCAAACTCTACTAGAGGTACAAAGAGGAGCTGGTACCATTCCTTCTGAAACTATTCCAAACAACAGAAAAAGAGGGACCCCTCCCTAACATATTTTATGAGGCCAGCATCATCCTGATACCAAAACCTGGCAGAGACACAACAAAAAAAGAAAATTTCAGGCCAATATCCTTGATGAACACCAATGCGAAAATAAATACTGGCAATCTGAATCCAGCAACACATCAAAAAGTTTATCCACTATGATCAAATTGGCTTCATCCCTGGGATGCAAGGCTGGTTCAACATATGCAAATCAATAAACATAATCCATCACATAAACAGAACCAATGACAAAAACCACATGATTATCTCAATAGATGCAGAAAAGGCCTTCAATAAAACTCAACATCCCTTCATGTTAAAAACTCTCAATAAACCAGTTATTGATGAAACACATCTCAAAATAATAAGAGTTATTTATGACAAACCCACAGCCAATATCATACTGAATGGGCAAAAGCTGGAAGAATTCCCTTTGAAAACCAGCACAAGACAAGAATGCCCTCTCTCAGCATTCCTATTCAATATAGTATTGGAAATTCTGGCCAGGGCAATCAGCCAAGAGAAATAAATAAAGGTATTCAAATAGGAAGAGAGGAAGTCAAAGTATCTCTGTTTGCAGATGACATGATTGTATATTTAGAAAACCCCACCATCTCAGCCCCAAAACTCCTTAAGCTGATACGCAACTTCAGCAAAGTCTCAGGATACAAAATCATTGTGCAAAAATCACAGGCATTCATATACACCAACAATAGACAAGCAGAGAGCTAAATTATGAGTGAACTCTCATTCACAATTGCTACAAAGAGAATAAAATACCTAGGAATACAATTTACAAGGGATGTGAAGGACCTCTTCAAGGAGAACTACAAAACACTGCTCAAGGAAATGAGAGGACACAAACAAGTGGAAAAACATTCCATGCTCATGGATAGGAAGAATCAATATTGTGAAAATGGCCATACTGCCCAAAGTAATTTATAGGTTCAGTGCTATTCCCATCAAGCTGACATTGACTTTCTTCACAGAATTAGAAAAAACTATTTTAAATTTCATATGGAACCAAAAAAGAGCCCGTATAGTCAAGACAATCATAAGCAAAAAGAACAAAGCTGGAGGCATCATGCTACCTGACTTCAAACTATACTACAAGGCTACAGTAACCAAAACAGCATGGTACTGGTATCAAAACAGGTATATAGAACAATGGAACAGAAAAGACCTCATAAATAATACCACACATCTACAACCATCTCATCTTTGACAAACCTGATAAAAACAAGCAATGGGGAAAGGATTCCCTATTTAATAAATGGTGCTGGTAAAACAGTCTAGCCATATGCAGACAACAGAAACTGGACCCCATCCTTACATCTTATTCAAAAATTAACTCAAGATGGATTAAAGACATAAATGTAAAACCCAAAACCATAAAAACCGTAGAAGAAAACCTAGGCAATACCATTCAGGACATAGGTATGGACAAAGACTTAATGACTAAAACACCAAAAGCAATGGCAACCAAAGCTAAAATTTACAAATGAGATCTAGTTAAATTAACGAGCTTCTGCACAGCAAAAGAAACTTTCATCAGAATGAACAGGCAACCTACAGAATGGGAGAAAATTTTTGCAATCTATCCATCTGACAAAGGTCTAATATCCAGAATCTACAAGAAACTTAAACAAATTTACTAGAAAAAAACAACCCCATCAAAAAGTGGGCAAAGGATATGAACATACATTTCTCAAAAGAAAACATTTATGCAGCCAACAAACATATGAAAAAAGCTCATCATCACTGATCATTAGAGAAATGCAAATCAAAACCACATGAGATACCATCTCACGCCAGTTAGAATGGCGATCATTAAAAAGTCAGGAAACAACAGATGCTGGTAAGGATGTGGAGAAATAGGAACGCTTTTACACTGTTGGTGGGAGTGTAATCAGTTCAACAATTGTGGAAGACAGTGTGGCAATTCCTCAAGGATCTAGAACCAGAAATGCCATTTGACCCAGCAATCCCATTACTGGGTATATACCCAAAGTATTATAAATCATTCTACTATAAAGACACATGCACACATATGTTTACTGAAGCACTATTTACAATAGCAAAGACTTGGAACCAACCCAAATGCCCATCAATGATAGACTGGATAAAGAAAATGTGACACATATACACCATGGAATGCTATACAGCCATAAAAAGAATGAGTTCATGTCCTTTGCAGGGACATGGATGAAACTGGAAGCCATCATTCTCAGCAAACTAACACAGGAACAGAAAACCAAACACCACATGTTCTCACTCATAAGTGGGAGTTGAACAATGAGAACATATGGGCACAGGGAGGGGAACATCACACATCAGGTCCTGTTGGGAGTTGTGGGGCAAGGGGAGGGAGAACATTAGAACAAATACCTAATGCATGTGGGGCTTAAAACCTTGATGACGGGTTGATAGGTGCAACAAACCGCAATGGCACATGTATACCTAAGTAACAAACCTGCACATTCTGCACATATATCCCAGAACTTTAAGTAAAATTCAAAAAAGAAAATACTAACAATATCAAAAAGTGCATTAATGTATCAAAAATGATAATATTGAAATCAATTGCTTTTCTATATACCAGCAATGAACAATTGGAATTTGCTATATATTTTTAAAAATACTATTTAAACTGGTGCTCCAAAATTAAACAATTAGATGGAAATCTAAAAAAAATATGCACAGAATTTATATGCTAAATAGTTGCAGTGGCTCATGCCGGTAATCCCAGCACTTTGAGAGGCTGAGGTAGGCTGATCACTTGAGCCCAGGGGTTCTAGACCAGCCTGGGCAACATGCAAATCCTGTCACTACAAAAATTAGCCAGGTTCGGTGGTGCATGCCTATAGTCCCAGCTACTCATGAAGCTGAGGTGGGAGGATGGCTTGAGCCTGGGAGGTAGAGGTTGCAGTGAGCCGAGCTCGCACCACTGCACTCTAGCCTTGGCAACAGAGTGAGATCCCAATAGATATATAAATAAATAAATAAATAAATAAATAAATAAATAAATGGAGAAATAATTTATGATCATAAATGGAAGATTCAATATTGTGAAAATATTAATTATTCTCAATTGGTTCTATAGTCAATGCAATCTCAATAAATATCCCAGCAAGATATTATGTAGGTACTGACAAACTGAATATAAAGTTTATGTGGAAATGCAAAAGACCTAGAACAGTGAAGATAATATTGAAGAACAAACTTTGTGAATTCTCACTACCTGACTTCAAGACTTACTACAAAGCTCTAGTAATCAAGCCATAGTAATCAGGAAAAATGTAGACATATACATCAAAGGAACAGAATAGAGAGTCTAGAAATAGGCTTATACAAGTATAGTAAACTGATATTTGACAAAGGAGCAAAAACAATTCAATGGAGAAAGGGTAGAGTTTTCAACAAATGCTGCTGAAACAATTAGATGTCTACATACAAAATAATGAACGTATACACAGATCTTACACCTTTCACAAAAATCGACCCAAAATGAATTAGGTCTAAATGTAAAATGCAAAACTGTGAAACATCTAGAAGTAAATATAGAAGAAAATTCAGGTAACTTTGGATTTCCCAGTTAGGCTTTAGGTAAAACACCAAAACATGATTCAAGAAAAAAAAGATAAGTCGGACTTTATTCTGCTCTGTGACAGACACTGTTAAAATAATGAAAAGACAAGCCACAAACCTGGAGAAAATATTTGCAAAATAAATATCTGATAAAGGACTTGTATCCAAAATATACAAAGAACTCTAAAAATCCAGCAATATGAAAACAATCACATTTTAAAATGGGCCAAAGATCTGAACAGATACCTCACCAAAGAAGATGTACAGATGGCAAAAAAAGCATATGAAAATACGTTCAATATCATTTATCATCAGGGAATTGCAAATTCAAACAACAAGATACTACTACATAACTATGCAAATAACTAAAAAAATTTTTGACCCTGACATTACCAATTGGTGGTGAGGACATGGAGCAGTTGGAATTCTCATTTATTCCTGTTGGGAAAAGAAAATCATACAACTACTTTGGAAAAAAGTTTGGCAGTTTCTTACAAGCTAAACATAGTTACCATATGATCTAGCAATCATGTTGACTTGAAAACATATGTCCACACAAAATCTGCACATGAATGTTTGTAGCAGCTTTATTCATAATCATGAAAAACTAGAAGCAACCATAACTACAATGGATTAAAAAATAGTGGTATGTCAGGCAGGAGTACTGGCTCCTGCCTGTGCTCCCAGCTACTTGGGAAGCTTAGGTGGGAGGATTACTGGAGCCTGGGAATTCAAGGCTGCAGTGAGCCATGATTGTGCCACTGCACTCCAGGCTGAGTGATAACAGCAAGACCCTGTCTCAATAATAATAATAATAATAATAATGGTACATCCACACAATGGAATATTATTCAGCAAAAACTAAAAATGTGTGATCAAGCCGCAAGCATGGCAAATCTTAAATGCAAATTGGTAAGTAAATAGAAGCCAGCTTGAAAAAGCTACATACTATATATTTCCAATCATAAGATAATTTGCAAAAGGCAAATTATAGGAATAGTAAAAACATTAATGATTGTCACGGATTCAGAAAGAAGTTGGGGAAGGTTAAATAAGTAAAGTGTAGGGAAATTTTTAGGGAAGCAAAACTATTCTTTGTGACACTATAATTGCAGATAAATAACATTAAGCATTGTCAAAATCCAAAGAACTTTACATTACCAAGACTAAGCCTTACTGTATTAAAAAATTTAAAAACTCATTTAGGATGGAATGTAGAATGTGACAATTATCTAACTGTATTAAAAATGTATGAAACAATCTTACTTAAGGGACTAAGGAAAAAAGTTACTGACCTAAGAAACTTGGGAAATGAAGGGAGTCTATAAGACTGAAGGCATATATATATATACTTTTATATATTTTCTATATAGTGTGTATATATAGTTTATATATAGTGTATATTATAATTTATATATAAACTATATGTAGTTTATATATATAAATTATATATTTATATATAAATCTTTTCCATCTTTATAATACATGTATATATTTATATATTTGTCTTTATATATATTTATAAAATATATTAAAACAAAAAATTGTTTACACATATAAACATATTAAAATATAGATATATAAATATATATAAGTACTGTACTCTAATAAGATTGTTTATCAACAATAGAGGTGATACTTATTAACAATTTTGATATTAGTATATACTATTATACAGAAGAATTAAGTAAATGGAGTAGTGGATAGTTGGCCCAGGTTTCTCAATATTGGAGCCAGAGGTTATGCATAAGAAAGGGGAGGGTGATCCATGTGGTAATGGTTGGTGTTGGAAACATTGATATGAAATGTATTCAGTTGAATACAGATACAATGGTTACCTGTAGAAGTATTTATAGATATGTGTATATATCCAAATTAGTATTCAAGCATATTGTTTTTGTTCTGTCATCTAAGAAGACCTAGAAGCAACAACACAGTAGTGACAAGCACACACAGTGCCTAGACTAACATGATTCTCCAGTGAAAGGAACCAGGGCTCCTTGAAGAAATGGAGGATTCCAGGGCTGAGGCAGGAAATATACAAGATAACCCTGGAGCAGCTTAATGTCAGAAAGTAAGAAAGTGCAAATAAATAAATAACCTGCAATGAAAGAAATATGTCAAAGGGACACAAGAGCCAACTGAAAGAGCTACCAATGGCCAAAGGTTGAACAACTTCAGCAACAAAATAAATAAAGTACTATTGGATTATAACCCAATAAATTAAATAAATAACCATGAGTTAATATTGGTATAAATGCTTAAATAAATAAATAAGAGAGAATGCTCACAGGCAGAAAAATTCTACATAATTTATATGTATATATACTCTGTCCTGAAAGAAGTAGCCATAACTCCTTACTCCTTAAGGATAACCTAGATATAGTAACTTCCTTCCAAAGAGTACAGTAGGGAAAAGGAGGGAAAAGTACAACTTTGCAGTAGAGAAACATGACAAACACTACCCCAGTCAGGATATCAGCAATGATAAGCCATGTTGACATCATGTTTTTTTTTTCTTTTTTTGAGATAACGTCTTGCTCTGTAGCCCAGGCTGGAGTGCAGTGGCGCGATCTTGGCTCACCCAAACTCTGCCCCCTGGGTTCAAGCAATTCTCCTGCCTCAGCCTCCAAAGTAGCCGAGATTACAGGTGCGCAGCACTGCACCCAGCTAATTTTTTATATTTTTAGTAGAGACAGGGTTTCACCATGTTGGCCAGGCTGGTGTTGAACTCCCAACCTCAGGTGATCCACTGGCCTCGGCCTCCTAAAGTACTAAGATTAGAAGCGTGAGCCACAACGCCCAGCCAAAAAAAAAAAAAAAAAATTCAATAAAACTTACCATGCAATTCAACAAATTTACAAAACACAATTCAATAAATGTATACATTGAAAAAGAACACTATAATGCAGATCAATTTAACCCAGAACAGTCAATGCTAAGCTATATACTGTTAGAATTATTAAAATTTAATACAAGGAAAGAATTCTTTGGGCATCGAGATGAGATCAATTCATTTATAAAGGAAAGAGAGTTAAGCTGGCATCAGACCTTTCCATTACAACATTTAATACCAGAGCATGTGGATCAACTACAAGATACCCATGAAAAGTATACGCAAGCCACGCATTTTGCAGCCCGCCAGACTGTCCTTCAAGAGTAAAGACTAGAAGCAAAGAGTTTTGGATATGAAAATTAGAGTGGTTGGGGAAGGCTGAGGGAGAGGAAGATGAGGGTAGAAGGGGTTACACCAACCTTTTTTTTACTAATATTATACTGGCAAAGGACTAACCCTAAAATGTCTTCAGAACTTCTAGATCATAGATTTTCAAATGAGACCTTACAAGAAGAAGTGATAAAAAGTTTCAGATAGCTCTAGCTTCTGCCATCTTGAGTAATAAAATATGATTTACTGCTCTGCACCCTGCCAAGGATTACTCAAGATACATAGACTCATGTTGACTTAGGATTGCTGCTAAAAATGAATTGACAGCAGTATGATTTCTGGATTTAAAAGAGGTCATAAACAGACTTTGATAAGTGATATTTTATGTAGTTTATGACCTACTTATCTAAAAGCAAAATATGTAACATAAAAACTAAGCCATCATAACAAGAACTTTAGCTTTTTAAATAATAAAACCTAACTATCAAACTTAATCTTTCAATAACCTTGCTAAAGTACAATGATACCAGAAGTGCTCATGACAGTGTTTTGGCAATAAAAAAATTTAGTTTCAAATGCCACTGATTAAGTTAATTTCATTTGCAGGTTCAAATCTTCTGATTCATGTTATCAAAAATGGAATTTTTTTCTTGCATAGTGATTTAACGTTGAAATAATCCTTAAAAAGAGAGTGTATCATCTTTGTCTAAGTTAAAGCTCAATAATTTTCTTGGCTATGTACCCCAATCTAATCTGGAAACTTGTTAGGTAATAATATCAAAAAGTGGCAATTTATTTAGCTATTAATGTTTAAGAAGAGGTCCATGGGGACTTCCTCTGTAATTTTTTTCTTTTTGCTCTGCATATCCACTTAGATGGATTACTTCTACTCATTGTACCTGGCAGTAAAAGATGAAATACATGTGTACCCTTCATTCTTACTGCTATTAACAAAGAGCTCCATGAAGTCATTTTTCTACTAGTTTGTAATTTTGGGGAGAGCGTAGGAATCATTATGGACCCTTTTGAGAATATGATACAAGTTATAGGCCCTCTTCCTGGAAAATTTTCCGTTTTACATACTCTTTGCATATCATTTCAGGAGAGTTGAGGACCCTGAAGCCCACATATAAAGCCCCTCAGAACGTGGACCCCAAGTTAAGCATTCTTTTTTTTTAAAGCATTCTTAATCTAACCGTTCATTAAAAGACACTCAGAAATTAGGTTTTTAATAATGGATTTTTAGCTCATCTCAGTCACACATTCTGGTAAGCCATATTCTTGAAAAATAATTCCTTAAAGTAAACCTAAATTACATAAAGTCTCTTATCTGTTCTCCTCTTATTATTTTATGGTAAAGATCCTCTTTGGAAATTCCCTTCTTAATTTGAAAACTTATATTGGGCTGCAACTGAACTCCTACTTTTGAGCCTTAATTGCTATAAGCTTTCTTTGAATCTTTGTTTTTCTAAATGGTATAATATATGTGAATTAGTAAATTATGATTATAATTATTTTTAGGCACTAATAATTTCAGTAATGCATATTTTCTAAATTTGAGAAATAAAACATTCTGTGTTGTCTTTAAATTTGGACATGATAATCCCACAGTGGTTACTCCTTTCTGTTCAAACAGGATTTGTAACTTGGCCAAATTCACATTATACTAAATGTGGATGGAACATTGCATAGTTTTGTAAAAAGTACTTAAGACCAGGGTTGATTTCTATCCAAACTATAAAAACAAAAAAAACTTATTCTAATGTCCAAATCACATAGATGACATGACCATATTTTTTGTAATACCTAAGTGAAATAGTAACATATTTATTAACTTATTTTTTAACCTTAGAAACTGGCCTTATCCATGTTAATCAAAAAGAGCAAAGAAATTATCTACCTATGATAGGAGATAGAAAGAAGGGAATTTTATTATATCAGATATTTTTATTCTAGGAAAGAAATTTTGGAAAATATATTAAAATATTGTGTTGGAGGAATAATGAGGAATGCTTTCCTAGTCAATTACTTACATAGGAAGGAGGCAAATTTTGTTTTTTCCAACACCTGTGACTTTATGCGATGAGTCAATACTACAGCTGAAATTCAACTTCTTAGAGCAGACAGAGGTCCTGGCAAAGACTGAACTTGCATGTACCAATCACGTCTGTAAATTACCTCAATCCTAATTACTGCAGTAAAAGGGCACCTTCTACATGTGATGACATTAAAATGGAAAAGGTTTATGTAAATCATGTGAAAAGTTAACCAAGCACGGACAACAGGTAGTTTTGTCAGCTCCATCTTGGGGCAAAAACTGGAGAAAAGATTGAAAGAAATTTCTGCAATAGACAAAGGATGTGATTATAAGGGGTAGGGTTGACATTTTACTTACAAATGGTTAAACTGGACCCAGATGTATGAGCTCTGGATATTGTGAAGACTTTTTTCTCCAACATTTTTTGTTGTAGTCAGTGCAAATAAATGACACAGTTTCAAACATATGTTTGTCTCACCTAGTTTGTCTCATGTTATCCCTGCAAGTAAGGCATGTTGGATGAGAAGCTCAAGGTCTTATTCTTGGGTTTTTTCAAAAATTGGTTAAGGATTATACTAGCCTGTGTCTTACTGACCTCTCCCTGCTCCCTCATCATCTTCCCAGAGAGTTGAGCCCAAGAGAGTGTAGGTGTAGGCCAGAAGATGAACTATCTATATTTACCATGTGTATTAGTCTGTTTTCATGCTGCCAATAAAAACATACCCAAGACTGGGCAATTTACAAAAGAAAGAGGTTTACTGGACTTATAGTTCTGCCTGACCAGGGAGGCTTCACAATTATGGTAGAAAGTGAAAGGCACATCTCACATGGCAGCAGACAAGGGAAGAGAGAGCTTGTGCAGGAAAACTCCCCCTTTTAAAGCCATCAGATCTCTTTTTATTTATTTATTTTTTTTTTTTGAGATGGAGTTTTATTCTTGTTGCCCAGGCTGGAGTGCAATGGCGCCATCTCAGCTCACAGCAACCTCCACCTCCCAGGTTCAAGTGATTCTCCTGTCTGAGCCCCCAAGTAGCTGAGATTACAGGCATTCGCCACCAGACCTGGCTAATTTTGTATTTTAATAGAGACAAGGTTTCTCCAAGTTGGTCAAGCTGGTCTTGAACTCCTGACCTCAGGTGATCTGCCTGCCTTGGCCTCCTGAAGTGCTGGGATTACAGGCATGAGCCACTGTGCCCGGACTAAAGCCATCAGGTCTCCTGAGACTTATTCACTATCATGAGAACAGCAAGGGAAAGGCTTGCCCCCATGGTAATTGAATAATTACTTCCCACTGTGTCCCCACCACAGCACGTGGGAATTAAAAATGAGATTTGGGTGGATACACAGCCAAAGGATATGATTCTACCCCTAGCCCCTCCCAAATCTCATGTCCTCACATTTCAAAACTAATCATGCCTTCCCAACAGTCCCCTAAAGTCTTAACTCATTTTGGCATTAACTCAAAAGCCCACAAAACATTTTTTCTTCCTAGACCTCCACCTCTGACATGCCCTGGAGACATTTTTCCCATTGACTTGGGGATTAACATTTGGCTCCTCATTTCTTATGCAAATTTCTGCAGCAGGCTTGAATTTCTCCTCAGAAAATGGGATTTTCTTTTTTATCATTGTCAGCCTAGAAATTTTCCAAACTTTTATACTCTGCTTCCCTTATAAAACCAAATGCCTTTGTTTCCATGCTGTTGATAAAGACATACCCAAGACTGGGGCAATTTACAAAAGAAAGAGGTTTATTGGACTTAGTTCCTCTGGTGAGGCCTCACAATCATGGCAGAAGGCAGCAGATGAGATAAGAGAGCTTGTGCAGGGAAACTCTCCATTTTAAAAACATCAGATCTCATGACCCTCATTCAGTATCACAAGAACAGCAGAGGAAAGACCTGCCCCCGTGGTAATTGAATAATTACCTCCCACTGGGTCCTTCCTACAACACATGGGAATTCAAGATGAAGTTTGTGTGGGGACACAGCCAAACCATATCACCTTGTTGTCTCAGTACTCCCTTTTGGCAATTCTGTGTATTCTAAAAGGTAATTTTTAATGGATTAAGTGGATGTTTAAGGCAAAAAAGCTTTTATGAGAATATTTTTAAAGTCACCTTACACATTTAATGTACACTGACTACTTTAAGCCAATCAACATTCATTTACAGGAGATAACATTTACAAAGTCGTTTTCACCAGAGTTCTGCCTAAGTACTTTGCAAGGGAATTTATCTATCAGCCTTAATCCTAATGGTAGATTTGTTGAAACAAGTCCTGAAATTAGTGGACTTGTTCTCCGATTATGGGTAAGATGATTGACATGAAGAATTAATGGTATAGCCCTCCATTGGTAAACCTACTATGCGCCAGAGATTGCACCAGATGCTGGGAATACAGTGGCATCCAAAGCGCTCTCCCTCTAGCAAGATGCAGTCTTCATGATCACCAAATAGCTATTTCTAAGTAGATTTTTAAAAATAGACCATTGGAATAGATTTTGCTGTGTTTATAATCAGTACTAATTGATGTAGCCAAATCAGATTTAACACTTGATTTTGGTGATGATTTCATCACAGGATACAAAACTTAGCTACCACTATGGACAAAATGACCATTGAAGATATGGATTTAAGAGATTTGTAAATGAATAAAATATCAAAGGGTGGGGCTTTTGGATATTTGTGTACTTAGAAGCCTCTAGCTTAGAAGCTTTGTGTCCAGGATGGTGATTTATACCACATACGTAATGCCCTTGTGCACAGGGGGTGAATTTGGGAATGTGATTAATTTTTATGTTGCCTTCAAAATACAAATTCTCAGAAATAGTGTTTGATAATTGCATTAAATGAAGATCCTGGGGTTGAAAACCACATGGAAGATAAGAATGATTAGTGAATTGTAATCATTTACATTTAAAGAATTCTGAATTAGTTAATGTATTATCTGCCCTGTGTCTAACTGCTACCAAGATCCTTATTTAAAAAGTATCCTGTTTTCCTAAAAAATAGTCTTCATCTCATTTACTTGAAACAAATGAGTTTTTGTTTTAATTTAAAAATGTGTTTCTCTTGTTTCCGGATATGACAGAGTAGGTAGAATCAGACCAACCCTCCCGCTGAGAACATCTGTAAAAACTTGTGTAAAATTCAAAAAAACAAAGAACAAACAATGAAGCTATTTGAAGGCACTGGAGGCAAAGCAAGTCAGCCACAGGGTTTTTAAAAACATAAGATTTACAACCTGATGTTTACAAAAGATATATTTAAAATAGGTAACAAAAATAAAAAATAAAAGGATAAAAACGGTTTTAAAAATTAACCAAGGGAAGGCTAAAATAGAAATCCTAATATATGGCAAATTTTAATTCAAGGTAAAAGATAGTATAAGGCATTAAAAAAAAATTATGTACTGGTAAAAGACCTAATAGAACAAGAATTTTAGCCACCCAAAATGCATCCTCTCCTAACAACACAACTTCAGAACATTTACAGAATTTTAGTCAGAAATATGTTTATCAATAATTATAGTTGAGGATTTTTACATACCCTGTCTAAGAAACTTGGAGATCAAACAGATGAAAAGTCTGCAGATGTTTGGAAATAAATTGAGCAACCTAATTAATAAATTTAAGGTATTAGATACATATGAAATCCTGAAACCAAGAAAGAGAAAACACATTCTTTTTGAGCACATTTGGGATATACACAAAAATTGACTGTACCTTAGGCCACAAGAATAACTTCAATAAATTCCATAGATTCTCTGTAATATTGACTACATTCTCTTATTATAATGCAATAAAATTAGAAATTATAATAAAAAACCAGATTTTAAAAATTCCTGTATGTGTAGAAACTAAATAATGTATTGCCAAAATGCTCTTGGACTAAAAAAGGAATAATGAAATGCTTTAAACTAAATGGCAATAAAACATTCTATATCCAAATTTATTTGACACAGCTAAAACAACACGGAGATTTATAGCTTTAGTACGTTGACCAGGAAACAAGAGAGGTTAAAAAACCACACACTAAAAATTCAACTTAGGAAGTTAGAAAAATAGCATCAAAGAAAACCCCAAAAAAATGAAAGAAAAACAGAGACAGAAAACAATGGAATAGGAATTACAGTGCTTAGTAAAACTGGTAAATATATCACCTTGGAAAAATCTTTCTACAGCGTATATAACCAAATACAAATTATAAATAAAAATAAGAGACCAGTCCTGATAGGATCAAAAATTACAAAGTATCCAGAAATAACAGAGCATACACAAAAACCCTAAGGGGGAATATTTAAAAACTGATAAAAAACATAGAAAATGATATAAATAAATGGGAATATATTCCATGTTATTCAACTGAGTGAGTTCATAATACAATGATGTCAATTAAAAATGATATGAATTCAATACACTCCAAATAAAATTTTTAAATTTTTTTAGGAATTTAATAAATTAAATTGTAAGTGAAAAAATAAAGGTGACAAATAGCTAAGTTAACTTAAAAAGAGAGAGTAAGCTTGTCCTACCAGATATTAAACATAAAAAGCCAACATTACAAAAACAGTATTCTATAGTCATGAGTCACTTAAGGATAGGGACGCTTTCTGAGAAATTTGTCATTGTGTTAACATCATAAAGCATACTTACACAAACCTAGATGGTATAACCCACTGCACACTTACAGGCTGTATGGTATAGCCTACTGCTCCTAGGCTAGAAACATATACAGCATGTTACTGTACTGAATATTATAATACAAGCAATTGTAACACAATGCTAAATATTTGTGTGTCTAAACATGTATAAACATAGAAAAGTTACAGTAAAAATACAGCATTGTAATCTTTTGAAACCACAGTTGTATGTGTGGGTTGCTGTTGACCAAAATGTCATGATGTGGTACGTGACTATATTGATTCAAGAACAGAGAAATTGAGCTTTAGAAAAAATGGAATGTTCAGGGGGGAAAAAAACTTATGTGTATAAGAAAACATTATTATTAAGATGAAATCACAAACCAATGTGAAAAGAACCCATTATCAGTGCAGAGAAAACTGGCTCATCTATGAGGAAAAGTAAAACTGAATAGCTGGCTAACATCTTATCAAGATAGACTCAGGATGGATTAAAAACCTAAGTGTGAAAGTTAAAACTAAAAAGGTAAAAGAAGATAATGCAGGGGAAAATTCTTGTGTCTGAAGTGTGATTAAGGGAAAGAACTTCATAATTAAAACCCTAAAAAATATGAATTATGGCAGCAAAAAGGAGGAATTGATTATATAAAAGTGCTGTTCAATTAAGTACATTAGGAACAAAGGTAACAGCCAGCTGACAGACTAAAAGAAAAAAAATCCAGGGGTCAATATCTAGAAAGTACAAATAATTCCTGTAAATTAACAAGAAAAAGACAGGGACCCTTCCAGCTACAAAATGAGTAACAGAACATTTATAATCAAGGAAACCTAAAAAGATGATTATCTCACTGTCGTTTCTGGTGGTAAGAAGTTGAAGGCAATCATCAAGGAATGGATACAAAAATGGGGTAAATGTATTGCCTGGAATTTTAAAATTCCAAAATCTTTTAGAAATTCTAGAGGCAGCCATTGGCAGAGAAGGCCAGGGGATGTGGAAAGGAGTAAATTACAGCTTTCTTTCAAAATTCTAAGAGTGGTTATTGTGAAGAGAAGAAATACATGATGTACTATGGTATGTTCCATTTAGATCACATTTAATAAATATATAATAATATTTAAGAAATTTTTGTGGATCATCTCCAGTGTGCCCAGTACTTGTGATATAAATATCTGTTGACTATCAGATTGCTGTTTGTGAAAGTTTTACGATTATAAGAAAAAAAGGATTCATAGAATTATTTGCTATTAAAGTGATTGTTTTACCTTACAAAGCTGAAAATATATCTTTTTAATTTACCGTTTTACTATTTCCCTTCAAAGATCTTTTTCTTTAAGGTTAACACGCTGATTTCTCGTACATGTAGTGGTATTTGTGCACAACTTTTGTAAAGTAAATCAAAGCTTTATAAGAATTTTGAGTTATTTCTTAAGCTGAATGGTTTTTTAATATTCATAATAATATTAATTTTAACATTAATATTTAAAATATATATAAATATATGCATGTAAGTATATACTATACACAGAATATATTACATTTTTAAGATAAATGTTTAACATATAAAACATTTAATAACATAATTGTGAAACTTATCTATCAAAACATTCAGTCAATGCAGAAATACTCCCTGACTGCCAGCCTTATTTAAAGCAGTGTATTAAAATTTTACAATATTTATTTGTTGTAAAAGTTACATATTGCTTGAAGGAAATGGGAGGTTTTGAAAATATATATGAATAGTCCCTTATTTCCTTAGCATATAAAACTATTTAATCATATATAGGCATATATGGTATATACACGTATATACATATATACATATATACATGTATATATATATAGTGTAGTATGATTTGTGATTTAATTTCAAATGAAGACAAAATTTTCATCTAGTTATAACTACACGTTTAAATATTCAAAAAGCACTGATTCATTTATTCATTCAGCAAATATTATTTTATTCAACATCTACTACATATCTGACTGCTATTGAAAAGCCTTAAACATAAATTATTTTACTCAAAAGGAAAAAATGTATTAATATTTTAACTGTTTAATATCAAGCCAGACTTCATGAACCTCAACCAAAGTATCTTTAATCTATCTCAAAAAAGAGGAAAGGATTTCCAATTTTGTACTCTAAATGTAAGATTTATATACAAAATATCTCTTCCTGGATATCTTTTCAAGAACACATGTGCATTATTTATTCCTTCGACTTCTTTGCAAGGGTGCTACCTTTGACTTTTCAAGCTGTGTACTGCACAGGTGCCACCTCTAACAGAGTGCCATTTATATCATTATAATTTTTCTTATTTTGAAAAGTTTTGGTTGTAATCGATCAATTTTGTATCATAATTTTTAAAGCTGACTGACAGATGGGAGTAAGCTCTTTTCTTCTAGCCAAATAAGTATATAATGTGAGTTTTCTGGCTGATGGAAATAAAGTGCTTTACTCTAACATGGTTGAAATGTATTGCTCATGAAAACTTAAAAGTAGAAACAATTTTAACAATTAAAACAGCTTGTTGATCTAACAACTCCTCAAGTAACCTGTGCCACTAAAATGTAGCTGCTGTTCTTCAATGTTGCGCTCAGTGTGTTGGCTAAGTTTGATATTTGGGATTGCTACTTATATATTCTAAACTCTACAACTACTTTAATTATGTCTTTAAATATTGTGTAATAACCAAATTCATTTACCTTTAAAGATATATAAATACATATTATATAAACATAATCACACTAATATTCTAGTCATTGTGTTTTAAATGGAAATTTCATTAGTATAAAAAATAATCACTGTTAAAATTGAGCAAGCTAAATGTTACAAATTCCAGACAAAATATTTTTTCTGTTGCAAAATTGAAAATTTTGTATAGAAAGTCAGGATCAAAAAACAGAAAATGACAAGGTATTAAGGTGAAAATTAAAAATAGACTTATATTATTAAATTTGAGGGAAAATAGCTAGAATATAAGAAAAGGATTTTAGAACTAATAACTTCTGTTACAAAATTTCTAATAATTTCTGCTTTCAGAGCTAGTAACTCACAGTTACATTATTAATGGAGCAAAGTATGAACTTATTTTCTAACATCATCTCAATCATAATATACTAATTTTAAAGAAAACTGGATGAGGAAAAAAAAGTCTCCATTAAAATCAATGTTTTTTCTGGTGACAGAGCTACATGGCAGAGTAATCCAAATATTAAACAACAGCTGGTCTCATTGAATGTTATCCACTCCAAGCATGAAACTTCTATTTTCCAAAAGATGAAATAGGTAATAAGGTTTTGAAATATTAAACACAAATTCTTCCAAATGGTAAAAATAAATCTACTTCTAGGAATTCCATATGGTGAACTTTGAGGGAATTTCTTTTTAAAAGTTATCTATTTTTCCCTTTGTTGCCTATGCTTTTGTGTCATATTTAAGAAATCATTGCCAAATTTAATAGCATGAAGCTTTTCCTCTAAGTTTTTTTCTAAGATTGTAATAGTTGTAGCTCTTATATTTAGGTCTTTGATCCATTTTGAATTAATTTTTTATATTGTGAAAGTTAAGATTCCCACTTCATTCTTTTGCATGAAGGTATTTAGTTTTCTCAGCACCATTTGTTGGAAAGACTGTTCTTTCCTGCATTGAATGGTCTTGGCACACTTGTCAAAAATCATTTGACCATATATGTGGGGTTTTATTTCTGGGCTTTTTACTCTATTGCATTGGTCTATGTTGTTCTTTATACCAGTACTATATGTTTTTATGAGACATCCAAATTTGTTCTTTTTCAAGATTGTTATGGCTATCTAGCATCTCTAGAAATGCCATATAAATTTTAAGATGAATTGCCTGTTTTTTCACACTCAATTTCTAGTAAAGGATCATCTGTAATATTACAGAAGCATGACAATGTTAATTTTCTTCAGTTAGCAGAAACTGTAAAAACTTCTGATTATTTTAAGTCAGAATATCAATTCAGAATACCAACAATGAAACCAAAATATTACAGTAATTGAGAATGTAAAATATATAACAAAATACATATAATTATAGCAGTGACTGAAATCTTTTAGAATAAGGTTAAGGAATTATAAATATTTCTAAATCATTCTCAACTTATGATATAAACAGTGTAAACCAGATAGCAATTATTAATAGATTTATGGTTTCTCTAAAATATAAATATTTCTTTTTGAGAACATTTTGGAGAATTTTTTTCATTGACATGACTACACAGACACACACACAGAAACGAAGATAATTTCCAAAGCAAAATCTAGACCAAAAAAAATGTGTGGGTCCAGGGATACAACAAAACCACAAATGTATATGGAAAACATAACAGCTTATAACAAAAATGCTTTAAAAAAAACCTATAGATAACTCTTTATTTCTTTTCTGCACATTTATTAAACTTAATAAATGAAAAATAAAGCAAAAACTTCGACACCACTCAATTTTTTATAGCTTCCAACAACTATGCAAAGATCTTTGGGCTTCAATGAATTATTGGAGTATATTAAATAAAATATTGATTTGAAACACGTTTATCAAGTATACATTTGCAACTGTTATCAAATACACTGTAGGAAAGCGGAGGTCATGCTATCCTATCATTAAAACTTCAGTTAGAGGCAGTGAGCCATGCTCTTTTACAAATTATCTATATTATTTTTAAAGTATAGACTGTGTAATACAAGGTCTAGGAGGTAATATGATTCATTTAGAACAATTCATTACAAATAATGTATTTTCTAAAGGATATATCATATATAATTGTATTATATATAATTATTTTCTAAAGGACTGTATTTAGAAACTGTAATCCTTTAGAAAATAATTATTTTAAAATGCATTTGCTTCTGACTAACTTGGCATAATGACAAAATATTATAAGCAAAATGATGCAAGAATAAAAATTCAGTGTACCTATCATCTTGAATACATCAAAGAGTTAAGAAATTATTCCAAGAAAAATAAAGCTATCTTTATAAAAATATACATGTATATATTATTGATCATGTGGTGGGTTCTAAGATGTACTGCCAAGATTCCCCTTTTGCTGGGAGGACAGACAGATAACCATTCTCAGCTGTCAGTCCCTTTCCTGAATTGCCTTTGTGAAAGAGACCCGCCTTGTCCAAGGACATAACTCCTTCCTGGGGCAGCCAGCAATCTAACTTCTAATCAGCATGGGGGTATAATGGACAGTTTCCCTTACCCCATCTCTGAACAACTACAATGAGCCATCCCAGCTCCAGGTCCAGCTTTGTCCTTGTTGAGACTATATTACAGCCCAGCTTTCCCTCTACCCAATCCTGATTCCTTCCCTTTCCTCACTTCCCTTTTCCTCCCAAAGGTGTCGATCTCAAGAGAGAGTTCACCAATACATTTCTTGCATGCTAATATGTATCTCAATTTTACTTCCTAGGGAATCCTACAGCATTCACTAAGCAGTCACCCCCGACATTGACCACAATGTCTCCAATATAGAAAATACTAGTGAATAAAGGTGAAAGGAAACTGATTTCTCCTGCAAATCTGATTATCAACCTATATATGACACAACAATATCATCTTAAAGAGAAGTTTAAGATATTGAAAGAATGACATGTTCTTTTTCGTGCTCCAGATCTGTGTCAATCTTTGTTCTGACACAAGCAAGATAAAGGTCACAGAAGTAGAAATACATTATTTGTAATGAATTGTTCTAAATGAATCACACTACCTCCTAGACCTTTTAGTCATTTAGTCATCACATATTTAATCAGCCCTTTATTAGGTATTCATTGCTGCATAATAAATAACCCCAAAATGTAGCAGCATAAAACAACAAACATCTATTATCACACAGTTCTGAGGATCAGGAGGCAAGAGCATCTTAGCTAGGTGAAATGCCCCTCCCCAGAGGTTGCAGAAAAACTGTTGCCTTGTGTTGGTCTGCAGTCATCTCAAAGTTCAACTTGGGCTGGAAAGTCCACCTCTCAGCTCACTCACACAGTTGTAGACAGGGCTTAGTTCCTTTCTGCTGTTGACCAAAGGCTTCAGTTCCTTTCCTCATGAGCCTCTTTACAGTGTTTCTCACCACATGGCAGCTAGCTTCCCCAAGAAGAGAGAGCACACCCAAGATGGAAATTGCAGTACTCTATTGTCTAATCTCAGAAGTAATGTACTATCACCTCCACAGCATTACACTGGTTACAAAACAGATCAATTCTGCTACATGTAGGAGGGGACTAACTAGAATGTGAACACCAGAGGTGGAAATAAGTGGGGTCATCTTGGAGGCTGGCTTCCCCAAGCACCTTCTATTGGCTAAGCAATGCACTAGTGACTAGGGGGAAAACAGACATGATCCTTTCATGAATCTTCTATTCTAAAAGCAAAACTGACATTAAACAATTATGTCTCTATTGCTACAAAACTTGTCATGATGCTATAGGCAGGTATAATAGGGAAATCACTGAAGGCTTCTCTGAGGAGGTGTCATGTCAACTAAGCCCTATGGGATGAATAGCAGTGATTGGGTGAAGAAGCTTGAAAGGCAATTTGTGAGATTTTGTTTTGAGGGAAGATGGTGTTGAAATAAGCCTCAAAATTGACAGAATATTGAAGAAAAGCTTATATGCTCTGCTTTAGAAAAATACAGGACTAGAAATAAACTTTTCCATTAAGAATGGAAGTCAGTTTCTGAAAAGCAAATAACTTGGTAGCACAATTTGGAAGACTGAGAGTTTAAGTATCAAAGCAGCCAAATGTCTGATATGACTAAATTTCTTAAGCTCCTGACACCCAAGGACAAGGCAAAAATTTTCCTAGTGCCAATAAACCTGTTAATTTAGATTCTTTTTACACACATTAAGGCCCTTAATGTAATAGTTGTTTAAAATGCTTGTGAAACATCATTTAGTTAATTACTTGAGTCATAAAACAACAGCTATTGTGAAAATTAATGATGGGTTAACAACGATAACAGTTGTTGTAAATGATTAACAAGTAAGCTTACTAAGCTTTTCCTAAACGTGTATTATACTCAAAGGCAATAAAAATACAATTTGGAAATGTGTCATTAAAAGAGCTAGCCTATAGTTCTATTTCTACTGTAGTAGAAATGTTTTAATAAGGTAATTTCTAAAACTCCTTTTCCATAAAACTAAGACTTGTAGATGCTGGGGAAAAAAGATGTGGAAAAAGCTCTTCCCTAATTTATTGTAGCAATTTACAGATCTTAGCAATTTTATATTAAATACACTCTGTTTGTTAAAATAGATGCCCGCCTGACCTCTCAACACAGTCTGCCTAGGACTTTTCCAGTTTTAGTACTTACAGCTCCATATCCTGGGGAGCCCCTGTCTCATTTCATCACTGATATGTTTTCAGCTTTTGATAAAATATGAGTTATCTCTCTTTTTCAGGTTAAAGTTCCATTTGAAGCTGTAGCCAATCATGTTCTCACCTGGTAGGAATAAGACTTTTTCAATAACTTACTAAACCTGCAGAAACAACTACAGTCTACTCTCCATTGCTGTGAAATTTAGCCTAAGCTTAAGCTGAGATTTTTCTCATAGCCTAAATATGATAAACTAGAACTTGAAAGGGTTCTCTTGGGGATGGACAGTATTGGGAAGGCATGAATAGTTATGTATGCACAGTGGTTACCCTTCAAGAGCCATGGCAGCCCCAGGGATCTCCTGCACCAGATAATTCAGCCCTAACTATTTTCTGACCTATGTGTCTTCACCAGTGATTTAAATTCCAGGGAGAGGAAATCTGATCAGCATATTTGAAACATGTGATCACCCCTGCAGTGATAGGGGTGGAGGACTGTGGAAGAAATCACATGGTATGTTTTGGGGTTGGAGGGAGATGCAAAACTGCTTGAACCAGAGGCTGATATCAAAATCACATGGAGTGGGGTAAATTTTTTTCAAGCTTCACATACCATGCCTACTTTCCATCCTTAGATTCTCACTGTAACGAAATATGAAAGAAGAGGAAGTATACCTTATAGGGAAAACTCTCCAAGTCAATCCTGGGTCCCTGACCTTAGTTGTGAACCACCATCTTAGAGTGAGAAAAACCCTCCTCTTTATTTCCTTTCTGGACTTGCTTGTTAATTTTTGTAGGAAAAGCAAAAGAGGAAAGACTTATTTGTACATTTCAAAAAAATACATAGACCATTCTCTACAAAACGCAGATGTTGAGAAAAAGAAAAGACAATATGCAGAGAGATTTTGAGGGGAGAAGACAAAAATTGAAGATGATCACAATGAATGGCATCAGTTTCACATCACATAAGAAATGATTCTTCAGTTGAGATGGAGATGTGATGAGGTGACTGGAGAAAATTTGTGAGACATACTTTTGGGTTTTCCACTGGGAGTAGTCATTAAACCATTGTCTAAGAATTACAAAGAATTAAGCAACTGAAGTTAGAAGTATGCATTTTAATAGGCTTAATTATCTGCAGAGACCTAGTGGTTAGTTGAAATTTAGGATTTACATTTGAAGTAATTTACTTTGTTTCTGATTACAAAATTAGTATGTGTAAACTGCAAGAAATTTATAAAATACAAATAAGAACAAGAAAAACAAAAAGTCTAATGCTAACAAACAACTGTCATTACCATTTTGTCATATATCCTTTCAGGATTTGTATGCATATGTGCAAATATTATTAAGATTTTAAATACATGTTTTTCTTTCAATATAACAATTACATGTCTATTGTCAAAGTATTAAGAAAGACAAAAACACATAGAATAAAATGGCACTCATAAACACTTTAATGTATTTCTGTATATGAATATTTATTTTTCTCTAATAAAAATAGGATCTTGGTGCACATTCTAACTGTTTTTTCACTTAAAGATACCATCCCACTTAACAAGATATCATCTAGTCCCTGTTCCAGTGGTTCTCATCCAGAGGCCATCTTCCTTCAGGAAACATTTGATAATATTTGAAGACATTTTTGGTTTACACAACTAGGGGCAAATGTACTACTGGCATCTAGTGGGTAGAAGATGGGGATTCTGGTAAACATTCCACAATGCACAAGAAAGTCTCCAACAACACAAAATAAGTATCCATTCAAAAGTCAATAGTGTCAAGGCTGACAAATCCTCTTGTGTTCCATAAAGTTTCCCTATCTTTGCAGGTATAAAAACAGGTAGAAATCCTTCCAGGATCCCTAAAATCCCAACTTATCCCACAAATACTGCCAAGAATGTCACCTTCTCCCAACCTAAGAACGAGAATTTGCAGGGATACTGATGGTCGAAAGCAGCAAAGACCCCAAAATATCATATCACATGCTTACTTAGCTGATTAGTGCCTGGATTCATGGAAGGACCAAAAGGTCTGTGACTTCTGAGATGTCCTCAAATGTAAATTTTGCATAGAAAAACACAGCTGATGCTAAAGCCTCTCTTTCATTGTTTCCTTCATGATTCGGCTTAGGATCTCACCCATTCTTTACTATTTGTACCACCGTGCATTCCATCAATTTTGGAGCCCAGATCAGGTTCAAAGACCAACCTCCTTGAATGCCCAGGGCATGCTAATAAGACTTGAGGTCCTAGAACACCTGGCCTGGTCCCTGTGCTGTCCTAATAGAAATAATTTTCTTTCAAATGTGTGCCAACCGTATTCTGCTTCTAAGACCCAAACTTTGCAAAGAACTACAAGTTTACTTTTCATTGCATCTTATGGATACTAGTTAGAGGTAAATTGACCTAGCTCTTTTTTTTTTTTTTTTTTTTAATGCAAGACTGTTTACTCATTTGAAACTATTTATTTCTGGCTGACCATAAGTTTGAGTTTTCATTTCATTCTACTCCTCATCAATTTTAAAGGCAGAATAGAATTCTATTATATGAGTAAACTATCAACGATCTCTCATTAAGTTGGTGCAGAAGTAGTTGCGATATATTCTATTTTTCACTATTATAAACAACATTTTGACAGGCATCCTTGTCCTTATATTTTTTTAATCATGTTTGATTGTTTCCTTAAGCTACATTTCTAAAGTGGAATTACTGATTCAAGAGACATGACTACTTTGAAGTACAGTTATAACATTTGAACCCACTAAACTTGTGTGAAAGTTTCTGCTTCCCCACATTCTCTCCTACTCGGAGTTTTGTCAGCTTTTAAAATCTTTCTAAATATATAAAGTGAAAAAAATATTTTATTTCTAGTGTGGACTGTGCATAATTTCAATGTTTATTACCATTGTACTTTTTTGTGAAGTTATTTTTTCTGATTTGGTGTTTCTTTTTTTTAATTTAAAAAGCTTCTTTGTCTTTTCTAGGCTTATGTATTACAAATGTTTTACCTAGGTTATTTTTAAACTTTATTTTATATTATGCTTTTCTACATAGAGGTTAAGGTTTTTTTCTAGCCAGATCCACCAATTTCGTACAGTTCCTAGCTTTTGTGATTAGACTGTTCTTACATCCCACCACCCCATTTCTCCCTTTGTTATTTGGAGAGGGGTGGTGTCCAGGATGGGGAGATATGAGGACTGAAGTATAGCTTTAAGTTATTATTTTGATTTGCCCGGGTTTGGTTTAGAATAATTTATGTTTTGCCTCATTGATTTTAAATGGGCCTTCGACAATATGTCTAACACTGTGCCAGCTAACATGTTATTATATAGTAGGCAAGTCTTTCTTCATGACTGTTTTTTTTTCAATATTTTATATATTTTGTTTTTCTCAAGTATATTTTGTATTTAAAAAAAAAATCCTCATTGGTTTCTCTTGAAAATAAGGTCAAATTTGAGTGGATTTAGTAGAAATTGACACCTTTACCGTACTGTGTTATCTTAATAAAAATATGGTACACTTCTAATGAAATATTATAGATGGTTATTAAGTTATTATAACTAAATATCTATTGTTTAAGCAGAAAAAGTAAACTGTGGTAGCAAAACACCCTCACCCATGTTAGATGTGCCTTCACCCTCCCCAGGCCTCACTCTTCTCTCCTCATACTCCAGCATCTCCAAGGATGCTCCAAGACAAAGAACTAGTGCACATTCATTTGCTGCAAGTTTTGCTCTCTGAGCAACCTGGGCTAAGACAATAAAAACCCAACAGGGAAATTGATAAAAGACTTTAAAACGTACTTCAGAGACACCTCAAATTACTAAGAAACCAATTAGCTACCAATAACTTAATAAATAAAAATATATACTAAGCCTCACTAATATATATTATCAGGAAAAATGCAACTAAAAACCGCCCTTAGATACTGTTATAAAGCTACAAGATGACAAACATCAACAAGTGTGGGGGAGAAGGTGGGAATTCTCTCTGCCAAAACTGTAAATTGATACAACCATTTGAAAAATAGTATAGTATTACTCAGAAATATTTAAAATGTCCCTATCCTATAATCCTACAACCCCACTGTGAGGTTTATATGTACAAAAATACATGTATGTGTACCATAGGAGATGCACTCGAAATGTTCACGGCAACATTATTTGCAAACTTTAAGTATTAGAAACCATCCATACGTTCATCAACAGTAGAACGGATAAGTAAATAACAAGGTATTCACACAATAAAATACCTCACAACAGTGAAAATGAATGAAGTGCAACCACATGCAACAATATGAACAAATTTCACTACCACAGTGTTTTGCAAAAGGAAAAACACAAAGGGATACATATAGTATATTTATGTAAAGTTTAAAAGCAGAAAAAACTGAACAATATTTTTAGGGATGCATATGTAGATGATAAACTATAAAGGAAAGCAAAATAATAGTTATCACAAAAGTTAGGAAAATGGTTACTTCTAAAAGGGGAGGAAGGGGAAACACCACCAGAGTCAGACATGCGGCTTGTAGATGGTAATATTCTTTGGTCTCATTACAACAATGGTAATATGTGTGTTCACTTCATTATAATCCTTTAAAAGTCATATACATTTTATATACTTTTCTGTATGTGTGCTACATTTCACAATTTTTACTGAGAAAATAAAAGTATCCAGCTCACCACATTCTTCCCCAAGCATCTCATCAGATGCTGGGCATCTGTTCCATCCTCCTCCTTCTTCACACACAGAGATAGGCCTTTCAATCTTATATAGAAGAAGCAACCACATCAAACATAATTAATGCATAATTATTTGAGTAGTGCCTGCATGATTTAAAGAAAGATAATGAGAAACAGCTCAAATGTCTAAAATAATATCTCCTTGGCTCATCCATTCTCCAGATTTGGGGCACATGAGATATTTTGAGTATATTGCTCCATCTCAGAGAGAAGGTTTTGAGGGCTCTTGACCCATGTCAGTCACCTTATTGCAGGTTCCTTCAAAGGCCTGAGCAGGATCTCTGGGAGTTCAAAGATCTCCCTACCCTAGAAGAAATGTTGGCATCTTAGACCTCTTTTGTCTGGTTAAATGTATCCATGGCTTCATCCAGACAGGATAAATCAAAGTATTTTTTCATGTCCAATATGCATGAATGAAAGCCATGTGTTATGTTAGTTGAGATTCTTAATTGTAAGCAACAGAAGTTGCCTCTGGTTTGTAAAGCAGAAAAGAAGTTTACGAAAATAATATTGTCCATTTCACAGAATCATTCGGAGAATGGAAATCCACATCCAAGCTCAGCTTCCAGGAACAATGTCCAAAACTCCACAGCAGAACTGACCTGGTGAGGAGAGAAAGACCACTGCTCTTGCCATCCATCAGTGTCACTCCTGGGACAAAGCTCAGGCTCACACCTGTGGCCACCCTAGAAGCTGGAGGCCTCTGCACGCCACCCTCCCATGGAGTCTATACGGCACTTCCTTCTCAAGTTGCTCACTCCCAAATTGAGGTGTCATAGTGAATGTGTCTGACTGGAGGAACTCAGGATGCTGCGGTTACAGCTACAAGGGAAACTGAGAATGAAGTTTCGGGGTTCTACCAATACACTGGGCAGCTAGAAATCAACAATATCTACTTCAGGTGGTTCATCTGTGCTCTTTTGCATATAAAACTTTCTGTGTGGTATAAATTATGGAATAACAAAAATCCAGTTACTGCCAATTTCTAACTACATGATTGATGATATTTTTAACTCTCCAAAAACAGCATGAAATCTCACCATCTGTTTTGCTCTTTTGTCCCTTGTGGGCAATAAATTTCACAAAGTCCCCATGATTCAGAGGAGACAGAGGTGGAGCCTTTTTCTGGATCTGCACGCATATTTTATATCCATTTTCCATATCTTTTGGAAGGGATTTGGGAACCAGAAATGTCTGATTCAACAATTTGGGGGAAGCAGCTGGCATACAAGAGCCTTGAGGAGGTGAAAATCCACCTTTACAGGTGACTCTAAAACCCTGAAGTCTCTAGGTGAGGATGGGTCGAGAATGGTCACAGGCTGGACTGGATGCCAAACTGTGATGGCTAGCGGCCATGCAGCTCCCTCACAAGCTGTTGTGTTTTGAAGCTATCTTGAAAGAATTTCTGGCACACTGGAGAGAGATTTAAGAGTGTGAAAGGCAGACTCCTTGTTTTCTATTCTGCTTGGTAATTTAATACATTTGCTTTCTACACTGAGACCTTCCATCTCAAAGGGTGGCATCTCTGCACACTTAAAATTGATGTTTACATAGGAATTCAAGGTACCTGGTGAGACTGAGAGGAAAAGTGGCAAGGGGAAGAGACAAAAAGCTGCTGGGATTCTTTTTTCCTTGCTTAAAATAATTTAAAGCAATTTTTTTATCTTATTATCTTTGCTATTGTTGCTATTACTATTTTTCCTTAGAGAACAGCTCAGAAGTTATCATCAATCCAAGTTTTTAAAATGGTTTTCAAAATAGGGCTTCAGATATGTGGGGAAAATTTGCCTTTTTTTCTGTTTTAATTTTCAAAGCACTTAAGGCAAAAGCATTGAGTTTCTGATCTCCTTACATTCTGTGGTGTCTCATTTATGGGGATGGTTGGATCAGGGCTTACATAGATAGTTGTGGGATGGATGAGGCCTCAGACTCCAGGCATGGCACCTGGGACTAATGAGATTAGAGAAAAACTGGATTCAATCAGGGAGAAAGGCTAATGGGGTTGGCATTTTGAGAGAATATATGGTGCCCTGCTGCTCATTTTCCTAAGAGAATCTTTCTGTCTTCTCTTTTCAGAATATTGGGATAAGATTTCAGTATTTATTGAAGTCACAGGGAAGTAGATCACCATGTTTAAGACATTGGTGCCCCCTCCTTATGTTTGTTTAATATATGTGGAATCCTTTAGGCTTCAGATAGAAAAGAAAAAATATGTCTGCCGAGGAGTTCATCTGCAAAACAGGAGTTGGGAGCAGGTCAGCAGCTTCTGCTCTGGAAACTTTTAAGAGAAGGCAGCTGTCAAATGAACCAATAAAATGATGAGTGGGACATAAAGAGATTCCAAAAATATATTCTATAATATATGGGAAGGTAATATATGATTAAGCCACCATCCCAATTCACTGAGAAAGGATGGATGTTATAGTTAACTCAGTTGGGTCAATGGCTTATCCATCTGGAAAAAATAAAAGTAGATCCCTTTCTAACACCTTATATAAACAGAAATGGGTGGATAAAAAGAAGCTAATATTTCTAGCATAAAAATATAAGAAGAAAGTATAGGTGACTATACACATAATTTAAGGGTAGGTGAGAAGTGTCTCTTTAGGTAACACAAAAAACCCAGACAGCACAGTAAAAAAAAGTTGACTAATGTACATCAAAATGAAAAACTATAGAGCAAAGATGCCATAAACAAACTAAAAGCAAATGTTAGACTGGAAGAAATTATTTGCCACCTTGTGGTCAATATCCATGATATATTAAAAGCTGCAACAGATTGATGATTAACATTCAAAAGTGAGCAAAAGATGAGCAATACAAATAGTGACTGAACATATGAAAATATGCTCCATCTCACTCTTGTTTGGGAAATTAAAACAACAGCAAGAGGCAATTTTTTTGTAAAGAAAAAAGAGCAAATTATAGGTTTTTAAACTACATTTATAGTATAATCTTGCTTTCTTAAGAAAGAAAAAGAGAAAAAAGAGGAAGAGAGAGAAAGGCCCTAGCTATGCATATGTATGTTTTGGAGGAGACATCCCAAAATGTTAAATTAATTGCCTCAAGGTCAGGGGGAGAAACGGAGATGAAAGAGCAGAACTTTAATTTTCTCTTCATTTATCTTTATAGTGTTTTACTTGTTTTAAAGAGGATGTATTACTTCTATGATTTTTTAAAAATCCAACAATAAAGCACTGTTTTAAAATTAAATGGGTGATTGATTATTGTGATGAATTAGGACAGATAAAGAGTCAAAGTTGACCCCCAGATTCTGGTTTGGCTTATTGGCTGAGATAAAGACATTTCCATTGCAATAAACAACTGTTCTTACATATAAATTCTTGTTCATTTATACAGAGGGTAAATATCAGTCTACAAACTAAGGTTCAAGAAATATTACTTCTTTCTTTCATCAAAATAATTTTGACCATGAATTCATCCATCACATGAGGCTGTTGGGACATTTTGTCTCCGTCGTGATTGGGCCCTGCCCCCATCCAAGGTCCCACCATGCCCTGAAAAATGACAAAGCTGCCACAACCATCAAGAAGCACGGGAGAGGAGGCCCGGACTTAGAGACAGCAGATGTGAGTGGCAGCAGTCTTACACCTTCCAAATGGTCTTGGGCATGTTGCTGCTACTCTTTGAGCCTCAGTTCCCTCATCTATGAAATAGGATTGATATTATTTGTTCTGCATGCCTCAGAGAGGTGTCATGGGATCGTAGCCCTTTAACATTAACCCGAATCCCTTCATGATACTGTCGAAGTGATTTTCCCTGAAGCTTATGGTGATCTTGCGCTTGGTTGAATGACTGCCAACTGAACTGTGTGAAGAAAGGCAGGTCTTTGAGAAGATAATGTGTTTACATTGAAGAGATGTTGGAGAAGCAGGCAGAGATGGAGGAGAGGGAAGATAATGGTGATCTGAAATTTAGATCTCAGAAAACCAAGTCATCAGAAGCCTCGACTGATCTAAGACCTCTTAACATCTTGCTCAGTGCTTCCTCCAACAGAACTGTTGCATGGAATGGTAGTTTGTTCTTTATAAAATAATTATAAATGAAATAATCTTGATTTCTGTTTTTCGCTTGTCACATAGAAATTCTTGTCGAATGACTAAAGACTTCATTTAAAATTTACTAGATAGCCCTTTAGAGAGATGTTTATCATCTAGATCCTTCTCCTAAAACTCTAAGAAAACAAGGAAATGATTTATGAAATGTTCAACGAATATCTATAATATCTATGCTTGTGTTTACAGCCACAATTCAGTGCCATTTCTCTGAGTAGGAGCACCTTGCACTTGAACAATATTTGAGCAGTGCCTCCTTTATTCTGTAGAGGCTATGTCACCGAAGGGTTAGATGTTGTTTAGGAAATATGAGCCCTAGTTTTATCCTAAGTTGGTCATCCATTAAACTGTGGACATTGGACCAGTGGCTCTCCCCAGGCCTTTATTTTCCCCTCACGGTAAATAAGGCAATTATACAATCTGGGATTTAGATGATAATTTTCTGCTTTAACATGATAATAGAAGGGGCCAGCTAGTGGATTTTGCTTTTAAATTGATTGTCTAGAGTTTGTTTCACTTTGTGTTTCTGGGGCAGCTTTTAATCTCTACATACCATGATTCAACTTCAATAATGACTGAAATGTTTCGTATGCGTTAGAGAATTCTTGCTTTGAATTTGAAATGAAACCAATTATACTAATAATTGACATTTACTGTTATTTTATTAGCTATAACTAATAATGAGACTAAGACAGGTTCTGTGCTATGTAGAACCGCTCATTGACTTGCTGTAACTTCACTACAAATTCACTCAACCAATATGACCCACCAGTAGAGGAATCAGCAAACTATGCCCCCGTGGGCCAAATCCAACATGCTGCTTGTTTTTGGAAATAAAGTTGTATTGGAACACAGCCACATGCATTTCTTCATGTGCTGCCTATAGCTGCTTTCATGCTACAACAGAACACTTGAGTAATTGCAACAGAGACGGTATAGCCCACAAAGCCTAAAATATTTACTATCTGGACCTTTACCAAAAAAAAATTTGCCAACCCTTGCACTAGTATATCTCTCCCCTTAATTGGAAGGCTTTGATCTATTGGAGAAGGTCTGTACTCCCTGAAATGACATTTGGGCCTCCCTTTCTTTCTTTCTTTCTCTTTCTTCCTTCCTTTTTTTTTTTTTTCTTTTTTGATGGAGTTTCACTCTTACTGCCCAGGCTGCAGTGCAGTGGTGTGATCTCAGCTCACTGCAACCTCCGCCTCCCGGGTTCGAGTGATTCTTCTTCCTCAGCCTCCCAAGTAGCTGAGATTACAGGTGTCCACCACCACACCTGGCTAATTTTTTGTATTTTTAGTAGAGATGAGGTTTCATCATGTTGGCCAGGCTGGCCTTGAACTCCTGACCTCAGATGATCCACCCGCCTCGGCCTCCCAAAGTGCTGGGATTACAGGTGTGAGCCACTGGGCCCAGCCTAGGGCCTCACTTTCTTAGCCAAGTGACTTTCCATTTTTTTTCTTCCCTGAAGCCTCTACTTCAATCAAGCTACCCTAGTCCCTTTTCTACTTCCTTCAGATGAAATATGCTCCTACCCATTTGACATACAGCTCACATCGTGGCCCTAATTCGTATACAGTAGTTTTCTTTATCCTTGCCTCTCAAAGCGTGGTCCATGAATCCCCAACATCATCACCTAGGAGCTTGGTAGAATTACAGACTCTCAGGCCCCAACCCAGACCAAATGAATCAGAATCTGAATTTTAACAGATCCTCAGGTAATTTGAAGCACTTCTCTAGAGCAGTTCTGTTCAATAGAACTTCCTGTGATAATGAAAATGTTATTTACTTAACAAGCTCCACTATGTTAGCCATTAACCATGCATGACTACTGAGCATTTGAAATGAAGCTAGTGAAACTGAGGAACTGAATTATTTTTTAATTGAATTTTAAGTTTAAATAGCCACATTTGGCTGGTGGCTACCATATTAAATAGTGCAGTTCCAGACTGTGCCTTCAGAAAAGGATCTCAGGTAGGACACTTATAGCTCACTCTCATAAGCCTCCAAAGTCACCTGGAGCATTCCAGTATCAGCCTGAGTCCTAAAGAGGGTCTGCCTTATGGAACACCCAGCAAGGTCTGTGGGAACTGTGTGCTATGTCTCGAGTGCCAAATGTATCCCCAAGAGGTATTGCAGGGACATTGGCTGTAAGTAGAAACTCAAGGCCAAATCCTCTCAAAGCACCCATTGGTCCCAGGTAGTAGTTGAGACACAAAGAGGATCAGATCTAAGGATCATTCCAGCAGGGTGGTGGGAAGAGGCAATAGCTCTATCAAGCTGGTACATCCCATTGAGGGAGCCAGTCCGCAAGGCAGTCTTGCAGACTCAGGCCTGACTGTTCCCTTACTGTAACTACATAGGTTTATGGACAAGGAGGTCCCGAGCACAAAGACCTTTAGAGGCCATCTTGTGTAATTTTTAAAAATAAATGATTAATGTTACTGAGGTCCTCAGAGAGTGAGGAATTTGTAGAAGGATATACAGGGAGTCAGTGACAAAGTGAGCTGTAAGCCTAGTTAATCTTTTCATAATGTCATGGATGCAGCACTTCCATCTCAAGACAGGGGAGGCAAAGACCATTCTGTGTAGTCTGGCTTAGAGCCTATGTCCTCACTGAGACTGGGACCCCCAAACCCAGTGCTCAGTGCCCCACACCCTATGTTTATGGTCTGGGAGCTGCTACTAAGGAAAGCTGAGGAATGCCCTGAGGGGCCTGACTGTTACCTCCTTCATCTCAGACTCAGTTTCCTAGAAGAGCTCTGCCTGTCATAAGCCCAGTATATTAGTTTCCTAGGGCTGCCATGAGTAATTGCCACAAACTTGTTGGCTTAAAATAATAGAAATGTATTTTCTCACAGTGCTGGAGGACAGAAGTCTAAAATCCAAGTGTCAGTAGGGCCACACTCCCTCCAGAGTTTCCAGGGATGAATCCTCCCTTGCTCCTTTCAGATTCTGGGGTCTCCTGGTGTTTCTTGGCTTGTGGCAGCATAACTCCAATATCTGTTTCCATCTTCATGTGGTCTTCTTTCCTGTGTCTTTTTGTGTCTTAGGGCCCATCCTAATCCAGAATGATCTTATCTTGAGATCCTTATTTTATTTACATCTGCAAATACCTTATTTCCAAATAAGATCCTTTCACCTGATACTGGGGTTCAGGACTTGAGCATGTCTTTTTGGGGCCACTATTCAGCCCACTATACCCAGTGCCTGGGATCCTTTCCAGAAAGCCTCAGTGCCTTCTCTTCTGTGAGTATTAGCCTCTTTCTCTCCTGGTATTGTCCTGCCTGTTCCCCAAACTCATTGCAGGGATGCTATCTACAAGCCTCTCTCTAGGGCAGCGAAGGGGGAACTGGCTGTAACAAACCCTTTGAATGATGACACATCCCAGTAGCTGTGTATGCTGCAGGCATGGAAATCTCTGGGGTGCTGCCTCTTTTCTCCTGGCCCTGCCTCCCAGACTTATTCTTTCTTCCATGGCAGAATGGCATGGTGAAATGACCCTTGCTTCCATTGCCCCACCAGCTTGGTCCCAGTCCTCAAGACCTCATTGAGCATACCCCTACACCCACCAGGAGAACACCTAAAGAATGCCTCATATTCACAAATATATTTGATGCCCCTCCCCAAGTGTCCTCCACCCACATTCTCTCCATTGAAATAGAATTCTTAGCCCCCTGGAGAAGGGGTAGGTCCCAGAGCCAGGTATGTTAAGTGTGATTGAGCCAGACTTAGACACATGATCTGGGGAAATATCCATGGTCTAGGTTAAGCCAATCAGACTCCTTTCAAGAGGATATTCACTAAGAAGCCTAGAGACTGGGCAGATAGAGTGGGCATGGGCACTCCAAGCTGGCTGTAAGTGCTTGTATGCTCTGAATTAGGGGCCACATTGGGTTGACAGACATGTTAGGCTGCATGCAAGCAAAGCAAGTCTGATTGTCATGGGGCAAATGTGCAGAGGACTGTAGAGATGAGACACCATTTGGCCTGAGAGCACCAGAGCAGGAGAGAGAGAAGGGAGAGATGCCTACTAACATCCCCATGTCCTCAAGGCCTGACTATACTTCTGTACTTTATTTCTGAATGTGTCCATTATTTTTCCGTGAATCCCCTTTAACTCAAACAAGCCTGAGTGAGTTTCCACTCTTTGCAACCGATAAACAACCCAAACCACTTCTGGTTTACAATCAGCTACCCTGTGAAGGCAAACCCAGTGAAAAAAGTATCTTACAAGAAACAGGCATTCAATACTTTGTTGTTGATAGAATGAACAAACCAAAAAGAATACAACCCCAGAGAGCAAACTGATCCGGGGCCAAGATTCTTTTCTGTTGTAATTTAACAAGTTACCGTCATGATTTATAAATTGATTGCTCATAAGTTTTGTCAGTACAAATTTTTCCTCCCCCCCCCCTCAAGAACCCGATCATTTGTGGATGAGTTAATAAAGTCGTGTTTCTGAATCTGAAACTTGACATGACGGCCACAACAATCACAAGGACTTGAGTAAGAGTCTTGGCGGCCCTACGCATTCTTACTACATCTGCTGCTGGCAGCTCTGCCGAAGAGAGCAAATGAAAATGGAGAGGAGGGGGAGGCAGTTGTACTTGATTTTAGATAAAACTGACCTACCTAAAGATCAGATTTAGATTTTTACATTTGGTCAATTACTGGTGTTTTGAGGGTACAATAGGGATAAGATGCCCATGATAATATTTTGCCTATTCAACAATATTCTTCTCTTATGTCCCCATACATAAACGAGGAGCAGAGATTCAAAGGCAATACCCAACAATGATAGTAACAAAATATACACATAACAGTTCATATTGGCCATTTTTTATGAAAGAGATTACGTGTCAGAGAAATATGATGTAAAAATCTTGCTTTCTGTAACATTAAAATATATGTGGAAAAAACTCTCTGAAATGTTATCTTTTTGTGCCTCATTTTTAAAGTTTGGCCAGCAGAATCGGGAGGGATGTGATACTTCATTGCCAGCTTTTTCCAAAGTAACATCATGTAATGAGGTAAGATTCATTAAGCTCTCTGTTGCGGCAAACCCGTAAAACTTCAGTGAATATGCTACAACACTTTTGCTCAAAAGCTTAAATACATTTTCTATTTTTAGCCTAAATAATTGAATTTTCTTTTTCCTTTCTCTCTCAATAGCACAGCTTTCCATGGAAATTGCCTGGTCTCACCAGAAGTTTTAAGAAATATGAACTCATGGGGAAAATCACAGATTTAAAAATCTAAAGACATTAGTTCAAATCTTAGCTTTAAGCTGAGTGTCAGTTTCTTGATAAGCAAAATTCTAATGGTATAGCCTACTTATTAATGTTATCAAGAGGACTGAATAAAAGAGCATTTATCTGTAGTTCTCAATCTTGAGCTCTCATTATAATCATCTGGCAACTGTTTAAAAAATGGGAATGTCTAGGCCTTCTTCTAGCCCAGTTGACCCAGACTCTGTGAGAGTGGAGACTTGGCATATATATATATATATATATATATATATATATATATATATATATATATATATATGGAGAGAGAGAGAGAGAGAGTGTGAGTCTTGTTCTGTCCCCCAGGCTGGAGTGCAGTGGCGCGATCCCAGCTCACTTCAACCTCCACCTCCCAGGTTCAAGTGATTCTCCTGTCTCAGCCTCCTGAGTAGCTTGGACTACAAGTGCCCACCACCATGCCCGGCTCATTTTTGTATTTTTAGTAGAGACGGGGTTTCACCATGTTGGCCAGGCTGGTCTCGAACTCCTGACCTGAGGTGATCTGACCACCTTGGCTTCCTAAAGTGCTGGGATTACAGGCATAAGCCACTGCCCCAGCTGGCATCAATATATATTTTAAAACACTTCAAGTTTTAGAACTTTTAACCACCCAGCCCAGGACAAGAGCAATTGCCTAGTTTTAAAACCTACTGTTAACCTGAGATTTTTAGGAGGAAAGCAATAAAGCAATGCGTGTGTAGGTGTGAGTGTGTGTGTGTATTAGGTGTTATCTCTTTACCTAATCTATAATATGCTAGGGCCTAGTCACAAATGAAGCTGTGAGTAGCTAATCTCATGTATGTGTTCTACTCCCAGGATTGTATCAAGAAGTAATTTCAATTGATACTGAATATAATTAATGATGTAATTTTCAGTTTTTCCCATTTAATTTCCCTAAAATTACATCAGGACTGGGACGTTGTGACCTAGTCCTGATCGAAAAACAATAGATAGAATGAAGCCTCTATGAATACTTCCCTCCCACTGAGATCATGGGGCATATTCCTTTTCTAAATGTAGGACCTTCTTAACACACCATGATGATCAATTTAAAGTCGCAAACATCTTGAGTATGGTAAATTTCTAATTTTGTAGACTATGCTGAAAATAGTTGGAACCTCTATGTTAGACATCAAATAAAAGTGTGATGCTGTTGTCCCTTTTCCCACAAAGTCTTTGGCATTTTATGAACCAGCAGATAAACTCATCATAGACTTGAGATGGGTATCTATGGGTATCTATGGGCTTTTAGTGTAGTAACTCGCAGCAAGAGCTTCAGCCTGAGTTTATGGTTTCTCTGAACCTTGGGAACCTCCACTTCTGCAAGTGGCCCCTAGTAAATAAATTACAAAAAGGGAAACTGAACTATGAGTTTTGATAAAGATTCTCTTCTTTTAATTACAGGAAAAAATTAAAATGGAATCAGTCTGCTAGACATCTCTACTCATCTCCAGTTACTTACTGACCACGCATTTAGAAGATGACGCTTTTGGGGCTTTTGTTTGTATTTTCTCTCTCTCATTTTTATCAAGCCAATAAAGCATAGGCTTAAAGCTCACCCATGTCCTGCACACCAGATGTGGTTCACAAAATGCTATTTTTTGGAATCTTGAACAATTTAAAATGAAATGCAAAAGCAAAAGTAAAGTTATTGCTAGCAGTGTACGTCCCCTAACAGTTCATCAGTGTAAATACTTATAGAACCATTTAATTCAAATAAAGAAACACTCAGGGTCATAAATCAATTTATTCTCACTACTCAAGGGAGATAAAAATGCCAGAGTTTGAATTCCCTAAAACAAATAGTTTTATAATTTCAGTTGCTAGGTTAAGACTGTTTTTATATAGTCTTTCATTATCACAAAGCACTTTGCAAATTACTTTACAGCTTTTCTATTGAATGGATTTGATTAAAGACTCACTGTAATGACAAACACCCCGTATTATTCTCACATTTATTTACTGAAGGTGTTACCAGCAAATTACCTAATCGAAACCCTTTTTTCTCTTTTAGCATTGCCCACGCCTTGACCTTTGTCCCAGTGTTTGTAAAAAAATTCCATTCTCATGAGTAGTACATTAATTGTGAAAGAAAGAAAGGAAGGAAGGAAGGGCAAAAGAAAGGAAGAAAGAAAAAAAGCTGAATTTTCTTGCTTTCGGCCTAAACTTATTGACACATCTGTAATATTGTCTATTCAATGGATTTCTTTTCTGAAAACATCTTTCTCCCTTGCATCTTTATCCATGTAACTTCTTCCTTTTTAGCCCCTTAGTGTTTAATACTACCTTCATCTTACATCCTTGGCTTTGGTTCCTGTTTTCCTAATTTTATTCAACATCTCCCATTTCTAAGTCCTTTTAGTTCCTTTATTTAACGATCAATAAGTGACATTATTAATGGATAGTCAAACATAAAGGAAGTTGAGTTGACAATGGCCTATCAGTCTTAGTGATATGTTCCTGAGTACATGTGGCCAAATTCTTGATATTAAAATATTTAATCCCACAAGAGCTTGCAGACATTTCTAAGACATAGGCCAACATTTATCTTATAAAATTACAGGGTGAAAAGCTCAATATTTTGAACATAGCAAAATGTGCCTCTACATGTCAGGCACCATGCCAAGGGTGTGGGGAGACAATAGTGTATAAGAAAACTTCAGACGCTAACAATTCATGAAGCTAACAACTAAGCGTAAGAGATGGGCTTTAATATATAATAACAAATTATTATTTAATTTACAGTTATTGGGAATGCTATGAAAGAGACAGGGTGATGTAAAAGTGTCTGATTGTCGGGCATGGCCTACTCTGGGAATCACGGAAAGTTGCTCTAACAAAACTGACATTCAGGCTAAGTCCTCAAGAATCAATACCTGTTGGCTAGGTAAAGAGAGGGAAGAGAAGTGTTCCCACTAAGACAATAGCATGCCCCAAGGTCCTGAAGCTGGATGGAGCTTAGTAAATAAGACAGACCATAAGAAAGTCAGTGTGGCTCAAATAAAGAAATCAAGGTAAAGAAAGCTCAAGATGAGAACTGAAGAGATAGGCAGTGGTCAAATCTGGTGGGCTCTAAGTGGGCAGCCAGTGAAGGATTTTAGTCAGGGAAATTACATGATAATATTTGCATTTTAAGAGCACGCTAGTTGCACTGGGGTGAATGGACTGGAAGAGGTGGGGACAGGACTAAAAGGAAGGAGACCAATTAGGATGTTGTTGGTTCAGGAGGGAGATGATGATGAATTGGACTAGGGTAGCAGCTGTGGAAACAGATAGAAGTAGAAGGATTTGGGATATATTTAGAAAATAGAATCACTAGAAGCAAATGTTTGATTCTACTGATTTTACTTCCTAAATATATCCCAAATCTATATTATATATAAACTCTAAATCTTTCCATTCATCTGTGTGCATATATGTGTTAGATCACGGAGTCAAGCAAGTAATCATTTCACTTTGCTCCAAGCTATGGCCACCAGCTCCAATATCAGCTCAGGACTTCCATCTTTGGAAGTCTGTTAGTCACTAGAGGACTGATGGATAGATCTAGACACTGGATGGAAAATGGCACCCAAAGCCATCATTAACAGTGGAAAAAAATAACTTGCAACATGTATTCTATTGACCATGCTGTTATTACATTTGCATAGATGGGACAGCCAATATACATGAATACAAATAAATATTCTTATCTAACATGGTTGAAAGTAAAGTACTCTATTTTATCAAATATGGGTTACCAGCTTTCCAAGCATGAGTAAATGACAAATTTTAGAACATAAGTGTTCCTTGGACTCAGGAGAACACAGCACTACCTAATACCACCTATTTCATAGAGACATTTTGTTACTTAAACAATATGTTCCATTAGAAACTATATTAAAGTTTCTGCCACATAGTGGATATAAAAGAAATGATAGCTAAGACTTTTATCCTGAGAATCATCATTGTGAATATTACTTATTGTGTTACAATTTTTCAAGCTGGCTGACAGTTTCAGTTGACTATGCTGAATAACCCAGCCTTTTCTACACGTATTTTTAACCCTGACTGTGGTATTTGGAGATGACTAACTTTGGAAAATTAAAAACGTGGCTATTCAAAGCTATGTGTGTGGTACATTATCATGAGTTCTGGTACATGCCTCACACCTTCCTGATGAATCCTCAAAATTCTGATTTCCATCTTTGCATTTTCAGGCAATGTCAAAGGTTACTAGACATTATCAATTTATGAAGGTCTGTATAATGCTAAAAAAAGTTTCCAACAGGAATTATGCTACTGAATATGTTCTCTTAAAAGATATAACAGGTCTGAACAAAGATTTTTCAGAACTGATTATTATATCTACTGCAAAGATATTCATATATCACAAGGTTGCTTGTAGAGTCAGGATGACAGCTGATGAGCATTTCAACCAAAAGATTAATAGAATACTAGAATAAACTGGTTATCTCATGTATTTTGTTTATGGAAATTAAAACAATAATCAAAACTTATAATGGGTATTTATATTTTGAAGTTTAGATGTTTGATGTCAGCTTCAAGTAGAAAAGTACATTTTCAAAATAGAAAAATGCAAAAAGATTTATGGATATGCTTTAAAACAAGCCTTCATTGTATCATTTCTTCATGGATTACTGTAAAACTGCCATTACCACATATTTTATTATATACAAATATATAATAGACTAACATATGCTATAATGGAATCCAATTTTTTTTAAGGGAGGAAAAAAGTAAACCTAAAGTGATTTTAACTAGAATACATAATTTTTTCATAAAATCATTGGCTAGGTGAGGATTACTCAATACAATTCTAAACTCGTTTTAAATATACACTATTTCCCTGAAGCAATAAACCCTCCTTGTCATGTTTTGCAAACACTCCTCTATCGTGACTCACTCAATCCCTGGCTACTCAAGCCTGTTTTCTCCCCACTGATTCAGAGCTCAATTCTAATTGCTTCTGGGAATCCAAACCCCATGTCCCATTCTCCTATGATTCTGGTTTAGTTTTATAGTGAGTGGCAATGAGTTATCAATCAGGTAAATGTGTTCCTTATGATGTGTCAGGCAACTAATATGTGACCCCCTCTTAGGTGGCATAATGCATTCCTCGCCTTTGGGAGAACCCTAATAAATGAAGTGGATGGAAACTTCAGACAATATGATAGGCCAGTGGTAGAAATACTTTTAGTTCACCTAAGTAGCTATAGAGTTCCAGAGAATATGTTGCCTTCTCTTCAAATCTGGATGAACCTTCACCACCTTCAGGCCTGAACTTCAGGCCCCACAAGCTCAACCTGAATATATCCTCTCTTATTGAGACTTCATATATTATCGTTATGAAGATAATCCCCAAATCTCTCTCTCTTTAAGTTTAACCTCCAGTATATTCCAGTCTCCAGTTTGCTTACTATCTACTGAATATTTCCACACAGGGTCCTGCTGGCATGTCAAATTCGACATATCTAAAACGGAACTCCTCTCTCTGTATTCAATCTCTCTATCTTAATTTTTTTGTTTTCTATTAATGGTATCTCATTTTTTCAGGTAGTTTAGGCTTAAGAGTCTATACGTACTGACTCCTCCCTTTTTTCCTTTTTCTCTTCCTTATACACTCAACTTCTAGGAGCCCTAATAGAAGTCAAACAGATAAAAGACAGCAACATACCTCCCTGTGAACTCTGGGCTGCTCAGTCTCTATGTGGAGTATAGAGATTCTATGTGGAGTATGTCTGATTCTAGCTACCCTCATTTCATAGAGCATATTGACAAATAGAAAGGTTTCTAGAAAATAGTGAATATTCAAAATTTGTATTAAGCAGAAACAGGATGGTTGTTATAGAATAGAGCAAACATACATTGTACTTTGTGAGATACTAAAGTTAGCTGTGAGAGCAATCGCCAAGAAACAAATTTTCAAATGAAATATTGAGAACCAGTTACAGGATATATGACCCTTCATCTAGATTAGGAATTCAAAAGAGCTAGCTTTTGTATAAGGAAAGAAAAATTGTGAAGAAACCTCTTCAGAGACAGTTGTACATTCCATTTCAATCCCCTCATTCCCAAGCCCAAGCCCAGTGTGTGTTCTTCAGTGTGGTGGGAGAGATGGATGCGCATCTTCTGCACCTGAAGGACAGAGGGACTGGGGCCTGATTCATCTCTTGGAAAGTTACAGAGCTCTATGGCTGCTCAGAAAAAAATGGCTGCCTAGGAAGCAGCAGCACTCATGTCAAAATGGAGATCAAAATCAGTGAAACCCAAGGACCAGAGGTGTTATCTGTGGAAACTGAATCTGAGGTTATATTGAAAAGTATTCTGACCAAGGGGGTGGCCTGCCAGAGTGAGGGTCCCCAGCAGTAAGGGGCAATGATGTATAACACTGTGGGCTGGAGTTGAAAGACAACTCACTGAAGGAGCAGCCTTTTCTGTATTAAAAGAATTATAGTGAGTGAACCCAAAAGGAACTCTCTAAATCCTTGTTACTCAAAGCATGGACCATAAGCTAGCACCATTTGCAGCAGCTGAGAGCTTATTCTAAATGCAGAATCTCAGACATCATCCCATATGTACTGATTCAGAATTTTCATTGTGATAAGATTTCCACATGATTAATGTGCACATTAAACTTTAAGACTTAGGAACTGGTTTGAGGTGGTATTAGTCAAGCAAGAACTTTCCTGTTCCCCCTTAACTTTTCTCTCTCCCCTGCTGAGATCTCTGTGTTTGCAAGCAGCAGTTATAGAGTTGGAAGATAAGCAAGGGAGAGCATGGAGAAGGCTGCCACGCTCTCATCCTCAAAGGCTGGAGGCAGGAGTGTGGAGAACAGGAAGATGACTTACTTCCAGTGAAAATGAAAAATCAATTAATATGTTTGATTGGGACACTTTAAATAACTGTATTATTTTGGTATTTACAATTTGAAGTGACTGTAGAATATCTTTTTCCCTGAGTTTGAGCAGAAATGGCTTGGGCATGGCACTGCAGGGGGCTGAAGGCCTCTGAGCAGACTTGAAAGGAAGTGGGAGCCAAAAGAGGAGATGCTCTTTGAAGACTGTCTGTGATCCTGGAGTTTCTGATTACCATTCCACACTGGTAACTCTTGTCTCCTCATATTTGGATGATTATTATATAGAAAAGCACCAAACACTGGCCAATTGGCAGACATTACTAAACATTTCTAAGAGATTTGGGTTGGCAGACTATAAAAATCTTCTGTGATTCAGGAAGGGGAACATTACACACCGGGGCCTGTCATGGAGTGGGGAGAGGTGGGGAGGAGGGGGGAGGGAAAGCATTAGGAGATATACCTAATGTAAATGACAAGTTAATGGGTGCAGCACACCAACATGGCGCATGTATACATATGTAACAAACCTGCACGTTGTGCACATGTACCCTAGAACTTACAGTATAATAAAAAATAAAAATAAAAAAATCTTCTGTGATTGCTAATGACTTCTAATCACAAAAGAGATGTACATTGGCATATAGAGCGATGCATTCCTTACTCCACTAAGACCTAAGTAGAGACAAAAAAATAATACCCCTCTGGCCCAGGATGTCATATTGTGACTTTCTCCTTCAGGTGAGAGATATGGTTTATACTGACTCTAAAGGTCTATTATCTTTGCTATAATCAAAGTGCCCTCAAGGACTATTCGAGATGATGGATTTGTCTTTCTCTATATTAGTGACCAAAACTATTACCAAGACTTCCTGACTTTTTATATATATGGCTCTTTACATTTTTATGTTTCTTCCCTTGATGTCATCTTATCAGCTATTAGATCTCACTTGCTTCCTACTCAGTCTGAATTTGCTGTTTCTAATCATCTGTGGGTTGCAGAAACATATGGCCAAGCTTGGGAGAACTGTGTACAAACAAAGTAAACAAGCTCTGAAGGTGATGTCCCTTCTTATAAATAGAGAATTTGGACTTTGTTCCATCTACTTGGCTGCTTAGGGGTCTTCTCCACTTACAATCTAGTTCTTGGGAATGTATCAGATGGGCAAGGTTGGTAGCCAAAGAAGTCCTTGTTATTGTCACAGCAAACCATAGCGAAGTGGTAGTTTAAGATGCTGTAAGCATCCTTGCCGGGCAGATAGTTTAACATACGAAACACACATCTCAGGGTACAAATTCAGATTTTATTACTAGTAGCTGGTAATCCAAAAGTGAGACTCTTAACCTCCAAAGCCTTACTGTTTTCATTTGTAAATGAGGTAATAATACATTTTGCAGGGTTCTAGAAACTAAATGAGCCAGTGGTTGTGGTGCACTTGGCTTGTGTATAACCCGGTCATTTTTTTGTTCCCTTTCCCCACCCAATCTTACCTTCTCTTCAACTCTTGGAACTGCAATGTATAAGGAATATAAATACACTGAAATACTTGAAGGAGGATATAACATCATGTCACATGAGCAGCAATTCAAAGACCTGGAGACATTTGCTCTGAATAAACAAAGACTCAGCAAATAACGATTGTCCTCAAAGGTTTGAAGGAGTGGCTGATGGCAGAAGGGTCAACTTGGATCAACATCTGATCACAAAAGGAATTCCTCCTCTTTATTTTTGGATTCTATTCTGAGCTGTCCATCCTCCTGCCATGACTTCATGCCAGATAGTCATTATCTGTCACCTGGGCCCCTGCAGCCACCTACATACTCAGCTTCCTGACTCTAATCCAGTCCATTTTCTACACGACATCCAAAATGACCTTTCAAAACACAACTCTGGCCATACCCTTCTGTTTAGGATTCTCCAGGCCCCCTTTGACAAAAGCCACACTCGCACAATAGGCCATTTGTGTCTATTATTCAGGCTTATTTCCCACCACTTCCGTGGGTCCACTCCTACCCGCTGCTCCCCTCACCTACATATACCTCTTGTTCAGCAAAATCAAACCATGAGAATTTCCTCAGAGATGCTTATCTGCCTCACTGTCTGTAGGCCTGTCTGCTTGGAACATCCTCCAACTTGCCCATGGGGTGAAATGCTTAAAACTGAGTCATCTTCTCTGGGAACCTTCCTATTCTGTCCTCTGCCCCACCTTCCACCCACAGGATTATTCACTCCCTCTGTCCTACTTCTGTATCTCTACTGTGAAGTGTATTATATTTACATATTTACCTATGAGTCTCTCCTTATTGACTGTGAGCTTCCTCACCACACACATTCTAACCATGTCTCCAGTACAGTGCCAGGAGTTCACCATGTAAAAGCCATAGCACTTAACAATCTGCAGCCCTGGCTGAGCTGCCAGGAGGATGCTCAGTGGAAGAGTAAACCATCCAGGTTCCTCTACCTTGAAGATTCACTATCTTCAGGTTATTATGGTACATTTTTAAGATACCTTAATTTATACTGAGTTCCTTTAATTTGGAAATGCCATTATAAAGAGGAAGTATTAGGCTGACTAGAGCTTCTCAAATTTAATGTCAAGAGTCACCTAGAAAGTCTTGTTAAAATGTAGCTTCTGATTCAGCAGATCTGGGTTGGGGCTTGAGATTCTGCATTTCTAACAAGCTCCCAGATGCTGCTGGTCCATAGACCATATGTTGAGTGGCAATGGTTTATAGATTATCAAATTCAGCTGAAGTTTGGGTGTTAGGTTTACAATGACATTGAAGCAGAAAATCTAAAAGTCAACATTTAAAAAACTTAAGCCAAAACAAAACTAACAAACCAGTTCAATTATACCAGTGATGGAGAAATGAAAACTACTTTTTAAAAATGAGATTTTAACATAACATTTCAGAAATCCATCTACTGAATAAAGCATAAAACTTAAGACATGTATATAATTTGTAAACTTTTTTAAAAGTACTTTAATTAATTAGAATAATTATTTTCAAAGAGTTGGCTGACTATATGAAGAGGTCGCAGTTCAAAGAGATTAAATGCAGAAAAAAGTTAGTTACTAAATTATAATTTTTAACTGTTAAAGCTTTCTATTTGACTGGAAAATAAGTTAAGCTAATTACTTGTTTTTAAAAAGAAACAGAACTGCTTCTCCTCCAGAGGTTTCTATGGTTTCATTTAATACGTTTGCTATTAATAAATAAATTAAAATAGGTTTTTGAAACACAATGGACACTAATTATGAGGAGAGAAACAAAGATTCAAATATATAGAAACTGAAATATTGCTTTATGTTCCTTGGGTCAATGACTCATAAACAGAAAATCTGTGCAGAATATTATTCATTCATGTTGCTGGTATTGAAATGATAAAGAAGCATTTCCAGATCTTGTGACTTAGAAAATTATTGGTGAGATATAAACAGTTAGAGAGCTATATGATAGGGAATGTGTAACTTATCAGGCTAGAAAAACAGTAGAGCTTATAAAGCCATTCAGAGGGCAAGAGTCCACAATCCTTTAGTCAGTCACATTTCTATTTAAAATGGATATAGGGACACGCTGCAATATCCAAAGACCAATACAAACATTTCATGGGCAAATGTCACATGCTGCCATCTCTCATCAGTAGCAAATGTGACATCCTTTATCAAAGATGTGTATTTTGCACATTGCTCTGCAAACTGAGAGTCTTAAGAAGATATTACTATTGTTCTGTTCTTACATAGATGAAGTGATCCCACACTCATTCTCTGCTCAGAAAGAATGTATTTGTTTACTCAACAGAGTCATGTATGTTTTCTCACAATGGTTTACTGACATCCATAAACATATTCACTATGGGATTCTAAAGTAAAGCCCCCCTCCTCCTGAAGCTGAGCTATACTCTATATGCCTATAATGAATCCTGTCTCAACAATGCCAAGTGTGATTCTGATCCAAGCTTCTGTCATCTTCTTTGGAAATCCTTCCAAACCCAGGGCCAGGAAACAATGATTATTTCTAAAGAGACTGAATTTACTTAATAACATCTTGACAGATGAAAAAAAGAGAGAGAATTTACATAGACCACACGAGATTTGAACTAAAGATATCAACAAAAACACATGATCACTAATTTTAGAAAAAAATAAAAAATAAAAACAAGAACATTTTTCTCCCAATAAGAATGCAAATTAATCTCTTTGGGTTTTTTTTTTTTTTCTATCATCTCAGTTAGGAAACTAGAACTTCTTTGCTCAAAGATTAGCCCCCAGAGGAAAAGTTCATCAAAATAATGAAAACATGAGCCCTGCTCCTTCCCCCTAAAGTGTTATGCTCACATATTGCCATATTTTTTCCATTAGAAAGTATGGGTGCCTTTCACTCTTTGTAAGCAATTTTTTTCTTTGTTTTCTTTTTTCCACTTTCTAGCAGAAGAGATTGGCATGAATCTTTGTCACTCCTAGGAATAAGCATCGGTGTAAAAGTTTATTAGCTTAAGTCACTACAGCCAGCTAATGAGGTCAATGCCATGAATTCAGTCCTGGGAGAGAGAAGGAAAACTTTGTTCCAAGCTTTATATAGTCTAAACTTTCTTGTCATATTTGCACACTCAAATCTGTGGTTTTCAAATGTATCTGTATGTAAGGATCACTTTGCCTTTCCTTTAAAGCTGCATCAAGTCAATTGTGAGTGACCTGTTGAATCTGCCTCTTTAATCACTGCCCCATGTCATGCTGATTCAGGTGGCCTGGAACCTTAATTCAGGAAACTCTTTAAACTCACTGGTCTGTCCAAAAGTCTGTGAGTTGGGGAATCAAATGACAGAAAGAGAATAAATGCAAGTCGGAGAAAAGCTATGGCCCACTGAACAAAGAGGTTAAAGAATGATCATCACGGAATAAAAATAACTTATAGGGCAAATCATGGGGAAAAATATCTCTTACTAATTTAGATCACAAAGTACGTACCTGCTCAGGAATGTATAATAAACTCTTCTTACCCAGTTCTTTGCCTTAAAGACTTTCCTAATAAGAGAATGCAGAGAGAGCTGTCAGTTTTGTTCAGAATTGCTGCAGTTGGTTTAAACTTTACACATCAACAGTTCCAGGAACTGTTGGACTAGAGATATAAATAGAAAGCAATAACAGAAGTAATATATCATAAGAGCTAAAGCAATGGTACTTTCAAACTTTTAAAACAATTTATTATCTTGGAGTAGGGAAAGAGAGGGTGGTGGGCATAGAATCAGAGGCTTGCTCTGCTTGCTTTTATCTTAGCTGCAACAATCATAGGAAATGTCTGGATTTCCGGATGTTCCTCAGAAACTCCAGTTTTAATGAATTGGGAAGAGTTGCATGCAGGAAGTCGATACGTACCTATCTTTTCCATCTGTTATTTTATCCATGAAGCTTCATTTTTTAGAACAAGAATTAGCAGTGGCTACCATTGCCATGAGTGGCAGCTTACAGGTAGGAGTGTAAGAGTTGGGTTAGAGGGGAGGGAGGGACTACAGGTGAAAATGGGGGTACAGGAGGGTCTGTAATGGGTACAAGCCAGAAGAGAGAAGAAGACAGTTGAGCACTTCATTTCTGTCTTAGGCCAAAGTTCTTCTGAGACTTGTTGCTCCATAGGTGACTTGGGGTAAGAGTTCAGGGAGAAAGATGATAAAGTGGGTGAAATTGGGCCTTTGATTAATGTCTTGGCATGGGTTTCCCCAAAACATATCCTGAGACAAGGATGTGGTACAAGAGGCTATTCAGCAGGTAACACCAGCAGGTGGAGAACTTAGGACCGTTGCCTTTGGGGAACTCTGATTAACTGTGTAGAACACACTTCAGTATTGTCCCAACTAAGGTGGGAGGCAGCTGGGTTATTCTCCACCAAGAGCATTATTATCTGGGTTATTCTCCACCTTCCTCAGTCCTGGTTAAGGTTGGCTTTCAGTTGTTACCTCCTAGGCATTTCTGCTCTGCCCCATGCATGGACTAGGTGAATCCCAGGAACCAGAGAAAACTCTTGGGGGAAAAGTCACAAGAGCTCACCAGTTGGGGTGCCCAGAAATGGGGAGCTGAGGGGATATGAGGGGGGCACCAACAGTACTGCTACCGGGGAAGACACAGGATGAACTGTGAGTCAAAGACTAGAGTAACCAGACAGGGTAGCTTAGTTTCATGAGAAAAATCAAATAATTTCTTTAGTTAAAAATAAATGCTCAACTTCATTTTGTTCCTACTTCAGAAATATATCTTCCATGGGCAATCTGCCTCCATGAAAAAAACCCTGTAGCAAGCTATATAACTTAAATGCAATATAGCATCACTTCACGTCATATCATATAATTCATTAACAGCTTTCATCGTAGGAAATGGGAACAATGTTATTCTGTTTTCTGCCCAATACGCTACCACCATCATTTTCAAAATTATGTTGGTGATAGTCATAATCTTATTATTCAATAACAAGTTTTAAAATATAGCTAAGGATGTCCTCTGGGTAGTTTCCTGGTGGAGAGGTATTGATTCCTCCCATAAGGATTGCCTAGTTACCATTTTTGTATTTTATTTCTTCCATAATTAGCTTTGTAATTGCAGTCCTGGGAAATAAAAACTTCAGCTTTTTCTTTCCTTCATTTCTCCCTTTCTTTCTTTTCTTCATTTCTGCCTTTCTGTCTTCCTTCTTTCTTCCTTCCATTTTCCTTCCTCCCTTTCCTTCTTTCCTTTTCTCACTTTGCTTGTTTATATTTGCTTTAAAAATTTTTTACAATTTGCTTTAAGTTAAAGGAGTCAGGGAGTGGGAAATCACTCTTGGGTTTCTTGGGGTTTCTGGTTTCAATAGGGGTTTGGAATGAGAATTATTCCAGGCTCCCAGCCCTTCCCATGGCTCCTTGCTGACTGTACCTGAGCTGCCAGACTGCTGTGGTATTCCACGTTTGCAGCAGATGCATGTGCACCGTGAGAAGAGAAAGGTTAGCTACTCTGCCCTTCTCTCTTGGTGACTGTCCAGAATTTTGTATAGACTCTAGAAGGGCTATTCCCTTGCTGCTGCAACCCTAATCCTGTGTTACCACACTACCTGCCAAGGCAGCTTTGGGGCTGAGACGGATAGGATGGGAGATAAGTCGAAGGAGACTGCTCAAATGACGCTAAGCCACACTTGAGAGTACCCCAGAGGGTGCACTGGAGGGAAGAAATCAGATATCAGATCCCCCCAGGTGGAAATTTCCCAATGCACTCCATTTACCACTAACTGCTTGGTTCAAATGAAAATTCCCAGAGACCCACAGGAGCCTGGTAGAAGGCTGTATCAGTTGGAAGGTTGGGTTTTAGAGAAACTGTTTACCATATCACTAAAGTCAAATCTTGGTAATCCTCATAACTCCCTGCAAATCCAGAAGGTTTACAAGCTCCTATGATATGATTACTCCAAGTTCCCACTGGCACCCAGATATAAAGCAGCTTCAATTAACCACAATGGGTAGAGATTTAGTCATTCTGCTTCATTTAACTTTTCTGGTTACAAAACCATTTTGTTTGAAGTCTTATTTAAATTTTCTTAAATCTTCTTACCTCACTAAAAAGTCTAAAGAGCAGACACATTTTATTCATTATTTGAGCCATTTTCGCATTTAAAATTGATCATTCCAAACATATTATTTTTCACTGTGTACTATTTTTGTTGCAATTAGAGAAGGCAGAATATTAGATTCTCAATAGACACTAAGGTCAGCTTGTTTTCTAATGTTTCTGTTCTTTCTTTACAACTCCAGGGATAATTAGGGGCTGTGGTTAGTATGGTCATGATGAGTTGAGGTTTAGCAGTGGTAAGTTTACCCTATGTTTATTTGCCCTTGCTTATAAATTTCTTTAGATGTGATTTTGAGAGTTTTTCCGTTTTGACTTGGTTCACCAGTGCAGTTATATTGCAAAGCAACATAGGGAAGGCACTCACTTGAATTCAATACAGCAAATGTCCCCTGAATGTCTGCGTGCCAGGCACCTGACTTCAATTGTTTTTCTATTTGCCCACATTACAGTGTTTAATCTCTTAGGAATCACTCAACCCATGTGTTTGGCGGGACCATCATTGTGATGTTCATGACTTGTCACTTTCTGTGTCTTTCATTTGCAGTTCTCATGAAAATCTCCTCAAGTCCACATATCACCCACACTTTCAGTTCTTTGCTAGTGGGATTATTATTTCCTTCTTTCAAATATCGCAGCATTTTGGATGCTCAGGGATAATGGTCAGCCCCAGAAGAACCTATACACTGGACACAGCCAAGCCTGGTGACACATGCCTCAAAGCAAGGCGATGTTTTGATCCCTTTTATAGCTTCTGCTGGTGCAAAAATTGGGGGCTGTACTGCGTGATATTGAATCACACTTTCTAAGTTTTTTCAAGAAACTGAGGAAAAGGCTTCTTTTTTCCCCATTTTTAAAAATACCAATGTTAAACCTGTGAGCAAGTATAACGTCTGGACAAAGCTTACCTAGGAAATTCACAGAGCATGACAGGTTTCCTTACTTTGCTGCACTATGATATAATTAATTTGAGAAGGGACATTTGGAGCATCTTAGAAGTCTGCTTTAGGAACAGTGATCATAATATAGTAATTCCATCTCTGTTCTAGGGAAAAGAAGAATAACCACATGGGCCATGTTGTAAAGCGTCTTTGCCCAAAAAGGGCTTTTTCAAGAATTTTCACAATGGTAAATTAGTCATTTGCAACTTGAAACACATTTCCCTCTAGAAGTTATGCATAAATAGCAGTGTTTTCAGGTAGGAATTTCTTGCCAGAATTTCATGGGAAACGATTTTCCAAATCCTAGATTCCAAGAAAAATTGAAAAATCAGGAAAATAGGGAAAAGAATTATAATTCTCCTGCAAGAATTAAACCTTACCAATCAACCTAGACACCTCATTGGTTCTAAGAAATGCATAAATATCAAATCAGAAGCAAGAGAAGTAAAAACTGACACAAAAGATTGAAGGTAAAAGTCAAGGTTTTCAGGCACCATAACAGGTTTACATAGGAGAGAAACAGCCAGTCTAATCAGTCACTCTCGCTCGCAGCTGCCGTGTCGTGTGTATTCATAGCCTATACGTATGGTATCCTTCACACAAATCCTGTGAGAGGCATTCCATCGATCAAGTTTGAGAAACAAAATATATCCTTAAGTGGGGAATTTAGACACGTAGTTTAGTATTGTGTTGTTAACTTACTAGAAGATGTAAATGTAACATTATTTGAATACTACCAAACAATGTTCACTACCATTTTCCAGTATTTAAATATTCACTGTAGGCTACAGTTCTTAGTAAATATTTTTCTAAACTTAATATTTTTTATTTATTAATCAAATATTTCTAGGTAGCCACAATCATGCATTTTAAGAATATGAAGACTGTTGGACATATTTTAAGAATAACATAATTTTGGAAATTCCCAAGAATTCCAATTTCTTTTTCTGAATTCCAAATATTAAAATGTGTCAGAACTTGGAAATACTAGCAATTTTCTTTCCAGGCATAGCAAACAGACATTTATAGTATTGCCTGCCCAGCACTCCTCCCTTCTCCTGGACCCATGTCCTTCTCCCCTCCCCCCCACACAGCCATAGTAAAAGCTGTCATGCTCTTTCCCCTGGCCACACACGATTGGTCCAAAGATGATCACTAATGAGTTCTCTGAATTTTTTCACATTGGAACTAGGAAAAATAGTCTACTTCCACCTAAAGACAGAAGCTACGAAATGTAAACAGTACGGAGAGACATAGATGAGCAGCATGGAGAGACATAGATGAGGAGCATAGAGAGAAAGAGAGGAGGATGTCCAAGTACCAAGTTCCCATTGTCTATGAATCCACCTGCCCCTCTGTCTTTCCCATGGGTTGGTTGTTCAACTTTGCCCTCAACAACTATCATGGTTTCCTCCTCTTTGCTTAAGTACTTCAGGCTGGGTTCTGATTTTTACAATTAAATGAACAATTGATTAATACATGGTGTTAACTTATTTAATAATAATGTAGTTAAAATATTTGACCTCTGATCATAAAAAATTATAACTAACAATAACAATCGTAATAATAAAAAGAAAGATGACTTTTAAATGGCAATGCTACTGCAGCCGTGATGCAGCAAGTAATCATCAGATATCAATATCTTGGGGTGAGTTAAATTATCAGAACTCCAGGCTAACAGGGCAAGCTACAGGTTCCCAAAGCACCCTACCTTTCTTTTCTTTTCTTTTCTTTTTTTTTAACACATTCATCTGTTTCCCTGTTTAAGTGGTTTGTCTCACTCACAGCCTTTAAGCTGTGTTAAGTGTAGGAGTCATGACTACCTTCTTCATCGCTATATCCTCAGTACCTAGCACAGAGTCAGACACATAGCAGTTGCTCTACAAAGATTTGTAGAATGGGAACTAAGAAACACATAAAAGTAGCAGCACTCTGGGTATGTGGATGAGGAAAGACTGAGAGCTGGACATTGGACTTGACCCCGGTACCTTGACTGGTAAGAGGAAGGAAGGTTTATGCACTGAACAAAACTAAGGAAAATTCCAGACAACAGGACAATATTGGCGGCCTGACATTAAAGGGCCATGGTCATGAAAGGAGAGAGGAGAGATACCATCGATCACAGAACCGTCTGGAATAGCCCCCAAAAGGATCCCAGCCATCACGCAGCTTCAACAAGATCCACCAGTGTCAGCCTCGGGGATCTGGAGTAGTTCTTCCCCAATCCCCAACTCCAACCCACCATATGCTGAATTGGACCGGCAATAAATGGAATTATGAAGGCTCAGCAAAAAATTCACCTTGGATTTATTTGAAAGCAGAAGCCACAAGAGGGCAGAATGAATGCTGAGGTTGGGGCTTGTTGCCTGTCCTGTCTCAGCTGCCTTCAGTGATGGGGTTGTGAGGGTAGACAAAAAGTTACTGGAATTTTAAATTGGGGGGTTTTAGCTCAAGTGAACTTTTTTTCAAATGCTAAAAATGAAGGACTATCTCAGACTGGAGAGTTTACAGAGTAGATAAATACTTTAGGCTGATTGAAGATGAAGGAAAACGGGTTTTAAGGCTGAGAACTAGAGAAAGGCCAGGTCTTTAGAGCTTAGTGAATGCAATTCCAAGGAGTTTGTAACTTTATCCCCTAGACCGCTACTACTCAAAGTGTGGTCCGTGGGCAAGCAGCGTTGTCATCACTTGTTCAAAATACAGAATCTGGAGCCCAGACCTATTGAGTCAGAATCTGCACTTTAACAAAATGCCCAGATTGTTTGAGCTCACATTAAACTTGGAGAGGCATGAGTCTAGACAATGGGGAGTCATTAGAATTTCATGTGGGAAGTGTCATGATAAATTTATGTTTTAGAAAGGGGATTGTAGAAGATTGAGTAGGGGACTGGCATTGAGCCACAGACCAGTTAGAAGGATATGACAGCTGTTTAGGCATGAAACGTTACAGACTCAAACATCAAAATGAGAATTTTTTTAAAAAAAGCAGAAGCAGCATATACAATTAAGATATATTTGAAAGATAGAATCAGTAGGACTTGATGGTATATTAATTAGATATCAGGTTTAAAGAGGAGAGAGGGGAGAAGTACAGTAGGTGTATAGATTGTTTGCCAGATAGGCCAATGTGGCAAATAATGATACAACTCTTTTTAAGATCAAGAATACAGAAAGAAAAACAAGCATAGAAATAAAGAACTATGATTTTAGCTTTTGACATATTGACATCTTAGGTATGCCTAGAAAGCAGGTGGAAACACTGGTGGGAAAACCTCACAGCATGACTGTGAAAATTAAATAAGGCACTGTAGCAAAAACACGTGGCAAATCATCAAACACTACAAATACATTAAATAGCATTTTAAACAACTTAGAGGTTTTTGGCCAGGAGTGACGGCTCACGCCTGTAATTCCAGCACATTGGGAGGCTGAGGCAGGTGGATCACTTGAGGCGAGGAGTTTAAAACCAGCCTTGGCAACACAAGACTCTGTCTCTATAAAAAATACAAAAAGTAACTGGGTGTGGTGGCACACACCAGCAGTGCTACTCGGGAGACTGAGGTGGGAGGAGCGATTGAGCCTGGGAGGTTGAGGTTGCAAGTGAGCTGTGATCACGCTGCTGCACTCCAGCCTTGGTGACACAGGGAGACTCTTCTTAAAAATAAAACTAAGATAAAATAAAAACAACCTATAGGCTTCTTTGCAGTATGCTTTCTTTTATATTATCATTTTGGTTAGGTAAGGAAGGATTAAGAGGCATCATTATTATCCTTGTAAACCCTAATTTGGAGTTCTAATAGCAGACATGAAGGTGAATATCCAGCAACAAGGACAGCAAGGAAGAAACCTAAAAGAAGAGGAATAATTTGCAAACAGTTTAGTGATGATTGAAAAAAGTAATATATACACAACCAGAAGTCACCAATAGTATGTAGTATAAACCTACATTATTAAATATGGTAGTAACTAGCCACACATGCCTACTGAGCACTTCAAATGTCACAAGCCAAACTGAGATGTGATGTAAGTGAAAAATACACACAGGAGTCCAAACACTTAGAAAAAAAAAGTGAAGTATTTCATTAATTTTTATATTGATTACATGATTAAATGATGGCATTTTGAGTATATTGAGTTAACTCAGATATATTATTAATGTGGATTTCATCTGTTGATTTTCATGTATATGGCTCATCTCTGTGCCTCATATGACATTTCTATATGACGGTGCTGGAATAGAGCATGACTACAAAACTGGCTGTTATTGAGTCTCCAGGATTCTTGCATCTCACTTTGGACACGTCTTCCCTTACATCATGTGCACTGACTCTCCAAAGGTTTCCCATTCCATCCTAACTCCTTTCTTTGCCCATTACTTCCCACCAGAAAGTAAAGTATAACTAATAGAAGGAGATGGTCTATGACTTGCCACATTCTCTTGGACAGATCTTCTGCTCTCTTCTAACAGCCTGTCTCTCAAATTTATCCATCACAATAAGTGATCTTTGAAATTGGGTTGGAAGGAAATCTCAAGATAATCTAATCCCATATCCTCCTTTTATGGATGAAAAAGCTGAAGGTCCAGAAATGCCAGGAAGTACACCTAAATGATATACTTCCGCTTGTACTTTCCCAACACTTTCTCCCCAGATAGACCTGGCTGTCCTGAAGCTGAGTTTTATCTTCATAGATGAATGTTTGTGGAAATATGTGGGAGGAGATATAATGCTGATTTGAACACTGCTTGGGAGATGATGGGAGGAGAGTTGAGAGGATGCATTTATGAATCCCCCATTTCATAAAATGAGTAGGAAGGCAGGTCATCTGGAGAGAGTCAGAGTGTGAGAGAAATTTAGAAAATTAGAAATTTAGAAAAAATCTGAGAAAAATGGACAGGGAGTCAACAAGAGATGAATACAAGGTTTGCCAAGCAGCGGAGAAGGCTTTGTCTCTGTGCGTCACAGTAGGTAGGTATTCAAATAGAATATGTTATAAAAAGAAACATGTAGGAACCACTCTGTCCTATCTCCCTCCTTTAGAAATAGTTGAATACTTAGGATACACATAATGGCTAGTAGCACTTACTTTAGTCATAGACTAGGAAGATATTTGACACTTCTGTGACACACCAGTTGTTTGACATCACCATCAGGCCATATTTCCTCTGGCTGGGAGAGATTTTCAAAATATAGAGTATATGAGTTTCCTAGTACTGCTGTAACAAAATACCACCAACTAGATGGCTTAAAACCATAGAAGTGTATTGTTTTCACAATTCTGGAGGCTAGAATTCTGAAATCAAGGGTTGGTGGGGCTATGTTCTCCCTGAAACGTGTAGAGGAGAATGCTTCCTTGCCTCTTGCTATCCTCCGGTGGTTTACTGGCAACCCTTGGCATTCCTTAGCTTGCAGCTACAAAACTTCAATTTCTGCCTCCATGATCACTTGATGTCCCCCTCTCTGTGTCTGCATCTCTGTGTTCTAATATCCTCTTCTTGTGAGGACGCCAGTCATACTGGATTAAGGGCCCACCGTCCTGCAGTAGGACCTCATCTAATTCATTACAACGTCAGCAACCCTATTTCCAAATAAAGTCACATTCTGCGGTTCAAGGGATCAGGACTTGAACACATCTCTTTGGGAGCCACAATTCAACCATAGCATAGAATATTCCTTCTCTATAGATGCATTACATTTGAATAAGACGTTTACCTAAGACTTTGGGTAAAAGTCCTAGATGAGATGGCATAGGTCCATTTCTCTCTGCTCCTCTCTGCCCAGTAAAATTATGAACCCTTGGAATAGCACAAGAGACAACCAAAGAAAAACTGCAAAAAGCATGAAGAAGAAGGTAAACTCGTTCGAGATCTAGAATTGGAGGAAAAACACAGCAGCAGGGTGTCTTACATTCCCCACCAAACAGAAAAAGGTGGCTCAGACCCAACATTTTCTGACTCTAAACAAGCAACAGAAGGCAGTCTAGGTAAGGTCATTCCTCCTATGGCTCGAACAGACCCTCTGACAACACCAGGTAAGCCTCTAGTCCCATTGTAAGAGCGGTTTGGTTGGGAGCCCCACTAACAATAAACTGGCCGGAGAAGTGTTCCCCTTTTCTGCTGTGCTTAGACTCCCCTCCCCCACCAAAAGATACTGAGGGGCCCAGCAGCATCAGCAAGAGGCATCTTACCACAACAAGCCTGGCCGAAGCTTCATTGCCTCCACAGGCCTGAGACTTCCCTCCACCAACCAGAAAAACAGGAGTGCCCATTAGGGGAGATCCTGCCACAACAAGCTCCTGGCCTGAGAAATGCTTTCTGTCTCCCACAGGCAGGCATGATCCTATCACTATGAGAGCGGGGAAACCTCTTTGTCCTCATGAGCCGGAGACTCCCTTCCCCCACCAAGAGACATCTGTGCCCCAGTGTGGAGAAACCTCTCCCACCCCTTAGGCAGCACCAGTAGGGATTAATAGAAGTTCCAGTGGCACCAGATAAACCCAAGCAGACCAAAATAACACCACAAAGACTTTAAAAATTAAACTGTCATTGGAACCACAGCCCACGATAGTATGCCAGGATCTGCAGGATAAAACTAAACAGAGTGACTTGCATGTTAAACTAAAAGATTTAAATAGGACCTAGAATCTCTTCACAAAATACACAAAATGTCCAGGATACAATAAAAATTACCTGTCATACCAAGAACCAAAAAAATTACAATTTGAATGAGAAAAGACTATCGACTGATGCTAATCCTGAGATAAATTGGATGTTGGAATTATCTGAGAAGGATTTTAAACCAGCTGTCATAAAATGTTTTTACAATCAAGTACAAATTTCCTTAAAATGAATGGAAAGAAAAGAAAACCCTAGAAAAGAAAGAGAAATTATTAAAAAGTATCAAGTGGAAATTACAGAACTAAAACAACAATAACAGAAATCAAGAAATCGCTTGATGGACTTCATAGAGTGGGACATGACAGAAAGTAGAATCAGCAAATTTGAAGACAGAAAAATAAAATGTATGTAATCTGACAATAGAGAAAAAATAGAGAAAAAAATGAACAGAACCTCAGGAATCTATGGGGCAGTAAGAAAAAATCCAACATTTAGATCATCAGAGTTATAGAAGGAGGAGAAAGAGAGTAAGACAAAAAGAAATATTCAAAGAAATAACAGCTTAAATTTTTCCAAATTTGGCAAAACACATAAACCTACAGGTCCTAGAAGCTGAGTCAATCCCAGACAGGACAAACTCAAAGAAATCCATGCCCAGACATATCATAATTAAACCTCTGAAAATTAAAATGAGACAATGGAAAAAAAAATCTTAAAAGTTATTGTTGCTGACGGACCTTATCCTTAAAGACTGAATAAGGGAAGTGCTTCAAGGAGAAATAAAATGGTAAAATAAAGAAACGTGGAGTCTCAGGAAGGAAGGAAAAAACGTAAAGAAGAGAAATATAGGTACATAAAATAGACTATCATTTTTCTCACGATTTTTATGAATTACATTTGATTATTCAAAGAAATCTATATACCATCTCATATTCAACACAGTATTTAGAAGTGAGGAAGGTAAAGGAAGCTAAAAGGAAGTTAGGTTTTCATATTCCACTAAGGTGGTAAAATGTTGAAACCAATAGACTGTGATAAGTCACATGTAATACTTAGTGTAATACTCAGGCAACCACTCTGAAAACTATACAAAGAGATACACTCAAAAACAGTGTAAACAAACCAAAATGGACCTCTAGAAGTATTCAAGTTAAACCACAGGAAGTCAAGAGAAAAGAACATGGGAATGGGAACCAAAGAAAACCAAAAAAGTAAATAAATACTATGGCAGATTTAATCAGTAAAAAATTAATAATTACCTGAAAAGTAAAGAATTTAAATACACCAATTACAAGGGACCCGAATACACATTTCTTCAAAAAAGAAATGCAAATGACCATCACATATATGAAAAAATGCCCAACACTATTAATCATTAGGAAAATGCTAATTAACACCAAAATGAGATATCACCTCACATTTGTCAAAATGGCTACTATCAAAAAGGCAAAAGATGACAAGTACTGGAGAGAATGTGGAGAAAAGGGAACACGTGCGTGCTGTTAAAGGGAATGTAAATTAACACAGCCATTATGAAAAACAATGTGGAGTTTGCTAAAAGAACTAAAATAAAATTACCACATAATCCAGCAATTCCACTTCTGGATATTTACCCCCAAATCTTGAAGTCAGTATATCAAAGAGGTATCTGCACTCCCATGTTCATTGCAGCATTCTTCACAATAGCCAAGTTATTGAATCAACCTAAGTGTCCTTCAGCATATGAATGGGTAAAGAAAATGTGGTGTATACACACAGTGGAATACTAGTCAGCCTTTAAAAAGAAAGAAATGTTGTCATTTGAAACAACATAGATGGAGGCCGGGCACGGTGGATCACACCTATAATCCCAACACTTTGGGGGGCCAAGGTGGGTGGATCACCTGAGGTCAGGAGTTTGAGACCAGCCTGGCTAACATGGCGAAACCCTGTCTCTACTAAAAATACAAAAATTAGACAGGAATGGTGGTACACACCTGTAGTCCCAGCTACTCGGGAGGCTGAGGCACGAGAATTGCTTGAACCCAGGAGGTGGAAGTTGCAGTGCGCCAAGATCGTGCCATTGCACTCCTGCCTGGGCAGCAGAGTGAGACTCCATCTTAAAAAAAAAAAGAAAAAGAAAAAGAAAAAAAAAAGAAACAATATGGATGGAATAGGAGAACATTATGCTAAGCAAATAAGCCATACACAGAAACACAAATGATGCATGTTCTCACTCATATGTAAAATTTAAAACAATTGAACTCAAAGAAGCAGAGAGTAGAATGGTGCCTATCAGAGGCTGGGGATTTTGGGTCATGGGGAAATGATGGTCAAAGTGTAAAAGACCCAAATTAGACAGGAAAAATACTTTTTTTGTTACTTTGAGATACATTGCACGGTGTGGTGAATATAGTAAATAATGTACATTTCAAAAATCACTAACAGTAAATTTCAAATGTTCTCACCACAAAAATTGGGAAATATATGAGGTGATGAATATGTTAATTAGCTTGACTTAATTATTCTACATTACATTCACAATATTCACTTTTTCCCCTTTATTTGAAAAGTTATACAAGTTAGGCCCCACACAGTGACTTACGCCTGTAATCTCAGCACTTTGGGAGGCCGAGGCGGGCGGATCACGAGGTCAGGAGATTGAGACCATCCTGGCTAACACAGTGAAACCCAGTCTCTATTAAAAATACAAAAAATTAGCCGGGCGTTGTGGCAGGTGCCTATTGTCCCAGCTACTGGGAGGCTGAGGCAGGAGAATGATGTGAACCCGGGAGGCAGAGCTTGCAGTGAGCCAAGGTCGCGCCACTGTACTCCAGCCTGGGCCACAGAGCGAGACTCTGTCAAAAAAAAAAAAAGTTATACAAATTATATTTTGTTATTTAACATTTACTACCTATATGGCCCATAAAAAATTTTTTATAATTAAGCTTTTAAATAACCCCTGAAGAAAATAACAATTACATTATAAGCTAAAAATTTTTATTTGATAAATAAGTGACAGCAATGTTAAAAAAAGAGAGAAATTGAGAGAGAGATTTAATAAGGGTTTCACATATATCTAGGAGCATCTCTAATCTTGTTTTAGAGAATTTAGGTCAAAATCCTTACCTAGACTCCACATAGAGCAAGAGTTGCAGAACACATGGATTAACACCCATTGCAGTCTGTGTAATGTCACCTGGAGGGCTTTCCATGTCTTAGTCAATAAGTGATCCCAATCTCCTTTTTCTTTTCCTGGCATAATTCATGATTGAGCACCATTTTCATGGCGAATTTAAATTAATGGGATACTAGTGATAGTTTTGCTTGTGAATATTGGTACTTAATCTGTTCTAGATGGCAAATAGTTTAATCTGTAATATCACCTTATGGGTTTTCTCTCTTTAAATTATATTAGCCTATTTAAATTAGCATATTAACCTAAAGGTGTAACTAAAAATATTCTAAGAATATAAACAAAATATATTCTGAGAAAAATGTATGGTCATTATTAATGAGAGTTAGCTTTCTTAAAATATCATTTATATTTATACGCACAATGAATGATATAGGATGAACCAGGAAATATTGACTTACTAGAAAGGCAGCACTCTACGCACAGTGAGTCGGTGATTCCCAAAACTACTGATGCCCTGTACTTCCCTACAGATTCTGATAAGCCCAGAGGCTGAGCCCTAAAACTGCTCTGGAGCCACTGAATAAGAATGTCTGAAAGAAAGATGAAGAATTTGCACTTTTAATTTTTTTCCTTCAGTTAGTTCTGATGCGCATAGTCTACACAAAATTCTGGGAATCAATATGTTAAGTCAGAGTCAGAAAACTCTTTTTCTGAAAAGGTCTGGATCGTTTATTTGTTTACACTTTGTGGTCCATATGATCTCTCTTTCAACTATTCAACTCTGCTTTTTTTTTTTTTTTTTTTTTTGAGGCAGAGTCGCGCTCTGTCGCCCAGGCTGGAGTGCAGTGGCGCGATCTCGGCTCACTGCAAGCTCCGCCTCCCGGGATCACGCCATTCTCCTGCCTTAGCCTCCCGAGTAGCTGGGACTACAGGCGCCCGCCACCACACCCTCCTAATTTTTTGTATTTTTAGTAGAGACGGGGTTTCACTGTGGTCTCAATCTCCTGACCTCGTGATCTGCCCGTCTCGGCCTCCCAAAGTGCTGGAATTACAAGCGTGAGCCACCGCGCCCGGCCTCAACTCTATTTTAGAATGAAAGCAGCCATAGACAATATGTAAATAAACAGTTGTGGCTGGGTTGCAATAAAACGACTTACAGACACTGAATTTGAATTTCATATAACTTTCACATGTCATTAAATATTTCTTTATTTGGCTGGGCTCAGTGGCTCACGCCTGTAATCCCAGCACTTTTGGAGGCCGAGGTGGGCGAATCACTTGAGGTCAGGAATTCAAGACCAGTCTGGCTAACATGGTAAAACCCCGTCTCTACTGAAAATACAAAAATTAGCGGGCCGTGGTGGCACATGCCTGTAATCCCAGCTACTTGGAAGGCTGAGGCAGGAGAACTGCTTGAACCTGGGAGGTGGAGGTTTCGGTGTGAGTCGAGATCGCACCACTGCACTCCAGCCTGGGCAATAGAGCTAGACTCCATTAAAAAAAAAAAAAAGAAAAGAAAAAAATATTTTTTTATTTGACTTTTTTCAACCATTCAGAAATATAATACTGTACTTGGCTCTCTGGCTGAACACAAATGGGCAGCAAGAGAAATTAATATCACAGCCTTAATTTGGTAAGCCCTTTATTAAATCATTAATCTTACTACTATTTCCATCATGGTTCATGATTATACAATTGACCCTGAACAACTTGAGGGTTTAGGAGCGATGACCCTCCATGCAGTTGAACATCTGTGTTTAACTTTTGGCTTCCCAAAAACTTATCTGCTAATAGCGTACTATTGACCAGAAGCCTTAGTGGCAACAAAAACAGCCAATTAACGCGCATTTTGCATGTTATATGTATTATACACTGTATTCTTACAATAAAGTAAGCTAGGAAAAAAATTGTTAAGAAAATCATAAGGAAGAGAAATATATTTTTCATTAAGTGGAAGTGAATCATCATTAAGGTCGTCATTGTTGAGTAGGCTGAGGACGAGGAGGAGGAGGAAAGTAGGATTGGTCTTCCTGTCCCAGGGGAAGCAGAGGTGGAAGAAAAGCTTAGTAAAAATGGATCACGCAGTTCAAACTCATGTTATTCAAAAGCCAACTGCAATTTATTTTATATTGTTTTAAATCTACTGGAAGAGCTCAGCATCAATTATTATATTTTTTCTTTTTGGAACTAATATTGTTTTAATAGCTCAAAATCGTATGTAACTTGAAAGTGAAAGGTGGAAAAATGAAATTAATCTGTCTACATAAGCATCATGGCATATCAAGTCATTATCTAAATTTATGGGTAACAAATAAATGGTGTTTTGTGCCTAAATTGATCAATTTGGGCATCATCAGTAATAATTTTTTTTAATTCTGTCCAGTTCTACATTATATGTGTATAGTTGTAATTACTACATGATGTATGATGGTTCATTTAATGTAACTTTAAATGATGTTGGTTTAATTTGAGTAGCTTTTTAATTAAAGTAAACCAACATTTGCTGCTTCATTGCCTAACAGAATAAATTAGGAGTGAGAGTAATGCATGAATATGAAAATTGTATAATCTAAAGTTGATGACTCAGGGTCCTTCTTCCATGTATTTTTTCTCCCAGTGAAGTAGAAAGGAGGCTTTTAATTGTTCTGTAGAACCACAGATTAGGATTTCTGCTGCCTCTCTCATTATGCTACTACAGTTTAAAATAAATTAGAAAGTATTCAACCTTGAAAGAAGGAGACAAGTCCCCAGGTGCTATCTAGTGTACACAGCTGAACAGTCTAGATAAATAAAAAATACATATAGTTAGGAGACTTATGACCAGTGAGGAGTTATCAGTTTTTTTATTATTATACTTTAAGTTCTAGGGTACATGTGCACAACGTGCAGGTTTGCTACATATGTATACATGTGACGTGTTGGTTTGCTGCACCCATTAACTCTTCATTTACATTAGGTATTTCTCCTAATGCTATCCCTCCACCATCCCCCCACCCCACTATAGGCCCCAACGTGTGATGTTCCCCACCCTGTGTCCATGTGTTCTCATTGTTCAGTTCCCACCTATGAGTGAGAACATGCGATGTTTGGTTTTCTGTCCTTAGAATAGAATGTCCTGCAATAGAATGATGGTTTCCAGCTTCATCCATGTCACTACAAAGGACACGATGATCCTTTTTTATGGCTGCATAGTAGTCCTTTTTTATGGCTGCATAGTATTCCATGGTGTATATGTGCCGCATTTTCTTAATCCAGTCAATCACTGATGGACATTTGGGTTGGTTCCAAGTCTTTGCCATTGTGAATAGTGCCGCAATAAACATACGTGTGTGTGTGTCTTTATAGAAGCATGATTTATAATCATTTGGGTATATACCCACTAATGGGATGGCTGGGTCAAATGGCATTTCTAGTTCTAGATCCTTGAGGAATCGCCACACTGTCTTCCACAATGGTTGAACTAATTTACACTCCTACCAACAGTGTAAAAGTGTTCCTATCTCTACACATCCTCTCCAGCACCTGTTGTTTCCTGACTTTTTAATGATTGCCATTCTAACTGGTGTGAGATGGTATCTCATTGTGGTTCCAATTTGCATTTCTCTGATGATCAGTGATGACGAGCATTTTTTCATGTGTCTGTTGGCTGCATAAATGTCTTCTTTTGAGAAGTGTCTGTTAATATCCCTTGCCCCTTTTTGATGGGGTTGTTTGATTTTTGATTGTAAATTTGTTTAAGTTCTTTGTAGATTCTGCATATTAGCCCTTTGTCAAATGGGTGGATTGCAAAGATTTTCTCCCAATCTGTAGGTTGCCTGTTCACTCTGATGGTAGTTTCTTATGATATACAGAAGCTCTTTATTTAATTAGATCCCATTTGTCTATTTTGGCTTTTGTTGCCATTGCTTTTGGTGTTTTGGACATGAAGTCCTTGTCCATGCCTATGTCCTCAATGGTATTGCCTAGGTTTTCTTCTAGGGTTTTTATGGTTTTAGGTCTAACATTTACGTCTTTAATCCATCTTGAATTAATTTTTGTATAAGGTCTAAGGAAGGGATCCAGTTTCAGCTTTCTACATATGGCTAGCCAGTTTTCCCAGCAGCATTTATTAAATAGGGAATCCTTTCCCCATTGCTTGTTTTTGTCAGGTTTGTCAAAGATCAAATGGTTGTGGATGTGTGGTGTTATTTCTGAAGTCTCTGTTCTGTTCCATTGGTCCATATCTCTGTTTTGGTACCAGTACCATGCTGTTTTGGTTACTGTAGCCTTGTAGTATAGTTTGAAGTCAGGTAGTGTGATGCCTCCAACTTTGTTCTTTTTGCTTAGGATTGTCTTGCTTAGGATTGTCTTTTTGCTTAGGATTGTCTTCTTTTTTGGTTCCATATGAACTTTAAAGTAATTTTTTCCAGTTCTGTGAAGAAAGTCATTGGTAGCTTGATGGGGATGGCATTGAATCTATAAATTACCTTGGGCAGTATGGCCATTTTCATGATATTGATTCTTCCTATCCATGAACATGGAATGTTCTTCCACTTGTTTGTGTCTTCTTTTATTTTGTTGAGCAGTGGTTTGGAGTGCTCCTTGAAGAGGTCCTTCACATCCCTTGTAAGTTGGATTCCTAGGTATTTTTTTCTCTTTGCAGCATTTTTGAATGGGAGTTCACTCATGATTTGGCTCTCTGTTTGTCTGTTATTGGTGTATAAGAATGCTTGTAATTTTTGTACATTGATTTTGTATCCTGAGACTTTGCTGAAGTTGCTTATCAGCTTAAGGAGATTTTGGACTGAGACAACAGGGTTTTCTAAATATACAATCATGTCAACTGCAAACAGGGAGAATTTGACTTCCTCTTTTCCTAATTGAATACCCTTTATTTCTTTATCTCACCTGATTGCCCTGGCCAGAACTTCCAACACTATGTTGAATAGGAGTGGTGAGAGAGGGCATCCCTGCCTTGTGCCGGTTTTCAAAGGGAAAGCTTCCAGTTTTTGCCCATTCAGTATGATACTGGCTGTGGGTTTGTCATAAATAGCTCTTATTATTTTGAGATACATTCCATCAGTACCTAGTTTACTGAGAGTTTTTAGCATGATGGGCTGTTGAATTTTGTCGAAAGCCTTTTCTGCAGCTATTGAGATAATCATGTGGTTTTCGTCTTTGGTTCTGTTTATCTGATGGATTACATTTATTGATTTGTGTATGTTGTACCAGCCTTGCACCCCAGGGATGAAGCCGACTTGATCTTGGTGGATAAGCTTTTTGATGTGCTGCTGGATTCGGTTTACCAGTATTTTATTGAGGATTTTCACATCGATGTTCATCAGGGATATTGGTCCAAAATTCTCTTTTTTTCTTGTGTCCCTGCCAGGCTTTGGTATCAGGATGATGCTGGCCTCATAATATGAGTTAGGGAGGATTCCCTCCTTTTCTATTGATTGGAATAGTTTCAGAAGGAATGGTACCAGCTCCTCTTATACCTCTGGTAGAATTCGGCTGTGAATCCATCTGGTCCTGGACTTTTTTTCGTTGGTAGGCTATTAATTATTGCCTCAATTTCAGAGCCCGTTATTGGTCTATTCAGCAATTCAACTTCTTCCTGGTTTAGTCTTGGGAGGGTGTATGTGTCCAGGAACTTATCCATTTCTTCTAGATTTTCTAGTTTGTGTAGAGGTGTTTATAGTATTATCTGATGGTAGTTTGTATTTCTGTGGGATCAGTGGTGATATCCCTTTATCATTTTTTATCGCGTCTATTTGATGCTTCTCTCTTTTCTTCTTTAGTAGTCTTGCTAGTGGTCTGTTAATTTTGTTGATCTTTTCAAAAAACCAGCTCCTGGATTCACTGATTTTTTGAAGGGTTTTTTTGTGTCTCTATCTCCTTCAGTTCTCTGATCTTAGTTATTCCTTGCCTTCTGCTAGCTTTTGAATGTATTTGCTCTTGCTTCTCTAGTTCTTTTAATTGTGATGTTAGGGTGTCGATTTTAGATCTTTCCTGCTTTCTCTTGTGGGCATTTAGTGCTATAAATTTCCCTCTACACACTGCTTTAAATGGGTGCCAGAGATTCTGGTATGTTGTGTCTTTGTTCTCATTGGTTTCAAAGAACATCTTTATTTCTGCCTTCATATCGTTATTTACCCAGTAGTCATTCAGGAGCAGGTTGTTCAGTTTTTATGTAGTTGTGTGGTTTCTTAATCCTGAGTTCTTATTTGGTTGCACTGTGTGAGTGAGTTTCTTAATCCTGAGTTCTAGTTTGATTGCACTGTGGTTTGAGAGACAGTTTGTTGTGATTTCTGTTCTTTTACATTTGCTGAGGAGTGCTTTACTTCCAACTACGTGGTCAGTTTTGGAATAAGTGCGATGTGGTGCTGAGAAGAATGTATATTCTGTTGATTTGGGGTGGACAGTTCTGTAGATGTCTATTAGTTCCGCTTGGTGCAGAGCTGAGTTGAAGTCCTGGATATCCTTGTTAACCTTACGTCTCGTTGATCTATCTAATATTGACAGTGGGGTGTTAAAATCTCCCATTACTATAATGCGGGTGTCTAAGTCTCCTTTTCAGGTCTCTCAGGACTTGCTTTATGAATGTGGGTGCTCCTGTATGGGGTGCATATATATTTAGGACAGTTACCTCTTCTTGTTGAATTGATCCCTTTACCATTATGTAATGGCCTTCTTTGCCTCTTTTGATCTTTGTTGGTTTAAAGTCTGTTTTATCAGAGACTAGGATTGCAACCCCTGCTTTTTTTTGGTTTCCATTTGCTTGGTAGATCTTCCTCCATCCCTTTATTTTGAGCCTATGTGTGTCTCTGCACGTGAGATGGGTCTCTTGAATATAGCACACTGATGGGTCTTGACTCTATCGAATTTGCCAGTCTGTGTCTTTTAATTGGGGCATTTAGCCTGTTTACATGTAAGGTTAATATTGTTATGTGTGAATTTGATCCTGTCATTATGATGTTAGCTGGTTATTTTGCCTGTTAGTTGATGCAGTTTCTTCCTAGCATCAATGGTCTTTACAATTTGGCATGTTTTTGCAGTGGCTGGTACCGATTGTTCCTTTCCATGTTTAGGGCTTCTTTCAGGAGCTCTTGTAAGGCAGGCCTGGTGGTGACAAAATCTCTCAGCATTTGCTTGTCTGTAAAGGATTTTATTTATCCTTCACTTATGAAGCTTAGTTTGGCTGGATATGAAATTCTGGGTTGAAAATTCTCTTCTTTAAAAATGTTGAATATTGGCCCCCCCTCTCTTCTGGCTTGTAGGGTTTCTGCTGAGAGATCCGCTGTTAGTCTGGTGGGCTTCCCTTTGTGGGTAACCTGACCTTTCTCTCTGGCTGCCCTTAGCATTTTTTCCTTCATTTCAACCTTGGTGAATCTGACAATTATGTGTCTTAGGGTTGCTTTTCTCGAGGAGTATCTTTGTGGTGTTCTCTGCATTTCCTGAATTTCAATGTTGGCCTGCCTTGCTAGGTTGGGGAGGTTCTCCTGGATAATATCCTGAAGAGTGTTTTCCAGCTTGGTTCCATTCTCCCCATCACTTTCAGGTACACCAATCAAATGTAGATTTGGTCTTTCACATAGTCCCATATTTCTTGGAGGCTTTGTTCATTTCTTTTTACTCTTTTTTCTCTAACTTCTCTTCTTGCTTCATTTCATTAATTTGATCTTCAATCATTGATACCCTTTCTTCCACTTAATCAAATCAGCTACTGAAGCTTGTGCATGCATCACGTAGTTCTCGTGCCATGGTTTTCAGCTCCATCAGGTCATTTAAGGTCTTCTCTACACTTTTTATTCTAGTTAGCCCTTCGTCTAATCTTTTTCAAGGTTTTTAGCTTCTTTGCGATGGGTTTCAACATCCTCCTTCAGCTTGGAGAACTTTGTTATTACCGACTTTCTGAAGCCTACTTCTGTCAACTCGTCAAAATCATTCTCCTTCCTGCTTTGTTGCGTTGCTGGTGAGGAGCTGCGATCCTTTGGAGGAGAAGGGGCCCTCTGGTTTTTAGAATTTTCAGCTATTCTGCTCTGGTTTCTCCCCATCTTTGTGGTTTTTTCTACCTTTGGTCTTTAATGATGGTGACCTACAGATGGGGTTTTGGTGTGGATGTCCTTTTTATTGATGTTGATGCTATTCTTTTCTGTTTGTTAGTTTTCCTTCTAACATTCAGGTCCCTCAGCTGCAGGTCTGTTGGAGTTCACTGGAGGTCCACTCCAGACCCTGTTTTTCTGGGTTTCATCAGTGGAGGCTGCAGAACAGGAAATATTGCTGCCTGATGCTTCTTCTGCAAGCTTTGTCTCAGAGGGACACCTGGCTATATGAGGTGTCAGTCAGCCCCTACTGGCAGTTGTCTCCAAGTTAGGCTACACAGGGGTCAGGGACCCACTTGAGGAGGCAATCTGTCCATTCTCAGAGCTCAAACACCGTGCTGGGAAAACCACTGCTCTCTTCAGAGCTGTCAGACAGGGACGTTTAAGTCTGCAGAAGTTTCTGCTCCTTTTGTTCAGCTATGTCTTGCCCGCAGAGATGGAGTCTACAGAGGCAGGCAGGCCTTGTTGAGCTGTGGTGGGCTCCCCGCGGTTCGAGCTTCCCAGCGGCTTTGTTTACCTACTCAATCCTCAGCAATGGCGGACGCCCCTTCCCCAGCCAAGTCTGCTGCCTTGCAGTTCAATCTCGGACTAGCAGTGAGCAAAGCTCCGTGGGCGTGGGGCACACTGAGCTAGTTGCAGGATACTATCTCCTGTTGTGGCATTTGCTAAGGCCATTGGAAAAGCGCAGTGTTTAGGTTGCAGTGTCCCGATTTTCCTGGTACAGTCTGTCACGCCTTCCCTTGGCTAGGAAAGGGAAATCCCCCGACCCCTTGGGCTTCCCGGTTGAGGCGATGCCCCGCCTGCTTCAGTTCACCCTCCGTGGGCTGCACCCACTGTCTGACCATTCCCAATGAGATAAACCAGGTACCTCAGTTGGAAATGCAGAAATCACCCGATTTCTGCATCGATCACCAAGTTATCTGTTTTTTTAACAGAATTTACATTATTGGATCTAAAAACTCATTCAGCAAGCACCTACTGAAAGCCTACTATGATTTACACTAGGCTATGATACTGAATAACATACTCAGGCCTGCCCTCATAGAGCCTCCGTTCTAGTGGAAAGAGCCAGGTAAGAAACAAGCACACAATTAAATATATAGTCTGTCTTATGGTGCAAATATTAGTAAGACAACAGGAGGAAGGAAATATGGTATGGGGATGGCTACTATTTTATATAGGGTAATCAAGAAATAGACTTTGGGGAGGTGACATTTGAGCATAAAGAATTAAATGAAGTGAGAGAGCAAGCCATGTAGCTATCAGGGGAAGACATTTCCCAAGTAGAGAGAACAGCAATTGCAAAGGCCTGATAATGGGACCATGGTTAGAATTTTCTAGGAATAGCAAGAAGGCCAATGAAGATGGAGAAGAGTAAGCTAGTTGGTATTCCATAAGGGCAGGTATTTTTTTCTGCTTTGTTTACTTCTGTACCCTCAGCCAGTGTCCAATATATAGTAAACACTAAACAAATATTTCCTGAATAAATGAATGCATGAGGACAGGGAGAAAGAAGAGGATGTAGGGCCTCATAAGTCACTGTAAGAACTTTGGATTTTACTGAGTAAAAAGAGTAGCCCAGGATTGCTGGGACATGTGGTAGTTCTGTTTTTAATGTCTTTAGAAACCTCCAGACTGTTTCCCTTAATGGCCGTACCAATCTACATTCCCACCAATAGTGTACTAGAGTTCCTTTTTCTCCATACTCTTGCCAACATTTATTATCTTTTGACTTTTTGATAGTAGCTATCCTAACAGGTGTGAGGTGATACCTCATAGTAGTTTTGATTTGCATTTCCCAGATGATTAATGATATTGAGCAATATCACATATTTCATATACCCATTGTCCATTTTTATGTCTTCCTTGGAGAAATGTCTATTCAGGTATTTTGTCCATTTTTAAATTGGGTTATTTTTCCTCTATTGAATTGTATGAGTTCTTTATACATTTTGGATGTTAACCCCTAACCAAGTATATGGTTTGCAAATAATTTTTTCTTAATCCATAGGCTGTTGTGTTATTTTGTTGTTTCCTTTGTTGTGCTTTTTAGTTTTATGCAATCCCATTTATTTGTTTTTGCCTTTGTGACCTGAACTTTTGGTGTGATAGTAAAAAAAAAAAAAAAAAAAAAAAAAAAAAAAAAAAAAAAATCATTGCCAAAGCCAATGTTCAAGAGTTTTCCCCTTTGTTTTATAGTTTCTGGTTTTATATTTAGGTATTTTATCCATTTTATATGAAGTTTGGGTATGATTTAAGGATCCAATTTCATTATTTTGCATGTTGAAATACAGTTTTTCCAGCACCATTTATTGAAGGGACTATTCTTTCCTCATTGTGTCCTCTTGGTACCCTTTTCAAAAATTAGTGGACTGTATATGTTTGGATTTATTTCTGGGCTCTCTACTCTGTTCTACTGGTCTATGTGTCTGTTTTTATGCCAGTACCATGCTGTTTTGACTACTATAGCTTTGTAATATAATTTTAAATCAGAACATGTGATGCCTTCAATTTTTTTTTCTCAGAATTGTTTTGGCTATTCGGGGTCTTTCATGGGTCCATACAATTTTAGGATTGTTTATTTTTATTTCTGTGAAGAATGCCATTAGGATTTTGAGATGGATTGCATTGAGTCTGTATATTGCTTTGGGTAATGTGAACATCTAAAAAATATTAATTCTTCCAATCCATGAACTCAGGGATATGTTTTCATTTGTGTTTTTTTTCCTAATTTCTTTCATCAATGTTTTATAGTTTTCAGTGTATACATGGTCCCCAACTTATAATGGTCTGACTTACAATTTTTCAACTTTACAGTGGTGCAAAACCATCAAAATTTCAACATAGTGTATAGCATTCAATGAGTTACATGAACTATTCAACACTTTATTATAAAACAAATTTTGTTTTAAATGATTTTGCCTAACTGTAAGCTAATGTAAGTGTTCTGAGTACATTTATGGTAGTCTATACTAAGTAATTATGTTCATTAGGTTAGGTTTATTAAATGCTTTACATTTTCAAATTTTGATGGGCTTATTAGAAGGTAATTTTATCATAAGGAGCATCTATATAGATTTTTCACTTCTTTGCTTAAATTTATTCCTAGGCATTTTTGGATGATATTGTAAGTGGGATTTTCTTGATTTATTTTTCACTTAGGTCATTATTTGTGAATGAGAATGCCACAGAAAGAAATTTAAAATAGAAATACCATACGACTCAGCAATCTCTCTTCTGAGATTATATCCAAAGGAAATGAAATCACCACTTGATAAAGATACCTGCACTCCCAAGTTCATTACAGCATTATTCACAAAAGCTAAAATATGAGAACAACCTAAGTATCTATAGATAGACATATGGATAAATAAACTGTAGTACCTGTATCAGTGGAATATTAATCAGCCCTAAAAAGAACAAGATCTTGTCATTGCCACAACGTGAATGAACCTAGAGGACATTACGCTAAGTGAAATAAGCCAGACACAGAAACAAAAATATTGCACGAATAACTCACCTATATGTAGAGTCTGTTAAAAAAATCAAATATACAGAGATCGAGAACAAACAATGGTTACCAGGGATGTGGGGAGGGCAGGAAATGAGGAGATGTAGGTCAGAGAATACAAAGTGGCAAATATGTATGATTAACAGGTCAGATCTAATATACAACATGAGAATTATAGGTAATAAAATTGTACTGTATGTGAGATTCATGCTAAATGAGTAGATTTTACCTGCTCTTGCCACGAAAACAAACAGAAGGGTAACTATGTGAGATGATGATTATGTCAATTTGCTTCACCATAGTAACTTTTCTGCCATGTATATGCATCCCATAACATCATGCTATATGCCTTATTTATACACAATAAAAATTATTTTTAAAAAACACAACCATTAAAGGGATCTGAGCAGAGAAGTGCCATGATTTGTCTTAGACTTTAATGGATCACTATATTTACAATAGATTAGATTTTAGGGAGAAAGGACTGAAGTAGAGAGAATAGGAAGAAGGTTGTTTCAACAATAAACTGCATCAAACAGTGAAATCAGCAGGTCCTGCACAATAATTATGTAAGATCCGAATTACAGTGACTTACAAAGCTGAAGGGATGGTATATATTAAGCATGGGTCAGACTAAGCTATATAGTAATAAAATGAGACAAGCTAAATATTCCAATTAGATCTTCACGGTGGTTGGGGTGCAGTTGATAACCTGATCCTCAGTTTTGCAAATTTAGAGGGTCTTTTGTCAATTCACACATGACAGGCTCTTGAAATAAACTCAAGTCAACCAAAGTCCCACAAGAAACACTATAGACATATCTCACAGAACAACTAGTACAGGTCATTGGCATGGACAGAGACTGATTAAGGACTGAGCTAACCAGGCAGTTTCCAAGGTGCCAATTTATAAGGGTTATGAAAATGTCACTGGAATTATATCAAATTGAAATAATTGTTTTTAACTAGACTCCTCCCAGAGAGACTAGTCCCTGAAGATAGCTCTCCAGTGAACAATGCCGGCAGCTGAAGAAAAATGTTCACAGTATTCATACTCACATGTATTCGTCTGCTCTCTCCTTGACTCTGGGCTGTACATGTGACTCATTTCTTACCAACAGAATGAGGTGGAGGTGACCCTGCATGGCTTCAGAGGTTAGGTCAGAAGGAGCCTTATAGCTTCCACTTTTTTTCTAAGAACATTCACTCTGAGAAAGCCATCGGCTATGTAAAAAGCCTACTACACTGCTGTAGAAACCATGTGGAGGGGCTCTGAAGCTGTATGGAGAAAGAGAAGGCCCGGACGAGCCTGGCCTTGCAGTCATTCTGTAAGGCAGCAGGCATATCCTGAATGCCCCAGACCAGATGAGTTACTAGCTGAATACCTCTGAGTGGCTAGTCAAAAATCTTCCTGCCAAATTCTGCCTAAATTCTGGACAACAAAATCATGAAAAAAATAAAATGATTTTTACGTTAAGCCACTAACTTTTGAGGCAGTTCACTATGCAACAATAGCTATTATAAAAAGAACAATAGTGTATGTGTTTTGAAGGAATAATTTAATAAACCACTTAGAGATAAGACTCCTATACGGCCCCATCATAGGCATAATCACTGAGCATCATTAAGCCAACTTCTAATGAACGAGGCTAGGTGCAGTTATATAACGGTAGAGGACGCATGTTTGGAACCAGACTTTTTAATTTCTTAGGGCAGTGGAGGAGAGGAAGCATTACCACCAGTGACCTTCCTCAGTCTTTCTCCCATAGCACAGGGTGTGAGTCTAACCTGGGATGCTGGCCACTGCTTCTCTTTTCCAGGAGACTCATTCAGAAAAAAAAGAAATCGTATGTCAGTATGTTGTTCTATGAATACTGTATTAATATATAGGGAACAGATATCTTTGTTGGAATTGTGTTTGAAGTAGAAACTAGATGTTTGAGGTGAACACTAGATTTGGGGTTTTTTGAACTTTTTTTTTTTTTTTTGAGATAAAGAATCTCAATCTGTCACCCAGGTTGGTGTGCAGTGGTGTGATCATAGCTCACTGCAGCCTAAAACTCCTGGCCTCAAGCCATCCTCCTGCCTCAGTCTTAGCCTCAAGAATCACTGAGACTACAGGTATGAGCCCCAGTGGACACTAGATGTTTAAAATTCCTGGAAAGACACAATCCCAACTTCATGTTATATAAACCTATACTGTATGGTCCTAATTGTCTTAGGATGGAAAAATATTTTTCCACAGCTATTGATTGCCATATTTCTAAAAGCTATATGTACATCCATTCTCAATATAGGACAAATAACACATTGCAATTTGGTCATCATTATCTAAGACTCCAAGTGCAGGCATTATTTTATGATTTTCTAAGTCTCCTCCAAGACCATCCCCAACAAAATAAGTCAGGTTTAGCTTTTTTCACTTATGGGATTCAGTGTACACTTATGGGATTCAGTGTATAAGTAGCTTATTAGTATGTAGTATGATTTGATTAGAAAATATATATATTCTAGAAGACATACAATCAGAAGAAAACTTCATTTGGTCTTTGGTGTAATTCCTAAGGACAATAACACTTAACAATATCCAACTTTAAAGGAATATTCATTTATGGTAAACACTATGCTAGATAAGTCAATAAATTTCACACGAAACCCATAAGGTAGATATTATAATTTACATTTTATATCTAATCATATTAGAAAGCTAAGGCTTAGAAAACTTAAATATTCACTCATGGTTAAGTAACAGTACCCAGCTCCTAAGTCTATGTTCTTATTGGTGATTATAAGAAGGCAAGACCTGGCTGTAAGAATTTATAAAGATAATCATTGGCCACTAAGAAGGTAACTTTTTTGGTTTAAAACTCTCTCAGTCACTTGAACCCGGGAGGCGGAGGTTGAAGTGAGCCAAGATCACGCCACTGCACTCCAGCCTGGCGACAGCGAGACTCCATCTCAAAACAAAACAAAACAAAACAAAACAAAACAAAACAAAACCCTGTCTCAAACTTCAGAATATAAGAGGTAGAACATATTTGTGTTGTTTATTATCAACACTGGAAAACTATGAAAATATTAATTTGTATTAGATTAAGATTACCACACACTTTATTATACAAAATTACAAAGAATTGCTATAGATCAAAAACACAAAAGAGTTTATCCCCAGGAAAGCATTTCACTGAACTTTTATACTCTTGGGATAAATATGAGAAAAAGGAACAGTAAAATCTTGAAAAGCATTAGAACCCATTTCAACATCACGTGTGATTCTGGCATGCTTCTCCATTTATTTCTCCTTTAGGGTTTTCACAGTATTGATGACATGCCCATGAAAAAGAGAAAAATAGTCATGATTGAAAATATGGATCTGATTTAAATGTTCATGAAAATTCCAATTTCAACACTCAATATTTGGTGGATTTGTGTGTGTGTGGCCAAAAGACATAAATTTCTTTAATGTGAAAACTGGTAAAGTTAGGTTTTTTCATTTAAAAGCATGTTGAGTTAGCCTCTTCGCTTTCCAACTCAAATATCTTTGAAGTTCCAGAGATCTTATAACAATGCTGAAAATTAATACAACTTATCTAAGGCCAGCATTAGGAATATATTTCTAACTATAAGGCTCATGGAACTAGTTGAAGAAAAACCATATGGCCCAATGATGCTTTGTCCTTAAATAAGACAGAATCCCTTATTTAAAAGAATGGAAAAAATAGAGTAGGAGACTTCATCCTTTTTCCATTTCCCCTCACAGATCTGGGGTAGTAACCAAAATGAGTGACATTCTCCTGCACAATTCTGCTTTTCTAGGATTCCAAAGGGATGCCTAGCATCTTTACAATCGTGTTGAAACTCTATCTGCCAGAACATAGTAGGATGTGGAGTAGGGAGGTGTTCAGAAGGGAAGAAAGTTGTGCTAGCCTGAAAGTGGTACCCTTTGCCTCTAGTCCCCAGAAACAAAGAGCCATAAGAGTAAAAGCTTGGCTGCTCATTATGGAGGTGGGGGAGGGTACCTTTTGTCATGTGTCTATCACTTTAGCCCTACAGAGAACCAGGCATGGGTGGCAAGAAAATCCTTGAATCATGCTCACAGATTGTATTTTCTTCTAGAGTCATTTCTTATTTTCAGAAAAAAAAGAAACTCACAATGAGAGGATTCTTTCCTAAAATTTGAATAAGATATAAGTTAGTCTATTAAAAATGCAGCTCTCTTTTCAAAACTTTTCTGTCCAGCTAGGAAAGTTCTTCAGCACCATTTTTGGCACTTGCATTTCTTTAAGCAGCATTGAAAGGGTGAAGAGCTGTGAAAGCAACCAAAAAAATAAAATTAAAAAAGTCCTTTGTAGAACATATTGCACCAACTGCTTCCAATCACTGGTTTCCAATTACTGTCAAACAAGAATTCTGTTGGATTTCTTTAGCTATTTTCCTCTTTATCTTGATTTTGAATTTTTAAAAATGAATAATTTAGAGAGAACTGAAATTGTCCTCTATAAATTTTATCATTCCTTCTTTGAATAGTTATGGTAAATGACTTGAAGGCATTCATAATACATGTTCTCACTTTCTGAACAAATTCCTTGAAAACAGTACAAAGAGTTATATGCCAACTTTCTAGAAGATGAGATTGTGAATTAAATCATTTCTATATGTGGGAAAATTATACAAATCTACCAATACTAATGGCATGTGTCACTTTTAGAATTAAGGTTTGACTGCTATCTTGATGTAAGTCCAAGCTCATAACCTCTACTGTCAAGAGTCTTCCACCAACTTAGTCGGGCCCCTCATCCACAAAGTTTTCCCTACCTATATCACTGGCAAATAAATAAGATGCTGTTATATTGACTGCCTGTTTTTTAAAAATGGAATGTAACAGAGTTAGATTGTTTACATTCAGGTTACTTTTCATAAAAGTTTCACTGTCTCTTTTTGGTAAGAGTCCATGCCACTTGGGTTATGAAATGGACAGAAAAGATCTGAGTCTCTAGTAAGTCTCCTTATTTCCTTAAGGGAATACTCTCAAGGGCCTTTTTTAGTGAAAACAAGTAAGTTGATGATTAATTTTTATAAGAACTAATGCATCAAAAGTCAGAGCCCCTCTTTTCATCACAAGTTTCATTTTCACTGCAGAGTTTGATTTGTATAAGAATAGTTTCTAGATAGAGCTGAAATCAAAAAATAAAATAAAATCTATGAAAGAAAAATCCAACTTTGCAAGCTACTCTTTATCATTAGGACAAAGGCTTCTGTCTGGGATTTTGCTCTTTGATGCTTCATCATCTTTCCTCTAAGGAGGGAAATAAGAATTCATTCCTGAGTGCACAGTATTCTGAGCAACTCCTCCCACTGACTATGTGAGTAACAGGGGAGAGAAAGAATTTAGGGTTATTTCCCATGTTACTAAAAATTTGAGGTTTTTTTTTCATGTATTCAATTATCCTATTAAACACTGAAAACTGGGAAGGAAATGTTTAGAGCAAGGTGTCTTCGTGAAGAGTGCAGCATTTGTTGACATTTTCAAGAAGCACGATGCCCTCAGTGTGAGGAACCACGCCCACAACACAGCCTTTCAAATGTAGCCCTATCTGTACAAGCAGCCTGACTATTTTTTAATCAATTTTATTATTCCTGAAAAACACTCATGTATTTTAGAAAATTATTTTCCACAATTGGATTTTAAATGTGTCTTCAAGAATACTGGTTTCAAGAAGCGACTGTTGAGGATTTCTCAGCACAAAAAATCAGCAAGAATAATTTTTTATCCACCTTAACAAATGTTTAAATAAGTATATAGGCTGGGTGCAGTGGCTCATGTCTGCAATCCCAGCACTTCAGGAGGCTGAGGGGGGTGGATTGCCTGAGGTCAGGAGTTCGAAACCAGCCTGGCCCACAGGACAAAAACCTGTCTCTACTAAAAATACAATTAAATAAATAAATAAATAAATAAATAAATAAGCTGGGCAAGCCCAGCTACTCAGGAGGCTGAGGCAGGAGAATCACTTGTACATGGGAGGCAGAGGTTGCAGTGAGCCAAGATCATGCCAATACACTCCAACCTGGGCAACAGGGCAAGACTATCTCAAAATAATAAAAATAAATAAATAAATAAGTATTTAAGTTCAGTATCATAGGCTCCTGTTGCTAAGAATTCATTCACAAGTTAGGATGTGTTCCCATCTGTTTTCTTCACTCCCTAGGTCATTTTGAGGCACCCAGGAGAAAAAGTTGAGTCTGTTAAGGACCTTAATGATTTCTGGTGGGTAGCAATTTTTAACATTATCATGTGTTTTTCAGTGATAGGAGTGTATAGCAAGGAAATTAAGCCAGAAATAGTGACTTCCACTCTAGAAGTTTGCTAGTGTAAAAGTGGGAGATAAATGAAGAACTCAAAGAAGTAAACATAGTCATAAAAACATATTATTTAAATTTGTTGGAGAAGCAAAATTTGGGCTTGATTCAGGTTTAGAGCAGGGTTCTTCTACCATGGAACTACTGACATTTGAGCTGGATAATTCTTCGTTAGGAGGACCTTCCCCATGCAGATGTTGAACAGCATCCCTGGTCCCCAACTAACAGAGGACAGTAGCACCTCCCCATACCAGCTGTGACAACCAAAAGTATCTGTAGACATTGCCAAATATTGTCTAAGAGGTAAAGTCACCTCCAATTGAGAACTACTGGCTTACAGAAAGAAAGATTTCCTTAAAGAAATAAGTGAGTTCAAGAAATTGACCTTGGAAAAAAGGTCAATGATGGGGCAGGATTGCAAAAAAGTAGATGGGATCAAAGGCACCTATGTGGGAACTTATTTTGGAGGGGAAAAAGGGGCAATTATAGAAGGGAAAGAATGGAAGCAGAGGTGAAGAGATTTTGAGAAAGACAAGAGGCAGGTTGACAAATTGCCTTATTTTAGAAAAGTACAGAGGGGACCCAAGTGGAAATTAGGAGTTGAAATTGGAAAATGTCAATAGCCCATGCTATAAGAGGGAAGTGAACAAAGTGTCAAATGAATCGTGGCTTTATGAGAACACTGAGGCTCTATGTACAGAAGAATTCAATCAGAAAGTTCATATGGCTTCCTTCTGGAATACTCAGCCAATCAAAATTACTATGTGACTTCCTCCAGGAGAATTCAGTCTCCAGAAGTGACAGCTGAAGGAACAGATTTTGGTGTTCACCAAAAGTTGGGAATCAGCAAAGCCCACAAGCTAGAAAGTCAAAGGAGAAATTATTTCTGTGATGCTATCAAGAACATTAATTATAATGATTTACAAAAAAAGTAGCAAGGCTCTGGTAGATGCTAGAGGATTTGGGAATAAGAGAGGGAAGGGATTTTTGGTTTGTTTGCTTTCCTAGGTCAACAAATCTTTATTAAAACCTGCAGTTACTAGGAGGAGGCCATGATGCTGGATGCACTTTCTTTTGGTTTTTTTTTTTTTTTGAGAAGGAGTCTCGCTCTGTCACCAGGCTGGAGTGCACTGGCCCGATCTCGGCTCACTGCAACCTCCGCCTTCCGGGTTCAAGTGATTCTCCTGCCTCAGCCTCCCGAGTAGCTGGAATTACAGGCAAGTGCCAGCACGCCCAGCTAACTTTTGTATTTTTCAGTGGATACAGGGTTTCACCATGTTGGCCAGGATGGTCTCAATCTTTTGACCTTGTGATCCACCCGCCTCAGCCTCCCAAAGTGCTGGGATTACAGGTGTGAGCCACCGCACCCAGCCAGGATGCACTTTCAAAGTCAATCTTCTCCACAATGTTCTTGGGCTTCATGCTTTCTTCTTGGCTACAGATGAAGATCTGCCCTGACTCATCGGTGCTTCAGCCATATTTTCTCATCCATATCTTCAGCTGGCTGGCTGTCAAATCCCCGAGCATCTCAGCCAGCAGCCAGCAGTAAATATGCCGGCTGAGTGATATCCATGACATGGGAGACAAATTTTCTAACAGCCTTCAAAGCCAGTTATACTTTCCAAAAGGGTCATGTTTTCATCCAGGGCTTGCCAGAAGGCCTGGAAGTGTCAAGTCTCCAGCAGATCTCCCAGGTACAAAATCTGTTGGATCAGCTGCTTTTCTTGATGCGCTTGGATGACCATGTGCTTGCACAGGGTGAAGCTGGTGTGGCATGGGTTGGTAAAGGCCTTCAGCGGGATCTGGGTGGTGACCGTGGTCTGAAAGAAGGCTGGGTTGAACTAGTACAGCTTCAGGACAGTCAAGCTGGCTTCTAGATCACAGGCATTCTCCTTGGCCTGTATCTCCACATAGCTCCCCAGGGAGGCCAGGTTCTCAGAATTATACCTGTGGATATTGTTGAGCAACTTGCCCACATTCACTCTCAACTACTAAAACATCACTATGACTATGGTCACCTTCCACAACCAGTGCTGGAACAGGGAAGTTTTTTAATGAGAGAGAACAGGTTTTGTAAGAGTGACAATGGAGAGATGAATGGAAGTAGTGGTTCAAGAGCAGAGTTTCAAACCCAGACGTCTTCACTTACCAGGTGCAATAAAGAGCCTAGAAAGGTTGTTGGAAAGTAAGGAAGGTGACAGAATTATAGATTTAACATATTGAAAAGGTAATAAACATGTATACTAAAATAACCAAAGAAAATGTTAAGAAAAGATGTATAGAAAAATACAAATGATGTTAATAAAAATAAGGCCCTTAAACTAAAAAAAAACTTTTAAACTTTTACAGTGTTAACTATGTTGACTTTTAAAAGAAAGAACTTTATAATCCATCATCTGTATCCAAAAATACTAAATCAAAATGTTCTATAAAGTGCCCACAAAACAAACTACTCAAACTTTAAATATGCTTAACAATTTTTCTTCAAATTTGGCTTCCTTTTCATTTCTCATTAGGAGCCGAAATCCTGCCAATGTTGAAATGTATAGTTTTACCTATTTTTAGTTAAATTAAAGTTTAAATACATTTTCATGATTTTTTTCTTTATGTTCCCATGTAAAAAGATCTTGGGCCACCTATTCAAGGTTCTCCTAAACAGGTTAGAATTTTCTTCAAACAAGAAAAAGTTAACCTCACTGCCCTTCTTTGGTTAATGGAAGAATTAATTTTTTACATATTTCTGATTCCTTTTATCATCAAGATGGTACAGTGTGGGGAAAATAGCATTTAAATTACTTCTATAAACTCATTTCTTTACATTTAAGTTAAATTACTTTGTCTTTTAACTACTTCTTATGCGGCATTTTAAGGCAAATTCAGGTAAGACATAGCTATATAGTAGAGGAAAGGGCAGACCTCTAAAACTAGGCAGGTAGGAAGGAGCTGGTATGTTATTTCTGTTTTAACCATGTCTATAAATGACCACTAAATCAGGATTTCTCACCCTGATAATTTCCAATTTTTACTTTCTACAGTTTATGCTACAAAAACAAAATCTATTGAATATGCTTTTTTAAGCTACACATTCTCCTCTCCTTATTCTGATTCTTTGTTTTACCTTTCTATCAATGTCACACCTTAAGACTCACCACGTTAATGATAAAGTCTTTTGGAGTATTTTCCATTTTCTCAATTTTTATAAATACCAATCAGTCACTAATGAGTTAGAAGTCATTGTGAATTAATTCAAACTATTGATATAGCCAAAGTATAGAAACAAAAGCAAATCATCTAAACTGACTCACAGCGTTTACTAAAGCTAAACAAATGCTTATAATGCAGAGATTTCACTTAAAGGTATATATTCATGATAAATGAGTATCTATGTCCACAAAAACCCATGTTCAAAACTGTTCATATCAGCATTATTCAGCATGTCTGAAAACTGGGAAGAATCTAAATGTTCCTTAATAGGAAAAAAGATAATGGAATATTGTGCTGAAATAAAAAGAACTAATTATAAACAAATTTAATAATGTGACTGGATACAAGGTAAATGCTTTTAAAAATCAATAGTACTTTCAAATAATAGCAATGAACAATCCTAAAATGAAAACTAAGAAAACAATCCCATTTGAAATAACAGCACAAGGAGTAAAAATACCAAGGTATAAATTTAACAAAAGAAATGCAAGGTATATATAGTGAAAACTATTAAACATTATTAAAGGAAATGAAATACAACCCAAATAAGTGGAAAGACAGCCCATATTCACAGATCAGAAGACTTAACATTGTTAAGAAGTAAATACTCCCAAAATTGATCTGCAGATTCAATGCAAACCCTGTTAAAGTTCTAGCTGCCCATTTTTGAAAACATTGACAGTTTGATGTTATCATTCATATGGAAGTAAGGGACCCAGAATAGCTAAAACTATCTCAAAAAAGAACAAAGTTGAAGAACGTGCATTTCTTGATTTCAAAACCTACTACAAAGCTATAGTAATCAAGACAATGTTGTACTGGCATTAAAAAAAAGATATAAAAATCAATGGAGTAGAATTGAGAAGTCAGAGATAAACCTTCATATTTTATGGTCAATTGATTTTCAATAAGGGTGCCATGATAATTCAATGGGAAAAAATTATCTTTCCAGTAATTGTTGTCTGTAAATTTTGTTATCTACATGCAAAAGAAGATTTGGACCTCTACTTCATGCCTTACACCAAAGCTAACTCAAAACAGATCATATACATAAATGTAATACCTAAAACTATAAGACTCCTAGAAGAAAATATCAGAGTAAATCTTTGTGATCTTGGTAAAGATTTAAATGAACATTTCTTCAAAGAAGCTATACAAATTGGCAATAATAAACACATGGAAGAATGCTCAACATCATTAGTCATTAGGGAACTATAAATCAAAATCCAATGAGCTATCACTTCATACCCACTAGCATGGCTATAGCCAAATAAGATGGACAATAGCTAGTATTGGTGAGGATTCGGAGAAGTTGAAGCCCTCGTAAATTGCTACTGTGAATGTACAATGGTGAAATCACTGTAGAAAACAGTTTGGCAGTTACTAAAAATGTTAAACATAGATAATGACCCATCAGTTGCACTTCTAGGTATACAGCCTACAAAATTAGAATATATTTCCACACAAAAGTTTCTGCAAGAATGTGCATAGCAACATAATTTATAATAGCCAAAAGGGAGAAATGACTCAAATGTCCATCAACTGATGACTGCATAAATAAAACATGATATATTCATAAAATGGAATATTATTCAGCAATAAAAAAGAATGAAATACTGATGCATGCTACAAAAAGGATAAACCTTCAAAGCATTATGCTAAGTGAAAGAAGCCAGTCACAAAGGACCACATATTATGATTCAATTTATGTGAAATATCCAGAACAGGCAAGTCCATATAGATACAGAAAGTAGGTTAGTGGTTACCTGGAGCTAGGGCATATTTGAAGGTCAGGGGGCATATAGGCAGGAATGGGGAGCCACTGCTAATTTGATAATTTGAGATTTATTTGGGGGTTTAAAAACCTTTAAAAATTATATTTTGGTGATAATTGCACAACTGAATATACTAGAAATTGCTGAACTGTGTACTTTATATGTGTGAATTTTATGGTATCTGAAATAGGTGTTAATAAAGCTGCTTTAAAAAAAAAAAAGAACCAGCTACTGAAACATACAGCATCATGATGATATGATAGCTGCCTTAAAGTTGTCTCAGAAGAAAATGCATATGAAAGTATTTGATAAGTTGCAAATATTAGTATATTTATTATAACTACATGGAGAATGCAAAATTCACATATTTTTCAAGTGACTATATTTGGGATTTTCTATTTTTTTTTTTTAAGATAGGGTCTCACTCTGCCATCCAGGCTGGAGTGCAGTGGTGCATTCATGGTTCACAGCAGCCTTGAATCCTCTCACCTCAGCCTGGCAAGTAGCTAGGACCACAGGCATGTGCCACCATGCCTGGCTAAATTTTTTAATTTTTATTTTGTAGAGATGAAGACTCCCTATTTTGCCCAGGCTGGTCTTGAACTCCTGGGCTCAAGCAATCCGCCTACCTCAGCCTCCCAAAGTGCTGGGATTACAAGCGTGAGCCACTGTGCCTGGCTTCAAATTTTTCTAATTTAGATATCTGGCATAATAACTCTTACAAAATTATGCTTTGTGCTAATGTAGTTGGACTACAGGAAGGATGTGGAAGAAATAGTCAAGTGGAACTGGTGGTTGTGTTTTTTGTAACAATATTTTTTGGTACATTTCCCAACAAAGATCTCCTTATGAAGATCCACAGGAGAACTTTCTGTATTTTTATATCACTAAATCTCTGGCGATCTTTTTAATTCATGGAAACTGATTATGTTTTCATTTTTAAGATGCCTGTGAAAAACACAGAAAAATGTGTCATCTTGGCAAGGAATAGGGCTTCAGGACATGCATGTTGTACACTGTGGTCACTCAGCTTTATTCTATTTTCCTACTCATATTCTCACTCTGAATCAGTTCTCAGACTGACTTTGACTTGTTTTGACACATTATATATCTTGAAAATCTGTTTTGAATCATCTTTAGAAAGAGATGCTATAATGAACAAACAATAGCAACAACAAAGCAACATAGTTAAATCATTATCCAATTTGCCACTCCTATCTACTACGGAAGTCAAGAACAAGAACACAGACAGCAATAACATAATAAGAAATACCCATATGTATAAACAGAGGGACCCTGTTCCATGGGAATCACTGAACGTGCTTTTGTGGTGCCCTTTATGCTCACTTTAATACCAGAAGTCTACTGACTAGAATAGAATCCTCAGAGGGACAGGGATTTGGGTCTATTTTGTTTACTTCTCCAATTCCAGCAGCAGGAACAGTGCCTACCTCAAGGTAAGTACTTAATTAAGATTTGTTGAAATAATTAGCACTGCATGTAAAATGTAGCTTTTACTTCCTCGGGGCCATGGCTACAATTATACCAAAATTCTTTCAAACTACCATGAAAATGTAAGGTATACATGAGTGGTATATAACAGGCAGAATTAAGTGAAAAGTACCTCACTGATATTGACCAAACCAGTTAATATTTTGGCTTTCTTACTGGAGTTGTTTTAAATAGAGGTAACAAAATTGTCTAGTCCAAAATGGAATTTTTCCATCTAAAACACTATTACTCTCAACTCTACAAATAAGATGCTTAATTATTTTTCCTTATGTAAGTGTAATGCATTACTATAAGAAAACATGTAACTTAATTTTCTATAAAATGTCATTCCTTTAAATCAGCCAGTGATCTTGATATTTCAATTTCTCATGAAATATCCATTTGGTATTTCATGAAAAAGATGGAAAGGAAGCTTTTTAAAAAGACATACAAGGATGGGAACACAGAGGAAGAGAGAATAGCAATAAACATACTGTAAGCTAGAAAGTGGGCAGATGAGCAAATACCAATTCAGCAAGCCTAAATCCTGAGTCAGCAACAGCAAACACTGAAAACCAAACGTGTTGCATGCCACAGAACTCTCAAAGGACTCAGAGATGAGCAGCAACAGGTGCTTTTGGAAGAGGGTGAAGGAATAGGGACTTAAAAGAAAAATGATTGGGTAAAAGCACTGTAAGAAGCAGTTACTTTCTCAAAACCTCTTTACTATCCCATGCTGCTCAGCAAAAGCTCTTCCTTCACCCTAGCAAAAGACTGTAAGTTTATTTTCTGGAGAGGGCAAATGGAAGGACTTTGTACAGGGAATTACAAGCATAGTTGAGAATATAATTTTTGAACCAAAAATGGGCATGAACTGAACATATGCTTACTGGATGCTGAAATTCCCCATCTTCAGGACACTGGGCAGCCAGACCTTTACCCTGCAGGGAGACAACTGGAAAACCCTTCTCAGAGGAATCTAACGAGCCCATGAGTAAATATATAAAATACTAACATTGGTTTGTCCCAACACACAACCTAGCTGACTATCCTAAACTGAAACTAAATGTCAACTGGCCCCACTCTCATACCAAGAGTTTATGGTTAGCTTTTAGTGTATAAGCAAGCAATTGATTTTTGTATATTTACTTTATAGTCTGTGACCTTCCTAAGTTAGCTCAACAATTGTGAATAGTGTTGTTTGTAGATTTGTTAGAATACTATACATAATCAATCATGTCATCTGTGACTAGATGTTAGAATACTCTACATAATCAATCATGTCATCTGCGACTAGACTTTATTTTCTTTCTTGCCTAATTGCAAAGGCTAGGTTCTTCAAAACTACATTAAACATAAGTAGTGAGAGTCTGCATCCTTGTTTTGTTCCTGACCTTAGAGAATAAGTACTCTATCTTTCAACATTAAATATGATGTTAGCTGTGTATTTTTCATATATGGACTTTTCCAGATTAAGGAAATTCCTTTTGTTTCTAATTTGATGAAATGTTTTATCATAAATGGATATTGAATTTTTTCAAACTCTTTTTACGTCTATTGAAATGATAATTGTTTCTCCTTTGTTAATATGGTGAATTAGTTGATTGATTCTTGAATGTTAAATCAGCTTTGCATTCCTAGAACTTATTTGCTAACATTTAATTAAGAATCTTTGGGTCTATGTTCATGAGCATTGATGTGTATGCATGTATATATACATTTATATCTTTTTTTAAGTGTATATTTTTAATGCTTCTGTCTGGCCTTGGTATCAGGGTGTTATTGATTTCATGAAATGAGTTGAATAGGGCTGTCATCCTCCACTTTCTGAAAGATTTTGTGTAAAATTGGTATTATTTCTTTTTTAAATGCTAAATAGATTTCACCAATTAAGCCACGTGGGCCTGTTTCCCAATTAGCTTTTTGGTCTTCCACTCTTAAATACAGACATATAGACATCCAAGGATTGACCCAATCTGAACATTAGAATCAACTGGTAAGCCATGAAGAAATGTGTCCCAATAGCAGAGGTCTGGGTTTACTTGCCTGTTGTGGCCTACACATCAGTATTTTTTTAAAGCTCCCTAGGTGATTCTGATCATGCCTAGTGCTAAAAACCTTCCCTATAACATGGAAGCTAGAGACAAAAACAATCAGAAAAGAGTAAACTAAAAAAAAAACAGAGACTGTGCAAGGAAATGACAACTCTAAAGAAGTTATTGCTGATATCATCAGAGACATGAGAGAAGATAGTGACACCATGAAAAAAAGAACAAGATGCCATAGCAAAGACCATCCAGAGACATCAAGAACTGCATGTATTGCTTTCAAAGATGTGATACCATGTAGAGCTTAGGTTTTAGACTCAGATGTTAAGCAGAATTGATTTCAAGTACTGGATCTCCACATTTTACTGACTTTGGGACCTTGAGCTAGTTACTTAAGTTCTTTGAGACTCTGTTTCCCTAGCTACAAAACAGCAATAGTGATAGTATCCACCTCTTGGGGTTGCTGTGAGTAATAAAAGGAATAATACTTATAAAGTAGTTGGGAGAGTGGTGGCACAATGAATTAATAATATGTAGTAGTCACTCTAGTTTAAACTTCTGTTGATTGTTACTTGTTATTTTGAGTCAAGTAGGACCAATGCCTTTGGCAGCACTAAATTAAATAAGCAATCTAACTAGTGAATTACCATCCAAATTTAAAAAGCAAACAATACATTAGTCCATGGAGAAGAGTAGAATGAGGGGAAAGTGTGTAAAATAAAGTTATTTTGATGAAGTGATTATTCATTTCTAAAACGTGCCCTCATTTACCAAAATTAGCTTCGAAGCTACTTGCTCATATTTCCTTGGTATTTGGCACAAGCTCAAATGTGCCACAGAACCCTGGACACTCAACAGCATCTGTGCAGCAAATCATAGAACAGACTAAAAGAGTGGCTCTATGAGATCACTCATTAAATATTTTCTTAAGCTTTAATCTAGTTTCATTTTCAGTATTCTCTCAGTGACATTTATAGTTTAGAATAAAATAAATAACAATTAAATGTACAATTCTCTACTTCTGCTGAAGATATTGTTCAGTCTTCTCAAAGCTAGAAGGAAGATGAAAAGAATGCCTGAAAGACACATTGTTTGGTCCACATCCTTAACAGATGTTAATTGGCATTTTCATTATCATGATCATTATGTTTCAGGTTAGGACTAGCTAATGATGAACTTGAAATTTCCCACATACAATGTGAGAATGTTAGTTAGCCTGGGATACTTCTATATTCCCTAACCTCAAAACATCCACTTAGAATAGCTAATTGAGATATGACATTTATTTATTTTCATATATGTATCTATATATGTATCTATTTTTGTTGATTATAGTGTTCATTAGTACTAAAGAATGCAGTTTGTGGACAGATCATTTGGTCTATCCACATTCATTACCTACAATGTTTTGCTTTATAGGCCAGCCAAAAATACGAACATAACTATTGTTCAAGAATTATTTAGAGTAAGAAAACAGGAAGATTCTTAAGTTTGACTTAAATGACAAAATGCCCTTCCCTGGGTATTTTTATCTCTTTGATTATTGGAGATGAGAATAACATCCTCTGAGTTAGGACCAAGTCCCATCAGTAACATGATCTCACTTACAATCTTCTTTGTCAAAAGAACATATATTGCCTTTTGTCACTCCTGGAGGCTGTTAGACAAGGTGAACATCAAAAAAGTTCCATAACCCTCAGAAAGAGCCTAAAAATTATGTTTCTTACTTTCAATAAGCTTCATTTGGAATTTTCGGACAAAAAATTAATAGCACTGAGATGTGTTCCAGAATCATCTTTTCTGGAAATTGGCAATAAAATAAAATATCATAATTCCTCAGTCTGCAAAATACTCACAGGAAATGGCCTTTTTCATGCCCTGTGAGCCTGGAAGAATATGTAAAACCTAGAACTTGTCTGTTCCAAACAGTCTCTACTGACAATCAATTAAAACCACCCCTCATAAAAAGATATAAAGTTTCAGTTAGTGTCATTTGCAGAAGGTAGCACCACTTAAGCAATAATATCTTTAAAATGGGAAAAAGTAATCAGTGAGGTTACACACCAGGCATCTGGGCAACTGCAGGCAATCTTCTTTATCTTTGTATTCTTGGGAGCATCTAGCCTAGTTAGAAAAAGAAGAAAATGACACCAGAAAAATAACAATCATTTTAACATTAGGTAAAGGGACTGAAACTATTTCTTTTTAGGGCTATTCAAATGAAAAATACATTCTCACACCAAGAACCTTAGTTTCAAGATTCCATTTCTACCTAGATGTCTCTTGAATGATGCTTAGATTCCTCTTTGTATAGAGGGGGATTGTTAACCTTTAGATGAAATAATCCTATTAATGCACCTCGTCAGATCTCTGTGGGCCAAACAGTTTCAGCCAGGGCTTCCAGAATATACATATGCCCACCAAGAATTGTCCAGAGTCTAAATCACCCAAAGAACTAGTATCCTATTGAGACTTTCATCCTGGAAAAGTTCAGAGGCCACTCTTTTTACTATATATTGGAAAATTAGGCTGAATGTGTACAAAAGTATATGAATATTTTTGTCTCTTCTGCTCCTATAGTGCTTTATTTATTTTTTCTGTACTTTCATTTTCTAAGACAATCTCTGAAAGAGATTTTACTGAGATTAATCCATAAGATGGCGGAACTGATGATCACAAAACACTGCCATATAGATTCCCTCCCAAGTAGAGAAAGAAGACCAAATTTACAATTAGAACAGTACCCTTTGCCTTGATTGCTTCTCTCACTGATGGCATTTTTCCTGAAAAACTGTTAAGTAGCCGACCTGACTGTTCACAATGTGGCTCCCGAATGTCCATCTTCTTCCAGTTGCCAAGAAGAAAAATCTTAGAAAATTCAGAAAGCATTTGTTGCTTTAAATACTGGTGGTTTTGTGAAGTAGATGTAATAATTATGTAAACTCATTCTTAATAAGTGGTTCGCTTAGATAATTATTTCCTGTTTTGCTCTACAAATAAATGGCAACTGAATTTCATGTGGGTATGATCAATAATGCAGCTTCCTTATTAAGTTAAATTGCATTCTAATTCCTCCACATTTGCCATTCATTGATACCACTGTGACTCACCAAAATGACAAATCGATTTCCAAAAATGTCCTTGTAGAGAGAGGAGCAAATATTTATTTTTAGAGAAGCCAGAAGGGCCACACTCTTGCAAAAAGAGGTCAGCTGGCCTGAAAAAGCGCCAACTTCAGTTGTATAATGAAAACTGACCCAGGCTCTGAAATCTCACTTGGAGGCTTCCAACAAGATTTCATCACTACTCGGACTATGGTATTTATATGGGATGGTCTAGTTTAATAAGCTGTTTCACCAGCTTCTTAACTTTCACTGCAAGTATTTCTCCAGAAGCCAAGCCCTCCAATCTCACTCCTTTTGTGGGTTTGAAGTATTAATTATTGTTTAGATTCTACAAAAACAAGTAGAATGAGCTGTAAGCTTCTATGTCTGTTGGTTCCTAAATTGCTTGGCCATAATTCTATTTTGTTATCGTTGTTTACTTCATTGTTGTTAACTCTACAGGAAGTTCAACATTTTAGGGAGTTGAAATAACCTATAGATCTTCCACAAGCCCTAATTCTTTAAAGGGCTAGTTGTCTCATCTTATAAAATATGCTACTAGTTCAGGTTTAAAATCAATAACAAAAGAGAAAAATGTATTAAGTCACATGCATGAACAAAATGTGGTTCAAATAATAATTTAAGTCAGTTTTAAAAAGTGACTTTTATGTCAAATTATTTTTGCCACTAATTTTTCTAAAGTTTTTATATCAAATATGTATTATTTTTATTTAAAAAATAGTAACAAGAAATAGTTATCATATTTTACCAACTGGAAAAGCCAAGGTCTTACTCTAAACTTCCACTGTTATAAATATATGGTTCTTATATGATTGTAATCATTGCGCACATGCCAGGTGATTGCTATTTATTACTTAGCAAAGAGTTTTCCATGTGTCTCTAATCTACACATATTTGTCAGATTTATAGGCCGTAAAATATTTTATTGATAGAACACAATTAACTAACTCACTTGCCAACATTTAGACATTTGTCCGGACTTTTAAAATATAAACATTATGATTAGGCACTGTATTAGCTTCCTAAGGTGCCATAAAGAAGTATCACAAACTAGGATGCCTTAAAATAACATAACTATATTCTCTCTCAGTTCTTGGAGAAGTCTAAAATCAAGGTGTTGGCAGGGCCATGCTCCCTCTGAATCCTTTGAGGGAGAATCCTCCTTTGCCTCTTCCAGCATCTGTAGCCTCACACATTCCTTGGTTTTTGACAGTATCACCCCAGTCTTCATCTCATATGGCCATCATCCCCCATGTCTCTTTGCTTTTTATAAGAACACCAATCATGATGTGTTAAAGTCCCACCTGACTCTAGTATGACTCCAACTTAACTAATTACATATGTAACAACCCAATTTCCAGATAAGTTCGCATTCTGAGGTTTCAGAAAGCACAAGAAATTTAGGGGGAAACTACCTAAACTTGTACATATACCCTGAACCATCATTTATAGATATGCTAACATTCTCAGTTTTCATGGGACAAGAAAATAAAATGCTCCACATTTTCAAAATGCATATTTCCAAAAATAAATATGTATTTTATTTGTCTTAGCTCTCCAATCTGTAATTTCTGTAAGAAAATGAATTCTGTTGTTCATATGGTTTTTAAAATCCCAATTCTCCCACAGACATAAAATGCAGCTACTATCCCCTTTATATTTAAAAGAATAAAAATATTTTATAGCAATCATAAATTCAGTTTTATGTCCTCTAATCAATGTTCCTTCTTCCCAGAGACAACAAATTTCCCCACAGATTCCTATCTATGACAGGAGTTTGTGATGGAATAAATAGCTTTCTATTCCTCAAAGCCTGCAAAGGGGATTCAACATCCCCAAAATAAGGGGAGCCTACATACAGGAAAAAGTACAATTTGTATCTCATCCTTCACCATCATCAACATTTAACAAATAGTTATTGAGATTCAGAAACCCCAATGTACTCTTGACAGGCAGTGGAATACTCTAAATGTAAAAATAAGTCATATGTCTCTTCAATGTAGAAAGAGTCTGAGAAGCCACGGTGTCAAAGAGCATCAGCTTTGCAAATTTCATATGAAAGAGAGGGGTCTTACACATATGTTTCCTTCAATCCTCTTTCTAAAAAAACAGTAGACGCTGAATACCATCACCCCTTCTACTTGATTCATCTTCCATCAGCACTTCACAATATGTATTCAAGGGTCCTAAAACAACACAGGACACTGTGAAGGGTAAGGAAGAGTGTGTGAGAGGAAAGGAAGAGTGCGTGAAAGTTGTCTGAATCAAAACGGAGTCACAAATGTTAAGAAAACTCTGACAAATAGAGCCAGTGAAGGCCACAAAGAGAAGGTCCTCATGCTTGTATGCCTGATAACAAAAACTATCATAAAGACTGCAAAGACTACAATCTTGCACAAAGGCCATTGCAACCTAACACAAAAAAGACTTCTACAAGAACATCTGTCCAGTAACTGCCTGTCCAACCTCAGACTGGCATCACCCTTGATATTGATCTTTGTAGCCAAGGCTAATTATTATTTTTAAAAATATGTAATCCTCCTCATTTTTTTCCTTTAGAAACCTTTGTCTTTTTTTAACTTCCAAGAATATGCACATAGTTTACTATACCCTGCATATTCCCACTGCAATGTTGTATTCCGAAATAAATATCTTTTCTTATAGAGAGCCTCTCTCTGTTATTTAGGTTGACAAGAGACACCATATTTATTCTGAAGATTGAGATCATTGGTAAAATTATTACAATTCGTTTTTGTGGCAAACTTTCTGGAATCTTAAAAGGTAAGTGCTCAGAGAGGACAATATAATGCATGGATTGATTTGACAGGAAGTAATCATGGAGGCATCGCTATTAATAGTCAGGTATCCTGAAATGATTGTTGGAGAGGCACACTTACTATCTTCAAAGGTCTTTAGAAAAAGATAAGTGCTTTTATGTAAGATGGTAGAGCTTATAAACTTTACATATTCTATACACTTACCAATCAATAACAGAAATTATTTCCAAATCTAAAGCTGAATATCACTTTCTAGTCATGTAACAACATTTTAGAGCTAGAACAGTGGGTCTCAACTTTGGTTACAGGTTTAAAAAATCCTGAATCTCAGGCCATCCTCTAGATGAACTAAATAATAATCTCTAGGGGTAGAGCCCAAACATCAGGACTTTTTAAAACTTTCCAATTGATTTCAATATGTAGTCAAGCTTAAAAAACCACTGAATTCCGTGATACTTTCCAGGTCAATAAAGGCATGAAATTTGGAGACCCACATACTGAGTTCACCTCTGTTCTCCAACTTGCTACCTATGCGATATCAAGCAAGTCCCTTAATGTCTCTGAGCCTTGTCTATAAAAAAATGTGAAAACTCTTTATTATTCGTTCTCTTACTCTCTAGTCCACAAACTACATTTTATAGATAATCTACAATATAGAAAGGTTAAGTGGCTCTTTGATAAAAAAAGAGGTTGACACTATTCATTAAACATTACTCAACCTCAAATCTAATTTTCATCTCTAACAAGTACATCTAACATATCTGTGAGTTGGAAAGAAATGTGGAAGTATATATTCAGAAATGTTAACACTGGTTATCACTGGTATAGGAATAATGGATCATTTTCTTCCCCTTTCTCCCTCTCTCCCTCCCTTCCTACTTTCTTTACTTCCCTCTGAAAGAAGGGATACAATCTAAGGATCAGGCTGCCCTGATTGCTCTAATTTCAAGCTGATGTATGAATGTCAGCCAGAAGTAAACAAGAAAACCCAGTTTTGTCACCCCCTAAAACCCCTCCATAAATCATTAGCTTGTCAGTAATCTGCCTCCACAGGTAAGACAATGTGGCTGTATTAGCAGAGAGACAAGTCTGCTCCATCTTCAGGTTCATGAACTCGCTCTACACCTTTTACATAGCTCAACTTCTTTCCCTCTGTCCTCTACTTCTCTGTGTGGCTTGAACACCTCCAGGGTTCTCCTTCAGACCATCCTCCAAGATGGAGTTGACAAGACCACATGAGGCTTCTTTCTCCTACTCACTTAATTTGCATGTGGTTATTTCATTGTAGTATCATGATCACAGTTCCCTTGCCCTTCTTGCTGCTGGTGCTGAGGCAGCCAAGATTGACACAAGTCCAAGTCAGTCAGTCTTAGGTCCTCTGCTCTTTGGTTGCCTCATAGTAGCTTTGCAGTTTCCCTCTTTTTATCTTAATTCTATTCCTTCACAAAGTCTTGGTTTTCTAATTTATCAACAATCAATATGCATTACTTGTGTAATTTGTTTAAGTGTTTTAAAATTTCATATCTAGAAGGTGACAGGATGCTTCTGTGACATTATTCACTTAGTTTACAAATATTTATTGCATATCCTCTATGGGCTGTGCAATATATGGACACCAAAAACCATAGTCCCAGACCTAATGGGTAAAACAAATGTTCAATAAACAAACACATAAATGAAAATGCAACTACTTATTATGGTAAGTAGTTGAGAGAGAATAGTGAGGTTGGGGCAAAACTTATCATGAGCAATAGAAAAGACTTCTTAGGAAGATAAAAATACTGGAATTCAGACCTTGTATATGAATATGAGCCTTAGCAAGGAAATGTTTTAGTCAGGAGAATGAAATGATGTAATTTGTACTTTCAAAAGATCACTTTAGTTTTTACATGGATTATGTTTTACTAACTGTTCAAACTGCTCAGTGTTGCAGTAATATGAAATGGACAGATATTTAAAAATCAAATTATTTTATTCAACAATATCTTGCCATTCCGTTAAACCAGAGGTCAGCAAATTGTGGTTGGGTTTGAACTGCCTGAGTCCACTTACATGCAGATTTTTTTTCAACCACACAAGGATCAAAAATACAGTATTCGGATCTGAAACCCATATATATGGAGGGCTGACTTTTTGTATCCACAGGTTCTGCAAGGCTGATTGTGGAACTTGAGTATGCTCAGATTTTGGTATAGATAGGGGTCCTAGAACCAATCCCCTGAGAATACTGAGGGACAAATATATAAACAGCAGACCAAACCTGGCCCACTGCCTGTTCTTTATAAATAAAACTTTACTGGAAAACAGCCATGTTTATGTATTGTAATGTCTACAGCTACTGTCATTCTGCAAGGGCAGGACTGAGTAGTTGTTACAGAGATCATACGACCCACAAAGCCAAAAATATTTACTATCTGGATCTTTACAGAAAGCATTTGCAAAAGCTTTTCCAGAGGCCCCAACACCAGATTTCTGCTTACATTTTGATTACGAGCTCAGGTCATGTGGCCAGCCCCAGATGCAAAGCTGGCTGGAAAAGTAAGTGCCAGACTTCTAGCCCTTATAGAAGAGGCTCATAAAGGGCTATTGAGTATTCTATTGAACGGTATCTCTCACAGGTATGAAAAATGGTGACTCTGTTCAAACCTTAACCTCTCTGACCCCCAATTTCTCTCCTGTAGAAAAGAAGGATAATGATATTTGCTTCTCATTGTTGCAAAGAGGATTAAATGTAATGAGGATATTAAATATGTTAATTACATTAACATCAAATTCCTGGCACTTAGTATGTTCAGTAACTGCATCTCTTCCTCTGAATGCCTTACAGTTCATCACTGTGCCTCTCTGCAACTTTAACTTGTCCTTGCTCATAGTAGGCACTCGTTCAGAAATGCAGAATAAAAGAACAAATGTTCGCCTTCTTCTACAGGACCAGGCCTCAGTTGTTGATGCACACTAACAGGTTTGATTGTTTAATTCTGCTTGGCTGATAAGTACAGAAGTATCTTCAAAAACAAAACTTTTGAAAGAAAATTTTGAACATAGCCCTCCTGGAGAAGAGTGAGTTAAGAGAAATTCCAGCCTTCTTTTCATTGGTGGTAAAAACAATGGCTGAGTAGGAAGAAAAGCCCGGGGACTTATATCAGATACAGACCACTCTCAGATAGACAGGGACCACCCATATACATTGCATCACCTACTCCCTTCCCAAATAAGCAGGCCATGCTTCCAAGACTTGGGTGGCCCCATTACCTGGGAGTCAGGGCAATGCCTCCATATATAGCCATGCGTTATATACAAGATGCCCGTTGAACACCAGCAATCCAGAAACAAGTGTACCCTTCTGACCAAAAAAAAAAAAAAAAAAAAAAAAAAAAGCCACAGATTCCAATACTCTGAAGAAAAGGAGGGAAGAGGGAGGGCTCAGTGATACAAGAGCTCCTGGAATCTATCTCTCAGGCATCTTTATTACTTTTGCCACTCAAAGCATGTTTCCGACAGTAAAGTGTGACACCAGAACACATCGGTTTACAAAACTGTCTTTGTAGTAAAAATATTAGTTGAGATCTGTACATTCTTGAGCTTTCATTGAGAAGCCTGGCTTTTCTCAAAATTTTGACAAATTGCTTATTATCAATGTTTGTACCTCAAATGAAGCTTATCTATATTCTATTAATCAAATGTCTTAAAAAATATCTAAATCTTTTTAGATATTTTTAGATATTTAGACAAGGTCTTCATTTAGGTCTTAGTGATGAAAAAGTATATGGTTTTAAAATATAAAAAACTCTCACAGGGAAGCATATAAGCCTAAAACTGAGTTTACTATTCATGTTTGCAAAGGGAAGATGAGTATGAGATTGCTAAACATCATTATTGAAAATACTTAATATTTTGATACACATATAATTTTTTCAATGTTTTCCAGTGAATGTGATTCCATTATTTTGAAATAAAAGAATGTTACAAGTATCCTATATGCTTCATGTCCCCGATTTCCTAGAAATAAGATAGTAGTACAAGCATAATGTGTTCACAATAATTATACAGGGCTATAGAATAACTTTATCTTTTTGGAAAAATAGCATCTGAAACTTACAAGTTTTACCTACAAGGTCACCTACAAAACATAAGTAGTATCCTTCAGAAAATATTTGTTGGTGTTTGTGAAGTTCTGAAAATACTGTAGGGCAGGATTGGCCTTTTCCCAATTGTCAAATCAAACCAAGGACTTCCAGGCCCTAAGCAAGGTCAGTGACCAAGGCAGCACTTCCCAGAGTGACATTCATGACAACTTCCAAAGGCAGGGCACTTTCCGCATGAGAGGCCAAGATAAAGCCTACCACTTTACAAGGAACTGGCTGGTGAACCTTGGCACAGTTGCTGGAGAACTTGGCTCTCCAAGAACAAAACAGCTGTGCCTCTTTTTGTTTTCCCTTCTCAATAAGGAGAGTAAAATCTCAACTTCAGGTTATGCGGATAATGTTCCATATATTTTGGAAGAGTTAATATAACTTTTCCATTGTACTGCTTAGAAGATAGAGGGAAACAGAAATAAAGGGTGCACCAGTAAATAGACTGCTTATAATCAGAATTCTACAAAGCCCAGAAATAACTGTTTCCCTGATATTTTGGACCAGTATGGGGACCTTTTTAGATCTTGAAGAAAAAAAAATGTGTTCCTGAGTTATTCTTGTCATCTTACTGATTCAGCTGGATCCAGTGTAAAAAATGAAATAAATTACTTTCTAATTGGCATTTAGGGTCGCCAAAAAAATCCACAGCAACAGAAAGCCAGTCTACTTTAGCCAAGAACGTAGGGTCTTCCCCTTGCTCTACAATTTTCCCCCTTTATAAAAATCCCTCCCTCCACCTAATGCTGCTTAAGTTACACTTACATCTCTTTTTCCCTTCACTTATTTTGAAAACCTCTCCCCCTCTCCCACCAACTCACTTACTGACTCATGGTTTGGTTCCACACTGTTCTCTTAATACTACTCTCTCAAAAGATGCCAATGATCTGGTAACCCTAGAAGATCTCCATGCAGCATTTCACCCTAAGGACCATCTCCTCTTTCTGGAAGTCCTCTTCTTTCCTGGCTCAAGTCAGTGTCGTCTCACTTTTCTCCCAGCATCTCTGATCATTTCCCCTTGGTGTTGGGACTTGGGCTCCTAGTCACATCTTTCTTAGGTTTATTTACTCACACATACCACATGTAACTATTGAATGGGATGTATGTGCTTGGCTCTGACCTTGGGTTCTAACTTCAGCTCCACTTTCTCTCTTATCTCTACAAGTTCTCCTTGTGTTATTTCATCCAGCCTCAAGGCTTTATTTATCAACCCTGCTCACTCTCTCCTTTTTTGGCCATTCCCTTAATATATATTTTTACCTTTTTTTTTCCTGGTCTTTTATAATATTTCCCTAAATCATCTTCCTGCTGCCAGTTTTACTATTAATAACTACTATTCATCCTATAAAAACTATGCCCCACCTCCCTCATTCTCTTTCTTTCCTTGCTTTATGTCTCTCATATTTACTACAAAATGTTTGTTTCAAAAATTGCCCAAATTTAGAAAACTACGGAGAAGAGAAAAATCGCAGGTAAGCTCATATGCGAAGTCAGCCATTTTACCTTTAGTGGGCTTTCTGCCAGAATTTTTTCAGATATAGGTTTTTTAAGAAGTGAGCTTTTTTAGCCTTCAAAGATCAGATAAGTCCAGTCTATTTAAACTGTTCCAAAACATAAAAGAAACCTTTCAATTACCTTTTTTGAAGATAGAAAAATATTGATAAGAAACCTGACATAGATATCTCACCAAAAAGAAACATTAGGTCAATGTCCCTTGCAGAAATTATGCAAAAATACTAAATATAGTATGAACAAATATAATAAAAATAAAATAAAAGTGGGGAAAAAGGGTAAGAATGATTCAATATTAAGAATTTTATTTGTTTAAAATAACACATTAAGCCAGGCACAGTTGTTCATACCTATAATTCCAGCTACTCAGGAAGCTGAGGTAGAATGATCACTTGAGGCTAGTTTATGGCTGCAGTGAGCTATGATCACAACAGTGCACTATAGCCTGGGCAAGAGAGTATGATCCGGTCTCTAAATAAATAAATAAAATAGCATATTAATAAGACAACAAATTCCAATGAGTGCTTTAAGTGATGTCAAATAAGACGTTTAATAAAATTGAACTCTAAGCAAAATAGAAGTGGATGATACTTTTTTGACACACTAATAGTCATCTCAGCATCATCATGTTTGATACAGAAAAATGAGGACACTTTCCTTTGATGTCAGGAAGAAGAAAAGAAATTCCAGTTTCCTATTGCTCACAAAGTACTAAACAATGCATTCAGACAAAGTATAACTTGTAGTCATTTGCAGAGGATATACCAGTATGCATAAAAAATTAAGGATCATCAACAGAAGAAAGAAACCTAGAAACAATGAGATTTTTTTCAGTCATTTGACATAATTTTCACAAACAATACTGAACTGTGCTTTCCTTTGGAGGGCCTGTCTATGGAATAGTGTTTGCTGGCCTTGCAAATGGAATTTGGATATTGTTTCTTCTTCTTTTTCTAAAAAAACCATTCAGTCTATTTGGACTGAAATTATCTGATCTTTAAAGTTTGAGAAATTTGCATGTTAAAAAACCAACAACAACCTTGAGCTGAAAAGATCCTGGCAGGAACCCATTAGTTACAAAATAATTATACAAAAATCAACAGCTTTTTTTTAATACGAATGATAACCTGGTAGACAATATAATGATTTAAAGGTACTATCTGTAATAGCAAAAATCTGTGAATACATTTCAAAAGTTCTATGTGTAGTACATAGAACTTTAAGCTTCTTATGAGGGCAATAAAAATGATGAATAACAGAAGATATATCTTGACATTGGACAGAAAATGCCAAAAAGGCAATCTCAAAAACTGAATCTCTAAATTTAATGAAAACCCAATCAAAACACTGAAAAGTTTGCAAATGAGAGGAGAAACCTGAAAGAAGCTGGATAATTCTGAAATTCCTTTGGAAAAAATGAATATGTGAAAAATAGCTAAGAGAAACTTGAAAAAAGAGAAGTAAAGAGAAAAGACAAGCACTATCAGCATTTTAAAAAGTTTAAAGTCACAATACCTAAAATAGTATTATACTGGTAGGAGAGTGAACAGACATAATAATGGAACTGAATCCAGAAACAGATCCAAATACGTGAAAGGACTTAGCCTATAATAAAGATGGCATTTTTAGCCAATGGAGCAAAGGTGGATTATGTAACAAAAGGTATTTTAAAATAGACTAGTACCTGGAAAATTTAGCAGGATTACTACTAAGTTTCTTTTAACAAAATTAATTCCAGACCAATAGAAGATGTAAATTTGTTAAGATGAAACTTCAAAATAACTAGAAGAAAACAAGTGAAAACTCAGAAATCAAACAAGCAAAGTTTGAACTATTTGATAAAATAATAAAACTTTATCATTTTTACAGGCAAAAATATAGTAAACAAAGTCAAATAACAATGAAAAGGTAAAAGTGTGTTTGTGTGTATAAATATAATACATTTGCCAAATTACTAATTTTAAATGTACATTTTGACAAACTGCCAATTTAATAGAAAAAAAATGGAATCATCGTTTTAATTTTTAGTTCTGCAATTATGAATGAAGTTAAGTTTTTTTCCATGTGTTTTTGGCCATCTATATTTTTGGCCTATTTTTATAATCTGCCCATTTTTATATTGTATATTTTTATTTCTGTGCGGAAGCTCTTTGAATCTTAACTACATGAACCATCGGTCTGCTATATGTGTTGCACCTATTTTTCCAATTTGTTGCTTGTCTTTCCGTACCAGTTCATAACATAACAGAAATTTAAATTTTATGTAGTTATATCTCTTTCTTTATGGATTCAAAATTTCATACCTTGCAAGAAGGCATTTTCCCTGTCCAAGTTAATAATACAAGAATAATATTACAACAACACGTAATACATGCGCAATATACTTATATGTCTTATAGGTGGGGACCTACATTTATTTTCTCTCCAAAGAGCCAAATATTCTTACACAAATTATTGAATAATCTGTCCTCTCCTCACTTATTTAAGGCAAATTTTTTATATATTAGATTGATACATATTCTTTGATCTGTATAGAACTTGTTATACTGCTGCCTGAAATTACCTGCTTTCATGCTAGTATCACAAACTTTATAAATTCTTGTTTTCTTTTCTTTTTTTGAGATGGAGTCTTGCTCTGTCACCCAGGCTGGAGTGCAGTGATGTGATCTCTGCTTGCTGCAACCTCTGCCTCCCAGGTTCATGCAATTCTCCTGCCTCAGCCTTCTGAGTAGCTGGGACTACAGGCATTTGCCACCATGCCTAGCTAATTTGTATCTTTTAGCAGAGACAGGGTTTTGCTATTTTGGCCAGGCTGGTCTCGATCTTCTGACCTCGTGATCCGCCCGCCTCGGCCTCCCAAAGTGCTGGGATTACAAGCGTGAGCCACCGCGCCCGGCCCAGACTTTTTTTAAAAAAACAAAAATGTTCGAATCAATTTGACAAGATTTTCCCAAATTCCATTGCAGTTCCCATTAGAATCTCATTGAATTTAAGATATTAGCTTGGAACAGACATTGTTCCAATATGGCTTTCCTATCTAGGAGTATGGTTTGCTTGTACATTTATTCAATTTTTTTTACATCTCTCTATAATGTTTTATATATTTTTTCAAAGAGTCTCTTGTACCTTTCTAGTTAAACTTGTTCTTAGATATTTGATACTTTCGTGGTCAATGTGAATGGGATAATTTTCACTTCACTTTCTAAGTATTTGATACAGATGCAGAAGGAAACCATTGATTTTGGATATTTAGTTTATGCCTCTTTAGTGAACTGTTTACTTGTTCTAATAAAGTATCCTACCACCATCTTGTACTTAAGTGTGTTACACAATTAACACTTCTCGTTGAAATATTTGTAACATCTCTGTCTTCCACAATGTCTAATTTGTCCTTATATTTGTAAAACACAGCAATGCTAAATAAACATTTATTAAATTAATGAGTGATAATTCCTGAATCTACATTCCAATCCTGTGCATGAACTACAGGTTGAATTTCCAACTGCTTGATGGACATTTTCACATTGGTTTTCCTCTGGCATCTCAAATTCAACAACTCTCACTAGAACTTTCAAGACGATCTTTTCTTCTCTTTTTCCTTCCTATCTCATATCCAGCTATCGAGTCCTAAAAATTCTACTTCTGCAATGTTTCATCTGTCAGAGCTATCCTTTCAAAGAGCAAGTTCTCCTCCCATTCAAAAAGACTCCGTAGTCAGTTCCCTACTGCCTTGACGATAAAATCTAAACTTAGCATAGTATTTGGGACTCTCCCCAGCCTGTGTTCTACCTACCTTTCCAGTTCAATCCATCTTAGCTCCAATTGCTTGTAAGGAGAGACGGAGGTACTTGTGATTTACTGGCGGAGTAGGTGCTCTCAGGAGAAGGCAATCCAGGAAAGTAGAATAAGGCAAGAAAATGAACTAAGCAAGGATGCAGTCTTGGCTGAAGTCCAGCTTCAGCCTAATTCCACAGAGGGCACCGGAGCATGAATTGCAACGCAGAGTTAATTCCATCTTGAGGCAAAGGGAGCTGCTCATTTATAACACCACAACAGTGTGTCACGGACCATGGGCTAAGGATGGGGGGAATTTAAGCTTTCTGTTGAGATGGCTCTCATTTCAGCTGAGGGCAGCGCTCTGAAAAAAAAAAGATACAGCTGTGATCTTATTAGCAGCCAACAGTCATTGCAGCTGGGGGAGAGGCACATGACCTACTAAAGTGGATTTGACCAGGGCAGCAATATTTCCTACCATCTCCAAATATATCTCACCTTGTTGCCCCCAACTCCAGTCATTCAATTTATTAGTCTGTTTTCACACTGCTGTAAAGAACCTCCTGAGACTATGTAATTTATAAACAAAAGAGGTTTAGTTGACTCACAGTTTCACATGGCTGGGGAGGCCTCGGGAAACTTACAATTGTGGTGGAAGGTGAAGGAGAAGCAAGCACCTTCTTCACAAGGTGGCAGGAGAGAGGGAAAGGGGAAGTGGCACTTTTAAACCATCAGATCTCCAGAAAATTCACTATCACGAGAACACCAAGGGGAAAACCGCCCCCATGATCCAATCACCTCCCACCAGGTCCCTCCCTTGATACGTGGGGATTACAATTTGAAACGGGATTTGGGTGGGGACACAGAGAAAAACCATATGATTCAAGAATACATGATATTTTCCAGATATGCTCAGTCCATCCATTATTTCATGCCTTTCCTGGAATAACCTTTCTACTCTGTCCAACTATCCAATAACCACTCAACTTTTGATACAGTCCAAACCTTTGTCTTTTGTGAAAGTTCTCTCTCTCCTCAAGTCAGAATTTGTTAACCCTGGGTTTCCCATGGGAGCTTGTTTGTTTGTACCTCTCTTGTAGCATTTATTTTTGTGTGCTTTCTCGTGTAGTTAAATGTTCACATGTTTTTTTCTCCTGGCTCAAGGTGGAACCCATTCATTTTATTCTGCCATTTGTAACAAATAATTAGAAGCATCTGCTTCCCCAAGTTTATAAATGACTTTGGTGTGAAAACAGTCTTAGTCATCTTTTTTTTTCTCATTCCCTTAGTACCTAGCACGAAAGCCAATAAATGTTTGTTGAATTGAGTTGAAAAAAAATACAAAAAAAAAGAAAAAACTTTTTTTTCTATCTGGCCCATCTGGCATGGAAATAAAAAGACTGATATCTCGTTTGCTGACTTCCTTTTTATTCTCTTCCTTTTCTCTCTTTTGTGATTCTACCAAACCTTCAGTATAAACATTTTATTCACTGTTTCTAGTTTTGTATATACTCATAAATATCATAATTCAATTGACTACTCTCTATTATAATTCAATCTTTTACATCTTTTAATAGTGATAATTGAGAAATCAAAGTTTTGTGTTCTGTTTTTAGTTTCATGATCAATTTCCTTTTTATGTTGAGATCACTTTATCTTTCAGAAAATATGTAGTCCACAAGTTTGTTTGAAAAACAATATCTTTTTCTTTTCTTTGAGACAAGATCTTGCTCCACCCAGACTGGGGTGCACTGGCACAAGCTTGGCTCACTGTAGCCTGGACCCCCTGGGCTCAAGTGATCCTCCCACACCAGCCTCCCGAGCAGCTGGGACTACTGGCATGTGCCACCATGCCCAGCTAATTTTTGTATTTTTTTGTACAGACAGGGTTTTGCCATGTTGCCCAGGCTGATCTCCAATGCCTGGGCTCAACTGATCCTTCCACCTCAGCCTCCCAAAGTGCTGGGATTACAGGCGTGAGCCACCGTGCCTGACAGAAAAATAGTATCTTTTCAAGGCCTTTTATTAGGCAGTGGACATTGGCTTTTCATATGGATACAAAACTTGAACCCTCAATTTAAAAAGTAGAATCATTTCTAAAATAAACAACTGATGCCATTATGTTCGATATACTCATTCTATAGACAGAGATGTGGAAATGTAGAGATTATGATCAAGTTTCACGCTTGCATAAAACCCTTTAATGGTTTTCCATGACCCATGACAAATGCAAACCTGGCAATAGGGCTTGCAAGGCCCTTAATGACTCGGCCTCTGCTTTACAGCACAATTGTTTCATACATAGGCAACTACTTATATTTGACAATCTCACCATGTGCTCTTAATGCTTCTCATTGGATCTTTAAACATATTGTTTCCAGGGGCCAGGCATGGTGGCTCAAGACTACTTAAAAAAAAAAAAAAAAAAAAAAAAAAAAGCTGGGTGTGGTGGCGTGTGCCTGTAGTCCTAGATACTCCGGGAAGCTGAGGTGGGAGGATCATTGCAGCTCAGAAAGTCAAGGCTGCAGTGAGCAGAGATCATACTACTGCACTGTAGCCTGGGCAACTGGAGTGAGAACTTGTCTCAAAAAAATTTTTTTAAAAGTTGTTTCCAGTATCTTAGAAAACATGCCAACACTCTCACACCCTATTCCATTGCCCAATTAGCTCCTAATCCTTCAGGTCTTAGACTAGATATGACTTTCTCAGATCAATCTTCCCAGATATCCCTAGATCATTTAGGTGTCCCTTCTTCTTTCATTGATGCGCCTATAGTACCCTCTCCTTATACTTATGCTGAATTATAATACCTGTTTCCTGATATGGAATTTAAACTTGTACCTCCCTCACTCAGCATTACCCAGCCTCCTAACTGTATTCTATTGTTTTCTCAGAGCATTTATCACTTTCTAATACACTATAGAATTTACCCAGTGTTCATTCCTGGCTGTGATATCTGGTATCAAATTGACACTGGTATCAAATTACCATTACTGGTATCAAATTAATGCTACTCACATATATACCTATAAAACTGAAAAAAAATATATGAAACAAATATTTTCAGATATTGGACAACAGGTAACAGAGTTATGGTCACTGAAAGAAGGGAAATTTCTAGATAAGCCCCACAGTAGTCCTGGCTTTCTGTCTGGAGGTGCTTTCTAAACCACAGGTGGGTAGAGCCCAAGCAGAACATGGTGGTCTTGCCGAACCGAGGAAAGAGAGATTAGACTTCAGGGGTGCTGAAGTGACTGACAGAGTACCAGAGCAGAAAATGCTGCAAAAGAAGAAACTCCCCAAAAGTTCCCAGGGATTCCCATTAGTCATTAGCTGAATACTAAGGCATGCATGTGAGGACAATACTCCACAAAGTCTGGAAGAAAACAAGTGCCAGAGAACGATGAGCTGAAGAGAGATTCTAGAGAGGCTCAAGGCCAGGAGTCACTGGGGTTCTGACAAACCAGTGCCTTGTGGGAAAATAGCAAGCCGACTATTATACAGGCAGATAGGGTTTCAGAAGGAGGGGACAGAACAAAATTTTTTTGAAGAAATAGTGGCTGGAATTTTTCCAATTTTGAGGGAAAAAACACTACCAACCAAAAAGCTCAATTAACTATAAGCAGCATTTTTAAAATAAGAAAAAAAAGATTACATATAGATACTTCATAATCTAATTTTAAAACCATGGCAAAGAGAAAAATTTTAAAGAAGCTGGAAAAAAATAGACACATTACATATTAATACATACAGGGCAGCAGCGGTGAGAATTACCACTGACTTTTCACCTGAAACAGTGCAAGTCAGAATGCAATGCTATGATATCTATAATGTGCCGAAAGGAAAAAGCTGTCACCCGGGAATTATATATTTAGTAAAAATATCCTTTAAAAATGAAGGCAAACTAAAAATATTTCAAGATGAGCAGATGCCTAGAGAATTTACCACCACCATCAGATTTTTCTCTACAAGAAATGTTAAAAGAGTATCTTCAGGCTTTAAGAAAATGATATGGGTGGAAACTTAAATCTACATAAGGGAATGAAGAGCATTGGAAATGGGAAATGTGTGAATAACTGTAAAAGCAGGGTGAGGAGGGGTCCCTACAAGGGGAGGGCCTACCATATGAAATCAGAGCCTAAGACGAGTGAGGAAGACATTCACTCAAGAAAAGAGAGAAATGACTGATTCTAGGACTGGGCCAGAGAAAATAATAGACAAACCTAGAACTTTTGTTGTACCAGAGAACAAGGAAGTACGCAAAGAAAGATGAGGACATGTGAAAAAACTCAGAAGCCAGCTGGAGGGCCAGCAGAATAAATTCAAGCAACAAAATGAAGAATAATGTCATTGATTATAACCTATTGGCTAAAACTGGAAACCATGAGTCCATATTGATAAAATAAATGAATAAATTCAAGGTTAATGCAGAACTGAATATTTGCTAACTTCCAAAGCATATCCCTATAAAACACTTACTAATTGTGAAGGACAAAAAAGTAACTTTACAGTTGAGAAGCCTGACAGACACCACCTTAATCAAGTGGTCAATGTGAACATCATCAGTAATAGGTCAAATTGAACTTGTGTGCCACCTGATGTCTACAACAAGAAGGACACAACATCACCTCTGGGATATTCTTGCCAAAGATGTGTAATCTTAACCATATGAGTTCAGAAAACAAGTTAGGAAAAAATTGAACAATTCTATGAAATTACTACTTCTAATCTTCAAAAGCATCAAGGTTGTGGAAATCAAGTAAAGACTGAAGAACTGAAAGGGATACTAAGATGGGCCCTTTTCTTTATATAAAGGAGATTATTGAGACAACTGACAAAATTTGACTGAGGTTTGAAGACTGGGTAGCAGTAATAAATCAATGTTAATTTCCCGATTTCAATGGTGATATTGTGAGTATGTAGGGGAGTGTCCTGGTTTGTAAGACATGTGCACCAGAAAACACAGTGGGACTAAACACTCCAATCAAAAGGCAGAGATTGTCAGACCAGGCAAAAAAGCAAGATCCAGCTACATCCTATTTACCAGAAGCACACTTTAAACACATGTAACTACATTTATATATCTATATTTATGTAAAAATTATAAATATATATTTGAAGAATTCTTCAAATACCGTGTTCATTGTTCGTCTTCTCCTAGCAGAATGTAACTCCTAAAAAGACGAGAATGTTTTAATGTTCTTCTATCTTTCTGAAGCTCCTCAGAACCTAGAACAGATATTGACACATAGTAAATGCTTGTGTGTGTGTGTGTGTGTGTGTGTGTGTGTGTGTGTGTAGAGAGAGAGAGAGACAGACAGACAGACAGACAGACAGAGACAAAGAGAGAGAGGGAGACAGATTAACTCTTCCTCTTAAACTGTAAGCTCGTGAAGGATGTGTTTCCTGCACCGTTGTTTCTCAGTGGCTTGGCAAATAGAAGCCCTCAATAAATGCTGGGGGATGGATAAAAGCATTAAGTTACTTGGCTTGCCATTATAAATGAGGCTAAATTCACATGAAATTTCTTGCTGTTATTTTAAAAGAAATTAAAACAAATAAAAAACTAAATCAAACTTAAGCCATAATTTATTAAAAAATTGTTTAGCTGCTTAACCATTTTAACATACATTTACTAAGTCATCTATTATCTGCTCCCTCCTCTATTTTAAAAAACTATAAATGGAAACATTTTACCAGGGTTTTTATTTCCACTGGAGTAGATATCCCAGGTATTGATTACCAGATGATCACGATAATGGCCATGAAACTTCATTACCACTAAAAACGCTGGGCCTAGCAAAATCTCGCTTACAGGGGTTTTCGGTTTCTTATAAGATATACTGATATCATGAATTAAAATATCTTCTTAAGTATACCCTGCCCTGATTTCATTCTTGCCCATATTTCCATGCATGAAAAAAAGAATTCACTTTCCTATTGTAAGCCATACAGATTAAATCTATTTCACTTTTTCCATAGAAATTGAGTTATTTTTATAAACTAAAATGGGAAGAAATCTGAATTTAAAAAAAAAGTTTGACTAGCTCTTTTGTGACTACAAGACTAATATTTGGTTCAAAAATACCCAATCAATGCTCATAATTATCATCCTTTCTTTCTTAAAACATTAACATTACATTGTAGAGATGAACTTTTTTTAACTTTTTAAATTAGCTTATTACACACATATGGAAAAATATACAAATCTTAAGCTTACAGCTCAGTGAATTATCACAAATGAACACACCAGTATAACCAGGACCTAGGTTAAGAAATCGAACATTATCATCACCCTAAAAGCCCACTTATTTACTTCCCCCAACCACTCTGCCTGTCTTCCTCCCTAGAGATATTCCTTCTCCTGACCTCTAACATGCTAGATAAATAAATTTTTGCCTGCCTTTTAATTGTATGTCATATACAGTGTGTACATGTTTTGTATCTTGCTGCTTTCACTGAATGTTATGTTTTTATAGAGATTAACTTTTCATCTTAAATTTAAATCATTATTGGATTTTGTGTGATAAAATATAATCAAACATTACCCTTGAATTCATTCTCCTTATAAACAATGTAAATTCTAGCAAAATATAATTTTACCAAATGTTATAAAGTCACTAAAATAGCTAGATGTTGAGAGCAACAGTTGCTAAACCAGATTTTTATTGAACGTAATAAAAGCATTCAAACTAGTACTCAGCTAAGTGATCTGCAATACATTGAGAGAATTTATTTCCCTTTGAAAACCATTCTATCCAAAAATTACTGTAGAGATAGCAAATGATATTTCTTTTCAAGGCTCTGTATATTTCATTGCTCTTTGGTGTTAGATTTGAATTGGGTTATTTGTAGAGAGAACTATGCATCTGTGTAACACTCAAGTAACATATACACTCTATTGGTTCTTCCCTGTGATTAGGCTGTCACTGATACTATAGAGTTTTACAGATTACAGGTTTTGCCTAAAGCTACAGTCAGCTCTCTTACCCAGTAATTGGATAGACAGATTTGGCTCAGCTCAGCAAGTCTGTACTTCTGTATGCAAAAGAGCCCTGAATTGAAATACAGCAGCCTTGCCAGGTCAGGATAAACAGAACTCCGTGAGGAAGTTTAGAAAATCGCCTTCAAAGAACACTTTTCATCCTATTTCTATGCCTTTGTTAACTAACTTTCATAGCTTATGGATATACATATACATATACATATATATATGTATATGTATAATTAAGCATTAAAAATGATCATCCAAATTTTGACTTTGTTTAAAAGAATTTCTAAATTTTAAAATGTTGGCTTAATTAAAAGTGAATGTTTTCTGACTTTCTGTGTTCAGGTACATACAAACCTTGAAGCTTTTCAGACTCTAATTTTTGTTTGTTTATTTTCAGGACATAACATTGCTATAAAAATAAACAAATTACATGAGCACCATGAGCTGCTATTTACTTTCAAAAACTCCAAAATCCAAAGTTAGTTTGCTTATAACACACTATCTCCATAATAAAACTTAAATCTGGAGCATTTTAAGTAATAAATTTATGTATAGTGTGGGTGAGCTTATGATACCACGAAACCTTTACTTTTTCACTTCATAAATGTGCTGCTGTATTGGCCCACATATAAAACTCTTTCAGGCCACCTTAATTTTCAAAGGAGAGGAAAATTGCAAGTTGCAAAAATAAACTCTGTCACATAAAACTTTCCATTTCTAGCCCCCAGAGCAATTGAAGGAGTGAAAATGTGCCCTGATACCCCTTCCTTCCTTTTGCTTTAGGTGGTTCCAGCTAGAGTTACTGATACTGAAATTTAAATACAATTGCTACCTTAGCATGCCGGCCAGTCTGTTAGAAGTTGCGTTCTGTTACTCTGCTGGCCCCAAAAAGGGGCTAGTGTCTCTCACAGTCAAGCATTGTTAAATACAGAAAGCTTTTGAAAATGGAGATTTTTAAAACAGATTTAAGGTGATTTAATCACCTCCCTCCTCCAATTCTTTCAGCCTCTCTCCTCTCAGCATCTCCAAAGGGAGGTTTGGCAAAGGAGGAAGAAATAACAGTTCTTTGGTTCTTTGCAAAAGAGGGAAAGATACTTGTGAGGTATTGTCTCTGCTTCCCTGTCCAGGCCAATTCTCTAGCTTAGAAAAGAATTCTGACCCCTCAGACAAAGAGCATTTTAAGTATGAGTTCTGACTCTCCATTTGCTGTTCAGCTTTGTGCAAGTTTTTTTTAACCTTGCCAAACTTCTGTTTTACCATCTGTAAAATGGGAGTGATATTTCTTACTTTATAGGGTTGCTGTGAGGATTAAGTGGGGAAAAAATGTATGTGAAGTCTTTAGCACATAATAAGCACTAATAAATATTTGCTATTGTGACTACAGCATTTGGGACACCAAGATGATGTGGCTCAGGCTGCTGGCTGTGCACTGAGGCTCCGTTCCCTTCTCTTCCTTGTCATACAGTTAGGTTGTATACCCCAGGCTTTCTCACGGGGAGGTAAGGCCACAAGGCTGAGTTCTAGCCAAGAGAAGGTGAACAAAAATTATGTGTGCCACTTTTAGCTCAAAGCTTTCAAGCAGATGCTTCCTTGACCCTACTTTCCCTCTTCTACCTAGATGCAAAAGATTACGTCAAAGGGATAGTGGAGCCACAGATAAGAAAAGCCAGGGTCCTAGAGTAACAACATGAAGGAGAATAGCCACCACTACACCCCAACCAAGAAAAACTATCATTGACTATTCTTTGTGCCATTATTTATCTTGGGGTCTATTTGTTACACAGCTACCTTGCCTAATTGAAACAGCTGGTAAGGAGACAGAATTCACATTTAAAATACTGTTGGTCTGGTAGGGCAGCAGTTCTCACTGTAAAACAAATGAGAAATGTTCAATTGCTTGAAAGTCTAGCTTAGCCTTGCTCTTTCACATCTCCATTTAGTTTCTGTCTTGAGCTGAATTTTCTTTTACCAATACTGTTCACTCTGCACAGCTCCCACATATATGTGTAACCCTTCTGTCTCCTGGACCTAACTTTTGTTAACACAGCCAAAAGAGGGTGTGATTTGGGATCGGGGGGCGGGGAGGGTAGGAGTGCTTTATTTAAATCCCAAAGGAAAATGAAAGCAAAATAGGAGTATAGATTTCTAATTTTAAGAACCCTAATAAAAGTGCTTATGCATTTTACTGAGCATGAAAGCCCTGTAAACACAGAATTTGGATTCTTTCCTGTTTGGTTCCTGGTCGTGAGTGGCAGGTGCCATCATGTTTCATTCTGCCTGAGAGCAGTCTACCTAAATATATAGCTCTGCTCAAAGAGAAGTACTTGTAGGGAATATACTTCAATACACTTCACAGTTCAATCCTCCCGCTCCTCACTGGTCTGGGCACCCAGGACTTATCTCCACTTTGGAGGGTAAACCTAGTTTAGAGTTCATGTGTGAATCATTGGTGATTAAATGCCTTGAGCCCCAATAAAGGATGTGGCCCTTCCCAGCTTCGATAATAAGCTTTACCCACTTTCTGAGGTGTTCTATGACTCAGACCACATTCCTAAGTCAGAGATTGTTAACACTACAAATGTACAGTATCAGTAAGGTTATGTCCCATGAGTAAATACATCTAGCTAAGGGCATTGCTAAAAATAGCCCCATAATATAGGTGAGGAACAACTAATCAAGCTTTACCTAAAACATGTAGGAATCCACAAAGGGGCCCACTCTTCTTTTCCAGCTCCTTTATCCAAATTTCAGGTGTTGTTGGCCATTAAACAAAAACTGTCAATGGGGAATTGTTCAGTTTGACTACTGGTTAATTCATAACCTAGAGTATCAACAATTTAGCAACCACAGATTTTAAGTGAAGTGAAGGAACCCAAAGTGCATAGTATTTCTGCACAGTGTTACCAATGGCAATGCTAAACCGGGGTTGCTTTATCAGTATAAAACACTTTGGAACAAAAACAACAGCAAAATCTGAGTTTCATTACCCAAGGTAAATCATCCCTTACTCTTTAGTCTTTTAGAAGATAGTTAAGACTTCCCAAATATATATATGGTAGATTCAAACCACTCCTAAGCACATGATTTCAAGGTAGGAGAGGGGGCTCAGTAAGCTATGAACAGAAAGCACAGATTTGAAGGCAGTTTTTGATACATTAAGTTACTGCCCAAGACCAATCTGAAAGCAGACTTAGGCTTTAGCACATTCCTAGCAATGACAAACTAAGATTACAACTTTGCTAAAAAGGGTCGTTTTTAAATGTTCTATTAACATACAGAAATGAAAACCCTGAAATTTCATAACCAACAATATGTAGGAAGCCATTATCTGAAGTGTAAGCAACTGCATAGTGCTATTTTAATTATGCATTGCAGGGAAACTGTGATTGTGTCTTCGCCAGTATTTTATTAGAATGTCAATTCAATTGAATTACATCCCATGGGAAAGATTAGCATGGATTTTAGTATGGATGTGTGAAAGTGTTGCTGTGCCCAGGCCAACTTTTAAAAGTTGTGTGCTAATGAGAGTGAAAATGGAAAGAGAAGTGTGAGTTTCTCTGGTCCAAGAAATCCTGCAGCCATTCTTTCCTCCATTCCACTGTAATCCTCACTACATTTGCAAATGGTACAAACTGAACACAAAGCCTGCCAGACATCAACACTGCACTTTGAGCATTATGAGAGGATCAAAGGGATTTAGGATGAGGAAATGTATGTTCAGACATCTATTCCTCAGCTTAAAACAGGCAGGGCATTAAATATTGAACCATAGAGCGAATGGAAATTTATTTGAATCAAATTTTTAAATCTCACCCACCCTCCCCCCCCCACACACAAAGGAACTTCAGGATCTGCGGTCACCTATGATAACATCCACATTTTACTAAAGAAACAGAGTCAGGAAAATAGGGTCACTTGACTAGCAAATTAGTGGCAGAGCAAATTTGCTAAGGTCAGTTCACTACCCTTCTTTTTATATTGCTATTACTATAGTTTCTGGACAGTGCTTCAACACTTCCCATTTTGTCTTTTATTGACTTTTTGTAAAAAACTTATAATTAAGGGGAAATTCTGAGTATATGATACACGTGTTTCTTTGACCAAGTAAAAATAGGACCAAGTAAAGGAAATGGGTAAAAATCGAAGAGATGCAGTATTGGCGAAATCTTTATTTTCCCCCCCCCAGGGCAAGCAATGTTTATGGATTGCTAGTCTTGGAACATGACTGCGAGCTGCTGCTTCTGTGGCCCCCCACTTTCTGCAGTTTCCTTCCTTTTTAGTCCTTGGTGTTTCCAGAAGTTATCACCACCTGCCCAGATGAAAATTAAAATCACTTCAGGACACTCAAAATAGGATGTCTTCCTCTGTGAAATGATCGAGAAATTCAACGGCCATTTGGTGATGCCGTCACAATTAAATCTCACAGCAGAACCCACTATCCTTTTGGACAATCTGACCTTTGTACTATCCTCTCACTCAGACCCCAGGAAAGGGGAGGATTTACCAGCCCTGTGGGTGGGGGTGGAACCTGGGATGTGCTGCTGTTACGGACCCTGGGCTCAGCAACCTACCCTCCACTTCCCTTCCCCCCACGCCTCCGCCCAACACACACGCACACACAGTCCAGCCTCCCACCGGACACCTAACCTCAGTCCCCCCTGCAGCGCCAGGAGGAATAAGTCAGGAGGTAAGAGCCCGCCCACCGTGGAGCCTGTAAGGCTCTGGTCGCCCCCTCCAGCGCTGGGCAGTGCAAAGGTCTGGTGACTGCGGGGGTCTTGGGGACAGGAGCCGCTAGCCAGCCGGGCCGGGCACGCCACTGGTGAGGTTAGGCCTATTGAAAATATCAAATCGCCTGCGCCAGGATAGACGCCACACATGCATTCAATGTCAAGGGCATTGGAGCAAAACTTGGAGACGCAGGACTCGGAGTGTCTCTTCCCTCAGTGCCGGGTCTGAGCTCGCGGGGGAATCTCCTACTCTCTTCCCGACCAGGCGCGGGCCTCGTGGGGCCCCCACTCTGTCGACCTCGGTCTCACCCGCTCCTCGCCCGCCCGCTCAAGGTCCCCCGGGCCCGCCGCCTGCGGCCCGCCCTTCCTCCGCCGCCGGGTCACTCCGGGACAGGCGCCCTACCCCCGCTCTCCCCGCGGCGGGAGCCCAAGGCTCCAGCGGCTGCGGCGGCGGAGCCCCGTGCCAGTGCCGGGCTTTGAACTCCCGCGCGACACTGGGACCCATCCCCAACCCCCAACCCTCGCGTCCCGGCTCCGGGCTCCCGGCGACCGGCGGCCGCGACCACGGTGGACCCGGGGCTCGGTGAAGCCCCTGGCTGTGCCCCGGGTGGCCGAGTAAAGGGCGCCACGGTGAGGAGACGGACGGCCGGCGCCCACGGCTTGGAGGGGCTGCCTTAGGCTGCAGGACTGAGACTCGAGCTGCTCGCTCGGGCTTTACACCTTCGGTGTTTCTTGCTCTGAAGCTCCCTGAGCCCGGCCCTGGCTCTACGAGCCGGCTGAGAGCGCTGGGCGGCCCCTTCCGGGTCTCGGGACTCGAGTCCCCTCCGCTGCGCGTTAGGCAGCCCGGTGAGCGCTCGCTGGCCTGGCAGTGCGTCGGAAGAACAGGGCGGGTGGGGCCGCGCACATCTCTGCAAGAGTGAGCTCCTAACTCTGGGGCTCCAAGCTCCCAGCAAGTCTTATTTAATGGAAATGTTACTGAGACTGGCTACACTGTCCTGGGGAAAACCCCATGCAATTGTTGTAATGTATATTTCATTGCAGTATCAAAGGTGCCTGGTGCACAGCTAGATGCTTGTTCACGAACTTCACACACCTGTTTAACTAGCAGTCACACCAAGCAACAGAACATGACCTGCACTCTCAATGCCCCCTCAGCTCTTTCCACCAATCGGGGCAATCCCTACCCTGCCTTCCAACACCAGGACTAGTTTTGCCTGTTTTTGTACTTTATGTAAATAGAATCATAGAGAATGTGCTCTTTTGTGTCTGGTTTGTTTTCACTCAATAGCATGTTAGTGAGATTCATCCATGCTTTTGCCTATGGTTGAAGATGGTTGTTTCTCATTGCTGTACACAGTATTTCTTTGTATGAATATACTACAATTAGCTTATTCATTCTATTTTAATGAAGATATAGGTAGCTTCCAGTTTTGTGGTTGTTACAAAAAATGCTACTGTGAACATTCTGGTACATGCCTTTTGGTGGGCATTTTTGCATTTCTGTGGATAAATGACTAGGAATGGAATTGCTGAATCTTAAGAAGGCATTTGCTCAGCTTTGGTAGACATGGCCAACAGGTTTCCAAACGACTGCACCTGCTTACCACTTATCAACAATGTATTCGAATCCAGTGACTCCAAGACCAAGTATTGATTGAGGACCTACTGTGTAGCTGGGAAAGAGCAGGGAGCAGGACACACTGAGCCCCTACCCTCAGGAGTTCCAACAGGAGACAGACTATACACACCTCAGCAAACACCCAGACAAACTACTGCCTAGTGGAGGTAAATGCTGGGAAAATAGTAGAATTGGGCCATGAGATGGAGAAGGGCACTTAAAATGGGCTGGTTGGAAAAGGCTTCTGTGAAGGGACAACTGAGTCTAGACCTCAAAGACAAGAAGGAACTCTGGATAAAGACAGGGCATAGGCAGGAAGTCACCCCAATCTCTCCTGCCTTTTTTTGCCTCCGGGTTTATCAGACTCCTCAGACTTGGGCAAAACCAAGTTGCGGTTTCCAAGGTCTTCAAGTTCACTGTGCTGCTGCTACTTGGGAGGGGGTAGGGGGAGGAAAATCCCAGGAAGCCTCTGGCCAGAGCACCCACCTCTCCCAGCCTCTGAACTCCCAGACACTTCTTTCCCAATATCTCCACCTTCTGTTGTATGGTTAGTGCCCGTTATGCTTTATGCCCGCACTCCACATTTTGCCAAGTACTTTACCACTTGAACCAATACTTCTCACTTCTAGTTATTGGTGAGGTAGCCTGGTGTTAGATACACGGTGAGTCCCTACGAAGGAAACAGACAACATGAAAACATTAACATGCCCAAGGCCAAAAGGCGAGTCAGCAAAAGATCAAAGGAGGCTCCGGACAGTCCATACCACCCTCTAGGCACTGTGCTGAGGACTTTTATACAGTGTCCCTTTCATTGCCACAGCAAACCCGCAAAGTGGGCATCATTATCTCCATTTAACACCTAAGGAAACTAAGACAAGGGAGATTACCCAACAAACCTGAAGTCACATAGTTAACAGTCGGGGAAGTCCAGACGCAAACCCAGAATTGTCTCACTTTGAAACCCGGTCTCAGGTCAGGTTTCCTAGAAGCAGAACCTGTGACCAAGATTCATGCTGAGGCGATTTTCGTCAGGAGTGCTTTTAGGAGAAGAGTAAGGGGAGCAGAATTGGGCAGGCGAGAAGGTGAGCAAGACTGTCATCCCTACTGGAGACTGGCTTTAGTCTGTCCCACTAGGAACATGAACTACATCACAGAGTTAGTTTCACTTTGAAGCAAAGGGGGAGGCTTTTGTAGCTATTGTCATGCAGCCCTGGCAGTTCTCCAGAGAAGGGAACATCTTCGAGTCCTTAGCAACCAACACACCACAGAAGGCGAGGGAAGTACCAGATCAGTGAAGGGGCTCCAGCGGGAACCAACAGCACCCGCTGTGCCCAGTCTCAGCTTGTCTTTGCCCCAGGTTCCCTTGGGATACCCAGGATGCCCAGATCACTCCCTGCTCCAATCACTGCAGTCTTCCCACCTATCTGGGTTCGTGAACTTCTCCTACACCAGGGGTTCTGTAGGAAGGGTTTGTTAAAACTCAGATTGCTGGGCCCCACCCCCGGAATTTACAATTTAATAGGGCTGAGTGGGATCTGATGATTTTCATTTCCAACAACCAGGTGATACCTTGCTGCTTGTCTGGGGTGCACTCTTTGAGATCCACTGTTCTGCAGCATCATTTTAGGGCATTACACCTCTGACATCTAAGCCAGACTAATCTGTCAATGATCCCTTATTTTAACTAGGTTATCTGGACAATATGCTTCCCCAAATAGTTACTCTTCTGGTGGTAATATGAGACTCGGTGGCAGATAACTTGGATACGAAAGTCTTCATGGCACCCTCTTGGTGATGCCAGTGATTCAATCCAACCAAAAAGAAAACTGGGAACTCTAAGCGTTAAAGGAAAGGCTTGAGGCAAAATACTGAATTAGCCGAAATTTCACCATCACGTCCTGAGACTCTTATTCTACCTTATGTGTCTCCTTTTTCTAGATTCCACTCTTGGGCCCAGAACATTTTATGCTGAAACTGTCTCATACCTGTTCACAAGTGATTTGAGCCCATCTCCTCCAAATGGACATTAAAATCAGCCAAGGTGCAAATATTTACAGCATGAGAATCAGCAAATTCTAAAAAACAGGAATCTTTATTTCCAGAGAGCTAGTTACTAAACTTTTACCACGTACCACTGCATCACCAGATCCTTAAAAGCCGTTTGAAAAAAGATTAACAAACTCACACCAATGTATAGTTGACAATAAAATTTAATACTTCTGTGTGCCAAGCACATACCTATTATGTGCCAGCACTATGCTGAGTGCTTTCTCATGTTTTTCTTTTATTTTCACAATAACCTACTGAGGTGTTTTTATCCTAAGAGAAAAATGAGACTCTCAGAAGTTACCTGACTTTCCCAAGTTCACACAACCAGTTATTGAGGCTACACCAGCTTTCCAAGCCACATTGACTAATGCCAAAAATCTAGGTTCTTTCTACTGCTGCATTCCTACTTACTTGTAGTTTGAGAGACTAAGGAGACTAAGTCTTAAACCAAAGAAATGATTTTTTTTAATGCAGCAGTTCACAAATGCTTCGGTCTCAAGACCCTTTCATACTCTCAAAAAGTATTGAAGACCCCAAAGAGCTTTGATTCTGAGGATTATAAATAGGATATATAAATAGCATCAATAAATAGGATATTATAAATAGCAGCAATAGTATTAGAATGGAAAATGAGTAATGTTTAAAATATTTTTACTAATCATTTAAAAGTAGCAATGATAAATCCTTATGTGTTAATGTAAAGAACATGTTTTTTAAAAAACAACTATATTTTCCAAAATAAGAAACTATTTAGTGAACAAAAGGCATTATTTTACATTTTTGCAAAAGGTTTAAATGTCATTTCTTGCTAATAGAACATCACAGACTGGGTAACTTTAAAAGAAAATAAATTTATTTCGCTCATAGTTCTAGAGGCTGGGAAGTCCAGGATCAAGGGGCTGTATCTGTAGGGCCTTCTTGCTACATCGTAACATGACCGAAGGACAAGGAAGCACGTGAGGCAGAGAGAAAAATGGAAACCAAACTTCATCCTTTTACCAGGAGCCCACTCCTGAGATAAATATCCAACTCCTGCAATAAGGGTATTAATCTACTACTTAAAGGCCCCATGTCCCAATTAATTTATCCAATTAAATTTCAACATGATTTTTGGAGTGAGCATTCAAACCATAGCGTTTAGTTTAATAGTACAGCTGGAGTCCCGTAACTGCTTCTGCATTCAATCTGCTGTAGTATGTTGTTTGAGTTGAAGTATGTGAAGAAAATATGACCATATCCAGCTTGGAAAGGCAGGATCTCATGGACCCCCAGAAATGGTCTTGTAATCACTTTGATGACTGCTGATCTAATTATTAGATGTCAGGCTCAGGACAGTGATGGGAAGACAGTAGGCTTCAAACTTTAGTCCATCCAATCTTAGGAGTTAAGATTATTTAGAATTTGACTAAGCTAATGAGCTAAATGGCTATTTTATAAGGTAAACATAAGAGTTCTCACTCTCTCTCTCTCTCCTCCCTTTCTCTCTTTCCTCCTCTCTTTCTGTCTTTTAAAACCCAGTCACTGCCCACCGATTTTCCAAATCCCAACAATGGCATTTGCAATACCATTTATTCATTCAGCAAATGTTTATTAAGCATCTAATATGTATCAGACACCATACTAGACACTAAGGATATAAAAGTATGTAAAACATCCATAATGACTGCCTCTTTGGGGCTTACAGTTTACTGGGAGAGACAGGCTATGACACATACAGAAATGTGCAGTGCTATAAGAAGATAGTGAGAGATTTTCTGCAGGAGGAAGTCTTTCCTGAGGAAGTGCTAAGGGGAGGCCTGAGGATTCCTAGAAGTGAATTCAGAAGAGGTGGGAAGGAAATGGGGAGCTCATATGGTAAGACTAAAAATGATGAGAAATAAGACCCATAGCCTATGTCAAGGATTTGGCTCCTAAAAAAAACAAAAATCAAGTTTTTAGTGGAAAAGGATGTGATGTGATGAGACCATTTAGAAGGCTTTTGAGTAGCCTAGGCAACACAAGGTCTAGAGAAGCTTCAGCTCACATGGGTGGAGGGAGATTAAGACAAGTGCACAGATTTGAGAGATGTCAGAAGGTAAAACTGATAGACATCAATGCTGAGTTGGATATGGGGAAGGAGAAGGTATCAGGGATACCTCCCAGATTGCTTCAAACATCTATTGAACACCCACTATGTGTCAGTCACTGCACAAGGATCTGCTGTCACAGCCAAATAGGAAATGGAATTAGATTTGACTAGAAGTAATAGAAAAATAAAAACTATTCATTTCTTAAATGAAATAGGCCTTTCTTTTTTTTATCTTCTCTCATTTAAAAGTCTATAAGCCCAAGTTCCAGGATCCTCCTTCATGAAATTTAGGATCCTCTGACTTTGTTGCTCCCCAAGGCTGGACCTCCATTCCCAAGTCCCCCCAAGATGGTTTCTCCAGGTCTGGCCATTGTACAAATGTTCAGCCATCATGAAGAGGAGGGTGAAAAATAAAGGACAAAGCATAAAGGAACTTCCCAGATGCAACCACACAACACTTCTTTATATGTCCATTGCTCAGAATTTATCCGGTAGCACCAAAGATGCTGAAGGGATGCTAGGGAGCACAGACTTCATTCTGGGGAGCCATATGTCCAGCTAGAAATTTTACTGCCAAGGAAGAAGAGGAAAAATATAATGAGGGACAATATAGTTTTCACAAACACAGAATTAGACACAGGTGCTCCACTTTCGAGGGCTTACAGCAGTCTGAGGTCAATGGTTTCCATCTTGTGCATCTCAGTTTTCTTCAACTGTCAAACAAGAGTTCCTACTAGGTAACTTCTGTAATTTCTTCCCACTCTAGAGTACTGTGAATCTCTACACATCCATGAGGGATTGTATAACTGTTCATTTTTCAAAAGTGCTGATTGTATTTGATTTGTTATAAATGAATACATTTTGCTGAAGACCAATTTTCCTGCAATGATTCTTTTTGCTAAAGTTGGCTTAACTGGAATCAGTAGAAAGTGATGCTTTTGCTGACTCTTTGTGCATCTGATGCCTTTGTTTTGTGAAAAATCAAATATTAATATAATGGAAAAACGTAAACTTTTTATAGTTATTTGAATTAACCGTGTGGTCTGAACAATGTTAGAAAGAAGTATCACTTCTTTTCAGAAAACATAAAAAACAAACACTTCTTCAATAAAAAACAAATAATCCTCAATTACAACATGTTTAATGGTAAACAAAAAAATAAGGAATTATTTAACTTATTATTCCCTTCTCCCTAAATCTATCTGATTTGAAACGGTTGGAGTAAAGGACAGATCACCTGTTTTGGTTTCGTTTCTCTGTTTGTTGTGATACTGTTATTGTCAGTGTTGTTTCAGTTAACTCCAGATTTAGATTGAATTTCCCCAAGGTGCTGGAGAAAGAAGATAACCCATAACAGTATTGGTTACCCACAGGAAAAGAACTTGGATTTATAATTTGCTAGGATTAGACCACAAAGTAGATAATTTATAATTCAGTTTGTCCAATCCTGACTTTTGTCACTAGACTCTTCTTAAATCTAGCTAGCCTTACACACACAAAATGGCCACATAACATTGACTCTGATTCCAATTTTTTATTGAATTAATTTAATTAGTATTAAGGCATGGTGATAGTTCTCATTTCATTTTGTATGCAAAACTTTCCTGATTTGATTTGATGCAATTGAATACTTTAAGGGACTATAGTCATAGGATTCTGTTTTCCATAAATGAGTAATTAATTTTGTTCAAAATATCTTAAATATTACTAAGCATATTAAAAGAAGGCATTGAATATATAAACTTTATTAAAGCACTGCTTAAATCATGAAACATATTTCTTGTTAAATTAATTTAAATAACAAATTTAGTAAACAAGTTTATTTAGAGGTATTTTCTCCTCCAATATAGTGACTCAAAAACTAGCAAGAAAATATATTTTAAAATTACCTTTCCTTATTGTTTTCAAGCTAAAATTCATGCACAAAGGTTTTAGTGTGTATATATGTGTCTGTATATGTAAATAAACATCTATTTTCCTGTGTGAAGTTATTGCCCTGCAAGAAAACATGATTTATATCAATTTGGATGACTTGAAATATCTTTTATGAGATAATTAAAATATAAACTGTTCCTAAACTGTTAACCTTCCGGTAGCTTCATAAATGTAGCAGCTGATGACATACCATAAAGTACAATTTGTCAACTTTTAAGATATGAGCTAAGCTTGCTTGTTCAGATTTGGGCATAGATAAGAAACTTGACTCAGTCTAGTTTTATAGTTGCCCAGAGATTTAAATAAGAAGAGATGATTGTCTATCACAGCTCATAATAATGCACTTAAATTTAGAGCTCCAAATACCCCCACTCCCCAGTCGGCATGCTTCTCGAGGCCTTCGGACTGAAAAACTGCAGCTGTGTTTATGTGGTAATTTAGAATCCCTATTACATATGCAAGCAACTGGGTTCCATGGCTCAATCACAATTCATTCATTTTGCTTTTTTTGTACCAAAGAAATAAAATCAGAGAACTCTATAGCATTATGGCCAGCCCCGAAAAATCACAAAAATCAGGAGTTTGAAAATGATAGCCCCACAAAACCCACAAATCGTTTCCATTTGCCATTAAAGTTCACAACAGAAATTCCAGATATATGTAGTTAAGGTGTGTTATTCAGTTCAGCAAACATTTAGTAAGACAAGAAAACATGTAGCTATAGTAGAATAAATTAAAACATGAATAAGGAAATGCCTTTACTTTGAGGATATTGAAGCCTAAAAGAAGATATTTAGAATCAAGCACCACGTGTCTGTTTGTGAGCATGAGAGAGAGAGAGAGTTTGTGTGTGTGTGTGTGTGTGTGTGTGTGTGTGTGCATGCTTTATGGAGAACACCAATAAATGAACTGAGTTTGTTCCCAGATATGAATAAAATTCTTGAATACTTTTCTTTGGGAATGTTACAAATCTGTGCAGTCATATTATTTATGATTCACATAGCAAAGATTTTTAAAGTGTTTGTTTATTGTCTAGATCCACAGTGACCCTAGCAAAAGTATCTGTAGTTCATCTTGTTAACATATACTAGCCAGAGTCTGAAAAGTTATGTAGAAATTGGCTTTTGTGCAAATGGAAGACTATTTTCATGATGCTTAATAGCTAACTCAAATTCAAATTTTAAAGTCATATTCTAATTCAGGTGTTTTTTTATAGATCTGGGCTTTTCTGATATTGTTTTTACTTATTGAATGTGTGTGTCTATAGTGTGAGGGGGAAGTACCAGCATCTTATAAGGAAAATCATTTTACTCTAGAACATTCAACACTTTTTAAAGGTGCTATAGAGAAGCGGAACTTTTATAATCATTTTGGAACATAACATAGACTCCTTCTAATTTACTCGTGGGTTGCATTTCAGATGTTAAGTTGATTGGTATGCAAAAGTTGCTACTGGAAATAACCTCTTACATGTTAAGTTTTCAAGAAAGCACACAAAAGCAATTCATTAATCTAAGATATGGCTCTGTCATAACTGTTCCTAACTACGTTTTTTTCCCTCTAACTTTTGAGCACTCCTGAAGTGGGGAATCAACAGCCCTCTTGTCTTTTCAACTCAGTAGGCAAGGACTTTACAACATCAAAGTCACAATGATTGCTAAACCAGGGCTCCTGAGGTGATGGGAAAGGGGCTGGGAAGGACAGCTGAAGGGCAGGACAACTGAGCTATAAGGGATGAGATGATGGGATGGAAGGCAAGGGGCCTTTTGCTTTCTTTTCTAAGCAGTTATGGAAAAGAACTGCTATTACTGAGATTGATAAATGGAAAATAAACATCAAGCAGTATGACTTCATCTTTTTTTGTTTTTTTTTTTTTTTTTTTTTTTTTTTTAGACAGGGTGTCACTCTGTCGCCCAGGCTGGAGTGCAGTGACATGATCTGGGATCACTGCAACCTCCGTCTCCTGGGTTCAAGCGATTCTCCCCCCTCAGCCTCCCGAGTAGCTGGGACTACAGGCATGCACCACTCTGCTAATTTTTGTACTTTTTGGTAGAGATGGGGTTTCACCATGTTGGTCAGGCTGGTCTCAAACTCCTGACCTCAGGTGATCTGCCTACCTCAGCCTCCCAAAGTACTGGGATTACAGGCATGAGCCACTGCGCCTGGCCTGGCTACATCTTATAAACATTTTGCTCTCGAAACAATTAGATAGACATATGATTGATTGATTCATTGATTGAGATGCATGATAGGAGCTTTGAAAGTGATGAGAAAAGTTAAAGATACACATGCAGGCCAGTAGATACAGGCCGATTTCAAAGTCAAATTACATGAGTTCTAAACCCTGATTCACCACTTGGAAGTTGCACGACTTACAGCAAGTATTTAAATCTGTCTGGGCCTTGGTTTCCCTATCAGAAAAAAAAAGAGATAATAATAGAACTGTACTGAATTCATAGGATGTGGTAACAGAGTAAATGAGATAATCCATATAAAGTAATTAGCACAATGTCCAGAACATAGGAAGTGCTCAATAACAGCCAACAGCAGCAGCAATAACATTATTTTTATGGAACATAGTTGAAAGCTGCAGGGATATAGAAAAAAAACATATTCAGTGGGAGGGTAACTAGATTTGTGACCTTGAATGGGTCATTCAATTTCCTGGGATCTCATCTTCCTCAGGATATGTCTAGATAAGCCAGTGCTTCTCAAATGTCAATATGTGTGCGATCACCTGAGGATCTTGTTAAAATGAAGATTCTGATTCAGCAGGTCTGGGGTGGGACCTGAGATTCTGCACTGCTAACATGTACCAGAATGAGGTTGGTACTTATGGTCTGGGTACTACACATTGAGTAGTAAAGATCCAGATGGTATCCAGTGAGTGTCTCTTTCAGCTTCAATCCAGTTTATAATTAAGACACTGGCCCATTTTTGTATATAAAGAAAGAATGGGGCCGGGCGCGGTGGCTCACGCCTGTAATCCCAGCACTTTGGGAGGCCGAGGCGGGCGGATCACGAGGTCAGGAGATCGAGACCATCCCGGCTAAAACGGTGAAACCCCGTCTCTACTAAAAATACAAAAAATTAGCCGGGCGTAGTGGCGGGCGCCTGTAGTCCCAGCTACCTGGGAGGCTGAGGCAGGAGAATGGTGTGAACCCGGGAGGCGGAGCTTGCAGTGAGCCGAGATGGTGCCACTGCACTCCATCCAGCCTGGGCGACAGAGCGAGACACCGTCTCACAAAAAAAAAAAAAAAAAAAAGAAAGAAAGAATGAAAAATTCAGGTTCACTTTTGAGAAAAATTAATCTCATATTAACATGGGAATTTTGTCTCTAGAGCCCCAAGAGATTGGAAGAGAAGGTCAGGACTCATCTGAAGGGTCAGATAATTGGCTGCTGAGAAGGTGGACAATGGGGGATGATTCCTGATGAGGTCCTCAGGACAGAGGCATTTTAAGTTGGGAAAGTTTTTTTTTTTTCTTGATTCTAGAAGGCAGCATGGCATCGTAGTGAAGAATGAGGGTGTGCGTACGTGTGTGAGGGGTGGAGGGGCGTGTGTATGTAATCAACTATACCTGGACGGTTATCTCAACTCTGCAACGTAATGGCTGACCTTGGGCAAATTTCTTAATTTTTGTCAATTTCATTATCTCATCTATAAAATGGGAATAGCAGTACTTTGTTGGACTCTACTGACAAGTGATATAGGGCCTAAAGTACTTAGCACAAGGCTTACATGCACAGGTAAGTGGCCAGATAATGTTGTCTATTAAAATTATCATCATCGTCATCACCATTAACATTACATTAGGAATGCTCGAAGGCTAACCATTATAATCTTAATTCTATTTTAGCTTTGACAACAGTGGTTCTCAAACTCCAGTGTGCCCCAGAATCAACTGGATGGTTTATTAACACTGATTGCTGGGCCTCATCCTCAGAGATACTGATTCTGTAAGTAGATCTTCGGTGGGGTCTAAGAGTCTGCATTTTTAACAGGCTCTCAGGTGATATGACGCTGCTGGTCTGGGGACCACATTTTGAGAACCAACAATCTACAGAATTACTTCCTATAACTGGCATGATTATTAAGTGATGATGAATCTTTGGTAAGTAAATTTTCCACACAAGTGAAGGTTGCCTCAGATGCGACACTTTCATTTTAATTCCTTTTTGATGAAAACTTTTCTAAAATGTATCATTTTTATTCTTATATATGTGAACAAGGGGCTCTTAAATACCACTTAGCTTTTCTTTTGACTGAAGTTATCAAATAATTCCTCTTGGTTTCAGAAGGGATAAATAAGCATGGTCTTTTGACTTATGAACTTATTAACCTGAGCAGTATTTCCGGACTGTGTTCCTGAAGGGACAGTCATAGATCCTGAGAAGAGATAGTAGTGAAACTTACAAGTCAGCACGAGTTCCCTGAGAATAAGTAGGTAAAGCTAACTTTATTTCTTTTATTGTTATGACTACTAGATTGGTAAATTGGAGAAATGATATAGGCATAGATATTGGACTAGCCAGGCTTACCAGGCAATACCAAAATGTGTTGAGTTGATTAATGGATGGGTGCCAACCTGGGTAGATATTGCTTGTAGAGTGCCAGAGAGTTCTGTCTTTGGCTTTGTCTAATTCTTTCTCAGTTATTTGGATGAGCCAGAACATAACCCATTCCCATTCCTCAGGGGTATGAAAACATAGACAAGACCACTTGACAGACAATAAAGAAAGGGTGTGAAGGACAGCCAGAGGAGACTTTGAGGGCCCAAACAATCCAGAACTCTGATTCTCTGATAGTTATGATCACTTGATTACCTGTTATGATACTGTAGTGTAATAGCCAAAATAGGTATGTGACTGCCTTAGAGTTTGTGGTCTTTGCTGCCAGGATGACAGCAAATTAACCTTAATTTTCAAGAACACATCTCTTGCTGCTCAATCAAATTTTATCCTTTCTCGTATGTCTTCTTTCAACCTGCTCTTAGATTGCTCTTTCAGCTCTACAAGGGTCTGTGAAACCAGATAACTAGACTTGACAAGAAATATAAATGCAACAAGAGTAAGCAGACCAATGGAGAACATAAGGGACCACTTGTTTGGAGTTTGGCTCTAGAGTCTCAGAGAGTGTTTTCTCTTACATTTATGTTCCAAAGGAATGAAACGATTCAATCTTTGGCCTCCTGAGCTTTCATATGTTGGTATAAGAGACTCAACTATCTTCTACTCAATTATCATTCACATTTCAGAGAAAATTGTATTTATTTTATTGAATGATGACTTACCAAAAGGTTGCTACAAATTAATAGAAGATGAAATACATAATGCTGTATATTCTGCTCGAATATATTCATTGTTCAATTAAATATGGTTGCAAGCACAATATTAAGACAACTGCCTTGTATTCATGTATATACACATACCCTATAAGCCCTGCTTTCTCATTTGCTATTGCCAAGGTGATAGCTGTTAATGACAGATGGGAAAATGTTTTAAATAGAAAGGAATTTGGAGGAAACTAAAATAAATCTCACTTTACTTCATTATTCCACATCTTCTTTCCCTGAGTGGCAACATATTAATGAGGACCCTCTTAACAATACATGAGTTTTATTTGATAGGCTGTCTGATTTGCGCTTATTTCCCATAGGCAATGGGTGTGTGTAGTCAAGTCCAGGTTAGGGTCAGACAGGTTTTTCATTTATCTTTTCTAATGACCTGTAAATGTTCCACTGACTTGGGCTTTTATTTCGGAAGTAAACATTTTGCTAACTAGTCATGGGTCATGTAGGCACATTAACAACTCCCTGCTAATTTATCATCATTGCGTAGCTAACCTCCAGTAGGTAAACTAGGTCCTTTTTGCTCTCATGATTTTATGATGTTGGCAGTGGTAGTAAGTATGCATTACTTTGTCTCATCCCCAACCTGAGAAAATGAACCTTTTTACAGTCCTTTCAATCTGATCACACTATTTTAAGTGCTGATGTATTCTGAAAAGATGAATTGTTTTATGTTGCAATGTTTCCACTGAGTAATAGAGTATCATGTGGGTGAGGGAGGAAGAAGTATAGAGTTACAAATTTAAATACACTGGCTCTCTATTCAGAGACTTCCATATAAGGGAGCAAGGTGATACTATAAAATATTCAGATGTATTCTAGGGGTACTGTGTGTTTCCTAGATTATCAGTTTCCTTTGCTACATTTCTGGGGACTAACTGCCAACATAAGAATTGTAGATGATTCATAATTAGTAAATGTGCTTTTTTTTTCTTTGCAGCAATATTTGTAAAAATAACCTTATTTTTGGTACATTTATTTCTGTCTATTGGGCAATTTGTGAGAAATATATTACTTGAAATGTCATGCTTCAGAATTTTTTTCTTTTCATCTATTTTGAGGAAAACATTAAGGTTCTGATTTGAATTGTTTTAGGATAGAAATGTATTAAGTAACATATGTTATTAATAAGCTCCATGTTTTTCTCTATTCTCTATAAGGTGCTAAAACATGCCAGACAGCAGATTCTTAATCTAGAAAATTATTTAAGCAGCAGCAACAAAATTCAAATTTTCTGACAGCGGAAGGTAGAACAGAAAGTTCTCAACTGGGGATGATTCTGGCCCCTGGGGACATTTGTGGAGACATTTTTGGTTGCCTCAACCTGAGGGGGTCAGGGGAAGTGTGTTCTACTGGTATCTAGTGGGTCGAGACCAGGGGTGCTGCTCAACTTCCTGCAGTGCAAAACACAGTGCTCACAATAAGGAATTACCCAGCCCAGAATGTCAATAGTGCTAAGACTGAGAAACCTGGGCCTACAACTGTTTTCAATACAAATACAAATGAAAATGAGGGAGGCAGTCTGAACTTTACACACTGGATCAAGATCCTTTTCAAAGGTGGAAATAAAGCAACCCTAAAGGAGGAACTCCACCTAGGGTACAAGAAGAGAGGAAACGTTTTGTTCCTTTGTGTTCCGCATGTCATTAGGAAGTACACATGGGTGGACTATTACATTACAGTGAATCATGACCATGTGTTCATTCTAAACATTGTTGTATTTGTTATTCCTAACTTTAATAAACTGTAAAATCTGAATGTGGCATCACCAAACACCATGAAATGTGTTCTCCCCTTTTCCAATAGTGCATCAACTAATGGTTAAATGTGATCTTTAACTTGACAGAGTCTATGCAATCCTTCCACATTTTATTCGGCTTAGAGATCACAGCCTCTAGAACAGAATGATAATTTAAAGCAGATGTTCTTCTAAACTATGTTTCACTCAAATCCAGCAATATGATAAAGGGAAAAAATGGGGAAACATTGATGGGGCTTCAGGATAAAGGGTTTTATATTTTTCACAATGATTTGAATGTTAGTTCTCTTCTTTTTCAGGCCACATTCTGGTGTATTCTCTCATGATTTAATTACATGTTACCTGTTGCTTTAGTCTATCCTTTCTGATTTACTCCCAGTTTCTATTTCATTTATATAAGTGTGTGTATGTGTGTGTGTTTGTGTGTGTATTTATATATGTGTGTATGTATAATGTATATGTATACACATGTGTATATATACACATTATATATAATGTATATGTATACATGTGTGTATATATACACATTATATATAATGTATATGTATACACGTGTGTATATATACACATTATATATAATGTATATGTATACATGTGTGTATATATACACATTATATATAATGTATAATCATATATTAATCATTAATATATATCACATATATGGACAATATATAAATGATATATTGTTAATATATATACCAAATATATAATAATATATTCTATTCATACCTTGACTCCTAACTGAAATGTTACTTTCTCAGAGAGGCCTTCCATGACTATTTCATGTAAATTAAATACCTTCATACATTACCTTATCTATCACATTCTTTTTTCCTCCATTTATATATATATATATATATATATATATATATATATATATTATATATGTACATATGTATCTTTATATGTCTCTTGATATACTTTTTTTTTTAGACAGAGTCTCACTCTGTCGCCCAGGCTGTCTTGATATACATTTAGTTGTATTTCTATCTCATTTGACTCAAAGGCCCACAAAGGAAGAGATAATTTTGCTTTCTTTACCATGACATTTTCAGACCCTGGCATCTGACACTTTGCCCTCAATAAACGTTGTGTGGGTGAGATAAAAGCTACCCGCTCAAGGTGTATTGACTGTCAACTGTACTGAGATTATCAAAACATGTGTCCTTTCCTTTTCTGTGATAAGGTGACTACACCCTGCACAATTGTTCTATGCACATATGCACTGTATAATTTGGCCGCAGTCTATTTTTCCCTATGTTTGTGACATCAAATGAAGGTAAGCCCCAATCTGTCAGTATGTGACATCATTTTTCCAAGACCACTTCACAACTCCACATACACAGAGGCCTTTGCTCTTAGCTTTTTGTACCAATCTCTGAAGCACTATGGCTAATCTTGAGACAGAAAAATTCCTGGTATAGTGATGAATCCCTTAAGCTGAGCAAAGAACCAGCGACAGTCGAGAACCCCCTTGAAGATGTTACTCAATTCCAAGAGAGGAATAAAAGGGGCCTATGGTTGCTCTCATTTAAACTTCTCAAGCCAGATGTTTGGCTTCTGCCTCTAAACATATCCTAGCAACATGACGTTGCAGATCTTTCCCTGAAGAGGTGGAGCCTATCTTTCCTTCTCTTGAAGCTGGACATTCTACATGTGGCTTGCTTCAGCCAATAGAACTTTAGTAAATGTGACATAAGCAGAGACTTGAATAGTACATTTTCTTTAGAGCTCACTCTCTTGCTGATATTTGGGCCCTGAGGCCACTGTGTGAAGAATCCCTGACTACTCTGCTGGAAGATAAAAGACAATGAGGAAAAAAGCTGATCTATTCCAGCTGAGGGCCCCCAAGGCTGACCGGTCTGCCAACTACCAGACATGTAAGTGAGATGACCATAGATTTTCCAATCTCAAATTAATGAACTGTCTAGCTCACTTACAGATTCATGAAAAACAAGTGATTTCCATTTTAAGCTACTAATTTTTGGAGTGGTTTTGTTATGCAGCAAAAGCTAACTGGTAACAGTCACAGATAGCATATTACTGCCTGTTTTCTCAAGGAGGCAAGTCAAATGTCTATAAATTGTGTGAGTTCAGCAGTGTCTGTGGAACTCACTAGTTTCCTAAGGATGTTTAAGGTATAAAAAGGGACTTTCTGATCCAAAGCTTGGGAATCACTGCATTCTAAAGCATTTTCAACTTAGAGATTTGCAAAACAAATTAGCAAATTAAAGATAATAAGAATCCACAAAGTAAATAAACACACACACACACACACACACACACACACACACATACAAAACTGCTGAAAATATGTTAAAGCCCCATCTTTCCCAAACTACCAACTCAAGGTGTATTGACTCTCAACTGTACTGAGATTATCAAAGCATGTGTCCTTCCCTTTTCTGTGATAAGATGACTACACCCTGCACAATTGTTCTATGCACATATACACTGTATAATTTGGCCACAGTCTGTTTTTCCCTATGTTTGTGACATCAAATGAAGGTAAGCCCCAACTTGTCAGTATGTGACATCATTTTTCCATGATGTCATGACCTCTTGGCATCATGCTCTTAACATTATAGTCATTGCTGAAACCCTACTCTGAATATAATGGTAAATGGTCTGTACAAGAACTTGGAGATTTGGGTCCTGGCCCTAAGTGTAGCATTTGCAAACTGCAGGACCTTTAACAAATCTAACTTGGTAAAATTTGATAAAATGAAAAATAGAATTTCTGCCCTGAAAGCCTTCTAGGTCATCTGTTCCTGTCACCTAGATAGAAATTTAGATGCTGCATCGATACTCATGTTCTGCATTATATTTTGTTTCTGATGGGCTGTATCAATGCTGCAGTGGCAAATCATTAATTCAGCTCAAAATCCTTTTTGAGGGCCACCATTATGCCAGGTACTATTTTGAAGAGTGTTAGGGATACCTTAATGAACAAGTCTTTATCCTCTAATATAGTCTTTAATATAGTGACTCTACATACCCTCTCATAATTAAGCTCCAATACAGAGCTTGTATTCCAGCAGTAGAGCTGGACAATAAATCTGAGAAGAAACAAATAGCTAATATAATGTCAGCTGGTAATAAGGACTGTGTAGTAAAACAGAGTAAAGGGCTAAAGTAGTGGTTCTTAAACTTCAGCTTGCATCAGAATCACATGGAAGATTTGTTAAAATCCAGATTTCTAGGCCCCATCCCCCAAGGTTTCTGATTCAGTGTTCTTAAGTAGGGAATTAGAATTTTCATTTCAAACAAATTCCCAGGTGATGCTGATACTGCTAGAGGGAGGACCATGTTTGGATAACCAGTGGGCTAAAGAATGATAAGAGGTTGTTCTATTGGATAAAATGGTAAGGTAAGGCCTCTCTGATCATCAGAGACCTCACTGAAGTGAGGGAGAAGCCACGTGAGAACCTGGGAAGACAGCTACAGTAGAGAGCACAGTGTGTGCAAAGGTCCTGAGGCAGAATTGAACTTGTGCTGGAGGAATAGCAAGGACTGGTTTTCTTAATACCCATTGCTATGTTAGCGAGCCATAGTCCTTGTCACCCATTACAGCATGAATTATGAGTGACTATCTTTCATGAGTTATGGCTTATAGCACCTACTAGGGTCCAGGGTCCAGCTTTCAGCTGAATTATTTTCCTGACTCACATTTAGAAACAGTTTTTTTTTCTTTTTTCTTAAAAGGGAACTTTGAGAATTAAGGAATTTGGGTTAAGTTAGTGGCCAAAACTCATAAGAGGAAACTGCTCATCTGTCACATTTCACTTGTTGAGGTCTACTGGTTTCGATTCTGACACCAAAACTGGTGTAACTTAAATTCACAGTCTTGCTTCTGGTTTGTAGGAGGATCTGTGATTTTTCAGGTTAAGACACATTATTTCAATGTCGCTCCTTTTGTATTTGTGGGTTTTCCCAGATAAAAATGGATTATGTTTTTTAGAATGTCTACATTTGGGAGATGTTTTTCACATTCTTTACCTCATTAGATCTTCATAATATAATTTCCTCATGCAGGAAAGACAGAAACTATCTACCCATACTACAGATGAGAAAACAGACTCAGAGAAATGAACACTCAGCAAACATTTCTTTTTGTTTCTCTTCACGTGGTCTTTCTTTGGATAGGCAACCTGATTTTCCCAAGCTCTTGCAAGTATGTGGTAAATCATGGAGCAGGGGATTGGAGACAAGCTCATAATCTTCCCATCACTGCCTCTCTTGAGGAAATTTGGTCTCAGGTCTCTGCCTGTCTCTTAGGTGCACTTTATTTTTGCCATCAATCATAAAACTGCATGGCTTTACTCAGAAAGAAGTAAAGGAAAAGAAACTTTGTGAGAAGAAAAGGAAAACTAATTTTTACTGATCACCCAAGATCCAGGCAATTTGCTGAACATTTTAAAACTATGATTTTAGTTAATCTCCTTAGCAAGGGGGAATCTCTTCATTTTATAGGTTAAAAAAAAAAAAAGCTGGGGCACAAGGAAGTTAGCTAATGGATCTTACGGCAATAATGTGACTGACTCAACATCAATTCTCACTGCCTGTGTTTCCTCTAACCTCAGCAGCCACAGAGCCTTTTTTCAGATACCACATTGAGGCCTAGAGGAAGAATCCAGGAGGAGGCATACAAATGATAAGAGTGAGACACTTCCTGGCAGGGACATGTTCATGTCAATCAATCCAACAGTGTGAATCAATATCATTTCTTTTATGGTCATAGATAAAGGGGTTAAAGAAAAGTAAGCTAGAGAAAATGTCCATCATCACCTTCAGAAATCTCAAATGTCTTTATATGAAGGATCATACTTTATTATGTATGATATTTCAAATTTCATGAATGGGTATAAGAATGAGTAGGAATCATTGAAAGAAATACCAGCAAAGAACATTTTATGACCTGAATTTACAGATCCTCTGGCCATTAATTAAAGCAAAAGTGATGGTCAACCTTTTGCTTTAAATTAAATTAATTTTGATTTAAATTAATTAAAGCAAAAGTGATGGTAAATTCAAGCTGTGGTTTATCCAAACTAATGAATAAAATCATCCTGTCATTTGACTTACCTGCCTAATAAAAAATGCATTAAAATCATCAGAAAAACAAAAAAGCTGCTTTTCTGCCTTCCCAAAAGAAGCTGCCTTTAGGAATGGAACTTAAATCCATACATTCCCAAGTGTCTTCATTTAGCTAATAATGAACACAAAAATATTGTTAAGAAGGAATAGGGAGCACTCCAGAAAATAAAGATCTTTATCTGATCATTAATGGGGGTAGAATTGCACTGACTTTTAGAATGTAAGAGCTGAGACAGATTTTAGGCATTACTTGGTCCTTGCATTTATGCATGTGTACAGGAGAACCAGGGAAGAAATGACAAAGGCAAGGGCACACAATTATGAGCATGGCTCAAATCAGATTGGCTCCAAATCCAACATTTGGAAATCTCTAGATGACTCTACAATAGTTTCTCCTGTATTGGAAGAAAAAAATATTCCTGGCATTCTCGAAGCTGGATGTTAGAGAAGGGCATTCAAACTTAAGAGATTAGTAGCGGTTAGGAAATGCTACAGGGAAAATATTCACTAAAAGTTCTCTCTAAGAACTGAGTTATTTCCTCCAAAAAAACACTGTTAAGGGCTTGAACTCATGGACGGGCAAAAGAGTCTGTCTCCAGAGACATTATTTCTGCAAGTCTGAATTCAGCCATGTGTTTGGGTTTGTGCTCAATCCTTGCCAAAGATAGGAGTGCTCCTTCTCTTTCAAAGAATTTGCATCCTGTTCAATAAGTAAGCACCACAACGTGAAAGATTTTTATTTTCTCGCCCACTCTTCTCTCTCGACAGCCTAGAATTGTCTGCCCAGGTAGTAGGCAGTTGTATTGTTACAAATATTTGTAAATATTTATTGAATAATTGATTTAGGAAAAAAGTATCTTTCAAGATAAAAATTTTGCCTTTGCCATTTTTGTGTTTTCAAATACCATAAATTATATTTTTCCAAAATAATAATGATGGATCACATTAATGAGCCACCTACTGTGTGCCAGGCACCGTGTGTAGCATTATCCATCTATTACCACAGATTCCTCATACCATCCCTATCAGGTAGGTACAATGGTTTTCTTCATTTCTACAGTTGTGGAAACTGAGGCTTAGAGAAGCTAAGTAACATGCTCAAATCACATGATTAGAAAGGACGCAAACCTGGAACTCAAATTATTGTTATTCATTATCTGGCATGAACTACATTGCAGGGTTTTGTTCTAAATCTGCATAATGAAAACTCAATCCTTTCTTGTACTAGCTGTAGATTTGTTTGCCTCAAATGTATCATTTATAGAAGTTCAAAATATGTTCTACAGTTGTGTTTGTAGGAGCTATGACTAGCATTTTACGCAATACTTTGTAAACAGGATAAGGCAAGTTTATTTGTGAAAGAGAGCTATAATATATGAAAATAGGAGGTGTCACTAAGACCCATCTTGCCCTCAAATTGAGAATTTCATTTAAAATAACTGACAAAGGCAAGCAAATCTGAAGTTATGACTGTCACTTCAGATATGACTCATTCAGGGATTTTAAGGATCTGAAAATAGCCCATAATCATAGCATTTTATTATATGTGTTGTTATATCTAGATATATTAAAGTTTATTCCATGAAAATGAGTAAGATTTACCTCATTCCCTTCCTTTAAAAAAGGATATTTTCCCCAAATATTTAACAATTACATTTCCATTTTTGATGCATATAAGCATAACTCAAAAAGGAAGGACACTGAATTGGCATGTTTTGGGAAGATGTGTCTTGAACCACTAGATTTCTTTTGTGATTGACAAAGAATTTAACAATATACTGTACTTCTGTGCACTCACAGTGAACATAGGTTATTACAGTCCAATTAGCAATTACTCAGCATGTCTTAAACCTATCTTTCAAACAGCTGAAAAGTAAGATTTAATCTGGAAATGTTTTGGTATTCTTACCTTCCTTTCAGCCATTCACCTTTTTCTTGATATACTTTAATTTATCAGCATCTTCATTTTTACATAGGCTTTAATATGTAGCTTAGTTCATAAAAATGATTTGCAGCTGCAGGCAGAGCTTGTAATTGCTACATAAGGCAACGGTAGTTTTGAATATTGATCATTTTGAGCTTTAATAGAATAACTCAGATAAATATATGACCATCAATTTCACTCCTATGCATATGCCCAGGAGATATGAGTGCGTGTACCACAAAAATAATTGTTCAAGAATGTTCATAGCTGCTTCATTTGTCATAGTCCCAAATTGGAAACAACCCAAATGTCCATCAATTGGAGAATGAATAAACAAATTGTGGCATATTCATATAACGTAATGTCAAACAGAAATTTTAAGAGAACAACTTTCTAATCCACACAATAATGTGGATTCACCTCAAAAACATTGAGTGAAAGAAACCAGACACAAGAGAAAACACACTGTATGATTCCATTTATATGAAGTATTTTCTATGTTGTTCTGGGAGGTGATTATACAGGGGCATGAACATGTAAAAATTCATTGAACTGAACATTTAGGTTTTATCTATTTTACTGTACTAAATTACACATCAACTTAAAAAATTATCACTCTGAACATTTATAGCCCAACATTTTGCTTTGAGCCTATATTCATATTAATGCATTTAGGTCTACTTTATTCTTTTACCTGTATTTATTTAAGGAAAAGATTATTTATGCTGTGATAGAGTTTGGCCCGGCTGACAGGTGTGTTAAGGGAGCACCAATTACTGCAACAAATCAACACTTGCCTTTCAGTGACTTAACACAAAAGAAGTTGATTACTTTTCTCGGTAATAGTTCAACATGAGTGCTCTAGTTCTCCTCCACATGGTGGTAAAAGACTCTTCCAGATTGTGGCTTACTAGTTCCCGCCCAGGGCCTCAGAATCTTCTACCTGTAGTTGGAAAACAAGGTAAGAGAATGTGATTAGGGAGTTTTCTAGCCAATGACATAACATGTTTTCTTTAGGGCTCTTCTGATCGTCCCGGTGCACAGTAGTTCCTTAAATGAAGGGCTAGAGAGATGTCTCATGACTGCCAGAACATGCTCACCTTTTCCAGCCTCATGTGCCTATCCAATAACTCCTTGTGTTGCATGCAGGTAGCATGATGAGCTGGTTAAGAGTATACCCTCTGTCACCCAGTACCCAGGCCTGAGCTTGAGCAGATTATTTGATCTTCCTAATTTTTAACATCTGGAAAATGAAGTACATAATAATACTGTTTCACAGGGTCCTCTGGCAAACTTTAAAAGATGTATGAAATATTTAGGACAGTACGTAAAACATAATACATGTCTAATACATGTTAGCTATGTTATGTACTCCTTGCTATAACCAGCCATGCCAGCATGTCTACTGCATCTCCAACATGCCCTATGCTTCTACCACAATAAAGGATCAAGTTTTTTCCCCATGGCCAGCTTCATGGGCATGTGATCTGGACAGCTGCATACAACCCATGCTGGGAAGGGCTTGGTGCTTGAGGCCTGGCACTTCATTTAATGCTCTGTTGTCACCGTAATGAAATTCCTAATAATTTTATCTTTGAACTTTTGTTTTGTAAATGAAGGCTGATGGGACAATGGAGCATGTGCATGAACAGAGGAAATACAGATAACATGCATAGCTGCTGCCATTCTTTACTTGTTCCACTCACACATAGCATTCTTGTTGCCCCATAAGCACAGAATCCCTGTGGGCACACAATGTGTGGGAGTTCTGCAAAACTCAAATTGAGTATGAGGTAAGCATGTCACATCAATGACTAAGTGAGGACACTGACAACCCCAAAATGGGGTTTGCCACGCTTTCCATTCCAACCAAAGCCTGATTTGAATGCAAAAAGAAGGTAACAACCAAGGAAACTTTCTCTGTCTTTTCTTATGTTAATACTTCTCTGTAACCACTTAGTTTGAAAATGATGACATAGAAGGAAAGAGAAAGATAAGGCAACCTATAGTTCCTTTTCCTTTCTGGTCTCCTTTATTCAAAAGTAAGCCAAAGGCAGAGTGTTGGTAAAAACGGGCATATATCAAGATATGAAATAAAAAAGTTAGTTTTGTGCTGTGAATTAGAGTGTACTTGAATTAGATAATTTTGACCCTGTCATCTTCCCCAAGAAGCTGTCTTTCCTGAAGGGTTGGAGTTCTTACCCAGCTGCTATGGACCAGAATCACTGGAGCCCTCATAGAAAAAATAAGTTCCAAGAACTAACAATGAACAGACAGAAGCAGAATCTCCAGGGCTAGGTCAGGTGGCTGCACAGCCAGCTTGAGAAGTAGCTGAATAAGCAAAACAATACCAGGGGTTCCAGTCCCAATACTCCCTGGCAAAATGTGGTCCATCTTTGATGGATTGGTTCAAGTGCCACCATTTTCCATGAAATCTTCCCTGATTTTTCCCTCCCCTCACGCCCACGTCTCTAACTCCCTGACCCCAAATCCTTCACTATATATTAATTATCTTTGACATCTAGGACATTCTAACTTGAACTTTGCTTCTCTGAAAAGACTCTGGTAACACTGAGGGCATAGCAGGGCAGGGACTAGGTTTAGGCAAGTGAGGCACTCATCCCTGGTGTGAAATTTAAGGGGATGCCAAAAAAGAAAAAAAAAAAAGCCTCAGTAAATCAGGAGAAATATTTTAATGCACTATTTTAAAAATCAAAATTAATGCAACAATTATTCATGATGAACAATACATCAAAATTTTAAATAAAGGCAGGCTCAGACCCTGCACTTGTATCACTGGCCTCACTCACTTCTGCCCAATCCGAGCCCTATGAGGTTCTGTTTCATTCATTTTCTTACACCAGTAGTTGCTAAATAAATAAATATATGAATGAATTGCTTTCTTGAACTGAGTCATCAGCTTAAAGGTATAGATCCTGGTAATGAGGATGTCTATGGTGAAATATGGGAATGGGTCCTGGAAACAGCCTTGGTGTGCCCTCTCAAGTCAGCTGGAACACATGACCACATAATCTAAAGTTTGAATAAATGTTCTTCCTTCAATCAAGTCATCATGACATTCTCCTCCATTGTCCTACCTTGTGTAAAACCAGAAAAATAAATGACATGATCTCTTGGTAACCCTTCTTTACCATCATCATGCAGCCTGTAGGACAGCCCTCAGAGGTCCTGTTCAAAATGGAACCCTAGTAGTTCACGTTATCATTAACATTGCAGTAAAACTGCCCTCCCCCATTGTTGTAGAACATTGTTACTACCACAGTCTCATGGATTGTTTGAATAATGCCACGCCCTTTATTTATTTCATGCTTTAATTGGCTCATTTCTGAATTTTCTGGGCAAAATGAGATCAGAAAGACAAAGCCCTTGAACAAAGAGAAGCAACAGTTTTTGTTACATTTCATTTTGTCCTCTGTATGTCTCCTTCTTAAATAATTTAGCTCCAAGTTATACTCAGGAAGAGAAAAAAATTAAAAGTTCCAGTAGGCCGAGAAGCCCATGATCCACCGTGTTGAAGGAAGATTTGCTTCACCTCACCACCCCCCAACCCCCTCCCGCCCCCCCGCGGTAATACTAAGCTGTTCACACGCTGTGAAGAAGACCCGAAGACTAGGTTGTCAACTGTTGGGGCCTACCTGCGCCAGACTTCTTCCTCAGTGGCCAGCTTTCTCACCCCCCGTTAGCCACCAGGGGGCCGCCTGCTTGGAACAAGTGGTGTAGACGCCACAGCTTTTCTCCAAACCAACCAAAACATTCCGGGGCAGCTTTGGAGCAAAGCCCAGGAACTTCCCTGCAAAGGAGAACAGCTCTCCAACTACAGAAGCCTGCAAGTCCTATGGTGCAGACTTATTAAGAGTAGAGAAGAAAGCACGGACTTCTCACCGAGGACCAAAGGGAAATGGGGTCTCTGGGGCCTGCAACTTTCTTAAAAGTGCATCAGTGAAACCCTGCTTATCCAGCGGGGTGGTTGTTAATGCTGTCAGCAGGGGTGGGGGGCCTCTCACCCCTTTCCCTGGGACGCTCAGAAGAAGCGAGAATAAAACATACATGTCACTGGCTGGAAATCTAGAGAACCTTCCAATAAATAACCTATACATTGTCAGGCAGCTGAGGATCCATATCGTCATAACTCTATTATACTGCGTGTTACACGAATAGATGTGAATATTAAATTATGATGTCGGAATTATTTTAATACTGTCTATAAGAAATTAATTGTACTCTGTTGTCAAAGTAGTTTTGTTGCAACTATAGTTCCTTATTGACTACCTTTTAGCTGAGTGAGGACTCGGTATTTCCCAAGTATCCTTCTAGCTCAGAAAGCAAGTCTCTTCCTGGTCTCCAGGACTTAAGGTCGGGGGCATTTGAGAGACCTATATTTGCCCGGGAAAGATCTCTTGAAGAGTATACATTATTTTTGTCTTCCTGGTTTTATCTATACATTTCCAGGGCAAAGACAAATTAATAGGGCGGCCGTTCTGGGACCTGAGGAGTGTCTCAGCCCTGTACGCGCCTCTCCCACGATATGCATAATGGCGGTGGGGGCGGGGGTGTCCTCCTTAAGGGCAACCCAGGCACGTCCCAAACTTCCATTCGTGGGGTGGCCGTGGTGGTTAAGAGAGCTGCCAGATGGTCGGACCAGCGGAGGCCCCAAGAAGAGCCAGAGCGCCCTGTATTCCCGACACGCGCCACAAGTGGTTTAGGAGCGGAGGGAGGAGCGCTGCGGCACGGGTCGGGCCGGTCGGGCCGGGCAAAGAAGGCCGAGACGTGCTCCTGGAAGACTCGCCCTCCGGTCCCGGTGTCACTCGTTCCCCATTCTTTCCTCTTCTCCAACTAGAGTAATGACGCCCAAACCCGCACCTATGCGCGCAGGCAATCGGGTGGGTGGACGCGCGGCCACCAAACCCACAGCACCGTCACCAACCCTGGGAGGGCACGGCCGGGATTAGGAGGAGGGGGAGCGCCCACACCTGGGGAGGCAGGTGCGGAGGCGGCCGGCCCGGGGACCTCGAGTGCGTAGGACTCGGGGTCGGGGTCGGGGTCGGCAAGCCGGGCGCTGTGAGCGCGTCGGAGCGCTGGCCCGGAGCCTGGCAGGGGGCGTCTGTACCGGCTGGGCAGCCCGGGGCGGTGGCGATGGCTGGCGGCGGCGGCGGGGTGTGCGCCAGGAGGCCATTTCCTCGCTGCGCCCCTGGCGGAGCCGGGTTTGCCTGCTCTTGGCCGCCGCCGCCACCGCCGCGCAAGTCGGACAGCCGTGAGGGCTGGAGGGGAAACCAGGTCACCGGTTCGCAGACGCGGCGCGGAGCAGGCGCCCCGGGCCCGGAGTAAGACAGCGCCCGGGAAGCGGGCCGGGGCGGGCCGGGCACGCGGGGGACCCGGAGAGGCGGGGACTCTGGTGCCCCAGCCGCAGTAGCTTCCTACGCCTATAAAAGTGGAGAGACCGGGGAGGTGCGGCGCGGCCCTGGCTGCGGCCGCCTCTCTTCGCCCAAGGAGTTGACATTTTGCAGGACTCGCGCGACGCCCAGTCGCCGGCGCTCCCCGGGACCCCGCCGCCGGGAGGAGGGGGCGGAGGAGGGTGGAGACTGCGGGGCTTGGCCAAGGAAGGCGCACATCCTCGGGCGGGCGGCCGTGACGCGGCGGGGATTAACTTTGCATGAATAATGTGAGTGCGCTTGGAAAAGAGACCTCCTGCTCCGCGGGCTCGGGGCAAGAGCCCGCAGGCTACCTTCCCCGGGCAGGGGCGCTCAACCCAACCGGCTCCAGGGCACTGGTAATTTGGCTAGAGGACCGCGCGGAGGCAGCGGGGTGAGAGGAGGAGGGGGCGACAGTTCCAACTGTCCACAGGGTGGGCGGGATGGTGACGGAGCGTCGCAAGAACCCGGAGGGGTGCGGGCGGCTAAGCCGAGCGCGCGCGGGCGGGCAGGCGGGTGAGCGTGGGTGGTGGGGGTGTCATCAGCCTGATTACCTGCCTCCGCGGGGCTTCTGCGCCCCGGATCTGGGAGGAGGTGCCCTCTCGTGTTCGGGCACCGCGCGGCGGCAGGCTGGGAGCTACGGAGTGGACAGTGGTGGAACAGGGTGGCCGGGCTCTGTTCCAATCGCAGCGGCTCTGTTCCTCAAACCCCAAGCCCAGCTGTTGACATGTTCCTTGTGAAATGGAGTTTGGCATCCTCAGCGCCGAACCCAGTGGAAGTTTCCATGATGAGGAAGTTGTGTGACATGGGGGTTCGGAAAAGGTTGGCAGGCCAGGGGGGAGGGTTAAAGGGACTGTGGGTCTCCCATCCCCCCTTTTTCGCCTGCCCCGGAACTCCCGGGCTTGGAAAGGAGAATTATCCTGGATGTTGGCGTGCGCCGTGGCCGGTGCCTGGCGACTGGGCTTCTCTCCGCCTCCTGGGGGCTTGGCGGGGATTTCGCTAGCCTCCTGGGTCGCGCTCCTTCGCTTTGCTTCTCTTGGCGCAGCATCTTCCTCTGGGTCTCCTCGAGTTGGTTGTGATACCAATTGTGCCAACTGTGTGACCTCCACCCCCTCGGAGAAGGACTCATTTGGGGGAATTTTCATTCTTAGTGGATTTTGCCCTTCTTAGCGGCAGTTGTCACTTTGGGGGAGGATTTCCCAATGACCATTGTGGGATTATTATTAGTGTTAATTCTTAAGCCTTCTTATTTATTTTAAGGAGGGGGAGGGAGAAAATGAGATGAATTTTTTTTAAATGTACAAGTTTCCCCAAATGGAAAATTTTAAAAGAAGGATCTAGAAACATAACAATTCATAAAGTGAGTCAAAGAAAGGAAAGAGTTTGCATGAACAGCCAAGTTCAGATTCTCCATTCTCCTTTGTCCACATAAATTTAGAATTTTTGAAGATTCAAACACTGTGTAATCAGTAAATATATTTGAAATACCTTCTTCCTCAGCACATTATTGGTCTTGGGTACTAGTGAGATTCAGTTTTAAAGACCTGTGTGGAAGTTCAAGAAATTAAGCATTCCTTGCACAGTGTATTAATATCAAGCACAGCAGTTTATATAATGATAAATGTATTAGGTAATGTAGACCTGTTGGGCAATCTTCACATTATTTGGCTTTAGTTTAGTATGCTTATTTAAATTGTAAGAATGTATAGCATGCAATGCACTGCAAAGAAATAAAAATTGCATTTTAACGTGTTCATGATTCATTCTGAATATTCAGTGACTGACCTGCTCCCCAATTCACTTCTGCTTAATTCTTTCTAATTCCGAAATCAGTCAGAGGCTAGGAAACAATGAAAAACGTGTTTCAGTGCAAAGTATTTTAAGCAGTTGATGTTTTTAGGATGTTTTCATGCCAGGTGGCTAAGTGTTTTAATTGAGTCAAACAGAAATCCAGTACCAAGTGATTTGTTTGGAGTGTTTTATACAAAGACATTGGTGAACGATCATTTATAATTTGAGCATGTTAAAGAAATACTAACAGAATCTATTTTTACCTGATCTCAGAGGTTTATTATATATTGGAAGTGAGACCATCTGCTAGTAAATACAGTTTGGCTTTATTTTATAGCCAGTGAAAAATAAATAATACTGAGTATAGCTACAGAACTGGTTTTTTAAAGTGAAATAATTCCTGTTGGCATTACAATGCAAAGGTATACTTTTATTGACATTGGAATATTGTTACATAAAGCAACTGACATTATGTAGAGGAATGAATATTCCATGTATCTCCTTTCAGTTTCTTTGTAGTAAATTCTGCCATAATTAGAGATGAATTAAGACAACTTTTTAATCCATTATCTTTGGGAAAGGTGATTTCTTAAAATCGCCTTAAAAGCAGAGAAAGCTGTGGATTCCTTTCCTCTCCTGGGGTTTTTGCAGTTGTTTAAAGCATGAGTTGTGTGGAGCCACAAATGGTATTGCATGTTTCTTTTTTTAGTAAGCCCATCTTTTTGATGGAAATCAGAGTAAAGGTGATTGGTTTCTTCGCCCTGGTCTTCTCATTCTAGTGTAAGATTACGTGTCACCTTCTTAGAAAGCCCTTCCCTGACCACTTGAGCAAAGGCGGTCCCTCATTCCTTTTCAGACCCATCACACTGGTTTTTCTCTTTGTTTGTTTGTTTTGTTCTTCTTTTTCTTTCCTTTATTGTATTTGCAATCTGAATTGTTCATTTCAATTGATGCTTGTTGATCGCCTGTATCCTTGCCTAGAATATCGAATCCATGAGCACAGGACTCTTGACTGCCTCACTCACTCTTATTTTCCAGCATCTAGAACAATACTTGGCACACAGTAGGTGCTGGATAACTCTTTGGTGAATAAATTAATGATTGTGTCCAAATATTATGTTCTCAAAAATACCTGACTACACATCCTAAGTGGGTGCCAGTTGGGCATGCCAAGATCTATTCTGTGTGTGCATGTGTATGTGTGTGTTGCACACATTCCATGCTTATATGGTTCACTCTTTATTTTTCTCTCTCTCTCTTTCTTTTCGAAATAAAAGCTGGTCTTCCATTCTGTGTAGTGACAATGCAAAGAGCTATTTCTGCGAGTTCCTCCTAAGGGCATTTGCCTTGAATACATGGAAATCCTCAGCAGCAGAATTTTTCTGACATGTTACCTTGATCCCTGGAAGACATTGACCTTCAACTCCCTGAATTTCAGCAGAATCTTTATGAGTTCCAGAAGCATTGCCAGTGCTAAGAGTGAAATTCCAGGGACTAGACTTCACTGGGTGATGGCAGTGTCTTCTCACTCAGCAGGTCCTGGCAGTGCCTCTGGCAATGGCAGCCCTAAGTGGACCAACCAGTGCATGGTGGTACAATTTGGGCTGCAAAAGTGGTGGTTGGTGAGGGGGCAAAATGTAATGGTCAGGATCCAACACAAGATAGAAATAAATAGGTCTTGGTGATAGCTTTGAAAATAACCTGATGGTTATCATATGTTATTAGTTAAGTCAGCCAGCCTCTTTTTGCCCTCTTTTGCCGCTTCATAAAAGTATTCTGAACCAAATGATGGTGGGAAATATTGCATTATTTGAGTTTTCAAGTGACCAGAGCATAATATCAAAGGAGTCATCTTCAAATTAGTTATTCATGGAAACTCTTGCCAATTGAGAGCAAAAGGAAATTATAATTGAAGATTATGGTGATTTGTTTTTGTGTCTAGAGTATTGACTTTCATAAGTGTGCTGAGTAAATGCATAGTAAAAATTTCACAAAATCAGACTGTTAAAAATGGGAGGGGAAGAAAGATCAAAATCTTGTAGAGGAGGGAAGATAATTAAACTACAATCCTAAGTGCTTACTGCTTTAGAGTATTTAATTTGGCTCTGAGCTTCTTAGTAGTAGCCAAGTTAACAGAAAAAAAGGGGGTCTGGAGGTGGCATGCATTAAACTTGTAAGGATGACACATGTAGAGTGCCTGCCATGGTGCTTGCCAACTAGTATATACTCGTATGAAATATCAAATTATATCATGGATAATACTTGAACTTCAATTCTACATAAAGTGAAGTGAGGTTCTTTATATGATCTTGTCTTGTTACCAACTCTGGAATGGAAAAAAATTGCAGAAGACATAATAATGAAAAGTAACCCAGTATGTTTATTGTTGGGGGCCTGAGCTACTATGGCCTATCAGTGGAGATTCTGGTGATGAATCCCAATGCAGAAATAAAGCTCAGGAAACCTAGAGGAATGAGTGGTTACCACACTCTGTAAGCTAATTTTCCCAAATATCTAGTGTGTCAGCCAACTTTTGATTAGAGCAATTTGAGAGGACAGGACAACGAGGTACTTGAAAATGACCCTATGGCCATAAACACCCCTGAATATGTGGCCCCTGATGCTTTGGGCTTTAGTCTATATAGCTCTTATCACCCTGCAGGGCAGTTTGTTTCCATTTCTGTTCCCACCTCTAAGTTGTGATGAGGCACGATGTGTGGGTTTATTCATCTTTGACTCCCCATAGCCTAGCAAAGAGCTTGGTACATGGGCACAGGTGAAACACTGTTGGAAGAATGAATGGAAGGGTAGAAAAGGCAGTGCTTCTCTTTCCCTTCTGGGTTGGTATTAAGTGTCATATTTGGACTTGGATTTGTCCAGAGTGAACGTTTGCTGCCTGCATTGCATCATATGTCCAGATCACAGCTGTCTGTTTTGCTTGAAGGGCTTGTTCTAGTGTCAAAGCTGGTTGAGCAATGGATGGCAAGTTAACTCCTTGTTTTATTTAAAGTCATTCTGATTCTTTGATTTGATTCCTCATTCAGTCTACAAATATTTATGTATCTACTATGTACCTGGCTCTGCTAGCCATTTTTCAGTTCAGCATGCAGCCCAGTGACCTATGAGACAACATATTAATACAAAAGGATTCTGAAATTGTCTCCATTGTGATGAGATGAGTATACCTGTTGGAGTCTCTCATATGGCCCCTAAAAATAGTTATTTTATATCTGAGGAGGTGATTGTTTGTGATTTCTATAGCCCATGTATATTAATGTAAATTCCAGTGAGATTCACTCAAGAATCTCTTGTATCCAAGTAGTAGGGGAGTTGAATATATTTAGACCGGTGAGCTTCTGATTTAAAATGTTCATTCTCCAATTTAAGTTCCCAAACTTGTTAGTCAATTTTGGCATTTAAACAAGTGGGGGGGAGTATCCAAATCACTGAGTCACAAGTAATATATTTCCATATCTTCCTCTCAGGAACCTGGCCAACTGACAGCTAGAATAGTGATCTATGCTCAATGCTAATGTTGTTTGGTCCCTACTGTCCTAATTTCAAAGGACTTTGAAGTCTTTATATACTGTCAGCTCTTGTGCAGTGCTATTTTTATTGAGTTGAGAAACTGAGTTCTGCTGTGAACTTCAGGATCTTTTCCAAATAGCAAATCAGGGGAGTCTGGAATTAGGACCTAGGAACCTTGACTGTCCTGAGAACCATATTGTAGCTTTTCCATCATGACAGTCAGTCCTAACAATCTGATATACTCCCTGGAAAGTGTTTCTGATAGATGTAGATGTGCTTGATAACAGGGCTCATCTCCCTTGCTCAGACACATTAAATTTGCACAGAAGGCAGATCTACCTGTAGCAACCCAGAATACTTGCATTTGAGGCTTTTGCAAGAAGATAATCTGTGATAATCTTGTACTGTCTGCTGGTCAGTGCTTACCAGAAATTAAATGATATTGGTATAGTGGTTTAAATCTTTTTTTTTTCTTATTTTTTTTTTGCGACAGAGTCTTGCTCTGTTGCCAGGCTGGAGTACAGTGGTGCAACCTCGGCTCACTGCAACCTCCACCTCCTAGGTTCAAGGGATTCTTGTGCCTTAGCCGTAATTACAGGCACATGCCACCACACCCAGCTAATTTTTGTAATTTTAGTAGGGACAGGGTTTCACCATGTTGGCCAGGATGGTCTCGATCTCCTGACCTCGTGATCTGCCCACCTCAGCCTCCCAAAGTTCTGGGATTACAGGCATGAACCACCACTGAAATCATTCAGTTGATTTTATTGATTGACCAACATCCATCGATATGTTTAAAATTATTCTAAGAAGCAATATTTTTTATTTAAAAAATCTTTTATGGCAAAATAATTTAAAGGAACTTAACGAAAACCCTCTGTGATATCATCTTACCACTTTATGTGCTAAAAGCAAACAGTTGTTTGCTATTTGTCAGACAGTGCCTTCTGTCTATTAAAGCTATTTTTCCAGTTACTACTCATTCATTTAAGGCAGTGAAGGATCTTGAAGTATATTCTTTTAGCAGTTAAGATATATTGAATTGTATTGAATAGCTTATTTTATTCTAGTTATTTGAAAATTACTGAACAATGGACAATGTGCAAATCATTGACATCTGTCTCAGATCTGCTGAGACAATCGTGATTTAGAGATTAAAAAAAAAAAAAGAAGGCAAATTCATGGTCCAACTCATCACAGTGAAGAAACTTGTGGCTTACATATCTCAACTTACGTTTGTCTTGCTGATCTGCATGTTTTATCCAATTTTTATTTTTCCTAATCCTATTTTAACAAATACTATCTATAGTTTATTTCATATCATATGCACACATGCACAAACACCTCAATACATACATGTCTCTGTGTTCTAAGAGTGGACTGCAGACGAGGCATACACAATTAGGAAAGGATTGGTCTGGACTGAATTGCTCATTCAACTTCCTACTTCCCAAAGAGGGTCTTCAGGGAGTCATGGCTTCTCTTCTGTGATCAAGAATTTAGGCATTTATAAGAAAGTCATGAGTGACAAGTTTATTAAAACAAAAGTGTGGACAAAGGAATGTAGACTGAAAGCAGGCATATCTTCTTTATTAGGGAATATACTTACTTGACTCCTGGAGGCTCAGGAATGTTTGTGATGAGGAATGTTGACAAGATAGTCATGGTGTTAGTAGCATAATATATGATCCTGACATTCAGGAACCTGTTGAGTATTGTAACTCTTGTGACATGTTGTTCCTTGGTTCTCAAGATGGTTCAGATGTACTTCTTCCCTTTGCCATTTGTTTCTCTTGGGATTCTGTTTTTTCTGATTTCATCAATGTCTACACAAAGCAGGTGCTCAGAAAATAATGATTGATGATAGCAATCATAATGTTTCTTGGGCTTGGTCATCTTTTTGCACATTTCTGTCTTATAGTCATAAATGTCTTAACAACTGGCATGTCCATACTTGCAGAATCTGTCTCTGTGACAAGTGTGTGTCATGTTCTCACATACAGTGGAAAAGGCACTGCTTGTCTCTGGCTTCTGCTGTGATTCCCATGCTCAGCTTTTAAATCACAGTGAGAAATGCTACAGTCACCCTGATGTCCCAAGCCACAAACCCTGTCATTGTTTTCAGTCCCTTCTACTTGCTCCTGAATATGTTGACAGATCCTCTTCTTATATTATTACTTTTTGCTTCTTTTACTGCTGTATTTGTTTATTTTACTCTAGGCTCAATTATGTTTGGGAAATCTTGAGTTTAACAACTTGTAAAAGTTTCCAGAGCCTATTTTTATACTAGCATGCATTATAAATGTCCAAGAAAGGGGAGAGCAGGTAGCAAAATTCATTTGATCACCATTTTATTTGTGTGTGTGTGTGTGTGTGTGTGTGCTTGTGTGTCTAAAACCTTAAGTGGCAAAAGTTCAGCACAATAGGTTGTGAGGAACAGTTCACTATATCACACTTTTTAAAAATCAGGCTCATATGTTTTAACCTTTTAATACAGTTCATAAAAAGTGACAAATGACCAGTATCTAGCACCACAACAGAACCTTTTTGCTTTTTCACACACACACACACACAAACCCCTAGCAACTTGTATACAACACTGGCTAATGCTGCCTGTTGTTGAAGTGTTTTGCAAGAATGCAAAAGTCCTGCTAAATTTCTGTCCCTTTGAAAACATTATAATCATAATCTTTCCTTGACTTTCTTTCTGCTGTTTAGGTGTATTAATTTATATAAGCTGGAGAATGGTTTATTTCTGCTGTATTTCTGTTTACTTTTAAAATTTTACCTAGGCTTCACTGCAATTTCTGCTATACTTCTAACATCTGGAGATCTAGAATAAAGTACCTATATCTGAATTGTAGCTGCAACAGGGAATAGAATAAGGTTGTTTAGTCTTGTGTTATTTTTCTTTAAAAAAAAAGGAACCAAGGGAACCTTACACAGAAAATATTTTTTGAAACAAGTTAAGTTATGACCTATGTAGATGATAAACCTATACATTTGTCCTGTAATGTAGCAGTTATAAGGGATTTGAAAAGCATCTCATCTCCTTGAGGACTTGTGAGAAAAAGATCCTAGGCATCTGGCTTATTAATCTATCTCCCACTCTATGGGTTCATAAACATAAGGTATTGCTAAAGTGAAGCCATGCACTAGAATGTGGTGCACATGCATTCATGTATCATTGATTAAGAATATGTGTTTCAATTTATCTTTATTGAAGTTGCCACAAAAATCAAGCCTTATAATAAGTAATTTTTTTCTTCTGGAGTCTGTCCGTTGGTCACAAATGCATGGGACATCTGCCAAGTGCCAGACACGATGGTAAGTGCCAAGACACCATGGTAGAGCATTTAAAAATTCTTGTCGTATGGATGAGATGCTCGGAATCTTCTGGGGCAATCTACAGGAGGTGATTTAGTGTAGAGTAGTGTTTCTCAGCAGAGGTACTATTTGAGTTTTGAGCCTGGTAATTCCTCTACGCTATGGCATTTGCGGCCAGATAATCCTTTGCTGTGGAGGGCTGTCGTATATATTACAGGATGTTTAGCAGCATTGCTGGCTTCTACCCACTAGATGCCAATAGCTCCCCCAACCCTCCAGTTGTGACCATCAAAAATGTCTCCAGATATTATCAGGTGTCTACTGGGAGGCAAAACTGCTCCTATTGAGAACAGCTGGTGTAGACGTTTGGAACTGGGGCCGTGGAGTGGGAAATGTGTGGATTTGTATGCTGGTTTCACCTGGCTTCATTGCATGTGTTCAGTTTCCTCATCTATCATATGTGGAGATTAAATGAAATAATATAGTGCTTGAGTCACAGTCAAGTATTTCTAAATATTAGCTATTTATAGTAGTGGTAGCATTAATACTTTAGCAGACAATTAAAATATTTGTAAGTCCAATGACATAGTTAAGTACAATGTACATTGTGGGAACCCATAGGGGTGGGAGGGTTCTAGGCAGAAATAAATATGATATGCCTATGAAGTGAAAGTAAAAGTATGAAGCATTTGGGAAATTGTAAGGAGCCCAGCCTGACTCATGTGCAAAGGACTATAAATGAGGCCATTGGAGCAGGCAGGAGCCAGATGGCGAGGACCTTCCTGGGCACAATAAGGAAGATTGACTTTGTCTTGATAGCTTGAAGAGACTTAAGAATGTTCAGCAAATCAGATTTTTATTTTAAAAGAGTTCTTTGGGATAGGTCTTGAGTGAGAGACTGGAGGTGATGAGCCCAGTTAGAGACTCTTAGAATAGTCCACTGAGAGATGATGCCTGCTGGAGCTGAGGCAGTTATACATTGCTGTGATGTCTTTGGGAACAGATTTCACTTTCTCCGAGATGTGGCAAAATTTTTCTAATTTAATTCCAATAATGAATATTTTTAGCAAGCTAGCTCTACATTTGGGGGAATTTCAAGTTTAATTTGAAAGCAGATTACATGATAGATTCTCTTTAAAATGTTTTCAAGTGAAGCTTAATTTAAAGACCATCTCACAGCCTATTCATAGTTGAATATTACTTCAAGGGTTTCTCTGCCATTGTATGTACATGCCTATAGCTCCTCTGTCTGACAGGAACGTGTTTCTATATGATTACATTGAAATAGCATTGACATTGTCGTGTTGAGTTTCATTATTTAGTGTGAAGCATTTCAGTATTTAATGTTAAGTGATTTTCTAACTGATGGGGATTTTATTTCTTTAATGATCCAGATTAGAAATGGATGAAGATAATGAATGAATGAATGAATGCAGGAATGGGTGGCATTATGGAAATATCACCTAATTAAGAATAAAAATATTCTGGACAAGTCTCTTGGCTGATCTGAGCTTTAATTTTTAGTCATAAAATGATACTTGTAGGTATATTAGATAATTCCAAAGTTATCTTTAGCCCAGGGGTTGGCAAACATTATCTATAACAGGCTATATCATAAATATTTTAAGCTTTTCAGGACACACAGTCTCTGTTGAAACTCTCAAGTCTGCCATTGTAGTACAAAAACAGACATACACAATATGTGAACAAATGGTGTGGCTGTGTGCCAATAAAATTTTGTTTACAAAACAGGCGATGAGCTATAGTTTATTAACCCCTGGTAGCCCAACACTGTCTAATAGAAATAGAACGTGAGCCATATATGTAGTTTAAATTCTTCTAGTAGCCACATTATAGACAAGTGAAAAGCAACCAGTAAGGTTAAGTTCAATACTATATTTTATTTTACCTAATATATTTAGAATATTATTAACATGTAATCAATATAAAAATATTAAGAATATATTTTACTTTCTAAAGAGCTTTTGATATCTGGTGTGTATTTTACACTTGCAGCACATCTTAATAGCCACTTATGGCTAGTAGCTACTGTAATTTGATGACAGGACTCTAGAGTTAAAACTCTGGGATTCTATCAAATTCCATGAAAAAGTAAATTATATCATTAATTCAAGTGATTGAGACATTTTCTTTTTCTTGCCAGATATATTGGTTAGTAAAACACCATCTGCACTCAAAAATAAAATAAAAAATGCACAGTAGCTCAAACAAATGGAAGTTTATTTTTCACTCATGTGAGTTGAAAATTGCTGTTCCTGATTGATTGATGGCTCTGTTCCACAGTGATTCAGGGGTTCCTCTGGTCTTGGGCTCCTCCATCTTCAGGACATGGCTCTGAGGTCATGGGCTCATTGCATCAGACCGCTGAAAGGGGAACCAGAAAGTGAAGAGTATGCTGGCTTCTTAACCACCTTGGCTTGGAAGAAACACATAATCACTTTGCTCACATTCCCTTGGTGAGAACAAATCGCATGTCCCCTACCTAAATAAAGCGGGATGGGATGGGAAATATAGCTCCTACTGGGAAGCTGCTTTTCAGCAATGTGTCTGTACTGTGGAAAGGGGAGCAAGAATTTGGTGAGCAGTGAATTGTCTTTGCTACACTATGCTACTATTTTTTAATTCAATGAGGTAACTAAGTTCTACTTTTTGTGCCATACCACCCTCCTATCTGACCTAATTCTGTTTCCTTACTTCCTTCTCACCCTTATGGGGTCATCTTTAACCTTGCTAGACCTGGTTTTACCTTTTTGTCTTTGACCATCATTTTTATTTCCTTGATAAATCTGTGTAGTTCATAGTATGCAAAGAGTGTTGGGAACTTGCTGATGAATCCTCATATCATTATCAGCACATTATTAACATGTTTTTTTTTTTTTAAAGAGAACTAAAATTTAAAATAGAGATGTCAGAAAGCAAAGGCCAGACCTGATTCTTGGTATGTTGACAGAGGTACTGAACCCATTTTTCGTGGAATAATTTTATAACAGTTTTAGATTATTTAAATAAATGACTTTACATAATATCTTGACTTAAAAATACCAATTTTCCTAATATTTAACCTAGTAATTACTCTATAATTTCTTACTATAATGGGACACACACTTTTCTAATCCAAAAGAATATTTGCTTGTTTTCTTCCCAAATTATAAGTGTGTTTTATTAAATACTCAGCCAGGTCTATAGAAATGAAAGAAATATAAGGGACATGAATAATAAAAGTGAGGTAAGTAAAAAGAACAAAGAAAATCTTTTCTTCTAACTATGCATATTTTACCTTTTTGAAAACATTATTATTTTATTATTAAATATTTTAAGAAGTAAGACACAAAGGACAGACACATGCATTTTAGATTATTAAGAAATAAGACTAACCAATGATAAGAAGTATCATGCAGAGAACATATAAAAGAAAAATAAACAGTATGTGTCTTTCTATTTGACTGAATAAGGCTGTCTTCTACTTCACAAGCCTATTTCTGAGTTTAAATATTTTTTATAAGGGAAACTTGCAATATTAAGAAGTTAATTCTGATAATGTCGCTCAGGTACAGAATCTAGCCAACTATTAATATTCCATAATAGGTGAGAAATAATGCTGTCAATCCCCAGTGTATTTGTGGTCTGTGATTAAGGTCTCTAGGACTCAGCATATCGCACAGCAGTGGGCTCCAATTATGTCCTATTTTAATGCCCTGTCACGGAGCAGGGAAGAGAAACCCCCTTCTCTTATTGGTTGAGTGTATTGTGAGAGGGTGGAAGCTGGGGGTCCTGTGTCCTGGATTGGTTGGGAGCTAGGACATTGGAGAGAGAGAGAGAGAGAGAGAGAGAGAGAGAGAGGGAGACAGAAAGAAAGAAAGAAAGAACGAATGAATGAATGAATGAATGAATGAATCAGGAAGTGGTGTTGAAGGGAAGGGTAGGTATCTATGCTTGCATTGAAAGGCAGACTGAGTTGGATGCCTGGCTTTGCCACCTTCCAGCTATGGTCTCTGGCAAGTTTAATCTCTTTGAACTTCAATCACTCTATCTGTGCAAGGGAAAGAATGTTGGTATTTACTTCACAGCACTGTGGAAGAAATTACATGAGATAATGGCTATAAACTGCTTAGCCAGGACATAGTACCTGGTGAGTGCTCAATACATGGAAAACAATTTTATTACTATTTCATTATTACGGAAGTAGTAAAATTAATTTTGTTGAGTAAACTTGTACCTTGGATGTATGGAGCATGATTGTCCAAAAGGCAGGAAATCAAAGAGAGAGACCCAGAAGTCAGACTCCAAATTTACTCGATCATTTTGCATAAGTTATTCTTTAGTTAGTTTTAAATTGTTACTGTCTGTTTATTGATAACAATCTCTGTTTTATAGATGACCTAGTATTTTTCAGCCTCAAAGATGTGTGTTCTGTGGTCAGTTGTCCAAGTTAATGATCCCTCAGGGTTTGCAAAAGGTAATAATAATAGGCACTCACTTACCTGCTCAGGATTCCAGCCTGCTCAGGATTCCCTTGTTCTGGATTTTTTTTTTTTTTTTTTATGGTCCATATTCAAACTTTTGTCCCTTGGAGTCCAATGCATATTTTCCCCCACTTATGTTTCAGTCTGACTTCCCAATATCCTTTATTCAAGGAACTCCTGAAATCCTGCCCTGATTAATTAGAATTGAGATTAAAATCCTCTCTGGTTCTGCCCCACTGAAACATGCCACTCCAATGACACTTTCCCTCACCCCTTTGTCCACAGGTAGTATTACATGTCTAGTCACTTGCTATATATCTATATTTCTTCACTATTCAGTGTCCACACCCCTTATTTGTCAATGAGATATTTCTTTGCTAGATTTTAAGTTCTAAGAGGGCAAGGACTGTGTGTTAAACAAGTTCAGTGCAGGTTAGAAGGCAAGCCCAGCAGGTACGTGCTGAGTAATACTTTCCTGATGTTTTGACCAACCACATGCAAGCTCTTTTCATATAATTAGGATGAATCTAATTTTAAAATGAGCAACCGCGTGTCCTCAGATGAACCAGAATATACACTTACAAGGCCCTGCTGTCCTGCATTATAAATAAGGGAATAGGTTGTCCTGCAGAAAAGCTCTGCTGTTTTCTTTTTCCGTAAAAAAAAAAAAAAAAAAAAAAAAAAAACAGAAAGAAACGCATCCACACATATAAAAACTGAGATAGACGATCTTCTCAATTCCTCAACTAAGTTGGGAAGAATCATGGCCCCAAAGTGGATGTTCTCTGCAAAGATGAAACCTAGCAAAAATCCACAATCTGATGATTTGTAAGGAAACTTGCTTAAGAATGGCTTACGGCAAAAAGACCCAGAGCTTGGCAGCCTGATTCTTCAACTTGTATGGCAGCAATAACTTCCTTAGGTGACAGGTTCAAATTTCTGCAGGGATGATATTGTGAGACTGTTCAGAAAGTGTCAAGCTCCATCGCTTTTTAAATTTTCTTTTCACTGATAGGAGGAACTCACTGGACACAGAGCTCCTGTGGCAGCTTTCACAATGCCTGGCTTTCTTTGGCCTTTTATTTCTTAAGATTTTTAGCATCTCAGAATTCCATTACATGGAGGATGAGTGATTGGACATTGCCCTGAAGGGATTTTATTATACAATTCATTTCTCTTCATTGTCTGGCAGTGTTTTGAAATAACTGTTTCATTTTGGCTCTTTTGTGGTTTTAAATCCCCACCAGCAATTCATTCAAGTTTCATTTGAACCATGGCAGTTGTCACTCTTCCTCTTTGCCTCTTAGAATTATAGTAAGAGTCCCTTCTTGGAGCCAAGTGTTGTTACTCATTAGAGTTCTTGTACAAGTTTGACTTTAGGGACATTGGCCCTAATAAGGAGTATGTTTGTGCTCCAGAGTCATTTGATCCCTGCCATCCTTGAGCAAAATATGTGGTTTTGCTTCTGTCAATGGGAGAGAATGAAATGTTCCTGAAGTTGTATTTCTAATGGTCTGAAGGAAGTGGGTCCTCTGAGGATTCTGTGCCTGGGACTTTGGGGATGGAAAAATTGGCCAATCTCTAGTAATCCTGAGGCCCCTCCTAAGGGAAGGGATACTGTGGACCCAGAGAGCTCTTACATCAGAGGAACCTGAGGATCATGTGCTTTCCAGTGCAATATTCTTTCAAAAGACTGACCATCAGTTTGGGCTCCCCAGAAGCAAACTCTGAGATGAAAATTCAAGTGCAAGTGATTTTTAGGGGGGAGGTAAAGAAAGTACCAGTAGGAAATTGGGGAAGAGCCAGGAAGGGACAGCAGCCAGTAAAGTGGGCATTATCAAATCAGTTAAGCATTGTGGGCACCTGGAGCTTAGTCACACTGGGGGACTCTTATACAGCATGGAATGCTTGTCTTGTGGTTGACCCATCCTAGAGGCAAGGGAGTAGGTATTTATTCACCAAAATCTGTCAGGCATTTGTTGGGGACTGCCTTCAGAGGCAAATGATTCCCTGTCATTTCAGGACTATCACTTGGGCAGCCAAGAGTAATCCTCCAGGCAAAGGAATGCAGGTGTTGGCAGTCAGAAGACAAGGTGGTGGGCGCTGAAGTGGTGCCATGGGAGTATAGTCGAGGCACCAGCAGCATCTACCAGCAGGGCAGCCTGTAACCCCGACTTCCACCTGAGGATTGTTGGCCTCATTTGGACTTTTGCATGGTTCTCATGAGGGGCAAACTGCGTTTAGCTGGAACACTAAGCTGACCACACCAGCATTTGATTTGGGATCTACTAAAGAGGGATCCCTTGAACCAGGAGTCACAGCCAGATCTCCCACTGCCTTCCTCAGCCCCATCATCTTCCTCCCATACTGTCTTCATTCTCTAAGACCTTACTTTCCACCTGAGACAGCCTACTGGTCATGGTGAGTGCATGCTCTCTCTCCTAATAGCTTGTTCTTGTCTCTACCATGCCCCCGTGTTCCCCTGGAGCAAGGTTTCTCAGCCTCAGACTTGTTGACATTTTAGAGCACATAATTTGTTGGGGTCGGAGGGGCTGCCCTGTGCAATATAGGATATTTTAGGAATTTTTGTTTGTTTATTTGTTTGTCTGTTTTTGAGACGGAGTCTCGCTCTGTCCCCCAGACTGGAGTGCGGTGGCGCAATCTCAGCTCACTGCTAGCCCCGCCTCCCAGGTTCACGCCATTCTCCTGCCTCAGCCTCCCGAGTAGCTGGGACTACAGGCGCCCACCACCACGCCAGGCAAATTTTTTTTTTGTATTTTTAATAGAGACGGGGTTTCACCGTGTTAGCCAGGATGGTCTCGATCTCCTGACCTCGTGATCCTCCCACCTTGGCCTCCCAAAGTGCTGGGATTACAGGCGTTAACCCCCGCGCCCGGCCGCATTATAGGATATTTAGCAGCATCTCTGGCTTCTAGTTACTGGATCTCATTAGCACTGCTCCCCCTATCCCCTGCCACAGTTATGACAATCAAAAATTTCTCTAGACATTGCCTAGTATCCTCTTGGGGGCAAAATCATCCCTGTTGGAAACCACTGTTTAGACTTTAGTTCTACCTCTTAATCTCTCCCCACCCCCTAAGCTTTTCATCAGTTATAGCTGCTTTTTCATCATGATGATCTTCGCCCTCATGGGGTAGGGGGAGATGTTTCCAAATCCGGAAAATTGGAACATTTTCTCCGGTTGATTCTGACACACCTCCTGCTCCGTGGGCCAATATTCTACTCCACCCAGAAATTACGAATCATTGTCCTACACTTGTACTCTGTCTCTCACTGCCTCTTCCTATCCTTCTCCCCTCTCTTCCTCTATCTCTTTTTTCTTTTCCTTCCTTTTTTCCCCATCTGCATTGTAAACAATTGTAATTTGGAGAATTCCACTTTTCACTTCTGCCTCCTTTTTAAAGGTTTCTGCTCAGTACAATAAAGTGAATATGTTATGGCAAATTAGCTAATAAAGTATATAGTAAGATGTAACATGTTATTTTTAAAATTACGTTCATCCATTCATTCTTTTGTTATCAAATATTTATTCAGCACCAAATATGTGCCAGAGGTATGCTTGGGTACAGTAGTGAACAACATATTCCCTGCCCCTCCAGATACTTACAAAAAATGATGACATAAAAGATAGCTTCCTCAAAACTAAAAATATTTTTATTTTATCAATATATGCATACTCCAAAATCTGGAGACTGAAAGTACAAAAACCCAGTATTGTACCAGAAACAGTTACAATGACTGGCTCAACATTTCCTAGTTTGGTAATTCTAACTATATCGTTTAGAATTATGAAATGATGCTTTGAATGATAGGATTTACTTCTTCACATTAAGACATATTTTTAGGAACATAGACCATTTTGACAAGTGAATTTCACAGTTTAAGTTCCTTAAATAAAATGTTAATACATATTCCACACTCTTTGTTTGGATCCTCTTTTGCTGGTTTTCTGTAACCAGTTTCTGCTTTGCCTGATCTAGTAGCTGTCCACATATTCAGGTAATCTATTCCTAAGTAGCTTTCAAGCAGTCAGAAACAGGATTGCATTGCTTGTACTTTTTTGGGCGGGTGTAGGTTATGGAGAAAGGAAATTGGATAAAGATCACAGAGAAGAAGATTATGATGGTGCCGGTGTCACTGAGAGATCTACTGACCCGATGTTGCCTTCTTTTGCTGCCTTGTGTGTGCTGTACGTATCCTGCGTTAGGACCCTTGCTTTGGCAGCGTTAGCTACAAAGTAGTGGAATGTCCCATGCAGTTATTTCTGTATTTCTGTTAGGTCTGTTCCTCTCAATCTCCTCAGACTGACTTCCATATCCTCGTTTCTCAAGAGTGTGGTGCCCCCAGACCAGCAGTATACACATCACCAAGAGCTGATTAGAAATACAGAATCTAGAGCTCCAGCCCAGACCTGCTGAACCCGGGATCTGCATTTAAACAAGGTCCCCAGGGGATTCATTTGCATTGGAGTTTGGATTCACTCTGGAGTTTGAGAAGCACTTTTGTTCTCTTCCTACTTTTCTACTTCTAATGAAGTTTAAAAAGTGCAGAAAACAAACTATAAAAGGATTAATGTAGTAACCCTGCTGTGTATTGACTAACCCATTATACTTAGTTTATTGTTTTACAGACTTACCTGCCAACACATTAGTGGGCCTTGAATTAACATAATAAGTCACGATCAACAAAAGTTTTAAGTAAACAGACTAAAATAGAAAAGTATTAGAGTATATCAAATGTATTTGAAACATTTGTTTCATCCAAAAAATGTGAAACCACACACACACACACACACACACACACACACACCCCTTTATATGTATGTCCTGGATCATGATTGCAAAATGGAATTCTGACTGGGGTTACAGTAAAAAAAAAAAAAAAAAATCTTGAAAACCACTACCATAAATACCCAATGTCTCTTTTTATATATTGGCCAGTGTTCAAATGCAAGCATTTGATGATGTTTGTCCACATGATTGAGATAATGAGATCATTTTCTTCAGTTGAGATTCCTGAATGAGATGTCCAAATAGCAAATAGGAACGTTAAAATTGTCTCAAATGCAAGGCAATAACAATAAGAATTTTAATTTTTTTCTTAATTTTAGAAAACCATACTCTATCAGATAATTTCTCAAAATCCCAAAAACCATACCTTTAATGAAACACTCATCTTAATTCAAGAGAAAAACAACAAATGTAGGCTGCCCAAAGGACATTCATTAACTTGAAGGGAATAATACCTTTGAATCCAAAAGAAATTCGCCAGGTTATGGGAGACACAGGATGTTCCCAAATTGGTAGTGCGGTTCCGTAAATGATACAAACTTGCAACTAATTTTTTGGAATTTTAATCATTTACATTTCTTCAACACTCATTTAGCTTTGCAGATTTAAAAAGTAAATTTTTCATTTTAATTTTTTTGTTTCAGTTCCTCTGATTGAAGATGGCAACCATTGAAACAATACCTTAAAAATTTAAAAGATTATACAAAATTAACAAACCTAAATGAGTACTTAAATTTAGATAGTAAAACTTTTGTGTTAATTTGTACATTTGTAGCAGTAATCCCTCTGAAGCTATGAACACCCTGTAGAGGGAAAGAAAACCAAGTTGCTCTTCAGGTGTGATCTGGGTGAAGCCAAGCCTCAGAGAACCCTTGGAGAGTCAGATTTCACCACTGTGGGAAAGAACCAGTCCATGGGGTGAAACCAAGGTGGTTTGTGCAGCAGGGTGCTAATGCCAGGCTGAGACACAATTCCAGGGAAGTACTTTCGATCTTGCAGGCAGAATCTGTGCCAGACAATGAGTTGTCTCTGAAAGTGCCTTTTCCCCACCAAAGAGCAGCAGCTGGGTGGACCTAGCAGCTTCTTCTGAGCTTCCCAACTGTGCCCTCAGGCTCTTTCCTGATCTTCAGGGCCTCAGATTTTCCTGAAATGATTGTTTACTTGAGAGATTCCTTAGAAAGACCTGAGTGAGCTATTTAAAGCAGTATTATATTAAACATGATTTTACATATGCTTTTAAGGAACTGTAAACATGTTTTCTTTATTAGCTTTTGTAATCAGGATGTCTGTTATATAGAATCTTTACTTTATTAGACATTTTTAAACAGTTGATGGTGTTCATATTCTTTAAGGATGATGTGTTTTGGGGGAAATTTTAAAATAATTTGCTTGATAGTGAAGATGAGATACCTGGTGTTCTCGCCTAGGCATAAGTGTTACAGTGTGTGGTTTTGCTCATTTTTAAAAAACTGTCATGTTTAATTGTTCCAGAACTAGTCACTAGTAGTGTCATCTTCTTGCTAGTGCATGGCCTTTCAGATTTTATATCTATCTATATCTATCTATCTATATATATGTTGACATATATGATTTTCAAATTACACACATATATACACACATACACAAATTATACAAATATACAGAAAAACAATTCTAACATTGTATATATATTAAGTATGTGTAATTTGAAAATTAGTATAAGAAAGTATATTGAAGATATTGCAAATGGTAGCACTTGTAACAACTTCTTACATTTATTTATTTCTAAATAAGTAAATTATAGTTCTTCAATATTGTGTTTGATCATTGCAATTTTCATAAATTATTTTTATTCTACAAAATAAAATATTAACTTAAATAATATCAAATTATAGCTATTCGTATTTGTTGTAATATATTTTTAGCAATTTTTTGCTCACTTGAAAAAAATCCTTACATCATATTTCAGACTCTCACTTTTTGTTGCATGATGGTTACAGTTGTAGAAAGTAGCCCTGTTGCCTTCAAGACTAATTAGAACATGAAGAATTTTGAGGCCCAAGCCAAATAGAACATTTTGTTTTTAGAACATGAGGTATAGAATGCCACGTATTAGTGTGGTAGTTTTCCTTTGTGATTTATGATACACGTAATGTTCTTTCAATTAAAAAGTGCAGTTCATCATATTAAGTCATTATCCTACCTACAGCGTATTGGACAAATTTCATATATACTTTTCAATTAGTAAGAAAAGCAAGTATTGCAGCAGTCACCTATCTGATACAGGTCCTTACAGTTGAATCAGCTCTGCCCATCTGTAAATTATGTTTGAGGCTTGAACTTTTCCCTGTACTTCCAGTTCCATTATTACCTACGTATAGCACATATGGTCTGCAGCAGTCTTCTGAGCCATTGAAAAATTGAGGATTTGTTTTTAAATGAACTATCAAAGAATCCTTCCTGGAAGGATTGTGTATTTGAGTTGCTGTAGCTGTATTTTGTTTGATTTTGTTTTCCTTACATAGGAAACCTGAACCAGAACAGTAGCCATTGATTCTACAAATTCTGGTAGACTATCACAAAGCCTAGGATGGCAAATAGTTTTATGCCAACTCCAGTAGATTTTGGTGACTGTTAGGGCTGATGTGTTTGGAAGTATTACAAGGCCAGATCTCTGAGGTTAGCAGTAAAAAATACTGTGATTGATTAGTGATGTCTGCTATGGAGGAAGTATAAGAGTATGATGGGCCAAATGCCATGCATTTTCTTACCCTGTGCCCATACCAAAGGAAGACTAAATTTTGAGGATAGTATCCTATTGAATTGCCTTTGGCTTTATGCTTCATGCTTTTGAAGGAGTACTGTACTTGCTCTGAAGATATGTTAATGTTATTTTTAACAGTTAACCAGGAAAATTGTTTGTAAATAAAAGAGACTACAAAAGAGTGTTTGTTTCTTGATTGGCAGGTTTAGTGTAATACCACATAAAACAAAGCATACAACGAACTTTTTTTAAATTATACTTTAAGTTCTGAGATACATGTGCAGAACATGCAGGTTTGTTACATAGGTATACACGTGGCATGGTGGTTTGCTGCACCCATCAACCCGTCATCTACATTAGGTATTTCTTCTAATGCTATCCCTCCCCTAGCCCTTCATCCCCCAACACCCAACAGGCCACAGTGTATGATGTTCCCCTCCCTGTGTCCATGTGTTCTCTTTGTTCCCACTTATGAGTTCCCACTCCAACTTATGAGTGAGAACATGTGGTGTTTGGTTTTCTGTTCCTGTGATAGTTTGCTGATAATGATGGTTTCCAGCTTCATCTATGTCCCTGCAAAGGACATGAACTCATCCTTTTTTATGGCTCCATAGTATATGTGGTGTATATGTGCCACATTTTCTTTATCCAATCTATCATTAATGGGCATTTGGGTTGGTTCCAAGTCTTTGCTGTTGCGAATAGTGCTGCAATAAACATATGTGTGCATGTGTCTTTACAGTAGAATGATTTATAATCCTTTGGGTATATACCCAGTAATGGGATTGCTGGGTCAAATGGTATTTCTGGTTCTAGATCCTTGAGGAATCACCACACTGTCTTCCACAATGGTTGAACTAATTTACACTCCCACCAACAGTGTAAAAGCATTCCTATTTCTCCACATCCTCTACAGCATCTGTTGTTTCTTGACTTTTTAATGATCACCATTCTAACTGGTGTGAGATGGTATCTCATTTATGTGGCCAACAAGCATATGAAAAAAAGCTCATCATCACTGGTCATTAGAGAAATACAATGAACTTTTTAATTGTCTCTTTTGGTTTTCTGAGTCCTGAGACTACGAATAAATGCATCACTAATCGTATTTTAAAAATTGATATGCCAAAATGGTTGAAACTTTTAGAAGAACATGCTAGGTTCTCAGAATAAAATTATAAACAATATTTTCTATTACATGTTAAAATGCTGAAGTTTCTATTACATGTTTATTTGTGAAATTTATCATTTGCCTTATTGTCTACTCTGTTTCTTAATTATAATACTCATCCTCTCAGAAAGCTTTGGCCAGTCCATTTACATGAAGAACGGGAAGGAAGTAGATTGTATATAAGAGCATAGGACAGATGGTGAGTCACAGATAAGCTCATCTTGAGTCTCCTAAGATAGGAAGATAAAAGAATGTATAAATTTGTAAATATTAAGAATTTATAAAAATTTATAATTTATAAATAAAAGGGCACAAGAGTGCAAATTTGCTGCTTGAAGGTCTCCCGAGCCTGTGTTTCTTATTTCACCAAGAAGAATTGAATCTTCTGTCAGTCAATTTGATTGGACTCCCTTGAAACCTGTCTGTGAGAGAAGGTCTGAATAGTGTTCCCTTCCATTATTACTCAACTGTCTGCCAAATCTGGAAGCTCACAATTACTTACCTTACAGTAAGTGACTATCAGGTCCTCAGGAATTAGGGATGTGAAGAAAGAAACCTTTTATACAGTTGCTGTTGGCATTCTTTCCACACAGAGATGAATCACCTTCTTTAACAAGTCCAGGACTTGACTTTTCCAAGATTGGCAGAGAGAGTAGGAGGAGATAATTGGCTTTGTGTAAAAGCCCCTTGCACAGTTGACATTCCTTTTTAGGGGTCAGTAGTCTCCAGGACAAAAGGAATTGTGGCCAGATGAGTCTTCACGCCTTAGGGGATTCTTGCAGAAGTTACTGAGGGCTGGATTCCTATAGATGTTTCAAGATGTTGCCATTCAGGTAGCTGGGATATGTGTTGTTTTGTCCATCAGTAATTGAGTTTAGTACTCTCTGGAATGAAGAGTAGATTAAGAGGGTCTCAAAGATCCTCAACATTTTTATTTGTCCTGGCATGTATAGACACAGTAGTATTGATATAACATAGCAGGCAAAGTATGAACCTTGGTGGACAGACTGGACTATAAATATGGGTGTCCCTACTAGCTAGGTGATAAGATCTGAGAAAAAATTGCTTAATTTTTCTGAGATTCAATTTCTAATTCTGTAAAAATGTTTTTAAGGAAAATGTCCTACTCTGTAGGACTATGAAGACTAAAAATACCTGAAAGAGAAAAGAAACTCTTCTTAGCAGAGGTATGCCTTTGGTCTGAAGGTTTTGAGGGTCTGCCTGGCTTCCAGGCCATATTCTTCTGGTTGTGGGGACAGGAAAGAGTAGGCAAAGGGAGGAACAAAGGGAAGCCTCAGAAGAATATCCATAGCTTCCCTACTCATAAGGATTGTTTCTGGCTTTTATTTTTAGAACAAAGTAAGTCTTCCGTGGTGTAATCTTGGATAAAATGGAGATATGCAGGCTGATAGTATTTAGGAAATTTCACAAGTTGAACAACCATATGCATGAGATGTTTTTGTGGATTAGCAGCAGACTAGAGAGGGTTGATCTGCCAAAGCCCTCTGGCTCTCTGCCTCAGTCCTCTCTGTGGATGTTGTAAGGGACACCATGAAGATATGGATGACATGCTTACCAAATGTTCAAGGGCCACAAAGCTGGGAAGGAGAGCCAAAATGCTCCACTACAGAGTGTGGATTTAGAGAGATCTTGAGGGACTGGAATGGTGGGTCCAAATCAAGAAGGCCTGAAAAAGGATTTAAAACCACAACATTGCATTAGATATATGTTGGAGGCCCAAATTCTAAAAGACTATCAATTATTAATTTAGTATGCACTGATAAGCATGTAGATGCCTTAACCCCTATTGCAGATTTAAGCTCCATCAAAATAATGGTTCTCAAACTTGAGCGGCGTTATAATCACCTGGAGAGCTTGTTAACATACAGATTGCTGCATCACATCCCCAGAGTTTCTGATTCAGTCAGTCTAGGGTGGAACTGGAGAATTTACATGTCACACAATTTCCCAGACGATGCTGATGCTCCTGGAAACTTCTGCTTTCTACAAACCACTGCATTAGAAGAACAATTCTACTCAAATCTGGGAGGTAATATTTTTATTGTAATCTGCTGAAGTATTGTAGCAATGTTGGGTCCCACTCTTTCAGTCAGAACAAAATCCAGAAGGATGTAGAAAATTCAGGCAACCAGTTAATATTAAGGACCACTGAGGAAAGAGGAATATATGGAGAAGAGAAAAACTTCAGAGATGTGTGGCAGCCTTCAAACACTTGATAGATTGACATGTTGAAGTGTCTTAGTTAAAAGTCTTGGCCGGGTGTGATGGCTCATGCCTGTAATCCCAGCACTTTGGGAGGCCAAGGCAGGCTGATCACTTGAGGTCAGGAGTTCGAGACCAGCCTGGCCAACATGGTGAAACCCCCTCTCTACTAAAAATACAAAAATTAGCCGGGCATGGTGGCAAGTGCCTGTAATCCCAGCTACTGGGGAGGCTGAGGCAGGAGAATTGCTTGAACCTGAGAGGCAGGGGTTGCAGTGAGCCGAGATCGCACCATTGCACTCCAGCCTGGGAGAAGAAGTGACACTCTGTCTCAAAAAAAAGTCTCTACATTGGAGCCAGATAAACCTGGCTTTGATTCACAGTTCTGCCATCCTTTTATATATCCAACAAACATTTCTATGGGGCTTATTAAGTACCAGGCACCGTTCCAAGTACTTTACGTATGTTAACCTATTTAATCCTCGTAACAGCCTTAGAAAGTAGATTTAGAGAGGTTGAGCAACTTTCCTAAGGTCACATAGCTAGTACATGGTGGAACTGGGATTTGAATCCAGGCAGTCACGTGAAGTGTAAGTTCTTAAATACTCCATCATACTACCTGTCCACTATTGGCTCCTCTCCAGTTGTTGACTGTGAGTCCTTAATAACATCCTTAATGTTTCTGTGACTCAGTCCCTTCATCTTCAAAATAGTGACAATTTGTTTCTCATAAATTGTTCAGAATAGTCAAAGAGAGTATTCGTAATGTGCCTATCTAGCGTCTGGTGTTTAGAGTTCTGTGATATTCAAGCAAAGCTAGGAGCAGTGGGTAAAGTTAGTGTGAGTCACATGACTCAAGGGTAACAAAACCTATCAGTGATGGGATCCAGCAAGGTGCCAGGGCTTCAGCTTTGGGAGTATTTCTTGGATTCTAAATGACCCTCTAGAAGAACAGTCATGGATAGCACCTAGAGGAGGAAGCTGGACTAACTAACCTTCTGACTTTAAAATTCTACACTATGGAAGACATTGACTTCATTCATTTGAAGTGTCAGTCTTCATCAGATTGTTCCATTGTTTCCCTTTGCTCACTTGAAACTTTATGCAGATTCTAAAAGATTATGCCTGTCACAGTTAAAGCAGGTATAAAAATAAGTTACCCAAACGGTTTTCCATTCTTTACTCGTACCTCACTCTTTACCACGCGCTCATAGTTTGTTGCTCTTCAACACTTTTCTCTAAATAAGTTAATAAAATGTATTCTTCTATACAGTAGCTATTTCTTGCCTGGTTTTCTTACACCTCATTGTAGTGTAGCTTGATTTTTGCATGTATCTAACACCATTGTGTTTTAAAGCAGTAATAATCATTTTCATAGATATTTCATTATACTCTTCAGAAGTAGGTTGAATGCTTCCCCTGATTTACATATTTCAAGTAATGAGAACATCTGAGACATAGGAAGACATCTGAGGGGAAAAGCTTGTCTAGGGTTCCCTGGTTTGTTGGGGAGTTGCACAGTCAGGGATAGGGCTAATGGTGATGCTAAAGGCATCAGTGGAGTTTACCGAGGTGTTTTCCCAGCTCCTGGGTGGCTCCTGTGCATATGAGCAACTCCCTTAATGGGGCTGCCTTAAGAATTAATTAATAACTCATGAACGTATTGAGCTCATTATGTGCTAGAAATTGTGCTATGAGCCCAGAAATCCAAGACGGATCCAGCTGGTTCTGGAGTGAAATAGATGTTTTGATAGGCAATTAAAGAGGCAGGGAATACCTGTTATGATGGAGGGAACCCCTGTTTTCTATGACACATTTAAATTGGGGTGTCTACTGAGGAGATCAGGGAAAACATTCCAGCGGAGGTGATGCTTAATTTGTTTTGAAGAATTAGTAGTAGTCAGCTTGGCAAAGCCATGGGGATGTGTCTGTGTGTTTGTGCGTGTGTCACTGGAGTTTGGACCTCAGATATATAGGCATACCTCATTTTATTGAACCCTGCTTTACCCTGATTTAATAAATTAAGATCTATGTGCCTCATAGATATTAATTTATTTTTTTACAAACTGAAAGTTTGTGGCAACTATGTGACTGAAAGTTTGTGGCAACTATGCGTCAAGCAGATTTATTGGCACCATTTTTCTAATAGCATATGCTCACTTATCTGTGTCGTATTTTGGTAATTCTCACAACATTTAAAATGTTTAAATTCTTATTGTATCTGTTATGGTGATCCATGATCAGTGATCTTTGATGTTACTGTTGTCATTGTTTTGGGGCAGTACAAACGACACCCATACAAGATGGCCAACCTAATCAATAAATGTGTGTGTCTAACTGCTGCACTGACTCAGTGATCCTCCATCTGTCTCCCTCTTCTCAAACCTCCTTACTCCCTGAGAAACAGCAATGTAGAAATTAGGCCAGTTAGTAACCCTACAATAGCCTCTAAGTGTTCAAGTGAAAAGAAGAGTTACCCGTTTTTTAAGCTTTAAATCAAAAGCTGGAAATGATTACACTTAATGAGGAAGGCATGTCAAAAGCTGAAATAGGTCAAAAGCTAGGCCTCCTGTGCCAAACAGCCAAATTGTACATGCAAAGGAAAAGTTCTTGAAGAAAATTAAAACTGGTACTCTAATGAACACATGAATGATAAGAAAGTGAAACAGCCTCATTTCTAATGTGGAAAAAGTTTTAATGTTCTGGGTAGAAGATCAAACCAGCCGCAACATTCCCTTAAGCCAAAGCCTAATCTACAGCAAAGCCCTAACTTTCTTAATTCCATGAAGGCTGAGAGAGGTAAGAAAGCTGCAGAAGAAAAATGTGAAGTTTGCAGAGGTTGGTTCCTGAGGTTTTAGGAAAGATGCTGTCTCCATAACATAAAAGTACAAGATGAAGCACCAGTGCCTATGTGGAAACTGCAGCAAATTATCCAGAAGATGTAGCTAAGATAATTGATGAAAATAGCTACACCAAACAACAGATTCGCAATGTAGAAAAAACAGCCTTCTGTTGGAAGAAGAGGCCAATCTAGGACTTTCATAGCTAGAGAGGAGAAGTGAATGCCTGGTTCAAATCTTCAAAGGACAGACTGGCCCTTTTGTTAGAGGTTAATGCAGCAGATGACTATGTTGAAGTCAATGCTCATTTGCCATTATGAATACCTGAGGGCCCTTAAGAACTATGCTAAATCTACTCTGCCTAGGCTATATGAATGGAACAACAAAGCCTGGATGACAGCCTAGTTTGCTGAATATTTTAAGCTCACTGTTGAGACCTACTACTCAGAAAAAACACATTCCTTTCAAAATATGACTCCTCACTGACAATGCATCTAGTCACCTAAGAGCTGTGATGAAGATTCACAAAGAGATTAATTTTGTTTCATGTCTGCTAACACAACATTCATTCTGAAGCCTATGGATCAAAGAGTAATTTTGACTCTTTTTGTCTTATTATCTAAGAAATACATTTCTTAAGGCTATAGCTGCATAGATAGAGATTCCTCTGATTGATCTGTGTAAAGTAAATTGAAAACATTCTGGAAATGGTTTACCATTCTACATGCCAATAAGGATATTCGTGATTCCTGGGAGGAGGTCAAAATATCAACATTAACAGGAGTTTGGAAGAAGTTGATTCTGACCCTCACAAATGACTTCGAGAACTTTAGAGGAAGAAGTAACTGCAGATGCTATGGAAGTAGCAAGAGAACCAGAATTAGAAGTGGAGCCTGAATATGTGACTGAATTGCTGCAATCTCATAATAAAACTTCTATGGTTAAGGAGTTGCTTCTTATGGATGAGCAAAGAAAGAGGTGTCACTTGAAATGTAATCTACTTCTGGTGAAGATGCTGTGAATATTGTTGAAGTGACAACAAAGGATTTAGAATATTCCATAAACTTAGTTGATATAGCAGTGGCAAGGTTTTAGAGAATTGACTCCAATTCTGAAAGGAGTTCCACTGTGGGCAAAATTCTATCAAACAGCATCATACACTACAGAGAAACATTTCATGAAAGAAAGAGTTAATTGATGCAGCAAACTTCATTATTGTCTCATTTTAAGAAATTGCCACAGCAACCCCAACCTTCAGCAACCATCACCCTGATCAGTTAGCAGCCAGCAACATCAAGACAAGACGCTTCACCTGCAAAAAGATTATGACTCACTAAAGGCTCAGATAATCATTAGCATTTTTTCACAATAAAATATTTTACATTAAGGTATATACATTATTTTTAGACATAATTCTATTGCACACTTAATAGACTACACTATAGTATAAACACAAGTTTTATATGCCCTGGGAAGCAAAATTCATGTGACTCACTTTATTGCAATATCCACGACTGCAGTGGTCTAAATTCATACCTGCAGTATCTCCAAAGTGTGCCTGTAGTTGAGATTGGAGGGTACTCTAAACAAGAATTAGATAAATGTGTGCATACTGAACACGGAGCCAGCAGAACTCTTCCCCACTGGGTTTCCGGAACCCTACCATCCAAGCCTTCACTCTCCAGGTGGTAGTTTGAAAATAAGTCTTCTAAGGGAAATTTGAGTAGCCCAAGTGATAGAAACTAAGGATGATGAGTTGAGGGTACCCTCAATTCTGCCCAACCATATCAATCTACAAGTAAAAGATAAAATTGAGAAAAATCTCCCAGAAAGAATGAAAAAAATGGAGATGGTAAATAAGAGGAAAAAAAACAATAAAACCCAAGATAATCAAATGACTAGTTTTGGCAGCAGTACATCTTAATAAGAGAAATATCAGGAAGGGAGAACAGAAAAAAAAATAGAAAGAAGGAAGTCATTTACAAACTAATTCAGAAGGCTGCACATGTATGTTGGGCACAGAGGAAAACCAGCTGATTGCTTATTCTCCATACTGGGGAGTAAATAGATAATGCCTAAAACTGAAATATCACATAATACAGTCATGCTATTATGGACATGGAGGTAAAGACTCCCTTCTCATAAATAAAGAGCTTAGAGTGATTATCTCTAGGAAGGAAGAAATGGAAGGGGGAGATGGGAGAGTAGTTCTTCATAACAAATTTATAAAATTATTTGACATTTTAAGCCACGTGAAAGTATAAATTTAATAAAAATAAGGACCAAAGCCAATTTTTAAAGTCTGTTTAAAGAGCAGACTAGATATAAATGTGGGAAAAAAATCTCTTGAACTTGAAGATAGTGCTGATGAAATCAACTAGCATACAGCCAGGACTTAGAGGTTCAGATTAAAGGAAAATTCTAGGCCGGGTGCGCTGACTCAAGTATGTAATACCAGCACTTTGGGAGGCCAAGGTGTGCAGATCACTTGAGGTCAGGGGTTCAAGACCAGCCTGGCCAACATGGTGAAACCCCATCTCTACTAAACATACAAAAATTAAGCCTGTCATGGTGGTGCATGCCTGTAATTCCAGATACTTGGGAGACTGAGGAGGGAGAATCACTTGAACCCAGGAGTTGGAGGTTGCAGTGAGCCGAGATAATGCCACTGCACTCTAATCTAGGCAACGGAGGGAGACTCAGTCTCAAAAAATAATTCTAAACCCCAGGCAGATTCCCACTTCACCTCATCCTGATGAGAATAAAACCAATCAAATGTAATGGGGTTGGAGTAGAGATAACGTTACTTGCAAAGAAATCAATTAAATAGCCAGCTAACTTTTCATTAGCAACAATAGACGCTAGATACCAGCAGAATGTGTTTTTCAGAATCCTGAGCAAAATCATCGACCCAAAATCCCATACTAGCTAAAATATAATTCAAAACTAAGGATGAATTAAAAATTGATTTAGATAAAGAAGACTGAGCTAACTAACCACTCACAGACCCTTGCTGAAATAACTACTGCAGAATATATTTGAATGAGAAGAGAATTGAACCAAGAAAGAAGGTGTAGGTTGCAGGAAAAAAAAAATAGTGAGTGAAGAATTTTGTAAACATAATGGGAAATCTAAATAAGTACTGTTTGTAAAATAACAACAGTGACATTAATAGTAACTATTTTTTGTGGGTATTTGTTAAAAAAATACAGAACTTAACTACTATAACAGCATGGAGCAAGAGGGAACTGTAAGTAATAACTTCCACAGTCTCTATTATTTTATAGAATGATAAAAAAAGATTTTCTTTAGATTTTGGTTGGTTTACAAATTTAGAAATAATCTCTACAGAAATAAAATGTTTGACTCCAAACCTGTAGAGGAGAATAAATTCAATAATCAATTCAATAGAGATCAGGAAAGAAACAAATACAAAAAAAGTGTGATCAACAGAAAACAATAACAACAAATAAGACAACTGAAATGAGTCCAAATATATATTTAATCACATTAAAAGTAAATGAACTAAATTCTTCAGCTTAAAAAGAAAGACCTCCAGATTGCATAAAACCCGTAATCCAGGTATATGCTGTCTACAAGCATCAGACCTAAAAATAGTAACTCAAAAAGTTTGAAAGTAATTAGATGGAAATAGCTACATTGGAAAAATACTAATTAAAATAGAGCTAAAATGGCAATATTCATATTAGACAAAATAAAATATTAAGTCAAGATCTTAGAAAGACTGTCATCACCATTGATTATTTGGGCTAAAGTTTAATGACATAGATTTATTTTTATCTGTGCATTTGTGTTGTAATGTGCCATATTAACCAAACTAATGCAACCATTTATTTTTCTTTTTTTTTTTTCTTTTTTTTTTTGAGACGGAGTCTCACTGTCGCCCAGGTTGGAGTGCAGTGGCGCGATCTCGGCTCACTGCAGGCTCCGCCTCCCGGGTTCACGCCATTCTCCTGCCTCAGCCTTTTGAGTAGCTGGGACTACAGGTGCCTGCCACCTCGCCCGGCTAATTTTTTGTATTTTTAGTAGAGATGGGGTTTCACCGTGTTAGCCAGGATGGTTTCGATCTCCTGACCTCGTGATCCGCCCACCTCGGCCTCCCAAAGTGCTGGGATTACAGGCGTGAGCCACCGCGCCCAGCCGCAACCATTTCTTAAGAGTGTTCTTACTGCATTTTCAAAGTGTCGATAACTCTTACAAAGGGGATAGCATTTAACAGATTACTGCTTCAGTGTCATCAGTGGTGGCACTGTGATGTAAATTAATAGTTCTGCACTCATGGGTGTTCATTAATACTTACAGAATAGTTGGCAATGCTTGCTGACAGACTGCTCTCAAGTCTGCCTTTCTAATTTCTGGGAAATAGTTTGTCTACCATGAGACTCTAAGTCCAAATCAAGTATACTTTTGAAGCAATTTCTAATCACAGTGAAAATTCCCCAAGCAGCATATTTTATTTTAAACTTGCTTTATGTAGCAGCAACATATTTACCTGTGCCTTTGAAAAATATAGTATCGGGGAGTCTTTGAAAGATTATTATCAAATGTAGGCTGGACGGGGTGGCTCATGCCTGTAATCCCAGCACTTTGTGGAGGCTGAGGTGAGCCCAAGAGTTCAAGAGCTGCCTGGGCAACACAGGAAGACCCTGTCTCTACAAAATAATAGTAATAATAACAATAAAAAAAATTAGCCGCACATGTGCCTGTAGTCCCAGCTACTTGGCAGGCTGAGGTGGAAGGATGGCTTGAGCCTAGGAGGTCGAGGTTGTAGTGAGCTATGATCACACCACTGCATTCCAGCCTGGGCTACAGGATGAGACTCTGTCTCAAAATAAAAAGATTGTTATCAAATTTAGAAATGAGATGGTGTGAAGAGAAAAGCCGTTCCCCGTTCCTTTCAACACTTTTTCTAGTAACAAAGTTACATAGAAATCTTAATCCCTTAACACTCCATTAAGGTTTCAGATATTTCTTCCTTCTCCCTTAACTAGCCCTGGCTAGAGGAAACAATACTGTCTTACTAATCAGGGCAAATCAAGCTCTTTGTCAATAGCAGAGCCCAAATAGATACTGTGGAATGAGTTTCCCCTCTGTCCAGGAGGGAAGCCAAGTTGTGTGACCCTATAGCAGTGACAGGAGGGGGGTTACAGGGAGTGGGTGGAAAATTGTTCTTGCTCATGCATAGAAGCAGATCAGCCTTTGGGTACTAGTTCCTCTCAGCTGGGTGCCTTGCCCAGATGAGGGTGAGCTTGGTAGCCTGAGAAACTGGGTATTTTTCCCAGGCTTCTGGGTGACTGCTGCCATCTTTCAATGCCATTTGAAAAGCACCTCGAGGAAACTCCTCAGTGGCATCTGAAGAGCCCACTGGCTCCAAGGGGAAGAATCTGGGCAGGAACAAAGGAAGAATTTTCTCCCCTCTGTATGTTGCAAGGACAATGCAAAGTAGGGTTTTATGCATTCATTTTATACACAGAGCCAAATGGTAGCAGTTTAAAACATGTTTTGTTCTGTTTTGATTTGGAGCTCCAAGTAAATTGATTTCTTTACTATGTATTACCACAGAACAAATTTAATCACATAGATAATTTTCTAATATGTAATAGTTTAGAACAGGGCTATGACCTCGGCAATACGTTACTCCTGAAATGCCGTGAGTAATAGAACCAACTTAATTTGAAGGACTACTTGTCTGAATTTTCTTAAAAACTCATCTTCTTCTCATAGCAAGAGACATGCAATTCTAGAATGTAAGACTGGAGAGATACATAGAGATCATTTAGTCAAACCTTCTTAATTCTAAGGAATAATATCTGGCCCAAAAGAAAGGAGGTAACTTGTCCAAGCCTATCCCTTAAAGGTGCCTGTGTCTTGGGCTCAAGCCCAAGTCCTTGCCATCTGGGGCCCTTTTTGGGATAACATGCTGCTGAAAAGTTTTTTTTTTTTAGCCATTATGTTCTAATGCTTTTTATTATTTTTCTGATGACAAAAGTAATGAATGCTCATTTTAGAAACTCACCTATTGTCTTGTCACCCACCGTTGAAATGTTGGTGTATTTCCTTCTAGGCAGTTTTCTGTGCTCATCATTGTACAGAAACAGGATGAGGCTTTATATAATTTTGTGGACATCTTTTTTCACTAAATGTATCATGAACATTATTCCATGTCATTGAATATTATTCTTTAAAATTATTTTTAATAGGTGCATGGCAATCTGTGCTAAAGATGTGCCGTAATACCTAATAAGTCTCATTGATGACCATTTGGGAAGACACCAGATTTTTAACGCTAAGATGTTGTCTTGAACATAGCTGACAATAAATTTATGCTTATTTTTGCATGCTGTATGACATGCCCCCTTAGTATAGACATCATAGTCATTTTATAATTTAGGAAATTCTTAGAAGACCAGAGAATATTTAAAACCCTCAATTATTTCATTTCACTAGATTAGTTGGCTTATAGTTAATGCAAATAAAATCAGATCACTTTTAAAGAACAAATCTGTTAAGCTTTGACTTGGTCAACGATGGATTAATCATTAAGTTAATTAGCCACATCTCTATTTTATTAGCCAGCTGCAAGAAGAGTTAGAATAATCTGCCTTAACTTGGCAGATAAGTCCTCTGCCTTCACAATGTTTTTTATAATGCTAATAAAGCAAGTAATACTAACAGTACTAAGAGTAGCAGCTACTGTTTATTGAGAGTATACAGTATACCAGCTATGTACCAACATCTTGATAAACATTACGCTTAATTCTCACAACATCCCACTGAAGTAGGTGCTACTTTTATCTCCACTTTATAAAGGGAGGAAACCTACCTCAGAGAAGTTAAGTAACTTGCTTGCGGTGGCACAGTGAGTAAATGGCAAACTACAGACTTGACCCCAGGCCTGCCTCACTTCAAAACCCAAGACTGTAGCCAACCTCTCCAAAGTGATGCTGATGAATTCTTTTTTCTTAGTGACTCATATTCCATTATTAGCAGTGGTTCTTGACCTTTTAGGGATTGCAGAACCATTTAAGAGTCTGTACTGTTGCCTAGAAAATGGTGTGCATAAAACATGTATACAGTTTTGAATTAAATTTTAGAGATACATAGCCTCTAGCCTGCAAACCCCTACAATTGACCAGTGAGGCTCTTATACTTCTGGGGGGCTTTACAACTTTCCAGGCTTTTGGAATCTTCTGCTAAAATGCAAATCTTCTGCTAAAATACAAATAACCCTGTAAGAGTTAGATGAAGTTACATAACCTTATGAGAGAACACATGAAGTGCTTATCAACTAAAATTGTGACGTTTTGTCTGGAGCAGAATCTTAGTAAATAGAAACTAAGATTCCTGGAAGCACTTCTTACAAATTTTACCTTTTCCCCATCTTTTCTATGACCAGGCAGTTCTGGATGAATCCTCTAAAAGTTTTAGTACCTGACACTCAGTCATAACTACAGCATAACTCTGGAGCTACAATCTCATAGACAAATAATTCTCAAGATAGCCAATCATTACTTAGTGAATTATAAAGTTAAGCTTTATGTTCTCTTCCCTTTAATTACAGTAGATTAAAGGAATGAAAGAAAATTGTTTAAATATTAGTCTGTACAAACATGTTAAGGAAATACAAAGAAATCTGGTTCAAAAATAATAATCATGAATATTACAAACCCAACACAGTGGTTTGAATGTATCCTGTCACTTTTCCCATTGCTGATAAAGATAATTGAGGGTAAACTTTTTCAGTGCAATTTGTCTGATCATCTCTGAACTCTGTGATGTTCCTGATGATGTTTGCTTTATAATTTAAACCCATAGATTCATTTACCCAGTATGGTATGAAACAAGAAAAAAAATAATAACCTTCTCGTATTTTTAGAAAGATACATCTCGGATAGATAAGCCTGTCACTTTAACCTTTCCATTTTGGTGTTTAAAGACAGAGTTCACCAGATAATACATTCTCAAAAGCCATTTAGAAAATGTGCTAAATAAAATGTCCTTAATGAGCATAGAATAATAATCTTTTAGAGGAAGTGGAAGCAAAGAAAAGAGGACAGCAGGTAAAACATTAGGCACTGCCTAACCCATATGGTTTCAAGTGATTTCTTAAAATTGAATGGCTAAAATTTAACTGCTCTGTTTACCAAAATGTCTTGTGAATATATTAATAAGAGCGTGATATTATGCCCCCAAAATACAAACAAATACATTTTCAAATAAAAATATTTATAAGTACCTATATAAAAACTAAACCTTTGTAGATTCTGGATATTAGAACTTAAAGAAATTTACAATAAAAAAACCATCAAAAAGTAGGCAAAGGATCTGAACAGACACTTCTCAAAAGAAGACATTTATGCAGCCAACAAACATGAAAAAAAGCTCATCATCACTGGTCATCCAAGAAATGCAAATCAAAACCCCAATGAGATACCATCTCACGCCAGCTAGAATGACGATCATTAAAAAGTCAGGAAACAACAGATGCTAGAGAGGATGTGGAGAAAGAGGAACGCTTTCACACTGTTGGTGGGGGTGTAAATTAGTTCAACCATTGTGGAAGACGGTGTGGTGATTCCTCAGGGATCTAGAGCTAGAAATACCATTTGACCCAGCAATCCCATTACTGGGTATATACCCAAAGGATTATAAATCATTCTACTGTAAAGACACATGCACAGGTATGTTCATTGCAGCACTACTCGCAATAGCAAAGACTTGGAACCAACCGAAATGTCCATCAATGATAGAGTGGATAAAGAAAATGTGGCACATATACACCATGGAATACTATGCAGTCATAAAAAGGATGAGTTCATGTCCTTTGCAGGGACATGGATGAAGCTGGAAACCATCATTCTCAGCAAGCTATCACAAACTATCGTAGGAACAGAAAACCAAACACCACATGTTCTCACTTATAAATGGGAGTTGAACAAGAACACATGGACACAGGGAAGGGAACTCACACACCCGGGCCTGTTGGGGGGTGGGGGCCTAAGGAAGGGATAACATTAGGAGAAATACCTAATGTAGGTGACAGGTTGATGGGTGCAGCAAACGACCATGGCATGTGCATACCTATGTAACAAAACTGCACGTTCTGCACATGTACCGCAGAACTTAAAGTATAATAAATAAATATATAAATATTTATAAATAAATAATAAATACATAAATATCAGAAAGTAAAAGAGGAAAAAACTGAACCTTGAATTTTTTTCTTTTAGAATATTTATAATATTTAACGTATTTGAAGGTGAAGGCCATCCTACATGGACATCTGAAGCTTTAGCTAAGTATTATCTTTTCTGTAATGTGACTATTGGTTTGCAGTTCGGTTCTTCTTTTCGAATAGTATGAGATTAATTTTCTCAGTACTTAAATCACTCCTCAGTTAAGTTGGATGTTCATGGAGGAACATTCTTTCCTTCAGGTTGCTGATACATTTGCTGCACTGTAGGGGAGGGAGTGGGTATCTGAGTTAGTCAGTTTTACCATTTATAAAATGTTTGGTGGAGGAAATTGAAACTAATTGCTAAATTGTTAGTAACCAGTGCATTAACTAGGACCCTACTGAGTGGACTGAAAGAATCGAAAATGTTTAACTGGTTGAGAGGCAATGATGTTGCAAATGGGGTATTCTTCAAAGCTCCTTCTTTTTTTAAATCTTCAAAGGCAATTATTCTGAATGTAAACTACAGACCAAATTGCAGTCTTCTGTAAGCATTTCAGAGATTACCTCAAATATTTTTTGATTAAAAAACTCTTCCGTGGTCTTTTGTGCTTCAGAACTACCCAGTACAACAGGGTCTTCAGCCTGCTCAGGATCTCTAAAGAGAGCTAGCACACAGTCAGCCAACTTTGGCTGCTTCAACTCCTAGGAACAAGAAATGATGCTGAGATAATTTGTCTGGCAGGTATTATCAGCCCACAATGACTGCTGTCATTTAGCCTCAAAATGTTTATTTTTCCTTTTACAATGCTGTATTTCTTTAGAACCTTCCTATTCCGAGTGTGGACCCTAGGCCAGCCCCATAGACTTCCCCTGGGGACTTGTCAGAAATGCATAATTTTAGGCCCCACCCCAGACCTGTTGGACCAGAATCTTCATTTAACAAGATGCCCAGGTGATTCATTCATGTTTGAGAAGCTCTGCTTTAAATCACTAAAGCAGTTACTGAGTAATTACTACCATCATGACTCTGAAGAGCTCCTATAGCCTTCAAATGCGCCTAACTCTACTCTAAAGGCAAATGTCCTCACTGGGAAATCTGATCTGCTGTTTCAGAGAAGTGCAGGGCTACACAGTGTCTTACACTCCTATCTATTGATGTTTCTTGGTTTTGCCTGGTAATCTGCTGCTTAAATGGATTATTTGATGACATATTGATATTAAAACAGTCCTATTTTTAGAAAAAATAAAAATAGGAAAGATGAAAGCACTCTGAGAAAACACTTGCACAGATACCAAACGTATAATATTTTCAGCAATGTTCTTTAAACCTGTGGTTTCTGTTCGCATGTCACTAGTTTGTTGCCTTTTAAGACAATGTCAGAAAAATCCAGATTTTTGGTCAGCTGATGAAAATAGTTTAAAAAGTAGGTATGTGTGCTGTATTTTCTTATTTAGGAAGACATTAGATTCTGAGGTCAGAGTCAGACTAGAAGACATATATTTTCTCATTCATCTTTTATGCATCTATACCTGCTAATCAAATGCCAAGTGTTCATTTTAATGGCCAGAATGTTAGGAAGGATGGCCTAGATCAGAAGGGTCTCATGGACAAAATGCCTTTAGGGATCAAGAGGATAAAAGAATTTAGCCAGCCTGGCCAGGAAAAGGTGAAGGGTGAGTATAGCTTGCCTAAACAGGACAGCTACCCCTCAGTATTGTCCTGTGGTAATACAGGCTTAGTTAGGGTGACTATATTGTCTTGTTTTAAGAAGAAAAAATAGAAATCTTCATTTTTGTGTGAAATCTTAAGGTTTTTAACTATTGGCAATTAAATCAAGTTTCTGTGAATTAATAATTTCTTCCTCCCTCTCTTTTTTCTTCCCTTCTAAATATTGTGTAGTCCAATAAAGCTTAATTAGGAACACAATTAGGAGAGGTTTGCCAATTGATGACACCAAAAAGCCCCAAACCTTACAATTTACACTAGTTTTATTCTCTTTTCCCCTAAACTTTTTCTAGAATGAAAAAATCAGAAATTAGATAGAATCACAGTTCACCACCTTTGCCTCTTTACTCTCTACCTAAGTTAGATGCTAACTAATGGTACAATGAAACTCTGAAAGAGAATTATTAGTAAGTTTATCTTATATAATAAGACAGTGTATAAGATATTGTATACTATCTTATATTATCAGATAAGCATAAGATAATACTTATCATTCAGTAAGCAGTTTGTTTACTATCTTATACAAGATAATTAATACTTATCTTTATATTTTAATTTAATATTTTTAATTAAACTAATATTTTAAATTTTAATTTAATGTTTTAATTAATATTTTTAATATTTAATACAAGATAATACTTACCTTGTATAAGATAGTATACAAACTGGTTACTGAATGATAGGAAGATGGTTAAACATATTTATTACTATCATTCACTATCATGTAGAAAACTCTATTTCATAGTCCCATATAGTAGAGAGGAACCTGGTTGCCTTTTCAAGAATTTCTATCAGGTGACAACCAAAACAGATTGAATGAATGCATTTTTATAAGCTTCATAAACATTTTTAACTTTTTTTTTTTTTTTAGACAGGGTCTCACACTGTCATCCAGACTGGATTACAGTGTTGCTATCATGGCTCACTGCAGCCTCCACCTCCTGGGGTCAAGCAATCCTCCTGCCTCAGCCTCCCTAGTAGCTGGGATTACAGGTGTGTGACAGAACACCCAGTTAATTTTTAAAAAATTTTTTTTCTTAGAGATTAGGCCTCACTATGTTGCCCAGGCTGGTCTCAAACTCTTGACCTCAAGCAATACTCCTGCCTTGGCCTCCCAAAGTGCTGGGATAATAGGCATGAGCCATCATGCCTGGCCGAACTTATTTTTAAATTCTTTGGGAATCTAAAAGGACTATGTGCTTTCTTTTTTACTGGATTATGTGAGAAGATAATAGTTTGCAGAGAAATTCAGTGAAGCAGCTGATAAAATGCTTTAAAAATATATTTCAGAGAATTGAGCAATAACAGTGATGTCAAAATAGTAGCCCCACCTTCTCCAGCCCACCTAAACCAACACTGAGCATGGACACATGCATTTCTTGTCATCAGCCAGACGAAATGGAGTAGCAAAAATCCATCCTATATGTCATTGAGTCTTATAATACAGTTCTCTTTTCTCTGCCTATTAATAAAAGACCCCACTGAATGAAGCCGGAATTCTTTTAGGCAATTTAAACTTTCTGAAATAGAGGAAAGTTGGAAAGGGGCGGTAGTCAAGGAATATAGAAGTAAAAAATATTTTTGAGGTCAAATGCTTATCTGAACAGATTGTCTAGTCTGATTATTTTTAAAAGTATTATGTTGATACCAGTGTTTTAATTTGAATCAAAAGTAATGATTTAACCAAAGTTGTGCTTCCATTATTAACTCAGAAACACTAAGAAACGAAATCACTTTTTCACTTCTTATTTCCCACTGATGCTGACAAAAGAAAACCTGAGATAATCAAAGACCCACAACTAAGTAAGACCTCTCAGGATCTCAAAGCCAAGTGTTTTACAGAGAAGAGAAGATAGAAAAGGCATATTATCTAGGAGTGGAAAAGAATTTTATGCTGAAAATGTTGAAGAGAGAATTCAAAATCAAATTCAACATTCCACCTAGGAGGCTTCCATCTCTGCTTAGGAGCTGAGTAATGGAGGTGATTGGTGTAAGTGTTCAGTACCTATGAAGACCTAACTCTTGAGGGAGAGACTCCAATGTAAACTTCCTACTCAATACTGCCTTAAAAAAAAAAAAAAAAAAAAAAAAAAAAAGTAAGTCCTTATTCCCAAAGTGACTAATACAAACCAAGCACTCGGTCAAGGGCTACTGAGGGAATGACTGCAATAAAAAGCAATCTCTGTGTAGACTTCATCCTTGTCAATTGTTAGCGACTTTGGTCAAGAAGATATTTTGGAAAATACCATTCACTACTCTACATTTTCTATGGTGCTGTTGAAAAATAAAAAATAAAGCTTTGATCTGGAAAGCTCTGATTCTCATTCTCATTATCTTTGTGATCGTGGAAAGGATGTTTATTCTTTCCGAGTATGTTTTCTTTCCTCTAAAATCAGAGACTACATTATCTCTTATATCTTGTCCCATGCTAAAATTCTATACATCTTATTCTAAGATTTCAACAATATCTATAGAAAAAGACAAAAAGACTAGGAATTATGAGAAGAGAGAGAGATTATAAATTCTATATGAGGAAGTTTCATCTAAAACTTATCTTCTCCTATCAAAAGCAAGTTGTAGATACTCTTAGTTAAGCCACACCTGCCTTGTAAATGCCAAACAGGTCCATTTTAAAGTGTAGTAAAAACTACATTCCATTCTATTTTTAAACAGCTTTATTGAGAATCCACATGCTATGCAATTTACCCACTTAAAGTGCACACAATTGAGTGATTTTTAGTATATTCTCAGTTTGCAGCTATCACCACTATTAATTTTAGATCATTTTTGTCACTCCCCTCAAAAACCTCACACTCATTAACACTTGCTCCTCATTCCCTCCTCCAGCTCTGGGCAACAACTAATCTACTTTCTGTCTGTATGAATTATGAATTTTCCTATTCTGGACATCTCATGTATATGGAATAATACAATATGTTTGACTTTTTGTGACTGATTTCTTTCACTAAGCATAATGTTTTCAAAGGTTATCCATGTCATACCATGTATCGATAAAATTCATTTCTTTATATTGCTTAATAATATTCCAGATCCTTTGCCTGTTTTTAAATTATCTTGCCTTTTTACTATTGAGTTTTTTGTATATTCAAGATACAAGTTTCTTATCAGAGATATGATTTGCAAAATTTTTATTTCGTTTTATATTTCCTCCTGGAATGCATTTTTTTATTGCCATGAAAGTAGAGAGCGGGTGCTAAGATAAAATAATACAGAGGTTATTTTAGTTTGGGGAAAGGGGTCAAGAAAGTACCCTGAGACACATTGAGGATTTGATGAAGCTGTCTTGAGGGCTAGGAGAACACTGCAGGCAGAGGGAGCAGCATGTGCAAAGGCCATGAGACAGGAATGAATTTGCTGGGTTTAAAGATGAGCAGGAAGGCCAGTGGAATAGAAAGATGGTAAGGTAGAGAAGGGTAGGAGACAAAGTCTGGGAAGAGGGAAGGGGCCGGTTTACATACACCTTAGAGACCACATTAAGGAGTTTGAATTTCATTCAGAAAGTAGTTGAGTGGTTTTGTGGATTTTAGCAGCGGAAATGGCGTGATCCAATATAAACTTTAAGATGATCCTGCTAGCTGTTTCATGAAGATTGATGTGTGAAAATGAGGTAGAAACAGAACCAAGACGACCACTTGGGAGACCTTTGCTGTTGCTAGAGTGAGCAATGACTAAAATCAGTGAGCTTGAACTAAAATGAGACAGTGGAAAACGAGTAAGGTGAATGGATTGGGGATTATCTTGGATAGAGTGTCATGGCTAAAAGTGTGTGTTCTGAAGCCAGAATGACTGGGTTATAGTACTAACTTCCTCTCTTACTAGCTGTATGACCTTGGGCAAATTAATTTTCCTATGCCACCGTTAAATGAAAATAATCATAGGAGCCATGATGTGAAGTTGTTATGAAAATCGAATGAGTTAATAATGCTGTATATGCATCACAAGAGTACCTGGCACATAGTGAATGCTTTAATAACTGTTGCTGCTATTAATTGTTTTGACTACTGAAATAGACAAGAGTTGGTGATGGTTTGGATGGAGAAGAGGAGGGAAGTTTCAAAGACAACTGACAGGTATCCGGCTTGTGTACAAGACACTTGGTGGTGCCAGTGCCTGAGATGGAGGAAACTGGGGAGAATAAGGGTTTGAGAGGAAGGTCAAGAATCTTATTTTGGAGTTGTTTGTTTGGATGGATGTGAGATATCTGAGTGGAGAGATGTCGGGCTTCAAGTAGCATCCTGGGCCAGAGATAGAGCTGGTATTCAAATTCGAACTGAAATATACTGGAGAAATTTGCAAAACAGCACTTAAAAATAATTTAACCTTGTCCTGGACCAGCCAACAGGATGCCAGAACAATTTAACAAGACCAGTTTTCTTGGGAGAGGTTGCAGATATAGCAAAAAGAGTGTGGACATTGTCATCAAGCAGACCATCTTTTGAACTTTACCCCTCCATTTACTATTTGAGTGATCATAAATAGTTACAGGTGGGTTAGCAAGGAGGGGTCATGGACAGCCCCCACGTTTCTGCTTGAGCACCAGGTGGTTTATAGCGCCGGTTCCTGGGTTGGAGGAAAGTGGAAGGAAGCATGTTTCTCGGAGCCTCATCTTTCTCAGCAGAAGATTAGTAGGCCTTCCTCATAGGTGAGGACCAAAGGAATGTACATCTGGCACATACTACATGCTCAGTAATGATTTTCTTGGATGACTTGGACACTTCTCCCCTTCTCAACCCTGCTGTAAGCATCTCCACCAGCCTGCTTAAATCTACCCCCATTTTTATGTGAAAATGTTGGATGGGAACCATGAGGTGACAGACCAGGGCTAGGACTAGGGTGAGGGAAGTTAGGCACGCACCTTGGGCACCAAACGGAAGGGGGTGCCAAAAATCCAGGCAATCACAACAAATATTATTTTAATGCACTACTTTTAAAAATCAAAAGTAATGCACAAATACCCATGGTAAAATAAATATTAATGTTTAAATAAAGACAGAATCAGTATTAACTGATTTCTCCTTTCACCTCAAGATCTGTCATTTGGTGCAGTACTGGGAAAATGTGAAAGCTTACTCCCCAGCCCCCAAGACTCTTTCTCATTTCTCCCATAGTTGTTAGCTAAGGGCTAGTCCTCAGCCTCGGGCAATCTAGTCATCTCTAAATGCTAAAGACTTCAGAATGTATTCTAACACCTGTGATACTGGGCATACTTGAGGTTGGGGCTTAGGCCCCTACCAGCCCAGCCCCCAGTGCTTTTTTATCTGTTGCAACATAGAAGTTGAAGCAAGGTTCCCTAGTTCACCCCACGTCAGTAAACCAGGCCCTTTGACCCCTGGAAATGTTGAGCAAACACAAAGTAAAATAACCCAATGCTCTATTAAAGGCTGAGGTTTAAAGGTCAGCTTTGTGCTTATTGGCTGCAAGTCTGATTCACTCCCTAAATGACTATCAGGGAGATTTGTGCTTGCAACATGGACTGAGGAGATGAGCCTTTCCATTCAGAGTGGGGAGCTATTTGCTTTATAAGGAGCTGTCCTCACCAAAAGGAAAGCAGCAGGTCAGGAGCAGGTGAAAGAGAATAGAGGTCCCTGAACCAGGAATGCTTCCTTCTGATTTTGACTCTGACTTTTGAAAGCTAAAGGTACATGTAGGCCGGGCGTGGTGGCTCACGCCTGTAATCCCAGAACTTTGGGAGGCTGAGGCGGGTGGATCACGAGGTCAGGAATGTAAGACCAGCTTGGCTAACATAGTGAAACCCCATCTCTACTAAAAATACAAAAAAAATTAGCTAGGCATGGTGGCAGGCACCTGTAGTCCCAGCTACTCGGGAGGCTGAGGCAGGAGAATCGCTTGAATCTGGGAGACAGAGGTTGCAGTGAGCTGAGATCGCGCCACTGCACTCCAGCCTGGGTGACACAGCGAGACTCTGTCTCAAAAAAAAAAAAAAAAAAAAAAGTACATGTAGTGGCTTGTAGCTTTCAGCTGTTTCCCAGGAAAATCAGAAAATCTTCAACTGAAATATTTGGTAATTTAGACGTCATTAGTAAGTGGATAATAAATAATTAAGGTTAGACTTGTCATAGCTCATATGTATCACAAGGAAATATTTATGGAGTTTTGAGCCTGTGGGTCACTTTTCCTATAACAAAACCTGGGTGTGGGAAACCAAATTTTTAAAAGTTATATTATTTACATATTTTTATTTCAATTTGAAGAAAAATTTGTCTAATTTTTAGAATGTTTTCCTGCAAATATAACAGACTTCATAATGCACATTTATGAAGGATTCTGAAACAATAGCAAGGAAGGAGAAAGAGCTGCATGGATTAATCCTGAGCTGCTGCAGCACACTGACTGCATGTCAGTGGCACTTTAAGATTGCAACATTTTGTTTGGTGACCTTCACACCAGTTGACTGTATGCACCTTAATCTCTCTCTCAAAAAAAAGCTGAGCCTACTATAGATTGGCATCTTTTTCTTTTTAACCCCAGTTTTTCATTTACCTACACTGGTTTACCTACACCTGGTTTAATTTGTACAGCAGAATGAAGTTCTTTATTACAAAGCTCAGAAACTCGTCTTTGAGTTTTTAGGAACAGTAAGTACAAAGGTTGTCATGAATTGAGACTGAAAGACCTCATAGATAAATTGGGTAGTACATTTTTAAAGTAAAGAATAAATAACACTTCAGAAAAATGTAGAATACGTTCATAAATGCACAAATGGAGATAAAATGTCACTTTTTGTAATGAGGTTTCTTTCAGACTTTGACACTCGTAAGTAAATGTTCAGAGGAAATAAACGTCAGGGCATATCAGCTTTTGTGAGGGTTGCCAATGTGTAAATGTGAGGTCTACTGTAAATCGTGCTGTCCATTTACCTGCCTCTCTGCAGGAATTTCTTTTTGAGTGTGTAGTCCTTATTTCCCAAGAATAAATACAAAGACTTTTCAGACTATGAATACATATCACATGGTCTCTAAGGTACAGTTGTACATTATACCTGTGGAAGTTTTCTTTCTTAAATAATTAAACGAGATTTTTAATTGTATAAAATAAGAATCTTAAATATTAAGTTATGATGCTTTCTTTAAGAGTGTCTAGTTTCCTTCCTTCTCTCTCCCTTCTTCCCTCTGTTTACTTCCCGGCTAACTCCCCTCCTTTCTTCCTTCTCCCCTTCCTCCTTCTTCCCTCCTTTCCTTCCTTCCTCATTAATTCTTAAAATGTTCATTTGAATGCTTAGATGCTAGATTGTCTCATTTCTGCCTCTATGATTATTGCTTATAAATCAAAGCAGTAAGTCCCACTAAAAACTTAAGAGCCAAGTTAGTATCTTCTTTTTTAGCGTCCTATTATTCACTCAAACTTAATCTTCTTTTTTTCCCATTATTACAAGTTATTACTAAAACTAGCACAGAAAAGCTTTTCACTATATCGCCTCCTTTGAATTAAGATAGTCTCACATATATAGTATTTAGGGAAAAGATAAGGCTAATATTCTTTGGACCGGCTTCCCTATTTTGAAAAAATCTTCCCTCATATCCCTAAACCATACAGACAAGCATTATGCAGAAAACCATTAACATGACTTTCAGTTTTCAAGAGAGAAAGTCAAAAATTCCACAGAAAATTAGAGCTGTTGGACTAAATGTTGGTCTATTAATAAGCAGGAAGAACAATTTAGCTGTTTTCCCTGCTGAGTTAATATATAGTACTGCTGTCTTTCCTGCAGCGGTATTCTCCAGCTGGGTTACTTGGTTCTGGGAATTTCCTCTCAAAATGCCCATTTCTGTCAACCAGCCATCAGACCTGCCTGAGGATAGTTGATATGACAGTGGTGTGACATATTGAATATTAATATGAAAGTGACCTTCCCTGCTGTCAGAAATGGGTCATATATATGTGAAATCCATGAAAATAGATGAGAACAGATTTAAAATAAGGAACACTCCTTATATTGGTATACAGTGTTCACCATGCTTGTACTGAAATATGGCTGTAAGTAGCTTGCCTTCAAGAATTTTTAATAATCATTTCTGAAGAACTGATTTTCCCTTTCATACTTTGTCTTTCATTGGCCAACTTTAAATCACCCTCTAACTAGCCACATGGCTGCCCATCACTCCCTCTGTCAAATTCAGAATTCTGCCTTTGCCTTCAAACTCAAGCCATTCCTGCTTTGACTTCCTTCTGTCTTACATCTGTCCTTGACCTTATTTTGGCTGTTTTGTTTGCCATTCTCTAAATTCGCATCTTTCTGGCCTGCTTTTGCATGGGCTTCTCTGTCATTTATTTTTAACTAGTGGCATAGAGTCCTTCCCTGTCATCTGCTGGCTTGTGTTCTTACTCTCCAAAGCCAGTGGCAGGGGTTTTCTTTCTCAGAAAAGGCATTTCTCTGTTTAAATATTAGTTTTCATACCCAGAACTTGCTGACTCTTGAACATTTAATGTACATTTAGCCAAACAACCTGAATCTGTTATAAATGTGCAAAGACCAAGTTTTATATTTTTATATGTTTTGTAATAACCTCATGACAGGTACTTAATGGGTTGTGTTTATGTTCAGAGAATGAACTTTTAGGTTGTCAAGATGGGAGGTATACAAGTCTTTTTAATAAAGACCCCTAGCTAAAGGCTGCTTCTCTAGCCGATGGAACAAACCAGGACAAGGCCTGCTTATCTGTGTATTGTAGCTTTCCTAATTGATAGCAAGTGCCTCTGAAAAAATGTTTACATAGTTATCTAAAGTAATCATTAATTACCAACATTGTACATTTCATTCTGGTTAACCTCTTTTGGTATCATTACTTTTCTCAGAGTTGAGCAGTAATCATTTTTACAATGGAGACTTTTAAAAGATTTTTTAAAAATAGCATTTTGATCCCTGAATTGCGTTTCTATGTGATTATGCTGATTTTTTCATATATGCGAGTCTTTTTTAAAGTTAAGTTATACTTACATCCTTAATGATAAATCGCCAGTGAAAACCAAGAGAACTCAAGAGAGTCTGACCATTTCTGTACTTGGAATGTGTCAGGGGTCAGTGCTCTGCAAATGGCACATGTGGAAAGAAGGATTCATAATTCAGTTGTCACCCAACTGTATCATAAGAGTTTGAACTATAAAGAAATAAGTAGTTGCTTCTTGCTGACCAACAAGATCGCTACAGGTTTCAAAGAAAGAAAGAATTCGTCATCAAGGGCAGGAAGGTACTTCATAAATAATTACCAAATGAAGTGGTCGTGATGACTAGCGCTCTCTTTCCTTGAAACCTGTAGCAATCTTGGTGGTCAGCAAGAGGCAACTACTTTTCTCTTTATAGTTCAAACTCCTCCGATACCATTTGGGTGATCACTAAATTATGAAACCTTCATTCCCCATCTCCTCCCATTTGCAGAGCACTGACCCCTGACACATTTTATGGACCAAAATGGTCAGGCTTTCTCGAGTTCTCTTGGCTTTCATTGGGGATTTATTATCTAATGTCTACTCACCCCTTCCCCTCCAGGACTCAGATCATAGAGTTTTGCTATATAGTACTTTAAATTTCCATTAAGCTTGAAATCATTCATTTCAAAGAAGAGGGTCATGGTGCCCCTGATTATATACAGGATAAATAGAAATAAAGATATCCCTGTGTCATCATGAAAATGAACAGCTGGCAATTGAACTTATTAATATATTAACAGGACACGATGAAACAAAGGTATTCCCTCTGAGATCAAACCCTCCCATTACTGCAAAGAAGGGTGTAGCATGAGAAAGTTCTCTCCTAGGTTCACTGCAGGTTCACTTAGACCTGTTTGACTTGTTGAGATTATTTTAAGCTCAGGAGTTAATTTTTTTAAATGGCTAAGCCTAGTTCATCATTACAGAGTACAAAATATTCAATCATACTTAAGGGTTGTTGGGGTTTTCTCATGGTAATGCATTATAATTGATAACATTCATTAATTGCTTCGAATTTCTTCCTAATTAAATTTTAAAAATAAATGCATAACTGCTCTTTGAAATTTGATTGATTTGACTTAAAAACTAATTGGAAAGGGGAATCTGTGCCTCCTAATTTTATAATTAAAATATATGTTGCTAAATAGTTTTCATCTACTTCTATTTTTTAATTCCTTCATTTCTTATAAAAATGGAGGCTATATTTGCATAACTGTGTCCCCGGTAATGATGGGAGACTGGGAAGTTGCAAAAAATACTTTGCAAGGACAACAACTATCTTGACTCTTCTGCCTATTTCCTTGTAAAGATCTCTGTGATTATTTGGGCCCACCCAAATATTGCAGGATAAGCTCCCTGTCTCAAGATCCTTACCTCAATCACATGTGTAAGTATTGCTATAGGAAGTAACTTATTCACAAGTTTCAGGATAAAGCTATGGACATCTCTGAGGACCATGATTCAGCCGCCCACTCTCACATTATATTTCCCAGAACCATAGAGAGCACCCCACAAAGATTTGCTGAATATTGTTGAGTGATCAAATGATATGGTTTCAATAAAGCTCCATGAATTATACTTGTGAAGAACAAATAGACTTCTGATGTCACTGTCACAGTAGGCATTGCAGGAATTTTCAAAAGTATATTTCTTTCTTTCTTTTTTTTTTTTTTTTGAGAAAGATCTTTCCAATGTAGATAGTGTATGGAATGACAATTTAGCAGCAGCAGAATGCACTTTTGCAGAAACACACAAACACACATAACTCCTTTGACAATAACCCAGCATACTGACCTCTCTCCAAACCTGCTTTCTTTTTTGTTGTGGCCAGACTTTGAGTGGAAGGAAAGGAGATTGGCAGAGGTGAGCAGGAAGAGGCCAGAGCTGAAGGAGGAGAGAAGAAATTAGCCAGGTTTGATAGAGAGATGGCTTCTGGGACAATTCTTTTCAGAGGCCAAGGTGGCTGATGAGCCACTTGCTCCACTCATTTCCCTGTGAGATCATGGAGTAAAATTAGAGGAACATAAAAGGCGAAGGCTTCCTTACATCCTTAGAAGGTCATGACCAGTGTGTCCAGCTTCTGATTTCTCATGACAGTATTGTTTTTATTCTTTAATAAATTTTATTCTGATATTCAGTGTATAAAATAAAAATTGCCTACCTTAGTATTCAGAGATAGCTGCTGTAACATTTTGGCATATTTTCTTCCAGTTTTTTTCTCTGCATATATGGTTACATCACAGAATCACAATTATGGTCTGGACAAAGTTTTATATCTTACTTATGTTCACTTGACTAGGAAAATTTTCTCATGACATTAAATATTTTTCAAAACATGATTATTCAATGACTGTATAATATTGCACTTTTGGATGTACGTCTATGGTTGAATGTTTATGCTTCTGCCTAGAATGAATGATACGGCCTTGAATAGTTTTGCATTACATCTTTTTTCACCTTCTTAATTGTTTCTATTGGACAGTTCCTAGGAGAGGCAATCAAAGGGCATGGACGTTTTTATGATTCTTCATCGATGTGGCCAAAGATATTAATTTACACACCTACTCTCTGTGTCGTGACTATTTCTCCTCACATTCAACAGCATTAAGCATTAGTTTTTTAAAAAAAATTTTAAAAATTTTGAATGCTTATTGGATAATTATAAGGATTTTTGGTAACTTGTTGATCTGTGTTCTTTGCCCATTTATCCATTGAGATGTTAATATTTTGCTTATGAACTACCTTTGCGTGTTATGTCTCTGGAAATTATTTTTCCAGTTTGGTGTTTGCCTTTTGAGTATTCTGCTCTCTGATATATAAATGTGTTTCACCTTTGCTACTCCAGTCAAATCTACTATTACTCTCTGACACATTTCACTACCTTTATGTTTAGAAATTATTTTGCTAGGCTCAATAGCTGATAAATAACCACCTGTATTTTACATAATCCTTTATTATTTTATTTTAAAATTTAACATAACATTTATCTGTCTTTATTTTAACATATAGTATGAGATAGCAACATACATTTTAAATTATTCAAATAGTTAATTCAATGCCATTTATTAAATAAGTGCTCTTTTCTTCACTGACTTTTTGATTAAATCTATCTTTTAATTGGTATATACATTTCTGTATCTGGGCTCTCTATTTCTGTAACCATCTATTAATTATTGTAGCAGAACCATATTATAGTTTATATATCCCATTATAATTTGTATTATAGCCTGTTTCTGACATGGTGGCCCCTAACTCTTTCATTTTTCTGTATTTTAAATTTATTTTAGCAGTTATTGTCTCAGCATTCTTTAAGGTGAGTATTGGAATTAATTTTCAAATTTAAAAAATCTTGGACCGGGCACGGTGCCTCATGCCTGTAATCCCAGCACTTTGGGACGCTGAGGAAGGTGGATCACTTGAGGTCAGGAGTTCAAGCCGGCCTGACCAACATGGTGAAACCCCATCTCCACTAAAAATACAAAATTAGCCAGGCATGGTGGCACACGCCTGTATCCAGCTACTTGAGAGGCTCGAACCCGGAAGGCACAAGGTTGCAGTGAGCCGAGATCATGCCATTGCACTCTGGCCTGGGCAACAAGAGCGAAACTCCATCTCAAAAAACAAAACAAAACTTGTTGTACTTTGTATAGAATTATGTGCAAATTATGAATTATTTTGGAAAAGTTTGCATCTTCACAATTTTCAATAATTTCAAAATATCTCTTTTTCAAGTCTTATGTGATATGACAAAAAAATCATTTATTTGTAGAGGTCCTGCATTCTTTTTAAGGTTATTCCTAGGTATTAGATACTTTTTATTTAATTATTTTTGAGATTATTTAAGATACTGTTTTCTAATTGGTGGTTACTGTTATATGAAAGCTATTGCTTTTAGTATTTTGTCTTTTGATTCTGTTTGTTAATGATAATTATTTTTCACTTAGTTCTCCTGAGTTTTATTTATAAACAATTATATTATAATCAAAAAATGATTCTATCATCTTTCCAAATAATGTATCTCTTCTTTGTTGATTATGTCCTATAACATTAGCCAGAATTTCCACAGCAAAGTTCAAAATACTCACTGGCATTCTACTCTTATCTTGTTTCTGATTTTAACAGCTATTTATTTGATGATAGATTTTTTTCTAACCATGTTAAAGAAATTTTTTTGCATTCCTAATATGCTGAGAATTTTTAAAATTAAAAAAATGGGTTTTGGAATACTATAAAATGCCTTTTGGATGATTTTGGTAAATTATCATCCATGAGGAGAATATAATATGGAAGCCAGAGTATGGGATTTATGGCCAGACAGAGCTGGAGTCAAATTATACCTCCTCCTCTTAGAATTGTGTAACATTAAGCAATTTATTTATTCCCTTCGAATTTCAGTCTCTTACTCTGTAATATGAAGATAATCATGTAAATATCTTGTGAGGATATTATGAGTATCCAGTAAGAATTATTTATAATGTGTTTAACACCAGACTTGATATGGAGTATCATAGTTTCTTTTGAATTATTGCATAAGTTTTGCCTTTGATCTATTAAAATGGTGCACTATAATTACAGATTTCCTAATATTTAATCATCTTTTTATTCTTGGACCAAAGCCTACTTGGCCCTGATGAAATGTTTTCTTAACTTACTGCTGTATTCCATATTTGTTTGAGATTATTGTATCAATTTTCCTAATGATTTGGTCTTTAGTTGAATTTTTATGCTATCTTATTAGTTTTGATATCAAAATTATGTAAACTTTATGTAATGATTAGAAAGATTTTATCATTTTCTGTGTTCTGCACCTATGGAAATTATATTTTCATGGGCAATTTTTTTTTCTCTGAAATTCTCTGTATCGGGATTATTTTTTGAACCAGATAATACTTTTATAACTTTTAAAGATTTTTGCTGTTGTTGTTTCTATTTGTTGTTGTCAGATTGTTTTCTCTAATCAATTCATCTATTCAGTGTTTCTACTTCTATTTGTGGCAATTTTGGTAATTCATATTATACCTAAAAATTGTCCTTCTGTCAGTATCGTTTGTTTGTTTGAGATGGAATCTCACTCTGTTGCCAGGCTGGAGTGCTGGTGTGATCTCGGCTCATTGCAATCTCTGCCTCCCAGGTTCAAGCAATTCTCCTGCCTCAGCCTCCCAAATAGCTGGGGTTACAGGCACATGACACCACACCCAGCTAATTTTTGTATTTTTAGTACAGACGGAGTTTCACCATTGTTGGCCAGGATGGTCTCGATCTCCTGACCTAGTGATCCACCCGCCTCGGCCTCCCAGAATGCTGGGATTATAGACGTGAGCCACCGTGCCCAGCACCTTACTTCTGTGACATGATCTTGTAGTTATTATTCCTTAGTTTTCTGTTTTTGTTTTTGTTTTTTTTTTTTTTTTGAGACGGAGTTTCACTCTTGTTGCCCAGGCTGGAGTACAATGGCACGATCTCGGCTCACCGCAACCTCTGCCTCCCAGGTTCAAGCAATTCTCCTGCGTCAGCCTCCCGAGTAGCTGGGATTACAGGCATGCGCCACTACACCTGGCTACTTTTGTATTTTTTAGTAGAGAAGGGTTTCTCCATGTTGGTCAGGCTGGTCTCGAGCTCCCGACCTCAGGTGATCTGCCCGCCTTGGCCTCCCAAAGTGCTGGGATTACAGGCGTGAGCCACTGCGCCTGGCTAGACCTTAGTTTTAAAATATTTTTGACCCTGCCACCTCAAAAGTAGTAATTGTTAATCAGCAATCACATATTGAGTGCCTCAAGGGTCACCCTTACAAGAGTAGTAAGTGCCTATTTTTTTCCAAGACTGCGAACTGTTGCAGAATATTCTACCTGGATTCATATCCCAGCTCCACCACTAACAACCTGTGTAAACTCCAACAAGTTACTTGAATTTTCTGTGCCGTGGTTTCCTCATCCGATTGTGAGGATATGAAGCTCTGAGATCAGTGCCTTGCCTGGCATATAATAAGTAGCTTATAGATAGTATTATTATTACATTTAAAAATAAACACTGTGGTTGCTCTTGAGGATACAAGGTATAGACACAGTTGTGAATGGAAAACTCAAAGACAAATTGAACACTGAAGCACTTTTTACTTGTAATGTTTGGAGGGCTTTCCAGCCTTTAGAAGCACAGGAGTCCCTGAAAAAAGGATACTACAGGTATTTAAAGAAAAAAAAAATTTAGCCCACAAAGTTACAGTTAATCTGTTCAGAATCCTCATTGGTGAAAAAGTGGCAGTTCTCACATGCTTATCCTACCTGGGTGGATCCTCACGTATCTGCAGATATCTGTATTCCAAAGTCAGAGATAAAGATTTTTTTCTTGGGGGAGCCAGCAACTTACAGGGAAGGGGCTCAAGTCTTTTAAAAATGTTTTTGGATGGGGAGACTAGAGTGAGATAGGGTTTTCTGTTTTGGAAGGAGTCTCTAATGATGCAAAAATATTTTTGTTTCATCTGTCATTGGTATGTGAAGGGCACACTTAATCACAAGGGCAACAGGGCAAGGTGTAGTCTTGCTTTCTCACAGTGGTCGTGTAGGCAAGCGGGATGGGTAAACTATAAACAGAATCAACTGTATATATGGATTATGCTATGTTTTACATTTATTGCCTCGGTTCATTCAATAATACTCTCTCCAAGTGCCATGCTTCCTAGAATACTTTCTTAACCACTATTACTTATAACATTTTCTTGTACCTCCCCAAAGGGAGAAGCATCTGTTAATGTGCCTCCATTGCTTTCAGAATAATATTCAAACTACATAGCAGGGCACAAAAGACCTCTCCAGGTCCCTCCTCTACCACAGTTCCTCACTATGCCTCAGCCACGTTAAGTCCTTGTGACAGGTGGAATTCTGGGATGGCTCCAAAGATTCCTACCCAATCGTGTACACACTGTCTCTAATCTCCTCTCTTTGCTTGGCCTGGACCTGTGAATATGATAATCACGCCCTTGACTGCTTTACTTAGTATAGGACTCCATTTTAGCAGAATGAAGAGTGTTTCCCCTACTGGCCTTGAGGAGCAAATTGCCATACAGTGGAAAAAGCCACATGGCATAGAATGGTAGGTGGCCTTTAGGAACTGAGAACAGCCCTCAGCTTGCAGCCAGCCAGCAAAAGTAGGGATCTTTTTCCTGCAATTGCAAAGAACTGAACTCCACCAACAACCAGTGAGGTTAGGAGACCCCAAGCCATAGCTGAGTTTGCAGCTTCAGCTAACACCTTGATTTCAGCCTGGTGAGATCCTGAACAAAGGGCTGAACTAACTTGAGCCTGGACTCCTGACCCATGGAAACTGTGAAATAACTTTTGGTCTTTTAAGCTGTTAATTTGGTAGGAATTTGTCATGCAGCAATAGATAACTAATTTAGTCATTTAGTCTCTTGCATTCTCTTATCTCAGATCACCTGTTTCCCTCAGTACAATTTGTATTCCATGTGTCCCTATCCAGAGCTCAGTCATCATCCCTTTCACCCCCTCAGACTTGTCAACTTACTCTACATGGGAAAAAAATCATCTTTTTATTCTGAAATTATATTCTATATACCTAGAATATACCTAGAATGACCTCTGAGTCATTCTGACCTTTGTCTCCTTGGATTATTTTTATTTGTAAAACTGCTCCTGGTTTTATATTCTGTTTTTATATTCTAATAAATGCATGTGACTACAAATATTTTATAATTTATTTTGTATTCTTCACAACTTAGTATATCAAAATACATATCTGAAGAAATGTATTGATCATAACATTGAGGCTGCGTCTTGAAAAAGGCATGAATCAAACTGTGTGCATGCTAGAATGGCTCCTGTGTGGGGCTGGTCTCTAATGGTGGGCTATGAGGATCCACTCTTAGCCCCATCAAGGTACTGTTTTCTATCAATGATTTTGATGAGGGTATAGATAGTATATGTGTCAACATTATGATTGACATGAAACCTGGAAGCATGGCACATACTTTGAGTAACAGAATTACTACCTGGAGAGACCATTTCAAATTGGAATGATGGAACAAGGTTAAGTTTTAATTGAACAAGTATGAAAGCCTATACTTAAGTTTAAAAAAATCAATCTAGAAACTAAAGTTGGGGTGAGACAGACAGCACATGCGAATATATATAGATTTGTTATTTACGACTTAGTTTAAATCAGTGGCATAATGGATCATATAGTAGAGTTTATTTAAATCATGAAGTTAATTTTAGACTGCATTAATTGAACTGCTGTGTCCCAAACAAAAAGGATAATCCTCCTTTGATCTATGTGGGTCACATGACTCCTGGGTAGTTCTGGGCACCTCCTTAAATGGGGTCATGGACAAACTGGAATTTCTTCATTGGGTAGGGACCAGATGGGCAAACAGATTTGCAATCATGTCCTACATGGTGGAACAATCTGAACTGTGGCTCTTTCACCTGTAGAAGAGAAGGTATTTAATATCTAAAAATTAGACCTATTTTTCATCACTTTGGTGAATGGAAATGATAAGGAAATAGAGTTTTACTTTATTAAAGTTACCAACATGTAGTTAATAGCAAAATAGAGTGGGTTGCCTTTGGGAGTTATTGACCCCATTCTCCTTGAGATGTACAAATAGAAATTTGGATGGAGGAAAACAGAATTGTGAAGTCTTTTGCGTGTGTTGTCACAAGGAGGTAGTGATTGACTGAAAGGCATCAACATATATAGAGACTCTAAAGTTTCATTAAGTGTAAAGAATATAGAAACATATGGATATGGTTTTGTAAAGTAGGGGATAATACAACAGATCCCAGACAGAGGATCCCATGCCATAGTTCTCGTGAGAGGGCGTCCGGCTCTAAATTAGACCACCTACCTGGAGTTCAGCTCCTGTAGGTGTGAGAAGAAGCCTATAGTAGATGCTGTTAGTGCCCCACCCAGGCCCCCTTAACAGGGCTAGTCCCCTTGCCCTCCAGCTGCTGCAGTTGTTGGCTGTCATATCCTCTTATCTGCACCACCCTCTGGAGGATTGCCCTTGACAATGACATCTACCTCATCCAGACAATGACATCTACCTCATCTACCTCATGCGTGGGAGGTTACAGCCTCCATGCCACAGGACAGCCCTTGACCAGTTACCACCTGATGCTGAGGTACAACAGCTCAGGCCCCTTGCCTCTGTGCAGAATGACCTCTGAGTGATTTACACCCCAGAGCTCCCTGTGGGATCAGACTAGACTTCTAAAACCACATCTTTGTCTTTTCCCCTGCCCTCCCTTGCTTCCCTTACTCCCTCATGTGTTTCCATTAAGAGCCTGATTTGCCTAGGAATTGTTCTCTCAGGCTTTGCTTGTGGGGATCCTTACCTAAGACACTGCCTTTTCCTTGTTTAGGGGGACTTCTGATCTCTGTCCTTCTACTGCTGTACTTCTGTCCTTCTACCTGACAGGGGCTTCTACCTTCTCATCTACTCTCTTACCGAGGGCCAGTAACTGGATAAGAGGGTAGAGGGCCAAGATACCACTCCTTTATAACTAAGTAAAGAAGTAATTTTGCCAGGAGCATCCCCCAGCAGGCTTCAGTTTTCTGTTCTGTCTAAGGATGTCTCCAGCAACACTGGAACAGATGCCCCCTGAGGGCCCTCCCCACTCCAACATCAATGATCCCGTGGATCTCATAATGCCATTTTATTCTTTAAAGAAAGAATGCATGTGCACACACACACACACACACACACACACACACCTTTTTGTTCTCTCTGACAATGGCATTACTACATGACTCTTATGGAGATAAAAAGATAGGCGTCATCTCATATCTAGCAACAGTGTTCTAGGGGCTTTTCAGGTTAGAAAAACATGAAGATCAGTTGGTGTCCATCTCTTTTTCTCTTTTTAACTGCTCTATGTTTCTGCTTCTTTATTCTTCTCTCTAGATGTCTTTCTTGTAATGGGCACCTGGCTGACCCATATAAGGTGGCATGTGGGAATGCAGGTGGAGAAGCTTGGTGTGGAGGATGACGGCCTGGTTTGGGAGCCTAGATCAATGTGCTTCATTCTGGACTCTGGAATGAAGCCGGGTAGCCATGTAACCTTCCATTCATTTCACCTTTCTTAATCTCAATTGTATGTATAAAGTGAAATAATAATAAAATAAAAAAAAAAATTGTGCCTGCCCCACCTAACTGTCAGTCTCATGAAGACCAAATGAGATAGTGCATCTGAAGGCATATTAGGAAAGTATAAAGCCCTTGAAAAACATGAGAGATTACTCAGCTAAGATATTAAGATGCCGTCCTGCTTGTGAAGAGCTTGCAAAATAGTAGGAGAGCTGAGACATAAACACAAATAAAAATTATTTAAGGTGGGGGATGATCTGTGTCATCAGGGAGGTATAGAGTTGTATAGGAGTTCAGAGAAGGGAAAACCCATTTCCTGCTGGGTAAATTTAGTTTTTGAGCCCAAAAGTGTGTTCATTTTCTTCCCTGTATCTCCTTTCTGGCTTGTCATACATAGACAGGAGGATCCTTGAATAAATCCAGAAAAGTAACAAAGATCTGTTACCCACCTTTTTTTCCAGCAAACTTTTTTGTTAATATATAATAGTTGTGCATATTTTTGTACATGTGGTCTTTTGATACGTGTGTACAGTGTGTAATGATTAAATCAGGGTGATTAGTATATCCATTGCTACAGACATTTTTTCTTTGGGTTGGAAACATTCCAGTTCTCTTCTAGCTATTTTGAAATGTACAGTCAATTGTTAACTATAGTCTCCTTACTGTACTTTCGAGTGCTAGACTTTATTCCTTCCATCTAACTGTATTTTTGTACCCATTAACCAACTTCTCTTCATCTTCCCCCTACCCTTCTCAGCCTCTGGGAACCACCAATCTGCTGTCTTCCTCCATGAGATACACTTTTGTAACTCCCACATATGAGTGAGAACATGCAATATTTGTCTTTCTATGGGTGGGTTATTTCACTTAACGCAATGACCTCCAATTCTGTTCCATATTGCTGCAAATGAGAGGATTTCATGTTTTTGGCTGAATAATATTTCATTATATATATATATACATTTCGTTATATATATACATTTCATTATATATAATATAATAATATTTCATTATATGTATGTATATATATATACACACACACATTTTTATGATATATATATGATATATATATACACATTTTTATGATAATGGAGAAAAGTGCCAGGTCCATGCACATTTGATTGATGCAGGGACTGGATGATCTCTTTTGCGTCAACCCTCTGCAATGAGACTTAAGGGTTTCCATTTCCTAAAGTGGATTTTACTACATTGGCCAGACCTGAGAACTGGGATGTTTCTATCTGCACCTAATTCTGTCAGCATTGATTAGCTGATTCTTTGATCATCATGTGAAGAGATTCACATTATTATATATCACACAGAAGAAGAGAACCTTTCCTGGTAAATGAGAAGTGCTCAGAGCATTTCGAAGAAGCTTGGCCCAGGTGGTTAGATGTACGTGATCTTCCAGGCCACCCCACCGGGGAATAACGTGTGCTCTATGCATAGAAATGCATTCCTCAGAATCTATGTTCAAGGGCAGTGCAAGAATGTGAAATGTAGAATGTGTTCTGGTAACTTGAATTATTTTCGACGGTCAGGCTCAGAGGAAAGCTAAAAAGCACTCATTGCTCTTGTTAAACTTCCCATTTACTCAAGCAGATACACTTTTTCGAACTTGAGAAAGAGAAGTGTGTGTGCATTTGTGTGTGTGTGTGTGCATACTATCTATATATTTTAAGAAACCTGAACTTTGAGTTCTGACTCCGTCTTTCATGATCAAGTCGTGCATCGAGGCGTGTCTTGTTTACTGCTGTGCGTTTGTAAACTGGGTCATCCTTTTCTGAGACTATGAGGAATGTAGAGTGGTGTATGTAGTTCTTATGTTCCCTTACAGTGCTGGGCTTTCCTCTCTGTAACTCAGTCTCTTGCCAGTATTCCTTCTTCTGTTATTTTTTTTTTTCTTTTCCTTAGAAAGGCAGTATCTCTTTGGATCTCCCTTAGGTATTCCCTACCATGAGAAAAGCACAGCTTCCTGCACTTGCCCCCAGATATATACTATACATTGTTATACCAGTGTTATTTCTTTCCTCTCTTTTTCCTTAAACAGAAATTTTATTGTTTTCTGACTCACCCTGAGGTCTCAGTACGTAAGTGTCATTTTTAATTCTCTCCCAATCCCCACTTTCTCCCACGACTGCTCTGAAGGGCACATTTAATGATTATTGTGTGTATAAGCATTTATGTACTTTTTTGCTTTCTCTAGTCACTTAAGCGGCAATTAATTTCTACTTCAGTGAAAGAGAATGAATTATACTGAGGCCTAATCATCTATTCTTTCTAAACAGTTTGGAAGGGCCGCGGAGGGGGAGGCCAACGTTGCATCTGCATGTGTGCATATTGCTGCGTGCTTTGGTTTCATTCCTGGGCCCACATTACTCATTGTTTCCTATCTTGCCTTTTCAATACTTTGGGGACTGATTTGGTTTTAAGTTGTTGAGTGGGGGTGGCTAGAGCCAGGCTCTGCCTTCTGGCATTGTGGGAATATGGGAAAGCTTCCATTCCCTTTGGTTTCATGTAGCAAATATACCCATACTTTGTACAAGGCACGTGTCAAATGTCGTGAGAGGTATCTCATCAAGTTAGGGAGAGGGGAAGTGTTCACCTCCACATGGGGATGCTCAGGGCCCTGGGGGGTTTGGATGTGGCTCTGTGGTGCCCATTTCTGTCCTTTACCTACCGGACCATATTGCCACATTTGGCACAGCAGCTGATCTGCACCTCCATGTCCATCTTTCCGCATCTGCTTTCTCTGACATCATCCTTTTTAATCTCCTGTGTCCCTCTGCCTACGCATTTCCTGTCTGCTTCCTTGCCTTACTTTGCCCAAGTGGTTCTTTTCTCTAGGGTTCTGATTTTCTCTTTGCCTTCTATCTACCCGCTCAGTTTAGTGTCTGTGGTCCCAACCTTTGTTCTGTCTTCCTCCATCCTTGTTTTTCATGGCATGGCCAGTGATGCTGCCATACACCTAATCAGCCAAGCTGGAAGCCTCCAGGTCCTTATAGACCTTGTCTCTCCAACAACCACTTGGTTTTCAATGAAGGCAGCTCCAGTTCAACACCTCCCTCTTTTCACTCTGACAGCCCCTCTCCCAGACCTCAATTATTGCCACATACTGGATACCTCTACCAGATTTTACCTATTTTCTTAAAAAATCCAATCTGAACATGCCCCATTCCTCATGATAGTTGTCTCTTTAATTGCTGAATGCTACACAGTAAAATTCCGATGACCAGTATGGCAAGCACAGACTGATAGCAGCTGACCTTAGCATCATCTTCAATTAGTGTCTATTTCCTCCCCATGACATGCCAAACACAGTAACTTCTTCTTTTAGAGGAAGCCTCTCTGCATTTGCACTCATCATTCTTTTTCCCCAAAATGTCCTTCTTGTTTTCTCCAGCTAGTAAAGATGTCCTCTTCTTTCAAGACCCTCTTGTGAAGGAAGTTTTGAGGGTTGCTTCATATTGAAGTAGCACTTTCTCTGTATGTCAACTGAGTGCTGTCTGAGTCTCTATCACAACATCCCACCCTATGCTGAGTTCAAATCAGTAGGAATGTTTGCATTTAAAGAATAATTTATGGATGGCAAAGCCTTTTCACAGTCATTCTCTCCATGGTGAGTTGGAGAAAGTGGAGATATGAAAGAGAGCTTGTGCTCAACATTACTTTGGTGTCTGTTCTATTCTGGTCATGTTTGATTCCTATGTACTGTTATCTACACCTTTAGCAACAAGGAAAGTGTGTCAAACGTTCTGCCACTTAGGAGGATAAGAGCCTTGGCAGAACACTTAGTGAGGATGGCCAGTCAACCCTGTTCTTGAAAGCAACTGCCTTGAATTAAAAACAGAAGGCTCCAAGGCAAATCTATATGGACCCTTAAAGCGAGGATTTTTTGCCAAGAACATCATTTGTAAAACACCGAATATATTTTTTAAACATAAATTTAAGCTGAGAACTGCTAGTCCTCTCTTCATCTTCCTTTTTTTAAAGCATGGAATTAGGACTGCCTGGTTAATCAGTGCCCAAAGTAAAGATAACCTAGGAGCAGTTGGCACTAGAGAATTCAGACACTAGCTACAAGATAAACCATCAGAGAGGAACAAGAGGGTGGACTTAGAAAGCATTTATTGGACTACCTAAGTAAGCACATAATCTTTGCATTTTAGAGCTGGAACAATCAAGCCTCTAATTATAGCTGAGGGATAGAGGCCTAGAGAAGTCGAGCAGCTGTCAGGACCCTCAGCGTTATGGCTGTGAATTCCTTACTCCCATCCAGGGTCTTTTCCCCATGTCATTAATGTACATGGAGTATCAAAACACCTTATGAGGGAAATAACTGAGGGCAGTCACTGAATTGCGAGGCTGAATCTTCATTTTGAGAAAATAAGGTCGATGATAATAGTAATAGAAGCCAAGAACTTTTTACTGGTTTATTTCATTTGATCCCCACAAAACCCCTATGAGATGGTGAATTCATTTCCTGTTGCTGCTGTAACAAATTACCACTAGCTTAGTTGCTTAAAACAACACAAATGTATTATTTTACAGTTCTGGAGGTCAGACGTCAGAAATGAGTTTCACAGAGCTGAAGTCAAAGGGTCTGCAGAACTAATTCCTCATGGAGGCTCTGAGAGAAGGATCCATTTCCTTGCCTTTTTCAGCTTCTAGTGGCCACACATCTCCTTGATTTTTTGGCTTCTCCCTCCATTTTAGAAAGTGCGTCACTCTAATCTATGCTTCCATCATCACATAATCTCCTTTGCCTCTGACCCCTCCTGCATCCTTTTTATAAGGAATTTTATGACCATACTGGGCCACCAGATAATCCAGCATAATCTTCTCATCAGAAAATCCTTAACTACATTTGCAAAGTCCCTTTGCAAGATAACATATTCACAGGTTCCAGGGATTAGGACTTGAACAGATTTGGGAGGTCATTATTTAACCCACTACAGATAGGTATTGTTATTATTCCCATTTTACAGCTGAAGAAACTGTGGCTTTGAGAGATTAAGTAAATTCCACAGAGTTAGGTAGTTATTGAGAAGCAGAGTCATTCATTCTTTATCTGTGGAACTGAGTTAGTAGAAATAAAAAATAAATGATATAACTGAATTCAAGATAAACATTATATCATTAGATATTTTTAGACCAAAAATATACTAAGCCTGCGGTCTGAATTATAAAATATAAACCATTATAGGAAAAATGGAAATTCTAAACATTCTTAAAGGGTAACATTCTCTCATAGCTCTAGGAAATTGTTGGACTGTAATAGGCCACCACCCAGAATCAGTCATCCAACTAGCTGTTGTGAGCTGATATTTTAATTTTCAAACCTTAAATCAGCCTCAGTACATTTCTATCCATTGGCAGTGGGGAGCCACTCTATATGCAGTATAAAGCTAAAATTTTAAAAAAATTTCACAGCATTTCTTTTTAATTTCTGAAGTTAGCTATCACAGTTCTCCTAATCTCTTCTCTCAGTTGAATATCTCAAATTCAAGTTCACTTAGCCATTCGTGTGAAGTGGATTTTCAACACCCCAGTGTCTACATTAACTTTCCCTGGAAGCTCTTTATTTTTTCAAATACTTCTCATAAAATATATTTCCAAGAATTGAACATGCTATTGCAGATATAGCTTTAGTGCTGAATATGGTGAGAGGTTCCCCTCTCTTAACTAGAAGGTGTATGTACCTCTGTAACCTTGCCCTACTGATATAGAATTAATGGAAAATTAGACAGACTAGCCCATTTCCAGAAAGAATCCAATTTTAAGCTGTATGTTGACTCATAACCCATTTGAAATACAGAGAAAGAAGCAAAATATTTCTTTACACCTTAGGTTGCCTGCCAGTTCCTACATAGCTTTGGTGGGGTTAAGGAGGCCTGCCTTCCTTGGTCTCTCTCTTTTTCTTTTCTTTCCTTAACTTGTTTTATGTATGAATAAATGTACATCTTATAACGTATATGTAGGCTATGAAGCTTGGTAATGGAATAAATCCCCCATGAAGCCAACACTCATTTTAGGAAGTAGAATATTACCAATAATGTTGATATTAAATATGTAGTATTCCTCCCTGATCCTATCTCCTGCCTCCCTATTATCAATTTTCTGTTTATCATTTGGATGAGTTTTAGCTGTACTACATATGTGCGTATATCTTCCTAAACAATATATTCTAAAATTTGGCTTGTCTGTGGGTTTTATAAAAATGGTAGCATGTCATATATATGTTCCTACAACTTGCTTTTCTCATTCATATTTGTATTTCTAAGATGTATTCATCCAGAATATAAAGCTAGAATTTTTCCATTTTCCACTGCTGTATAATACTCTGCTAGGCAATATATCACTTTGTTCTGTGTAGTCTGTGTAGACTTTTGGGTTATTTCCTCTTTGCAGAGTTTACTGCCAGTGATTTGCTATTACAAATAAAGCTACTGTGAATTTCCTTCCATGTGTCTTTGGTTCATGTTGAGTTAAGTTTTTCTAGCAGTAGAATTGCTGGATCAGAGGGTAAATATGTTCTTTATTAGGTAACTCAAATGTATTTTTCAAAATGGTTGAACTGGTCAACACTCCCTCCAAGAAGTGGTGCATTAGGCTTCTTTTTGCTCCACATCCTTGCTAACATTTGGTAATGTCAGGCTTTTAAATTTTGTCCATCTAAAATGTACCTTACTGTGATCTGAAAAAGCATGTTTTGATTTCTAATGAGGTTCGACATCTTTTCCTATCTGTCTTTACCATTGATGCTTCCTTTTTTTGGTTAAATACTGTTCATGTCTTCACCCACTTCTCTTTTGATTCATAGTAATTATAAATGTGTGTGTGTGTGTGTGTGTGTGTGTGTGTGTGTGTGTAGAGAGAGAGAGAGAGAGACTGATCCTTTGTCATTTTTAGGTGTTGCAAAGTTCTCCCAATTTTTGGCTTACTATTTCACTTTATGGAATTTTTTTAAATGAACATATGTTATTTTCATTGGCAGTCTTATAAACTTTATTTGACAGCCAGTGGTTAGATCTCACCCACACTGACTGTAGAATTTTAAGGTGATGACTGGTACGCAGGTAACCAGTGCATGAGTTTGTTTGGTGAATCTTCATTCTGACTGCATTTTCTGGACAACTGCACATGGTTACAGTATGGAACATTCTTTATTCCTTTGGCTCAGACAGTTTTGTTGAGCCTGGCATCAATGCACACATCTGGAGTACTTTCTCCTTTATGGCAAATTTCTTTGAGTGCTCAAGGGGCACACTTCTTAAAGCCCACTCCCTGGATGCCCTTGTAAATGTTGATGATGTATTCTTGGGTCACCACCTTGTTAAAGGCAAAATAGCTCTTCTTCTCACCATTATTGTTTGTGGGAGTCATTCTTCTAGGACTTAATTTTAATGTAGTCAAATTTGTCAATTTCTTCTTTTATGGTTAGTAATTTTTCAACTTTTCTTAAGAAATTCTCTTCTTTCTAGTCTATATTTTCTTTCTTTCTTTTAGTACTTAAATGTCTTTTTTAAAGATTTCACTGAAGTAAATATATACACATATAACTCACTATCTTTAGCATTTTAGGTATAGAGTTCAGTGGTAATAAATTTATATTCTTTAAAAATGTTGTCTTTACGTTTAAGCATATATTTCATCTGGAATGGATTCTTGTGTTATATGGCATGAGGTAGGGATCTGATTCCATTTTTCTCATATGAAAAACAATTGTGCTAGCATAACTTACTGAGCAGTCTATGAGTTCCCCTTTGATCTTCAATGCAAAGCCTCTCATAAATGAAGCTTTCACATATGAAGCTGCTTTTGGTCTATGTCATGGAACACTTTGTCTATTTCTATTTCCATACCTCATGCTTGATTTACTTTCTCTCTTTTGTTTTCTATTCTTTAGACTTCCTCTAAGGATCCTGGATATTTCATTTCATACTTTGCTTATGTCCCAGGTCAGCCAGTTCCTGAGGATCATCCTGATAAACTCCACAATGGGTCACTAACAGGGCCACTTCTTGCTCATGGTAATTTCTCCTTATAGCACTTGCTAGTACATGATATAGTCCTCATCATCACCAGGATGACAGTGAATAATGGGAGTGAAGAGGACAAACATGTTCTGTTACTCTTTCTCTAAGATCCTACTGACAATTTTTTTTTCAACTTTGCCACCATACCACTCTGTCAACTTAAATTTTTTATTTTAAACTGCTGTCATCCTGTCTCCCCAAACCCTGCATCCTGTAATTTCTAACTAAGTTTTGGATATTCAGTGCAGTACTTTATAGTTTCTTCTGTAAATTTCATCTGAGTCCGGGCACAGTGGCTCATGCCTGTAATCCCAGCACAGCACTTTGGAAGGCCGAGGCAGGAGGATCACTTTGAGGCCAGGAGTTTAAGATCAGCCTGGGCAACATAGTAAGGCCCTGTCTCTACAAAAATAATTACACAAATAAATTCCATCTGATTTGTTTTTGCCCATTTGTTCAGATTCATTTTGAAACATGATTATGTCAACTATCTACAACCATTCAATTGTGATGATAATTCTCTCGTCTTCACCCAAATCAATAAATTTTTTGACAGGACAGAGCTCAATGGGAGATTTCTACATACCATTTCCTCAAGTGACATTGATTAATTAATTAACTATTGTCCAATTCATTCATTCATTCTTTGTCATTCATGCCATATTCTACAGTCTTACCCTGAGGATATCTTGTAAGACTTTGTCAAATACCTTGCTGAAATAGGGATATGATGCAACCTTGCATATATGCATATAACTTACATATAATATATGTTATATTACATATATATATCAAGGTGAATATATTTAATATATTGATATATATGTATATGTAATATAACATATAGTATATATGTCAAATACCACATATCATATATCACATATTTATGTCTCCTCCCCAACTCTGTGCTACCTCTTCTTGAATACCTCATAATTTTCTTTTAATAGTACTCATAAACCATGTATTAAAATGTAACTTATAGAATTAGGGGTTTTATGGCTATTTTATGGGATATTGTTTTCCAAACCTACGTTTCTCCCCTCACTGCCCCAGCTCCTTCTTTTGATAATCAAGAAAAAATTTAATTTTCTTATATATCAAAACAATTATTTATTGCTTGTTTGTTTTTTCCCATTATTTCTGAAGATCCAATGCATCTGAGCCTAGAGACTTAAACATATATATGTGCTTACTTTTTTTTTTTTTTGGCTTACCTTCAATCTTCTTATTTTTTCAGTTTCCTACTAAAATGAACCATTTAAGGTATCTTTTTTGCAGTTTGGAGAGTATTCTTCTTGATGAAAATTACAAAAGAAACAAGGAGAGACATTGTTTCTCTTCCTCTTTGTCTAATGCTAACATTGCACCATCTGGCTCAAGCTGTGGGTCTAGCCTTTCCTGTTCTTCTTGCCTCGAACATAACCAAAAACGCATTTTGATAAGCTCAGCATTTTCTCTGCAGCTTTAGCTCATCTTTTGCTCCTGCTTTATTGATGTTATCCTGATATCTGATCATGATGCTGACAAACAAATTGGGCTAGGAAGAGTTTTAAAAACTTGCCACCACCTGGTGAAACTGAACCTTAAACAAACAGCAACACTGCTGGTAACACTGGCAAGTTCCACTGAGCGCTTATTCCCAAAAGGCAAATGGGGGCTAAGAGACAGGCTTGATCACTTGCAATGGAAATACATATGAGCTCTGTGCACAATGTTGCTATCATACAGCAAAGAACATTCTTTAGCCAATCTCTGTAGGATGGCTCTGAAATAGCATCTGTGCCTGAGAATAGCAACACTGTCCAATGTGTCAATGTTCAGTGCTTAGCTTAATGCCAGGCACATAGTAGGTACTCAATAATATTTTGTTTATTGACAGCAGGAGGACAATGCATGTTGTAGGAGAGGAAAAAGATTAATTCCTTCCAGTCACATGAAGACTGAAGCTTAGTATATGGATTTAATTTTTCATATTATCTTTGGACTGATTTGATATATTTTACTTTAAAGACTTACCACTTTGATCCACAGGGAACCATTAGTGGTGAAAACATGGAATATGCTTCTTGGAAAATGCATTGCTTCAACAGATTAAAGGCACATAAGCTGGAGCAAGTATGCAAACCTTCCTAGTTTGAACTAAAAAGAAAAGAAACAAAGGAAGGAATTAATGGAAATTTTCAAATCTAAGTCTCTTCTGATATTTCAAGGAAAACCTCAGGAAGTGAATCAAGAAAGAATAAGACTAACCAAATCTTCTTGGTTAAAGATACTGTGATACTATGATTCAAGTTCAAACATCCAAGAAAGGAATCTACTATTTTCTTTTTAACATTAGTTATTAAAACTGTCTTAATACTCTCTATTAGCTTACAGGAAAGTTAAAATATGAGTCAATATATGATGTACTACAGGGTTTTACAGAAATAAAGTTATTTAACAACTATCTCAATATTGTGTGTAATAATCTCTAAATTTGCTCAAGTAGTTTTGGAAATAGTCATGGCATAAATGATAGGTTAATTTATCAATTTTCTGCTTATTTGTATGGATTCTATATCTCACTATTCATATTTGCTAAGCATCCATTCAAATTAAGACCCTTTTTTGGTTATAAAAAGCACACAATCATATGAGCTACGTTAACTGGTTACTAGCTGGAAGGGAGAGGTTTACCTCAGTCACAGATCCAACTTCAGTGCAGGGTTTGCTATTTTTAATCACAGAACTTAGAAGCTTAATTCAGTTAAAAAGAGAGGAAGTTGTCAAGGGAGGGTTGCTAAAAGTTCATGCTAAATTTGCTTAGAACCAGATTGTGTTCATTAATATTTATACATCTATGGTTGGGAAGGGGTGATTGTGCTTCTTTAAAAACACTGGGTATTCATTTTCCATGTATGGCACAGCCTTCTGATTAGGGAAGGTGGGTTTTCATTGTACAATCAATGGAGATACAGATGGAAACCATCTGGCGCCTCATCCCCTTTTTGTCAAAAACCTTGTCTTGTCTCTCACATGTCAATGATGAATGGAAGGATTTCAAACTCTAGCTGAACAATGCAGTTTGAATCCCTCAGCTAGCCAAGGGGTTTTTGGCAAGCATCGATGAGCTTAATATTTTAAAGAAACCAGCAATCATTTTAATTCATTAGTTGAAGCCTGTTGTTCTAGACAGTGTTTTTGATTTGTATTTTGGGCACTGGCTTTGTTTTTGATTCACAAGCGTATTCCATATGGGTATATTTTCTTTTATACAGTGTAAATCATGGGGATAAAAGTGGGAGTTTCATCTGATAAAATGACCAAAATGCTGAGAGATTCTTTTAATTATCTTTTGCATTAATTATGATTCATATTAAGTGTTAAGACCAAAAATTTTCTTGTGAGCTAGTACAGAGCATGAATCAGAGAACACAGAATTTAGTTAACCCAGCTATAGACAATTAATCTAAAAATCAATTCAGTGTTCTGCTTTGTGAGAGGAAACGACATAAACCTGTCTTAGAGCATCTCGGGTACACTATTTTTATGGCTTGTCTGCTGAAGGTGGGTTTCTAGGATGGAAGCAAAAAAATCGATTCACATGGCTAGCTTTGCAGTCATTATTCAGCTAACAAAAGCCAGATTGGTTTTCCTGCCCTTCACATTTAATAAAATGAGGTGAATCACCAAAAAAGCAAGTTGATGCTGGAGCCTTATTCAGAAACTCATTTCCAGAGTATGTCCTGGGTTTGGTAGAGATTCAACCCAATTTTATATAACTACCAATATTGTGGTGGCCCCTATAGCAGTTATAGTCCCTACCAGTGACATTTGTGAGGGACTGTGGTTAAGAAAGGACATAACATAAAGTTATTTTATTTAATTATAATGATTACTGTGCTTATTACCTGCCAGCTACTCTTCTAAATGCCAGATAGATTATCGATAGGTAGCTATATGGATGACAGGTGAACAGGTATCATGGATAGATAGACACATAGATAGATAGGTAGGTAAATAGGTTTTACTTATTTAATCCTTACAACCACCCTGATAGGTAAGTTATATTATTTTCATCATTATACAGGTAAAGAAAGTAAGGACCAGAGGGATTAAGAACTTTGCCAAGACAATAGCTATTAAATGGTAGAGTGGGAATTCAAATCCAGAAAGGCTCTGAAATCTGTGTGCTTAACTCTTACACTTATCGTTTCTCATAGTCATCATATGAGGTAGAGGTTATTTTTGTTATTTCTGTTTGAAAGATGAGGAAACCAAAGCACTGAGAGGTTAAATTACTTGCCCCAGTCTAGGTTGTCCAACTGGTAGCCTGTAGAGCCAGGACTTGGGCTTTCTGTGTCTCATTCTCTTTGCACAATGGAAAATTTAGAATAATCCCCCATAGGCACCACAAGATCTCTAATAATCAGAGAAGGACTAAATTTTGTTCAGCATAGCTCAGGCCTAGGAAAGGAAAATGGATACTGATTGTTGCCAGATTTGCAATAGTGTAATCCAACCAAATTATTTATAGTTCTTATTAATAATAAATTGAAATTAACTCATTCTGATATTACTCAATTGAGTATTTATGATATTTTTCTTACCTCCAATTGTTGGTAAAAGTAATCCTTAATATATAAGGAGCATTTACAATTCAATAGGAAAAAAAGGTGCGTACTCACATTTTTTTAAAAATGGACAAATAATGAGAATAAAGAAATACAAATAGGCATTAAACAAAAACACAATGGCAAAAAGATTTAACTTCATTAAAGAAAAACCCTATGAAGTCATCCTTGTATTAAATTGACAAAGATTAAACAAACTAGTAATATATAGCAAGAACTGTGGTACAAAAGAATTGGCATTCTCATCCCTTGCTAAGGGTGCAGTTTTTTTTAAGGACAATTTGTCAACGTGCATCACTAGCCACTGTATGCTTTGATCCAGCAATACCACATCTTGAAAACTGATCCCAAGAATGGCATCATGGATGTAAACAATTTTAAAATAATTAATAGGAACATTATTTATAAAATCAAAAATTATAATCAACTGATAAAGGATGGATTAAATAAATTATGGCATATTTATATAATGGAATATAAGTCTACACCAAAAATATGATATGTTGATATGTACAAATATTATATTAAATAGTAGCATGTAAAAGATGCAGTGTGTGAAATAGAAGATTAAGAAGTTTATTTAACAGTATGCAAAATTTGATCTTTTCTTGTAAAAACCAAATTTATATCAAATGTTAATAACATTGCAAAGTAGGAGTTTTTTATTCTTTCTGCTTTTCTAATTAAAACACAATAAAAGTGAATTAAAGAATCAGAAATAAAACAATGCATTTACTTTTTTGAAGTTTTGCTACTAGGCTTTTACAATTTTTTAAAAAACAAGATACCTTGACAAGGAGAGAGAGAAGAATTCTAGGCTGTGAAAATTTATGTAGATATTGAGGAACAGTGAAGGTACATGGAGTCAGCCCTTATAATTCTTATCATGTAGCACAGTACTTCTCAAACTGTAGCCTGTGGCAGGATCACCTGGAGGCTGGGCCCCACCCCCTACCCTAGACTTTCTGATTCAGTAGGTCTGGGTGGAACCAAAGAATTTTCATTTCCAGTAAGTTCTCCAGATATTGCCAATGCTGCTTACTAAGGAACCCCACTTTGAGAACCACTGCCATAGAAACTTACCATGGCTTTGCCATTTGCCTCGGTTATAAAACTATTGATGCTTGGAATTCAATCCTAGGGATTATTTCAAAGCCCACACTCTTTCAACAATGTTTTCGGTCTTAGCTAGGTATTAGAATCCTATGGAGTATTTTTTTAAAATCCTGTTGCCTGATGTCCGCCCCAGAACAATTAACTGAAACCTCTGGAAGGTGGGCGGAGGGTGGGTAGACGGGCGGGAATGAAAGGATTCCAAATGCTTCTAGCAGCCAATCATGGTTGAAAACTTTTGTCCACCAAAACCCTTTCAAGCTACTATTCTAATATTTATTTCAGAAATTAAAAAGCTGTACTAATTTCAGAAATTAAAAAACTGAAGTCCTCTTCTTAAGTTAACTGAACTATAAATGCTTTGATGATTCTCAGTAACCAAGCAGATAGTTTAGTAAAATGATTCTCCATTGACATGCTTAATATGTCCCTGGAAAGCACGTTTATAAAAATTTCTCTATTTAAATATCTTGTCTTCTGCTGGGTTGGAACAGAGAATTTTCCTCTGAGAACCTTTTGTGGTGAAATAAGTAAAGGTTTTCAGTAGATCATATATACCTTGGTATTCATTTTTTCTTTTAGAAAGAAACCAAATTCAATAAATAGATGGCCATAAAAAGTACTGATTAACATAATTACCCATAATCATGTTACACCAGATATAGTACACAGACAATTGTATAGTACTATTGCTGTCCTTGGAATTGCTCAGGACTAACCTGATATTCATGTCTGCTTCACATATAAGGCATTAGTCTGACACATAAATGAACAGTGGCGCTCAACATCACATGTATGTCAAGAATGAGTGTTGAAGGGCATTGAATAAGTTGCCACCTTCTGAACAAGTTGTGTTTCAAATTTGCATTGTAGATTAATTCTTGGGAATGCAGAGTTTACTTGTCTATGGAAATAATAGTTGTGCTTTCCACTTTAAAAAAAAAAAATCTCAGTGCTGGGAGACTGGGAGCCAGGAGAAACTGACAGCAGAGTAGGGTTTTCTCACCAATTCTCCCTTTCTTTACCTCAGAAGTGTTCTCTCATCCTTCCCCATCTACTTCAGTTATCTATTGTTATATAACAAACCATCCCAAAACTTAGTGGCTTCAGATAATGATGATTTATTACTTCTTACAATTCTATGGGTCAGGACTTCAGGTAGGATTGGCCAGGCAGGTTTTGCTTCATTGGTCATTGATTGGGGGTCACCGACTCAGGCTTATTCTGCTGGTGGCTGGGCTGTGATAGAAGCCCCAAGAAGGACTTACTTAGTTATATGGTGAGCTGGTGCTTCTCATGTGGCCCACTGCGTAGCTAGTTTTGGCTTTCTCACAGCTTGGTGGTTTTAGGTTAGTCAGCCCTTTACACAGAAGCTGGCTTCAAAAAGGAAACTTCCAGTCCTCTCTCAAGCCTGGGGATAAGAAGTCCCAAGATCCAGAACATCACTTCCTCCACATTCTGTTGGTCAAAGTTACATGGCTACCCTAGATTTAAAAGGGAGGAGAAATAGACCCCTCTTTTCAAGAGGGGGTGGCATGTGCATATAGGGAAGGAAAAAATTGATGGTGGCCATCTTTGGAGATTATTTTCTATGTCACCCCTTCATTGTTGGATTCTGGAGGAGGTTGATGTAAGGCCTGAACTTTCCAGAGTAGAACCACCAATATGGTCATGTCCCCACAAGTAAGTTCAGCAGAGGCCAGGGAGGTGAAGAATCTTCAGCAGCAGCTGAAAAAAGTGAATGCACATTCGCCACGCACATCTGTCTTTTAGCTCCCATTTTGCCAGAAATGGAAATCTAAGCTTTCATCTGAGGAGGAAATTGAGGAGAGTGGCTGTATCAGGATTAGACTTAGCTGGGAATATCAGAAATCCAAAATAAAGGGAAGTAAAAGGGAGTTTATTTTCCTCATGTAAAGTTCAGAGGCAGGCAGTGCAGGGCTGACATGGCTTTTTCCACTCACCTCCACCTCCAAAACAGGGTTGGAAAATGACAACTCTCCCATAATTATTGCACCAATGAAATACATGTCCCAAGTCCAGATGACCACAATTCCTTCTTAGTGGGTCTTTTACTCTGGGAGATTATCCATCCAGGATACTAAGTTTCTCAAATGACCACTTTTAATGGAAACTGTGATAACATAGCACAGGCTTTGTGAACAATTAGATAGAATCTCAAACTTTAACATTTTTCCCAAGCTCCTCAAGCCTATTTAAATGTAAAATGAGTTATTTACTACTTTGTCCAATTTCCCTTTGTTTTTGAAAACTACATGAAATTATTTGTATAGTCATTGTTGGTTGAAGTAGTAAAGCAATTATGCACAGGAATAGATGAGACAGACACATAAATGCTACTTTAACCACATTCTTGTTGATGGGGAAAAAGGAACACTAGACTAGGAATCAGATTAGCATGCGCCTTGGAGCAAATCACTAAATGTCTTGGAAACTTCATCTCTTCACCTGTAAAATGGAGATGATAACGTAATCTGCAGACAGGGTGCTTTAGAGGAAGGGATCATTAAATGAGATGATGATGCAAATATATTAGAAAACAAATTGCCACTACAAGCTACAGATATTTTACTTCCATTAATTTCATTAATAGCATCATCATCATTTTATGTTGTAATAAAGGCAATTCACTATGCTTAGTTCTGAAGTGTCCATGCATTAAAATAATCAATGATGGAGATTCTGTCCATTTTGCATGCTTTTCTCTCTGGGCATGGGTGCCTTGGCAGGGTCCTGGGTGGCACGTCCTGTGGAAACTGTCATACATACAACCTATTGGATTAGTAAAGCCTGAAGACTTGGGAGATGTATAAGGGAAAGAAAGACAAGAAAGACACTATAATGACAGCCAACACATAAGTCCTCAGTGCTAGGGCCCTGGGTTAGTACTTTTTCCTGCTTTAATCTCTTTTCACCTACACCAGAGCCCTATGAAGAAAGTGTTATTATTAGACTCCTACAAGCCTTAAAGAGGTTTTTTTTTTTTAATGTGACTTTTATTTTAGGTTCAGGGGTACATGTGCAGGTTTATTACATAGGTAAACTTCTGCCACGGGGGTTTGTTGTAAAGATTATTTCATCACCCAGGTAGTAAGCCTAGTACCCATTAGTTATTTTTCCTGATCCTCTCCATCCTCCCACCCTACACCCTCCAATAGGCCCACTGTCTATTGTTCCCCTCTATGTGTCCACATGCTCTCATCATTTAGCTCCCACTTATAAGTCAGACATCAAGTATTTGATTTTCCATTCCTGCCTTAGTTTGCTAAGGATAATAGCCTCCAGCTCCATCCATCTTCCTGCAAAAGATATGACCTCATTCTTTTTTATGGCTGCATAGTATTCCATGGTGTATATGTACCACGTTTTCTTTTTCCAGTCTATGATTGATGGGCATTTAGGTTGATTTCATGTCTTTGCTATTGTGAATAGTGCTGCAATGAACATACATGTGCATGTGTCTTTATGACAGAATGATTTATATTCCTTCTGGTATATACCTAGTGATAGAATTGCTGAGTTGAGTGGTATTTCTGTTTTTAGGTCTTTGGGAAATCACCACAATTTCTTCCACAATGGTTGTAGTAATTTACATTCCCACCGACAGTGCATGTGTTCCTTTTACTCTGCAACCTTGCCAGCATCAGTTATTTTTTGACTTTTTAATAATAGCCATTCTGACAGGTGTGAGATGGTGTCTCATTGTGGTTTCGTTTTGAATTTCTCTAATGATCAGTGATGTTGAGCTTTTTTTCATATGCTTGTTGGCCATATGTATGTCTCCTTTTGAAAAATGTCTGTTCATGTCCTTTGCTCACTTTTTAAAGAGGTTTCTGAGGTGTGGAAGTTTCATAGAAAGTAGAATAGCTGAGGTTGAATCTAACACACTTCTCACCCTGTGCTGCTACTTCAAGTGCTCACCATGAACTTCAGCACTGACTAAACAAAGCCACAGAGAAGATTAGAGAGCATTCATTCCAGAGATAATCCCACCGCCAGGGCTGGACTACGTGGACATGTGTCCTGGGTAGTTCTTCAAAAGGGCCCCATGCTGAGTTGACTGCTCTGCTGGTTCCATCTTGAAGTCCTTAATTGCTTCTGAGCAAATGGCCCCATATTTTTGTTTTTCACTGGACCTCACAAATATTGCTGGTCCTGGGAGACACTGAGGTAACATGTGTAAGAGAAAAAGAAAGAAGGAGCTAACATTTGCTAAGCACTATGACATGCCAGGCATAAATTTATGTCATTTTTATACCCATTAACTAATTTCACTTCTAGGAAAACTCTGCAAGATAAATAAGTTCATCGCTTTATAGATAAACAGGTTCTCAGAGAGGCCAAGTAACTTGCATCGGTTACACAGCTGGGAAGAGGTGGAGCCTCGATTCAGGGCCTTCAGTGCTCTTATTCTTTTAACCCCTCCAGACTGTGCCATGGTTGAGATAATAAATACCTACTCTTCCTGGGGGTATTATAATGAGGCAATTTTCTACCTCTGCAGAAATACATTAAATATTATTAAAGGCATATAGTTTACAATAATGTAGAGTTGCTGTCTGCAAAACTTATTTCTGGTTGAGACAGACCTAATGAAAGATTCTCAAAGATAGAAGATGTGATATATAAATATGACCAAGTTATTTCAGAATTACTGGACAAAGGACTATGCAATGTTATTTTTATAAGCTAATTGCAGATTGCATCAAGGTTCTTAAATCTCTGCAGAGCAATGAACTCGGAGTCCAGAGAACTGAATTCTATTTTTAACTTTAGATAACCTTGGCTAAGTCATTTGGCTTCTCTGAGTCTCAAATAGGAATCAAAAGGGGAAGATCCAAAGCCATAGTAAAAAGGTTTTTATCATAAATGAACCCTAAATAGAATTTTTTAATGCCCAGGGCAGGAAGCCTAGATTGGCTTTCCATCTGGAGAGAGGTCCTTAAGTAAGAGGAAGGATAGGAATGAGAATAGAGGAGGGATCTTTTATCTCAATACCCTGAAAGTTCTTTGCTTGGCCAATTTTCTCACCTGTCCATGGGCCTTTAGCTGTCTGCCTCCAGTAGCTAGGGTCGCTGACCTGGGATAGCATTGAGCCTGCCACCAAGCTGCAGAGATAGTACAGGGTACTCAGTGAGAAGGGAGGAAAGGAGAAAGCTCTAAATTTTGCCAATATTCCCAATATTTCTCAATTTCTTTTGCTTTCTTTTTATCTCGATGCCCTATGGGCAAAGACCCAGTGGCCATGTCCTAGCTATTGCTCTAAGATTGATTAGGAGTGGTTTCACAGTCATGGGTCTATGCTGAGCTGACAAGAATGCCCATGATTTATTAGTGATGTCTGTCATGGGCACTGCAGGTATGGGGGGTGATAGATGTGCCTCATATCTCGTCTATTAGATATTCACCATTCCTAGATTAAGGTAGTCTTTCCAGAAATATTTGTGGGATGACTGAACAGCCATTACTGTAAGTGTTAAATTTGTTGTACCTATGAGGAAAAAAATGTAGTCCCAAAAGTTAGCTAAGAAGTTTCCAGCTAATTGAGGGCATTGCCCTATGTACATGAAAAACATTTATATTTCTGTTGATTTCTTAGCATGTGGATCACAGAATATTTGTATTAGAATTACATAATAAGCTCTGTTAAACTACAGATTCCTGGGCCTCACCCTACTTATTTACAACATCTTTGGAGGGTAAGGCCTAGGAATCTGCATTTTCACAAATGTCCTTAGTGATTGGGGATGAAGGTGTGCATGTGAAGTGGGAGAACCATTGCTTTATAAGACTGGGTAAGAAAAATTATATTTTTTAAATCGGCAATATTTTCATTTACCATATCATAATCTAAACTAGGAATGAGCACCAGTTTTCAAATGGTGTTGGAATTCAGTAGGGGTTTGTAAAATACAAATAGTTTGATTAAATAAATTCTTCAGTGTTAAGTGGGGGTGGAGGTCTACATAAACAAAACTTGGGACCTAGATAAACCAAGCTTAAGGACAAAAAAAAAAAGTCTTTTAAAAGTCTTATGGTCATAGCTTATTCAACCAAGTAACACTAGGCAAGGTTACAGAAATACAGGTTTTTTTTTTTTTAATCCCTATACCCTTGACATGTGAATGTGCACATGAATGTGCAAACCATGAAAGGGGAACAGGGTTGCAGACTGCTATAACAAGAGCTGAAAGGTTGAAAGGTAGAATCGACTTTAAGCAAGGGTCATCTTCTGGGAGATAATTAAACAACACTAAGTTGATATGGGAGGAGGAGGGAAGGAAAAAAGATTATGAGAAGTATTTAGAAGGCCTTAGAAGAGGTACTCCAACTCAAACAAATAGTCACATGAGAGAAGGACAGTATTGTTGAAAGCACATAGGCTTTTGGCCTGGCAACCTGGGTTTGAATGTGACTCTGCCACTTGACTAGTCCTCTGACTGATTACAGGTAATGACTGAATTACTTAATTCCTCTAAATCCCCGTTTCCTCATTTGTGAATCTGGATAAGGATAGAACTTACTCAACCAGTGGCACAAGTGGTGATGAGAATTAAGAAGGAAAACAAATATAAAGTGCTGGCATGCGACAAGCTCTCAATGACATTTGTGGGAGAGAAGTCAAAGCTAGAATGACTTTCTCTTTTGAAGTATAGCTAATCAATATAGTTATTCCAATGTGGAATCATTTTCTTATGAGAGCGTGTGCGAAGTTCACCAAGGCTCAGTTGCTTATACCTGAGGAATGCCTTATTAACCCTAGACTTACTAATACGCTAACATTATATCAGTGATGATGAGATATCATTAGAGAAGGCACATTCCAAGGTCATCATACATCAATCGTCCTAAAAGGTCCTTGATAAAGAAATAACTAAATCCCTAGTGACATATCTTGCAAACACAGTAGTTGGAAACTGTTTCCTAAGTTTCTTATCTTCAATGATATTTTAAAATTAAGAAGTCAAAGACTTAAGTACTGTTTGTGGGAGTTCTGGAATTAGAAGCCCAGACAGGAACAGTGTATTGTGGCACTGACAGCCTGGCCTTTCTTATTTATTTTACATTATTAGCGTGTTCTCTCAAGCCTACTTGCATAAATACACAATTATATGTATTTAATGAATTCACTCTTAAACAGCTGTAGAAAATGTGCTTTACTAATAGGGGGGCATCCAGTCAGATAAAGCAGTCATAACGCGTTGCGCGTGTGTGTGTGTGTGTGTGTGTGTGTGTGTGTGTGTGTGTGTGTTGGTTTAAAATTTCATGAGTCAATGGAGGATAAATATGCATAAATGAAATATATATTTAAAAGCTGCCTTTTGAGCCTGTAAAAGCTACTTTTCTTTCTGACACAAAAGAAATATCTGCTTTCTTATATAAAGAGAATTATTGGACAAATTGAGTCCATGTTCACAAACATTAACGTCTAAAGCAAAGCAGTTAGAAATAAACTCTATCTAGTCTATTGAGTCTCAAAATTCAGCCCATTATCCAACTGGGGAGCTTTTTACAGTGCAGATTCCTGGGCTCACCTTAGGAGATTGATTCTGTGAGTCTGGAGCAGGGCCTAGAAATCTGCATTTTTAGCAGCCCAAAGTGACTCTGATCCAAGTGCTCTAAGTATCAGAATTTCAGAAACTGCATTTTATCCCTTCTAGCCTGAAAGGTTCATTCAGGGATAGAACGAGGTTAATAGGTTGCTCGATTAATACAGAATTGGAGCAGAGGAATAGACTGTTCTGAAGGGAGAATCCTATATGAAACCAAAAGCAGCACCTATTAAACAACTGGATTAGTCTTTTATAAATAGAGCGCTTTATGCATTGGACAGACTCCAAGGAAAGCAAACAGATTCTTGCCCTTGTTCCTCCTTTTTAATCCCCTTTACTGTTCATTAGTACTTCATCCTACAAGTACAGTTCCTGAAAAGCAGCTCCCAGTGAAGTTTAGGAGTCACTTGGAGCCCTTGAAGATATCTTCATCCCATCAGCGAGCCATTTACACATATTGCCCTGGAGAACGCTTCTACTGGCTACTGTATTCTATTCTGTGTGCCTTCCTGATAGCGGATACTGGCTACTCTGGATTCAAGTATCTCTTCTTCTAAACTTGTATCCCTGTGTCTTTTGTTGTATCTACTCCTTACAGGTCCTTGACTCCATATGAAAGCACTTAGGGGAAAAAAAATTAAAAGTACGTTTATATAAGGCAGTATTATTAACATACTTTTTATTTGCCTCAAGGTCATTGACGTGAAATTTCACAATTGCACTCTTGAATATACAACATAATTATATTATGTAACAACTCTTCTGAAATAGTTTGGATTTCAAATTTCCATTCCATGAGCACCATGAATACATATTCATACTTGTTGGATCATGAGTCTAGATTAGTGGTTCAGAAACTAAAGTCATTAAGCATTAACTGGGTCCGTCATACAAAATCCAATAGAGTTCACTTATTAAGTATCAACTGAGTCTGTCTGGATCTGTATCAACTCAGTAAGTTCACTAAGTTAGGATACTAGCCATTCAGTATTTCCATAGCAAAAAGGCACAAGATACTTGAATAATGTTTGAACTCTATAATTCTACTACCATTGTTCCAGACTGCTGGAATCCCTTAATTTGAAATAAATAATTATTTTTATGGTTCTTTGAGAATGGCAGTCCTTTAATACCTTATAGTTTGGATTTCTTGAAATATTTTTTTTCTCAACTACATGTGCCGTTGAATTCATTAAAAAATTGTTCAGTAACAGTCCTTAACAAAAGTAGCTTCTGTGGTGTTGACAACCATGCCTTTTCCTTTGAAATAAAAACAAGTATTTATCCAAAACTAGGCAGAAACAGTTAACTTGATTAGAGAGCACTAAATTTATTGTAGAGTCAATCCTGCAAAATCAAAAGGGGATAGATTCCTTATGGACTCTTGCCTGATAAGATTTTTACCCTGTTTGCAAGCTAACAAATTAGCTTATCTCATTTCATAAATGATGGCAGAAAGAATGATATTCTTGGATCAGATATGAAGGAGAGTTTGTTAGTCACAGCAATAGCAGTAGCTGGAGTATCAGCATTTTCCTATGCCTGTTCCCTGAGTCCCAATTCCCACAAGGTAATGCACAGAGATCCAGGGAACACCTGTACATGCAGCAAGTTGCATTACTGGAAGGGACCCTGAGCTTACCAAACCTGAATCTTTTATAATGGGATGTTTAAGTATGCCTTGCCTTTGATGCAGCAAGAGACTGTCTCTACCCTTCAAGTTTCTTCAGTATACATTTTTGGAAAGCTACTCTGGAACAAAGGCAGTCAGAACCTCTATTCACAAGATGTGCAGAAACTTGAAAGACCGGTGGAAACTTGCCCACCAAAAATGCCATGGAAAATACTGTGTTTTTGAACACATTAACTTGAGCCTTTTAGAGATGAGTTTCAGCTAATGCCGTTTCATTTTAGACATTTTATTTATTAGAAAATAGACAGATTTTCTAGGAAATCACTTTTTCTACCAGAATGGGTACCATTTGTTAAGGTTACTAATAATACAGTATTCATGCAAATATTTGTTTTTCTTTATTTTCCTCCTAATATAATGCATCTCTCTCCAGAATACAGCTGAAGAGATGTTTTATATTTTACCCCTTTAAGTGATCATTTAGTATAGGAATTACGTGGCTGTTGCAGATTTCGGTATTCTAAAAGACAAAATTCAAAACTGAATTCTCTGGGAACATTGAAGCATATCCTGAAGCGGCAATATTTTTGTTTGTATATTTTTAAAAATATCTTGTAATTTGGCTATGTCCGGATGGCTAAGGAAAATATTTTACTTAACTTTTTTTTTGGCCTGAATTATCACACAAGTGTTTAAGCATATTTTCCCTTGATTGTATTGTAGAGCTTTTAACACATAGATATGTTCTGTTTATTTAACATGCCTGGAAGGACTCAGGAAGGAGAACCAATAAATACGTTCTTACCATTAACTTTGGGCTTCTGCCGAATTGACTTTGTCAAGTAAATTTGACATGCTTAACACTGGGAGTGATTATTTACCATCTTCTGAATTAATATAAAGAATTCACAGTCAGATTTTTGTTCTTGCAAACAGACTTTTCTCTTTAAAAAGATGTGTTTTCATGGCTGCATATTATGTTTCAGTTATGCAATGTCTTTCCTGAATTCCCTCTTTGCACCAGTGCCATTGCTATTAGGGTGAAGTTGATGGAATGCACTGTTTCCATTTGCTTATACAAGTGAATTGCTACTCTCTATATATCTATTTGAAACATAACTGAAAATGCAAATATACTATGGAGGTCCAATTTTTAAAATATGGAGTCACGCTCAATTAACAGTAACAAACTTGTGTGATCTTTATCTTTCCTGTTTTGTAGAATTAATAGGTAATTGGTTTTCTGTCCTTGCGATAGTTTGCTCAGAATGATGGTTTCCAGCTTCATCCATCCTTCATACAAAGGATATGAACTCATCCTTTTTTATGGCTGCATACTATTCCATGGGGTATGTTCTCACTCATAGGTGGGAATTGAACAACGAGAACACTTGGACACAGGGTGGGGAACATCACACACTGGGGCCTGTCGTGGGGTCGGGGATGGGGGAGGGATAGCATTAGGAGGTATACCTAATGTAAATGATGAGTTAATGGGTGCAGCACACCAACATGGCACATGTATACATATGTAACAAACCTGCACGTTGTGTACACGTACCCTAGAACTTAAAGTATCATAAAAAAAATCAGAGATGAAAAAGAAAAAAAAAGTTAATAGGTCAATGTTTTTAATTTCAATTGTGAATATTAAGACTGTTATTGAGTGGCATTTGGATTTCTTTATTTTTCTAAATATATGTGGCAAATGCTGCTGCCAATACTTAAATATAAACATATTCTCCCTTTTTTTAATCCCCAAAGAATTTACCATATAGAATTCTTTGAAGAGGATTAGAATGTGGACATATTTTTGGGGAGACCACCCTTCAGCCCACTACACCTATCCTGAGCAACTTTTTAACCTCATATTGTAACACAAGAATGTTTTCATTTTATTAAAATTCTTTGCAAATATCTTTTCAAATGGTCCTTAACATTTGCTGGATGCATCACAATGATCACTTCAACTATTGTTGAACATAAGAAATTGACTATTTAAAATAATATTGCAGTAAACATTTTTGTGTATAAAGCTGTTCTTCCATATTTTGAGATTGTTTCCTCCTTAATTTTTAGAAGTGAGTTCAGTGGGCCAGAGGGTTGTACCAACTTACAATCCACCTATAATGTAAGAAAGCCTCTTTAACTGCTCCTTTGTATTTAAAGTTTTTTTTGGTAAATTGATAAGTGGAAAATGGTATATTATTTAAATTTGTATTTCCTAGAGCATTAATACAATTAGATTTTTTTCTCACATATTTTAAATGGAATATTATTCATTTTTAAAATTTTCTGTGTCCTCTGACCAATTATCTATTGGCTAATGCTTTTTAAAAATATCTTAATAATCTTGTATGAACTTTAAATTGTAAAAATAGTGACTTTTAAATTTGTGCCGTAAATGTTTTTCTGAGTTGGTGGTTTGCTCTTGAATTTGATAATTTGTGATAATTTGATAATTTGGAGTTTGGACAAATGTAAATATCCCTTTTCATTTATGTTGGGATGCTTTACTGAGGTTTTCCTTTGTATTTCTCCCACTTGACACAGTAGGAGAATATGAGAAAATCTTCCTATATTTGGAGAGCCAGTGCATTTAATTTTCTCCTAGCTTTGTTTGGTAACTCTTTAATCCATCTGTACTTTTATTTTGATACATGAAGAGAAGTGAGATAACTTTTTCCAAACTTTTCCCAAGCTCCTAAACAGTTATCTCAAAATCATTATTATTGAGTAATCCATCTCTTTACTGTTGATTTGTGATGACTTCTTTGTAATTTTTTAAAGCTTCTCATATAAACTGGGGTTTATTTGGAAGACATGTATTTTATCACATCTATCTATTTTTGGCCAATATGAGAGACTAAAATTATTGAAATTTTAAGCTATGTTTTAATATATAAGCAAATCAGGTCATGAAGTTCTCATTTGTCTCTAAATCAGATAAGACTTTTGTTTAAATAAAATGCTGTCATCCATGTTATAAAAGCAAATTAGCTAGCATATGGATTATCTTGCCAATAATTAATATCAGCCTTTATTGCTATAAATTAGCACTAATATTTTTTAATAACTCATAATGGAGTACTCTGTACATGTCATGTTTATATCTTTCCCTCTCCTGCACCTATCCTATCTCCAAATTCATTGCTAAATAATATACTGTATTTAGAAACGTCCTGAAAACTTGATTTGACACAAACTCTTTCAGGGTGCTGATTTCTTTCTCCCTCAGCCACAGTAATGACCCGATGCTACTCAGCTGATCAGATCCCTGCATTCTGATTTGGTTATTTAGATCAGGGTTTCTCAACCTTGGCACTGTTGATATATGGGGTTAAATAATTCTCTGTTGTATCCTACACATTGTAGGATGCTTAGTAACATCCCCCACTAGTTTCCAGTAGCACCATCCTCTTTCTCCATCCCCATCCCCACCCCTAGTGTGACAACCAAAAAATGTTCCCAGGTATTGCCAAATGTCTCTTGTGGGACAAAACTGTCCCCACTGAGAGTTATTGATTCAGATAAAAGTAGTCAGGCAGCATGTAGCGTAATAAATTTAACTTTTATTCATTTATTATTATTATTTATAATATTAGTAATACAATCAGGGTAGATCTCGAGCCTTCCAATTAATTGCACAATGGTCCACTATCATTGGGCTCACAAAAATTAACCCCAGGGCATTCTGCTTTGCCATGTGATTTAAATATGACCATAGTAAGAACAGTGACATTATGATTGCTCAAAGTAAAACATCTCAGAGATCTCTTTTGGCTCACCTGTCCCTACTTAACCTATGTTGATGGTAAATTTGAAAAGTTGTCGATTTGATAACCATATTGGTACATGCAAATGAATTATGCCCTGAATTTTAATCTAATATTTTTTGATATTGAGAAAATGGCCCAAATTTTAAGACCGTCATTCTATGAATCATCTTGCCTTTGACTTTAGCATATAACCATGGCTGTCTGAGCCAGTTAGCTCAGAGGGGTTTTACAAGATGATAATGAGGCCAATGTTGCAGTTTCAATTAGCTTCACAGAAGAAAAAGCCAGCTTCACAGCAGCAGACTGCACTGCTAACCCCAGCCACCACACTCAGCCAATGGTCAAAAGAAAGAGGAGAACAGAGAATGTTGCCGACTCAGCACTCCCAGGACCATTTAGCCTGGACAAGTAAAGGTCATATCTCTTTGATGATGATGAACCATCCGCATTATATTCCTACACCAATTCACTGCAGAAACACATAATGAAGAGTACTCTCTAAATCAGAGCTCCCTTTATAGCCAACATAGATCATTCAGGCAAAGACTTTTTTGTTAAAAATTTTGTTGTGAATTAACAAATAGGATAGCTGCAGTTTTAGAAGGTATTTAAATAACTTTTACTTTGCTTTTGAATTTGCAGTATTAACCATGCATTTGAAGTAAGTACATTTTGTCCACTCATGAAATTATTTCCTAATAGTTCACTTAAAGGAATGGGTCAAATGAGCATAAATTTGCCTGCCATTATGTAAATATAATGGCTCATCAGGTAATTTTCTTCATTGAAATGGGAAGACTTGTATAAGTGTTGAAATGGAGACTGAATTTTACTTGCATTTAAAATTTGTTTTTTATTGTCAAAGGGGTATTTACAGGGATCCCTGGGACAAATTTTCCTAATATTAATGTATGTGTTATACAAAATGTAGCCACCTTGGAAATACGGCTCTCTGCATCTATTTTTTATTCCAAAGATTGTACTCAATTCTGCTTTTGGAATATTTGCATTTTTGCTGCTGACCTACTGCATGGAATTCAATGGAGACCCATGAAACTAGGCCAATTTGGTTTATAGTCTCAATTTCAGAATGAAGACACATTTGCTTCTTTCTATTTACCCCTGGTCTTTGAATTTTGATCATACTCATCCAATCCCAAGCCACATTTTCCCAGTAGGGAGCTTCTGGAGGTTAATATTATTTTTCTAATGATTTTCCTTTCTCACTGCTTTCTAAATTTTTCTTCTGGCTTATCAAGAAAGGCATAGGAATTTTACCAGCAGTGTTGGTAGTATATTCTGGTAATGAATAGATATTCAGTTTCAGGCTCTTCTATTCAAAATGTATTCATCAAAATGCAATCAACTTTCATAGCCTATGGAGAAAATAGCTTTTAGAAATTGGCATTTACCTCACCTCATCAAAGGTCTGCTTAACACATTGAAATAATCTGAATGAATAGCAATAGGTAAACCAGACAGATTGAGCCTTGAATGCAGGAATGTCTACAGATATTTCCATGGACTGTTTCTTACCCAGTGAGTTCAGGAACATATGGAATCCTGGCTTTCAGGGGTATTTTTTACATTATTTTCTACAGTTGTAGCTGCATGGGTACCACATTTTCCCAACTGCTTGTTTGTTAGTATTGTGTTCAGAATCTCTTGTTTCAAAATGCATGATGTTCTCCTCTTTTTAAAAATCCTAATATTTTTCAAGTGTTTCTGTGTGTCAGGCACTGTGCTAAGCACTTTCATGGATTAGTTCATTTAATTCATTTAATTTTACAGTGGCCATATGGCATACACTAGCTACTGTAATTCTCCTTGTACAGCTAAGGAAACTGAGGGGTAGAAGTTAGTCAGAGGCCCAGGATAATACAGCTGATACTAACACATGACAGAGCCAGAATGTGACTTAGTTCTGTATGAATCCAGAGCCCATATTCTTAACTGCTATGCTATATTGCCTCCCAGAAGTCATTATCACAAAGGGTTTGCATTATTTTTTATTTCCAATAATAACATAATTTTATTTGTTCATCATACTTGATTTAAAACAAATAAAAATGATACCCAAATATCTTTCATATCAACCAAACCAAGACTCCTATAGAGTGGAGCCTGTCTGTGCAAATTTAACTTACAGTGGGGCCTTTATCTTTAGTTTTCATGCGTTTAAATCTGTAGTCAGGGATTGGTTCATGTTTTGAGTCATCGTATTTCACTCCCTATGACATTTCGGGTACCTAAAACATGTTCACTGATGTTTTGAAGAATGGAATTTCCACCACTTCCTTTAGAAGACTATAAATAAAAAATGATAGAAAGTGTCAAACTGTAATTACATTGAGGGTTTTAGTAACCTCATAAACCATAAGAATGAAATACCAAAAAAATTTTTTTCAACTGCCACCATCAAAATCTCATTTGCTGATTCCATTTTTGCAGCATTGATGGAAGTAATCCAGTTAGGCTGACATTTTTATAGAGTATAGTTTAATGTTCAAATAAGCCCTGTGTTATTTCACCATTTTTATTTTTTTATGGAAAGGATTTTTTTTCTTCTGTAATGATTTGAACTGTGTTATAAAGTAAATGAAAATGTGTCTTGTTGGTTGGATTGTGACTCCAGCAGACACATTTTAGTTGATGTAAAGGTCTTTGCCATAATCACAGTTGATGTTTACAAATACACACCTCCTTTAATTTTTAATGCTGATTGTATTTCTTAATGCATCTAATCACAGAAAATCTGTCAAAAAGGAAAGCTTTGGTCTCAAACATATGCTTGGGTTTCTGTTAGCAGGAAACAAATGTCCAAATATGATTGCATACCAGCTCACACACATGCTCATGCACGTGCTCACACTTGTACTCAAGTATGGATCCAAGTGTGAACCTGGTGACATAGTGGCACTTAGAGCCAAATACTAAACATATGTCGAAATTTGGTGTGATCACAACAGCAGAATGGTACAATATTGTTTCATTCATTCTGATGCAGGAAGAGAAGCCAAATGACAGCAAATCATGAAACAAATGTTACTCCCTTCTCAGAGCGTTATGTCTGAATAATTGAGTGAAAAATAAGACCAATTTGTTTCAGTCTGATTTTCTTGTCATTGGTAAATTGATGGATATATTTCTATTCACTTCTAAGAGAAAATAAGCTGACAAACCTTTAATGGTTGAGACATGTTAGATAAAACTGCTGGTATTTGATGGTTTCTGCCCTATAGATCAAAATATGTCTATCATTCATCAAAAAATAGTATTAGCAAATTCAGTTGTTCAATCTGACAGAATGTTTATTGTATTCATTTTCTCCTTTTAATATTTATTTCTAGCTGTACTTTTTAAAAGATGGCATACTTTTTAATCATATGAAAAGGCATAACTTTAAAGATGGACCTCATTCATACGAATAACTTGTTTATGAGTCAAATATTTTCGATATATTTTATCCATGAATTCCCTCATGAGTGCTCAAGATAGAGCAGTTGATCGTCACTAGCAAATTTCACCAAAGATGAGAATTACAATTATTTCTGTATCCTTTGGTACCTTGGCTAATAGACAAGAGTAAAGAGAAAAGTAAATGGTGGCCAAATGATAACTCCTCTAAGAAATCCTCCTATACCATGCTAGGAAGTTACAAAGAGACAAAATGGCACATCAGTTCATAGAATGAAAATGCCTTTGAGATTATCCAACGCAACAGTTCTCAATGACCCAGTAAGAGGGTCTAGATTCATATGAATAGGTTGCCATGAGCAGCAAGGTCTCTTGTATGCAATTTGTTTCTAATGTTCAAAGTACTGAAATCAGCTAATTATTTCATTCTTTTACAAATTAAAATGGATTTGAAATTATCCTTTTAAAAATGTCACACTAACTCACTAGAATTGCAAATCATAAAGAAGTGCAGTGTCAGCTGGTAGGTCTGGTATTATATACACATCCCCTGAAAATATGTTTGGGAATGAATCGCGCATGAAAATATATGGGTGATATTTCTTACCGGAAAAAAAAATGTTTGCAATCTGTGGATCTAGGCACCTCCCACAACCTTTCCCAGGATCAGCAGCAATTGCGGAATTCATAAACAGAAAGTTGACATGTACATGGAATCAGCAAAGGGTCGTATTCCTGAGGGACATTTCTCCAGGGCATGGTGGGGCCTGGAGAAATGCCTATGCCATCGCTAGAGGACACGTTTTTCATAACTGGATGCTTCTAGCTCTTGAGCTCTGTGTTTTCTTCTTGTGGACAGTGCCCAATACCCACTGCCAAAGTTTGTTTTCTCAGTTCAGTTTATCTAAAGTGGCCATGCCCCAGAAGTTGACCTTTTCTTTCTTTGGATGTGCTAATATCATGGATTAAGCTCCATAATTGGTCTTGGTCCAGTGGCTATTCCCATAGACCTAGAAGTGTTAACTTAATTAGCTCAATTGCAGGAGAACCTTATTCTTTTACATATTCACCTGTTATGTAGATGGTTGGATGGCACTTCACTGTTGCCCCACTTACCAAGAAATTAAAATCTAAATCTGATTCCAATTGTTTTGTTGCTGTTTTCAACTGCATGATTGTGATGTCTCTCTCTATTATTTAGTGGAGTACATTTATACCAAATCTCATTTTTAATCTTATTTTATGTATCTCACTTTGTTATTTATAATTTGCCTAAGTATATCATCTTAACAGCTCTAAACTATTCTAGGGATAGAAAAACATGTGACTATCTCAATTTCTTTTTTTTTTTAAGAGTACAAGCAAACCTAACAAAGATGATACCAAACCCTTATAAATCAAACTCACAAGTTAAAAAAATTCCAAGTAAAATTCTGGCAAATTTAGTCTTGCAGACATTATAAACAATAACAAACCATGACCACAAGAGCGGATTCTTAAAAATGCAAGAAATTTTTACTACTAGAGAAATCTGCTGTTACAATAGATGCTATCAATAGGTTAAATGAGAAAATTTCTATCATTTTTATAGGTGACCAAAGTACTTGATTTAATATAATTGCTGATAAAAACTCTTAATGTAACAAACATAGAAGGTTAATTAGTTTTAAAAGATTCTTTTTTAAAAGATTAAATATCCACTTAATTATAAAATTCTCTATATATTTCAAAATGAGAAATAAGAAGGAATATAAATTAATGATAATTTTTCTCAAAAGTCTAGCAAATATAATGACAAGGAAAAAAGGTCATGTGATTAGGGAAGTGAAACAAATCTCCATTTGTCTGTACTGAAAATTTAAAAGAATCAACTGAAAAAAGCTATTAAAACTGTCAAGCATTTAATATAGTATCTACTTAAAAATCAAAGTGTACTTGTTAGTCATAATCAATTAGAAAATAAACAAAAAACACATATCACATTAGCAACTCTAAAATAGAAAATAACTAGGACTAAATATAAAAAGAAATTTATAAGACCACTTTAAAATATATATAAAATAATTTGGAAGATGACATTTAATAAGAAAATATTCTATACTAATTGACAGAAAGAATCAATATTTTAGAAATATAAATCTCCCCAAAGTAATCCAACAATTTAATGCAACTGAAATAAAAATTACTGGGCGATTCGTTCAGTAATGTGACAAAATACTTTAAAAATTCATGTGGAAGAAAAAAAAGCAAAATAGTCAATGAATTATTAAAGTAATCAATGTTCCAAAAAGGTTAAGAATAATTATATCAAAAGAAAAGACTTGATCAAGTTGCTACATAATATACAAAGCTGTATACAATGAAAAAAACTGTAAACAAAATTAAATGGCTACAAATGCAATGGGAAAACATCTACAAGACATAATTTTTAAATATATAAAGTAGTATTACAAATATGTAGTAAAGACACTGGATTCCTATGAATCCAATAGACCAAAGGCCCACAAACTTTTTCTGTAAAGGGCAAATAGTTAATACTTTTGATTTTGCAGGTGCCACAGTCTATTTTGCTACTACTAAACTCTGTCCTTGTAATTCAAAAGCGGCCATAGACAGTCTGTAAACAAACAGTCATGACTGTGTTACAGTAAAACTTTATTTGTGAAAATAGGAAGTGGTCCAAATTTGGCCCACAGAATATAGCGTGCCAACGCCTGCAATAGACCTGTGACATGTTTGCTGCCTATATTCCAGATACACTTAAAAGCAAGCATGCTCAACATGAGGCTTGTTGAGAAACAGGATGCTCAACAAATATATGCTGAATGAACAAGTGAATAAATAAAAGAAAACAACCCACGAAAACAGAAACTAAAGTCACCAGTAAACATATAAAATTGTTCAAACTCACACAGTGAAAGAGGCAAATTAAAATCATGATAAAACATTTGGTTACTCTTGGATTCACAAGGTCTGCTTGTTTTTTCTTTAATGATCATTCTTAGGTTTGGTAAGGTTATAGACTAATGCATAGCCTCATATGCTGCTGGTAGGCTTTTTTACTTTTATTTTAGTTATATACATAAATAAGAAATTAATTAATTAGAAAATAATATAAGGAGATCTGTCTAGCCCTGGATTGGCAGTCCTCAAATTATTTGATCTTATTCTTAAAAATTGTTGAGAACTCCAAAGAAATTGTGTTTATTAATGTTTCTAATGTTTCTTTACCACATTAGAAATTACAAGAGAAACATTTAAAATATTTGTTAATTCATTTAAAGTAGTAATAATAAATTCTTTATATGTTGCCATAAATAACATTTTTCATGACAATAGTTAAATTTTTGCAAAGGAAAAATAACAAAAACAAAAAATGATTGAGAAGAGCAGCATTGTTTACAATTTTGCATGTCTGGCCTAATAGAAGTCAACTGAATTCTCATATCTATTCTCATTTTGCTTTCATTCTATTGTGGTATGCTTTTTTGTTGAAGTATGTGAAGAAAATTAATCCGCAAACAGTTATGGCATTGTAAAAAGGAAGAGTATTTTATTAGCCTTTTATGATAAGTGTGAAAATTCTGCTTTGATACTACACCAAAACTCAACAAGTTGTAGATTCTTCAAGGACAGTTGCAATATGGAGTTTGAAACCCTATCACTGAACTTTTTGTACCCTGTTACATTAAAATCCATTTGTTTATCTTGCACTTTCAATGGATCTTTTACTCATGCATGATTTTGTAATACCATGCATTGATTTAAAAATATTGGTTCACTGAGTTATGCAGATCTTCCAGATGTAGACACATTTCATTATATAGTACAATATTCAGGATTCTATTTATTACATCTCCACAGATCTGAGTAAAGTCTTTAACTATGGGAATCTATCAAGCCCACGATGGTATATATGAATTTTCCAAAATTCTAATTTTCATTTGAAAGCTTGAATTTTATCATTGGCGACAAATACTTTCAGTTGTTTTTGTTGAAGTGACAGACTCTTTATTCACTTTTGAGAAAAAGTGAAACACCCAAGTCTGAAAATCAAAGTTTGTTTCTCAGTGACTCTTTCAAGAAAAACTAAATTATGTTATATGAAGAAAGCAGGTAGTTCAGCTTACAGTTAATCAGTCACACAAGTGCTTTTCCTCAAGACAACCCTCAAACTTCTATCTGCAACAGCAGTGCCATATGTATACTTGCCCTTTCGTCACTTGGAAAATTTTGTGCTTAATGGTTGAGATTTAATTAAAATAATTTTTACTGTTTAATCAAGGACATTTTTAAGTGGAACTGGCTTATTTTGTTTTTCTGCAATTGTATGGTGCGAGACATATAATGACTACGTGTTCAGGTGCTGCCGCTACCTTGATTCGTGCCACAGATTTACTCCTTACTGCTTTTACCAACAGTGCAAATGTCAACACAGTGAAAAAGTAATGCCTTAGTAGTATTATGAAAATAATTTTGGCCTCACAGATATCCTACAAGAGGCTTGGAGTCCCCCAGAATTTCTCGGATACATTGAGAACTGTGTCCTAGATTTGAGAAATGTTAACGTTTTATCTTATTTGCTCCAAAATTGTTTGTTAATAAAATTAATATTATGGATCCAGCTAAAACTCCTACATCTCTTCCCTAGTCTCCTTTTGCAGAGATTAACCGTTATGTTGAAGTAAGAGTATTCTTTCTGTACATGATTTTGTACTTCCCCTATGTATGTAAAGATCCACAACAGTATATTTTTATTTTGTTTTGAAAAAATTTTACATAAATGATTCCATTCTGTATGTATGCTTTTACCAAGATTTTTTCACTCAATGTTATGACATTCTGTTTTTCAGAGATCTATGTTGTTATGTATAGATCTAGCTCATATATTTTTCTTGCTGTGTGACAAATGTATGAATTTATTGCTGTGTGACAAATATATGAATTCCTGGATTAACGAATATTTAGATTGTTTCCAAATTTTTACTATTTTAAATATTTCTTTAAATAAGGTCACTCTAGGTGATCAATTGTTCTATCTATATTGTCAAGTTGTCTCCAACATGGCTTTATCAATTTACAGCATGGTGTGGTTCTAACCTGGTACTGTCTTTCTGGAGATAATTTGGCAGTGCGTATCAAATACTTCATAAAAAGGCGGAGTTGACATTTCTGGGTCAAAAATTATAAGAGTTGACCATAATGGTCATTTGGCCATCATTATTTATAAAACTGAGAACCTGGATAACAGCTTCTAGATGTTTAATGATAGGTAATTAGTTAAATAAATGGTAGTATCTTTTAGTTGATGATAATGTAGTCATTGTATATCCTAATTGTGTTTAATTGATACATTTTATATTTTATCAAAATGAGTGATAGGAAATTTTAATTTTCTTCTTTGTGTTTTTTATTTTCTACTTTTGTTATTGAGGAAATATGTTGTTACCAAAAAAAAAAAAAAAAGGAAGAAAGAAGGGTTGGTGAATATTTTGAAACCTCATCCCAAATTAAGTGTCAAATCAGACCAAAAAAGTAGAACAGCAGTTCCCAAATTTGACAGTGCACAGATGCATTAGAGAGCTTGTGGCAACCCCTCAAGGTGTTGATTTGGTCAGATTGGGGATCAATGACACCCTGAAATGCATAAACCTCACATATTAAGAAATACTAATTTAGAAACTAATTTGATCTGATATGCCTACATTGATGAACCATAAGGAGTCTTGTAATTTTCAATATTCTGCAGGCAAAAGAATCAAACAGTGGCTGGGGAAAAGTTCTACTGGTGCCTCTCCTTGTGTCGGCCAAAGCTGAGGGCAGGAGCCTCTGTAACATCCTGATGGTGGGGTTGGGGGCAGAGCTCTGTTTTCTAAAAACCTGTCCCAGACTTTACTTTCTTCTCCTTGGCTTAATCTGCCTCAGACTTTGCTTTCTTTTCCTTGGCTTTGGCAGCCTGCCCTGTAGCAGACAAGGTAAAGCCTGCAGGTGGTAGCTCAGGTGTTCATCCTCAGTTCTCTCCCAGCCCTCTTTCTTCTCTAACACCTGGGCCACTTCCTCTATTGAGCAGAGCTTCTCAAATTTGTGCATCAGAATCTTTGGGTGAGCTTTTTTAAACACATATTTATCCCCCTACCCTAGAGCGTCTTATTCTGTAGGTCTGACAAGGAGCCAGAAATCTGCATCTAAAATAAACTCCCAAGTGTTAGGGAAACTGCTGGTCCAGGGACCACACTGAAGTAGCGCAAATCAGACTCACTGTGGAGAGCCAGCCTGGGACACAAGGGGGTTGAGTCATAAAATGTTATTCACTGCAATTTAGAAATGCAGTAAGAACACTAAACTTAAAACTATATCCTCATTAGGAGGCTAGGCAGAGTTATTGATAGACGTGGAAGCAGTAGCAGTAACAGCATTGCTAGTAGTAGTGGTAATCCTTAGAAAGCAATAATAATAAAAGACCTAGTGATAATAGTAAAATCAATAACGAAATAAAATAAATAACTAGGGAGTATTTTTCCTCCCATGTTTTGACAAAGCTCTTGAACATGAGATAATCTTTTGAATGCAAAAAAAGTCTCTTTAAATGGATATATTACATTTTCAGTGAAAGCAAGGTCTTTAAAAACATGCCAGACCTTATGATCCAGAAAAAGCTGTTTCTTTTCCTCCTGCAGGGTATTATTTATCTTTGGCTAATAGCTTTAGCCCAGCCATTTTTATAGCCTCACATGTTATCAAAAGTGTTTTTATTGCTTAATCTAACTACTCCCTTTCTCAACCTAGTGCATTAATCGTGCCTTTAGAGGCCAGGTGTAAACTGAAGTCTATATAAAAGGGATGGACTTTTTTTTTAAAAGCTCGTTTGTGTTTTCCTCTTTGTGTTAAATTATGAATGTGATAATTGGTGGTTAATGAGATGTAAGTACTGTAGTCTCAGACACTTTGGGTTATTCATGTCTCTGCACCATTTTCATCTGGCCCTCATTTTCCAAACACCAGACCTGTAATTATGCCAAAAATCTATCCAAGCCAGATAATATTTTGTTTTTTCTTATTACTACTTACAGAGCATGAAGTTGTGGAAAGTGTTGGACTTGCAAAGCTAATTTTAGTCCCCCAGTGAAAGTTCTGAGGGGCAACTCAATAAGGTAAAATTAAAGGTATATGAATCACGGATTTCAGAGTTTACAGAGACATTTAGTAAGCATCTGATCTAGCCATTTAGCTTTAGGATCAACCCCATTTTGCTGGTGAATTAGCCATGGCTTACAACAATGAAATATATATAGACCTACGATTCAACCTGGAGATCTGTCTGGCCCTACAGCTAGTAGCACTGTGCCTCGTTTGAAGGAGTTGGACGCCTGTCTTTTGCCTTCCTGCAAGGTGTTTTTTTCATTGCATCATGCTATTGCCAGTCTACCTTGAACTCTTTTTGAGTGTTTTTCATAAGCTTTTGCTGTTTCATTTATGTTTAATTTGTGTGGTATCATTCAATGACTGTGTCCTTGCAACAGATATTTTGATGTACTAAATTTGTACACATACCTGAGTTGGGAAAGGAGATGCATTTTGTTTTGCATAAAAAAAATCTAGGTCTCATGTTTACATTTAAAATATCAGGCTTTGTTTCCACTAAAGTGGTAATCTTTCTAAAAATGTCCCTCACATTGAAGGACATCCAAAAGGCAGTAACTCATTAGAACCTTGGGTTCAGATTACAAATGTGTTTGGCTAGCTCAGTATTGAAGTTCAAATTATCTTGGAATTATTTTAAATATTTGTACAGGAACACTGATTAGTTTACTAACGTGTTGCCTATCCACTAATAACCACCTTGGCCTATGGTCATTAACTCCTAGGGCTCAAGCAAACTCTCAGCAAAGAGAATTTGCTTCAGTGTTTGAAGCCGTCATTTGGTGTCTTCACCCCAGGACTTGGAAGTGTTGACTCAGAAAAGGAATTTGAAAACAGTTTTTATAACTGCATTTTATTCTTTGAGCAGAAGAGTTGAGAGAAAAAAGTTCTGGTGAGGTAACGTCCTCCCCTACCTTCTTCCCCTCCTTTTTTGGTAGTTAATATTTTCTGATTATTTACATTCAACTGGAGACCAAGAATGTGGTATAAGGAAAAGAATGTCAGTGTAGAGTCAGCACACCTGGGATATGGTTCTGGCTCTGTATTCAATGCGTGACCTTAGACAAGTCATTTAATTTCTCTGGGTGTTTGTTTCTATAAATGAGAAAGTGACATAGGTCATTCTTAAGCTGTTTTTCAGCCAGAAGAGTCTGTAAATATGTAAATTTTTCCAAGAGAAGCTAAACTAGCTAGAAGATCGTATGAGGGTTACACAGACCCGTGCCTTCCTTATTTGTTACCTTTTGACAGGGCCAGCTTCAAGGACTGCAACCTGCACAGTCACACAGGGCCTCAAGCTCAGAGGGGCTCTGTACTTGGTTTAATGCAGTGCTGTCACCATCTTACAATTCTCATTATTCCTAAACAGGGCCCTGAATTTTCATTTTGCTCTGGGCCAGATAAATCATATAGCTAGTGCTGCCTTTTGGTAATACATTTTTTCCCAGTTCATCTGTTGGTTGAAAAGAAAAAAGGAATTATAACCTCAAATTGGTCACTTTTGTCACCATTATGCCCTTCAGGTAGACTGAGGGAGGCATAATTTTGACACAATTATATATGTGGACTTTTGGGGTCATTTTCTTTTTTTTTTTTTAATTATACTTTATGTTCTAGGGTACATGTGCACAACGTGCAGGTTTGTTATATATGTATACATGTGCCATGTTGGTGTGCTGCACCCATTAACTCATCATTTACATGAGGTATATCTCCTAATGCTATCCCTCCCCACTCCCCCCACCCCACAACAGGCCCCGGTGTGTGATGTTCCCCTTCCTGTGTCCAAGTGTTCTCATTGTTCAATTCCCACCTATGAGTGAGAACATACGGTGTTTGGTTTTTTGTCCTTGCGATAGTTTGCTGAGAATGATGGTATCCAGCTTCATCCATCTCCCTACAAAGGACATGAACTCATCATTTTTTATGGCTGCATAGTATTCCATGGTGTATATGTGCCACATTTTCTTAATCCAGTCTATCATTGTTGGACATTTGGGTTGGTTCCAAGTCTTTGCTATTGTGAATAGTGCCGCAATAAACTTACGTGTGCATGTGTCTTTACAGCAGCATGATTTATAATCCTTTGGGTATATACCCAGTAATGGGATGGCTGGGTCAAATGGTATTTCTAGTTCTAGATCCCTGAGGAATCGCCACACTGACTTCCACAATGGTTGAACTAGTTTACAGTCCCACCAACAGTGTAAAAGTCTTCCTTTTTCTCCACATCCTCTCCAGCACCTGTTGTTTCCTGACTTTTTAATGATCGCCATTCTAACTGGTGTGAGATGGTATCTCATTGTGGTTTTGATTTGCATTTCTTTGATGGCCAGTGATGATGAGCATTTTTTCATGTGTCTGTTGGCTGCATAAGTGTCTTCCTTTGAAAAGTGTCTGTTCATATCCTTCGCCCACTTGTTGATGGGGTTGTTTTTTTCTTGTAAATTTGTTTGAGTTCTTTGTAGATTCTGGATATTAGCCCTTTGTCAGATGAGTAGATTGCAAAAGTTTTCTCCCATTCTGTAGGTTGCCTGTTCACTCTGATGGTACTTTCTTTTGCTGTGCAGCAGTTCTTTAGTTTAATTAGATCTTTTGGGGTCATTTTCAATGACCTAGGTTTCTGATTGCCCACATTTTCCCTCTTCTATGCTTCTTTGCCCCACCTCAATCCATTTTTTTAAAAAATGAGAGTTAATTACTGGTATTTACCAAGTATTTTCAGTCTGTCTATTCAACATCATTATGTCCATTGATACATAAGCAGTTATAGTATAAGATAGAAGATACTTTTGGCTTTGAATTATTGTTTTGTTGTATATTTTTACTTTCTTGCAGAGGCTACAATTACAATAGCTTGACAACTAGAGAGAATTCTTCGGTCTGACGCCACCAGTAGAGGGATTTCTCTCTATGTGTTATGTGGGCTGTTTCCCTCAGCAGCTGGTTTGTTCTGACCAGATGAGCTCCACTTCCCTCTTTGAGAAGGCCGAGGTGGGTGGATCACAAGGTCAGGAGTTTGAAACCAGCCTGACCAACATAGTGAAACCCCGTCTCTACTAAAAATACAAAAAAATTAGCCAGGTGTGGTGGCAGGTGCCTGTAATCTCAACTACTTGGGAGGCTGAGGCAGGAGAATCGCTTGAACCCAGGAGGCAGATAGCACCACTGCACTCCAGCCTGGGCGACAGTGTGACACTCTATCTCAGAAAAAAAAAAAAAAAAGACTTGCTAAAGGTGCTAAGATGTGCATTCATGCAGGGGCCAGCTTGATTGTCTATGTTAATGCTAATAAAAATTACTCTGTGACTGCAAGGAACATATGGCTTCTTGGCTTACACAATATTGTGTGCTAAAGGATGAAAGAGCAAAAGACGGAAAAAACGTTTTTTAGGTATGTGCTGATGGATGATGGAGTTTTATGTTATGAGTCTGGTTTCAGAAACTTGGAGCAAATCTCTAAGCAACTATATGGCCAAGTTACATATCACATCAATGGCAATAATTTGTTTTGATGGGCCCCTCTGGGGTGTCTATTTCAAACTAATCTTCAAAATTTTTCTCTTGCAAACCCAGTGTTTGTAATCTTCCAAGATGCTCTTTTTGCCCTCAGTTCATAATGTTTTATTCCACTTGTTTAAAAATTCATCAGAGCTGACTTTTTATTATATTAACAACATCTGAATGTTTTAAAATATTTTGTCTTTTTATGTCACTAAACTGAATTTAAATGATAATATCTATGCTGAGTTCTAATTGTTTCCCTGGGTCCTGACTTTTAGACTGGGGAGCATACTGTTTTCATTTCTTAAGTCACATAAACTGGTATTTGAATTTCCAATTGTGCTTAAGAATAGCAAAAAAAGAACTGGTAAATTTTTTAAAAGAATGCAGTTGGTCATTCAACATTTTTATATCTGGTATTGATAGCCAGGAAAGCACTAGACACAGCTTCCACTTTCGTTGTATCCAATGCATTGCATTTTCCCAGCATTAAATTTATAGTTGTGAAACTTTGGGATTTTAAACGAAAAGAACCAAAGTGAAACTCCTCAAGTAATTAGATAAATGCTTTGGTTCTGTGCATTTTATTTCAAAACACCTTTTTGAACACTGCTTTACAAAGATTTCAAAGAAAGAGCCATGGAAGCCTAAACACACAGGTTACTTGTGAAAACAGAGGAAATCGGAGGCCCTAGTTTAGAGCGCTCACCCAGTGGTGCATAGTTTCTTTCCAGGAAAGGAGGTGCAGTGTCTTCTCACAAGTGTTGGTCTCTACTATAGAGTGGCCCTGCAGGTGACAATTAGCATCACAGTGAAAACTGGCAAGAGTTGGAGGCAACACCTCACTTCAAAGATGTCATCTATTGAAACACTAGGCAGAAACACCCACAGAGTGAAGTGAATACTGTGGCATTTTACCCCTTGAAAGGAACTCAGTGTTTTCACCGTTGGCCAAACGTTGTAATCACCTGCACAAAGAAAAAATGTCTGGGTTCTACCCACAGAGATTCTGATATAACTGGTCTAGGGTATGGCCCAGGCATTGGGATTTGAGAAATGCCCCAGATGATTTTAAGGGGCAGCCGTAGCTGAGAACTAAGGTCTATAGTGAGGTATGTGGGTGTGTGTATATATAGAAAAAATATATATATGCCTATATATATATATATGCCTTGTGGAGATACAATTCACATACCATACTATTCACTCATTAAAAGTGTACATTCAATGGTTTTTAGTGTATTCACAGAATTGTGTCACCATCACCACAATCAATTTTACATTTTCATCACCTCAAAAAGAAATCCACTAGCAGTCAGTCCCCATTTCTCCCACTCTACCTCTAGGCAACTACTTATCTACTTTCTGTCTGTATACAGTTGCCCATTCTGGATATTCCATATAAACGGAACCATATAATTCTACATTTTGTTTACCCATTCACCAGTTGGTGGATATTTGAGTTGCTCTAACTTTTTGGCTATTATGAATAATACTGCTATAAACATTCATGTACAAGTTTTTTTGTGGGCATACATTTTCATTTATCTTGGATATATATCTAGGAGTATAATTGCTGGATCATATGGTAGCTTTATGTTTAACTATTGGAGAAACTGCCAGACTGTTTTCCAAAGTGGTTGCGCCATTTGCATTCCCTTCACCAGCATATAAGGGTTCCAATTTCTCTACATCCTTGCCAACACTTGTTTTTATCTTGTTTTGATGATAGCCATTCTAGTGGGTGTGAAATGGTATATCGCTGTAGTTTTGATTTGCGTGTACTGCAAATCAAGTTGAACGTCTTTTTATGTGCTTTTTGCCCACTTGTTTATCATCTTTGGAGAAACTTCTAATTTAGATCCTTTGCCTATTTTCCAATTGGATTATTCGTTTTATCATTATTGAGTTATAATAGTCCTTTACGTATTTTAGATACAGATTTCTTATAAGATATATGATTTTCAAATATATTCTTCTCTTCTGTGGGTTGTCTTTTCACTTTCTTGAAGGCCTTCACTGAAGCACAAAAGTTTTAATTTTGAAGAAGTCAAATTTTATATTTTCTTTGTTGCTTGTGCTTCTGGTGTCATATCTAAAAAAAGCTTTGCATAACCCAAGGTCATGAAATTTTTCTCCTGTATTTTCTTCTAGGAGTTTTATAGTTTTAGCCCTTACATTTAGGTTTATAATCCATTTTGAGTTAATTTTTCCATATGACATGAGGAAGGGTTCCAGCTTCATTCTTCTGCATGTGGATATTCTAGAGTGAGTTTTTAAAATAGCCTCCTCATCAATGTGACAAACTTCATGGGGCATGGCTCATGAGGCATCTATGCCAATAATAAATTTCCAGAGAGTTCCAGCTTCCTTCTGCTCTCTGCCAGAGTGTCTATACACTGGTATAAAGTCTAAACACACACTTGGAGCTACCAACAAACACATTTACATAGTCTCTATTTAGTAAGCTGAGGTTTCTCTGCTTGCAGGGGGACACTTAGGAATTAAGTGAAGCGTGATATCAGGCATTAAAGGTTTTCAAAGGAATTGTTCTTCCTTTATTGCACGAATCCACACAAATACATTTAAACTACAGTGTGTGACCTGTGAGTCAGGAAGTGCCTTGCTGAATGCTGTGGTGCTATTTGATGATGTTTCATTGCTTTCTGCTCCTGCCTGTTTGAGTGAGGAAAGACCCTTCCTGAAATTTTTGAGTCAGAAGTTACTTCTAGGAAGGTTATGACATTTTCTTCTCTGAAACTGCTTAAAAGCAGACGAAGCATCCCTCCAAAAAGTCCAAAGTAGAGATGTATGATCCATACCCAATGTTCTGTGCTGCTGTAGGGAGGTGGCAGGTAGGATTAGAAACAGTTCCCCAGGAAGTAGGGAAACCCTCATCAGCCAGGCCACCAGATGGAGAGCCCAAGTCAAGGAATAAGTCAAGTTCTTTCCTCTCTTTAGCTCTAAAAGTACTGGCTCTCACTCAGGTAGATTTGTCTTTCACAAATGGCCTCTGTACTTCTCTAATGTCCTTCTGCACTCCTGGCTTAAGAGGGGCACATTAATATATACTCTAAGAGACTATGTTGAAACTTCTCTCACATCCCATAAAGGCTCTGGGCAAATACTCTTTTACCTCAAGAAACAAGCAAGGAAAATAGGCACAGAATTTTATAGATCTGAGTTCAAATCCTGGCCCCACCACACAACCTCGATTATTTTCAGTGAATTGTTTAACTTCTTTGAGCCTTATCTTCCCTTTCTATGATATAGAAATAAAAATATCTATTGAAGATCATTGTGGGATTAACTGAGAAAAACAAATGTAAAATTCCTGGACCAAGTTGGGAGCTCAATATATTTTATTCCTCCCTCCCTTTCAATACCAAAGGAGATATGGTGGACCCCCAGTTTCAAACCTCATTTTTTCAGTCTTGAATTCAAAGATTTTAAAAGGCCATTAGCAAAAATGGACATTGGATTTACCACTGGACACATCAGATCCATCTCCTACATTATTCTGTTCCTTAAGTGGTTGTAAAGTCTTCATTCTTTGGCAGAGGATAGGACCTCACCTTTTGGGGTCTTCCTGCCACCTTAAGTAAAACATTGCTACTGTCCATGACTTTGCTGATACGTCAGCATTTCAGTGAAGTACCCAGCTGTTTAAAACAGCAGGTATTTATTTTCTTTACTGTGAATATGCAAGGATGAAATGTAGCTGCCTGTTTTTGGAAACGCTTTCTTGGTCTATGTCATTTGGTTAGGTTAAGCAATGGAATGTATTGTGACCTTGGTCTGTGCCCTGACCTCTCCCAGGTGCCCCTAGAACTTGTTTATGCAGATATTTATGGGCCAAGAAGCTGAACCTAAGCCCAAACTCCCCTCAGCTACTTTTCTGTGAAAGGTTAATTGTTCAGCAGGAGTATTTATGTGACTGGAAAAAGGCTTTGAGCAAGACGAGTGTGTAAAACTCTGTTCAGCAGAAGTTACTGCAAGGAGTGATGGGATCTGGCATGGTTCTTTGAGTGATAGTGGGTATTCAGTCGTCTTAAGGACTTCCATTGCCATGATATAAAAATAACTGATCTTCTCTTTCATGGGCCTCCCTGAAATGTTCTGCAGATTATGATGTAAAATAACAAGCAAGGCAGGGAAGGACTTCCTTCCAAGGACAATGTATAGATTCAATTAGTGACATCTGTGTTATTTGTATTTGTATGGAACTAAGTCCAGTTGTTTTCCACAGAAAAAAACTCAGAAGTCTGCTTGATGATGTGTCAAAAATTGGGAACAACACATTTGAAAACTACAAACAAGTAAGCATGAAAAAGGGAAATTAATTCAATAGCATTTATTTTTATTAGGTCACATTATTATATATGTCCTTTTAAAAAACTTTCTGGGTATAAATAGAGATAATAAAAAGTAGAATAAAGTACTTATTCCCCATATCAAAAGAGGAGAATAGAGGTACATATAAATTCCAAGCAGTATATGTTCTAAATCTATGAAAATCCTTTCAGGAATTTGGCCTGGTATATATAAATCTAAACATATAAGTACAAATGTTACTCATATAACTATAACTATGTAAAGACTAAAATACTTGATTTTGAAATGCAGTCAGTTATAGCCTAAGACATTTAAATACACTCCCCGTTTCTGCTGAGGTCAACACATCCCCTTGAGAAGTGTAGGACTTGGCTTTATCATGGGAGAAAAGAATCCATGAAGAGTAATTTGAGGATGACTTACAGTTGAATATAACTTTAAATTTTTTAGGTGAAGTCCATAGTTTTACTTAAGTTGGTTAAGGGGTGCAAAAATACAGTTATATAGAAGGAATAAGTCCTAGTGTTTGATAGAATAGCAGGGAAATTATAGTTAACAATAGCTTATTGTATATTTTTAAATAGGTAGAAGAGTTGTAATGTACCCATCACAAAGAAAATATAAACCTTTGAGGTGATGGATATCTCAATTACCCCAACTTGATTATTACACATTGTCTACAGGTATCAAAATATCACATATACCCCAAAAATATGTATCAACATCAATAGAAAAACAGAATTCTCGATAAAACCTAGAATTTTCATCTGGGAAAAAAATAGCCAAACCCTCAGTAAATTAAACCATAATAAAATGTTAAATATTTTCCCCAGACTTGGAAGTAATATAATGGTGGTTTCCAGTTTAAACAAAACCTTATGTGTAGTTGTAAGATTCAATAAAAAGATGCACATAAAAGTGCTTTGGAAATGGCAAAATTCTCAGCGGGGTCGCCACCATGAGGGCAGTAGAACACAGAAGAAAGTAGCGTTGCTTTGGAGCCAGATTGTGAGCATGCCAATTTCAGCATGGCTGCCCTGTGCGAATTATGTAGCCTCTCTGTGTGCCAGGATCCACATCTCTAAGATGTGAACCATAATAATTCCCATTACCGCTACGAAGAGTAAGTCAGTTAGTACATGTAGAATTCTGAGGACAGTTTCTGGCACATGGAAAGTGCTCAAGCAATAATGGTGATGATGATGACAATGATGGGGCAGTTGTATTTGGGGGAAAAGGAGAGGACAGAGGAAGTATTCGATTTTGAAAATGGAGGACGGACCAGCTGACCCAATAAGCTTAAAGAGGAGTAAACAGAATAATAGAAATTAATTAGGTTTGGAATTTAAATGGAAATGAATGCCCTGTTTATACGTATATTCTAAACTGAGATAAGTGTCTTTCTTGGTACTGGCAGAAATATTATTAGCAACATTTACCATTGTTTAAAAATAAAATATTTTGAACAATCATTACACATATACTATGGAGCCATGAAGATTCTAGTTTCAAAACTAAGTTTAACAAGGAATAACTGTCTCCAGATTTAATAGCAAGTATCATAAAGATTATGAGATGATGATGTAGGAGAGTAAACGTTTTCATTGCCACAAATGTGGGATGACAGCATGATTCAAGACTGGTAGATAAAACAAGGTGACTCTAAGGAGAAAGAGACAACTCTCCACAAGACCTTTTCTGTAGCTGAATTATAATTATTCTTTTATGCTTTTGACCATATTTTACCACCCATGTTCTAAAACAGTGGCTAAATGTTCCATACTGAGAAACCAGAACCACCTGGGTCTTACCTTCTTGTGGCCATGATGCACATCCCTGAGCAGCCATATTGCTCTCCAAAGAAGTTTCCCAAGACCAACCTGCTTCCCCTGCTCACCTGTCCCAAGGGCACCACTGCTCCTTCTGCCAGACTGCACAGTGCACCTGCACTCTGCCTGTGATGCAGGCTGGGAGAAATGGACCCTGAAAAGATTCAGCTTTGCTTTTTCACCAGCTGAGGGAAATTGTCTGCAGGGCTGCCTTAGATCTGCCAAAATCATCCCAGCAATACCTGGCAAAAGCCCAAGATGTGAGTTATTCATACTAAAAATGGAGAATTGGGGCCAATATTCTACCTATGAGTTTTTAATTCCAAGAATTTAAAAATAATATTATATATATATATATATTTTTTTTTTTTTTACAAAGTAAAGATTGGGAAGCAGCTGGGCATCAGGCTGAGAGGCTGGCTAAAAAGAAAACAGCTGTGTTGGTCTTAAGTCTGAGCTGACTACAATAACTCTTGATTTCTTTGAACCTTGAACCTGAGGATTCAAGGCCATAAAGCAAAGCTACCAAGTGTTGACTTATCTGATTCCTTGTGAGACATACAGAGTAGAGTTGGTTGTTAAGCCATCTTTAAATGGAAAGTGTTACAGAAATGCTTATAATAATAAAAGGCTAATTATAGCATTTTCCCAAGTTGTGGGATTACTATAATGGGAATGATGGCACATGCAAGACCTAACACATTTATCAAAGAGCTGGCGGGATGTCTACAAAAGTAAATATTATATATGCTGATATGTCATGTGCTGATCAACATAGTAAGTCTAGCTGGACAGCTGCTTTAGTTTAAGATAAGCAAAGCAAGCATAGGAGTGTTCGAAAACCACTTATGCTCCGGTGAATATACCTAAAGTGTGTTTCAGCTGGAGAGTGGGGATTGGGAGAGGGCTCATGCCTCTTTATATCTTCACAGTACCTTATAATTATAAAGTGCCTAGCATTCTGCCTAGCACCTAGTAGCTGATCAATGAATCATTGCCTTTTTCCCCCTTCCTCTGGCATGTTGTCATCAGTGGGAGATGGCTTATGGGTAGGGGTATGGGGAGCTTTGAGTACCAAGAGCACATGGTCTAAAGCAGTGGGTTTGCTATACAAATATAGCCTTGAGACATCTCTGGTTCCTCCTTCCTAGCAGATTGTCCCCTCTGTCACACCTACGAAGACATTTTTATACTGTCATTGGCTACCTTTTATTCAGTGAGTGCTCCACAAATACCTGTTGATTCAACTGCATCTCTTGTGGACATTTATGGCACTTCAAGACTGTGGTTGCCTTTAGTGACTGCCACTGAACAGATTCCTGCTTGTTGAGTATTGCTTATTGCTGAAGCTATTTTTATAAGCACTGCCAAAAGCCTTTAATCCTCTGTCAGTTGAGTGTATCTTTTGGGTTGTTTTTGTTGTTACAGCTAACCTTTTGGCAGAGAATGGGGCAGACAAAAAAAAAGGGGGGGAATTGAGATAGGAAGCAGTTTGTAGAAAGATCCTTGGAAAAACCCTTTCCCCCAAATTACATTTTGCATTCCATTAGAGAACAACAGATTAAAAACAAAGCACAAATCTCGCTGAGAACCTGAAAGGCAAGTTTCAGCATGAGTGAATTTTTAACAGCCTTGAAGGAGGGGGTTAAAATGAAATTCTGACAACCTTAACTACATTTCTTTCTTAAAGCGTTGCTATAATAATAAAAGGTGAAATGTCAGCAGTCACATATTATTCTGTCTAACAATAGTTTATAATTTTTACTCTGTGGGAGCACTTGCCCTTTTATAGTCTCAACTCTTGCGTTTTGACTGACTGCCCAAGGACAGCAATTACTTAAGCCATTTACCTACACACCGGCAGCACAGCCAAGACCTGCTCTGCATTGCTAAGTTCTCCAGGGATTTGCTCTTGGGGACTTCAGTCAGTAAAGGAATTCTATGATATGAGCTACTTACTACCCCTGGGGTTTCAACCACTCCAAAAATCTGTATTCATCCCTACACCTTGAAAACACACTGCTGGCTATGCTTTCTGCGAAGGAGAGATCAGCTTCTTTCTGTGCGTCAGGAAAACATCTTCAAACATCCAAATAGTCACACAGTCTCCTTCAGAATATTGCAGAAGAATAGATACTACTCAGTTATCACAAAGTAGAGATGGGAGTTTTCTATTAAAATTTTATTCACTTAGCAAGCATGATTAGAACAGCTGCTATGTCCACCAACCTAGAGCATCTGCTAGGGTAGAGCTACCAAGATTACTACTACACAGAACCAGCCCACAGAGAGTACATTTTGTGGGAAAAGTCAGATGAGAGATATAAATTGTTGAGGGAAGCAGTAGGCTAATCAAGGAAGTAGCCTGCCTTGAGGTTAGGGATGGGAATCCTGGCATCAGTCATGAACCATCAGCTCAAATGCCCTCAGGGTTGGGCAGGTAAGGAAATAAATGAAGGGTGCCAGTAGGGACTGTCACACAGTGTAGCCAGTGAGAGCCATCAAGATGGAACACTATCCCTCAACTACAGCTGTTCAGTGCCATGAGCAAATACCAGCCCATTCTTGCCAGAGCTTTGGCTTTTTGAAAATTATTTTTTAATGTTGGCAACTAGTTCACAGTGTTTTACCCCCATGAATTCCACACAAAACAGTTCTAGGGACCAACCTTTGGGTTATGATGTGTGCTGTCTTAAAATTCCATTCTATATGCTTTATCTCAGGCTGTTACAGGTTAGGCGCTCTAGAAAGCAGATTCTGAGACAGTGTAGTAAGCAGGAGGTTTACTCAGATAGCTGTCTGTGGTAGGAATGGGAAGGAAGCAGGTGTGGAGTGTGGATAGAGGGAGAAGTTGGACTGTGATGGAGTCTCAGTAAATGTCTCTGCTAACATTTAAAGAGCAGTGAAACTTGGTAGCCCTTCAGAGTTGTTCCAAGTTGGGTGACGGGGCTGGGCCTTTATACCTTGGCATGAACCAATCACTGGACGTGGGTTGCTTGGGAAGGGGAATGACTTTGGGTAAGGAGGCTCTCTTCAGCCAAAGGAATATGCATCAGAGTCAGCCACCCTCTCAGTAGCTGGGAAATCAGTTATATCTTACTGAAGGAGATCTGGGTGGTGCGTGACAATACCCATCATAGCTGTAGATAGGTTTTTCTGCATGGACTGTGTTGCCCCTGAACACAAGGATGAGGTTGCAATCAACATTGAACTGACCTGACAATCATGCCCTAGAGAAGAGAGATGATCTCACATTGTTTCTCCTGGTCCCATCCTGTCTCTGGGCCTGTCTCTTTCCCTACTTTTGCTGGCCTGTATGTCTCCCACAGAAGCTAGTGGAACAGGATTCCTAAACCCCCTGAGGAATTCCTAACCCCTTGACCCAACCTCAGAGCTATATTGGTGTGGCCTACAATCCATATTTGGAGCATTTCTAAGGATACAGTTTCAACCTAAGCAGACAGAGTTGTAATGGAATGTAATGATGCACTCATTTTTGCAACATGTGCTTTTTGATAGCCTACTGCATGCCAGGCACCAAGCTACTCACTTTGAACAAAAGAGGTTTCCTGCGTGCAAGAAGTTTGGTATTTAGTTGGTAATGCAGATGAATAAGCAGACAATTTCAGGGTGGTAGGTGTTCTCACAGGGGTGATCAGAAGTGTTGTTTTGGGAGGCTACTTTGATTAAAAATCTGTAGTTAGAAACAATTATAATACTCTTTGTGAACAACAGCTCACCAAAGTAATGCCAACTGGGCTGGAGAGGGTCAGGTTATAATGTGTTAAGGGAGTAGACTCTGAAAGGTTTAGTGAATATTGGTGTACATAAATGGGGAAGTGAGGACTTTAATCTACTGTCCAGGTTGCAGGCCTAAATGATTGTAGATTTGGAAGACATGAATGAATGATGGCATAACTGAGGGGAAAAAAATGCAAAGCACTGGGTAGACAACCATCACTGCTGATGATTAAGATGTGGTTTTGTGCCAACAACTGTTTATGGAATATATTCCTCCCTGTGAAGTAAGGCAGCCATAAATAACTATCATATGTGTCACAGTTTGACAATTATTATATGTAGAGCCATGGAGAGCATGCTGGAGAGAGGATAAGAGAAGAAAGGTATTAATTCCAATTGATGTGGCAGAAAAATCTTGAGGTGGATAATAATGATGATGACTTGAAGGTCCATAACAATAATAGCTAATATGAATGCCTAATAAGTACAAAGGGCTGTGTTAAGTGCTTTCTGTGCTTTAACTCATTTAGTTCTCTCCACAACCCTGCAATATAGAGGCTGTTATCTTCCTCTTTGTATAGATATGAAGAAACTGAGGCTTTCTGTTCAGGTTTAAGCACCTTGCTTAAGATTTGATGACAAGAAAATGGTAGCCCTTGGATTTGAACCAGGTTGCCTGAAGCCAAATTCTGGTGTCTTATCACAAAATTATACTGTTTCTCACTTGAAATCGATGTTGAAATATGCATGGGAGAGGAGAGCATTCAAACTGAAGGGAACTGTTTTTGCCAAGGTATGATGATGTTTTGAGTTTGAGGAAATATGGGAGATATGACTAAAACGTAAGGTAGAGAGGTGAAAAGCATGGTGTGAAGGTTAACTTTGGAAAGTTAGACCGTAGTTTCCTTGCAGATGGCCTTAAATACCAAGCTAAGGGGTTGGGGTTTTTATTCCTTGTGAAATGGGGAGCCATAGAAGGTTGTAAGCAAACAAGTGGTAATATCTGTATTTTGAAACAGCAACTCTGGCTGTGAAGGGTAGACAGGTAAATAGAGGGACTAGAGGTGGTTGGGCAGAGAGGAGCAGGCCCCTAAATATTGGGGAGGCACTTTGCAAGCAGGGTAAGAACAGGGCAAGTAGAAAGAAATAGAAGACAATTTGATTGTTGCCTTGGCTCGGGTTTTTGTCTGTGATATTGAGAATGCAAGATGAAGGTAAAGATGTCATGTAGAGAGAGCAGGAGCTCAGATTCAGACTGTGGAAATGGAGGCGTGGGCCTCAGGAGGCTCTGTCTAGAAGAGACTCTGGAACCTCCTCCTTGGAAGTTTAGGTGGATGCTGGATTTGGCTGGATTCGAGTTGAGGTTATTGAAGAAACACTATGTAGGCTGACAAGTATGAAAGTACACATTTAAATAGAGGATAAAGGAAGTAATTTTTAAGAAAGTCATATTGTACATCCTGTCATTTCACATGAAGTAACCTGCCACTGTGGCTATGGTCTGTGAAATGAAGTATGTGAACTTTCAGTTTAGGGTAGGAGTTGATATTTAAGATTGGGCAAAATGTTCCAGGAAAAGGGCAGGATTCATGCGTGATGATTTATCTGGAAATTTTCTAGAAGCTCTATAGGCCAGTTCCATTTGGGAACACAGACCTGCCTTCCCATTGATGGTAATGAACTCAGGTAGTTCCAGTTGTCTCAGTCATTTGTTGGCTTCTGGGTTTATGCTTTTATTTGTTAAGCCATCATCTGATATTATTTAGTTCTTAGTTGCTAGAGTGAGTGTGCATTACTACCTGTACTCTAATGATAATGTAATTGTAGGATCCATGTTTACAATATGTAGTCCAAACTCTCAAGGATTTAAAGGCAGATTATGCTGGGTGGAAAAGGAGGGAGCAATTCCCCAACACTTAGAGAGTGTGACAACACATCCAGCTGCTCCTTGCTCCTTCAGCATGCACAAATGCCGTGCGTGTGTGTGTGTGTGTGTGTGTGTGTATGTGTGTGTGAATTGCAGTGTAGTTGATTTTCTCTGGCAATGCTTTAATAATTTTGGTGCTCCTTTAAATATTAGTGGAGGTTGGAAAGAAATTTCTGTTATAAAAATTTTCAAAGTAGTTTATTCTCCCAAGTAGCAGGCTGATGGCCAGTTGTCTGTATTTGATCATTAATAAAATTGAGCATTTCAAATGACATTCTCATTCTCCTGCTGCTATTAATGGGGCCCCATCTTTAGGACATCTGCAAAACATTATTTGTAATGGAATTCTTATTATATCATAAAATTTTATTAGACCTTAGAAATGACAATCAGATTGCATTGTTTTTCTTATTAAAAATACTTTCTTCAATGCAGAGTTCCCTAACCTTCTTTCTCAGAAAACCATTATACTTTTACTTAAATTTTGTTTTAATTGAAGTAGTATATTCATGCAGTGCACAAGTCATCAATCTGTGGCTCAATGACTTTTCCCATGGGTGTGTACCTGTGGAGCCATAAGCCAGATAAAATTTAGAGCATTTCCAAAACCCAGGAGGCTACCTCCTTTATGCCTCTTCACAGTCAATATCTCTTTCCAAATGTAACCCCTATTCTGACATAGGTCAGGGGTGCATGGATTTTAAGTACAATGTTTCCATATCAATAAATTCTGAAATGTATTTATTGGAGTGTGCTACAGTACTAAGAAGTAATCTTGACTTTTTTCCAGAGGTCCCTTGTATAAGAACTCTTCCTATTCAAGTGACTAATCCTTGGACTTTTGCAATTAGAAGTGGCACATTCTAATTAAACTAATGGTAAATTATACTAAGGGTGGAAATTATACTGAGGGTGAATGATTTTATGGATGTCTGTCCTCTAAAGGTGGTCATAGATTTTCACACAATCAAATCCCTACCAAATTTTATCCTCCTTTCACCATTGCTCCACCCCCAAGTGTTCTGCTAGATGTTATCTGAATGAGATTTCTTTGCTGTGAATGATTTCTTATAACACTTCATGGCTCATCTTCGTCTCCAGAAGTTCTTAAAGTTGTAACAGTATCCTACACATAAGAATGCAGAATTTGATAAATGGTTAGATAAGATCGTCTCCCTTATATAACAATTTAGAGAACTTGAAAACAATACCAAAAGGCCTAGTTTTCCTTTTAATGTACAGGGCTCATTCTGCAGAGGTATTCTGTGGTTGTATTCTAAATCCAGACTTGCCCTGTTTAGAAACCAAAATTAGAAGTCTGAGGCCCATTTCTTCAACCAAATCTGATGAGTAAAAGGATATACAGTAGCCATGTATAAAGGTGGAAAGACCTGGTATGGCCCATATTGCTGCTGTGTTAATTCTCCAAACTAAAAAGGTAACCAAAAGATACTAGCCGGTAAGTTAAGTAGAAATCGAGACCAAGAAAGATCCCTTAAGTTATTAATTTCAAGAATTCTTTCCTAATTGCTGAGAATTTACCATCTTGAATTGTTGGTAGGAGCTAGTAGTTCCATCAAGAAAAGGTGCTTTAAGGCAAATTAGGTTAGAGCTTCCTTTGTTCATTAATCAAAATCAAGAGAATCTGTTTCCTACACATTGTTCCTTTCTGTGAAAAGACTTTGACAACGTGACTGAATTTCCTAGGGAAATTTTCTAACACCTTTAATGAGAAAAAAGATGTCTTTGCATGAGTATACAAACACGCAGAAGAATGCTTATTAGAAGATCTATTTATACTTGAAATAGAACTGAATTGAGTTGTCAAGAAAAGAGAATTGTGTTAGTATGCAGGTCCCTCAGAGACATGATTATAGTCCTAGTGACAGGATATGAAGATACTACTAATTACCTTTGTAGACTGAAGACATTTTTAAGATATACTTGATTTCGTGTCATCAACAAGAAAGTAGTAGTTTTGTTATATGAATTATTTTTTAATTATTCAGTGTACCTACTATTAATAAATGTGCAAATAAATACACATATTTAAAATAAAGAGCAAGTATCTGCCCACCCCCATTTCTTCCCTCAGCCCCAATCCCTAGATATTAATAATGGCTAATGTTTTCTTCCAGATATTTTTAATACAGCTAAAGAATGGATGGATATATGGATGGATGAATGGATGAGGGATGGACAAACAGGTAAATAGTTAGATAAATGGGGAAAGAGACATTGAAATGTTTGTTTGTTTGTTTGTTTGTTTGTCTTCTGAGCCGGGTACTTTGTTGAAGATTCAATATTAAGCAAAAACACATATTACCAACTTTCCTAGAGCTTATAGTCTGGCAAAAGGAAATAGATATTAATCGCAAACAAGTAAATGTATAATTATAAATTAAGTACAACATAAAAGAGTACGTGAGTTTCTCTGAGGAAGGGATGATTGTGCTGAAATCTGAAGGAAGAATGGAAGACTGAGTTAGACTAGAGGGGAATGTTCCGGATAGAGGCAAGAAAGTATGCAGAAGACCCTGTGCCAGCAGGACCATAGCTCATTCAAGGAACTGAGGGTGCCTGGAATGGTTAGAGTGTAGACTGGATAGAAGGGGAGAAGTGCTGTGCTGGAATTCAGGTGGGAGGCTGTTGCAGAAGTGAAAGGGGAAAAATGAAGGCAGTTTGGACTAGCGTGAAAGTAGCTTGGACTAGCATGTGTTTGGAGAAAAATGGGTGAATTTCAGTCTTTTGGAAAATGAAGCACACATTATTTAGTAATGATTGGAAAGAGATGATAAGGATATAGATGGCTTCTCTCTGTTTTTCTGTTTCTTAATCTATGTGGATTTTTTCTACACTTTTTCTGACCTTACATTTTTCCTCTTAATAGTATATTTTGAAGATTCCCTCCCCCTTTCAATAATGCCTTTTTTAATGAGCTCCTTGTGTTTCATGGTACAAATGTGCTATAATCCTTTTAACCAAATTTGAGATTGCTTGGTTTCCTATTCCATCGATAACTTTAACATAGTTGTTAATGTTTACCAGTCTTGTTCATAATCTTTATCCATTCGTTTAATGATATTTTTCCTTATTTGTAAAATATTTATTTATTAAGAATATTAATCCTTTGACTAGCAAAAGAAGAAAAAATATACAGTCACCTGCATAGATGCATTAGATACCAAAAAGGCATTTAACAAAATTTACCAACTTTATTTTATTTTTTTTCCTAATGACGCTTTGTATTTAGAATTTATCAGTTCTCCAAAAGTGGTGTTTTGGTCTTAATTTTGTATCTGAAGGTCCAAACTCACTCTTTTCTAGTCATTCTATTATCTGTTCATCTTATCTTTGGCTTTATTCTTTCATCACATTCATTCTTTGTAATGTCTTTTATGATTCAAAGTGGATATTTTTCTGTTTCTCCACTGGTTTTTTTTTCTAGAAGGTATTTTTTTATCAGTATTTGCTTGATACTTTTCTCCTTTCCTTGTATTCTTTCCTCTTTCCTATATGCTTTGAAAAATCTTTACATAGTTGCTATGTCATTTATTTTTTTCTTTCTCATATTTAATGTGGAAAGTGTTAGCTAGACCATCTATTTTTCTAAAGATTGTATCTGTAAATCATACTTGACTTTTATAGCTTCTTCCCCGAGACCTTTTTGTTTTCTCTGAGAACTGAACTTCGTGGGTTGGGTAGCACCAGGACTTTTCTTTTGCTTGAGAGTAGGGAAGAGGACTCAACTGAGATTATGGCTAGTTATAGTTGGTTAATTTGGGTTCTATTCTTTGTTCTGCAATTTTATTTAACATTTTATACCGGGATCTATGTTTTTTAAAGACAAGGTCATATTTCAGTCTTACCAGTGGAAACTCTTGGATTCAAATTATTCTATAAGTTGGAGAGAGTTTTGAAACATTTGCTTTTGATAAAGACAGTAAGTTCTATGTAACTTACTTCTCCTGGTATAGCTTCACCTTCCAAGGAGTTATTCTCACCTTAGGTGGGTCAATGTGGTGGTAGTGAGCCAGGACTTCTACTCCAAAAAGCTTATTCTCTAACTGCCTACTGACCCCTCAGAGTCCTGCCCTCTGGATTGCAGGGCATTTGGAAGATTGTCCCCAAATTTGTTCAACTCTCCTAGAAGTGCTTTTCTCTCCTGGAACTGCTTTGGAGCTAGAAGTTAGTGTTGGTCTTTGGGTCTTTGTATTGTCATATCTCCCGTTCCTTGGCCACAATCTTTCAAATATGGTTTTACCAGAGTGTATCTCTTCCTTTGTTTGAATGTTGTTGGTATATTTTGTCTAATGTTTGACATTTTTATTCATTTTACTAAATTTAGAAATGGTAATTTTTTTTTTTTTTTTTTTGAGGCAGAGTCTCACTCTGTCACCAGGCTGGAATGCAGTGACGTGATCTCGGCCCACTGCAACCTCCGCCTCCCAAGTTCAAGCAATTCTCCTGCCTCAGCCTCCACAGTAGCTGGGACTACAGGTGCATACCACCACACCCAGCTAATTTTTGTATTTTTAGTAGAAACGGGGTTTCACCATGTTGTCCAGGATGGTCTCGATCTCTTGACCTCATGATCCACCTGCCTCGGCTTTCCAAAGTGTTGGGATTACAGGCGTGAGCCACCGTGCCCAGCCAGCAAAGGAAATTTTGACCGTGTGACCTTGGCAATATCTTTTAGCCTTTTGGATTCAGTCTTCTTATCTGTAAAACTGGAAGAAGTAATTGCTACCTTCTGTTTTTCAGGATCAAGTCAGATAATGTATTAGAAAGTGCTTTGTGTACTGTACAGTTCTTTCTAGGTATAAGTGGTTCTTATTCTTATTTGTCTAGATGAGATACACAGAGACAAAAGTAAAGAATAGAATGATATATTCTGAGCACTAAAATAGTAGAATATGTGTTCATAGGGCAGTATGGTTAAGCATTTAGGGCTGTTGTGAAAAGTGAATGGACTTGAAAGGGATAGGAATTCTCTGGTGGAGAGGAGGGGGAAGGGTACAATCAAAGAAGTAGTAAATGGAGTATACCTGGTATGTTTAAGGAACGCTGAGTATCACAATTAATTGAAATGGCAGGGTCATGGAAAAGAGTCACAGAAGAAAAACTGAGAGGGTTAAGGAGGCACCAAATTATAAAGGCCTGACTGAGAAATCTGGAAGTTATTCTGAATGCAGTATAAAGCCTGGATTTGATTTTAACAAAAACCTTAGCAGGAAGCTTACACTTTATGTTTAAGGATGTGGCAGTAGTATGCAGGAAAAATGAAGAGAGGGAGAAAGAGGATGATGGGGTTGCATAAGTAGGTAAACATACATCTAGTGTGCCAGGACAATCAAGTTTAAACCTGTTGTTCCAGAACAATTATTAATAGTGGCCTATTTCCTTCTTAATGCTGCTCATAGTAAAATGATGACAATATTTATAAGAACATCATAAGAACATTGACCAGGGCCAAGGCAATGGGCATATAAAGGAAGGAACCAATGCCAGAATACCAAAAAGGAAGAATGTGTAAAGTTACTACATGAGGAGAGGAGGGAGGAATGAAGAAGGGAGAGTAAGAGGTAGGTCCCAATTTTTCTGCCAGATAGATTGCAATAGTGGTGGTAACAATGATTTTTGAAAGGGGATAAGGGGGGAACCTGGAAGTAACAGGGTTTAAAGAGAACAAGAATTAGTTTGCTGTGAACTGTTGAGTTGTAGTAGTGAGGATCTAAGTTGATTTGTCACTTGTAGAGTTGTAGATGAAGCTTAGGTGTCACGCATCACTTTTATAAAACATTCATTGACTATGCTCAGCTCTATGGGGCTGAGTAGGGATCTCAAATCTACTTGCCGAGTCACCTTTCTCAATTTTAGGGACTTGTTACAGAATCCTCATGCTGAATAGGGACTTCCCTTATAGTCCCTTCCACTCCTAAAAGGGGGAAAGTGGCTCAGACAACACGAATAATAAACAAACACCCAAACACATTCTATTATAGCTCAAAAACTTTTCTACTTTGAGCAGACTTAGGAGTTTCTCTTGGCTTGAGACATGGGTCCTTTTCCATGTCAGACAATGTTCGTCTCAAGATTTTGTACCCTTGACTCTCCCTTATGGGAGCTCAACAGCTAACAAATAGCAGTTGACCTTTCCTATCTCTCAGTCTGTGGCTTCCTGTGACCTAATTGGAAACCTTTGCTTGATATGTTGTGAGAAATATAAATTATAAATTACTATATATAGTTATAACATTTAGGGTACAGTTATACAAATTTGTGCTTATAGGAATGTAGAAATGAGCACATAAATGCATCTATGAATATGTATATGTACATAGAATTTATATATTTACATATATGCATCGAAGGCGGTTTAGTGCTTAAATGCACAGTCTTTGAAATTAGGCAGGGCTGTGCGACTCTCATCTAATAAAGTGGGAAAAATATGAATAACTTCCTCATTGAGTTGCTATAAGGGTTAAATGAGATGATGATTATAAAATGCTTTCAAATGGTGCTGGCATTTTTTTAAAAACTGGAAAAGTATGTACCTAATTGTTAAGACAGTTATATTTGAGTTGCTGGATTTTGGAATATTTTGTTTTCTTTATGCTTATATATATTTCTAGATTTCTCCCTAATATTCTTTATCAAAAGATACATGAGAATAAAATTGATAGAGTAAAATTTTTATTAATAAAGTTAGTTTCCTAGAATAGTATTTATGAATAGAAAATAATTCATACATGTTTATTAATGAGCTTTTTAGTTGGAAATTCTCAGTTCATATATTTCCTGTCTGTGGCATCTCCCATGTGTCTCCCTGAAGCCTTTCTCAACTGCTCCCCTTCTAAAGAGGAAAGGCTCAATGGCCTATATACACCCAACCTTGAGCACCGTCATGGCAGGAAACAGATAACAGTGTTTTTATAGGTCACTAGGATTTATCTTTATTCATATTTCCATTTCTCACTTCTAAGAACTAGCCTTTCCATGATCACCGTGATCACAAGGCTAAGAGATAGGTAACATAGTCTCTTTGCAAATACAGTAGGAATATCCCACTGAGCATGTTTTCATTAAGACAAATCAGTAAATACCATTAGATTTAAAGGATTAGATTTATTAGCGTTTCTGGTGATCCTAACAAGTGCAGAGATGATGAGCAAATATAATTTTACTACATTTATCCAAATACCTGCACAAACAATCTTTTCTTATTTTTATTTGTCATATCAATCTTAAATAATCATGAGTAATTTTACACATTAGAAAGTGGGAACTGGAAAAGTGTGATTTTTTTTCTAAACCTTTAAGAGACAGCTGGGCTGAGAGAAAACAATAATGCCCCTGCCTGATTCAGTTTCTGCCTCACTCACAGTGAATTTCTCAGGAGCCCAAATTACTGGAGGATAAAATTGGTCTAATTCAACCTTGCAAACAAAAGGAGAAAAATTGGTCAAAGAATCAGCAAATTGGGACATTGAGAGGCTATATGAGCTTTTTCTTTAAGCTTTGCCACTGGATTCCTGTATCTCTCATTTTACACCTTTTCTTTGTTGCCTTGAATAAGTCACTTTTGTAAATTACCATTAAACCTGTTATCTAGCTGACTGTGGAAAGTCCCTTATTTCATAGACTCATGGAATTTTGCCACTAGAAAGAGCCCTAGAAGGTCTCTCTTCTCAGTGTACAGGGAGGAGGAGGGAAGGTAAGAGATTGGCCCAAGACACAGCTTTTTAACAAGGAGCCAGGACTATCAATTTTCAGCTATCAAATGTTGACTCTCTCACTAGAAAGTTACATTGTGGGTCACAGTGTAGCATGTGTGCTAACTTGAGCATCTAAGGCTCTATCAGAACTATTGTTGTTAATAATCCAGAACTAAAACACTTCTGAATTTCACCATATCAGGTTTGCAAAATCCTTTTGACAGAGCTAAATCCAAGGGCACAAATGAAATCACCACAGCCACATCTCTATTTCCCCATCCCTAGAACAGACTCACTTCCTGTAGCACACATAATGCCATCAGCCCCTCACCCTTACATCACTTAGCTTGAATGACAACATTTTTATAGACCTATGCCAAAGAGGACAGTCACTGGCCCAACTTGGGTCATGTGCCCCTCCCTGTGTCCAAGAAATAGGACATCCTATTTCCTTTGGTCACTTGGCCACTAGTAAGAATGGGCCCTGGCTGAACCAAATGGAATGTGCTCCCTGGGGGACAGAAAGATTCTCTTGCTATGAATTTGTGTTCTTAAAAGTAGGAGACAGGGAGGCCGAGGCAGGAGGATCACTTGAGCCCAGGAGATCAAAACCAGCCTGGGCAACAAAGTAAGACCCATCTCTACAAAAATTAAAATAAAAAATAAATTAGCAAAGTGTGGTGGTGTACACCTATGGTCCCAGCTACCTGGGAGGCTGAGGGGAGAGGATTGCTTGAGTCTAGGAGGCCAAAGCTACAGTGAGCCGCCATCATGCCACTGCACTGTAGCCTAAGTGACAGAGTGAGACCCTGTCTCAAAAAGAAAAAAAAGTATGAGACAGATATTTTGGGCAGGCAGAAACAGCAGCTATTCACTTTAGATGTCAGCCAGATCACATATGTAGTAATTTTTTATTTTATGGTGGACACTGTAGTGTAACAATGTTAAAACTTTAGATGTCATTGTCTTCCTTTAAAGAGTAATGAGTTTTGTTCTGGCAGGCATTTAATTTTCTGGCAGATCAGCTGGAAATAGTGGAGGCCTGGTTTTAGATTCTCTTAGGGCAAATCTAGAGTGATCTTTATTTTAGGATTAGAGTAGTCCTTCTAAGGCATTGCCTTTTTTTGGAGTCTCAGCTGAATCTTGAGAGTGTTCAGCAACGTCTCTTTTCCTTGGCTGGTTGGAACTCCAACATCTGACCTTTTGTAGCCCTCAAACACCCTTTTCTGCTCACAGAATAGCTGTTTGGGGTAGGTCTCACATATGATTTTCTTAATATTTGTCTAAAGGCTCAAGAAACCCCCTATACATGTTTCTAGAGTTCTTTTCTTGTGCAGCTTCCTCTCTAATACTTTGCTCCACAAATTCCTACCATATCTGCCACCCAAAAATCAGGTCTCAGTTTTCTTCACCCAGCTGCTCTCTGGGTTCCACTTCCCCAGGTTGCAATTTGAAAAGTGCCCCAAGGCAAAAAGCCAAGGTAAACATAAAGCTTATCTCCTGTGTCTTCCTCCTCTCAAGGATCACAGCCGTGGACTGTTGTCTAGTGCCTAAAATTGTGGCTTCAAATATTTGTGTCCATGTTTATAGTTGTTTACGTCCCTTTCTCCATTATAGACACACTTAAAACCTTTTTTTTCAATATACTGCAACTGAAGCACACATAAATTTGATCACTCGCCAAGCTTGGCTCTATCTACAAAGCTACTTCATATTTACAGAAAGTTTTCTCAAATACTGAGGACAAGTTTTGGCCTCTAGAGGAGTTATAGGAGCTGATAACTTAATCTGGGGGTAAATCCTTTGTGAGAAATGAATAATTCAATCCTTTCCTAATTTGTCTATATTTCTGTAAATTATCTCCTTATTTTCTTTTAAATTGGGATATGGTCATCTGTTGAAACAATTTTGTAGAAGTAGGAAAAGAAAAAGACTTGGGATCAGAAGATCTGGATTCAAAAAAGAAAAGAAAAGAAAAGAAAATCAAATTCCAGCAGACCTCAATGTCCCTGGGCTTGAGGTTGCCTGTCTGTAAAGTGAGGTAAAAATAGCAACTTTTCAGGGCTGTGATGATGTTGAGAATATATTCCACTCTTGTTATTTTCTATCAGTAGTAGTCTGGGGGGGTCTAAGAAAATTTAGCTTTAAAGGACATTTTAGCATATTCCTTGAGTTAGTTTTTCTTTTATTCTGTATATCAATATAATTAGTAATATTTATTAATATTATATGTCTAACTAATATATTAATATTATATGTCTAACTATAATATATTAATATTATATGTCTAACTATAATATATTAATATTATATGTCTAACTATAATATATTAATATTATATGTCTAACTATAATATATTAATATTATATGTCTAACTATAATATATTAATATTATATGTCTAAATATAATATATTAATATTATATGTCTAAATATAATAATATATGTCTAAATATAATATATTAATATTATATTTCTAAACATTATATTAATAAAATGTTTGAACATGAAGTGTTTTGTTACAACAAAGCAGCCAAATCCAAAACTGTAATTTAAAAGATAGTGTATGCTGCTTTAAAACATGGCTCTTAGCACTTGGCTTTCTGTATAGAAGTTTGCATTCCATTTCTCTCTCTCTTTTTTTAAATCGTCAGTCATAAAACCTGAGCTTTTATAAAAGGAAAGTAACAGAATGAAAAAAAACTGTGCCAAAGAATTAGTGTATTTGAGTTTTGTGTCTCTAGTGTTTAACAGTTTTATAATCCAGGTTTATAACTTGTTGAGAACAATAGACTATTTTAAGCACATTTGCTTTGCTAAAGATTAACTTTTTACATGCCTGGTAAGTATGGTGAAATTTAAGCTTTGAGAGTAATAGAGAGGAATATTTTCCATCTCTGCCTGCATTTTTTAGTAAGGATTTTTCAGTAAGGCACTAACAGCTATTCTCAATGTGTTGCATTTATTAGCAACCAACATGATTCAAGCATTTTCTCTTAGTACACATCATCTTAAAAGACAGTGAAATGGGGAGGCCTTGATAAGCCCAAAACTAAATTTTAGCCTCACTTTATATCTTCATCAAAATCTAGAAAAATGCAAAATATTTAATAATCCTTATCCTAATAGATATTAGTTTTCCAACCTTGATTCCACAAATGCTTTAATTCATAGTCATTTTATATGGTTTGAATATTTTAAAGATATTTAATTGCATTTTAAATAATAGTATCAGCCCTGAAGTCTATTTATGTTAACAAGAAGTTATGTAACATTTTAGTCGTCTTTAAAACAACATTGTAAATACACGTACATAAGCAAACATATAGCTAAATGTTTTATACATAAATACAAACATTTAAATACTTTAAACCATAACAGTAATAGACAATATATATGTATTCTCTTCCTATGTATTTTTGCATTGTAGCTTCAGGATGAATATTTGTCTAAAAATATGTTCTTGAGTATAAGTCTGTCTTTATATGCTTATAATGTTGTCTCTGACAATATTTAGTACTTAATATTGGTTCTGAGTGGAGCCTACATTAATATAGCATAGTACAAACTAAATCTACACCACTTGGCTCAGTACATTCCCTGTACGTCTCTTTTCTACTGAAAATAATTGAATTATTTTGGCTACTTAAGACATTTTTCTTTGTTTTGATGAAAGAAAAATATCAGCTGAATTAAATTTAATGGAGTTTAATTCAGCAATGGACGATTCGTGAATTGGGCAGCCCCCAGAATCACACCAGATTCACAGAGACTCCAGCACAGCCATGTAGTGAAAGAAGATTTATAAACCAAAAAAAAAGGGAAATGATGTACAGAAATTGGAAGCGAGGTACAGAATGGCTGGATTGGTGATAGCTTAGCGTTTGCCTTATTTGAACACAGTTTGAACACTCAGCAGTGTATGAATGGTTGCAGTATGGCCACTGGTATTGGCCAAGACTTAGCGATTGTTACAGGCTCATACTCCTAAGTTAGGTTTTCAATCTGACTATTAAGCTAGGTTACAGTTCATCCACAAGGACTCAAGTATAGAAGTACGGAATCCTTCTCAGGCCATATTTAGTTGGCTTTAACAGTTTTTTCAGCCTTTCATGTGGAATGCAGTATGAAGTGGCTGCATATTTGTAGGTCTGAAAACCTGGTGCTTATTGTTATTCCCAGCCGCTTCATCTATTTTCATAGAGGGCTCATCGAGGTCTGTGTGGCCTATGATAGTGTCATGCCAGCAAGTGTGGGAAGAGTAGTTACCTTTGTGAACTTGTTCAGGCAGCCAGAAGTCATGGCTGGCCTCCAAGATGTCAGCTGAGGACCTGGAGTGTCTGCATGTTTGGGAAGTCATATGATAGAAAAATCTACATGGTACTGAAATACCCAGTGCCTTTCAGAAAGGATCAGACTGGGGTTAAAGGGCCTGCGTTGACTTCAGTTTGCATACACGTTCTTTATTTTCAGTGTGTTTGCACATACATTATCTCTCCAGATCGTGAGAAAAGAGCAGCCAGAGGCTCCTTCAGTTTATGAGAGCCAGTAACTCTCACCAAAGAGCTTTGTTTGAAAATTAACAATCTAGACTTTGGTCTTTGTTGGGGTTTTCTAACTTTTTTTTTAAGTTGTAGAACCCTCTTTCCAAATGAAATCTTAATCTGACTCCCAGTATGTAAAACAGTGGAATACAAAGGGTTTTAATTCACATTTGCTGGGGGACTCCAGAGTCTTGCCCACTTAGGCTGATCTCTTTCTATGTTGCTAGGCCCCTCGGCCCCTTGAGGCTCCATGGAGCATAGTCTAAAAACCACGACAAAAACAGGCTTTGTGGAATGTCTGTTGGCCCACAACATTCTCTCTTTTGATATTCTATATTGCTTCTCATAGGTGTTCTGAACTCTGCCACATTTTTCAGAAGTCTTTGTTTTTTATGGTGATAGACTAAGCATCCTGGTGCAGTAGGGAAGCATTCCAGTCTTGACTCCAGCTCTATGTACTGTGTGACATTGAGCATGTCATTTAATTTCCTGAGACATTGGACTCTCCTGTCTGTAAAATGGGGATGGTTAGAGAAGCATGGAAAAACCTGGAGACCTTTGGCTAGAAGATATTATGTGAATGGGATTGACTGAAATGAGCTGTTGATCTCCGACTCATCCCTATGTAAAGGAACAGCCCTGGATTACTTCAGGGCCACCTTCTCTAGTACACTTGATTGTAACCAGAGTAGGATGATCAAAACTTGAGCATGTCAATGGATGCAGAAGAAATGTCTCTGACTGATTTTCTTATAAGGGAACTCCATATTGTGCATGCTTATACACGTAAGGCATCCTCTCCAGGACATGGTGATAGATATGTGTTTAAATTAACATCATAAATACTTAATTTCATGGCATATAAAGAACACTGGGGTAGGGGTCGAAGGATAAGAGAGCCAGTTTTGTACATCTCATCCTAACTCTGCATGTGGTAACATCATGTTGGTAGCTTGAAATTAGCTGTGGTAGAATTACTATCACCTGAAAATCAGCAAATACTATAAATTGGGGTTTTGGGAGGGGGAGCACACCATTGTAGAATGATTTGAATTATACACCCAGTACTCCTACTCCTAAATATTTTAAGCCTCAGTGTTCTCATGTATTAAATATGGAAGACAATACCTGCTCCATCTGTCTCACAGATTTGTCATGGAAGTCCAAATATGTGTGAAGGTACCAAAGCAAAACAGATGCCACTGGAAGTGGCAGCATTATGATTTCCGGTGTTATTGGGGGCATAGAGAAAGAACAAGAGGAGCAAGCATGAACTGACCCTGTTTTCCCTCAAGAAACAGAATAAGTGCCACTCACGTCTTATAAACACAAAATTGTATATACTTTTGAAGAATCATAAATATCAAATGTAGGTTGAACTACCTTGAAACATATTTAGAACCATTCTTTAAAATGGAACTATAGACTAATATAAGAAAATGCCTTCAACGCCTCCAAGGGTTGGGACCACTGAATGTAGCAATACATTGAGCACCAGCTTCCAAAGTGTCCTGCTTCCAGCCCTGGAGATGCTTCTGCTAGTATTCTATGACAACACACATGAGGAGCTGAAACTGCATTTCTCCTTAGTGAAGGGGCTAGAAGCTAGACAGTCTTTGACATTATGGCCAACACTCATCCACACTAGGATGTGGGTGGAACGGTAACCATGAGTAATTCTGACACTGCCGGCATTTCTACAGAGGCTTTTAGATGAAATCTAAAGGAAACTTCCCAAATAATATGGTTTACAGGTAAATTATTATTATTAATAAGATAATACATAAAATCTCCATCAAGTATACTTCAAGGAATGTGATATTCTTTACCTGAAGACATGGTAGGAATCATGTCTGAAACATAATGTTATGTTTAATAGTTGTATTTTCAATTATAACCTTTCTCTTTTATGTGGACCTATGCTCTGGATGATGTTACCTAGGTTCTAGAATTCTTGGGTAAAAATATCTTCATAAGTATTGCAAAGGACAAACCTATACCTTTTTGGGAGGAGTGCTTTAATCTTAAGCTAAGTTTGTCAGTTTGGATGTCTGCCTAATGTAGATAGGTGTTCTAACCACTCTATTGCTCAGAAATATACTATACAGGTTAAGAGAATGGATTTAGGAATCAGAACTGTCTTGGAGATCCAGCTCTGTTGCCTGCTGGTTTCCTGACTTGGTGCAAGTTTCTTATTCTCCTCAAACCTCTGTTTCTTCATCCATAAAATGGGGTAAATAATAGTTTCCCTTTTCTACAGCTCTTTTGAAAATTACCTGCAAACAGAGCTTAATTAATGTTAGGCTATTAACCTCTTTAAAGAATGAGTCAAAGGGTGATTTGGCCTAAATTCAAATGACGACTTCAGTTGGGATCTTGACCAGCAATGCCATTGTAGTGAAGCTGGAGCCAGAGTAGCCAAAGCTAAAATCAAACAGTCTCCTAGCTTGGGGAGCCCTTGTGCCCATCTGAATTTGTCAGAAGTAAAGCCAGCATTGATAAGTGAGTAGTGATATAGTGCCCGAAGTGTGGCATTGTGCCTGGTGTGATCCCCCAGCATTCCCTATCATTATCCATTTTGGTTTAGAAGACTGTCCCCAGACTAGTGAGGGTCACTACTAGAGAATGTTCTGAAATAGTGGAGCATTGATCCTCCCAGGAAGTCACTCCATAGATGATTATCTCCTTGGAGTGCTGTATTTGATACTGAGGAACATTCTCCTCTTGCTTCTTTGTGCACACTCATGTGCACACCTCATACACACTCATGTGCACACCTCACACACGTCCTGCCATGATCATCTTGACACAATACCACAGTAAAGCCAGTGACAGAGGGGCACAAAGGGGACCCCACGGTGCTATGAAGTAAGGGAGTATGCCAGAAAGAAAAGCCATCCACGTATTTTTTTCAAAATAAAGATTTCAGGGCAGTGACATACCATGGGCAGGATGGTGAGAATGGTCTGTCCAAGGCACTGCAGACAATAAAGGGGACAAGTTATCTGAAAATAATTTTACAACAATGATAAAATGGACAAAAATGTCAGCTGACTTTTTATTATTATAATGCCCCGTTCTAAGCAGTCTCAGTCGTAAAATATCCCCCTAAAAAATGTGTTGTGTTGATTTAAGTTCTAAACAACTGCTGCAGTTACTGTTGAGTTTTAGTAACATATATTTCATCTCCAAACTAGCATCTTTTAATACTTATCTTTTAATAAACACAAATTTACATGAAAGTCAATTTGGAGGACTCCTAGTTATGTAGTCAGCTCTAAAACATGGGATTTGGCTCCACACATTAGTTTCCAGAGTTAGTTCCTAAAACTTTGGAATGATGTTCAGTACTTTTGGTACAGGTTGTGTCTTTAACCCTTGGGCTACTAGGTATTGGGCATTTAAATAGATTCAAAATAAATGATTATAGCCAATGATTGTGCAGTCAAAGAAATACATCTTCAGTTGTTTCAGTTTTGTCATACTGTGTGACAACCTAGAATATTCATTTGTGTTTTAAATTTGGAACAGTGAAACAGAGTGTGCACTGGTGGTGAAATGTTTTTGATTGTTGTTGAAAAAGTTTTGTTCAAGAGAGGAGAGGAGTGTTAAAAAATAGCCCAGCATAGGGGTAAAATACTGCTGCAGTGTGATATTTAGACCAATGGATAGACTTCTATCGTATGCCGTCTTACAATTTAAGTTGTTTATATTATTTTCTACTCATGTTTTCTTTCTATAATCATTCCCAAAATGTAGAATTCCTTGTTGTGAAGGCAATGTGTGCAATAATACATGCTTTACAGTCAATATAGACATGAGTTCAAACCTCAGCTCTGCAACTCACAAGCTGAGAGCCTGGGATGTGTTGTTAAATCTTAATTTTCTGTTTTGCAAAACGAGAGTCAAACCTCCCAGCAGAGTTGTGATAACTGAATTCAACGTAGCATGAAAAGTGTGTGCCATATGTTTCATATAGTAGATATGATGTTAGTTTCCCCCTCTGTCTCCACCTTTTTACTTCTCTTTCCAGCATTGGCATTTATTTATGTCTTCCAATGCAAACATATAAGATGTCTTTATAGAATTATGGTGAGTTCTCAGGAGGCTGAGGAGGGAGGATTGCTTGAGGCCAGGAGTTTGAGACCAGCCTGGGCAACATAGTGAGACCTCATCTCAAAAAAATTAAATAATAAATAATTTTAAAAGAATTACAGTGAGTTGAAAGTAATTTCTACATATTTACAACTCATCTGTGCAACAAGTAATATATGATCACTGTTTATAACCTGATCTCTCCCCTCCGAACCTTCATAGACTCCACTTAAATGCAAGGGTTTAATGAGAAAATTTCTGAGCTCTGGTCCTGGTCTACAATGCTGAGTAAATCTTGCCTAGATGGATGACATCATTATAACATATTCAAAGTGGGAAGAGGAAGTGCTTGGACATTGGAAGTTTTGGTGTACATAAATTTCCTATTCTTTCTGGCTATTGCCAGGGAAATAGAATCATCAAGGTAAGCATCAGCAGTGTGTTGATTCATGGCCTTCATTGGCTTCTGTGGTAAAGGACACACGTACTTAGAGGAAAGGAAATGCAACATAACTAGGCAAAAACAGACCATTTTATTCTGCGGTTATTTCAACTGATGCTAGTTGTCGCACCCAAAAGAGCATTTTCAACATTTCTTCAACCTTTCCATCTCCTCTTTCTATGAAGTTTTAGCTTCGTGTCTAGTCTTCTTTGCTTTGTATCTAACATTAATTTTCTAGTGCCTTATGTCTTATTAGTGGTAGACTAATGTCTTATTAATGGTACATTGTATTAGACAGGATAAAGAAGAATCTTCTCCTCCTGTTCATTTGTGCACACTCTTGTGCACACTGTACACACATCCTGCCATGGTCATCTTGTCACAATACCGCAGTAAAGTCAGGGGGCACAAAGAGGACCCCAGGGTGCTGTGAAGTAATAGAGTATGCCAGACAGAAAAGTCATCCGTGTATTTTTTTTCAAAATAAAGATGTCAGGGCAGTGGCATACCAAGGGCAGAATATAATTCTTTTAGTTACCTTACAGGAGTTGTATAAGGATTAAATTGGATAAGATAAGGGGAAAGAGTTTATAAATCATAAAATAATTACATATGTTAAGTAGCATTGTTATCTTGTATGTGGGATTAGTGAACTATGACCCATAGACCAACTCTGGCTCTCCAACTGTTTTTGTGCTAACCTGGGAGCTATTCTAGTCCCTTTAAGGATTTGGGCTTAAAGTAAATCTTGTGTTTATCTCTCCCTCCTTGTATTGAGCCCCAGGCTTAGGCTTCTCATCACAATGTTAGTTCAACATTTGTCCCCATGGCAATCACAGTTTATGCATTTCTCACCACTTACTCTTTGTGTTTTAGTTCAGTGTACCCTTTAGAGATGTCCTGCAAGCCCGGCAGTACTGTAAACATTTCTTGTTGTAATCTACTTGTATTGCTGTGAGAAGTGCCTTAGAGTATCCAGCCTAACTGACAAGAAAGGAAATTTTCAAAGCATGTTACAACAGTGCATGTAGCAACAAAGCATGTTACAACAGTGCATGTAACATGCTTTGAAAATTTCCATTTTTGAAAACAGGAACTCAAGCAACTTTTCTACTATCAGTTCTAGATGGCATAGAAGGACTTGAACCTGGTCAAACTGAGCCCAGAACCCAAAGGCTAGCTTACTAGACTGTGCAGTAACCCAGTATATCAAGCCTGAATGTTGGTATGTATCCATTGAGGAAATAAGCCTAAGGAATTGTTATTTCATGTCGCTGCTAATCCCAGTGTGGTTGATAAAGACCACAGGGTTTGCTACCCTGTCTGTAATTTCTAAACCAAAGAGGTTTGATACATAAAAGGGTTTTTACCATCCCTTACTCTAAATTGACTGAATGTTTAACCACCAGTCTGACTTTGAAGGCTTCCCCGATCTCTTGCCATGTACAAATGCTCAATCCCTCTTCAGTGTATTCGTTGACCTCTGTCCCTACTTCTAATTGCTGTGAAACATCTCCACGTCCTGCTTCCAGCCTATGCTGAAAGTTCTTTGAAGGTAGTAACTCTGACCATTTGTATACCAGATCAGTCCCTGCCATCCAGCTAGTGTTTAGCACACATTTGTTGAAGGAATTATGAATGTGTCATTAGTTTTTCAAATGTTGATTAGCATTATTTGAAAGTGAGAGGCTGTGGTACAGTCACAGAAAAAAAAATTGATTTGAAATCAGAAAACCTGATGAACAGCAGTACAAATAACTTGACTTCTAGGAATGGTGTGGTGGCTCACACCTGTAATCTCAGCACTTTGGGAGGCCGAAGTGGGTGGGTGGATCAAAAGGTCAGGAGATCAAGACCATCCTAGCCAACATGGTGAAACTTCATCTCTACTAAAAATACAAAAATTAACCTGGTGTGGTGGCATGTGCCTGTAATCCCAGCTTCTCGGGAGGCTGAGGCAGGAGAATTGCTTGAACCCGGGAGGCTGAGGCTGCAGTGAGCCGAGATGGTGCCACTGTACTCCAGCCTGGTGACAGAGAGAGACTCCTTCTCAAAAAAAAAAAAAAAAAAGTGAGAGGCTGTGCTATAGTCACAGAAAAAAAATGGATTTGAAATCAGAAAACCTGATGAATAGCAGTTCAGATAACTTGACTTCCGGATCCTTAAAATGATCAGAGTACACGTGCTTCCAGGAAGTAGAGAGACTGATAGGTTGATGGGCAAAGACATGAGTGAAGAGAGCAATCAGCAGCCGTTAGGCCTTGGTCCCTCACTCCCGCCATCGCTACCACCTGGTCATGACTGCCTGGAAGCATGGGGGTAACGATGAAGTAGAAGAGGACTTCTGGCTAGGATTCACCCCTTTCTAGTCTAAGATTGGCAATTCTCTCCATGTTCCCAGAAGGCAAGATGGCTACAATTAGTATAAGTAGAGAATGCTTGTTATATAGGAATAGTGTCTGATTCAACGATGGTTGATAGCTATAAGTACCATAGACATATGTGTATACTCTACTGCCAAAAACTGGAACTGGGTAGGGTAGTATTGTCAGACATAATTTGCTTTTTAATTTGGAAAAGGTAATAATGCATTTCAATATGCAAATAATATGTACCTAACCTAACTGGTTAATATTGGACATAGCCAAGTAAACAATTCTGACCTTCAAAATGCACAGGATTTTAGCCAATAAATTTAGTTGAAGTCAAAATACGCCCGATTAGAATATCTTATTTCCTCCTCTTAAGTTTTCCAAATGTGATAGAAGTTACTTGAATTTTCTTTTACATTGCTTTGACAATAGATTGAAATTATTGGTGGGAGAAATAGAAACTCTAAATGAATTAGTATTCCTCATGAGCTTCTAGAAGCCATTATAAAATAAGTAGTCAATAGGGAAGGAAATATAAGGCATAAGAATTATAAGGTATACTGTTTGATGAGACTTCCATAAAGTAATTGTACCATGCAGTTTTCAAACTTTTAAAGTTCAAACTCTTAAAAATAAAATTAAGGTTTCTAAGAAAATCAAATTAATTTTTTCCAGCTGATAAAGATTATCCATATGGCAATTGACTGCTGCTGTTTGCAGTTATCATATTTCTTTGTGATTCCCAAAGTGACAATCCAGTTTACAATAATAAGCTGGTAATGGATTTGCTCTTTACAAAGTATCTTATCTATGGCCCAAGTTTCTAAAGATTGAACTGCCCGGGGACCTTATAAAGCAGCCATGTTACTAAAGTTGTTTAAGCAGTTCCAGTCTGTTGAAAAGCTTTAGTTTATTTGTTTTTATAAAGTCCAGTGACACGAAGTTGGCTGGAGATTCTGTGGCATGAATCATTTCCTCCCTGCAGTCTGTCAGCTTGCAAACATGGGCAGAGGGAGTGCCTGTTCTGCCCTCTGCCTGTTCCTGCACACTCCCAAGCTTTTGCAAGTTGGTAGGGGGGTAAACTTGATGCAGTGACTCTTTGCTGGATTAGTGTACTCTTTCAAGTAACTGTTGGTGAATAAGGCAGGAAATTATGTTCCTGGATAAGAAATGACCAGGCTAATAATACATGTGGCAGGTAAATGATTTTTCTTATAAACACAGGGTTTAGAAATATGTTTTTGAATTAAGCAGTTTACCTGTAATATACAAGGTATACAAAATCCACTTCTGGCATATTCTGTATATATTTGGAAGTAACATATAAGTGCATAAGATTTTTGAAAATGGGCATTCTGATATGAAAAAGCTAGGTATTTACACATAGATATGTACATGTCTATGAGCTAAAATCTTATTGAAAATTATGTAATTTGATTTTTGGTATTTCTCTAAAGCAAAACTAAGTTTTCTAACATTTAAAATATCCTCATTAGGAGAAGTTTTCAAAACCTATTGTTCTCAGTTGTTTGTCCGAAAAACGTTACCTGTAGAGGCTGCTTTCTTTTATTTGTTTATTTTTATCCCTGTAATTTTTCACATGAGTACCCCCAAGAGCCCTTTCCCTAGAGAACAGTGTAAATCACACCAAATTATTATGTCTTGTTTGTACATGGATGATGAAGCAGAAAGATTTTGGGCTTTGGAATTAGAATGAAGTTTGAATTCTGATTTGTTTACTACCTACGTGACACAGAACAAGTTATTCAATCTTTTCAGATCTCAGTTTTCTCATCTGTAAAATGGGGATGACAACACCTACTTCATAGTTTTACTGTAAGAATTGGAATTCATTTGTGGAAAGTTATTTTTATATTATAGATCCTTACTATTAGCTATTATTACTAAAAATATAAAGTGCCTGACATATAGTAGACATTTAGAAAATGTGATTTTCTTCCATACTTCAACCACTGCATGACTTCACTCAGGTTGGCATAATCAAGTTATCATTCCATTAATATATCAAATGACTGAGGATACTGATAAGAACTCTTGATTATAGCTGATCTCTGTTTACATTTTGCTCATGCTCCTCTGATGCCATTTCCAAAGCTACCCCCTATCTCCTGGTTCATTTTTTACCACCATATGCTTTTCCATATTGGTTTGCCGTGTAGCCTTAAATGAATAAACATTTATATTAAGAGTGGCAAGGCCTTTATAACTGAACCCAGTATGTACTTTGTTTCATTAAGACTTAGGTAGAATTCTAATGTTTGCAGTTCAAGACAGTCATTTTGGATATGTGGATTGAACCTTGTATTACTTCTCAGACTCCATCCATCCTTAGTAATAAAGTGCATAATTTGGGACTCATATAAGAAATGGAAAATAATCACAAACTGTTTAAGTGTTTTTATGTATATTAGAGAAAGAATACTGCCACATTTTTCTAATTTCTTTGTTCCAAGCATAGAATTTTAGATTTTGCCACGAGCCGAATACACAGACATGACTTTTTTTTGGAAATTATGAAGTGTATTACTTGAAATTAATGAGCTTAAAATGTCAAGTCACTAGTATATTTCTTGTCTTTAAATTGTATGAAGGACATAAGAAACTCTTGTCTGTCAAACTCATCACAGAGTTGCCAAAAGATGTTTCCTGCTTATATATCTTTTCTTCAGACAACCTTCAAAAAGTGTTTGAAAAATTTTTTTTGATCTAGAGAAAATATTTTAATCTTCTATCCCTTGAGCTTCACGTTTTGGTTTAGCCAAACACCATACAAATGAATGTGTTGTGGACTAAGCACTTTGACCCACTGAAAGCTCCAGCTCCAGTGGATTGCTTAATATTTACCAAGTTCCCCTGAGGCTTTAGGCACAATTAGCTAGCTCAGGCACCCTGTGTTTGGCATGAGTTGAATTCTATCTGATTTATTCTTGGATGAGAGAGTATTTGAAACATTAAAAACAGAGTTAATGAGCTTTCTGCAGAAGCCTTTAAGAGTCCTGGGGACATGTTTGCAGTGGTAATTTCCTACAGTGTCTTTGGACTCTTAAATTCCTGCAGTTGGCTCTCATTGGATGAAATGTCTTAGGCGATTTAAGATCTAAATTGGCCTTTGACTTATTTACCCCCAAGGAAATACAGTTTGCTAAGCCTTGATTTATTTCCCATGATCATAATACTTCAGAAGATCCATCTCCTCTACAAATGATCATCCAAAAAATGGTATCAACTGCTCTAAAAATTAAGAATTACCCTAACCACAGGAAATAAAAATAGTCAATTTTGGAGTTTTCCCTTCATTTTCCCATCAGCTCCCAGTAATTGTCCTAGTCCCAGCTGCACCCAATATAGGTCCACTTCTAGATTCCAGTTGTCACATGTATCATTTTCTAAGTAAGGCCCGAAGTGTTAAAATAACAAGGCAGGTCACAAATGTTATTATACATGTCTTGATGTCCTTGGCTTACATCCCTCTAACAATTTCTCATTTGTGATCTTGGGCAAATATAATGTCTCTAAACTTCATACCCAATACTTGTTAAAGCAGGATAATTATAGCACCTATCTCTTATGGTTGTTGTGAGGATTAAATTCATTAATTTATTCATTCTAAAAATGTTTATCAAGTGCCAGATAAGTGCCTGGCCTTGCCTTAGGCACTGGAGACACTATAATCAACAAAACAGAATAAAATCTCTGCCTTCATGAAGCTTACAGTCCAGTGGATGAGAGTCCATTTAAAAAATCAATAAGTACAGTGTTGGATATTAGAAGGTGATAAGTGCTATGGAGAGAAAAAAGAAGAAGGGGAATGTAGGAATGGGGAAATGCAATTTTAAACAGCTTGGTATGAGAAACCCTCACTGAGAAGGTGACAGGAATGATGCTTGTGCATATCTAGGGGAAGAGCATCTCTTATGAAGGGGGCAGCTAGTGCAGAGGCTTCATGTTGGAGAAATAGAAGGTTCATTAGGCCAGATGGAATGGATTAAGAGAGGGGAAGAGGAGTAGGAGGTGGAGTCAGAGAGATAATGAGTAGGGAAGGGGGTGGATAGTTGGTAGACATACAGCTTTGCAGACTGTGAAAGGGACTTCGCCTGTGGCACTCAGTAAAATGGGAGCCACTGAAGGGTTTTGAGGAGGTGAAAGCAAGATCTGACATCTCTTTTAAAAGAATCAGTGTGGCTATTGTTTTGAGAATAAATGAGATATAATACGTAAGGTGTTTAGCACAGTGCTTGGCCCATTGTAAGCATTCGGTAATTGATAACTGCTATTATTATTGGTGGTAAAAGTAACATCATCAATATTACTAGTGGTATTTATTTTGATATTGATACTGACTCTCTTTTATTCTTGCTTTATGAAATGAAAGCAAGGATATGGGCAAGTAGTATTGGGTGTTGGGCCTGCTATCATCTGCCCATAAGTTAAATCGGCAGAAGGTGCTGATGCCAGCAAATTCAACATGTGGTATATTTCACTCAACACATCATTGGCTGCATGACGTAAGCCCCCAGTGCCTTTACCACCCAGCTTCACATCATTAGAGACCCTCACTGTTTATTAGCTCTGGCAAACAAATCCATACATAAGGAGCCACTAGTGGTGAAGAAACCAGATGGGAAAATTTCTTCTGGCCATATTTCTCTTTCATACCTTTATTTCTTGTTCTAGTTTTTCTTCTTGGGTCTCCTTTCTTTGGTTTTCCTTAATCACTGAGTGGTGCTCAGGCAGTGGGTAGAATTCATAACAATAGTACCCTGCTCTTATAGACTATCTTTCTTCCCAGAATTTCCAAATGCCTCCTGCCCCCTCTTTTTGGGACACATCCTCTTGTTCTGTTGGCATATTTAGGCATTGCATAGAACAAAATGAGGCACAGATTATTCATTCTCCAAGACTTCACAATCTCTATTTTGGGCTGTGTATTATGTATATCGACAGAAACAATATGGTGACTCTTTTTTAAGCTAGATGGTTATGCAATGATGATGGTGTGTTTTTCCAAAGCAGCAGTAGTGGTGGCATTTATAATAATTCAGACTTAGAGTTATGAATTTCCAAGTGCATAACCATAAATATATTGAGTATCCCATATCCCTTTACAAGTGTATGCTCATGCATGTGCAGGCACACATGACCAGCAGATGTGGTTTATTTTGTTCACACAGTTTTTTCAAAAACCTGAATTTGTTGTCAACAGTTATTATAAAAATCTGGGTTTTAAGGATCTTCTTCAAAAATCAGGACACTTAGCATTCCTCTGCCCAAATTTCTCCATAGCAACCATCAGCTGGAGCTGTAGGAGCCAACCCAGTGGTTTTCAACCTTGGCTGCATAATAGAATCACGTGAGGTGGTTTTTCAAAAATACTGATGTTCGAGCCCCACCACAGACCAATTAAGCACCATTTTCAACAACAGCAATAGCAGCAAATGTTTAGTGAGTGCATATTTTGTGCAAGAAACCGCCACTCTGTAAAGAGAGCTGATATATAAAATATATTCATGTTGGGGACATATGATGTGTATAAAAATGATAAACAACTATACCGGATATAGAATATGCTTAGTACCAAGTGAACTATATAAAACAATGGTTCTTAAATTTTGCTGCATGATAGAACTACCTGGGGAGCTATGAAAACTTCTGATGCCCAGGTTGCACCCCAGATCAGTTAAATTGGAATTGGGAGGAAGAAAAGGTGCTCAGGCATTAGCATTTTTAAAAAGTTGTTCATGAACAATTATGTATCGGTAAAAAGCAGTTCTCCATGGGATTCCAGTGTGCAGGAATGTTTGAGAAGCAGGATAGAGAGCAGGGCTTCAAAAACTTTAATGTTAATATGCATCGCCTGCGTATTAAATGCAGCTTTTTACAGAAGGTCTGGGAATGAACCTGAGGTTCTGCATTTCTAACAAGCTCCTAGGTGATGCTGATGCTGCTGGTCTACTGAACACATCTGGACACAAGGGTGTAGTGAATAGACTTTGCTACATTTTCGCTCTGTGAACCTTAGTAGCTAATTTCAATGGGCAGCAGTGTTCTTGGCTTAAAAATCAGCATAACAATTCCCACCCTTGGAGTGCTGTTAGGGTTAAATGCAATAATAAACATGTGTAAAGCACCTGGCACAGCAGATAATCAATAAATGTTGCTACTATCACTGGAATTTAGAAAAGAAAGGCATAATCTAGGAAGGCATGAAGGGGATTACTGGAGCACATCTTTAGGGGTCTTTGAAATAAGGCCTTGGATTAATAGAAAGAATAGCCAGCTCTGGTGTTCTTTGTAATGAGTGGTTGAGTTTCACAGTTAATCTTCAAAATATGTACTTTTAGTTTTAATTTGCTTTCTGCCTTTATGCAAAACTGCTGCCAAATAACAAGTTTTTTTAAACGGACAAATTTGAGTTCACTTTCTCTGCTCCTGCCACCCTCTGGTGGAGGCACCAGCAAGCTGTAAAGTGGCCAGAAGTGGGTAGCAGAAAGAATGGACAGATAAAGCCAAAGTCATGCTGAGGGCCATGGCTGTCCCCACGCACATGGGCAAAGAATACAACTCAACTGAAAATGTGTTTTTAAAAATAAAATACTTATAGTTTTGAATCATGGCAATGTTTCCAGTGACAGAAGTGAGGGAAGTAGAAAAAAGATTGTAGAAAAGTCTAGAGTTGTTAAACTAATGAGAAAATTGTCTAGTTTTCTACTATTAGAAGGAATGGTGGTTTTTAAACATGGTCACAAATTCTTTGGCATTCTCTCATCAAGAGATAAAGGTCTATATCCCCTCCCCTTGAATTTGGGCAGGCTTGTGACTTCACTGACTGAGAGAATACAGCAGAAGAGACACTAAGTGACTTCTGAGGCTAGACCATTAAAGGCCATGCAGCCTCCTCCCTGTTCACTGGAACACCTGCTTTTGGAGCCTCAGTCACCATCTAAAAATTCCAACTACCCTGAAGCTGCCATGCTGGAGAGGCCACATCTGGGAACTCTGGGAGATAATCCCAGCTCAGCTAAGCCTTCCTGTCATCCTTGCCCAGGTGTCATGCAAGTGGGTGAAGCCATCTTGTACTTCCATACCAGCCCAGCCACCAACTGAACTTCACTGAGTATCCTTAATTAACACCATGTGAAGGCAGAAGAACCATCCAACGAAGCCCTGCTTGAATTCTGGACCCACAAAATCATCAGACGTGATAAAAGTGGTTGCTGTTTTAAGCCACTAAATTTTGGGGTGGCATGGTGTTGCTTCACAGCAATAGATAACTGGAACAGAAGGTTTTGTTTTAGTTTTAGTATAAGAGTCACATTCATTCTTCCCATTGAGGAAAATTACATTTTATTTGTGTATATCAAGGAAGTCGTGAGAGCATAAAGAACATTCAGGACTCAAGAGAGCTAAGTTCTTTTATTGATGTCATTTATTCCTAAATTAATCTATATTATAATCTGACCTCAGTAAAATATTAAGGGAATGTTTTGACAGTGGATTGACTGGTTCAGTGGTTTCTGATGTTCTTATGGAAAAATAACCATGCGAGAATTGACAGGAAAACATCAGTGTAAAGGAGACAAAGAGGAGAGCCCAGTCTTACACAAATGTTAAAATACACTATAAATCAAGGGGAATTACAACAAATTCATACCAACACAGAAGTAGGCAGACAAATGAACAAAATATAATAGGGACTGGAAAGTATAGTGTAAATATTTATGAGAATTTGGTATATGATAAAGATGACATTCAGAATAATGAGAAAAGGATGCATTATTCTTTAATTAATGTTGGGTCAATGGGCTATTTGGGAAAAATAACAAAGCTGAATACACAGCTACTACTTATGCCAAAATAAATTCCAAATGAATCAAAGACTCCAACATAAAAACAAACCATTAAAGTACCAGACAAGTTTTTAAAAATAACTCTGGAGTGCCTAAGGCCTTTCTAAGCAAGACACAAAACCCAAAAGCTACAAAATAAAGGACAGTTATGTTATGTTTGGCTATATAACATTTATTTATGGCAAAAATATAATGCCATCAACAAAGTCAGATAAATACACTGGAAAGTATATTGGTAACACAAATGACAAGGGCTCATTTAATTACTATATACAGCACTCTTATGAATTAGTAAGAAAAACAATATCTAATAGTAAAGTGTGCAAAGCATTTATTAATTTATTCATCAAATATTTATTAAACATCTACCAGGAACCAGTCACTGTTCTCTGGGCTAAGGATATAGTAGTGAATAAAACGAAGTTCCTAATTCCATGGAGCTTCCATTCTAGTCAACAGACATAAATGACAAAAAATAAACAATCAAGTACTATTTCAGGCAGTGATAAATCTGCAAGGGAAACTAATGCAAGGCAAGGAAGTAAAGAATGATAGGGGAGTGGTTGCTAAAGACAAAGTTTTCAGAAAAACAAAATGACGGAAGTGTATGAAAAGACGCACATTGTTAAAATACATACATTCCACCAGTACAGCGTAGTTTATAATCTCAAAGAACAGCGTACAACCTAAAAGTCTGTCACTAGGGGAATGCTTTAATTATAAATGGAATAAGAACAACGGAATACTGTGTAACCCCCTCAGAAGTGGACAATAAATTTGAGTATATTGATATGAAAAGAGTTCAAATTAAGGGCCAAACAAAATGAGAAAGATAGATAACATTATAATATGAATACTCTTCTATGAAAAAAAGAATACATAGGTATATATGTATGTGTATGCCAGGAACATTTCTGGGAAGATAAATAAGGTTTTAATGAGGGTCACAAACTCTATGGAGACTCATTTTTCATGATATGCTCTTTTGAACTTTTTAAATTTTTTTAACCACATAATGTTTTATTTCTATTCAAATGGTAAGAGTTTTTTGGTGTTTTTTTGTTTGTTTGTTTTTTGTTTTTTTTTTTTTTTTTTTTTTTTTTTTGGGAGAGACAAGGATTCCAGTCCTGGCACAAGATTAAGACTGAGAAAGTCACTTTACCTTTCTGCTTGACTCCTTGCTTTTCCCAATTGTGAAAAGAGGAATTTGAATGAAATTATCTTTAGACATCCCTTGAAGCTCTGAGATTTTGAGCCTAAAATATTGGTGTTCATTTTGGGGGACAAAAAAAAACATAAAACCAACAAAACTGAGTCAAGGATACCACCTCATTTTATTTCAATCTTCAGGTCAGGTGCCTCACCATAAATAAGAGCCTTTACATTTTTAGTTAAATTATTGGCCATAGGTCACCGAGAATCATGGCTAGGTGCTGAAAATTTTTAAGTCTAAGTCTGTATATATTGCCAAAGAATAATTTATTCTAAGTCTTTACCTTCCTATAACCCATCTCCCCTGAAGAAAGTTCTCATGACTGGCAATCAGAGACCATCTTTGGTGTAAGGGAGTCTGACAGGAGGGTGGGAGAAGGAAAGCCTCGGTTCCTTTGTGTACGTTCCTTCTTTTCTGCATATTCAGGGGGCCTCTCTGATATGGCCAGGGAGGAATCCCAGTGTATAGAAAATGGTTTTCACCATCATGTCTGACTTGGCCCTACTAGTGACTTTTTTGGTACCAACAATTGAGGTGCTGCTGTAACAAATACCTGAAAGCATGGAAGTGGCTTTGGAACTGAGTAAGGGGTAGAGGCTGGAAGAGTTTTGAGGTGTATGCTAGAATTATAGACTTTAAGGGCAGTTCTAGTGGGGTCTTAGCAAAGCCAGGAATAGAATGGGATCATATTAGCAAAGACACTGCCAGTTGGAACTAAAGGAGACAGACAAAACAGGACAGAATGAAAGAAGCCTGTTGGATTTCTTAGACTTGACTGGCCTGGACCATAGAACTATTTGGCTGTGAGCATGTACTATTCTTAAGAAAAGGGGAGAAGAGCCTGCAAAGACAATTCAGAGATCATCAGGGCCACCATCTCAGTTTCAACAGGCCAGACAGCCTTCCACTAAAGTCTTGGGTCTAGGACTGTCCGGTGGAACCTTTGAGGCGGTTCAGGACCACCTGGAGTTTTGGGGGCTGGACCACCACCACACCAGTGGACCAGAAGGGCAGAGCATCAAACCAAAGAGGATTATTCTCAATCCTAAAGTCTGATTAAATTTGTCTTGCTAGATTTGGACTTGCTCAAGATCCTTCACCCTCTCCTTTTTTCCTAGTTCTGTTTGGAATGGGAATGTCTATGCTGTGTCTTTCTCACCATTGAATTTTGGAAGCACATAATTTGTCTGGTTTCACAGGTTCACAGCTGGAGAAGAATTCTGCCTCAGGATGAATCATACCTCAAGTCTCACTCATATCTGATTTAGATGATATTTAGATGAGACTCTGGACTTTAGAGTTGTTGCCAGAATGAGTTAAGACTTGGGGAACCATTGGAATAGAATGAAGGTATTTTTCATATAGCTAATTTGTAGGAGTTTCCATGATAAGCCAGACTCTGATATACAAGTGCTAAGATTATAGAAACTCCTCCAGACCCACAGATGACCCTGCCATGTGTTTTTACTAATATACGTATACCTTGTGTACACCCTTTCTGCCTTCAGGTGAATGCACTGAGCCTCACTGCCCATTTGGCGTGACCTCACTGGCATCTCTCTGGTATAGCCAGGAAGGAATTACAGTGTAGAAAAATTGTGGTTTTTTATACTACTAAGTCTCTGTCAGCCACCTTACTGTCTTTTATGCCCTCATTCCTAAGTGTTTCGTTGTGTATTTCCTAAGAACAAGCACAGCCTCTTACATAACTACAGGCTGGTTATCAAACCCAGGAAATTCAACATTGATACATACTATTATTGAATTGACATCCTCTGTTCAAATTTTGTCCATTGTCCAATCATGTCTTTGGTAACAATTCTTTTTCCCAATTAGGATCCATTCCAGGATATCATGCTGCATTTGGTCGTCATGTCTCATTAGGCTCCTTTATTATACAGAAACATTTCCTCAGCCTTTCTTTGTGTTTCCTGACCTTGGTATTTTTGGAGGATACAAGCCAATTATTTTGTAGAATGTCTCCAGTGTGTATTTCTAATATTTCCTCAAAGATATGTTCAGGTGATGTGCCTTTGGAAGGAAACACCACATTAATGATCTCATGTCCTTCTCAGTGCATCATATCAGGAAGCACATGATGCCACTTTACTCCATTATTGAGGATGTTAGTTTTAATCACTTGGTTAAGGTGCTGTCTGTTGGGTTTTCTCATTGGAAAGTTACTATTTTCTTCTTTGTAATTAATATATGTTATGTGAAATTAAATACCTTGAGACCATACAAATGTCTTTTCCTCCTTAAATTTTCACCTCTAGTTTTAATATCCATTCTGCCTTGAGGAAGAGTTTTCCCTTCTCCTCTGTTTGTTTGTTTGTTTACTCATGTGTTTATTTATCTGTATCAATGTGGATTTATGGAGAAATCCACTTTTTTATCTTGAGCCTTCTGTGAGCTCCTCATTGGAGGATGGATGGAAAGGAAAGTCTTCACAGCCTTGGGGGATTCAAAATCTTGTTTCCAAACCAAGTTCTTTTAATTAACTTAGAAGTTTGCTCTTCACTTTTACTCATGAGTTGACACAGTAATCCTTTATTTGAGAGTGGAAATCCAGACAGAGCCGAAACTCATCCCCTCCTACCCTTCCATTCGGATTTCCTTCTCCTTCCTCCAGTGTGTACTCTCAGTAGCCCAAGTGTCAGTTCCAAATTCAGTAGCCAATGTCTTAGCCTAAGATTGGCAGACACTCTAAGATGTTGAAAAAGTTTGCTTTCCCAATATAGACAAGAAAACCCAATGGTGAGATCCTAGTCACTCATTATGCTTTGTGTGTTCTTCCAAAGTAAACATATTTCTGTCCAATTTGTGATAGCATTTGAAGTTCCTTTAACTTTTTTTTAACTTTTATCTTAAGTTCAAGGGTACAAGTTCAGATTTGTTACATAGGTAAATTTGTGTGATGGGGGTTTGTTGTATAGATTATTTCATCACCCAGGTATTAAGCCTACTACTCATTAGTTATTTTTTCTGATCCTCTCCCTCCTCCTATCCTCCACCCAAAAGGCCCTAGTGTGTGTTGCTCCCCTTTATGTGTCCATGTATTTTCATCATTTAGCTCCTACTTATAAGTGAGAACACGCAGTGTTTGGCTTTCTGTTCCTGTGTTAGTTTACCAAGGATAATGGCCTCACTGTTCACAATAGCAAAGACATGGAACCAACCTAAATGTCCATCAGTGATAGACTGGATAAAGAAAATGTGGCACATATACCCCATGGAATACTATGCAACCTTTAAAATTCTTAATAGAAGCATTTAATTGAAATCAGGGCACAAGACTACCATATTGTAAATGATGTACTTAGTATCCTCCTAAGATTTTTTTAATTTTAGCAATGCTTAGCAAGAGATTGAGATGACTTGCCCTCATCTTAGTGTTTAAAATTTGCTATGCATATGTGCTTTATTAAATATTGCATTATTTAGATTAAGAGATAAAAAACAAACCTATTTTTTAAAATTAAGGGGCTTATTAATACAAAGTTTTATAGGAGTTTTCTTTCCTTTGTTTGCTTTGTTTTGTTTTTATCATATGGAATCGCCTAATATATAAAGTCAGAGAAATAAATGATAAAACAGATTAACCTGCCTTTTTCCTTCCTGCACCTGGCAATGCAACACTGAGCCTTTGGTGATATCCACACTGACCTGCACAGTTCAGGAAAGTGACAAAGTAACTAGAAACCACATGAAAAATGAAGACACTTTATTTGACTTGTATGCTTCTGTGCTTGCTAATTCACAGTGAATTGTCTATGGTCCTAGCTTGAATACACAGCCTCATTTCTTTGTGCGACCTTCATTTCCTTGTCAAATGTCTATAGAGATTTGTCTATTGCTCAGTTTTGCCTGTAGCCAGCTGGGTGACATGAGTTGCTGTAGAACTGTGAAACTCTACACCAAGCAATTCATGGCTGTGTGACATTTACACTGACTGTGTGTAGGCTATCTAAACCTTTAGCGTTACTTATGGACTACAGTTTTAAACTATTCTACACATCCCACATGAAAAAAATATACAAGACAAAGAGTGTTTCTGACAAGAGGTTTTTTTTTTGTAAGTTGGTTTTTCTTTATGCAAATATACTTGGGGGGTAAGAATCCATGTTTCACTTTTACTCTGCATGTGATTCACTCTTGTGTTCAGTCTGCCTGCTCTCCTTGTTGAATTGCAATTTAACCCCTGAAGTTGTCATTAAAGAGAAAATCGACAAAATTTTATCCAGATATTTGTCAATCAATGAATGAAAAAACTAGAGTTTATAAAGAAATATAGTATTACATTTTTAAAAATAGCTTTATTTATCAAGCAATCAAAGCAATCTATACCTAAAGTGGGAATTTGAAAAACAAGGAAAAGAATAAAAAAGAAATTGAATATTCATTCTTAATTTCACTAGCCAGTGTTTATAGCTCTTCTTAATATTTTGGAGTGTTTCTTCCAAGTCTTTTTCTATGGATATGTAGTATATGTGTATGCTTAAAATATGGTTGAATTCATATTTTGTGTGTATAGTTTTTCATCCTGCTGTTTACATTTAATATTTTGTTGTGATGAATTCTTGCATTGTGCGTTTGTAGGTTTGAGTTTGAATGGCTGCGCAAAGACCTTTTAAAACCAACCACCCCGGTTTGAAATTTGCAGGCTGCTTCTGATTTCATACTGCTAAAACAAATGTTCCTGTAGACATCTGTGAAGGCAAATCTTAGACTGCATTTTTGGCTTCTGGTCCATTAAGCCCTGTTACATTCCTTGTCATTTTTGACCCTTTCTAGCTAAAGCAATGACCAGTCACGTTCACCTCTCTTCTCTAGCTCACAGCCCTATCCTCATAGGGACAGCATTACTGAACTGGACCATGGTGCTTGGCCTAAAACATGTTTTCGTTTCTTTGGTTGTTGAAGATAAGCCAGAATGGCAGCTTGCCCAAAAGTGATCCAAGAACTTTTGTATGGAAGTTTTGTTTAATAGTACTAACAGGAATGTTTTTAAAATAAAAGTTTTATTAAGGTTAAATTTGTTCCTGTGTTAGAAAGATAAGGTTTATTCTCACATGCCTGAACTAGTTCCTTCCAACATGTTTGCTAGCTTTTCTGTTGACACAAAATGTCAATGGCCTGAGAAAGACTTTACACCCTCAAAAGAGAGATAAAGGAAACTCAAGACCATGAGCTTCTTTATCACAGTGATACACATAGATGCTCACACCATTCTTCATTGTCAGTTGCAGAACCCTTTGTTCCTCTTCCAAAAAGTGTCTTTGTGTTTCTCAGAATGAGCTGGCTCACTCTCTCCCATCTGTCGGAAATGCAAGAGAACTTCATGGAAAGCAAGAGTATATAGGGTTCCCTGTAAGGTTAGAGGTGAGCTCCAGGCACTTAGTCCCGGTCACCATCTGCTCTCATGTGTCTAGCACTACAGACATTGTTACAGAGGTGGGACAGGAAGTGTCTGTCCTACAGGTGTTAAGCTTCTCATTCCCAGCACCTTGGGTGCCTTGGGATGACCTTTTCTCTCCTGTCTCTGCTCTGACTGATTTACTGTGTGACTTTGAGAGTGTGTTTTAAGGACTTGTTCTGGAAAAGATTAAGACAATTTCTAAAGATGCATACACTATAAGAAGTTGACCTAAATAAGAACAAAAGGTGAGAAGGCAAAGGAAAACAAGGCTAACAACAAATTGGAGTTTAGGCCAAATTAACAAAATGCATACCACTGTTCATTCAATAACATTTTATTGAATGCCTAATATGTACCATTGTCTAGAAGACAATGTTTTTCAAACTTCGTTGCAACACATTAATGGCCTGGGAAACCATCTTAGTAAGTGCCCATCATTTTGAAAGGATTAGGATGTGAAGGCAAGAACAGAATATCGGAGGGCATTGCACAAAGTAAGGGTATTATATCCTTTACGTAACTTTCAGATTTATGTGTGTGTTTGTGCATTAGGTCATGATATAAAATTTCTCTCTGTGGCCATGGCAAAGAAAGTTTTAAAACTACTGATCTAAGGGTATACACAAATTTAGGGCTGAGTTTTTTAGAAGCCAATGGGAAGAGAAAAAACTGATTTCTTGCATGATTTGGGGTGCTGATCTACAACTATACACAAGAAAAAAATTTCTGCTATTCTTCACCAAGAAAAAAAAATGAATAACATACTAAGCAGCGTATTTACAGAAAATCCTGAAAACTTAATGCTGTTTCTTTTAGCCTCCTCTTTTATACCATTTCATATAGATACTACATGCAGGGTGACAGCACCATGTTATGTCTGAAATTTTCCCTGATGTAAGCTGTAGGTCCCATCACTGTTCCCTGCCACATGTTTGTATTCTTATGAATGCTAAGTAGAAAAAAAAGTATTGATATTTCTTAAAGAAATTACCTTAAATAAACCTTTTTATTAAAATGAAACATACACACAGAGATGTACACAAATCATTAGCATACAGCTTAACAAATTTTCACAAAACAAATCCACCTATATGATCACCATTTAGATCATGAAATGCAATACTGACAAGAAGCAAAAACTCTCTTCACACCGGCTTTCAGCCTGTCCCCAAAGGAGAGACTGAACTCCCTGGAGTTCTAAAACCAGAGTTTAATTTTGCTTAGTTTTGAACTGTATATAATGGCCTAATATAGAATATACTTTCTTGTGTCTGGCATATTTTGCTCAATATTATGTTTGGAAGACTCTATCATTTCTGACTTGAATTGCACTGTATTACAAGTTTTAATCTGTTCTACTATTGATGAACATTTTAATTGTTTTCAGCTTTTCATTATTATGCAAAGAGCAGCTATGGACATTTTTGTACAGGTCTTTTGGTGACCACGTGTACACATTTCTGTTAGGTTTGGGAGTGAAGTTGCTGGTTAATAATATATGTGTATTCAGCTTTAGGAGATATTATAGAACTGTCAAAATGATTATACTTCACCAACAGTGTATGAGAATTCCAGTTTCTTCACATCTTCTCCAATACTAGGTATTGGCAGTATTTTTAATTTTAGCCATTCTGGTGGACGTGTATAGATATCTCATTGTGTTTTAAATTCACACTCTCCTGATAAATAATGAGGTCGAGCACTTTTTATATGTTGGTTTGCATTTGAGTATCTTCTTGTGTGAGAATATCCAAGTCTTTTGGCCATTTTATACTGGGTTATCTTTTTCTTAATGATTTATTGGAGTTCAATATATATTCTGAATATGATTCCTTTGTAAGTCATCTGTAATGCAATTATTGTTTCCCACTTTTCACTCTCATAATGGTGTCTTTTGGTGAACAGAAGTTCCTAATTTTAATATAATCTAATTTCTTACCTTTTCCTTTATTACCTCCTTTTAACATTTATTGTTTACTTATTTCTTTTTTCCTCTATTGTTAATGCTGTTTGTGTCCTGTTTAAGAAAACTTTGTTTACCCCCAAATCATGAATATATTCCCATATGTTATCTTTCTGAGGATTTCGTGTTTCACCTTTTACATTTTTACCAGCAACCCACCTGGGATTGATTTTCCTGTATCATGTGAAGTGAGGTACAAAAATATTTTTTACAATATGGGTATCCAGTTAACCTACCACCATTTATTCAGGACAATGCCCTTTCTCACCACAATGCAGTGTCACCTTTAATGATTAATGATGGTATATGTGTTTCTGTTTTTGTACTCTCTTTGGAGCTCTTGTGATCTATTTGTCTATCCTGTGTCAATAGCATACTGTTTTAATTAATGTAGATTTATAATCCTGTAACTGGTAGTGTTAAGTCCTCTAATATTCTTCTCCTTCAATTTTGCCTTGATTATTCTTGGCTCATTGCTATTTCACATATATCTTAGAATTAGTTTACTAATTTCCACCAGAAAAAAAAACCCAAGACTTATGAGATTTTGATAGGGATTACTGTATATTGAATCTATATACTAATTTAGGGAGAATTGACATTTTACAATATTGAGGCGCCCAATCTATGATCATGTATTGATCTCTTCTGCTTTTTCTCAGTAAAGTTTTGTAGTTTCCCATTTAGAAGTCTTGGATATCTTTTAAAAATGGATTTTAAAGTATTTGATATTTTTATGCCAATATAAATGGTATAATTTACTGAATTTTATTTTCTAAATGTTTGTCGTTGGTATATAGAATTCCAATTGACTTTTATATGTTGATCTTATATCCAGTGGTGTGGCTTTATTAACTTATTAGTTTTAATAATTTATCTGGAGGATATTTTGGTTTTCCTCATACACCATTATGATTTCAAAGAATAACCACAGTTTTATCTCTTCCTTTTTCAGTCTTTTTTTTCCTCATTGCAAAGCCTGCAATTTCTAGTATAATGTTTTATAGAGGTGGTTATAGAAATTATCCTTGAATTATTCTTAGTCTTAGGGGAAACTTTCAATATTCATCATTAGCATGTTTGTTATACAGTTTCATCAAATTGAGAGCGTTTTCTTCCAATCCCAGTGTGTTGTAAATTGGAGAGTAAATCCCCCTTGTGAGGTCTTTAAGGATCACTTCAGTAAGGCCATGGAAATACTATGAGAGGCATATGCAATTAAATGATCTGTTATGCTTGCAGGTCCTAGAAAGGAAAGCACAGCACATCGTGCAGAAGGCCGCATGGGAAAAGGGCCAGGTGAGCGGGCTCACTAAGTAACTGGGGAGCGAAGAGAGTGAGGACCTACAAACTGTGCCTCTTTAGTGGGTCAGGAAGGCATATACAAGGAAAAGGCATGAGGGGATTTCATTGGTGTGTTTGAATGTCACTAGGTGACATTCAGGGGAAGGAAAGAAGGGGGACTTGTGGCAGGGACCAGCCTTATTACACTAGTACAACCTGGTCACTGGGGCAGGGCGTGTTCACAATCTATTGTAGGGCTGTTCAGGCATTTTCAAAATTTGCCATACACCTAGTTTGCTGAGTGTTTTATCATGAATAGATCAATGCATCCGTTTAAAGGACCAGATGCTTTTCATTTTTCTGTCAATAGAGTGCTTTACATTGATAGCTAATATTAAACCAACCTTATATTTTTAAAAGAAAACCCTCTTGCGTTAACGTGTTATCCTTTTAAAATTATCTCAGGATTCGGTCTGCTAACACTTTGTTTACTTTTTCTTCCAAATTCATAAAAAATACTAGTTGATAATTTTCTTTTCTTATAATACCCTTATACTGTTACGGGATCAAGACTATGCTGGCCTCATAAAATGAGTTTCATCAAATGAGATGAGACATGATCCCACTTCTTCTATAACCTGAATGAACTATGTAAAATTGGTGTGGTTTTTCCTTTAAGTATTTAGTAGAACTCACTCTCCAGCAGTTTAGGCCCAGAGAATACTGTGTGAGTAGATTTGTAGGTACAAATTCAGTTTCTTTAATGAGTATAGTACCATTCACATTTTTATTATTTTTTCCTGTTTGAGTAAGGTTTTTTTTTAAGCAATGTGTCCATTTCATTGACATTTTCAAATATTGCCATGAAGTGTTCATGTATCCCCTTATCTTTTTATTGTCTGTAGGATTTATAGTGATTTCTTTTTTTTATTCTTTAAAAAGAAATTTTTTAAAAATTTTAAAGGTTTTTTTCTTTAAAAAGAAAAAGAAAAATTCTTTATTCTTTTTTTATTATTTATTATTTTTATGTAATTTTTCCTTTCTCTTCTTTTATCTTAATAAATCTGGCTATAGGTTTATGATTTTATTAGTATTTTCAAAGAACCAGTTTTTGGCTTGATTGATTTTCTCTGTTACAGTAACTCTGTTCTCTGTATTACTAATTTCTGACCTTTGTTATTTTCTCCTTTCCACTTTTGTTGACCCTAATATGGTATTATTTTTAGGGCTTCTTGAAATGGATACTTAAATCATTGACTGTCTTATTAGATCCTTGGCTGTCATTTTTTCTGATACATGCATTTAAGTATAGAAATTTCCCTCCACTCACACCTTTAGCTGCATCTCACACACTTGAGATGGCATGTTTTCTTCTATTTCAGTTAATAATATTGTCTAATTTCCATTGTGCTTAATCTTTGACCCATGGGTTAATTAGAAGGGTACTGCTTAATTTCCAAATATTTGTGTAATTTTTAGTTATTTTATTATTGATTTCTGTTTAATTATGCTGTGGTCAGTAAACATCTTATGTTTGATTTTTGATCTTTGAAATTTATTCAGACTCATTTATTATCAACACATAAATTTTGGTAAATGTTCAATGTGTATTCTGTAATTGTTGGCTGTAATGTTATAAATCAATTAGGTCAAATGTGTTCATCACCTTATCCTTATCTACGTTCTTACTCATTTTTAATAGCCTGTTCTACCAGTTACTGAGAGAGGTGTATTAAACCCTCCCACATTAATTGTGGATTTTCTTATCTCTTTTTCTAGTTCTAGCAATGTTGGCTTTATATATTTTGAGGCTTAATAACTAGGTACATTCAGATTTAGCGCTCATATCTTTCTATTGGATTCTTTTACTATTATGAAATGTCTTTTTTATCTCTAGTAATATCCCTTGTCATTAAGTTTACAGTATCTGATATTAACATAATTTACATGTAATTTTTTCAATCCTTTTTTTCTTTGAAATTGTGTGTCCTAATATCAAAAGTGTCTCAGTTAAGCAGCATTTAACTGGGATTTAAAAAATAATATAGTATATGTAGATTTTGTGAACTGTTTTTCTGCATTTTATGCAATTACTGATATATCTGGGTTATAATCCATCATATTACTCTTTGACATTTTATTTGCCCCAGTTATTTACTGTTCCTTTTCCTCTCCTTTGTTACCATATTTTGAATTAATGAAATATTTCACCTCTACTGGCTTGTTAGTCATTTATTCTTTTACTCTTCTTTTAGTGGTTACCCTAGGAATTACAAAGTGAATCATTAATTTATTAGTATATAATATAAGTTGTGACTTTGACTACTTTCCAGAAAATGCAAGGGACTTAATTTTACTTACCACTCCTCCCTTTTGTATTATTGTCTCACATTTCAATTCTAGTTATGTTTTAAATCCCACAAGATATAACAATTATTGTTTTAAGTAGTTAATATTCATTTAGATTTACTGCGTATTTACCATTTCTGTTGTTCATCATTCCTTCCTGTGTTTCCAAGCTCCCATCTGGGATATTTCTCCTTCTACTGGAAGTATACTTCTTTAAATATTCTTTTAGTTTTGGTCTGCTTTATTAACTTTATTTAATTTTAATTAAATAAAGCAAACTTTATTAGCTTTATTAAAGTCTCATTGACATAAAATAAATTGTGTTTAAAATATACAATTTGATAAATTATGACATATGTATACGCTGTTAAAGCATCCCCACAATCAATACAATGAACCAATCCAACACTCCTCAAAAGTGTCCCAGTTTGACACTTTAAATGTGGAGCATAACTCTAGGGGCACTTAGAACCATCCCTTCTTTTCCTGGGTTTTTGTATTGAGTTCAGCATAGAACTAGACCAATATCTGCCAATTCCCTGGGCCAGCATAATAATAAAAACAACACTTACAGCATGCTTTCTTGAGCCAGGCACTCTTCTAAGCACTTTATACATTTTTAATATTGAACTTACTAATTTAATCCTCATCACGTCTCTATAAATTAAGTATTGTTATTGTCCTATTACGGAACTTGAGGCACAGAGTAGTTTGCTGCACTCTGCATGCCTAAAGTGTCTATTTGTTTTTATTATTATGTTGTTTCAGTTCTAATTGTGTCCACTCAATCAAAAGAACCATTATAAAGCTTGTTCTTGTATATAACCTTGACTGACAGCCTCAATCCCCAGATTCTGCTATTGCTCCTTCATGGATAGTGGTTTCCCTGCCATGCTTTGTTTGGCGATCCTCTAGGAATGATTCTCTGAAGTGGTGAATGCCATCCTTGTTTAAAGGGGTAGGAGGGACAATAATCTAATTCTACCTAAGAGAGAAGACAGTAAACTGATGCTGTGTTTCCATTGCTGTTGGAAAAAGGACAGTAAATGACAGCAAAATTGAATAGCTTGATAGTTGCACCGTATAAATTACCCAGCGGAAGAGATGTGTTGAGAGGGAAAGTGAGGATTTGATCTCTGCCTTTCAGTTTTCAGTCATTGTCAACCACAAACTACAAAAATTGGCTCAGCAAACCTTGGCTTCATCCAGGATACTAGGGAGCAAGCCAAGAGATTTTTTTTTTCCCCTGCTAAGTTGCTCAGGATTGGTCTTTTGTGGATATGTTTACATTGGTGAATAAAGTCAGAGTACTTTAGTCATTTTGCTTCAGTAGTGTTTTTCATACTGTGGTTGGGCTATATTAGTGGGTAATGAAATCAATTTAGCAGATTATTACTAACTTTTTAAAAAATGAAATAGTACATAAAATAGAACAAAATAGGGTAGAGTTAAATGGAATAGAAGGTATCCAAGTGTATCACAGGAGTAAGAATATTATTTTGTGGAACTTTTGTTTCGGAGATATATATATATATATCCCTACATATTTGTGTATATGTGTGTTACAGGTTAAAACATTATTTTTTATTGTGGATCATGGTCAAATAATTACTGCTGGGAATTTAGTACATTAGAGGATTTTTTTTACAATTTTGTGAGAATATTTTTCTATATAGATAGTTTTCCAAATGTTATTTGTTTCTGTTTGAACAGGTCATACGTCAGAATTTGATGTTCAGGGGAGCAGGGAAAGTCTTCATGCTGATGTAGAGAGTAGTAATTTTCTTGTTGATCAACTACAAGTAGAAAACAAATTTGGCTTATCTGAATCTGTCTTTATTGTGGTTCTATGTTGAAATTACATGTCTTTTCAAATGTCAGATAGAAAACATCCCAAGGAAATAAAATCACCATAGTGACATTCAAATGCCAACCCAAAAGTCACCATCCTTTAAAACACAGGTGGCTTTTGGCAATACTATACACCTACTTGCCAGTGATTGGAGTTCAGAATTTACCAAACAATATAGTTGCTCATAGTTGATTGTGATGACATGTGCTGTTTTTAAAACTTTACTATGATAATTGTATAATAGAGTAAGTTTTCATGTAAATACAGTTTTCCCTCCTAATTCAGCTTAGTTAAAATCTGTGTCAATTGCTTTGAATTAACATTAAATGGATTCATGAACTTGGGTAAGACCTAGTTAGTAATCCAACTGTATGTGATTAAATTTCCCACATGTGGGAAATAAATATATATATATATAAATAATATATAATATATAAATAAATAATATATAATATATAAATAAATATATATATATCAGTATGTAATACATTCTGCCAAATATACCCATTCACTGGTACTAGATCTTTACGAAACTAAAGAACAGTCAATACAATAAATATTAATAAAAATACTAGCTCTAGAAAATGCCTTACAGCAGAGATGGCATGTAAGTTTCTTCTTAAACTGGTTGGCAATGCCTGTCTGGGTGCTATTTGAGAAGGATTTGGAGATTGTGGTTGGATTCAGTAGTAAAGAAAGATTGCAATTGATTAGTCATCTCTGTGGTGAACATGGGAGATGGGCAGTGATGATATATATGCTTTATGTTTATCTTAGAACTTTCTAGTTTAGTAAATTGTTATGGTATCTTGGAAACAGGAGTTGCTTTGTCTATTTTATAGAAGGAAGAAAAAGAATAACAGATGGATGTTGCCCATAGTTAAGCCTTTCAGTACTCTTGCGCTTGTTTCGTTTCTGTTCAGGTTCAGCTAGATTATTTGTTTAGTCCATGCCTCATAAATGTTTCCATTTTCTCCTTTTTTATTTCCATTGCCACTGTTATGTTTTTGACCCTCATTAAAGAAATTATGATAGAAGCTTTCTAGATGACTTCCTTGCTTCTGGTGCTTAAACAGTTTTGATGGGGTCAGAGGTCATAGACTCCACTGAAATCCATGCAACAGCTATGCACCATCTCTCAGGAAATTGAATGCTCGAACAAACTTCTACAAATTACTTAAGGAGGGTTGTGAATTCCCTGAGGTCTACACTTAAATTAATAACCCCTAGTCTGGTTTGCCATTCTCTAATTGATCCTTCACATTTCTATCAGGCTAATATTCCTAATGCACAACAGGTATTATATTATCCTTTGCTCAGAGCCATTAAATTTCCCATTGCCTTTAGAACAAAAGTCCAATCTGCTTGGATTAGAACCAAGTCTTTCAAGCTGTAGCACTGTTTCTGCCTTTGCAGCCTCATCACCCATTCTCTACCTCTGTTTCCCTCTCCCAAACACACAACCTTCTAAGCCAAACCAGAATACTTGCTATTCCCTCGGTATTTCCTGCACTTCGCTCCTATAGTTGCTGCAGCCTGGGCATTCTTTCCCTCATTTCCACCTAGTTGGGCCCTTTCTAACCTTCAGGCCCTGTATCTTTTCTGATTCTCTTATTTTTAAGGATGTCACAAAAGCACTGAGCAACACCTTGTATGGTACCTTGCACAGCATGACTGTGTATTCACCTGCTTGCCCACAGATCCTCTCCATGCCCTGCCTCTGTATTACTGAGGGGCTGCCTCCTGAGGTATGTGCCTCCTCTGGGTTCAGCCATTGGAAGGCCTTGGAGGAAGATCGGAGGACTGAAGGAAGGGAGAAGCCAGGGTATTTCTTCTCCACTCTCTCTGCCTCAGACAGTATCTCTGACAACAGTTGTGTCTCCTCTGTGGCTTCAGTTCCTGCTGGAGTGGCCAGTTAAAGCTTTCAGTTTCTGCTGAATGACCCCCACCCCAGGGCTCCAATATCAACACCTCCATTCTCATCTCGATAGCTTAGGGGTTTCCTGCTGGATGCCTCATTCTCCCCTGTTCGACTTCACATCTTTTCCTTCACTTACGTAATCAATCCCCTGCATTATTCTCTTTCTGTTTAAATACTTAAACCAGTTTATGTTTTCCTGGATAACCCTGATTGATACAGCTGGTGTTTGATGGATATTTGCTGAATTTTTTAAACCATTTTCTATGTAGGCATCTCTCTCTTTTTTTTTTTTTTTTTGAGCGCAACAGGGATAAGCCCTCTATCAGTTATCTAGTGCATAATGACATTATTTGGAATTACCAGGGATAGTAACAAATTACCACAAAACATAGTTTGAAATGATTAGCATTCAGTAGCTCATGAGTATGAGAGTTGGCTGGGTGATTCTGCCAGTCTTGGGTGGGCTCACTCATGCATTTGTGGTCAGCTGTATGTCAGCTAGGTGACTCTGCTCATCTTCCTTGGGCTGTCTTATATGGATGGGACTTGGCTGGTCTAGGCTGACCTGGGGTGGCCTTGGTGGAGACAACTGATGTGAGTCAACTCTGCTATGTGTTTCTCATCCATAACAAGCTGTCTAAGGCATATTCTCATGGCAATCACAGGAGAGCAAGAGAAAATACTTAAATGTAGCAAGAACTTTTTCAGACTTCTATATGCAGCATATCTGATAACATTCCATTGACCAAAGCAAGTCACATGGCCAAAAACACAATCAAAAAGCACAGGAGAATAGACTTAACCTCTTCAGTGAGAGGAACTACAAAGTTACATGATAAAAGGGTAGATGCAGGGAGGGGTAAAGTATTGTGCCTATTGTTAACAATACTGTATTTTGTACTTAAAAATTTGTTATAATCTGGGCATGGTGGCTCATGCTTATAATCCCAGCACTCTGGGAGGCTGAGGCAGGCAGATCGCTTGAGCTCAGGAGTTCGAGACCAGCCTGGGCAACATGCATGGCAAAACCCCATCTCTACAAAAATATAAAAATTAGCTGAGTGTGGTGGTACACGCCTGTCATCCCACCTACTCAGGATGCTGAGGCAGGAGAATCGCTTGAGCCAGGAAGTGGAAGTGTCAGTGAGCCAAGATTGTACCACTGCACTCCAGCCTGTGTGACAAAGTGAGACCCTGTCTCAAAAAAAAAAAAAAAAAAGGTAATCTCATGTTAATTGTTTTACCACAGAAAGGAAAGGAAACGAAAGGAAAGGAAAGGAATAAGGAAGGGAGGGAGGGAAGGAGGGAAAAATTAGAAAAAAAAAAATAGATATTGACAAAACTCCCAAAAGCAAAGCCAAAAGAAAAAGAATTTGTTTCTCTAGAAGATATAATGTGATGGCTTGTCAATAAAAAAATGTCCACCAACGTAGCAGAAAACCATGGGCAAATCATTGAAAGGAACGCAGGAAGGAAGGAAAAAAAGAAGGAAGGAAACAGGGAGGAAAATTCACACAATAAGAAATACAAATAATGTTTAAACGTATCAGAAGATTTACAGCTTTACCTACCCAAGATATATGTGAATTCTAACTAGGATTCCATTTATCTGCTATCAAATAGATAAATATAATGTTTAATAACATATTAGCAAAGATATGGAGAAACAGGACTTTCAGACGTAGACATAAATTGAAACAACCTCTATAGAATCTAATTTGGAAATACAATCACAATGTAAAATGTGCATTCCCATTGAATGGCCAATTCTATTGAGATTTGTTCCATATTTTAACTTGTATGTGTGAGAACTGGCACTTACACAGTGTTATGCTTTGTAGTCCTATTTGGATAGCAGAAGAAAAGACTTCACTGGCCTTCAATAAGTGTGATATTATGGGATACTATTTAACTGTCAAAATAAAACTTTAAAAGAATGAATAAGCACTTTACAAAAAAAAAAAGGCCACTAATACAATGCAATCAATCTAGCTCAGGCTTCATATGATTTAGTGAAAAACCAGAGATGAGAGAGAGAGAGAGAGAGAGAAAAGAAGGTGGAAGAGGAGGAGGAAGAGGAGGAGGAGCAAGAGGAGGAGGAAGAGGCGGAGAAGGAGGAGAAGGAGAAGGAGGAGGAATTAATTTTGCTCTAATATTAACCCCTTTAAAATTGAATTCACTTAAATTTAACCCTTTAAATGCTTTGCAACAAAATATGCATTATGTATTTGCTAGTTTGTTCTGTGCAATTTCATTCATACAAAGTTACTGTCAAAAAACAGGCCAGTAAAGAGCCATTTATAAATAACATATTAGTAAACCAAGTTAAAGGGACTTTATTTATCCTTTAACCTTCAATTTGCATTAATTGGGAGCAGTCATGGGAAATAGTGCCAACCTCACCTCAGGTCAGATGGCTTAACAAAATGAACTGTTTCATGCCCAGAAATAACTATATTCCAAATATAAATATGAATCAGTTACAAAACAGATTCCTTTGAAACTACAAAATAACCACACTGTTAATATATTTGTGCTCCAATTAAAAATGTGCAAAGAACACACATTCTGAGCTAAAGCTGTCCCAGGGAGTGATTCTCATTTTTGCTTTGAGTCTTGTGTAAACAAAACTAGGCAGTCTCCTTTGAGCCATGAAGAAATTCACAGCCCCTGTTTCCTAAAGAGAAGAACTGAAAATGGGTATGTTTAAGTTGGAAGGGTTTGGGGCTTGAACTTGTTGCTTTAAATTTCCTTCATCACTGGGAAATCACTTTCAATTTGTCTACTTGAAGAACTCTAATTTGGTTTGTTCTCGGTTGGAGGCACAGCATGAAAAAGATGCCGCATGTTTGTATTATAGCAAAAGTTGGAAACCACCTCAGTGACAGTGTTTCATTTTCTTCTTTGCAGTTTTATCTTTAAAACCTAAATCTGTTCTCAATCATTTAGAACAAGGCCCATGACATCAGACTGCCTGGGTGCGATTCTTGGCTGGCCTCTTCTGCACTGTTTGACTTTGGGCAAAATGCTTAACTCTTCTCCTCTCCTTTCTTCATCTGGAAAACGGGGTCATTTATAATACTTACCTCATACGGTCATTGTGAGGATTACCTTATGTGAAATTAGACAAAATAATTAGAACAACCCAGTCCATAATGTGTGTTTAATAAATGCTGTGTATACAAACTTATTAATTATATGAGAATTTTTAGGTTTTTCACAGAGTCAAGTTCAGATATATTGCTCAAAGCCTAAATCAAAATTACACTCTCAAAAAAAAATATTGAGGTCCAATTTTTGCATCCAAAATATCTATATATATATAGTTTTGTATTTATATATTAATGTCAGGGGTAATGGTGTATATGTATACATAATTGCCATAAAGTCATAACAACTGCTACAAACACAAGCCTTCCTGGCTTTGTTAATGTAGTCTTTGAGAATCCTCTTTGAATAAGCTTCTTAATTGCCTTGGTCTTCAGCCGCACATTATCAGAGTTTCTGACTGTCAGCCAAATGGTGAGGTGAAGTTAAAGGTTTTGGACTTGAAGGTTTATGAAATGGGCGGTGCAGAGAGATATTGAAGAAAATAAATAAATACAACTCCAAAGTCTACCTTAATGTTGTTTTAAAAGGAAAGAAAATTAGTAATAAGCAAGTCAATTTTAATAAATACATTTTTCCTTTTAACATACTGAGTGTCCACTGCATGGAGTCATAGGGTGGAAGAACCACTGCAGAAACAAGACAGGGCAGCTTCTTCAGAAGCCCAGAGTCAAGAGCAGAGAAAATGTGCTTATGCTCACATACATATGCACACCCACACATAACCAACAATCGCTTTAATGATATAACAAGGGCTTTTATGTAGCCATAAACGTTGGATATTGGGTGAAAAGCCAACAACTGAGTATGTATTTACTCAATGTGGCAGTTAAAGGGAATGAGCTGGTATAGATTAGCGTGGTTCAAGCCCACATCCATCATATTGAGTCAAAAGTGTAGAACAAAAGATACACAAACAGAGATTCATATCATATAGGTAAATTAAAAATACACAAACATTGTTCATTGCCTTCGATATGCATTTATGTATGTGAATGTTAAAAAGGAAAAATAGTGGTCTTGAAAGATACAAACCAACTCACATTCTGGGCTTGGTGTGGGGTTGTCAAGGAGATTATACCTATGCTCCAATTTTTCTAATTTAAAAAAAGGCATTCTTCATGTTATTTTAAAATATACCCTTTTTTAAATTAAAAAAAATTAGAGCACAGGTGACAAAATGTTTATATTTGGGGTAGTGGGAACCCAGATGTTTTCCCTGCTAACCTCTGTTTTTCTAAAATTTCTACGTTATTTACAACAACAACAAAAATTGTAGGACTGCAGTTAGTTGAAAAGCGGCTTGTCACTTGCCATGCAGGCAGCCACTCGGCGACATCCTCTGCGGCATGGCAGGTGTCGTGGTCTGTTTGGCTGCCTTTCTCATCTTGTTTGTACCTGGGAGAAGTGTTCACCATATGATTGCATTTAGCACAATCTAGACAGCTCCATGGCTTCATGCTTACATTCATACCCTGATGAGGAACCCATCGCTTCCCCACAGGTTCATATGGCAGTGCCCCACCCGACAGCTCAATTGCAGCTCTTATATGTTGAGACCTATTCCAGGAACCATCCACTGAGATAAAGCAGGATTCCCTTTAACGCACAGTGGCTAAACAGTTTGAGGTTCACATTTGCCTTTTATTCATCTTCCCAGACTGCCAATCCAAAGCTCTTGGGTCTTGTTCCTAAAACTCCACAGAAATGTACATCTCTGAGATTCACAAAAGTTGTCCCATGCCTGTAATGTGTTCTTACAGTCCTTGTGTTAGAGTCCCTTTCCCTGAAACCATCTCCCCTTTAGAATAAGATTTTATCTAAGTCTATTTGCATCTATTCAAAATCAGAGATAGCTCTGAAACCAGACCCTATTTAAACATAGAAATAAGAACAGTTGTAGATTAATCGAATGTTGGGAAACTTTAAAACAACAAATTATATTTATCTTCTGTGTTTCCTTTTTTCCAGATCTGCGATTTCCTTCTGGTTGGCTGTCCTGCGTGGGTGCCAAGTTCCACACATGATTTAATGAATAAGAAGGTCAGATGTCAGCTTGACTATTTGCAGACTTGTGATCTTTGCTATTAATTGTCCCTTTTTAGCATTATTGGAATTATCTCCTAATGTGTAGTGTTGCTGCTGTTGTTATTTAATGTAGTTTTGAACTCTATAGGTATTCCGAAAAAATATAAAGCATTAAATGAACTAAAAACATAACAGAAAAGCAATGATACTGATTCACTCGAGAAAAGAAGAGTAACAGGGCAGTGAGAGAAAAGAGCCCATTTTCACTTGTTATGCCAGAAAATTGTGCTCAGTGAAGATCCAACAATCCTTTCCCATGTGTCTTTTCCTTGAGTGCTAAAAAGGCAGGCGGATCATGAGGTCAGGAGATCGAGACCATCCTGGCTAACATGGTGAAACCCTGTCTCTACTAAAAAATACAAAAAATTAGCCAGGCGTGGTGGTGGGCGCCTGTAGTCCCAGCTACTCAGGAGGCTGAGGCAGGAGAATGGTGTGAACCCAGGAGGCGGAGCTTGCAGTGAGCAGAGATCACGCCACTGCACTCCAGCCTGGGCGACAGAGTGAGACTCCATCTCAAAAAAAAAAAAAAAAAGCATGAGAATTAGATAACCCATTGGTTCCAGCGAGTCAGATAGGGTACAAGCACCTGTGCAGTAAAGATCCACTTGACTAGCAAGTCTTCTGAATTTGCCTTTCAGTCCTGAGGTATGTGGTCATATCAAGCAACCATTCAGATCACTGGGTTATAATTTAGGATCCAGTTTGTTTTCATTATTATAACAACACAGTTTCAGTTTATCTCTGCATATAAGGTTGTGTCAGAACTTTCCTTTCTGTGTTTATTATTTTTAGCAGTTTAAAAACTATGGAAAAATGGCTTTTTGGTAATAAGGTGACATTCAGGCTTGGTCAGGATCTGGCAGAGTCTATAGAAATGCTCACTGGCTGCGGGAGCCAGGCCTTTTGAATGCTGTCTTTGTGCCTCCTCTTGCCCATGGCCTCTGGCCTATTGTCGAGGCGCCTGGGTTGGGGTGGTGCTATCTGATTGTAACCAGTGCTAGTATTACAGCACTCAGTGCCCAGGCCCTCCCTTGGGGCCCCCTGTCTGGCTGCCTCTGTCTCCCAGCCCTCCCTAGAGAGGACCAGCCATAGTTCTCATATCAAAAAACACTATTTGTAATTTATAGAATGTTCAAGAAAAAGAGATCACTAAGAATCTTCAAGACCTATGGTTCTCTAAGTGTTTTTCATCTTTACAAATAGCCCTCTCCTTTTCCCATTGGAAATCTTCCAGTGGCCCCCAATTTGTAAAGCATGGAAAAGGACAGCTGTTCTGTTTAAAGATGAGAAGGCTCCTGCAACCCCAGTCCCCAGCCTCTTCTTCATCCCACCTCAATCAAGGTGACCTCAGAGGTCTTCCATTCCCACCAGGAAACTGGGGGCACCTCCCAATACTTGCACACTCTTTTTACAAGGCATTCTCCTCAATTTACAGATAAGGAAACTAAGAAGAGATTTCTATAAATGCTGAAAACCTGAGGCATTAGACACAAAAGAATGAACACTGTATTAATTCATTTTATGTAGTTCTAGAAAAGGAATAACTAATCTGTGGTGGTAAGAATCAAAATAGTGATTACCTTGGGGAGAAGAGAGGATTGGCTGGCAAGGGGCATGAGGGAATTTTCTAGAGTGATGGAAATGTTTATAGAACCGTGGGCTACCTGGCATCTGTTAAAACTCACCTGTGCATTTTACTTTATATAAATTGTACTTCCATTAAAAATAAAAACAAAGAGGAAAATAAAGAAAACATAAATTCGGCATTTAGTGAATGAAAATACTGTAGCCAAATATTTGAGTTTGATCAATGTCCTTAAAGCTATGTGGGCTGTTTATTGGATCCAGTCTAAAGTCATTACGCAGAGTTTCTGAAGATTGAAAATCATGCTGTTCTAATATTTTTTGTTCAATAATCACCAAATCCAGAAGGAAAAAACTCTCAAGGAATTCCAAGCAATGAAACCTGTAACGTGGCTAAGATGTGAGACCTGGGAGTTCTGGGAGTAGAGATTCAGAGGACAATATTTGATTCCGCTGACCACAGAGGCCAAGAATCATTGCCCTCCCAGTGTGTAGCTCCCAGGAGGTTTAGAGAGGCACCATATTCCAGATGGGGTCCTCTGAGCTTTTAGGGCTCTGAGAAGCCCCTTAAAAGTCTGTGCTGGGAGGAGTGCTGGTGGGGAGAGACCATCTGGGTCACCACCCAACATGCAGCTGGACTTTTATCTGTTTAGGTATTGGGCTTCTCTATCCATTTCCATGTATATAAAGAATTCCGTAAGTGAGAAACACGTGACAAACGTTACACATGTTGTATACCCATTCTGGTGTATATTATTTCCTTAATAAGCCAGGTGACATGGAATTCTACGCTTTTAACTATGCTGGACTTTGCCTCCTAAGATTGTACAGAAAGACATGGTCCAGGTCTGGCACATTCAGGATGGTTCTGCAGGGTCACACTGATCTGAACTCACCCTAAGAGTTATGGATAGTCTTAGCTTCAGCCACTCCCCCAAAAGAAATGTCCCTCCTGAGCCCCTTTCCAGAATTTCGATGCAATCAGGAATACTGTGAAAGAGAGGAAAGATGAAAATAAGCTTGGGGCCCTCTGGAGGCGCTGAGCATGTAATTGGTTGTTGTTGGCTCTCCATCCAAGACCATATTGCTCATTGCCTGGGGAAATGAGATGCCATAGTGAGGCCCCATCCTGCGGGGATCCCAAAGATGCCTTTCTTTAATTTGGGATTTTATGTTGTTCAGTAATCTCTACTTCACTGATATAAACCTCATTTTTGTCATGCATTACTTTAACATGTGCTTTTAAAAATATTCATCAAATTCAAATTCTTCATAATTTTTTTTAATCCTTTGCTCCTACTCATCTGACTGCTTTTTAAATGCCCTATAAAATGCAGACTTCTCATATATCTTAGCAGAGTGGAACTTCTGGTGACTGAGGTTGAAAGGCCTTCAGTGGTACCTGTCAAACAGGCTACTTGTGAATTCAGTCTTTTTGCTTTCAACGGGCAAGAACTATGAAATAATGGGCCCTGTACCTGTGTTATTGCAGTAGGGCATTTTGACCGTCTAAAAAGCACTTTCCTTGCCCTGAAATTCTTTGAAACAACTTCATTTGAATTTTGTTATTGTATATTTTAAAAGTCAGGTAGTAAAGTGGAAGGTAATTATTGCGGCAGAAATACAGCTAAGGACATAGGCCAGGACAGATGGGACCCAGGGGCCAATTCTGCGTTTTAGAGCCTGATGAGCGAAATGGGACTGGGATGAGCAAGGAAAAGGTTTTTGAAAAAGGAAATGATGACGGCGTTAGGAAACGGCAAGAAGAGTCATGTGGAGCTGGAGAAGGAAGGATTTAAAGATGCTCAAATGTTCCAGCCTTTGAGGCTGTATTATTTTTCTTCAGAAAGGACAAAATGTCTACTATTTGAGTGATTTCCCAACAAAGGACCAAAGCCTATTTCACTCACAACACAGATCCACATTAACACAAATTTAGTTCACTATTGAAGCTATGGTAAAACTGAATCATACGTGAAAAAGAACACTTTAAATAAGCAGGACATTTTTTTAACCCACACATACTGTGCTTTGCCTGCACATGCACACAAATTTCCTGATCAAACCAAATTTAATTTAGCAAGAGATTTTTCTCCAACCAGTTTAGTTTAATGTGCATGAGAGCAGACATGAAATTACACAATGTAAGAGTTTGAGCAGAATTTACTTTTTTGCAATTCCATTTGAAAGGACCTATTTCAAGTCATTAAGAGTCAATTTAACCAAATGGAAAATAACAAGATATAAATCATATGTTTCTCCATTCCGGGGACTTTGGGCAACTGATCCTGCTAGCGCCAAAGTTCTTGAAATTTATTTCTTTCTTTTCTCTCTCTTGCTTTTCTTCTTCCTTGGTCAAGTGGCTAATGTAACATGTGTGTAGTCAGATTCCAGTTATTCATGAGAATGGGAGGGTAAAATGTCAATTGTTAAAGCCCAATTTATTGACATTTTTCCACTTTTTTTTAAACAGTATGCATTTTCATCCACCAAACTGCTTGTAAGAGCTGTTCACAAGTTAGAAAATATATCCGGGTTTCAGGTTTTTTTGTTTCTTTGTTTGTTTGTTTGTTTTTGTTTTTGTTTTGAGATGGAATCTCGCTCTGTCACCCAGGCTGGAGTGCAGTGCCATGATCTCCGCTCACTGCAAACTCCGCCTCCCGGTTCACGCCATTCTCCTGCCTCAGCCTCCTGAGTAACTGGGACTATAGGCACCCGCCACCACGCCCGGCTAATTTTTTGTATTTTTAGTAGAGATGGCTAATTTTTTGTATTTTTAGTAGAGATGGGGTTTCACCATGTTAGCCAGGATGGTCTCGATCTCCTGACCTCGTGATCCGCCCGCCTCGGCCTCCCAAAGTGCTGAGATTACAGGCGTGAGCCACTGCGCCCAGCCCGTGTTTGAGTTTTATCTCCTTTTCCTTTCCCCAAATGTTTCCCTATTGGTGCTGTTGAGCTATTAACGATTTAAAAGCAGGTTGAAAGAAAAATAACAAACACCCCAATGTGTATATTATTTTTATTCTCTGTTTGTAGACAAAGAAACTTAGGGTAAAATGGTTAGGAGCAGTGCCTAAAGAATTCACTGTCACAGTGGCAGGGCTGGGCTTTAACTCAGATGGGTCTATCTGCAAGCCCCTGTTCTTTGGAAGAGAAGCAATAGATCAAAGTATACCAACATAATACATTGGCCAAATTGGAGAAATAGCTAAATTTGTGAAGAGATCAAAGTATTATTTTGGGGCTGCCCATAGTGAAAACCATTAAAAACAGTGACTTAAACAGACAAAGGTTTATTTTTTTCTCCAAAGCAGGGGTCGTGGTTCTATCGTCAGCAGGGACTCAGATACCTTCTATGACTCTGCATTGCTATTCTTAGCATATGGCTTTATCCTCAAGATTTCCTCTTGGTTCAAGGTAACTGCTGGGGTGCTAGCCTTCATGTATAAATTCTAGACAACAGCAACAATGGGGGAGGGGTAGAAAAAGGCACCCATTACTAGCTGTGTTTTTCCTCTTTAGGGGGTCTTACCAGAATGCCCATCAAGCAACTTCTATCTACAATCTCATCTACCGACTCGTAGTTGCAAAGGAAGTGGGAAAATGTGGCTGGGTACCTTGCCACCCGGAATGAAAGTGGGATTTCGTTGTGAGGGAACATTGCGGAGACACCTAGCAGACTTGGTCACAATTAGGCAGCTACTGGAGGCCCTTCAAGTACGGAGAGGAATGGTCAAGGTGGGGCTTTCAAGGGACTGATCTTGTAGCCAAGTGTATGATGGATAAAAAGGGGAACGATGAAAGGGGGTTTTGAGTACTGTAGTTTGTGGTTATAAGCTCGGTATTAGTGACATGGTATCAGGGATAGGAGAAAATAGATGCATGTGATCAAATTTGTAGAGTAAATTGACCAAGGAGAATGTGTTTATTCATTAGCTGCCATCCAAAACTGTGAACTATGTTTAAACATACACACACACACACACACACCATACACGGAGGTGTGTGTATGTATATAAACACACTATATATGTGTATGTATATTCATACACACATGCATACATAAAACAAAAACAACAATGTAAAACTTTTCTAGGGCTCCATACCACCAATAGCAATGATTTCACACTTTGGTATCCCTAAGAATCACCTGGAAAAAGAGGCTAAATTACAGGCTTTGAAAGAGAATGTGAGAAGGAGAAATTGTAAAGATGACTAGGAAGTCATCATAAGAAGCCAGTTGTAAAGATGAGTAGGAAGTCATCATAAGAAGCCAAGCTGGAGAAAGTAGGAAAGTCAGGACGGGGAGAAAATAGTTGTTAAGTTTTGTTCTCCCTTTTTCCCTTTCTTATTCCCTCCTTCCCTGCTCTCTCCCCTTCTTTTTTTCTTTCTTTTTGTCTTTAATTTTTTAATTTTAGGAGGAGTAGACTTATGAGTTTGGTAATCATATTTTCATAAACGTATAGGCTCCCAAATAAGAAAGAAATTAACGCTCAAGTCATCATCACTCCCTTTTTTTAAGCCATAAGACAGCAGGTAATGCCATTTTTCAGAAGACAAAATCAAGACTCATCTATGGTGTTGACAGTTGGAGCCAGCTCTTTCGGAACTCCTTATATCCAAAAAAAGATCATAGCTCTTTTGGAACTCTTTATATCCATGGTGCACGATACACTGGCAGGTGCACACATCCCTTGTGTGTGTAATCTACACAAAAATGACAAAGTTTGTCAGTACAACTTTCTTGGTACTATGTGTTTGACACCCTTAGCTTCAAGGCAAAACCTACTTTTTATTTTAGCTTTTACAGTCAGCAACAGTTAAATAAGTATAACTTGGTTTTCTTATTTTAACCCCCTCTGATTGCATTTTGTAAAGCTCATGTGAGCTCTATTTTTTCCCACCAAATGCTGGAGAGGGGCAGGTTTGGTTGGCACTGGCTGCTGGCTACTCCAGGTGTCTTCCCATGCAGCTTGCTGGGGCAAGTGTTGTGATTTCTGTTCTGACATCCTGGACAAAGTCTCTCATTAATAAGTAGATGCCTACACACTTACGTAGTAAAAGTATAAAAGCATGCATGGGAAAAACACACACCAACTGTAAAACAGTGGTTAGCTTGGTGAGAGATGAGAGAGAGAGATGGGTTGGTAGTGTTTTGCTGTTTTATTTCTTTTAGGGTGATGGATCAAATACCCGCAGATCTGAATGGTGGGTACATGGGTGTCTGTAATATTGTTTTATATACCTTGAATGTCTGAACTGCCTTATAACTTAAACTTTTTAAAAAATTAAGTAAATGACTTCCTTACAGGCAAAGTGATTTGAACCCTTGAAATGAAATCTTTTTTTTTTTATTTGAGACGGAGTCTCGCTCTGTCGCCCAGGCCGGACTGCGGACTGCAGTGGCGCAATCTCGGCTCACTGCAAGCTCCGCTTCCCGGGTTCACGCCATTCTCCTGCCTCAGCCTCCCGAGTAGCTGGGACTACAGGCGCCCGCCACCGCGCCCGGCTAATTTTTTTTGTATTTTTAGTAGAGACGGGGTTTCACCTTGTTAGCCAGGATGGTCTCGATCTCCTGACCTCATGATCCACCCGCCTCGGCCTCCCAAAGTGCTGGGATTACAGGCGTGAGCCACCGCGCCTGGCCGAAATGAAATCTTTACTTTTAGTTTTGAGCAGTCTAAGACGGTGTTTCTCAAAGTAAAGCATGCATTAGAATCATCTAGATGGTTTGTTAAAACAGTGTCTTAGGTTCCATTGCCAGAGTCTCTGATTCAGTAGGTCTGGAGTGGGGCCTGAGAATCTGCACTTTAACAAGTTCCCCAGTGATGCATGTTGCTTATTCAGAGACTACACTTTGAGAATCACTGGTCTGAAGGAATTTTTCATCAAGACAACTAGAGTTTTGTTGATTGCTCACTTTTTCTTTCATTAAACAAATGTCTGTTATATAAATGTGTCTATTCTAGCACTTGAACTGGGCCAATTATTGTGCATGGATGTATAAAGATGATCTGTCTGTGGTGGAAAGGATACATGACTGTTCAATACAGTTGTGCAGTTTGGTCACTGTGTAAATGGTGCCCACTGGAGTACTACAGCTTAGCCAGATGTGGCAGTCAAAAGAATTACCAAAGAAACAAAGCAATGTGTGCACAACAGTGTAATACATGTTATGATATAAATATGCATGATGTTCTTTGAGAGATCAATAGAACAATGAAACCCAAAAATGAATTGGGGGCATGGAGTCAGGCAAGGCTTCCTGGAAGATAGGATACCTCAGATGAGTCTACACAGGTGAAGAGAAGTTGTCTGGCCAACAGTAAATGTATAGGAGGACAGGCAGGGGAAGTAGAATATGCAAAGACATGAAATGTAATTTGTAAGAAGATGGTAATAGATGGAGTTTAAGAATTCAGGCTGGACCAGGTGCAGTGGCTTATGCCTGTAGTCTCAGAACTTTGGGAGGCCAAGGTGGGAGGATCTTTTGGGGCCAGGAGTTTGAGACCACCCTAGGCAACATAGCAAGACCCCATCTCTACAAAATCAAAAAATTAGAGGGGCATGGTGGTGCATGCCTGTAGTCCCAGCTACATGGGAGGCTGAGGTGGAAGGATACCTTGAGCCCAAGAGTTGGAGGCTGCAGTGAGCCATGATCATGGCACTGCACTCCAGCCTGGGTGACAGAGGGAGACCCTGTCTCAAAAAGAAAAAAAAAAGAAGAAACATTCATGCTGGCAGGACAGGAAAGTTGACCATCAAGAGTCAGATCATGAAAGTCTAAGGCGTTTGGATATTAATCTGATAGCAGTAGGGAACCATTTTAAAATTGTAAACAAAGTAATTGTTTGATCCAGTTTTATATTTTAGAAAGAGTTCTATAGGGCAAGGAAGACAGGTAGGTTGGAGGTAAGATTGGCCACAGTGGACCAGGCCAAGTAAGCAGCTATTCATTAGCCTAAGTATAAAATGGTGAGGGCTGCGCTAGGGCAGTTCCAGTGTGAATAGAGAAGATGGATGTATTCAAGAAACATTACAGTAGAATTGACGAAACATGGGGATTGATAGAATGTGGGAAGCAAGAGAGAAGCCATCAAGGATGAGTCCTGGGTTTGTGTCTTAAGCAGTGGGTGTAAGTAGGTGACATTCACTGAACTAGGGAAGACAAGGGGAAGAGATCTAAGGGCCGGAATAGGGACTGGAGAAGGTGAGTTTGGGTTTGGACATTTGGAGTTTGAGGTATTTATGGAACATTTATGTGGAGGCGTCAAATGCTCATGGATATTTCCTGGGCTGCAGACTTCAGTTTGGATAATATCTAGATATTAATCACTTGTATTTATATATTATTATAAATATTGCTGCAGTAAATATACTTATATATACATTTTGTCTTAACTTCTGATTATTTCCGTAAGAAGTGTTTCTAAAATAAAGGCTATTGATAAATATAGGAAAATTATTTTACAAGACGTTGTGTCATTTTATGCTTCCATTAGCATTGTAGAAGAATGTCTGCCTCCCTATGGCCTCGCCAACATTATTTAATCTTAACAAACTAGAAACCCCAATAGTGAGGCTGCTTTAATGTGTACTTTACTGATTATTTGTAAGGTTGGACATTTTTCACTTTTTGTTGAACTTCATTAAAGGATTATTTGTTGATGTCATGCACCCATTTCCTATAGGGTATTGATTTTTTTTAATGATTTTTAAGAACTCTTTTTTTCTTTATTAAGGATATTATCTCTTTGTCCATCTCATGCATTGCCAATGTGTTGTTCTACTTTCTTGTTTACCTTTGTTCTAGCAGTAGAATACTCTCAGATGTCCCACCAATATGCCTGTTGGGCTCACTCCCTCGCCTATTGCAAAGTCTTAATTTGAATTTTATCCTCTCATTGAGGTCCATTCTATTTGCTACTTCAAATCCCCAACAAGGACAGCTCTTGACAGTTCTGATCCCATAGCATCTTTCACCTTTTCACATAAAATATAGTTTATTTATTTTGTTGTTAGTTTCCATCCACTAAAATGTAAGCTCCTTGAGAATAAGGACACAGGAACCTTTGTCTGTTTTATTTACAGATATATCCCAAGTACCTAGAATTGTGCCTGGCACATAGTAGGTGCTTAGTATCTATTGGTTAAGTGAATATTAATTGCTTTTATATGGTCATTTATTGTCCTAGGGTTTCAACTTTTAATCCATATAAATGTATCCTTTAGGATCTGATTGGAATATCTGATTTATTCCATTGTCTACTGATGAATGATTTAAACACTTACCATTAGGATTTCCCAATACTCTTACAGCAACTCTTTGATTGAATTAGAAACAAAATTCAAATTTCTTAATTCCTAAATACATCAATTAGAAGTGAGAGAATGAGGGTGGCGGTGGGGGGGGTCCCTGAGCATTTACTTGGATGAACAAAATAGTTCATCAAAAAATGTTCATCTCTCTCACAAAATCGTCTAATTACCGATTTTATTCTAAACACAAGTTTTTGTAATTGTTCATTCCTATGTTATGCTGACTTATTTTATGAACACTCTCAATGGCAACCATATAAGAAGTCCACACTAAAGAATGGACAGCTTTGACAGGGAGCAGTGGCTCACGCCTGTAATCCCATCACTTTGGGAAGCTGAGGCGGGCGGATCATGAGGTCAGGAGTTTGAGACTAGCCTGGCCAATATGGTGAAACCCTGACTCTACTACAAATACAAAAATTAGCTGGGCATGGTGGCACGCACCTGTAGTCCCAGCTACACAGGAGGCTGAGGCAGAAGAATCACTTGAACCCAGGAGGTAGAGGTTGAAGTGGCCCAAGATTGCGCCACTGCACTCTAGCCTGGGTGACAGAGCAAAACTCCATCTCAAAAAAAAAAAAAAAAAAAAAAAAAAGACAAGACTGGACAGCTTCTAGTGAAGAAACCATACCAAGGCCAAACAATTTCTGGTTTGGGAGTTTGCTTAATAACAGAGGGAACAACTATTTACTAGCTCCCTTTGGGAAAACACGTTGTCAAATAAATATTTACTAAGCTTTTCTCTATGCAAAACACCATGCTATGCCAGTGGGAGGTATAAAAAGTACAGCCAATTCCCTTAAGAAAGTTGTAACTGGCCGGGAACGGTGACTCATGCCTGTAATCCCAGCACTTTGGGAGGCCGAGGCAGGTGGATCACCTGAGGTCAGGAGTTCAAGACCAGCCTGGCCAACATAGTGAAACCCCATCTCTACTACAAATATGAAAATTAGCCAGGCATGGTGGTGGGCACCTGTAATCCCAGCTACTTGGGAGGCTGAGGCAAGAGAATTGCTTGAACCTGGGAGGCGGAGGTTGCAGTGAGCCGAGACTGTGCCATTGCACTTCAGCCTGGGCAACAGAATGGGACTTCATCTCGAAAAATAAAATAAAAAGAAAGTTGTAACTAACCGTGGTGGTGGAGGTGGGGAGAAATCAGGATACATATTCACAAAAAGGTGAACAATCATTCTAGTTATTTATTATTTATATTTTGGCAACTACAGATGAATGGGGCAGATATCACATATTCAAGATATTAAGAAGAGCAAAAGATGATGGTGGATTGCAGTGATCTATGAATCCTTGACTGAGGGCATTAGAATTTGTATCAAGCCTAGAAGAATAAGTGGAATTTGACTTTAATTAAAGAGGAGAAAGGGAGAGGGAGGGAAGGAGGGCTATCAGTCCTAAAACCTATTTTCAACACTTAGCAGGTTTTGTTCTCTTGTTGTTGTTTTCATTATTGAAGGCAATTTGGTATCATTTCTGGACTGTTGCTATATTATGATTTATTACATGTTGGAAAATTTTTTCTACCTCAAACATTTGGCACACTAACATACCTTTGAAATTGAAGTTAATCAATGAAGAAAAACAGGCAGGGATTGTTATATTTAGACTGATCATCAAAGACAACAGCAAGTGTTCTCCTTGCTTTTTTTAGACAGAGTCTCTCACTCTGTCGCCCAGGCTGGAGTGCAGTGGCATAATCTCAATTCACTGCAACCTCTGCCTCCTGGGTTCAAGTGATTCTCCTGCCTCAGTCTCCTGAGTAGCTGAGATTACAGGCAGGCACCACCACACCCAGCTAATTTTTGTATTTTTAATAGGGATGGGGTTTTGCCCTGTTGGCCAGGCTGATCTCGAACTCCTGACCTTAGGTGATCCATCCGCCTCAGCCTCCCAAAGTGCTGGGACTACAGGCATAAACCACTGCACCCGGCCTCTCCTTGCTCTTTTAAAACCATTTGCAATTAATTGAGAGTGAACCAATTACTTTCTTTCAGTGCTGTTTTTCTTCCTTTGAGAGGAAGCATTTAATATGACAGGCATCATGCCAGCCATTAGTTATCAATGTTAACAGGGTCTGAGGCAGCAATGATGAACTACCTACCAATCTAGGGACCACCATGTAGTAATAAGCTTAACCTTTCTCCCCCAGCAAATCTTTCATGAGAATGATTAATAAATAATAATTTCATCTGATAGACTATGTGTTTGACTTCTTTCTCTTCTGCTGCTTCTTCTTATTGTCTGTAAAATTATAAAAGACAGACAGCCAAAAGCAAGAAGCAAGAATTTAATACACAGTCTGAAGAGATAGACCCTGACTACATAAGAGCCTGCTGAAATTATCGATTTTATTCATTTTATTTTGATGTTCCCATTTAATCCAAAATCCTATCATACATATTTTATAATTCTCATGTAATCTTAAATAGTATAATACATATTTTTCAGCAAGTAGATACAGCATTGAATCTGCTCATTGTAAGAGCATTTACCTACTTGATTTTCTGGAAATCAGGAATAAGAAACAAAGATTTGAGCATATCCCATTTAGCAACCAACAGATTACATGGACCTTTAGTGTTCTCATTTAAGCTTGGCCTTGGTTCATTTACATCTTGGATCTGTGGACTACAATTATAGCCATGTTACTAAATGATTTATGTTTTTATTTAATATGTTGTTAATGAAAAGTAACTGATTTCTCCATTAAAATTCAAAGAGAGTAGAAGTTGAAGGTAAAAAGTTGATATGTATGCAGTTTTCTGTATGTATATTATATTTCACAATAAAAAAGAGGTTAGAGCAAAAAAAGTAACTGGATGTAACAGGATGGGCAAATGACATCTAGTAACAACTAGCAACACAATTTCTCAAGGAAAGGAGCTGTTTATTTGGAAAAAAATGCCTTGGTCAGTGTGCTTGGAAGTAAAAAGATAAATTTCCAAAGGATCTGGGTGACAGTGGAACTGTTCTGCTGTAGACAAGGGGAGGTTTTGGCCATTACTCTAAAGAAGAGAAGGAGAAAGATAGAATGAATGGATGGATGGAAATGAATGAATGAGCAAACTGGACAAAGCACCACAGAGAAGACAGGAGGCTATAAAGTTAACAAAGTGACTTCTTTCTATGACCTCTCAGGTCCTCAATAAAGAAACTGAGATGTGCGGTGTGTGATCCTAGTAGATCTGCTGTAGAAATGACCTACCTGTGACTCAGTTGAAACTGAGATGAAGCGTGGGGTGAGACTGAGGCAGGTCAAGTGCCCACAGGGGTGGTATCCAAGGTGGCTGGGGAGATTGTAGAAAACTTTCATATTGGGTGTTCAGACCAAGGTGGAAGCTGGAAGAGGAGGTCTTTTATTAACAGATGTAGCACATTATGGTGGTTTATAACAGTACTGCTTATGGTTTAATCCTTGACTACACATAATCATTTCAAACATTTGAAATTCAAAGAGAAACCTAACATTTCAAACATTTGAAAGAACTATTAGATAGTAAGTTTGGTCCACTGATTGCTTTATTTCAAGATACTGAAATGATTTGGGGATTGACTCCCATACTTAATTTCTAAATCCTCCTATTTAGATAAATTTCTACAACTGGTATTATGACTTCTGGAGTATTCTAGTGGAGGTCCTGGGGAGAATCTTCATCTGCTTATGCCAACTATTGGTGTTTCTGATCTCACAGGATTATAGAACAATGAACATGGAAAGTTTCTTAGAGATGATCCTTTGCTGCTCAAAGCATGGTTTGTGGCTAGAAGCATTGGCCCCACCAGGGAGCTGGTTAGGAATGCAGAATCTCAGGACTCACTCCAGATCTAATGAATCAGAATCTGTACTTTAACAAGATCCCAGGTGATTTTTATGCACAGTAAAATTGGAGAAGGCTGAGTCAACAAGTCAACATGCAAGTGGAGCTCTTGCACTCCACATAGCTAGATGTATTGTATGATGGTTGTTCCTCCCTAAGAATGCTATTTGAAAACAAACAGAGCCATTAACAGCTCCTGTCTTGCTTGGCTTGGGGAGCAGTTGCCATTTTAAAGGGCAGAAATGCTGCTCCCAGAAAGTAAAGAGACAACAGGATCCAAAAAAAAAAAAACCAAAAACCGTGCGTAGGAATGGTGGTTGCCTGGGGCCTGACTTAGTTAGAACAAGTCATCTCATTGAAGAAAACATGATGGTAACATTATCTGTGGGCCACTTAAAGCTCAACGGAATGACATCACTTTATGGAAACCCTAAACACCAATAGGCCTTCTGCTATAGATTTTTGAGGAACAGAATGGGAGTGAATGGGAAACAAGTGGGCATGAATGTAATGCTCATAAGAAAAATGCTCTTATGGCCAAATTCACTCATGAGCTCTGTATCTGTACCGATCTGGGACTGATACATTTATTAGCACCCAAATCGTGTTTGTGTTACAAAAGGTGGCAGGATATTAGGTAGGAGAGATGGAGCTAATCTTTTCTGTGAAAGATTAGATGATTAGATGCAGGACCATGCAATAAAATGAACATGGGACTATTCTCATATATTGATCAGCCATAGAAAATACAAGCTTCTGTAACAAGAAATGACTTCCAGTAGAAGGATCTAGATGAACCATTGCCTTGATAATAACAATGGAAAAGAAAACAATTCACAGTAATATTCCTTTGCACCTGAGCAACTATACATTGAAGGAATCAGCTTTCAGTTCAGAAAGGAAATGCTGAAGAGAGATTGTGATGCCCCAAGATGTGCAGACCCAGAGATGAAAGCTTCTGTCCAGGCAAAGAAAGGAGTTTCAGGAGTTCCTCTAAAAGACTTAGACATTTTAATTATCCTAGTGAGGGGCCATCAGACAGAGATGGGAGGTGGGCCTGGCCCAAAGCAAATACAATAAACTCTTTGTTATTTGGTGGATATAGATTATATTAACCAAAGAAAATGATACTTAAATCATTTACCTACTTTTCCCAGGAACTTTAAAACCGTTACTGTTTTCTACCTTCATTTGAATCTATGGAAACTGTAGTTTTAATTTGAAAGAATAGAACAGTTTAAGCTTCTACTACTGGTTTATTTTCCTGGCTAAGTGATTAAGGGGACAAAGTGAAGTGTATACCTGTATAATTGTTTCTCTCCAAATCAATATTTTGTAAAAATTCATTTTTTTCTCAAAATTTATCTTGTTTCTTACATTATAAATATGCCTTAAAATATATTCATAATTCTAATTTCTCTTGGACTTCAGAGATTATCTTATTTTTCTTGGCCTTATACTATAACCCAGTACTGTCCACTAAATATATAAAGTAAGCCACAAATCCAACTCACATCTGTAATTTTAAATTTCCTAGTAACCACATTAAAAAAAAAGGTGAAATTTATTTTAATACTGCATTTTCTAACTCAATATGTAAAATAGTATTCCAACAAGTAACCAGCAGAAAAATATTAATGAGATATTCTACATTCTATTTTTCATGGTGTCTTCAAAATCTAGTGTGTATCTTATACTTATAGCACATCTCATTTGAACTAGGCAAGTATGAAGTGCCTAGCAGCTATGTGTGGTTAGTGACTAGTGGCTACAGTGTTGAACATCACAGCATAGATTCTAGGACAATCATTCCTAACATTTTGGATTCACGGTTCTTTAGGGGAACCTTATGAAAACTGTGGACCTTCCTCCCAGAAAAAAAAAAATTATATTAGCATACAATCCCCCATAAATTTTCAAGGAATTTATGAAACCTTAGAAGCCCGTCTTAGACCCTCCTGAGGTAAAAATCATCCCAAACTGCCATAATTTCATCCCCAGTCTCACATTTTTTTATAGTTGACCTTTTGGATTTACATAAATTATTTTAAAAGGAATCTATGTTATTTCTATAAATGAAAAATGTATCATTTATTAAAAGCAAAAGATAACTGTAAAAAAAATTAGTACTATTCTTTCAAAAATTCATAAACCTACCCCCTAAACTTATCTTTCATATCACTCTTCGGGATACACTGCCTAGGGATGTGGAAACCAGATGAAGAGACCCTGCTTTTGGGCCTCCTCTGAATGGATGCAGGAATGAAGTGGAGTCTGCAGGGATGTGCTATTAGGTCATTATAGTAACACAACTGGTTATGTTATTTAAGCCTACACATTGAGATGGAGACTGGGGGTGTAAAACTGGGCAAAGTCACTCACTTTGATAAGGTTCATGGACTTTAGAATAAATAATTCTAAAGAAATACTTTTCTTCTGCTGATTTTTCTTCCCTGGCTCTGTTTGCCAGAAGATACACCTGAAACTCTGTCCTCTTGGGGGAAAGGGTTGGTAAGAGAAAGAGACCTGGGTAGTGGCTTAGATGAGCTCTGCTCCAGGCCTTAAAGAGATGGCTCTTTCTGTCATCTTCTTTGCTAGCTTCCTCCTTTCACAGTCTAATTGGTGAGACCCAATGGACAGAGGAGAAAGGAAATAAGTGCCTGGCTGCTTGACCTTCCTGCCACATAGGCCTCAAGTCCAAGATTGCAAATGCAAATGCCAGCAAGGGTTGGGTGGGTAAGTTCAATGAGTCACTTCTTGAGGGACTGGAAATTTGGACCTTTGAGCAAAGTCCTCCCCCTTTTTTTGTCAAATGTTGACTAATTTGTTATTAATATTATGTTTAACATTAGATATTTACACTTGATATTTAATACTAGAAACACCAACCAGAAGACTGACTGTAGATTCTAATTCAGGGTGGATTAGGCCATCAGGATGCCAATTAAATCTTCTGCCAAAACATCAGTGCTGGTTCTCAACTCAGAAACATGTTCATACATTTTGTTGGTGTCACAGTGATGGGAGGGCTGGGATGCTACTGGCCTTTAGGACATTCAGAACAAGGACAGTCCTGCACCCAAACATTTGTCCTGCCCTGAATGCCATAATGTCCTTGTTGAGAAACACTGAAAGAGTAAAAGAAATTCTGCAGCTCCTCACGTGATAATCCGGTTCAACTCTTATTAGGAGCCAAAACCCTGTTTGGTAAAGAGCAGACAATACATTTTTCTGGAGCATCTCTTTCCTTTCGATTGGACAGGCATAGCAGACACAGCAGGCTTCAAGTATTTGAGATTTCTGATCATCTTAGGGTAATCTCACATTTCTGCAAAGTTTTTCTTTATTTTCTCTCTTCTGGTTTTAGTATGCTTACACTCTTCGGAGGGTTTTAGCATTATTCTTTTATGAAGTGACTTTCAAAAAGTGGCACCCGAAGCAATGACTTGACTGAAAGTATATGACTGAGAAGGGCCTCTGTTGCTAGACTCCCATAATAGAGAGCGTAGCTGGGATGTCCACTCATCCCCAAAAGGGAGTCATGCTACAGGTGTGACCTCCAGAGCAGTGGATGTCTTTGCCCTCGGTTGTTTGAATACACTGAGTTTGCCATAATGCTGTGTTCCGCAACCATGCCAGTTCCACTGGAACATGTGTCAGCTTTTATTCGGTGCTGATCTTTTTCCCTGAACAAGCAAGGGTGTATATGACCCATTCTCTGAATTTTATATGAGTGATGGGGTGTTTTGTCCCTTCTACTCGTCTAGGGGATCTGTCCATTGAGTTTATGAAGAAAAACTTTTTAGTGTGCTATAACATGCACATGCTAAAGCATATAAAGCTCCATTTTTTTATGTAGTTGTATACCCATGTAACTACCACTTGGAAGAACATACAAAACATTTCCAGCAACACTGAAGTTTGCCCATGCCCCTCTCTGTCACTGCCTGCCCCATACCAGGATTACCACTTTTCTGAATTTCATCACCGTTGATAAATGTTTTTATCTGTTCTTGAACTTCTTTTACATATTACATAATACATATTCTTTTGTATTTGACATTTTTTGCTCAACATAACATTTGTAAGATTCATACCTGTTGTTACATATGTCAGTATTTTATTCTTTTTTATTGCAGAGTAGTATTGAGTACATGGATATACCACAGTATGTTTATTCATTTTCTTGTGTAACAGAAAACTGGATTGTTTCCAGTTTGGGACTGTCTTTTGGTGGACATATCCATTTCTCTTGGATATAAACCTAGGGGAAGATTTGCTAGGCTATAGGGTAGATATATGTTTAACTTTATTAAAAACTTTCAAACAGCTTTGCAAAGTGGTTATAGAAATTTACAGTGCCCCCAACAGTGTAAGAGAGTTCAGTTGCTCCATATCTTCTACAATACTTGATAATGTTAGTCTTTTTAAATTTTAGTCATTATAATGGGTATGTAATAGTCTCTCATTGTGGCTTTAATATGCCTACTCCTTTGCATTTTCACCTAAAATGGGTGAGTCATAAACGTTGAATGTCATGTAGAAGTTTTTAAATTCTTGGTTCAGGCTACTGCATGTGCAATGGTTTTTGAGGAATTCCTAACCCTTTTAAGGAATCCTAACTATTTCTCTTTCTAGAGAGAAGTGATGTGTAATTGTACAATCATCTCAGCCTAGTCAGATGTGAAAATTCCTCACCCACATCCCTAGTGTGGTATCCCCATGGCATGGCCTTGATAAACAATGCACAGGGGAGGACCCAACATTGCTACCATAGGCATTTGGCAATGAATTTGCCTCTCCATACACAGGGAATCCTGTCTGTTCAATAATATCCAGTGAGCATTTATTGGGCACATACTTTGTTCCAGGCACTGTGCTGGGCATTGAGAAAGCAACAGGGAAATAGACACAGTCCCCCTCTTTTTTGAAAGACTCACTGTCTAGTGAGGGAGTGAGAAAGTGAACATACTAATTGTCATGCAATGTGATAAATGCTTTGCAAAATGTGTATGTATTTTCAGGGGGCTTGGAGGCTCATAGCAAAGGTCCTTGAAGAGAGCAAGAAAAAGTCTTCCCAGGAAAAGTGGACACCTGAGTGAGTGTTACAACGAGAAGGGGGGCATCCCAGGCAAGGCAGCTACCAAGCACAGGTGTGAAGGTGAGCTTCTGCGCAGGTTTCTCGAAGGTTGTTGGCACAGCTGGAGCATAAGGCACATGCAGGAGGCACTTGCAAAAGATACAGCCAGGATGTGTACAGGGCTGATCATGAAGGATGTACTTAAGTGAAATATATTTTGCAGAATTTCAACCCAGAGACTCTCCCTTTTGATTTACCTGCAAACAAAAAGAATCATACTTCCCTTTGACTGTCTCTGAACTCTGAATTTTCGCTTCTACTCACTTTTTGAAGCCAAATTGCATGAAATTAGGCCCCTTCCTTCCTTCCTTCCTTTCTTTTCATTCGTTCATTCTTTTTTGAGACAAGGTAGAGTACAGTGGTGCCATCATAGCTCACTGCAGACCCGACTTCCTGAGGGTCAGGTGATCCTCCCGACTCAGTCTCCCAGGTAGCTGGGACTCCAGTCACACACCACCATACCTGGCTAATTTTTTGCATTTTTAGTAGAGATGAGGTTTTGCCATGTTTCCCAGGCTATTCTTGAACTCCTGGGCTTAAGCAATCTGCCCACCTTGGACTCTCAAAATGCTGGGATTACAGGCATGAGCCACTGAACCTGGCTGAAGTTAGACTTCTTTCCATCTCTTTTTGTGAATATAGACATATTTTCTATTTAACAGTTTAGAACCAATGTGAATTTTCCCATATATGGTAGTCTAAGAATTGAATTGTAGTTTCTTAACTAGGTTTTTGTTTTGTTTTGTTGTGTTGTGTTGTGTTTTGTATGCCTTCCAGACCCAACACCCTAGCCAGTGCAATGGCTCTGAGTGTGGCATAAGCCCACTTTTAGTTTTCTTATGGGATTGAGTAATGTTCTTGGTGTTAGCATCTCTCTTTTTATTGGAGGAGTAAGGCAGACACTTACATTTCTAATAAAAGATCTGCTCGTTGAAATCAAGCGAGTCCTGATGGTGTTGGGAACCTTCTGCCGTGAGCACAACAGAGGCAGCCATGGGGTATCAGAATTACCTCCATTATATTTAACAAACACTCAGGTAGCATGCACCTCTTTCGATTTTCCATGCAGTATTCCATCTATGTAGCAACTTGTTTACTTCTCACAAGCACCCTAGAGTTGGAAAGTTTCCACATATGGGGAAACTGAGGCACCAAGATATTAAATAACCTGCTCAAGTCACAGGTGGAATTTGAACCCACAAACTCATACTTACAGACCCCATACTATGCGGCTTCTTTTTACTTATAAAATATACAGGATAAACTCAAAGGAACAAAGTTCATTCAGCAAACCTTTGTTGAGCAACTGCCTGGTGGGTGAGTCAGTGACACCTTTGCCCCAGAAACTCTTAACCGATTTGGGGAGACAGATAGTAATAAATGTTTGTAATGCAATGTTAACCTGAGGAGGAAAGTCACTAACTTTGCCTGAGGAAGTTAGGGAAGGGCTTCTGCCTGAAATACGGGCTCAGCCTTTCACGAAAAGGAGTGAACAGACAGGGCAGTTCTGAGTTGTGATAAGGCATAGCTTGTTTGGGAGGTGTCAAGTGTTCTGGGGGGTGGAGGATGTTTTAAGGTGTGCTGTGGAGACTGAAGTTAGGAATAGGACTGGTGGAAGGTGGTACTTGGGGCTGGGAGCGGGGGTCTTGTATGTGAAGCTGAGAAGTAGGACTTTAGCTTGTACCTGGTGGGAAGTAATTGAGGGTTGTTAAGTAGAGGAGAGACTTGATAAACCACCCTCTGGAGAGATCTGGTTTGGATAACATTGCAATAATTCAAGAGAGGATGAAAATTTGCAGTGTAGGTTGTGTAGACTCTAGGGGCATCAGGTGAGTTGACAATTAAATGTAGAGTCTGAACTGTAGCATGTGGTGGGGGAGGAGGAACAAGGGTGAGAGCAAGAGGGCGAGAAGGAAGAAAAAAGGGGGAGAGGGTGAGCACAATGTCTTCTGAAAGGAAAAAAGGAAGGAAGGAACCGAGGGAGAAGGGAAAAGAGAAAAAAGGAAGGAAAGGATGGAAAGAGGAGAGAAAAGAATATACCAGTATATTTAAAAAATATATTATGATGAAATGTTACTGGCATGATAGTCCTATGATTCAGGCTTTTAGAAGTATGTGCTCAGCCAAATTTTGTTTTGGTGGTTGACCAGCAGTTATTTTCATGACTCTGTAGTAGCCCATTGAGATTGCTTCTATCTAAAGACACTTTGTCAGGTTTATGTAAGACTTCATTTAGGGGGCATTGCCTTGGCATGCAGACAGCTTCCAGGCCTTACACACCAGCAGAAACATGTTCTCTAAAGAGTGCAATAAAGCATTTTCAATTCATAGCTGGGCACCTCAGGAGCAAACAAGAGCTGTCACATGGAGCACTTTCAAAATAATGCTTTTCTAACAAAAAAGAAAAAAAACAGAAACATACGGAGATATTTGAAATTCATCCTCACAATTGTCAAGCCTGAATCATAATGGCTTTGAACCCAAGGAAACTTTAAACATATGAGGATCATAAAACCTTACTTTAAGCCAAATTATCGCTGCTCTCTGTGCCAGTTATAAGCAGCATAATTAGTGGAGTGAACTACTTCTCCCTGCAATTATTATTATCAGGCTGGTGTAAGTATATGGGAGTTGAGAGGAGAGTAAAGTTCTAATCGTAACAGGGTATGTAGATGTGGATAAGGTAGCATGTCAGGTGTTAGCTGTCCAGGCAGCCTCCCAGTGCCATAGGAGTCTCATTTCACTAGGGGTTTAGGTTACCACAAGCTTTGCTCATCTTCCTGCTGCAATACTGGCTCCTATAGAAGGCCGGGAGGCACAGTGCAGAATCCTGAGCCAGAGAGAGCAGCCTGGAGTAGTGAGCTGTTTGCCTGGGTGCGTTATGTGGCAAAATCCACACAGCCATGACGCCAGCCAAGCGTCAGTCACCACAGGCATCTAAGGTGCATTTCAAGAACATATAATTGGGATAGCTTAGCCACGTAAGTGCAGGACGTGGCTTTGGGTCCCAGGTGGTTTATTTGTTTAGAATGCCTTCATTCTATCTGACTTGGAAGTAGAGAATGAGAAGCTCATGCTGAGGATGTAGCGATGTCGGCAGGTCCTAAAAGCCCAGAGGACAGCAGGGTAAGTGTCAAACCACCCCCGTGATGCTCTGTGTGTGAACACTGAAGGAGATTGTGTTGCAATTAATGTGTGGGTCAAGACGTGTCCATCAGGGCATGGGCTTCCAATGGACAACTTCTCTTAAAATTCTAATGTATCCTTCCTAAGGGTGGGATTACAGAAACGTACTTGTCCAGTAATTCTCATGTGTCCTGAATTGGAATTAAAAGACAAAGAAAATATAATTCCTAAATTTCAAGCTTTTCCGTCGGGGGCAGGGAGAGGAAGGAGGGTAATACATCGATATAGATTATAATCCTGTGTTTTTTAAACTTCAAAAATGTTAAGGAGAATTGTAAAAGGAAATTAAATTACCTTCCTATTCTGAAATAAGACCCTGCAGGAATATATGAATAAAAAATGTGTAATCCATTCCTAGTGCCATCCTTTGAGAGACATTTAGTTTCCTCGAGTACCATACTTGAGGGGACACCTGGAATATGTTCCAAAGAATGGCTCTGTAGAGGCTGAAGGTTTGGGGTGTTCCATGTTACAAAGAAAGGCTGAAAGAATTGGGAATGTGCGATCTGGAGAAGAAAAGACTGCAGGAGTGATTACAGCTATTTTTAAGCATGAGAAGGACTGAAGCACAGAGCAAGGAAGACACTTGTCCTGTATTTCCCTCAGGAAAAGAGTTTTATCCTTTGGGAAAGAGGGATAACAGATCCCTTTGGCAGTTTGATGTTATTTAAAAAAAAGACCTCTCCTCAGAAAATACATTTATTATAAATGCAAAATTGCCACATAATAGCAGGGATCTCACAGGACCCTGTAAAATACATTTAAAGATCTCTTGTTTTAGATGGTAGGACCAACAGTGAATAAAAATTTCAGGATTTGGCTTGATTTAAGGAAGAATTTACAAATAGTTTGGTTATTGCTGCAATGGAACTAGGCTTTTCCTAAGGTGATTCCCTTCCTCATCCCTACAGTCTGAATGAATAATTGTGTAGAAAAAATACCTTGAGCTTTAGATTCACCAGGACCTGGATTTGGATGCAGACCTGCTTCTTCTAGCTGTGTGTCTTCAGACAAATCATTAAACCCTGCCAAATATCTGTGAAATGGAGATAAAAATCTATCATTAGGTGATTGGGCTAGTTAAATGACAGCAGGTGTATAAAACGCCTATCTCAGTACTACAGTAGATTATGAACAAAAATATACTTTTCTTAGTACTTCTCAAAGGTCATGAATCGAAAAGAAGAACAAGAAAAAGCCTAATTCCTGCCTCTGCATAAGTTCTTCATGATTATGTTCCCTTTTTACTGTTAAGAATATTATAGACAGCATTCTAGCTTTGTGTGGGAAGCTACAATAAATGTCTAATTCCAAATTTGCATCAGATTTATATTTCTGAAAAACTTTAAAAATGAACTGAAAGGTGATATTATGGTATCTTAAAGTTGTTTTTTTTTTTAAAAAAAGCCTTTGAACCAAACTGTGAATGAACAGTGTAGAAAAGGAAATGTACTTGAAATATTTCAAAGTGTTTTCAGTGAGGAGAAACTTATCCTCAATTTCTATTTAGTACAAGAGGAAATGAGGTTGCATTTTAAGGTAATACTTAATAATGGGGAAGAAAAGTAACTATATATCAAGTGAAAAGGGATAACACTAAATAACAATAGAGCATATAATAGACATTAAATGCCTTTCTTTAAGAAGTAGAGAGAAACATATTTTTCAATGGCTTTTGGTAATGGGCTTTTTAAAATGTTCAATTGAGATATGAACTGGAGGATGTGAACATTTAGTCCCGTGGGTGGCAGGATATTCTTAGCAGCTTCAAGGATGTTTGCTGCATGGGAATTGTCTTTAATTCCCCAAGCAGCAAATTTGATGGAGCACTACATCCAAGGCATTTCTGGATGTGAAAGGGGTCCCTCACCTTCAAGGAATGTGCGCCAGGTTGAGGAGTTCAGCACATACTCCTGAAAAGATGAGTGGTGCAGACAATGATTTCCCGAGTGGTTGAGAGGAAAGAGAGAAGGTTGGAGACTGGACCTGATGACAGCTTTCATGGAGGAAGTGAGGACTGAGCTGAGCCTTGAAAATTGGGAGTTGCTGTCTTCCCATCTCAGTAAATGGCGGCACCATTCACCCAGGTATTTAATCCCAAAACCTAGAAATCATACTTGCTTCCTCTTTCCCTCACCCCCAAATCCAAACTCTCAGCAACTCCTACCTATTCTGCCTCCAAAATAGATCCTGAGTCTGCACACTCCCACCATCTCCATTTCTGTCCTGCTGGGTCAAGCCACCATCCTCCCTTTGAAATGTTTCAATGATCTATTAACTGGTCTTTCTCTTTGGTCTTTTGGATCATCCTCCAACCCATTTTCCACAAAGAAGCCAGAGTGATGAAGTCACCACTGTGATTTAAACTCTTTAAAGGTTTTCCATTAGACTAAAAATAAAATATTCGCTCTTCCACATGGCCTACCAGGCCCTGTGTGATGTGGCCCAGACTCACAGATCTCACCCCCTCTTCTTCTCCCCCTCACTCACCATGGCTGAGCCACGCTGGCTTCCTATGATTCTTTGATCTAGGTAGATGTACAATAGAGAAAAAAAGAATGTGAAAATTATTGAAGGATATAGAAGGAGATCAGTTCTCAAAATTAGCAGGAGAGCTCGGTTTTATGTAATGATTCTGCCACACAAATGTGGGCGTATACGTAGGAAGCATGGTTTGATTTCAAGGACCTCTGGGAAGGAACCTTTTGTATCTCAAAACTTAGCTCTTTCACCAGCTTCATTAAATTATTTTCCAGGACAATATACTTCATAAATTCCCACCTATGAGGAAGTACAGTTAGTATTTACTCTGTGCCAGGTACAGTGCTAGGTACAAGAGCTATGATGATGAAAAAAATAAAAAGAAAATAGACATGAGGACTTTACTTTCTTGCTGCTTTTCAGACTACTGGGGACCCAGACAATTACCACAGAAGATAATTACAATGAGGAGTTTTACAAGGTGCCGTGAGAACACCCCCCACATGGGTGGGGCACCTAACTCTGACTTGAGAGGTCAGGAAAACTTCCCAAAGGAAGGACATTTAACTGAGAATTGAAATAGTGGGAAGTAGGGCAGAAGGCAAGGGCAAGCATTCAAGTTTTCTTGGCAGGGGAAACAGCACATGCAAAAACACAGTGTTAAGGAAAAACATGACACTTTCATGGAACCCAGAAAAGTTCAGGATGGTTGCAACACAGTGGCAAGATGGAGGAAGTGGAGAGAAGAGGAGCAAGGTATGAGAAGTAATTGGTGGCCTGTGCGTACAAAGCCTTATAAGCCATTGCAAGGTCTTTGGACCTACTACTAGTAAATGAGAGGTTTTAAGCAGTGAGATTACATACGTGTTGTAGACAGCTCAGTCTGGATAGAGTATGAAGAGGGGCTAAAATTGGCAGGCCATTTGCAAGGCTGTTCTATAATCCAGGTGAGAAATAATGTTGGTATGAACCAACATTGAAAGAGCAAGGATGAAGAGTCCAGAAGAGAGATTTAAAAGGGGGAATTCACAACATTTGGAGATTAACTGGATGACATAGGGGTGGAAATGAAAAGAACAATAAGAATGATTCCTAAGTTTCCACCTCCCAGGGGACCATTTGCTAAGATACGGACTCAGGTGTAAAAAAGGGGCTTAGGGAAAGATAGGGAGATGTCACATCTGCTAGTGAAATGCCTTTCTTTTTTCTAATCTAAGATCAGGTTTTCTTTGTAGCATGGGCTCTGGAAATTCTGAAAATAGATGGTTGGAAGAGTCTATGAAAGATGGAGAGGAGAGACGAGAGGGCATCATAGAGAACCATTGAAGCCCTCCTAATTTTGCTTAAGCCCTGGCCAAGATGTCAAGCAAGTTCTTCTTTCATTAATACACAGTATTTAAAAGAAATATTGCATCTTCTAGTTAACTGCAAAGCCTTTCCAACTCCATTTTTCTGTCCTGCTTGGGATTTACATTTTCCTCAGTCAGAATTCTATCTACTTTGGACAAAGTAATTGTGGCCCCTTGAGGAATAAAAGTGTTTCCTCATTCCAGCTGGCTTCCCATCCCTCTTCAGCCATACACAGATCCTCATTTACATTTTGGGTGAGTAAGTGTCTAGGCTGTGTGGTGTTTTATAAGCTTAATGGACTTGTGAATGTGGGAGAGACAGACACAGAGAAAGATGACCATAGATATCTGCTTGAGACACCACCCAATTAATGTCTGTGACATCATCCCACTTTAGTTGAAGGCTTCTGAAATAAGTAGCTCTTGTTTTACCTATTACTTAAACTCTTGTTAAACAATGTCCTGCCATGAGAAAGAGAGTTCCTTTTCGGGCAGGATTTTTGAACAGCAGCACTATTGACATTTTGGACCAGATAATTATTTGTGGTGGGGAATGTCCTGTGCATTGTAGGGTATTTAACAGCATCTCTGGCCTCTACCCACTAGATGCCAATAGAGAAACCCCATACCCAATGGTGACAATCACCATGTTTGCAGACATTGCCAAATGTCTACTGAGAGATGAAATTTCCCCTAGTTGAGAATCGTTGCTTTAGAGCAGTGAGTCCCAAAATGTGGTGCTCAAATCAGGAGCATCAGCATCACCTAAAAACTTGTTAGAACTGCAAATTCTATGACCCCAACCCGGACCTACTGAGAAAGAAGCTCTAGGGATGGGGCCCAGCAATCTATGTTTAAGGAACCCTCTAGATTATTCTGATGCACACTGAAGTTTGAGAATCACTGCTGTAGAGCAAATGAGTGGTCACTGAAGTTCTGGAAGAAGTAGTTGTTTATGTAAAGAAAGATTTTGAATTAAAGGGAAGTCTTCTCTCTTCTGTTTTCCTTTCCTTTTTAAGAAATGAAATCAAAGTACATCATTTTATTTTTAAAAAGCAAAGGTTATTGGTAAATCGTTTCCTATCATGGGAAATTCTTATAGATAGAAAACAATATATAAGTCACATGAAAAGTTCATTATTCTGAACAGAATTCCTTTTTCCCAAGTTCACAAAGATTAAACAGTAAGTAGTAGCATGATTGAATATCACATTGACAAAGAGAGATTTTAAATAAGCACACAGAGAAACATTTTGCAAGTAGAATTGAATTGTGACATGGAGCTTCCAATGTGATATATGGCTCCCATTTAGGGTAGCAAGCCCACTCGCCTGCCCCCGTACTCAGTAGCTTTGGGGAAGCAAAGCCAGATGTCTGCGCAAAACAATCCTTTTCTCTATGTTCTTCCTTAACTTTCTTTTCCACTTGTTTGTTCACTTACCCCTTTTCTACCCAACACAGCACTGAATAGGGGAATGGAGTTTTTTAATTTATTTAATCAGTGGTATACATCCTACGTATTTTACAAGTTTATATCAAAGTTCTATTTTTCAAGTGTATTTTCAAATTCTGTGCATTGCTGAACAATTTAGTAATGTCAGTGTCTTCCTTGAAATGCTTAATGGATCCCTGAACATTAAATTAGATTCCAAAAATACTTTTATCAAAAAAGGAAATGATGCTCCAACTTAAATAATTATTTTTAGTTAAAAGCATAACAAAATAAGGAAGATGAACTTAGTAAGACATTATTAATTATTCATTTTTATGTATTGATTTGTTCAAAAGATATTTACTGAATATCAACTGTGTACCAGAAATAAGACAAATACAGTAGAATTTTATTACCTCATGGAGCTTACATTTTTTCTGTAGGCTGAAGGGAAGGAGTGGGGAGAACAGACAGAAAACAACTCAATAGTTCAAATTTTGGATTGCACCCTGTTAGTGGGTTATGAGATCAAGTTAATGGGATACAAACAGCTTTTGTGATTGTTCCTTTAATTAGCAAACTCAAAGAGAGTAAAGAAACAAAACTTTATTCCGCTAACACTTCTTAAGCGTGTTGTTTTGTCAAACTATTGTTGCAGTTATGTGTGTGTGTGTGCATGAATCAATGTAAAACATTTCTGATTATCAACTTATAAAGTTTGAAAAATATTGGAATTTTAAATCATAATACATATACAAAAAGGCCAAGGAGGTAAGGTAGAAAATAACAAAAATGTGAAGTACAAGGAGGTAGAACCCACTTTCGCTGTGTGGTCAGAGATGGCCTCTCTGATGAAGCAGTATTCCAGCTAGACCTGGCCAAAAAACGGGAGCCAGAGGAAAGGGTAGGGAAGAGCTTTCCAGACAAAGGGAGCACCAAGGGCAGAGGTTCTGTTTGGGGCCTGAGTAGCATGGGTATGGCAGTTTAAATGGCAAAGAAAATAAACAGTTTACTTCTTTCCTTCCCAGGAAGAAAGATTCTAGAACTTTTGGTTGATAGAGGCACAAAAACAAAAGGGGAACATGCACCTATTCCATAAATGAAGAAGAGTTTCACTTCAAAGACCTAGAAAATTTCCAATTCAAATAATTATAGAAAGAAAACATATTCAATTAAAATTGAGCAAATATTCATTGAGTTTATACCATGGGCAAAGTGTTAACTATGGTGTATTTAAAGAAGAACACAAATTTGAAAATGTAAGTATAGAGTTCTAAGTACACATCTACACAAAAGACCAAAGATTGCAATCTACCTCTTAATAAAACAATTTTCCATTCTCCCGTTTAACAAGGCAGTTTTTCACATGCCTCAAATTTACTTTTCTCTATTTGTTTTTATAACAAAGATTTCATTCATTCCAGAATGATTTCTGCCTATTTAGCTACCTACTCTACTTTATATTTCAAAACAGAGGGATGTTCTGTATCCACCAGTGATTTTACATAGTAGGACCTCAAACAAGGCTTGGCAAAGACACTTAAAACCTTCGTAACACCCTAACCTTGTATTGTTAAGCCTCCCTAATTCTTTCATAGAATTCCAAATTTTAAAGCCTGCACTTTGGTAGTAGTTATGCCTGTTTCTAACCATTATTGTTATTGATAATATCATTATTTTAATACACTCTATCTCCCTTAGTAAGTTCAACTGCCTAGAGCTTCTTTTGTTTTAATTTTTATTTTTTTCTTTTCCTCCAACTTTTATTTTAAGTTCCAGGCTACATGTACAGGATGTGCAGGTTTGTACATAGGTAAACATGTGCCATGGTGGTTCTTATTTTATAGTCCTACCTAATATCCCTTCCCCAACCTTTCTGACAACTTACAGCCTGCCCTTCTTCAAAACTCAACCTCTCACTTTCTTTGCCGGATGGGCAAAATTCACAGAGGCTGCAGCGATGGCAACAAAAGCTATTTCAGTGGTTGCCCATATAGACTCATAGTCTTAACTTGACCACAGTGAACTATGGAAACAGGCCATTAGCTAATGGCCTGAAACTCCTGGAGGCAACCTTTTATACTTCAGCTCAAGGCAACTGGAACCTGGCAGAAATCTTTGAGTATGGACAGAGCAAAGTCACAGGGAAATTCTTGAAGGACCCTTTAAGCAAATGGTTTGGAACAGCAATTTGCAGTCATATCAATAGTATACTAACTATTCATATTCTTTCCAGCAGTAATTTTGGGATCTTCTGGAACACTTCTGAAAATATTTCCTAAAAAAAACCATCCAGAATTCAGAAATAAATTTTGGCACAGAAAGTTATTTGTGGCATTATTTGTATTTGGAAATCAGCCAAATATCTTTCAATAGGAGAATGTTAAATATTTAATGTTATATCTACATGGTGAACTATATAAAGTCATTGAAAGTGCTGTTTATGAAGAGGTTATAGCGTGGGAAAATGGTTCGGTTATGATGTTAGGTGGAAAAAAATAAGAAGGGAATTTATTTAGAATTTCAACTATATAAAAAACAGATGCATAAAAAACTAAAGGAAATAAGAATTGAGAGATCTGAATAGTTGCATTACTAGTGATTTTTTAATACTTTTCTGTAGTTTAAATTTTTTCTCCAAAGAGCATGTGTTCCTTTTATGTTCTAAACAAATAAACTTTAGCTCAGACTTTACCATGTTATTTCTCTTCAGTAAATTTAAAACTAATTCATGGTTTCAGATAGTGTTCAGCATACACATGGCACTGTGTAGGATATCAAAATTTGCTTGCCAACATCAGTGAGTATATACTTGTTTAGTTTAATTAAAAATTATTGCCAAGTAAGAAAGTAACATTAATATTTTATTATAATTTATTATTATATTTATAAAAACAGCCAAGAACTCTCATATGATTCATTTTTTTATTTTGAGAAAAAAAGAATGATCTGTAATTGTGGTTTGCTTTTAAAATATGACTTTTTTTAGAACCAGATATGATAGACTAATTAATTGGCTCCTAATAAATAGTGTGCCTACCTAAGTGATTATTAAACTCTATCAGTTAATTGTAGGAAAGTAAAGAGACAACTGTTTACATCCAGATAGATTTTAGCTCTCTTGAGAAGTTTCATCAAACTCCAACCGTACGTGGTTACAGGGTTGTGTATCACATTCTGCAAGGTACAGTAATGTGCCAATTCAAAGACTTTGAGCAATGGGCTGGAGGCAGAGGGTGTAAGCCTAACACTTTGTTTCTTGACCCAGTAGCCAAAGTATGCTATGCCTTAGAAAAAAAAAACCTGAGATCAGCTGTTCTGATCACCTTGCAAATTTTGTGATGCAGCCACCACCATTCCTAGAGTCGATTTTAGCCAGATACATGCAGGAAAATACAAAGAATATTTATGCTATTTTTCTTTGGGATAATTTTTCCCTTGTTCCCCAGCCCATTTATAATTCCTGCTTTCAGGGAATCTATATTTATGACAACCCAATCATCTTGGCCTGTGCACTGCATCTCACTGTGAGGAACCAGAGCCCTCTGTGGAAGGCAGCTTTATAGAGGAGACCACACTGTTGACAGATTCCTGCCTCCTCCCTGTGGGTGGTCTGAAGCAAGGAAATCTGAGCTTTCCAGCGCAGGCCTGGCATGTGCCAGGAAATTTAGATTCGGGGGAGCTGCTATCTATTACAGTTATGAACCTTCTGAAAACCAGAATTGCAGGTAACCAGTATTCCTTCTGCATGCCAAAGCAAACCCCGGGCCCTTAATCTTCAAATGACTGGACTATTAATATTAAAATGGTTTCTATTATATAGCCTGGGTAAAGATTTGTTAGTTTCTGAGGTAAAGCAACAACAACAACAACAAAAATTGAAGGACTTTTACTTTGAAACATGTCTAAATTAGCAAGAGGAGGAAGTATGTTTGTTATCTATTGGAAGAAACACTTTTAGAAGCCCATTGGGGGAGGAGATAGACTCAGATTTCTTGGGAGTCAGCCCAGTCTTGGAAAAAAAGTTCTAAGAAGTTTAGTAGGAGATGCCAAGGCACGATTAGAGGAAGGTAAACCTGATTTTGAATGCTGCATAGAACTAGGTATTCTTGGTAAAGTTCCTGAAATTTTCTGAACCTTTCTGTCCTCATCTAAAAAACTGAGCTAATAATAATACTTTTTGTGGTAGATACAGAGGGAAATGAGATAAGAATGGATGTGAAATGCCTGAAATTTGTGGTGTGAAGCTCACATAACTCTTTACCTCATTATTAAAATATATTAAAATGCTTCCAACCCATTATAACCAGTTTGCTTTTACAATGAAAATATAATTTTTCTCATTTGGTAATGAGAATGCAGTATGCAAATGGCCATGTCTAAATTAGTTTTGGATCAATTACCACTTATGATTTCTACCACTATATAAGCAGCTGCTAACATTAATACTGTAATTGTAATCCCCCTTGACCTTACCCTACACATGCAACTTCTATTGCTAGAGGAAGTCCCAACCCTAGGGTGTTGGTGCTACATCCACCACCCCTACCCAACCTGTAGCCTTTTGTATATAAAATGTAGGCCAGCTACCTCTACAGCAATGGTTTTCACACTTTAGCATGCACTTGAATCATCTTAGAGTCCTGGATGCCCAACCCCAGAGTTTCTGATTCAGTAGGTCTCAGGGGAGGACAGATAATCTGCCTTTCTAACAAGGTCCCATATGATGCTGATGCTGATGTTGCTGATCCAGGAAACATACTGTGAGAACCACTGATCTATATAATTCATAAAATAAACTCAGGAGGTTTTCGTCTTTTTCAATGGGCTAGACTAGTTTAAATAGCATTGGAATTATCTGTTCTTTAAGAGTTAAATGGAACCCAGCTGTGAAATTATGTAATCCTGATACTTCTTCCCCCCATTTAAATGATAGACTTTTAATCACCATTTCTGTCTCTTCTTATTACATTTTAGTGCTTCCTCTTGGGTCAGTTAATTTCTGTTTTGCTAAGAAATCATCCATTTTTTCTAGGTTTCACATCTATTACAATGGGGCTAGTTCTAGTACTTTCTTAATAATCATTTTCATTTTTGTGTGCATGTTTTTCTCTATTTGCTCAATCCTAGTATTTCCCCCTCTTCTTCCTTTAATCATATTAATAAGATGGTTATATATTTTATAAAAGAACCAGCTTTTGAATGTATTTGTTCTTTCTACTATTTTTGTTTTCCACTATATTTCAGCATCTATCTTTATTAATTCCTTCTTCATACTTTATTTAGGTTTACATTTTTGTTCTTCATGAAACTTACTAAGGTTAGTACTATGTTAACGTCTTAGTTCTTCAGTAATGAAGCTATTATAGCTATAAGCCACACATTTTTCCTCTGAGTATAGCTTTAGCTGTGTTTCATAACTTTGGATGGAACATATTCTCTTTTTTATTAATACTAGATAGCTTATGATTTTAATTTTGCTTTTCTCATGAATCTTACAGCTATTATAAAGGATGTTTCTTATTTTTCAAGTAGATAAGATTTACTAGCTATTGCTTTATTTAAAATCAATTTTATTTGCTTACGATCTAAGATTATATCCTATCAAAATATCTACTTTTAAAAAAAGGTGTTCATTTTAACCTTGTGATTTATATTTTATTAATATTCCATGGACAATCAGAAATCTATTTTATTAACTCATATGATGTGAGTTCTGTGTACAAATCTATTAGATTGAGTGTGTAGAATATGTCGTTCAAATATTTATGTCCTTTCTTGTATTTGGGCTCCTTGATCACTTCCAAAAGTTTCAAAATCATTTCCCAAAGCTAATATAATCTTTATTCTAAAATCTGACCAAGAAAATACAGACTAAAAAAAAATATGAGCTAATTTCACATATACACATAAGGGCAAACTTTGGAATAAAATATTACCAAGTACATTCCAAAGCCATCTCAAAAGAAAGAATACTCTATGATCAAGAAAAATTTATTCCTGGAATTAAACATCGTTAAAAATTAGGAAATCTATCGAAATATTTGTCCAATCAATAAATTAAAGGAGGAAAAAGATTATAAAAGTACATGTAGGAAATGCATCTGTAAAATTCAGCAGCCATTTTTAAAAAACTTAGTCGGTGTATCCTTCTGTTTCACTTAAACATGATAAAGACTATCCACCAAAAACTAACAAGTAACAGAATTCTAATGGCAAAACTCTCAGGCTCCTTGTAGTAAAATTAGACGTAAGAGAATGTATCAATTATCTCTTGTCCCAGTAATGTTGCATAACTATCAAACTTCAGTGACAAGTGATAATTAACATGTGTAGCTCACAGTGGGAATCAGGGGATCTCAGCTGGGCCTGCTTGCACGTCTGTGGTCAGCTATAGATCATCTCAGCAGCTCTGCGATGATAATCGGGCATGCTCACGTGTCTGGTGTCTGGGGCTGGCTAGCTGTGGGCTGATTGAGGATGGCCTCTACTAGAACATTGGAAAAACTCCACAACATATTCTCTTCCTGCAGCAGGCTAGCCCAGGTAGCGGCCGAGAAGCAAGAGCAAGTCTAGTGTGAGAAGCACTTTTCAGGCATCATGTTTGCTGACCACCCTTTGGCCCAAACACTCACCTCACTAAGCCTAGACTCAAAATATGAGGGCACTGCAAAGATTCACAGCAAAGATTCATGGCACAGGGCCTAGACACAGGGAGGAGTCTCTGTATTTGTTTTTTCTTTGTATTTGTTTTATCAAGTGAAAAACAAATAAGGATCTCTGCTTCCATCAACATTATTCATCTTTGTTTCAGGGGTCCCTGTGATTTTAGTTGGCCAAGATGTAACTGGCATAATGAATACAACCAAATGAGAAATATTACCTTTTTTGTTGATGATGTGATTGTATACCTGTAAGAGTGGAAGGACTCCAGTAAAAAACTGGAGTGCAACAATCAGTAAGAATATTTGACAAGGCTGTTGGACTAAAAAATAAATGTAGAAAAATCAGTAAGTCTTCTTTATAGCCATTCGTTCAACAAATATTTATTAAACACTCACTGAATAATAAGCATTCATCTGGTCCCTAGTACAGTCGTGAACAAAAGAAAAAAATCATTTTCTGCATAGGGCTTATATATTAGTTGGGGGTAATGGAAAATAAATGAGTAGGTAAGCCAGATGGTGGCAAGTGCTATGGGGAAAAATACAAAGCCAGAGAAGAAGTATAGTAAATGCTTAGCCGATGGACTGGATGGCAGGCAGTGGTGTGTTGTTTTCTATGAGGTGATTAGGGAGGGCTTCACTTACAATAAGTTGGCATTTGAGCAGAAACTTGAGGTTTGTGACAAATTCTGCTGTGCAGACAACTGTGACAAGCACATTCCAGTTCAGGAAGAGTGAACAGCAAGTTCAAAGGCCTTGAGACACGGTTGTATGTGGTATACTTTATTTACAAGAATTATCAATTACAAATGGAGATGGAATTTTCACCATAACAACATAAATTTTAAAAGACTTAATAAGATACAACAAGAAATGATTATTTAGAGGACATAAAACAAAATCTATAAAAACCCAGGGAAACTATTTAAAAAACAAAACAAGAACAGAGGCTAACTTGTCTTTTACCAGGTACTTGAATGTGTAGAAGTGACTATATCAAAACAACTGGATATTGGCAAAGGAGTAAACAAATTGATCAGTACAACAGAATGGAGGGTACATCTAGAACGGTTGTTGCCCTACTTGCTAATACATTCAAAAGTAAATGATAGGTGGATAATGGTACACATTAATTTAAATTAAGCAGCAAACATGTATTGATTTGCTATTGCTGCCATAACAAATTATCACCAACCTAGCGGCTTAGCCAACACCAAGTTAGGGCCTTGCAGTCTGTAGGGAAGAAGTCTGATACAGGCTTCACAAGGGCTTAGGTTTCAGCCTGGAGCCTCTGAGGGAGAATCAACTTTCTTGCCATTCTCAGAGGTCAGCCATACTCCTTGGCTTCCTTCCTCCATCTTCAAAGTCAACAATGTTGCATCTCTCCAACCCTTCTTCCATAGTGACATCTGCCGCTCAAGGATTCAGGTGACTAGATTGGGCCTACCTGGATAATCCAGAATAATATCCCCATCTCAAAATCTGTACCCTTAATCACATCTGCAAAGTCCCTTTTGCCATGTAAGATAGCATTTTTACAGGATTCGGCAATAAAGTCATGGACTTTTTGGGGAACCATCTTTGTGCCTACCACAAACATTTTAGAGAAAATTTGGGAGAATAATTTTATACCCCAAGTGTCAGGGAAATGTTTATAATCAATACAGAGCTAATTAATAAGGGATAGATAAAAAGATAAGCATACTGTACCATGTAATTTTTTAATTGCATGACCAAACATATCATAAACAAACTAAAAAATACAGGCTAGATAGGTGTCTTACAACATGTGGCAAAGTGTTAATGTCTGCTTTGCCACAGCATTCATAAGAATCAGTAGGGAAAATGGGGAAAAGATATAAGTAGTTAACTCACAGAAAAGCACATTCAAATGATCATTAAAACCACATGAAAATACGCTCAACCTCAGAAGTTTTCAGACAAACACAAAAGTTTATGGTAACAATGAGTATATTTAGTTTCCTAGGGCTGCAGTAACAAATTACATGAGCTTGGTGGTTTAAAACAACAGGAATATATGCTCACAGTTCTGGGGAGAAGAAGTTTGAAATCAAGGTGTTGACAGGGCCACACTCCCTCTGAAGGCTCTAGGAGTGAATCCCTCCCTATCTCTTCCAGAGTCTGGTGGCTCCTGGTGTTCCTTGATTTATGAATGTGTAATTCCAGTCTCTGCCTCCATCTTTACCTGGCCCTCACCGCTTCTCCCTGTGTCTCCCCTCTGTGTGTCTCTTATAAGGACACTTGTCATTCAATTTAGGGCCAGCCAGATAAGCCAGGATAATTTCATGTAGAGATCCTTAATTATATCTGCAAAGACTCCCTTTCCAAATTAGGTCATATTCATAGTTTTGGGGGATTACCACATGGACATATGTTTTGGGGGTCCACCATTCAGTCACTACAATGAGATACCCCTCCCATCAAATTAGTAAAATTTTAACTTTTTTCATTGACATATACAAGCTTGTAATATATTCCAAATACAAATCTACCAAATATATGTATTACAGATTTAAAAAATAATTAGCAAATATTTCAAAGGAGCGATAATATCCACCACTGCAGTTAGATGAAGAGATGGGGGGAGTCTAATACATTCCTGTGGTCTTTGAACTTTTGAAAAGCAATCTGGCAAACTCTATTAATAAAAAACACAGGGAGATATCATATATGACCCAGCTTTTGGAAGCTAGCCCATAAAAATAAAAGCATTGATATGCAAGATTCTGTGTACAGGAATTTTATTGCATCATTGTTGTAGGGAGGGAAAGAAGAATCTGGAAACCAAGCGAATGCCCAGAAATTGGGGAATAGTTGGGAAATAAATGTGGTGCACGTGTATCATGGATATTATATACTGTATGCATAGAGATTCGAGAACTACATGGATGGATGAGTATTAGGTTTTATCATGGCCAGAGTGGTTGGTAGATCATGCAAGAATCCATGTTTGAGGGTTTAAGTGAAAAAAATTCCTTTCTTTTGAGTCGCAACACCTGGAATAGTGTATCAACTTTGTCCTTAATTCCTGGTGTAACTGAGCAAAGTCACGTGTAACCAGCCACCCTGGGTCTCTGGTTGCTCAGCCTCAGGTGAGGAGGTGGCACTGCCTGTGAGTATATGCTAAATTCCAGGAGTAGCAAAGTGTTCTGCCCTCCCTCAGGCATAGGGAAAATATTGTTTTGTGTTGGCTGGACAGATCTAGAGATGTAATCGGTGGCTTTTGAAGAGTCATTGCTGAGTAAGTGAGAAAAATTTTATGCCATTTAGTCTAGGAATTGAGAGTCAGTGTTGGGATGTGCAACTCAAAGCTGTCCTGCTCCTCTTTCCTGTAATTCCCCTGGAGTATTTTCAGCAATAGGAACACACTGAAAAAGTACACTGCTTCCTCCTCCAGAGAAAACCACATGCATTTAAAGGTATAAACTCTGGTATGTTTGCTAAAAAAAAAAAAATAAATAAATAAATAAATAAAAAAGCATACTTCCCCAGAAGCCTCAAGGCTTCCTGGAATTTCTGTTAAGAATTCAGATGTACTGATGATAAATTTCTAAATACCACAATTTCAGCCAATTCTGTTAACAAATAGGAAAAAAAAAGAAAGTTTTTATGACCACAGAAACTGTTTTAAAAAATTGTGGGGGAAATGCAGTTACACTTGGTAATCTGTGAAAAACAGAGATCAGATAGAGTTCTTGATCTTTTCAAATTTTTTGCATATTGTATAGGATACAGCATCGGGTCTGTACCAACTACAGGACACTTACAAATAAGTTATTCACATTAAATTTCTTGAAAAGCATCCAAAGATCAAGTTACTCATTCTCCTTCCCCCAGGCAAGGCTGGAGAACTACACAGCCCAGGCTCTTTAAGGTCTTTCTTATTTTTAAAGAACTCTTAGTTATAATGCATGATTCTTAGTTTCCTCTACATTTTTATTTTATTCTACAGTGAACCTGAATTACTTTTCTTTTTTTTTTTTTTTTTTTTTTTTATGAGACTGAGTCTCACTCGGTCGCCCAGGCTGGAGTGCAGTGGCACTATCTCGGCTCACTGCAAGATCAGCCTCCCGGGTTCACGCCATTCTCCTGCCTCAGCCTCCCGAGTAGCTGGGACTACAGGCGCCCGCCACCACGCCCAGCTAATTTTTTTGTATTTTTAGTAGAGACGGGGTTTCACTGTGTTAGCCAGGATGGTCTCGATCTCCTGACCTCGTGATCCGCCCGCCTGGGCCTCCCAAAGTGCTGGGATTACAGGCATGAGCCACCGCGCCCGGCCTGAATTACTTTTCTAAGCAGAAAAAAAAATATTAACTTAAAAAACTTATCTATGTGATTTGAGAACTATAGTTCATAAAGTATTTTGGAATGAATTTTTAAAAAACAATCAAATGAGTCACAATCCATAATCATGTCTAGAGACCCTTTTTCATGCTGATTTCTTACAGGAGGTTACAAAGGTGAGAGACGGTGTGCATGCAGCAATGGAGGGAAAGGCCTTCCATGTAAGAGGAACATGAGGCCAAATCTTGGCAATTCACTTCCTCCCTAAGGCTCTATTTTTCCATCTGTTAAGTAGAGATGACGATAATTCTTATCTGTACAGAGTTGTTACAAGGCTTAGGGTAAAAAGTATTTGAAAATTGTACCCAGTAACTAACAATCTATGAAAATCAGAGACGGTATTTCTTCCTGGCCTCGTTTTCTTCTTCCTTGTTTAAAATAATCATAAACAAATGCAATACAAGATGTGTTAGGCCATTTGTCCTCAAAATACTATTGGCCTCTTAATTATATCTGAATAATTATTTGCATGAAATTAAGTCAACTTTACTGCAATTGTACCGAATTGGAACAAATAAAACTTCAGGTGGGAGAAATGTTAGAATCAGGTTTGTGGTTCCCATGGGGCGTGGATAGTACCTAGAAGGGAGGGATTGTAGGGGACTGGTAAGCTTCAGATTTTTGATCTGGGTGCCAGTGACACAATTTGTGATCCTTTCTCAAGGCACTCACTTTCAATCTCTGCATGTGTCTATTTTTAAGTATGTGACACTTTAATAAAAAGTTGAAACCAAAATAAATAAATAAATATCCTCTATGTAGTCTTTAACGGACCTATTTTCATTTTCTCACATTTCATATGCACAACATTAAAGAAGAAATAGAAATTCGATGCTTTAGAACAAGGTTTTCAACTAAGGGCTGGAATCAAACTGACCTAAGAGTTTATTAGAAAGTAACATGAAAATCTGCCCCCCAGAGATGGTGATTGAGTAGATCTGGGGTGGGGCCTAGAAATATGTATTTTTTAAATTCAAAAGTTAGGAGCCACTGCTCTGAAGTCTAAAGCACGGGCCCTTACACGTGCTACAAGTTGGAATCACCTGAGGCATTTAAAATGCATTATGGGCTGGGTCCAAACCCACAGCTTCTGATTTAATTGGTCTGGGATGTGTGACCCGAGCATCCAGGTTTTTTAAAGCTCCCAGGTGATTATAATGTGCAGCATCAAGTGTGGAACAGCTCTCTAAAACAGAGGGAAGGAGTTTGGAAGTCTGTTGTAGCTACTTAACAGCAGGCGAGAACAGTGAGGGAACCTCACATCATTTAACTGCCTCAAGACGAAGCCGCCAGCATCCCACCATTTCCCTGGCCTGTGGATGCCACGTAAGGCAAGTGCTTACTATATGTTTCTGTAATGAGTATGCATTTGTTTATAGGGCCTTCATAACTCGTCTGGGTCATCACCATCTTTTTAGCCTGTAAATTTCTAAATGGCAGGGGCAAGGACAGGAGAACTGCTTTGTAAAAGCAACTAAGTGCTACAATGAAATAGATGATCACAATAATGCAGAAATTCCTTTCTGCAGCTCGCCAGAGAGGCAAACTCCAGCATTTTATATTTCATCTGCCCCCAGTGACTTCACTGTAGGAAGAGGAAATGCAGAAAAACAAACGTCTTGAAGACTGAAAGCCTGTTATTCAAAGAGGTTAGCAGTAGACTGTTGGAAGTAAGGTATGTATTCCAAGATTCAGTCTGTGTGGTGATAAGAAATGGTTGTTTTGATGGAAAAATTTATGCTTCCTATTACTCACTCATCACTTACACTTCTTATTAATTCATTGTCTCCTTTCTAACCCATGGATACTACCTGGCATTCAGTGCCTTCAAAAGATGTCTTCCCTCAGATATGCCTTGTGATTTCTCATACTATACGGGTAGAGTTAAATGGGGTTAGAAGTACTAGGGCCACTCATTGTTTATGAAGGAAGTGAAAGTTGCTCCTTGAAATCAACAAAGATTCAGAACCCAAAGTTTGAATCATTTTACCTATTTGAGAAATCACCTTGCTAAAGGGCTCTTCGGCAGGAAGTCACAAAATCAGTACTCAGTTCTTGCTGAGTTCCCTGAAACTCAAACCTAAAGTGTGTGGATAGCCCTATTTAACTGACATCCCTTAAGGAGCCATGCTCCTCTGCCAGGAACATCCTCCCCCTCCTTGGTGCTGGAGTTAACTCCTGATCACCCTCCACAGGATACCTCCTTTATGCTCTCCCGGCTCACCAGAAAGGAGGACAGGGCTTGCTCTGTTCTCTGTACTCTTACAGCACTTTTGTTCCTGTACTGGTCATAGGATGTGTCACAGTGTGTTATAAATATTTATCTTCTGGTCAGGCTCTTCTGTTAGACCTAGGCTTTTATTACTGGAGGGAAACTTACTCATATTCTCAGCCTCTGAACTCAGTCCTGTGCCTTGGCACATAGTAGGGGTCACACCACGTAATTGCAGTAGACGGTGTTTGCAAAAGAATTGCCCGTCCTAACAATGTGGCCATATTTATTAGCAGGAGCTTTGGGAAGTCAAGCTTCTAACCGAAGCCGACATTATCCTAAAATAGGAAGCCACATCAACGCTGCCTTTTGACTCAATAAATGTCAGATCTTATTCCATCCAAATAACTCTTGACTCTCCAACTGAGCTCTAATGGAAGATCAAAGAGCCTCTGAGAGCTGGTCCTTTTCTCCATTTCAAGAAGTGGGTTAATGCTTATAGTTAATTCTAAGCTCTTGACTCTAGGCTGGAATGGCAATAAAGGCATATCTGACCTTTAATTCTAAGTAAAATAAAAAGACTGGAGAGTTGTTACAGAGGCAAATGTAGGAAAGAGAAAACTAAGTGGAAATTTGGGGTAGGAGGAGCAAATAATCTTTAGATCAGAAGGACCTAGATCACCTATCTGTGCTGTCCATTACTGCAGCCACTAGCCAAAGGTGGTTAAATGTAAATTAATAAAATTAAATAAAATTAAATGGTTGGTAGCCACACAGGGCTAATGGCTCCCATATTGGAAAGTGCAGATGTAGAGCATTGACATTATCACAGAAAGTTCTATTGGACAGTGCTTGATAAATTCCATCGCTTTACAGATAGGGAACCTGACAGCTGGAGAAGTTCAGTGACTGACCCAAGGATTCATACATAGTTGGCCTAGACCTGAGACCCAAGCCTCAGGAACCCCAAGCTGGCCTCATTAACACTCTGTGATACGGGGTTTTCCTAAGCCAAAGAAAATGAAGAGGGCTAACAAGTTTCAATTGAATTCAAAAGTGCAGAGTAGCCATTAAGTAGTGTTATACAGGCAAACTTACTGAAATAAAATTTGCAAGCAAAAAACTCCTGGCACAATAATTGTCTTAAGTGGAAAACTTAACTTCTGAACAAAAACTTGTCTTTGTACTTAAGTCAAAACACTAAGTTATGTCACAGTAAAAAGTACCATTCAATCACTCAATTTAATGTCAGGTGAAGCAGTTGCATACTAATCAATAACCTCAGATGCACACATTTGTGCCTATTTAAATGCCTGCCCTAGTAATCCTATACTGTATTATTGTGTAGTAAAATAGTCCCCAAAGAAAAATGTACCTTCTTGCATCTTCGAAGTATACATGCATGTGGTTAGGGCTATCACTTACCATCTTTAGATATTAATTACTTGGCTTTTCCAAATGTTGTGAAATGTTTTTTCATATTTCTATCTTGAGCTAGTTTCGATAATACAATGCTGTGCCTATGTTTGACCTCCTATAAAGAATATCAGCCCCCGTTATATATTTAAATCTGGTTTCCAGGTGGTGAGTTTTCAGACCTAGGACAGCATTTAAAATATAATTGTGTGAGGAATTTGAGTTGGTATCATAGTTACAGGGACATTTTTGGACATAGTATTTCAGAAAGCTAACATGGATTTTATTGAATTCACAGGTGATTTCTTACATTTCAGTGAAGACATCTCTATCCTGTTTGTTTTAGCACCTTGGATGATTGTGCTGAGAGCCAGTGTATTATTAGAAAGCAGCATGCTGCTAGCATTAAGGGAAAGTTTCCTTGCTAGTCCCTAGAGTCAAACAAATAAGATTTGTGTCATTTGACTTGAAATACAGAATTCTAGACCCAAAATGACTTAATGGAGTTCCTTCACAAAGCAGGAACTCCAAGGTAGTGGGTTTAATTTAGTTAATTGGGTGGCATGACAGGTCATCAAGGTGCCCTCCATCTTGTTGCCCTACTATTGTCTCCGTGTTGCCTTTTGTTCCCAGGCTGTCCGCTCAGAGTCACCTCTCTAGGCAGCATATGTTCACACAGCCACATCCAAAGACCAAAAGAGAAGCAGTGTCTTGTCACATGTGTCTTCATTACAGGAAGGAAAATATCTCTTCCAGAAACCCTCCTCATACTACCTCTAGCAAACTGCCTCTTACATCTAATTGCCCAGAATTGGGTCATGGGCTCATACCTTAGCATTAAGGGAGGTTGGGTGAGTCAGTTACTCAATAATGTGTAACAAATCACTCTAAAACTTAGTGGCTTTAAACAACTATTTTTTACCTCTCATGATTCTTCAGTCTGGGCTGGGCTCAGCAATGTGGTATTTCTGCTTCACATGGCATCTGCTGGAGCTACAACATCCAGGATGTCCTGGGGGTTGGCCAGGCATCTAACTTTCTTCACGTGGTCTCTCCGTTTAGCTAGCTTGGGCTTCCTCACAGCATGGCTGCCTCAGGATGGTCTGACTGTTTACATGGTAGCTGGTTTCCAAAAGAGTATAAAAGTGGAAACTACAAAACCTCTTAAAACATAGTCTCAAGCCACACAGTGTCACTTATGCACTCTGTTGATCAAAGCAAGCCGCAGGGTCAGCTCAATTGAGAAGGAGTCCACTTCTCTTGATGAAAGGAATGGCAAAGTCACATTGCCAGAGACATGCAGGGTGGCAGTGATTATTGCAGCCATTTGTGGAAACAATCTACCACACTGGAAATCCAAGTACCAGGCATTTTCAGACTCTGAAGGAAAACAAGATGGTTGGTAAGAAAGAGTCTGAGTAGGGTGGGTAATTAACAGTGAGTCTAAACTAAACTTGATGCTGCAGCCGCCACAATGGCATCTGCTTTGCCGCACTGATCACAACCTGGACACAGCCTATTTTAGTTAAGCCTCCCTACCCTAGATGGCCTTTGGGAATGTAATCAGGCCATGCTCAGGAAATTATACCCTATACCCAAATTCCATTTGAATGAACTGAATTCATCTGGCCTCATTTTATTGAAAGTTTTAGTTGGTAAAAGAATAGATTACTGTACCTTTGTAACAGAATAAAAATGTTCATGGGACAGATAAACACTACATTCAGCATTATGGCAAAATGATACAATTTGATTAATTGAGGTAGCATGTCCTTGGATTTTGCAATATTGTCTTCTTTTCTTTTTTGCATGTTTGACATAGTATATAATTTTAAATAAAATGACAGATTACCATAATGAGCTAGAGTTTTCTTAGTAAGAAGGGGAAAGGCATTTCTAGTTGATTTTCATTCCTTTCTCTATGATTTTCATTTCTTTCTCTTGCTAGGGGCACAGCCTAGGAAGGGAGAACTCTGCAGTATGATTGAATGATACTGGGATGGGTGACTCCACATTCTAGGGAAAGCTCAATAGCTTAATGATCAACACGTCTCAACATTCTCAAATTCATTCAGGTATCAGAGCTTGTAGAAGTCGTGATACCCTTTCAGACCACCCCAAAATGATGATGGCCAGGAACTTTTAAAAGTAACATGCCTAATTTTGGGTAAAACCAGCTTATATTTTATACTTGATTCTGGGACAGACCAGTGAGTGGTAGCAGGTGCAAAAAATTATGAGCAACAAACAAAAACTTTGCAGCTGAGAAATTCTATCAAATGCTATTTTTAGAAAATTGATAAAATTGACTAAATTTTAAATAAATTAAACTTTTTTAACTTTAGCCAAAGTTCTGTTTTTTTTCATTGAAATGCCTCAGTGTAGTTTATGGGACCCCAATGTTTTGTATAGTCCAAGATTCCCTTGCCATAGATCAGTGAGAGGGCCCAGGAGCCGAGGGATCTGGTCCAAACATGCAGCTAAAATCCCTTGGTTATAGCATTCTATTATTGTTATTGATTTTCTTAACTCTAACATTTAATTATCCTGTTAGAACTGTAGTTGAAATGAGACCACTGACTTCTTTACTCGACAAGATTTATTGAGAGTCCACTATTTGCCAGGCACAGTGCTGAGAACCAGGAAGTCATTAATGAGGACAAGATGGTTCCTGACCCCCAGCAGGAAGCTTAACGTCGAGCCAGGGAGAAGGGCTTGAAACAAGGTGATGCACACAGTGGAGAGGACAGGGAGCTTAGAGGACGGCACCAGCACAGCACACTTTGGGGTCAGCACCTACATCTCAGTTCAGAGCCTTGCCACCATCTAAAAATATAAATATTAGAATTGGATGTGTCCCTGATGCTTCTGGGGACTGAAAGACTTAATTTTTACAGCTACTATGGCCCTGGAGCACTTAAAAAAGCATTTTAGTAAAAGCAATCCATGTTTATGGTAAAAATAGTAATAACATTGAGCAGTTCAGAAGGATATAAAATGAAATGTAGAAGGCCCCCTCCCTATCTTCCAGCCCTACTCCCTGTAGGTGACCACTAGTTGCATTTTTTCATTTTCTTGTATACCTTACCAGAAATATTGCAGACATAGTACAAACATGTGCACACACATTGTATGTAACACAGATTAAATTTTTTCCTTAAATAATAAAATTTGGCACCTTTTCATACCTCTCTATATAACTTTCACTTTATGTTACTCTTTTTTCTCAACAGCCACATATTAGTCCATTGAATGATTAGATGTACCAAAATTTATTTACTGAGTCTTCTGTTAATGGACATTTAAGTTATTTCCAGAATGTTGCAATTTCATAAAACCTACAATGAACATATATATATACATATATATTTACATAAATGACTATGTCTGCAGGATAAATTCCAAGATGTAGAATCACAGTGTCAAAAGGCATGTACATTTGGAATTTTGTCAGATATTGCCAAAATGTTGGACTAATTTGCAGTCTTGTTGACAATGTGCAAAAGAGCCCCAGTTATATTTTGCAAGAAATGTAGAGTCAGCCCTCCATATCCATGGATTCTGCATCCATGGATTCAACCAACTATGGATTGAAAATATTTGGAAAAAAAATGCATCCATACTAAACATGTATAAACCTTTTTTCTTATTGTTATTTGCTAAACAATACAGTATAACAACTCTTTACATAGCATTTACATTGCATTATGTATCATAAGTAATCTAGAGATTATTTAAAGCATATGGGAGAATGTCTGTAGGTTTTATGCAAATATTACACCCTTTTGTATAAGGGACTTGAGCATCTCTGGTGTCCAAGGGAGGTCCTAGAACCAGTCCTCCACAGATGCCAAGGGACAATGGACAATAACTCATGTGCGCACAGAAACACTGATGAAGCTTTGAAAGCAAAGAGGAGTTTGCACTTTATATTTAAATATGTCTAGGCAGAGCCCTGTGTCATTTGCTAATAAAAGGAAGTGGCAGGACTCAATATTCAAAAGGCCTCCCATTTTCTGTGTCTTTCTTCTAAAGTCTTTAAACTGCTGCATCATAGGAATTTAGTTTACTAAATCCAAATTACAAATTTCAAGTACAACTTGGCTTCTAATCTCCTATTGTGAGAGGAAGGCTGTAACAGGAACCTATTTTGTGGATCTCTCTTTTGGGTAACGCTCTCAGGTGGTAAGGTGTGGAAAGGTACATTAAGGAAAATGGGAGGGCAGTTGGAGGGGATCAATTAGTGTTTTTTGCTTAATTAAGCACAGTCCTCTGTAGTCCCAAAGCCTGGGCTCTGTTGATCTGCCTGAACCACTTCTCTTTGGTACGGAAATTCATGAGAACAGGACATCTTACTTGAGTAACAGATGCCACCTCCCTATAGTCAAGTTAGTCAAGAAAATTCCAAGAATTATTTTAAGGTATTTTATTTCATGCCTGGCAGAGCATAGAAAAATATTAGCTTCTAGGGCTAGACGACTGCTTTGGGGTTTCCAAGAAAAAGGTTTCAAGGTTAGTCATTACTATGCAATTCTGCTGCTGTGACTGATTTTAATGCCATCCCAGGATCAACAATTGCTAGAAAAATCAGGCTTCTTGTCAGAAAAATACATTTCTTCCCCTAATATCTAATTAATTAAGGTATTTTAACCACTTGATTGTGCATCGTGTCTCTTGGAGGAGAAACTGAATTGAGTTGTCAGAGAATCAAAACTTTAATGACCAAAGTCCTTTGAATATAACTAGGGAGGAACTTTGATTCATAATCATTTTGTTTCAAAATGCTGAGTATAGTTTTTGAAGTTTACAGTGAACATGCCCAGGATATGATGCTCACTGGAGAGAACATTTTGTTTATAAGATGTCTCCCGTGTTAATTCAGACATTTCAGATAGGCCCAAAGAGGGTCTCGGCCTGGTGCCTCTCCGTTGTTTGCAGAACATGGCAGGCAGACACTCCAAATGTATGGCCCAAGAGAGAGACAGGCCTTGCATTTAATTAAAGTAACCCAGTAAACTTCCTGAAAGATTTATCCCCCCAACCCCACCCCTTCATATCTCAAAAGAAACGTAACTAAGCACCAAATATTTTTCTTTCTGCTAGTGTTTTGAGGTTTTTCTTGGCTCATTTTTTGCAGCTCAGACACTATGGAAAACTTTATTGCCTTGCAAACATGTCTCTGGGTGGCTGAGGAAACAGGGAAAGCACAACCTAATTCATTTCTTTTCTATAGGAAATAATGCCCAGAAGAGTAAATGTTGTCTGCCACAGTTAAAAATCAGAAGAGAGGAGCTAGGCATTGACTTTAAAAGTAAGGAGGTTTTTCATGAAAGACACTGGAGGCCTTTGCTGGGGATGGGGGAATCTATAAGTAAAGGTGAAGAGATTTTAGGTTTGTCACCATGATAGGGAACATCCCAATACTCTGAGGTATACATATAGATATAATGAATTTTTAGTCATGTCAGTAAGTAGGGAGATTGACTTCAGCCTCAAGGTATTTAAAAATATGTTAGAGAGATTTCATGAAAGAAAAAATGTGACAGCCTTTTCGATATTTTAGCCTAGGCTGCAATTAATATCCACTAACCAAGAAACAGACTCCTCGAAATAATTAGGTTTTCTTTGAGTAGCTGCTATAATAAAAAGCCAAGTGGTATTTTAATTTTCACGTCATTTCTGAAAGGCAACTTGTATTTTAGTTCTTGGTCCCTCCCTCCTCAACTCCAAAAAAAGAAAAGACTGATAGAGGGATAGATAGGTAGATGGGTAAGTGGATGAGTAGACACTGATGAACTTGCTATTTACCTGAAGAAAAAAAAATGGAATGCAATCTCTTTGAAGGGAAAACTATATAAAATTGCCATTTTTGTAGGTTAAAATGACTGAATGTTGGCAATTTTTTATGTTTTAACCTAAAAGAATATGCATCCAAGCACATTTGAACTTGTGTTTGTCTTTACTAAACATTTAGAAATTTGTGATACAGTTTATGAAACATCTTTCTCATAGTGAAGTTGTCTACCTAAAGATCTTGTTGGTGCTTTAAATCCTACGTGTTTCATTTCTTTAAAAATTCCTTAGTATTCATGCAGCTAATAGGCAGCAGTAATGAAGCCCTCGTCTGTCCACTTGCCAGCCTTCCCATTTGGCCAGCAAGCTCTGGCTTGAAACCCCACACTGGGCTCTTGTCCATTTTTCATGAGGCTCCTCATCCCCTCCCTCTTCTTAGCCAGCACTCTGGACAACAGTCAGAAATCAGAAGGGCTTTATTTCCTTAAGCAAGTCACTTCTTTCAGTGTTTCTGGCATTGCTTTGGTGCAGTGGCTTTCCAATTGATGACCACAGCCCACAGTAAGAAATACATTTTACATAACGACCAAGCATACAAATGGTGTGTGTTTGTAAATCAAACAAAAGTTTCACAAAACAATCCTAACTCTTAAGAAACGCAGTGAACTGACGCTTTCCAGTCTACTTCATTTCATTTTTTAAAAGGCACTGCTTGCTACCCACTAAATTGATTTCACAACCCACTTATGTGTTGGGACCCATAGTTTGAAAAACACTGCTTTAGTGTACTTGATTCAACCCGGGAATTTTAAGTCTTGGCAGTCAATCACAGGCTTGCTTATATCGGCAGAAAAAGACAGGACTATTCATTGCTGGGAACACGGTAAAAACATCCTTTGGCAGCCTTCAGAAAAATTTTTTAATAGCAGTGGAAATAAACAGGTATTAAATCTATTAATGGAGGACAGCCTCAGCCAAAAAATAACAAGGGGTTAAAAAAAAAGAGCAGTCACATACTCACAGAAAGTAGACAGAATCCTGCAGAACCTAGTTCTAGAATTTTGTGTCCAAGCACAACTCTCAGCTGAGAACAACAGGTTAGCCTATTTTCTAGGTAGTATGGAATGTGTAAATAGTTCAGATGTAGACGGTGGAAAACTCACAATGTTGGTTTAGAAATCCTGGCTCTGCAGCTGCCAATCATACTTCATTTCTTGTTAAGGCCAGGAACTGAGACTTCTCTGGGCTTCCAGCCACTGGCTGTCTTCATCCACATCTTGGCCTTCACCCAGCCTTCCTTTTACTACCTTGGGTCACAATTTGTCCTGCTCCGGCCACTTGGTAGAAAACTTGCCTTCTATATTTGGGACAGAATAAAAGATGCTCTTAAAACCTAGAGGAAGTCACGTATCAGGTGCTACTGGTATCATGATGTGTTAATGTACCAAATCAGAATCCTATTCAGTGCAACTTTGGAACCACAGCTTTTGTGAAGCTATAATGTGGAGAAAATCCAAGACAAGTGCACAGTAAATTCTGTGCTTGGCAGTGTTCACTATTTATATGAGTAAATGTTGTTCCTTTCTCTTCTTGGCCTTTGGCTACTGGTGTTTCCTTTTAAAGTTCATGCCAAAGTAGGGTGGGAATTTATCATTTGACAATAGAAAGTGAACTGGATCTAATCAGTCCAGGAGCCTACATTTGAATTGTGTTCCTACAATGCAACATCAGGTTCTGCCTTCAAACTTTCCTGCTCCCCACATCATCCCAAAAACATTTTAAAGGCCATCAAAAGAATGCTGTCATAATAAAGATTCTCAAACATTCTCTAGAATTGCAGAAAGCTGGGACAACGCTCCTGTTGAAAGTTAGTTTTCTTCTCTCCCTTTCAAGTTGACCAGGAAGAGCTGGAAGAGCATTTTTCAGGATATCAGAATCCCAGAACAACTCTCATCTCACTTACAAACTAAAGGACAGTGGCCTCATACAAGTTATGCTTCACTAGAACTGATTTTCTTCTTCTCTAGGCTGGGAAAGCCACTCTTGGCCTACATTGCTCATAAAATGAATGAAAGTTTAAATAAAATAATGCACATAAAAATACTGTGACAAACATACAGTCCAACTGCAGGTTCTTTTTCTGTTTTTGATCAATCAAGACCTAAATTGAAGTCTTTTAAGTCCTTGTAGCCCTAGGAATCTGATTTTTAAGGTAAATGTGCAGGTCTCAGATCTGCTTAAAGGAGAGTGGGTAAAGCTGAAGGCGCTGGGTAGGGGACGAACAGAGTTATTCAGTGGCAAAGGAAAGAATATGAAAAGGAAATGTGTGTAAGATATCTATGTAGAACCCACTGCATTGGGTCTGCAAGTGGTGGTAGATATTCTGAAACTCTGCAAAAGCCTGGATTTCCACAAGCTTTGGGGCCTTCAAAAGGTTGCTTGAGTACCTATCTGTGAATGTTAAATTTTATTCCTTGGAATTTACCCAACTTCAACTTCTGTCTAACTTGATCTTCAACTTCTTACTTTACACAAGCACATCTCACTTAAAAGTGAGAAGGGTCATTTTAAGCCCCACTCTCGTGTTCCTCTTGGAACCCCATGCCGCCCAGGCTAACGGTGAGAAAATGTAGCACATGCCCTTCTCATTGCCACATGCTTGCTCCTCAGAGAAATAAAGGTAAAGAAAGGTATTAAAAAAATAGTGTTTTCATAGAAGGAGATGTTGCAATGAGAAAACTTTGACATAAAATTTCTATTTTATCTAGTCATACTATGGTTACTGGGCTTTGAAACTGAGTTTCAACATGAATAAACAAAGCTGCTAGTGAAATGCGTCGAGCTTGAATTGAGTGTCCTCAGCCTAAGAGTGGATCAACATTCTTCAGCTATATCTACAAGCCATCTAGCTGTTTGTCCAAATGCAGATTTTTGAGATGTTTGGAGAAGAACCTAACAGTTGAGGCTGAAATCTTAAACCATATGCATTAAGTCTCTTATGTACAAAATTCCTCTCTTGCCTCTTAGCCAATGATGGTGACAGGGTTGAACGGTGAAGAAATGGAGCATGTCTGGGATTTCTTTCTTTCCTCCCAACTATGAATATCTTCTTGAACCAAGCTAAAAAGAGTACAAAAAATATAATGCTTTCCTTAGAAAGTTATTGTTTTATGAAAGCATGTTGGTATTGTTGAAGCTGTTTTGCCAATACAGGCTTCTAAATGGGAAGAGGTATGTCATAGTTCAGGCTGCTGTAACAAAATATCATAGATTAGGTTGCTTATACACCAAACATTTGTTTCTCACAGTTCTTGAGGCTTGGGTGTCCAAGGTCAAGGTATCAGCAGATTCACTGTCTGGTAAGGGCCCACTTCCTGGTTTGCATATGGTTGTCTTCTCTTTATGCCTTCACATGGTCTTTCCTTGGTGCATATGTATGAAGAGCAAAATCTCTCCATCTTCATCTTCACATAAGGGCACTAATCCCATCATGAAGGTCCCACCCTCAGACCTAATCTAACCCAACTACCGCCCAGAGGCCCTACCTCCAAATACCATCACATTGGGGGTTAGTGCTTCAACATGTGGATTTGGGCAGAGGAAGACACAAACATTTAGCCTATAACAAGGCATAACCCTCCAAGTGAACATTATAAAGCACTAAAAAGACTCTAACCTTAGGAATCAATGTAATGCAAAATCACTTTTACTCTAGGTTAAGAATAGGTATAATTTAGCAATTGTTTATATGATAGCAGAAGCACTGTTTTCTTGGGCATTTTAGTTAAATTTGAGACATAGGAAGTTACCAGGTAGTTAGGGTTAAATGGCCAGTATTCTTGGGAGAAAATAAGATTAATATGGCATCAGAAATTGGTTCTATGGCTTTTTTTTTTAATTATACTTTAAGTTTTAGGGTACATGTGCACAATGTGCAGGTTAGTTACATATGTATACATGTGCCATGCTGGTGTGCTGCACCCACTAACTCGTCCTCTAGCATTAGGTATATCTCCCAATGCTATCCCTCCCCCCTCCCCCCACCCCACAACAGTCCCCAGAGTGTGATGTTCCCCTTCCTGTGTCCATGTGTTCTCATAGTTCAATTCCCACCTATGAGTGAGAATATGCGGTGTTTGGTTTTTTGTTCTTGTGATAGTTTACTGAGAATTATGGTTTCCAATTTCATCCATGTCCCTACAAAGGACATGAACTCATCCTTTTTTAAGGCTGCATAGTATTCCATGGTGTATATGTGCCACATTTTCTTAATCCAGTCTATCATTGTTGGACATTTGGGTTGGTTCCAAGTCTTTGCTATTGTGAATAATGCCGCAATAAACATATGTGTGCATGTGTCTTTATAGCAGCATGATTTATAGTCCTTTGGGTATATACCCAGTAATGGGATGGCTGGGTCAAATGGTATGTCTAGTTCTAGATCCCTGAGGAATCACCACACTGACTTCCACAATGGTTGAACTAGTTTACAGTCCCACTAACAGTGTAAAAGTGTTCCTATTTCTCCACATCCTCTCCAGCACCTGTTGTTTCCTGACTTTTTAATGATTGCCATTCTAACTGGTGTGAAATGGTATCTCTTTGTGGTTTTAATTTGCATTTCTCTGATGGCCAGTGATGGTGAGCATTTTTTCATGTGTTTTTTGGCTGCATAAATGTCTTCTTTTGAGAAGTGTCTGTTCATGTCCTCTGCCCACTTTTTGATGGGGTTGTTTGTTTTTTTCTTGTAAATCTGTTTGAGTTCATTGTAGATTCTGGATATTAGCCCTTTGTCAGATGAGTAGGTTGCAAAAATTTTCTCCCATTCTGTAGGTTGCCTGTTCACTCTGATGGTAGTTTCTTTTGCTGTGCAGAAGCTCTTTAGTTTAATTAGATCCCATTTGTCAATTTTGGCTTTTGTTGACATTGCTTTTGGTGTTTTAGACATGAAGTCTTTCCCCATGCCTATGTCCTGAATGGCAATGCCTAGGTTTTCTTCTAGGGTTTTTATGGTTTTAGGTCTAACGTTTAAATCTTTAATCCATCTTGAATTGATTTTTGTATAAGGTGTAAGGAAGGGATCCAGTTTCAGCTTTCTACATATGGCTAGCCAGTTTTCCCAGCACCATTGATTAAATAGGGAATCCTTTCCCCATTGCTTGTTTTTCTCAGGTTTGTCAAAGATCAGATAGTTGTAGATATGTGGCGTTATTTCTGAGGGCTCTGTTCTGTTCCGTTGATCTATATCTCTGTTTTGGTACCAGTACCATGCTGTTTTGGTTACTGTAGCCTTGTAGTATAGTTTGAAGTCAGGTAGTGTGATGCCTCCAGCTTTGTTCTTTTGGCTCAGGATTGACTTGGCGATGCGGGCTCTTTTTTGGTTCCATATGAACTTTAAAGTAGTTTTTTCCAATTCTGTGAAGAAAGTCATTGGTAGCTTGGTGGGGATGGCATTGAATCTGTAAATTACCTTGGGCAGTATGGCCATTTTCATGATATTGATTCTTCCTACCCATGAGCATGGAATGTTCTTCCATTTGTTTGTATCCTCTTTTATTTCCTTGAGCAGTGGTTTGTAGTTCTCCTTGAAGAGGTCCTTCACATCCCTTGTAAGTTGGATTCCTAGGTATTTTATTCTCTTTGTAGCAATTGTGAATGGGAGTTCACTCATGATTTGGCTCTCTGTCTGTTACTGGTGTATAAGAATGCTTGTGATTTTTGTACATTGATTTTGTATCCTGAGACTTTGCTGAAGTTGCTTATCAGCTTAAGGAGATTTTGGGCTGAGACAATGGGGTTTTCTAGATATACAATCATGTCATCTGCAAACAGGGACAATTTGACTTCCTCTTTTCCTAATTGAATACCCTTTATTTCCTTCTCCTGCCTAATTGCCCTGGCCAGAACTTCCAACACTATGTCGAATAGGAGTGGTGAGAGAGGGCATCCCTGTCTTGTGCCAGTTTTCAAAGGGAATGCTTCCAGTTTTTGCCCATTCAGTATGATATTGGCTGTGGGTTTGTCATAAATAGCTCTTATTATTTTGAGATACGTCCCATCAATACCTAATTTATTGAGAGTTTTTAGCATGAAGTGTTGTTGAATTTTGTCAAAGGCCTTTTCTGCATCTATTGAGATAATCACGTGGTTTTTGTCTTTGGTTCTGTTTATATGCTGGATTATGTTTATTGATTTGCATATATTGAACCAGCCTTGCATCCCAGGGATGAAGCCCACTTGATCATGGTGGATAAGCTTTTTGATGTGCTGCTGGATTTGGTTTGCCAGTATTTTACTGAGGATTTTTGCATCAATGTTCATCAAGGATATTGGTCTAAAATTCTCTTTTTTGGTTGTGTCTCTGCCCGGCTTTGGTATCAGGATGATGCTGGCCTCATAAAATGAGTTAGGGAGGATTCCCTCTTTTTCTATTGATTGGAATAGTTTCAGAAGGAATGGTACCAGTTCCTCCTTGTACCTCTGGTAGAATTCGGCTGTGAATCCATCTGGTCCTGGACTCTTTCGTTGGTAAGGTATTGATTATTGCCACAATTTCAGATCCTGTTATTGGTCTATTCAGAGATTCAACTTCTTCCTGGTTTAGTCTTGGGAGGGTGTATGTGTCAAGGAATTTATCCATTTCTTCTAGATTTTCTAGTTTATTTGCGTAGAGGTGTTTGTAGTATTCTCTGATGGTAGTTTGTATTTCTGTGGGATCGGTGGTGATATCCTCTTTATCATTTTTTATTGCGTCTATTTGATTGTTCTCTCTTTTTTTCTTTATTAGTCTTGCTAGCGGTCTATCAATTTTGTTGATCCTTTCAAAAAACCAGCTCCTGGATTCGTTAACTTTCTGAAGGGTTTTTGTGTCTCTATTTCCTTCAGTTCTGCTCTGATTTTAGTTATTTCTTGCCTTCTGCTAGCTTTTGAATGTGTTTGCTCTTGCTTCTCTAGTTCTTTTAATTGTGATGTTAGGGTGTCAATTTTGGATCTTTCCTGCTTTCTCTTGTGGGCATTTAGTGCTATAAATTTCCCTCTACACACTGCTTTGAATGCGTCCCAGAGATTCTGGTATGTTGTGTCTTTGTTCTCGTTGGTTTCAAAGAACATCTTCATTTCTGCCTTCATTTCGTTATGTACCCAGTAGTCATTCAGGAGCAGGTTTTTCAGTTTCCATGTAGTTGAGCGGTTTTGAGTGAGATTCTTAATCCTGAGTTCTAGTTTGACTGCACTGTGGTCTGAGAGATAGTTTTTTATAATTTCTGTTCTTTTACATTTGCTGAGGAGAGCTTTACTTCCAAGTATGTGGTCAATTTTGGAATAGGTGTGGTGTGGTGCTGAAAAAAATGTATATTCTGTTGATTTGGGGTGGAGAGTTCTGTAGATGTCTATTAGGTCTGCTTGGTGCAAAGCTGAGTTCAATTCCTGGGTATCCTTGTTGACTTTCTGTCTCGTTGATCTGTCTAATGTTGATGGTGGGGTGTTAAAGTCTCCCATTATTAATGTGTGGGAGTCTAACTCTCTTTGTAGGTCACTCAGGACTTGCTTTATGAATCTGGGTGCTCCTGTATTGGGTGCATATATATTTAGGATAGGTAGCTCTTCTTGTTGAATTGATCCCTTTACCATTAAATAATGGCCTTCTTTGTCTCTTTTGATCTTTGTTGGTTTAAAGTCTGTTTTATCAGAGACTAGGATTGCAACCCCTGCCTTTTTTTGTTTTCCATTTGCTTGGTAGATCTTCCTCCATCCTTTTATTTTGAGCCTATGTGTGTCTCTGCACGTGAGATGGGTTTCCTGAATACAGCACACTGATGGGTCTTGACTCTTTATCCATTTCGCCAGTCTGTGTCTTTTAATTGGAGCATTTAGTCCATTTACATTTAAAGTTAATATTGTTATGTGTGAATTTGATCCTGTCATTATGATGTTAGCTGGTGATTTTGCTCGTTAGTTGATGCGGTTTCCTCCTAGTCTCGATGGTCTTTACATTTTGGCATGATTTTGCAGCGGCTGGTACCAGTTCCTTTCCATGTTTAGCACTTCCTTCAGGAGCTCTTCTAGGGCAGGCCTGGTGGTGACAAAATCTCTCAGCATTTGCTTGTCTGTAAAGTATTTTATTTCTCCTTCACTTATGAAGCTTAGTTTGGCTGGATATGAAATTCTGGGTTGAAAATTCTTTTCTTTAAGAATGTTGAATATTGGCCCCCACTCTCTTCTGGCTTGTAGAGTTTCTGCCGAGAGATCTGCTGTTAGTCTGATGGGCTTCCCTTTGAGGGTAACCCGACCTTTGTCTCTGGCTGCCCTTAACATTTTTTCCTTCATTTCAGCTTTGGTGAATCTGACAATTATGTGTCTTGGTGTTGCTCTTCTCGAGGAGTATCTTTGTGGCGTTCTCTGTATTTCCTGAATCTGAACGTTGGCCTGCCTTGCTAGATTGGGGAAGTTCTCCTGGATGATATCCTGCAGAGTGTTTTCCAACTTGGTTCCATTCTCCCCATCACTTTCAGGTACACCAATCAGACGTAGATTTGGTCTTTTCACATAGTCCCATATTTCTTGGAGGCTTTGTTCATTTCTTTTTATTCCTTTTTCTCTAAACTTCCCTTCTCGCTTCATTTCATTCATTTCATCTTCCATCACTGATACCCTTTCTTCCAGTTGATCGCATGGGCTCCTGAGGCTTCTGCATTCTTCACGTAGTTCTCGAGCCTTGGTTTTCAGCTCCATCAGCTCCTTTAAGCACTTCTCTGTATTGGTTATTCTAGTTATACATTCTTCTAAGTTTTTTTCAAAGTTTTCAACTTATTTGCCTTTGGTTTGAATGTCCTCCCATAGCTTGGAGTAATTTGATCGTCTGAAGCCTTCTTCTCTCAGCTTGTCAAAGTCATTCTCCGTCCAGCTTTGTTCTGTTGCTGGTGAGGAACTGCATTCCTTTGGAGGAGGAGAGGCGCTCTGCTTTTTAGAGTTTCCAGTTTTTCTGCTCTGTTTTTTCCCCATCTTTGTGGTTTTACCTACTTTTGGTCTTTGATGATGGTGATGTACAGATGGGTTTTTGGTGTGGATGTCCTTTCTGTTTGTTAGTTTTCCTTCTAACAGAGAGGACCCTCAGCTGCAGGTCTGTTGGAGTACCTGGCCATGTGAGGTGTCAGTCTGTCCCTGCTGGGGTGTGCCTCCCAGTTAGGCTGCTCGGGGGTCAGGAGTCAGGGACCCACTTGAGGAAGCAGTCTGCCCATTCTCAGATCTCCAGCTGCGTGCTGGGAGAACCACTGCTCTCTTCAAATTTCAGATGGAAATGCAGAAATCACCCATCTTCTGCGTCGCTCAGGCTGGGAGCTGTAGACCAGAGCTGTTCCTATTTGGCCATCTTGGCTCCTCCCCCGGTTCTATAGCTTATGAAGGAAAGATAATAAATAATTATCTTTGAGCTAAGGCAGCCAAGTGTTTGTAACCATTTTTGTGCGCTGGACCCTATTAACTATCTGGTGAAGTCTATGGACCCCTTCACAGAATAATTCTTTTAAATGTGTAAGATAAAATACGTAACAAAGGAAACTAATTCTACTGAAGCAGAGCTTTATCCCTAGACCTTTGGGGACCATGGTCCATGGATCACAGATTAAGAACTCCTCGTACTTGAAGCCTACCAGGAGATAAGTAAGGGAGAGTAATAAGGTTTAAAAAGGAATTTTTCAGTGTTATAATTACTGTCTTACAAGGCAATGTGAGGATGAAATACAGAGTTTTGAAGTGATCTAAAAGTAGAACAAGAACTCATTGCATTTGGCCGGGCACGGTGGCTCACGCCTGTAATCCCAGCACTTTGGGAGGCCGAGTCAGGTGGATCACGAGGTCAGGAGATAGAGACCATCCTGGCTAACACAGTGAAACCCCGTCTCTACTAAAAAAAAAAAAAAATACAAAAAAATTAGCCAGCCGTGGTGGCGGGCGCCTGTAGTCCCAGCTACTCGGGAGGCTGAGGCAGGAGAATGGCGTGAACCCGGGAGGTGGAGCTTGCAGTGAGCTGAGATTGCACCACTGCACCTCCAGCCTGGGCGACAGAATGAGGCTCCGTCTCAAAAAAAAGAAAAAAGAACTCATTGCAATGCTTGAGGAGAGAGTGCCCGAGAATGACTGCAGAAACCATAGCTTCTTTCACTGATTCACTTCTCTCTCATGAACTTTCCAGGTGTTTTTCAATATTAGATGTTTTTATTTTTCTCTCAGGCAAGCGAACATGTTCAAGTTTTCTATTGTAAATAGTTCCAGTTCTCCATTTATGGAATCGAAGTACCAATCAAATTATGTTCTTTGAAAGTTGAAAATTAAAATGTAAGCCAGTCATAGAGGTTCATACCTGTAATTCCAGCACTTTGGGAGGCCAAAACAAGAGGATTACTTGAAGCCGGGAGTTCAAGACCAGCCTAGGCAATATAGTGAGGCCCCATCTCTATGAAACATTTAAAAACTAGCTGGACGTGGTAGTATGCACCGGTAGTCCTAACTACTTGGGAGGCTGAGGGGGAAGGATCACTTGATCCCAGGAGTTCAAGGCTGCAGTGAGCTAACATAGCACCACTGCACTCCAGCCTGGACCCAGAGTGAGACCCTGTATCTAAAAATAAATAATAAATAAATAAATGTAATATAAATGTAAGGAATGAATGGTGCATATTCATCAGTGAGCAGTTCTGAGCAGCTGCCACGTTGGGTGCTGTGCTGGTTACTGGAATTATAGGCATTTTGAGACAAGGTTCTTGCCCACAAGAAGTTAAAAATCTGGAAACAGTTACAGAGAAGTAGAAAGATAATTTCAATACCATGTGATGAGTAATTTTTTTAATCTTGTTGTCTCAAATGTTGCAATTTAAATAGAGGGTTGTGATATGGCTTTCTTTTCTATAATCCTAGGTTCTTTGTAAGTGAAAAATCTGTCATCATTTTGTATAAATGATAATATTATGCTTTCTATTCAGAAGCAAAAATAGGTTTTTCCTGGAGATGCTGAGCAGAGCTCTAGAGGTCAAATATTCTATACCCCTGCTTTTGGGCCAGGCATTTGCAGACCACACAAATAGAATAAAATCTGCCTGATTTTTAATATATTACATAACTTCTCAGCAAGTCTTACCAATTTTAACACTGTTCAAATTATTTCTCATTTCTTTTCCAGTTTCTTTATAGCATACTTTATGCCTGCTTCTGCCAGTCCTGAAAATGGAAATTAGCCAGACATCATTATGGCTTTTATATACTTCATATATTTTATCAAATAAATAATAATTAGTGAGAGAGTGAACAAATGTACTTGCAAGGCATTACAAATCTTTCTGTTGTGTAATCTGTAATTCAGTTCCCTTTAATTTTTCTGCATATCTTCTGTTCTCTAACATTATTATGGATTTCTTTAACCCACCTTAAATCCCCAAGCCCTTCATCAGATTAGAAGAACAGAACTAGACTTCTGCCTATTTGGAGGAAAAACCCAGCATAATGAAACTGTCCATGCATGGGGCAAATATCATACCATAATTATTGGCAGGTGAATGCATTATTAATGTTGTCACCCCTTAATTGAGAACATCAATTATTTGATAAATGTCAAAGGGCTGATTTATTGTAACAAGCTTGAATCTTAGAGACTGCCAGTAATTCTTTATACCTCATATTTATATGTAACATTAGTTTTGGCCAGGAAAGCTCTTGAGGGAAGGCATCCAGAAGGCAGCAGCTGAAATTTGGGGTAACTTTATAACTAGCTTAATTCTACATATTTCTAGAACTCACTGAATAACCTTTGTTGGTAAATGACATAAATATAACTTTGGTAACTTTTCACCCAAAATCTTGTATAGATGAAAAAACTCACATAAATCATAGATTTTAGATTTGAGAGGGAATATATAGTTATATAGACCAGTCATTCTCAAAATGGGATCCCAACCAGCAGCATCAGCATCACCGGGGAACTTGTTAGAGATGCAAATTCTTGGGTTTGCTCCAGACTCACTGAATCAAAAATTCTGGGGGTGGGACTCAGAGACGTGGGTTTCTACAAGCTCTCCAAGTGATTCTGATGTACACTGTATTTTGAATATTACTGATTTAGATTGGCATTACTGACATTTTGAACCAGATGATTCTCTGCTGTGAGAGAGTGTCCTGTGTATTGTAGGATGTTGAGCAGCATCCCTAGCCTCTACCCACTAGATGCCCGTGGCACCCGCTCCTCAGTCATGACAATAAAAAATATCTCCAGACATTGCCAGATGAACCCTGGGGTGGGATGGAAGGTGCAAAATTGCTCCCTTCCCAAAATTGCAAAATTGATAACCACTGTTCCAGACCAACTTCCAACCCTGACACAGGAATCTCTTCTATGGCAACGTTGACAGCTACGATTGTTACCAGTGTAAGATATTTGCTTTCCCTTCTGCCTTTGAAAGCCATGGAATTGAGAACTTATACCCCTCCTCCTAAATCATTACTGGAAACTTAAATATTTTAAGTAGTTTTTTATTTTGAAGTTTGCATATAACTTTTATAAATGGTATACATTTAATCATATAAAAGACAAGAGTAAATATGTTTTATAAAATGTAGTTGATTACGAATCTTTCTTCAACACTTTGCTCCAACATCGTATCATTCAGGCTTCCCTGAGCACATACGACTTTCCCTCCCCTACCCACTCCCAGCAGACACTGGGTCCACCAGGTGTTTTCTGCACACTTACTCCACGTCTGTTATAGCATTGGTGTTGCCTCCTCCCTTCTACAGTCTTAAGTCATGTAATCGTATCCATCACTGCATCCTCAGGACCTAGTCCCCTGCCTTGCACATTGTGGTAATAATAATGGCTAACATGTCTGTACAGTCACTATGTCCTAGGCACTGGGCTAAGAGTTTTCAAATTCATTTCCTCATACCTTCACCAATGAGGCAGGCTGTATCATTATTCCTTTTGCAGATAACAAAATGTAGATTTGTAAAATTAGGTACTCTTTTCAAGGTAAAAATGTTGAGAAATGATGCAACCTGGGTTTGAACCCTGGAATTTTGATCCCTGAGCTCAGGCTGCTAATAATCACTGCACTATTGAAAAGTGCTTAATAAATGTTTGGTGAATGCATTCACGATTAAGTTAATAAATGAATGACTGAATAATTGACTATTAAGAGCTAATGGTGAATGCTTTCAGATGAGTTACCTAAAAGTTCATACGTCAACCAATTGTACAATGTGAATACCAATTATTATACACTAACTGGCAATATTTTGGGGAAATGATTTAGCAACTGCTAAAAACAATACTACTTAGCATAGCCATACACAATAGATGTTTAAACTTGTCCTTGAGTCTCCAAGTATGATAATGGTTTAACTCAGAAGGCTGTCTACAAGAGCATGGAAAGGAGGTTATTAAAAAAAAAAAAAAGTAGAAGACTGCAGGGAGATTTCCCACACTTCTTTCTTCTCTTGCAGTCCCTGGACATTTCAGTTTCTGGGAAATGAGTAAAGCCTGTGGTGTGTGAAAATCCAGTAGTTATTCAGCCTCTGGAGTATATCAGAATTACCTGGAGGGGGCATATTTGAAATGTAGAGGGTTATGGGGAGGTGAAACTGAACTGTAGAATCAGAATCTCAAAGGGCATAGCCCAGTCTTTCATGTAGCGTTTTAAGGTCCTCAATTGATTCAACTGTACACCAAGAACTGAGAGCCAATGCATTTCACTGTCTCCTGTCAGTCAGTTCATAAAGTCCAAAGAAGGGGACAGAAAAGAAGCCGGCAAAAACCAGAGTTGGATGGCTCTCAAAAACCCAAACAAAAATACACATTTTCATCTCGCTCATGTTGGAATCTAACAAGAAACAGAAGTATGGCCCCCCAAAACAGTGACATGATGATGGTGGCAAAACATGGCTCTCCAAACCATTGCCTCAAATGTCAGCTTTTTCCCCCTGACCTCTTCCCCTTAGAAGAAAACTGTCAAAGTTTTCAAACAGCAGATACATTAGCCACAAAGGTGCCTAACTGTAGGCTGGCCCCTCAAAGCAGAGAATTTTTAAGAAAGTTCAGAGTGTCCTGAGAGAGTATTCGTTTCAACTTCATTTAATAGATGAAGAAGGTGGGACCCATTTGTGTGGCCAATTTTAATGTTGCATAAACTTAGAAGTGGTTATTAATGCCTTGGGAAAATGCACAGAGCATTTTTTTAAAACTTTTATTTAATTTTTAGTTTTTCAAGACTATAAATCTTTTTTGCACGAAGAAAATAAGACATTTTATTTATCCTTGTGTGAATTTAAAAATGACTGCTATATATTGTTTTCTATATTTTTTCCAAACAAATATTTATGTTTTTCTTAAAACCCAAGATACAAAGTTCCTGTTTCAACAAGCTGCCGTGTAAATCAAGAACTAAGCTTACTTGCTTCTTTGCTCTTTCTCATTTTTCTCTTCAATCGATGAGTAGATGGATAGATAAGGAAAAATAGATGAATGCACAAATTCTCATACATACACATAATTTAGAGTTCAGATATTGTACATTTTATAAGTACACAAAGCTCATAAAACACAACATAAAAAAAACTGTCTCTCTCATAGAAAATAAATAGAAAGGCAAATAATATATGTGATATGTAAGTGAAACCTTTGCTGGAAGTAAAATTTTCTATTAGGCTCAGTGTTTCTTAAAATTTAATTAACCAACAACCACCAATTGGGGAAGCAACAATGCCACATTGAGGTAGTGAACCAAATAAGATGAATCTTCCCTTCACTTTTTCTAGGCAGACACCTGTGAAATTGAGCTGCTTTGTATGTCATATATAAGGTATAATTGCTTTTGATTATGATAATTTAAAAAAAGAAATAGACAAGAAAGAGAGAAGGGAAAGAAGGAAAGGAAAATGGAAAGGAGTGAAAGTCACCAAAATTGTTCATTACAAAGGCTATAAAAAGTGTTTAGACACATACTCATTCCTGGCTTCTTGAGATAATTTTTTAATATTTGGTAATACTGTGCATGCATATAACCCACAAAGAAAGAGAACACAAATGAATCTATAGGCTCTTCAAAATAGCACTATTTTGCTTCCCTAGGTAACCCTAATTGCTTATTTTTTGTTTTCTGTTCTGAACGTTCTATAATTTAAGTCCATATAAACAGTATTTCAATATAGTATATACCATTATTAGGCCTGTGTAAGTGCCATCAGATGCTATTCATGGCAAGTGATACAGGCTTTCCATTTATGGTAGTGATATAATAGTTCAGTTTTTTAAGTGGATCATTGTAAAGAAGTATAATAAATAATAGGGCAGATGTCTAGAATATGAATGTCTAGGCAACAAGTTTGTTAGATCAGGTCAGTATCGCCTGAGTTTCACATTTCACAGGTGAGCATAATGTTAAGAAAAAAAATAGAGGATTGACAATCTTTCTATTTTGCTAAATAAAGTTATCTGAAAACAGAACAAACCAATATTTATGCTATCACAACATAAAGAAATAATATTTTCCTACCCCCAAAGCAAGAAAAATAAAGGATAGGCCTTTCTGAGAAAATATGGTTGGTAGATTCAAAAAGATACATACATACAGGCCCATAGTTCCTTATCCAAAATCCTTGCCAGAAATAATTCAGTTTTGTTTGCTTGGGTTTTTGAGGGGTGGGGGGGTTCGGGAAGATAGTATTGTGCTCTACCGCAATGGGTAGAACTCTACCCCAGTGACATCTGGGGGAATGCCCCATTGCAAACACATGAATATTTCTGCAGTGAAGCATACAAATATTTACACTAAGTTGGATCAATAAAGACTATGAAACACTCATATGAAATCAGGTCAGCTTCTGCCACCAACTAAGTTATGAAAAAACTTTCTGTCTTCACAAGCTTTAGGATTTTGAGATTAAAGCTAAGGAATTATGTGCATATATATCATTGCCCTTTTTCTTCTCATTTTGTTGTGGAGCAGGGACCACTCTTTCTGACAGGCACAATTTATTCTAATTATTCAGTTATAACCATAACCCTGTGGTAGATGATAAGAGATATTAATTAATGTCATATTCCACTTTAATCTTATTGGAGAGATTTCCAAATGGACACCTGTTAGAATGTAAGCTCTATGAAGCAGGGAAATCTATATTGTCCACTGAATTACCCCAAGCACTTAAAGGTGTGCCAGAGTGCCTGACACATTGTAGCTACTCAGTATTTCTTAAATAAATGAAAGATTTGCAAGTTAACAGCCTCCTGCAAATACTAAAATTATTGTTGGCAGGTCCTGGATAGAAAGAGTGGAGTTGTGGTGTGTGTGGGTGTGTGTGTGTGTGTGTTTAATTCATAGCAACCTGTTACATTCTTTCTATTAGAAAAAGCACGTGTACATTTGAATGCTTCACACGGATTCTTCCATTGTAAACAGAATTTGGGTAAGGGAGCTCCAGGTGATGATGTCATATACTGAGGTATCTGAAACTCTGAGTCAAAACCAACAAGTACTTAGTATTGATATTTGTTTTTTAAAAAACTGAATATTTAATTTTCTTTGCTATTTTGGATCCAGAGGGTCTAAAAATAGGTGAAGGGTCAATGAACTTTAATAGGAGGAAAGACCATAGGAAGAGTAAAATAATCCTGCGAATGAATATTTGAAGTTTGAAAAGGAAATTGCTTAGTGCTAAGGATCTGAAATGATTTATATGGTCACAACAAAAGTGACTACAGCTAGGTGAAATATGATGTCAAAAAAGAAACTAGTGTAATTGTGACCTAATCCTACCAGAAATGAATTAGTTCTGTCCTCTTGTCTTGACTTACATGCTATGGTTTTGAGAAAAGTGTGAGTCAATGAGCAAAAATTCCTTGCCAGGGAAAAGATGTACCCCCAAATAAGGGTAAGGTAGTATCAGTATCCTTTAAGTGAGGGGAACATGTGAGTGCATTACAAATTGTTGGCAATGTTTTTCAGAACTAAGACAAAATCCTGCAGGCACTTAACAAACATGGTATATAGGGAAATTTTATTTGGTTTTCTGGGGGGCTTTGAGAGGGTTTTTGGTTGGTTTTTTTGTTTGTTTGTTTGTTTTTGTTTGTTGTTGTTGTTGTTGTTGTTGTTTTGAGAGAGAGTCTTACTCTGTCACCCAGACTAGAGTGCAGTGGTGCGATCACTACTCACTGTTGCCTCAACCTCCTGGGCTCTAGTGATACTCCCACCTCAGCCTTGAGAGCAGCTGAGACCACAAGTGCGGGCCACCACATCTGGCTAATTTTTAAAATTATTATTTGTAGAGAAGAGATCTCGCTGTGTTGCCCAGGCTGGTCTTGAACTCCCGGGCTCAAGCGATCCTCCTGCTATGGCATCCCAAAGTGTTGGAATTATAGGCATAAGCCCTATGCCCAGACTATAGGAAAATTTTAAATTGTCCGCAATCCTATCCATCCAAAGATTATGGAGCTAAATTATTAATGAGTAGCCACTATCTTCTAAACATAATAACCCAAGACCATCATAATCATAATAGCTAATAATCAAATATTAACTTAGGACCTGTATCCTTTTCTCTACATCATTTACCATGTGATAAATATTTTCCCTTCTACCTTTACTATTGGGAAACAAAGTTCCCTAGAGCTTACATACCTGTACTCTGACTATTAAATTAATTATTAAATTAAATTAAATTTTCTCAAGGAAAAAAATACTATTGTAATAGTACATGTAGTATATACTGAGACATACAGTATATACTTGATTAAGAAATTAGGCTATGAGGAATAGCCAGGACAAGCTTTTAAGCTAAAAAGTTATTACATTCTAATTCTGGTAAGAATAGGAGCTTCTTGGAATTCAAAGAGGGCCCAGGGGGGTGTATTTTCTTCTAATGAGAACCTCTAACAGGAAAAAAAATAATAATAGAAATACTCTGTTCATCCCTGATCAAGTTCAGTGTGCTTCGTTTTAAAGGATATCAGAGAAGCCCTCTCTTTGCCCTGCAAAAGCCCTGTAGTAACCTCACACCACAGCATTGGTTCCCACAGCCATTTGCTTTACAAGTTTAGCCACACTCAGGAACGGACATTCTAGAAAGGTCCAAGTCTTATCTTCATTACTCTCTTTCCCCTGTTTTTTTGAGCTGCTGATCCTGAGAGATAGAACAGAGAAAAAAGAGCAAGTTCTGATTGTTTAGTATTTTCATAAGCCGCATGCATACAGTTTCAGGAATAAAATGCTCTGGTTTAAAAACAAATGGTTGTTTGATTTTGTAAGAATAAAAAAAGAAGGAATGACACTTTGGTTCCAGCACTAAATATCCTCTTGGTATATAGAACTTTTTTACTGCCTTTCTATCCTCAACGAAAATATCCAGTAAAAAATTTTGTCTGAGAAAATAGTGACAAGTTATCCTCACATGCCTAGGGAGGGCTATGGTTTGGATGTTATCTCTAAAGGAAAAATTTGTTAGACCAGAGCATCCAAGGGAGAAGGTATTTTGGAAAGGGGGGGAGCCTTTCACACCCTTGCATCATTGTAATGAACCTTGTCAGGGGTCACTAAATAGGTAGAATCCTAAACATTTCTGTGTGAGATTAGATGAAAACTCAATTCTTTTTAATTAACAAGAAATGTTACAGAAGGTAAGAGCTTCAGAAATAAACTAGTCAAGCCACTCCACTTTACAAAAAGATCCAGAGGGCAAAAGGATTTTCCCAAGAGCCCCTGGCTGATTGGGAACAGAAGTTAGGCTAGAATTCACTCTGCCCACTCCCAGGCCTGTAAATTTCCAGGACACTGTCTGATTTAAATCTCCATGACCTGATGAACTGACCCCCGTTAGCTGTCTTTTCAAGACCCTTGCAAGAATTGCATGGATGCCAACAATGCTTCTCTTAAGCTCCAGCTGGAAGGGCTGGGACGTATCTAATTTCTAGCCAGTCTGAGTAATGGCATTATAGATAGGTGCTCATAATGTTAGCACCTAAGCCTGCAGGCTCACTTGATTAAATGGCAACATGGATCTCTTTTCATTCTTGTTATTTTGATAATTAAATGGGATTTCCAGCTCATCTCTGACCTGACACATGTTTTTCATTTTTAAAGTGAGTCAGGGAGTGAGCAATTCATGGTAGTTTAGTAGTACAAACTATACCCATAGCTCATTAAAATGTGTTTAAAGATTAATAAAATTGCACCCTGTCCAGTAGTAAACCTGGTTAAGTGTCTAACACATCAGGCATGCCTTTAATGGCCTGTTTGCTTTTCAAAGATGTGAAGCAAGACCAATTATTAAAAAGAAAGATGCAATACTGCCTTAGAGTTGCAGTTTTTAAAATTTATTTTGCATAGAACCATCTTTTAGCTTTTATGTTTTCAAAATATAAAATTCTGATCAGTGTGACCACATTAAAAAAAGTTTATTTCCCAATCTGAGTAAACACTATTTGTAAAACCTTAAATAGCATAGTTTAATTTTTGATGCTCAAATACATTAGATGGTGCAAAAAAAAAGCTAAGAGTTTTGTGAGAAAACAATTCAGAAAAAGCCAAAGAAGGAAGGACCAAAATTATTTTTGCAGAAATTATAAAGGTACATGTCAAAATTTAAAAATTACACTTAATTTCTTACTGATAAAGTGGGCATCTCCTTGCTCAAAATACTTGTCAAGGTGAATAAAATAGTGATGGAACACAGAAGCTGATGCCATTACCCTTAATCAGAAATAACTTAAGGCTGGGTACTGTGGCTTATGCCTGTAATCCCAGCACTTTGGGAGGCTGAGGTGGGAGGATTGCTTGAGTCCAGGAGTCTGAGACCAACTGAGGCAACATGGTGAGATTCTGTCTCTACAAAAAAAAAAAAAAAAATTAAAAATTATCCAGGTGTAGTGGCACACACCTGTAGTCCCAGCTACTTGGGAGGCTGAAGCAGGAGCATCACTTGAGCCCAGGAGGTTGAGGCCATAGTGAGATATGATGGGTGTCATTGCACTCCAGCCTGGACAACACAGCGAAGATAACTTAAGTGTGTGTGTGTGTGTGTGTGTGTGTGTGTGTGTGTGTGCGCGCGCGCGCGCGCGTGTGAGCTATGATGAGCTATGATGGTGTCGCTGCACTCCAGCCTGGACAACAGAGCAAAGATAACGTGTGTGTGTGTGTGTGTGTGTGTGTGTGTGTGTGTGTGTGTGTGGTGTATCCATTTTAATAAGCCTATGGGAATGTCTGCCCTTATTTCCTGAGATAACATTAGTAAATCATTAAAACCTTAATCCTTCTCCCATTTGTATTATGTTTCTGTGACTTTAATCAAATTGACATTTCTTAGAAAGAAGGCAACATTTTATAATTGTGGGAAAATGACTGAAGCAATATGTTGGTCATGAAGCAATATGTTGATATTGCCATAATTCCATGTCCATCTGTGGGACTAGGTCACTGTGACAAACTATATAATACCCTGAGGACATGGGCCATGTTGCCTGTATGGCTAATGGTGCCTACCCAGAAGGGGAATTTACATTAATAATGCCAGTGCTAAAAGTATGTAAGAAATTTTCTATTTTCTTTTTATTTTTAAGATGTCACTTTTATAAAATATAATAATGTATATTGCTTAATTATTTATATAATAGAATGTAGCACTTCCTGTTAAAATTTAAATATAACATAAAATGTAAGAAATAAAGCAGAAAATAACTCAAAGCTTTAACACCCAGAGATAACAGGCACAAACATTTGAAGAACATTCTTTCTAGATTATTTATCCATTCATAGGTATAAAATAGGAGAAAACAAGGAGAAAGGAAGGATGGGTAAATAGAAATAGTTTTATAAATATAGGATCACATTATAAATGCCATTTTAAAATGTGTTTAATTTTACTTGAATTTGTCAGGAGAAAAACTAAAAGGAAATTGAAGAAATTGCTGAATTTCAGTTAAATGTTCTTCACCCAAGGGATGTTAAGTTTCAAAAGATCCCCATAAAATTAAAAGATTTTTCTAAATGAGGTCTTTTTTAATCTACTGTTTCAACTTGAAACAATATTAATTAACTACAGCAATTTTTTAAAGGATCTCATTTCTTCCCACCTCGCTGCACTATCTTCCAGCTTTTGTTATATTGCATTATTTTTATTTGTCAGGGTTTACAACATTTGCATTCTAATTTCACCAATTGTTTAGTCATATTCTATAGGTAAATAGGTGATGCTCACTACTGGATTTCACTCTCCAGTTTTTTTGTTTGTTTGGCTGTTTTTTCAAGAATCACTGAGGGGTGCCTTAATTTCCTAAGTTCCTCCATTTTTGAGAATGCATGTCTTTTATAATCTCGATGATGTTGGCTGTGTCCATTCACTTTATTTCAGAATTTTGTAGATATTTGTCTCATTGTCTTTGGGGTTGAATGTCATGAAAACATCATAGGCTGAACAAAAGTATTGCCTTTATAGAGAACTTTCTTTGTGTGCCTAATTGACTAAAGAATTATTTTCTTGACCCTGAAATTCATAATTTATCTAGGATAGGGCTAATGGTGTTGAAGAAATGTTACTCAATGATGTTTGTTAATTCATGATAAGGAAGGCTTTCTTCAGGACCATTGGGATGGGTACCGGGACCACAGCATGGGGTGTTGCAGTCAGGGAGAGAGATTGGGCTCAACCCCAAAAGCAGCGTGGGCAAGTGGGAATTTATAGTCAAGGGGCAGAGTGTGGTCAGTGGATGAAAATTACTAAGAGGCAACATCAAGTGTACAGGAGATTCTGGCTAAACCAACCTACCGGGATTATTCTGAAGACAGGCTAGAGTGTTAGACATGACCTGAGGGTTGGTGGAGGATGATGAACCTGATCAAATATCAATGGTGATCAGATATTAAGGATAAGGGGTTTTGGTTAAACTGACTTAGCAGGGTTCTTTGCTAAAACTGGATTTTACAAGGAAGTGCATAGATGAGCCCAGGAGAGGCTTCAGGAGGCTGACTAAATTTTGGTCTAGCAGAGAATTTTTGTCAGTGGTCAGTCATTGTTTATCACTCTTTATCCTGGAACACTGTAGTTTTTTTGATCTGCAGATTCAAGTCTTTTTTTTTTTTCAGGAAAAGTTTCTAACATTATACCTTTACATACATTTTCTATTATATTTCTCATCTCTAGAAACACTAATCCTTATGTTCTATTGTCTTGGTTCTCCACCTCTACCCACTTATGTAACTGCTACAAATTCTGTCATTTTCCTCTTCACTGACTATTTTATGAAATTTTCTTCTTGTCATTATGTTAGCTTTATATTCCTCACTGTTTCAATAGTTTTATTTCTGTAACTATGGCATTTTGGTTCTCAGTTTGTTTCTCTCGTTCTGTCCCCCCTTTTCATCCCTTTTCATCTTATTCTGTTCTTTTATAATCTTCTTTTAATCTTATTTTATTTAATTAAGTATTCAGGGGAAACTTTCTTATTTTTCTTGGGTTATGTTTTCTTTATAGATGGAGCTATTCTATTTCTTCTCTCTTTTTCTCTCTCTCTCCTCCACCTCTCTCCTCCCTCTCTTCCTTCCTCGTCCTGTCCTCCTTTTCTGTCTTCCTCTCTTTCCTCCATCCATAGGTTCATGTTATATCTTTTCATCTTATTTATGTTTAATATGGAAGGTCTGTCCAGATTTTTTCACTCTACTAGAGTATGGGTGAATTTTTATTGGCATTTTCTCCATGTCATCTCAAAATCCTTCATCTTCCTCACTGAGTACATTTTGTGGACTGGGTATTAGCTTCCAACATCAGTGTGTTGCCTTTGCTGGGGACCTGGGCTTGGCTGGCTCCCTCTTTAAATCCCATTCGATGTGCTAAACCCGAGTCCCTTCCATCAGCTGCAGTGGATCCTGTGGCTGTGGGCTTCAGCTCTTTCACTAATTTGGGTCAGAGCCCTGCCTCTGCCAAGGTTTCATGACTGTACACAAGAGCTCCTGTTTTCTAAGGTGTTTTTCTTGACTTTTTCCAAGCCTGCCTCTTCACTACCCTCAGATCATTTCTTCCCAAGTCTAAAGTCATCATTAGAGATTCTTTGGATTCGGCCCACTCCCTTTCTTTCCTCAGTATTGTCTCAGAGGTGGAGGAGCTGGAGCCACACCGCCACAGCCCAGCTATTCCTACTCTTTAGCCAAAACATTTTAAGATGAGGATATGGCGTTACACTCCTTTCTTGGTTTTGTGGCTCCTGGCAACACTTTGTTTTGACTTGTTTTATTTTAATATATGTTTTTGTTCATTCATTAAGTGTTAAAAGAGGGCAGAGACTCTATGATCTAACTTCACTCTACAAAATTATCTTTTCTCCCTGTCATCTCAAAAACCCTATCAATTTCTATACAAAATGCAGTACTAAACAGATTTTGAAAGTTTAGGGAAGATTAAAATTTCAATGCCAGATATTTAATTTCATTATTATGACTGTGAAATAGATGCATTCTTTGCAGAAATTTTAATACAAAAAAGTATTATAAAGAAAATACAGACATTCATTCTCATATTATTTTTGATATTCTTATACTAATTTGCTTATCTGTGCATAGTTCTTAAAAATTGGGTTCAAACTTCATATATCATTTTTATTTTGTTGCTTGTCTTTCCTCTAACAGTACCCTATGAGTATGTAACGTAGCCTTACATATTCCTTGAAATGATATTTTAATAATTTTGAAGCAAATTAATACACTCAAATAATCTACGATTGGACATTTATGCTATTTATAATTTTTGTTAACATTAATGCTGGGATGAACATCCTTCTATATAAATCTTAGGATGTATTTCCTTTAAAATATGTTAGTAATACTTTTTAATGAAGACATTTCTAAGATAAGTATTCTTTGCCTTAGCAAAATAATTTAATGGACATTATTATAAACCTTGATTATTATACAGTACCATATAAGTAGATAAAGAGAAATCCTGCACCTGATTAGACTTAGAACATAAAATTTTGAATAAATTTAAATATATGTCCCTCACTAATTTTTCCTCATAATTTCAAGGTCTAAAATCATGTGATTTCTGATCAATTCTTTACTGAGAAGCACTGAGACATTTCCTAAATTATTTTCATTATTTCCAAAAAATACCACTTTTAATGTCTTGATCAGTGCCCTTTGGCTTTTTCTTCAGAGTTCAAAGTAGCATAGTGATTCAGTGAACAAACTCCAGGATCAGAAAGGCCTGGGAGCTGCTCATTACTTGCATGATCTAATGTTCCCTCCTCACCTCTTTCTTCACTTTCTTTCACTGCCCTTCTTTCTGTCCCCCAAGTAGACCAAGACCATGTCCAATTTGGTCCCTCCTATTTTTTCCAGTGTAATACTCTTCCCCCCAGTCTACTGATGGCTAACCCTTTTTTATCCAAAGGTCAGTTCTCCACTCAGTTAATGTTCCCATTAACTTTCCCCTCGAGGCATTCTCTGTCTAATTACTCTGCTTTATTTTCTTCATAGTATGCGTTATCACTCAAAAGTATCTTAATAATGGCTCCCATTGATGGTATTATTAGCTTACCTCATCACCCACAATTCCCTTCCACCCACCTACGGTTCTGGGGCCCTCTGCTGTAAGGAGGACTGCCCTCTTGTGGACTTTTAGGATATTGCTACTAAAAGCACAAAGTCCAGTTTTTTTTTTTTTGCAACAAGATTGCTGTTTTAGGGGGTTCTCTAAGTGTCAAATATTTGAAACATTGATTTTCAGGTTTATTCTTTTTTTGATTAATTGAAGTTTTTAATCTACCTGGAACAAGAATAACTTAAAATGTGAAATGACCTTGGTAATAACGATAGTTCTGTTTAATGAATGTTTTGTCAGTAGCAACCACTGTCGTAAACTAAATGAGATAATATATGAAAAATCACTTAGGACAGTCTAAGTGATTTTTCATATATTATCTCATTTAGTTTACGCATTGTCAGCTGGGAAAACAAGGAGATAATTTAAGACATATAAAGAAAGCTTTTCCAAGTGTCAGGGTAAAGCTGATTCCCTATGTCCAAACTTTGTCTGCAACTTTTCAGGAAAAACAAACAAACAAACAAAAAATTTAAGAGGTACAATAAACACAGTTATTTTTTTAAGCACCAAGGGGGCCTGGGTTCTCTACTCAACTCTGACCCTAATTATTGTGTGTCATTTAGAAATTTGTCTTTTCAAGGCCCTAGTTTCTTCAAACGTAAAATGAAGCTTTGCAGAGAGCTCATGTTCAAAGGTCCTGAGGCAGAAGAAACAGTGATATATTTGAGGAAAAGAAGGAGGTCTGTGAGACTAGAATGGAGTGAGTGAGGAAAAACAGCCAGAGATGCAATCAGGGGGAATGGGGAACTTGGTTTTTACCCTGAGTGTGACAGGAAAGCATTGCAGGGTTTGGTGCCCAGGGATTAAATGAACTGACATGTAATTTGGCCAATAGACATTAATGTCAGTAAGACATAAATATGTTCTGCCAATGCCAAGCAGGAGCAAAAACATCATTTTTTCATCTTTCCTCAGTTCAGTGCCTCCAAAACTCTAAGAACTGAGACATCACTTTGGATGATGACATAGGACTTGTGTACTTATTACATGTAGTATCAACTGTCCATTAATACTTTTAAAACCCATGCTTTCCAACAAAGTTACTTCTTTAAAGCTTCCAGAGGTCATCTTTAATTTATGAATGAAAGATATGTTCTAAAAATAAGCTATGTACTAGTATAATTATCTATGTCTATATTTAAGTCAGCAAGTATCTATTCTATAAATGTTTATTGAGTGCCCACTCTGTCTAGGCCATGGTGCTGGTATGGAAGGAATGCCAGCAAAAAAAAAAAAAGGCCTGTAACCCCAATCCACATGAAGTTTACTATCTAGTGTGTCATTAAGTCATTTCCAGTATAATCTCCAAAAATAATTGAGGGTGAAAAGCCAAAATTTAAATACTAGGAAACTGGACATATAAGATATATTATGCATATTGGTGACATCATAATATAATTTTAAAAGCGTGGACTTTAGGATCTGACACATTCTGCTTCAACTTCTTGTTAACTATGTGATCTTGAGCAAGCCACTTTACCTCTCTGTGCAACTGTCTCCTCATTTGGTAAACAGAGATAATGCTCCCTAATTCACAGTGGTTTTGTAAGGATTAAATAAGATAATGTGTATAAAGAGTCTGGCATACACATTCGGTACATGGCAGCTGTTGGGTGAAAAAGAACAGGAAAGGAGAGAGAAGAAAATTGGAAGCAGTCCAGCAGGCAAGGTGGGATTGGAAGAATGCCAAAAGTAGCAAAATATTTTAATGTTGCACATAAATGACTGAAAGGCATAAAAAAGCTCAAGAATAATGTCCCCTTCTATTATGTTTAAAGCCAAAAATGGAATGGTTTACCCCTGTATGTCACACTAATATTTATTGTCTTTCAATGCTGGGCCCAGATACTCTAGAAGACATGTTCAGTTTTCGCCAGCCACCTAAACTGGATGAAAGAATATTTGCAAGAATCAAATTCTACACATAAATGTATTGAGTATCTGCTGTGTGCCCAGCACCATTGTAGTTTCTAGAGATAGAGTAATTAACAAAATAGAAAAAAAAATAAAAAAATCCCTTCCTCATGGTGTTTACCGTCTAGTAGGGGGTAGGGGAAAATAGGCAGTATATTAGAAGTATATTCAAAGGTGAAAAGCTCTCTGGAGAGAAAGTGGAAAAGTGATTAGGAAGAGAGGTGTAATTTAAATGGGTGATTAGGCAAAATCTTATTGAAAGGTAACATTTGGGCAAAGACTTAAAGAAGGTGTTGGTATAAGATCTCTGACAGTATCTGGGAGAGAAGCTTTGCAGAGAGCTCACATTCAAAAGTCCTGAGGTGAGAGCAACCCTTGATATGTTTGAGGAACAGAAGGAGTTCAGCAAGACTGGAATGGAGTGAGTGAGGAACAACAGCTGAAGACACAATCAGAGGGAGTGGGGAACTTGGTTTTTACCCCAAGTGTGATAGGAAAACCATTGCAGGGTTTGGCACCCAGGGATCAAATGAACTGACATATAATTTGCCCTGTGGAGTCATGGGACATAATTTATGTTTTAAAAAGACTACCTCTGGCTGCTATGTTGAGAATAAAATGTTGGGGGACAAAGATGAAAGCAGAAAGACCAGGTTATTATAAAAATCCAGGTGAGAGATGATAACAGTAATGATGGAGGTAGAAAGAATGTTTTGATTCTGAATTATTTAGAATCATCATTTATAGTGATTAAGGAAGACAGAGGATGGAACAAGTTTGTTTGTTTGACTTTTAAGGGAGGCCTGGGGAAGCTCTGTAATCTAGTTTGGACATATCAAGTTTATTAAAGTAGACAATTAGATATACAAGTCTAGAGTTCAAGGAGAGGTCTGGGGTCTATAGAGACACATATTTGGGAAATGTAACCTTATGAATAATATTTAAAGCCATTGAGACAGAATGAGATCACCAAGGGAGTAAGTACAGATAGAGAACTGAAGAATAAAAGGTATCCCAGGCGTAAGTCTTGTAGCTTGTAAAGGCTGGATGGAAAAGAACCAGAAAAGTCTGAAAAGGATTGTTCAGTGAGAAAAATCAGCAAAGTGTCTCATCCTGGAGGGTAAATGGAGGAAGATTTGAAGAGGTAGTGAGAAGCTAGCTGTATCAAGTGTTGCTGATAGGTCTAATAAAATGAGTTCCAAGAATTGCATAGGATTTGGCAATATGAGCCTCATGGGTTGGCTTAACTCAGACAGTTTTGAAGAGTGGGGAGAGAACTAAGTCTGATTGGAGAAACTTTCAGAGAAAAAGGCAGGAAAGAAATTGGAATCAGGGAGTAAGGACAACTCCTTTGCTCTAAAGGGGAGCAGGGAAATGGAGTGGAAGCTGAAGAGTATAGTGGGATCTAGAGAGTTTTTTTTGGTTTTTTTTTTTTTTTTTTTTTGAGACAGAATCGCGCTCTGTTGTCAGGCTGGAGTGCAGTGGCACGATCTCCGCTCACTGCAACCTCCATCTCCTGGGTTCAAGTGATTCTCCTGCCTCAGCCTCTTGAGTAGCTGGGATTACAGGTGCGTGCCACCACGCCCAGCTAATTTTTGTATTTTTAGTAGACGGGGTTTCACCATGTTGGCCAGAATGGTCTCGATCTCTTGCCCTCGTGATCTGCCCGCCTCGGCCTCCCAAAGTACTGAGATTACAGGCGTGAGCCACTGCGCCTGGCCGAGAGATGTATTTTTGAAGATTCAGGAAATAACATGTTTGCTAGTTGACAGGATGGCCAAGTAAAGAAGGGCCAAGTAATGAGGCAAGAGGTAAAGGAGAGAATTTCTGCAACATGTCTCTAAGTGGGAGGGCTTGGGGTCGCATTCCCAAGAAGAGAGATTGAGCTTAGATAGGACCAGGTGTGGGCCCAGACCAGCAGCATCGGCATCACTTGGGAATTATTAGAAATGCTAATTTTCAGGCCCTTCCCAGGCCTACTGATTCAGAAACTCTGGGGTTGGGGCCAGCAACCTGTTTTAACAAACCGTCTGGGTGATTTTGATGTAAAGTCTGATCTGTGGTAATAGAATACGTAGGTATAGATCCTGGTCCGAGAGTAGATGTGGTCCTAAGAATTGTAGGGAATTATCTTCCAGTTGCTTCTGTGTTCTCAGTTAAATAGGAAGACAGGACATAGCTGAGAGTGAAGACTGGAGGGAAGTTGTTGGAGATCTGGGGAGACAGGAGAAGTTTGATACAGTTGTCTAGGAGAATGGAAGAGTCAGTGACCTGGGGAAGAACTGTGAGTGCCTGAGAGCATTTAGTGCGCACCTGAGTTCATGGCCATGTGTCTACCCAGAGCCCATCAGTATGATTGTGTCTTTTTCTCCAGTGATGAGCAGCTGGAATTGACATGATGATAAAGAGAAAGCCAGAGAAAGAATAAGTGAATAAAATGACTACTGTCTCATAAACAGGAGCTTTACAGGCAAACATTGCTTTCCAGCATGGAAATTGTACCATTTCCTGAAGACCACCTTACCTTTTATTCTTGCAGTCCAAAATCCACCCTGCAACCCCAGCCTACTTGCCTCCTGGTGAGAGTCATGTCTACAGTCTTGGGGCTGCCACACAGCTCATGAGTCCAGAGTGCTGGATACGGCAAGGGCTGCCTGGCTAGTAAGACACAAACTGGTCAGCTAGAGATAAAGTGTGACTCACCGAGTGCCCAGAAAAAAACATTTCTTCATTTTCTCTCCTGACAACTGTATTTTCCTAAATTATTATATAGATAAGAGCTTGTCAGACACAAAAGACCACAATATTATATAATTCCATTTACATGAAATAGGCAAATCTATAGAAACAGAAAGTAGATTAGTGGTTGCTTAGGGTTGAGGTGATAAGGGAGTGACAGCTGAAAGGTATGGGGTTTCTTTTTAAGATGATGAGACTGTTCTAAAATTGACCATGGTGATGACCACACAACTCTGTGAATGTACCATGAACCATTAAACTGTATACTTTCTGTGGGTAAATTGTATGATATGGGAATCATATCTCAATAAAGCTGCTTTTTAAAACTTACATACACACACACACATTTAATTAATCTATTTGTATAGATGAAAACAAGGACTTGTTAATGGAAATAAACCAAATCACTTAAATCTATAACTGAATTTCTTTGTACCTATCTTTAAACAAATAGAACTTCCTTTAAATGCTGAGGGCTTTCCAATATATTAAAAACAAACAAACAAACTTCTAGTCTCTGATATGGGAAATAACTTTTAGGAGTTAAGCTTTTTTCCTTAAAAAAAAAAAAAAAAAAAAAAAGGTAAGCAGAGCTAATTCCCACTTTGTAGTGCTTTGTTGTGAAAAACTTGGACCAAAGTGGCTGTTAATTCTACTTTTCAAAGCTGAATTCTTTCTGACCCTTCAAAACGTATGCTCCCAGGAGTCTTAAGGCGGTGTGTTCCTCTCTCGTCAAAGCAGCATACACATACACTGTTAAGAACATGTTCATTTCTGCTTCTGTCAGCTTTGTGTCTGAGCACTAATAGTGTCCATGGTTTCACTTTTGCATGAACGTTTTTGCTCTAAGCTTAGGGAAGGACACTCTTTTCCATGCCGTAGTTGAAATGTGTAACTTGTCCCTGTTTAGAAAAATGCCGCCACCTACTTGCTTCATGTATCTGGTGATTTAAAGCAACTCCTGAATCATTCAACTTGGCCAGCTTGTCTTTGTGTAGGAACAATCCCAAGCCCATGTAGAGTCTTGCCTTGCAGCACCTGAAAATAAATTCTGTCGAGACTGATGCTCCATCCTCGAATTTTTGATAAATCTTTATGGAAGAGTTATTGGATGCTCATGGAGCAGGCGTGGGTCTGCAGTGGGGGCACGAAGGAAGCATCAGGAGGCCAAGTTAGCTTCTCAGCTAGTGGCTCTGTGACCTTGGGCAAGCCATTTAATTTTCCATTTCCACATCTAAAAATAAGGACTGAATCAAGCGATCTCTGGAGTTCCTTCCAACTCTACACTCTAGAAAAGGCAGTGTACTTCTGAGAGGTTAAGAGCTGGGGCCTCCAGTCAGAGTGACCTGGTTTGAATTCTGGTTTTGCTACTTGCTGGTAACCTCGTTCTAGTTCTTTGGCCTCTGTATGTATCAATGACTTCCTGTTGAAAAAGGAAATAATAATCATACCTGCTGCCCAGGTAGAGCTGTAAGTTACTGATCACAGGACTCATGCTAGAGTAAAAGCTGTTGGTATTCAAAGTAATGATGTGCCCGCACAGATCCACACTGAGCCTGCACTACAGCGTATGCAGTAATGTATACATCTGTACTCAACACAAAAGCAGATGAGATGGCCCCACCTGCATGCTTTTAGTCTAGCTGGGGAACAAAGCTATCATAGGTGAGATGATTACCCGTATGGTACTAAGTACAGAGCAGCAGTCCTTCAGGGGAAGGTTCAATGCCACATGAGAACTGGAGTTGCAGGCAGCTTGGCGCAGGACTGGACTGTGGGTTGGGAGAAAACATAAGCTGAAGCTCCACTTGTTTGTTTGTTTCTTTCCTTCCTCCCCTCTGGCTCTCCTAAGTTTATTTTGGTTTTGAAATCAGGCCTGCCCAGGGGAGTGAATCAAGCAGCAGACCCTTCGGCCTTTTCCTGTCTCTGTGCCTCAGACGGACAGGGCCTCCCACCCTGTTGGTTCTTAGGCGTCGCTTGCATTGCTGGGTGCCCTTTTTAACTTTTCCATCTTCCCCCAAATGAGTCCGAGGCCCCAGCCTCTGTGCCTAATCCTGCCTCTTGGCATGCTTCCTTTCACCTCATTCTCCTCCCTCTCTTCTCTGTTCAAAGTCACTCATCTCCAGCCCTGCGGTGAATAAATTCATACAAAGAGAGTGTTTTGATTTATGTCACCAATTTGATCTCAGAAAACTACAGACCCTGATTCTCCATGCAGTCCATTTATTGTTCATGCACTCACTATTTTGGAAGTGTTGCTCCAAGTGTGAGGTGCCAAGCCACATAACTGAGCTTCTAATTGCAGAGTTCTCCAAGCTGAAGCTGAATGAATGGCTGTGGAATATTAGCCTCTGCTAGAATGCTCAAGGCCTCACAGTGACTGCAGGAGGCTGTCCCACTTGTGTCTAACAGTGTGCATTCACTTGTTTTGTTTGTGTGTTGAATGCATTATATAATTCACTGTGGAATAAACTGTGGAAAGTGCCCACTGCCTGTTTTTGTAAATAAAGTTTTATTGGGCTGTGCTCATTCACTTAACATTGTCTGTGGCTGCTTTCACACTGCATGGCATGGTTGAGTAATTGCAAAAAATACTATTTGGCCCAAAAATCCTAAAATATTTATTATCTAGCTCTGTTCAGATAAAATTTGCCAACACTTGATTTAGATGTGGACATCAGATATTATAGGTCTATAGAGAATAGCCATATAAATTATCTAAATTTCTTTTTTTACTATGAAGCATGTATTTTCCTATAGATCTTAAAAAGATCTATTTCATATTCTATAACCTAAAATTAAGATATTTAGTTTCTTCTCAGAGTTTTGCTTTTGTTTTGTTTTGCTACTTGGATAATATCATAAACATCTGGACTTGTTGGTTCCCAGAGTAGAATTATTTAATGAAAAGGTATCAAAAAATACCTTTTGATATACCAAAAAATATATCAAAAAATTTATTTCATTTTAAAATAAAAACTAAAGGCATCAATAGAAAAACCTTAATAAGCTTAAAGGGCCTCTCCATGAATATTGAGGACATCGTGAATGTTTAGAGCTGGAACAAGACTTCAGGTATCATCTAAACTGATCTCACCATTTGGAAAATTGAAGAAACTGAGAACCAGAGAAGGATGTGCTTAAGGTCACATGACAAGTTACAGCTATCACAACCGAGAACCCAGAACTCCTATCTTTCTGCAAAGGGCTTTTGCCAGTCCTGCAAAAACAAAAAAGGTCACAGAACAGAGCTAATTTGTGCTACTATGAATTCAGATGGCCACCTTCAAATGGGCCATCAACATTTCCCTGAATCCTACTAAATATCTCTGTTCAACATACTCTTCCACTTTCTGTAATGCTGTTTCAGACTTCATCTTCCATAACCCTCTAACATCTCTTTGTCCTCCCTTGCTCTCATCAAATAACCTCACCTTCTCCTTCAGAGAAAATGAAACCTATCTCTCTGTAACTCTAATTGTCCTGACACCAGACACATGAGCCTACCTACATCTGTGTCCATCCTCCCTTCCTCCCAAGTACAGTAGAGGTGTCCACCCTTCTTGTACATACTTGAGACACGTATCTCTCTCCTTCCAGATGGGACTCCCTCCCAGGATCTTTCAGTATGAGTTATCTTTTTCCCTCTCTCAAAAACAAATTACTATCATTATTATTATTAATATATCTTCCTTCTAAACATGTCCACATCTTCCATTAAATTTTTTTAAAGCATATCACCATTTATTCCCTGCAACGAACTCACAATTATTTATTCTCCTCTTTCCAGCCAAACTTCTGAAAGTTTGGCTTCCCAGTCTTTGGCTGGGAAGAGGAGAATAAATGAGCACCATTTCTGTGTCCTTATCTCCCATTTACTCTTCAACTCCATCTGTCTGGCTTCAGGCCCTCTTCCACTAACCAAGTAATACTCATTAAGGCCTCTGATGACCCTCATATTGCTAAATCCAGTGACCATTTTCTAGACCTCATCTCCCTTGACCTCTCAGCAGTATTCAGTACCACTGATTACTCTGTCCTTCTTGTCTCTTCCCTTAGTTCCATGACACAAAACTCTCTGGGATTTCTTTGTACCTCACAGACTCTTGCCAGCTCACTTGATCCTCAGACTCTCTCACTAGCTCGCTGTTTCTTCCTGACTTTTCAATATTAGAGTTCTTTAAATAGTGGGTGCTCCTCTTCTTGCTCTAGCTGCAGTTCTAAAGCAATAGCATCCATGTTGACACCTTCAGTTACCATTTATCTATATGACAATGAAGGCTTCCCCTCACCCCCTCAACACAGTGGATACAGTGGTTTTTGAAATGTAAATCTAATCATTGCTACTTCCTTCACTTAAGACCCTTCAACCTTTTCTGACTTAGGATAAATATAAAATCTTGTCTATGGCCTAAAAGGCCCTGCCCGGCCAGTCTCCTGTCTGTCTCTCCAGACTCATCTCTCTCCAGCTCCCTGTCCTCACCCTTCTGCCTACACCAGCCATCTATCACCCTGTACATAAGTACGGGTCCCTCCCTTCTCCATGAAACCCACACATGGGATTGCCCTTCCCTCTCCTTCCACCTGGGCAACTCCTACTCATCCTTTGACTTCATTCTAGTTGGCACTTCTGGGAGTCTCATCCCACTCATCACTTTGTCTAGAAAGCCTTATCTAAGTGAGAGCCCACATTTTGGCCATAAAGGAAAATGACACATAGCTTTAATTTTACATTGGCTTGCATAATTAACTTCATTAATATATATTCTCTCCAAAAGACAGCAAGCTCCCTAAAGGCAGATATTATTATTGTATATGTGTTGTATTGTATATGTATATATTGTATTATATATGTGATATACATGTTATTTTTGTTTTACACTGCATGCCTAGCACTTAGCACAGGGGTTAATCAGTAAAAGGCACTCAAAGAATATTTCACAAAAGGATGCATAGAGGGAGGGAAGAGTAGATACATGGATAGACAAACAGTTATGGCATATTTGATCTAAGATCTGTGCTTTAACAAAAATACTGGACCGATGGGATGAATGTTTACAGACTTTCCAGTAACCAAGAGCAAAGGAGGCATAAGCATCAGACAACAATGGAATTGATAAAGCCTATATCTTGGTGGATGTCTCAGTGCCATTTTTCCATTCTTCCCAAGGACACTCTATTTCTATGGGAATACAATAAGTGCAGTATGTTTCCTAACTACCACAAATATTTCTGAAATGCAAACTAGTGGCTTCTGATTCATACATGTTATTAGAGAGGAAAACTGAAGCTGTCAGGGGCTCATAGAAAGCTTTGCATTCTTCCTCAATGTGATTCTACATGGCTAATGTCACTAACTGACCACAGAAACTAAGTCATTGGTCATAGGAAAATAAAAATGGTGTACGTGCTGGTTATGTTTGGCACAAGGCCTTTGTTTGGGTATATGCATTCCAAGGATCCCTAGAATGAACTGCCTTATAGCACTCAATCAGGTCCAAAGAACTGAGCCCTTTAGAAGCAGAAGAAGAAGAGGAAAAACCCTGATAGCAATCAACAGAATCCAAAGTATTGAGTGTTTTATTAAATGCCTGTAAGGCTGGGAGACTTGTGTTGACTCCTACACATTTAAGTGCAATCTTCTTCAATGATTACCTTGGAAGATGCATATTTATTTTAGTGACACTGTTCTTACTCTAAATATTTGCAGCCACTCTTTTGGGACTACCTTTAAGGCCAATAGTATATGTATTATTAAACACATCCTGAGCCTTTGGAAGGTAAATTTGGTTTTCTTTTCTTTTTTTTTTTTTAAGATGGAGTCTCCCTCTGTTGCCCAGCCTGGAGTGCCACAATCTGGGCTCACTGCAAGCTTTGCCTCCCGGGTTCACACCATTCTCCTGCCTCACCCTCCTGAGTAGCTGGGACTACAGACATCCGCCACCATGCCCAGCTAATTTTTTTTTTTTTTTTTTTTTTTTTTTTTTTTTTTTTTTTTTTTTTAGTAGAGACAGGGTTTCACTGTGTTAGCCAGGATGGTCTCGATCTCCTGACCTCGTGATCCACCTGTCTCGGCCTCCCAAAGTGCTGGGATTACAGGCGTGAGCCACCACGCCCGGCCGGTAAATCTGATTTTTAGAAAAACCCAAATGTTATGAATAATCAAATCTAGTGAATAGACTCAGGGTCCAAACAAGATTTCAGTTCAAAATGATAACAGCTTTCCTTGTGTGGTAAGAAAAAAAAAAAATGGTTCTGAGGGACAACTGGTTCTCTCTCGGTGAGGAGTTCCAGAAACGTTTGAAGACATGGAAAACATGCATAGCTTCATAAGATGACAGGGCTTACAAGTTCTGCTGTGTTTGTTTTCAAACCCAATCTCATTTCTTTAGAGATCTGAACTGATCATCTACCTGGCCAGCCTTGGCTAGCAAGATGTGTTTTATTTGGCCACCGTAGTGGTTTTCTTTAAAAATTGAGTCAGGATTGAAAAACCAGGAGATTTCCAGTACAAATCTGAATTTCTTATCTCCTTGGAAAATCTGAAGATCTGGCAAAACTCTTTCCACAGCCCCATGTGACAATTCCGTCCTGGAGCAGAGTATCTGCTGCCTCCTGTATGAAAGAGACAGTTAGGCCAGCAGCTCTCAACTGCTATCATTGTCTGTCCTGACCTCACTATTTAAATACTGTACTCCCAGTGCACTTTGCTGCTGCTTATTCCATGTGACATTTATTTGTTTAATTGCCTGTGTCATCTCCCTCTAGATCAAAAGCTCAGTGAGGGCAGAGATTTTTTTTCCTGTGTTTGTTCAATGCTGTATCTCCATTGTCTGGGGCATGGCTGGCACTTGATGCCTATCTGTTGAATGAATTAATGTCTAGCCCCTGTAAGCAGTAAAGTTTGCAACCTTTGCTCTAGAGTTGCACTTTGTAGAAAAGAAGACTAAATGGTTACCTTTCTATAGATATACAACAATCTATACCATATATACTTTCCATTTTCCTTTTTATATTATTTATTTTATGCCTCTATTATGTTATTGCATTTCATCTCCACAGCAATTTTGTAAAACGTACATTATCTCTGAGTGTTACCTCAAATTTTTCTACCTTTCTTTCTTTCCCCCACCTTTATTTGTATTCACTGTATTGTATTGTATTGTATTGTATTCATTTATTCTTTTTGAATAGATACCAAATCCTATACATGATCCAGAATCTAAAATGTATGGAAAGGTCTGCAATAAACCTCATCCCTTAACCATCCAGGTCCCCTCCTCATAGGCAGTGTTGTTAGTTTCTTTGTGTCCATCCACAGATACTCTTTGGATACCCTTTTATATTCTTCTTTCTCTTTGTATATATGGATGTCACATACCGTGTACACTGCTATGCACTTTGCTTTTCTCACTTAACCATATTTCTTAAAGATTATTTCATATTATTCTATAAATGTTCTCTTATTCTTTTTTTACATTTATACAGCATTCCAGTTGGTGATTTATTCCCAGATGGTTTATTTAACTAGTTCCTGTTGATGGACATTTGCGTTTTACATATCTCCTTTTATAGGCATTCGAGATATGGTTGTTACAGGTGTTTAAGAAGTGAGATTGTGGGTGGTTTCTAGATTTGTGCCATAGTTAGTAAGTCTTCACCATTTTAAAGCTGTGGAAAGATTTTCTTGTGGTTTCTTCTAGGGCTTTTATTTGTTACATTTTAATTTTTTCATATACTTGGTATTTAACCAGGCATAAGGTATGAGTTATAGATTCAACTGTGATTTTTTTTCTAGATGTTTACTGTTTATCTCATCTTTAGGAGTTAAATAAGCCAGTTTTTATTATATTGTAAATTTCCATATATATTGAGGTCTGTTTCTGAACTTCTGTCCTGCTCCATTGATCTGCTAACTTTTCATGCACCAATACTGCACTGTTTTAATTACTAAGGCATTATACTATGCTTTCATATCTGATGGGCTTAATTCTCCCTGTTACTTTTTGTTCAAAGTGTTTCGTATATTTAATATTCTTACAGGATAACATTCATATAGTCTTACTTCCCTGTGGGTTTTTAAGTCATCAAGAACAAGCAGTGACTATTATCACATACCATTTTAGCGTCTTTCAAGGAGATCAAATACTTTTTTATTCAGTGGACTTATTACTCTGATTAGCAGTTTCAGCATTCCTAATGTTGACTTATCCTTGCTTTCCTAGAAATATTCCATTTTTTCTGGTGTATTGTTCTTCTAATTTTTCCAAGAGTCATTTGCTGATATTTTATTTAAGATTTTTTGTCTCAATTAAAATAAGTCATCTGGGCAAATTTCTTTTTTATGCTGTCTTTTCCAAATTTTTGGTATCAGAATTATGCTGATTTACAAAAGTAATTGAGGAAGTTTATTTTTTCCCTGTGCTTTCAAACAGTTTAAATAATTTTTTTTATCTATGAAATAATCACACACAAAACCATCTGGATTTGGCATTTTCAGGGAAGGGAGAGGAGGGGGGTTCCTTGACAGTGTTTAAGTTTTTCCCATGATTTTCAGTCTATGCAAATTTGTCTTTTCTCCTACTTTATGTTTTTTAAGAAAATCAAACAATTCATCAAGATTTTGAATGTATTTTCACAGTTACTGAAAGTCATCTCTTATAATTATTCTAATCCTCAGTATACATAAATAATTCCCTTTCTTTTTCCTAATTTTGTGAATTTGTTATTTCTCCCTTTTTTTCTCCACTAGGTTAACTGCTAGTTCATCTATTTGTTGTTTTGTTCTTGGTTTTTCCAAAGAATCAGCTTTGGGATATCTTTACACATGAGACCTGTTAAAATGTTTTCTAGTCCTATAAGCTTTCTGACTTTTATTAATTTCTCTTTCAGCTTTCTTTTATCTGTGGTTCTTTTTCTACAAATGCTTAACTCATTTATTTTTAAGTCATAAAAATGTATAAAACTATGACATTTAAGATATTTCCTTTAGTAAGTACAGCATTGAGGGTCTCACATAGGTTTTAACATTTGTTATTTAGATCATAATTATTCTTTACATATCTAGCAATAAGGCTTCTATTTACTCTTTGACAAAGAGTTGTTTAGGAGATAATTTTCTTGGCTTCCAGGTAATTGCAGTTTTTCTTTTTTTATGTGTCTGATTTTCTTTCTTTTTTTTCTATTTAGTTTCTAAGTTAAGTATATTTTAGGGAGATTGTTTTGTCACATTTCTACCTATTTCTACTCTTGGAAAGTTTCTTTATTGCCTTTGGTCACATGCTATAATTATTCTATTTTTGCAGTATTCTGTTTTTCAGATATGGGTATCTGATCCTAGATTAACATTAGTGATGTTATTCTGGTATTCTTTCTTATTTTATATCTACTTAATCTTTGAAGGAATGTAAGGTAGGTTAAACAACCACTATTGTGTTTCCATGTATTTTTCCTTGAATTTTCTACAGGGTTTGACTTCATCTATTTCTCTTTTTCTTTTTAAGAGACAGGATCTCACTCTGTTGCCCAGGCTGGAGTACAGTGGTGCAACCATAGCTCACTGCAGCCTCAAACGCCAAGGCTCAAGGGATCCTCTCACCTTAGTCTCTCCTGTAGCTGAGACTATAGGTGTACACCACTGTGCCCAGCTAATTTGATTTTAAAATTTTTGTAGAGATGAGGTCTCATTATATTGTCCAGGCTACTCTTGAACTCTTGGCCTCAAGCAATCCTCCTGCCTCAGCCTCCCAAAGTGCTGGGATTACAGGCATGAGTTACCATGCCCGGCACTTCATACATTTCAGTACTATGTTACTTGGAGCATAATGTATGGTTATATCTATTTTCTACCTGATAAATAATTTTAAGGCAGATGGAGACTGAAACATTGCACCAACAGGCAGTCAATACTACCTGCGAGCTATGAGAAGATCTCAAAGTTGGAGACTTCTCAAGGGGTACAGGGAATTGGTGACAGGTATACCTGAGGGTTAGGCAAGAACAAATGCATCTAATACTAAGATGTTTTATTAGTTAAGAAAAGTGACATGAGGATATATGTGCTTGATCTTTTAATTTCTTCTTTCTGGATTTTGTTTCTTATAACTATGAATTTTGTGTAAAAAGACCAACAGTCATGTCTTATTTCTGTGCCCAGCAACTAACACAGTGCTTTGCCCTCACCTTTGGTAGATACTCTGGTACTAGGTTGGTGCAAAAGTAACTGCAGTTTCTGCCATTAAAAGTAATGGTGAAGACTATATCACTCTAAGAGTTTAATTCTTCATGGTGCCATGTGGAAATACTAGCAAAAACAGCAATTACTTTTGCCCCGGCCTAATAGTTGTTGTGAATAAATGAATGAGTGAAGTAGCAAAATATGAAATAGGTGTTGCAGACCAGGGTAATTAGCACTGACATTTGCCCCACCTCTCTGTCCAAACATGCCACTCCTTATAGAGCAGACTGTTGAGTTCTATATTCTTTCAAAATTTTTCATAGACTCACTCCTGGAGCCAGCTCATAATGTATTAAGTATTCCTCCTGAATGTGTACAGATTTCTTGTTTACTTTATGAATCCAACTGAGAAGGTATAACAGATATACCAGAGATGGGAGTCTGTGGCCCTAGCCATTGATTGTTTAAGTTCTGGGTTAGAGGTAAGCAGCCCTTGCCAGAGTGATCCAGTCCCAAAGTAGAAGGAACAAGTTTTCTTGTGATGTGGCAAGGTTATATCGCTCTAAGAGTTTAATTCTTCATACTGCCATGTGAAAATACTAGAGAACAAGGGTTGGTTTAAAATAATTATCACCTTAAAGTATTAGAAGTATAAGGGGGAAAAGATCAGAAAGAATATGCCAAACTATCCACTGATAGTTTGTTAGTGGTTAACTCTATGGTGGGTTTTAATTGTTTCTCCTTTATACTTTCTGTTTTCAAACATTTCCAGGGTGATCAGGAATCATTTTTATGCAAAAAAAAATAAGAATTTTTAAAAGTTTGATCCTTTGAAGACTTCTACTCTACTATCCTTTGGATTGGGCCTTATCATTTCTCACACATGCTGGCTCTTTGCTGGAAATAATAATTTCTCACACTTAGCAGAAACAGATTTGCATTAAGTCAACGGTGTTGTTTCTGCTACTGCACTTTCACAAGTGTAGCACTGACATGCAGCAGTCAGGATCCAGAGAGGAAACAAAATCACACTAGGTAATTCAAACAGAAGGATTTAGTTCAGGGAATTGGTTGTTACATCGGAATTGGAGCACTAAAGCACTAAAAGAGCAAAAAGGAACACTGAGGGAACCCAATTGCAAGAAGTAGCTGTCACCCTCAGAGTTGGGAAACAAAAAGAGGAGATGAAATTAGTAGGACCTAAGAACTCAAGGAAGTAGTCCTGTGGAGCTGGTGCTTGGACCACTAAGAAAGGAAGCCAACCAGCTGCTGCTAGAACCTCTGAGGGACGCAAAGGGACTGGTTTTGGAAATGTAGAAAGAGGCCCATACTCCAGACAGCAGTGACTACTGGAGGATGCTCCTGGGGCATGAAAAAGGAGAAAGGAAGTTCCTTCTCCTCACCTTCCAGTCTTCTTCCAGTGAATAGAAAGCCCTCTGGCAAGGGACTCTGGGAAATAGCCACATCCCAGCCCCAGCATCACAGAATAGAGCAAAGAAGGGTGGATCTGGAGCTGAGGGGCAACAGGTAACAAACTAGCACCCAGCTTTTGGGTCAAAAACTCAGTAGTTTTATAAATGGCAGCTAACCAGCTTTATTCATTGTACTATTCCAAACCTTTCCTTTAAACAACTACTGATGTCCTAAATTTCCAAATATCTCTTGGCTTTTCGAGAAAAGAGTATTTTCTTTATTAGAGGAGTATTCATTTGTAGTCCCTTTAGAAATGTCTCCAGCAGCATCAATATGGGGTTGAGCCTGATAGCTCAATGCGTGGGGTTAGGGTTCAAGGGCAGTTCATTTGTATATACTCCTACCCAGTTCGTATACTGTTAGGGTCCATTCTTATGAATTTGACCTCAAAGTAATAGGAATAATATCCTAATCAAATGGAGCACTGATTATTAATAGAAGTTCTAATTTTCTGAGAAACCATGTAACCTTTACTGAACTCAGAAATGTCTCATATCCAAAAAGAAAGGTTTTCCTGCCACTTAAGTAATGTGTCTCACTGATACAGGGTTGGCCATGTGAAAAATTCCAGACTCATCAAGAGTAAACTTTTCAAATAATTGGTTTCAGCCTAGCCAAATCCTGTGCTTTATATATTAAAAATTTGGTTGCTTGATATTCTGAGCTATAAACTTTATTTTTGAAGTATATATATCCCATAGATGTGATTTTTGCTCATAGAAAAATTGTAGAAAATTCTTAGGACCTTTCATTCAGAAAAGATTGAAGCTCTAATTCTTCACAAAGAAGCTTGGATTTGGGGTCAGGAGGCATATTTTTGGGTCCTGACTTCCCCATGTACCAGTATTTATCTTTAGACATTTAACATCTGAGCCTCAGCTTCCTCATCTGTAAAAGAGATGATAAAATGAGGTTGTAAGCATCAAATGAAAAAATACAGTGTAAAAAGGCAATATAAATGCATGTAATCATTATTATTCTTGCAAGATGCAGTCAAGTTTAGTGATTTAGAGCATAAAGGATTTGCTCCCTGTCTCTCCCACTTTAAAATTCTTGCAGTTTTGGGCAAGGGAGTCACATCTCTTAACTTTAGTTCCCCCAACTGTAAAATGTGGATGGTACCACCTACGTCATAGGTTGAGAATACAAGTAATAAGAGTAATAAAGGAGGCAGCAGAATCCTTAGCAGGTTCCCTAGAACTTATCAGAACCCTTTAGAACATAGCAAGCACTCAACAAATGTTAGCTGCTATTGCTATTATCGCCTTTATTGTTATCATCATTACTATTCTTACTTTTTAGGAAACCGTGCACACATGTGTAAGATGTATGGTGATTAAGATATTTATTCATCATAAAGAAGTATTGTTATTTTCTTTTTTCTGTACTCAATTTCATTGAACACAACAAATAGAAACTCTTTACATTTGTTGTAGATTTCTACTCAAAGCCAAGAGCCACGTTTTGTCTAGTTGGCCTTTGCCATGGAGCTAAGAAGTGACTCCAGAAACACATTCAAGCATATCATATGGGATCCGCAATATTTCTTTGGCATTTTAGAAAGAGATTAATTCCTCTTTCTCTGGTAATCTTTGTTTTCAAATTACATGAATTTTTTTCTGAAAAGTGAAATAGTTCATGTTTGTTTATAGTAGGTAAAATCAACAATACAAATTGATGACCAAGATCCACTGTCTTTCCTTTTCATGTACAAAAATTAGTCATTAAGTGGGCCTTGTTTATGATAAACTTTTTCTTGACTCTAGAGATGGTACAACTGAGGCATTCCAAATTACACCTATAAAAACTATCATTTTGGGATCAAAACTATATTTTTTGAGGGAAAGTAAAGTTGTGAAAATATTCTTCTAAATATTCTCTCACTGGGAAAGCGTTAGTTGAAGTCCCAACAGAGACATCAAATGGTTCCTATTAATTGTTGCAGAATTGCTGAAAAGAGTCAGTTATGCAAATGCTGCTGCCCCCAAAGAACTGGGTTATCCCGTCATTAAATCTCTTCTACTCAGTATCATGCTAGAGAATAGAAATCCCACTCTTTCCTAATGTTACCAACTATTATATAAGAAATCATTTCACACTGAGAAATATCAATACCATGCCCTTTTCAAAAACTGCAACCGTACAACCAGTGCATGAAGTAAATCAAGTTCTCAGTAGGCAGCAGTGGCACTTAGTGAGTGTTCCACTGCCTTCTTTCTTGAAACCCCATGAAAGGAACACACTTCACATGCCAGCTCTTCTCTTGGTGTGTAACAAAATGACCAGGACCCTACGGAATTAGGTCTCTGGTACCCAATACTCAGTTATCCAGAACCTAGGCTTAACTATGCATAACAATAACAACTCACATTTATTGAGCACTTACTATGTGCAAGGTACTATCCTAAGCCCTTTTCTTGCATGAACTCATTTAATTCCTACAACATCTCCGTAAGGGACATGCTATCTTCTTTGGGGACACATGTACAAATGATATTAAAACAAGCTGATGTAGCTATTCTGTCCAAGCATCCAGATTGCATGGTCAGAATGATACCAACCCAATAAACTACACTTTACGTAACCCACATTATGAAAGACCCTCTGTTTGTTTTGTTTTGTTTTGCTTTGTATTGTTTTGTGACAGAGTCTCGCTCTGTTGCCCAGGCTAGAGTGCAATGCCACTATCTCAGCTCACTGCAACCTCTGCCTCCCAGGTTCAAGTGATTCTCCTGCCTCAGCCTCCCAAGTAGCTGGGATTACAGGCACGTGCCACCACACCCGGCTAATTTTTGTATTTTTAGTAGAGATGGGGTTTCACCATATTGGCCAGGCTGGTCTCAAACTCCTGACCTCAAGTGATCTGCCCGCCTCGGTCTCCCAAAGTGCTGGGATTACAGGTGTGAGCCACTGCACCTGACCAGGCCCTCAGTTTATAGCTGGATCTTGACAGAGAAAATTGGCGTGGTCCCTGTGCGGGGAGGCATGGTAATCTGTGGAGTGTCCATGTTTTGTAAAGTTGGGTTTTTTTGTTATTCTTTCCCTTTCACACACACTAATGGCCCTCTGCACTTCTGACAGAGTATTAAATACAGCCTCCCCTAATTAGAATTGTTTGTGCACATCCCGTCTTCTCTACCAGTCAATATCTGTCAGAAGGAAAGGGGTGGGGCTTAGTCATCTCTGCACCCATCATGGCACCCAGCTGAGTGATGTGCACCTTGCAGGTGGGATGCAGAATGGCTTAGCAGTTAAAAGCATTTGTTGTGGTTGGCAGTCTAACTCTTCCCCTTGCCAGCTGGGTCACAAAGGGCAAGTTTCTCAGTCCTCTGGCCCTCTGTTTCATCAATGAGCAGAAAACTTACCATTCATTCAAACATTCTAATTATTAATGGCATAGTGACTGTGTCCTCCTCAGGAGTTCTCCAGACACATAGCAGCAGTCCCCAAGAGTCTTCTCATATCATCACGTTGCTCACATCTTAGGGATTCCCAAAAGAGAAGGTTGAAGCCAGGACTCTGGATAGCCCCCTGACCTTTGTTCAAACAGACCCTTTGTGCACTGATGGGCATATGTCAAGATTTTGAGCAGAGAAACAGGCAGAAGAGCAGAAAGAAAGTTTCCCCCTTCACAGCTTAACAAGGTATGCTGTTAAGCTCCCAGAAGAGGGAGAATGGTCTTCATTGAGTTGTAACCATGCAGCATTTTCATTGCAATGTGCTGTTATTGTTCCATATATGTTATTAGATTACCATAACATCAGTGAGTTCTCGGGAGGAAGATTCACAGGGCTGCTAGCTAAGCAACATCTCAGTTCACTGCCACAGACACTTTGAGCTCTGTTTGTGTGGAGCAATTGCCCATCAGCAGATGGTACTGATGTCAACATGCCTGGAGTTTTCCTTGGCATTATAAGTTCAAAAGTGTCAAAGTTCAGTTTCATACAAAGTAGCTGCTTGTTTTCCAAAACTGACCTGGAGGCCTAGAAAAGACTGCAGAATTTTGATAGATGTGGAAGTTATTAAGGAAAGCCATTTAATCCAAATAAATTGCTCTTGAGGTAGGCCTTGATCAAGAAGTTTCAATTACATTTCTTTACCAATAAATAGATGTCTCTGGCAGCAAATGAGAGATAAGGAAGGTTCTCTCTCACTCCCAATTCAAAACTCAAGCCAGAGAAAATCCACATGCCTGACAAGAAATAATAATAGCCTATTTCTTTTTCAGCTCTGTCTTTAACACCCTGTATGATGCTTCAGTTAGGTGTGTATTTTCAACAGTTTTATTGAGATGTAATTTATATAACAAAGTTTACCCATTGAAAATATATAGTTCACTGGATTTTGGTGTATTTACAGCCATTTATATACTGCCGTCACCACAGTCTCCTTTCAGGATACCTTCATCCACCCCAAAAGGATCCCTTGTATCCATGAGCAGTCACTCCCCATCCTTAAACCAATCCCTCACCCCCACCACCCAGCCCTAGCTGACCACTCGTCCACTTCCTGTCTCTATAGTGTGCATTTTTTTTAACCTAGACATTGCCTGGCAACTCCTCATAATTAGAATTTAATAAGTGTTTCCTCAAAATCTGTCATTTTTGAGAAAATTTATTTCCTTTTGTGTCACTGGGCCTCCCTTCCTCCATTCAGCACCTGTCCCTAGCACCCCCAACAAGGGTGTTCTCCATTTAACGAGTATTTACTAAGGGCCTGCTATGAACTACACACTGTGTTAGCACTTGGGGTCATCAGTGAACAGAATGAAAAAGATCCCTGTCCCCGTAAAGCTGACTTCCTAGCAGAGGGAGAAAAAACAGTCAACAACAGCAGCAGCAAAGCACAGAAGTAAAATGTACAGCATGTTAAAAGACACTAAGTACTATGGCAAAGAGAGACAGGAGAGGAAGATAAGGGGTATTGGGAAGCGCCGTGCCCAGGGAAGGGGCAGGTGACAGCACTGGGATGTTCAAATAGGCATCCCGAGAACTTCAGGTGTTCAACCCTTAATGGAGGTGAGGGAGGGACCCAAGCAGGTGTTGGAGGCATGAGCATTTCAGGCAAGGAAAAATCCTGACGCAAAAGGCCCTCTTGTAGGGGGCACATATGACACGTTCGAGGAAGAGGAAGGAGTTGGTGAAGCTGAAACTGGGAGAGGAGAGACAGAGAGGCAGATGGGGCAGATCCTTGTGGGAGCCACAGTGGGATTTTGAGCAGAGGGGTGACAGGAGCGGAATCGTATCCTACCTGTTGGAATGCCATTTTAAACAGAGATGAGAAGGGGCAAGGGCAGATGCAGGAGACCCCTGGATACTACTTCAGAGGCTACTTTAGGGCCTCTAAACCTAAGTGGCTCTCAATCTTGGCTGGGCATCAGAATCACCCACGCTGCTTTACAAACTGAGGCCTGAGCTACAGACACTAATTGGCCTGGAGTGCACCTGGGCACTGGGATTTTTTTTTTTTTTTTTTTTTTTTTTTCAAAGGTGCGCAGGTGATTTTGATGTGAAAGCCAGGTTGACCATGAGAGCTTTCAGAGCACTAAGTAGTCCCCCTGATTTGACTTTGCAGCTAGGAAACAAAACCCCACAGATGACCCCTCTTGCTCATTGGCAAAGCTGTGCTGAGAGGCAGCCAAAAATCTTGCTGCTATAGCAGTGGCAGGACTGGTGCTGCAGACAGTGTGCAAACTGGGATGGGGCTGGCTGGAGCCCACCTGGATCATCAGACCTTGAGGTCAATCTCATTCTTTGGCTGGATGCAAACACGAGCCTCTGAATGTGAGAGCAAGGCTTTCTCTCTGCACCTAAGAAAGGGCTTATTGTAATATATTAGGGCAGAAGAGAAGGATAAGGCTAGAACCTCAAGAAGAAGGTATGTGATTCACTCAACAAACAGTGTTTAAGAATAATAGTGACAGTGTGCCAGGCATTGTGCAAGGAGCAGCTGAGAAAAAAATAAGGTTTAACTGTCCTTGCCCAAGCCAAATGGCTCAAAGTGAGCACCGTCTAATATTTCAAAATGTGTTATTTGTGGGAAGGCTTTAAATAAGCCAGAGGGGAGGGGGGATTCTTCAGTTGCATATCTGAGCTGCTGGCATTTCTAATTCAGAGGGATGAATAGAACATTATTGTGTTGCATCGGTACAAGTACAGCAGGAAAAAAAAAATGCTTGGAGCCGTGAGCCGAACATGAATCAGCAATCTGGTTCTATTGTTCGGAAAATAATCACCATGCTGGGAGCATGGAATTTAAGAATCATGCAGAAATGCCCTTCCCCCTCCCAGCAGGAAACAGACATTGGCTAAAACATGCCATCTTGTTTTTGGCTTCCTGAGCTGAAAAGAATGTAAAAAACTTGGAGAGGATTTAGGGAAAGCTGATTTGTAAATATGGAAAATACAACCCATAAGAAATGGGAGATAATTTAGACCCAGTGTTGGCAACCTCTCAGAGGTGGCACGCCAAGGGAGTGTTTATTCACTCTTGTGAGCAGGCAGTACAGCTGCCCTAGCTTCAAGAAATAACTCATGTTTTTTGAGTTCCTACTATGCACTGATCAGTGTGCTAACTTGTGGGGGGAGGAAGGAGAGTGGTCCCTACCTTTTGAAGACCTTCTAATTTGTGGCGATGGGCAGGGGAGTGCACCAATACTATAAAGCAGTAGTTCTCACACTCAAGTGTGCATCAGAAACATAGGACCCGAACCCCACCTTCAGAGTTTATAACTCATTAGGTCTGGGATAGAGGCGGTGCATCTGCATTGCCATCTTGTTCCCAAGTGATCTGATTCTGCTGCCTGCATACTTTGAGAACCCCGCTCTAAGAAAATAAGTACAAGGGGCAGGCAAGGAGGGTTCAATACAGAAGTCCACTAGAAAGGTGCACTTGGTTTGTTGGTGCAATAGCAGGTACCCCTTTTTGGATCTGTTCTCTAGCACCTAGCTAATGAGTGTTAATTGGCAACGTGCTTTGGATAGATCACACTGGCCATGACTGCCACCATCCAAGGAAGGGTGACAAGAGGCACAAGAATAGATTTCTCTGTAGGCCTGAGGAAGTTGAGCAGGACATAATACAGTAAGACATACACATGTGGCCTCGCAGTGGCAGAGCAAATGGCTGTAGGGTTAAGAGGACAGTAGGGTGACCTGTCTCCACGCTCAAACTCAAGCACTTCTCCCATGAGCAGAAGGTCTCAGTGGAATCACCTGAGTGGCTTTTCTAAGTACGCATTATTGGGCCCAGGCCTGGAGACGGTGAGCAAAGCTCCTCAGATGATTCTGCCGTGAAAACCCCTCCTTGAGAACTGAGAATGCTTTTTCTGCATCCTGTGTGGTTGTGCCCCATACTTACAAGTAAGCAGAGTGCAAAGCCAATCTTTTGGAAAATACAAAATCAAAGTGCCCAATGGGTACACTCCCCTTCCCATTGTGTCTCATTGCCGTTTTGTTGCCACAGGAGTTGAGCGTCCCAAATTCAGGTGTGCCCATTTAAAATGCAAGTGGCCCTCAGTGGGCACAGTCCACCAACACAGCTGGACGTGTTGGCCAGAGTAAGCTGCCGTTCACTGGAAATATTCTAGAGAAGGCTGACCGTGTGCTGGTCAGGATGGAAAGGTGGGGGTGCCTGCCATGTGTTGAGTGAGTACAGCCTACCAGGATGGCACCTTAGTTCCTCCAACATGTTCTTAAATGGATCAGGCTGGTGGTTCTCAACATGTGGGCCCTGGAAAGTATATCCAGATCACCTAGGAACTTGTTAGAAATGCAGACTCTCAGGCACCCCAAACTAACTGAATCAGAAACTCTGGGAATGGAGCCCAGCAATTGGTTTTAACAAACCCTTCACATGCTCACCAAAGTTTGAAAGACACTAGTTTAGCTTATGCTATAGGTAGCTCCTTGCTACCTGTAAGTCAGAAGCAGCACAGAATTGGAATGCAGGCAACCGGTCATTTATTCATCTACTGAGGTATTCGTACAACTCTTCCAACATGGTGAACATCTTGTGCTCATTTGTCTGATTTTCACCTAAGAATGTGAAGTGTTCAGTATCTAGCCAGCTTCTCAGCTATGGTTGGCATCCGTGTAATTTCCAGTGATAATCTGACTTACTGCATCCTCTTCTCAGATTATATAAGGGCTGTGTTCTTTTACTTTTTAGATTCTTCGTCACAGCCTCCCCATTTGACGCGGGCTCAGTAAACTACTGAATAATAACCAAGCCTGATTTATTCCCAGGACTGCCTTAAATCCTGCTAAGACTTCACTCTGTGTCTCTTTCTCATATCCTCCACACCAAGTGGTAAGCCAGGCCGACTCACTTGGCTGTATGAAACTTTTTAATGGCACCTTTAGGTCAAATGTTGTGGCCATGGTCTCACAAAGAGTGAGGGGTGAAAGGAGATACTGCAAATCACACTTCTAGACTTTTCACTGATTTTCAAAGCTGTTATAGCCATGGTTCCCAAAATCTGTACCAGAGCACCTTGGGTACCACAGCAACCCCACAGAAATACAGTGGGATGTTTTTAATTTTTGAGGGAAACCCAGAAACAACTGTCAGACACCATGCAAATCCACCTGTCAAGCTGTTTGGACCTCATAACTTCATAAACAGGGCATTTAAGTATTTCTTTTGACCTAGGGTCACCGTAAAAAATATTACTGAAACACTAAGAGTGACATACACTGAGAAAGTTGGGAATCTCTGTTACAGCATGACTGTCCCCAGGTATAGTTTAACTGTACACATTCTGGCAGGATCATGCATTCAAGCCATCACATTGCAGGAAATACACATTCTAAATTTAAATATTAGCAGGGGAGAAGCTGAAAGAAAATTAGAACTATATGCATCTTTGAGGGACTTCTTTCCTTTATAACCTTCCTACCCAGACCTACCCATCCTAGCTCCCTGAGACAACCCTTAACCAAGGCTCCTGTGATTTTTCAAAATAATAAATAATAATGATAGAGGCCAAGACAGGAGAATTGCTTAAGACCAGTAGTCCGAGACCAGCCTGGGCAACATAGCAAGACTCCATCAAATAATAATAATGATGATGTAAATTCTCATTTAGTGTCCCAAATATGATGGATTAATTCTTGCAAATTGGAACTAATGATTGCTCTAATTGCTCTGGTGCATTCCTGAAAATCACCTTTGATACACACTGTTGAAAGACAAATTCAGGCTGTGTGTGCTATACCATGCACCTGACACCTCACAGAAAGCCACTGGAATTTCTGATAAAGAGCCAACAGAACCTTTACCAAGCAGAATTAAACAAGAACCTAATGTGCGACTGAATGCAGTGGCTCACGCCTGTAATCCCAGCACTTTCAGATGCCGAGGTGGGCAGATCACTTGAGGCCAAGAGTTCAAGACCAGACTGGCCAACATGGTGAAACCCTGGGTCTACTTAAAATACAAAACTTAGCCAGGCATGGTGGCTTGTGCCTGTAATTCCAACTACTCAGGAGGCAGAGATAGGAGAATTGCTTGAACCCAGGAGAAAGAGATTGCTGTGAGCTGAGATCATGCCACTGCACTCCAGCCTGGGTGACAGAGCAAGACTCTGTCTCAAAAAAAAAAAAAAAGAACCTAATGCGTGAGAATGGAGACAAAGTTTCCGAAGTCAATTTCTGCAAGAGCTTTGCAATGTAGCCCCATGTCCCCTGCCCCCCATTTGACACTGAAGAAGTAGTAAACAGTTATATTTATTAGGATAATTTTATTTTCATCTTCAAGGGAATTTCAGGAGCACAGCAGTCTTCATAACACTCCATTTAGGAAGATTATTCTTTTTATCCCAGGGTTAAAAATCTGAAGGAGCTCACTGCAGATTCCAGAGGCAGCAGAGCACTGGCTCAGACTGAGAGACACTGTCTCCCTGGGACAAGATTGAATTTTCTTTTAAATTTCAGATGATACTATCAAGGGGTCAAGTACTAGAGTCTTTTCTTATGACACCATCCAGGGTTGCAGAAGGGAGTGGATTGTTTGTTATTGTCTTACTCATTATCAAACTCTTTTTAAAAATCAATAATAAATCATTTGCTGCAGTCTTAATGTTTTATTTTCACATTCTTGTTTGTTGTTTTTCATGCATGTGTCTCAGTGAGTCACCTAACCACAATTATATATTCTGGCATCTGGTGGTTCTGCATGGTACCCTCATTCCTTAGGAATTAATTTCCCTGACATGATGAATGTGTTTCCAATCCGTTCATCACACACACACCCCACACACCCCCCCCCCCCCCACACACACACACACATACACACACACCCTCTTTAGCAGGGAGAAGTTACCCTACTCTCCACCAGGTGTCAGTAGAGTCAGTTTTAACAGCATGCTTTGGCCAAAGGGGCATCTGCTGAAGTTGTTTTTCCTGCTGTCAGACGTTTCCTCAAACTACCTCTGGGCTGTCCTCTTAAGAGACTATCTTCCATTTCTTAGGAGTGTTCGGAGATGATAGTCCACCTGTAGAGAAAGACAGCCATAAGGAAACCGCACTATAAACAGCAGGTGGCCAAGCTGGTCCTTTCAGGTTGGTCTCATAAAATTTTTACTGGCTGTTTTCTTCTTTACTTTTCTATCACTACCTTATTTGGCTTAAAAGTGCTCCATGTTTCACTCAATGTGACAATAAATTAGATGTGGTTGATGCTTTTAGATTTGCAGGGGGCTTTGTTTGTTTGTTTTAAGGCCCATTCCACCTCTGCCACTGCTGACCTAGTCCTCAACACAGGAATCGGATTTTACTCTGCTTGTAGCCCCAGAACCCAGCATTGAAGGGTATAGAATACTACCATGGATTAAGTGTGCACGTCCCACTTAACCCAATGTCACCTTTGAGAGCTACGGCCTTATTCCCATTTTAGGAATGGTTACTCCTGACTCAGTATCCCATATTTAAGTGGCAAGGCCAATGCTCTTTGTAACATGCCATGGTGACTTTGTCTGGGAGAGAGGTGGAAAAGGAGAGGGGAAGAGGAAGGGGAAGAGAGAGAAGAGGACAATGATTTGGCCTGGATATTGACTAACATAAAGAGTAGGGGGAACTCTAGAATGAGATTGTTGAACTGGAGTTGAGAGAGTGGGTGGAGTGGAAGTAAAAGTGAATTATTTTACTAAGAATAAAAAGAAATATCAGCAACAGCAAATTAAGCTCAGTTTCAACCATAGACCCTGGTTGAATTATTTCCCTTCCTGACGGCAAAACACTTACAGAGACTGCCTGAAAATCTGAAATGAAAAGTATAGCTTTGCCATTCAACAGTCATTTGCTAAAGTCTGTTATGTGGGGCATGAGTCTCCTGCCATACCCAGTGGAGAAATTCTGACTGCCTTCCCCTCCAAGAGGTGACCCACTCAGATTAATACCTGGGATACGGTACAGACAGAGCTTTCACTAGTTTTCCACATTTTTACTAACTCAGAGTTTTATGTTCCTCTTTAGGCTCATGCCCAGTCTAACTACGCTAGCTTTTCATATTTTTTCTCTTACTGATTTTTTGATACTACATTCCCAAATAGGGTTAGTTTTACTGAATACAAAAGGTGGATCACAGCGTGGTATGATTTGAAAACACCTTGCCTCTGTTCTCCTATTTGAGTTCTTAACTGATTCCTATCATGAGAAATTCAACCATTATTTATTCACTTCATTGGGTCCTAGATTTAATATTAAAATGCAAAGGGCTCGGGGAAGGATAACTGGGGCTGCACTCAGGATGCTATAGACTTGGGAACAAATTTATTTCTGTGTCCAAACTTTCTTACTCCCCACAGCAAGGTTAAATGAACATGCAAAGTAACCTTGAAAGGGAAAAATTTTTTTTCACAAAAATTCAGCCTTGCAAGAGGAAAATGGCAGGGCAGGTGAAGGAGAAGCAATTTCACCTCCTTTTAATCTTTGTAATGACAGCATCTGGGGAGGTGGGCTCTGTATTGTTCTTGAGTCTTTAAATGACCTCAGGTAAGCTTAAAGTTAGACCAGGCAAGAGTTTCAGTTCCCCCATGCCTTTGGGATGATTGAGGCTGGCCAGGAGTTGAGATCATCTATAATAATGATGATGCCTATAATAATAAAGAAGTCTCCCAATACCTTACATTTGTGTCCTCCTTTTAAATTTACAGGCATTTTCCAATTGCTTTGGTCCTCAGCATAATCCTGAGAGGGCAGGAATTGTGATTTATCTTTACAAATGAGGCTTGAAGAGTTAAAGGAACTTGTCCATGATCCCCAAACTACTAAACTGAGACCCAAAGCCATCTGGAATGACGCCCAGTCCAGGAGCCTTTCCTCCATACCTGGGATTGGACTTGTTCTTTAAAATATTCCCCAAATACCAGAGTCAAAGGTTTGATGTATAGCTCTCCCTCTCCTCCTATGAGGGGGATAAGGAAAAGAAGGGGAAACTCCACTTTTACCCCCAAGAGATCCACAGCCTCACTGCCCTCCTAGCATGGGTGCAGCCCACCTAGGGGGACAGCCATTTGCATTTATTCAGCTGTGCTTCCAGATGCCACAGACAGAGCTGTGGGAAGGCTCAAGTGGGGACAGGGTGGGGTGAGGGGTTCAGCCCCATCCCATGAACTCCAGTCATACCCAGCACCCCACAATACCAAATAAACTTCATAAAAATAGTTGCTTGCTACCTAAACACAACTTCAAGACACATCCCTAAGCTATGCCCCCCTCTTACACGGCAACTTCCTAGGAAATCTAGCATGTCCACTGATTCTGCATCTAGTCACGTTTGCTCAATGCTAGGTGAGAAGATGGATATGTCCTTCTCTGAAGGCCTTCCCAGTTTTAATGGTCTTGGGCTAGGGTATGTAATAACGTCACACTCATGGGTCTGACCTTTTAAAATGAACCAAGAGAATTGCTAATGAAGGTTCCCCAACCCACAGCCCCCAACCCAGTCAGTCATGGCTTTTCTGGGCTGCCCATGAAGCACCTGCTGAAGTATTAATAGATGAGCCCTGTTAAATCTTATCATCTGATACATCAGGCTGCATGACACTCTGCTACCCTTCCTCCTGAGAGAGCCAAGGAGAAGAAAAACTAAGGAAGACAGTTTGAAAAGGCCACAAAAGGTTGATGATGAGCTGTGAGGGGAAGCATGTTTTGATTCAGTGCACAGGTTGGATAAACAATGACTCACCAGGTCTACGTGGAAAGATTTTTCATGAGGTAATTTTTACAGATGCCCCTTCAGTGCTGTAGTTTCGATACAGAGAAAGGAAACACAAGGGGACAAAGGTGTGTGGTCAGGGCAAGCGTGCTGGAGTTCTACAAGAAGGAGTGGAGGTGTTCTCTCTGGCACTGGTCTAGCCTTGTGACCTTGAATACTGAGACAGGCAAGTATTAGGTTGGTGCAAAAACAAAAGCAATTAGAAGTAATGGCAAAAACTGCAATTGCTTTTGCATCAACCTAATAGCAATGATCCCACTCAAAGAGGTGCCACCAAAGGGTGAGCCTCCCAAGCAGGCCTCCTCCACACTGCAGCAGGGCTGCCTTTCTCACACTGGATCACTGCTTAAAGACCTTCCGTGGCTCCCCATTTTTCACAGGATAAAGCCCAAGTTCCACAGCAACTCTTTCAAGACTCTTCACCATCTGGCCTGAAACTACATTTGCAGTGTCATTCATGGTCACTTCCTGCCCCGCTCCTGCAGTCACATACCCTGGGCTTTTTTGGTACTTCTAAGCCATGCTTTTCATCCCTGGCGTGGAAAAAAATCCCAGCTCATTTTTCCAAAGCCAAACTCACATATCACCATTGGGTTCCCTCATACAGGTGTAATTAATTACAGTCTCTTCAGTGCCTTCAAACACATCTTGTATCCCTCTTGTTCAGCTCTTCTGCCCCTGAGTTACAGGTTGGTTCTTCACCTAAGCCTTGCAGGAGTGGGCTCCATGAGTAATTCATCTTGAATGATCTAAAGCCTGAGTTGGTGTCTGATGGGATTAATGGGGCAGCCCTAGACAGATCCTTGGGTTGATGGATTCCTCTTCAGCCTCCAGGCTTGTTTTTTAGAAACTCATCTTCCACCCACAAAGGAATTTACTGCTGGTAGGTTCTCTTCTCTTTGCTCCCAACCAAAAATAGCTCTTGTGTCTCCTTTTCATTCTATTCACTAGATCACATTTACATCAACTTATATCTTTTCCATTAGCTATCTGCATTTTAAGAATGATCAAAGTCCATAGCCAAAGCTTAATATGGCAGCTGTGAGTAGATTTTGCATGTGTAAAGTATCTGTGAACCCTCTGAAAATATATACCAAATGGCTTACCCATTTTTCAAGGGGAGGGGCAAGTGATATAATTAAATGGAAATGTAATTTTTCATTACATTTCTTGAGGAGAGCACACTCCCTAATAGTTGAGATCACTCAGCTAAAGAATGAAGCTTTAAAGGAGAATTTGAAGGAGTGAGGGACATGCAGCAGGATTTTAGCTTGTCCCTGAAGCCATTTCATACACACAGCGCCTGCTTTATTGCAGCTTAAAGACCCAGGTCATCTCAAGAGAGGCTTAACATGCCCTGAGAGCAAAAAGCAGTGCAAGGTAAGGAGACTGTGTTCTTCTGTGTGGCCATCCCAGCCTATGAGACATGCATCTTCTTAGACGTCAGGCAGGGCAGGGAAAGGCCCCTCAGCAGTCTCCAACAGCATCTCTCCACCCGTTCTCTGTCCACTGAACATGCCTGCACTCTGTTCCACGTGACAGCTTTTCAGATATTTGAAGACCACTCTCTACCCCTCATGTGACTCTTCCCTTTTCTAGGTTTCCTTCAATGTTTCCTTAAGATACGTTTTCCATCGTCCAGGATATTGTACATGAGACATCCTTCTTAAAATGTAGCAGCCCACATGTGGTCTGACCAATGTCCTACAGGCTCTTTCTCTTTCTTTCTTTCTTTCTTTCTTTCTTTCTTTCTTTCTTTCTTTCTTTCTTTCTTCCTTTTTCTTTCTTTCTCTTTCTTTCTTTTCCTTCCTTCCTTCCCTCCTTCTTTCTTTCTTCCTTTCTTTTTTTCTTTTCTTATTTCTTTCTTTCCTTTTTTTTGAGACAGGGTCTCACTATGTTGACCAGGCTGGTCTCAAACTCCTGGGCTCAAGCAGTCTTCCCACCTTGGCCTCCCAAGTAGCTAAGAGTATCAAGTGCATGCCACTGTGCCCAGCTACAGGCTATATTTCTGTCCATGCAGCCCAAGATGCTGTTAGAGTAATTAGCAGCAGCCACAGTTCACAGTGTGGCATGGAACCCAAGGCCTTCCAAAGTTCCTGGACCTATTTACTAAGTGTTGATAATAATTCCATTTACTTTTCAGTTTCAGAGGATTCAATAATAACTTTACCATCATTTGGATTTTTAAAATACAAACACACTTTGTGTGTTTGAGAGGTGAATGCCTGCTTTTCTACTCTTCCAATGAGTGGAATGAGCTTTATTTAAGGGACACAGCACTGGGCTGAGAACAGGTAGAACTGGCAGAGGAAGGCTCCACCTGCATGATTCTCAGCACCACCCCTTGGCACATGGCATCTGTGACTTTTATTTTTAGCTGTTCCTTCCCAACCAGCTTATAAAATGGATTGTAAATTCCTTGAGGGCAGAGAGCCTCCAATCTTAACCTATCTGCATCCGCAGTGTTTATCCCAGTGTTAAATGCTCATATCACATTCTTCACAAGTCTTGTTTCTACCTCTTAAATGTCACTTAAACACCTAGCCCTCTCACCATCTCCACCACCTCCACTCAAGTTCCAGCACCTTTTTCTCTATTCTGGACCTGCCGTGGCCTGACCAGTCTGCTTTCCACCCACGAGCTGCTGTAAAGCTTTAAAAACCCACATTGGGTCTTATCACACCCCTGCTTAAAACCTGCGTAATGTAAAGGCACCACCCAGTTTTTCTGTATGAAGCTCATTCCTTGCAGAGTAGTCCATGGGCCTTAGGAGCACAAGGATGAGAACAAAGGGTTAAATCATAACCTGGGGATAGGTCTATTTGAAAGAAGGGCCTAAAGGTCTGGGGTCACCTCCACTCAAAATCCTCCCCAAATAAGCCCAAGTAGAAATGACCTTTCCTTCTCTCATGGCCCCAGTCTACTCTGAAGAGACAGGTAAGGTGAAACCTGTATATATTTTTGCATTTATCTGGTGCAATTCTCTCCCTATGTTAGTTTAGAAGCTGCTTGTGGACAGGCCACAGTGTTGTCTTTAAACAAAACCTAGGGCATTGCCTAAACAGAGTAGCCTCAACCAAGGCCTCGCGATAACCAAACAAATGAATGACCCATGTCAAAGGGATATTCTCTACTTGGGTAGCAGTTGCCTAGAAGACTAAATGGAATGGCATTTCCCTTCCCCTAGTGCTGAACTGTTGAAGCAGTTAAAGGACCATCGACTTTGAAGGGCCGTGGTACACAGACCCTCACTGGATCTAACTGAAAACCCTTCCCTGACCAGAGAGAAACAGGGCATGTTTTAATGAATGACACACAGATGCTAGGTGTCAATCCTTCATTAGCGTAGCCACCCCTTTCTAACTCAACAACTCCTTGACCCTTCCTCCTCACTGACCTACAAAGCCCTTCGCTGTTTTTGTTTCCTTCCTGGCAAATAAAGAAACTCAGCTTGCTTTACTTTTAAGTTCTTTTGGACTTTCTTTTCTCCTTTGATCCCATGATTTGCTGGTGAGCTCCAGGCCTCTGCCAAGGCTGTGGAAAGGACCATCTTGGGATTCCCCTCCTCAGTACAGAGCATTTTACCAACACCCACCATGTAGGACAGGAGACCAGGAAAGGAGGCCCCGGGACACCTGCCTTCCCTGGGGGATTGTTAGAAGCTTTACTGGAATTACATTGAAAACTCTAGAGCTCACTGAAGGAAAATTGTACTAAATACTACTAAATACTAAATAATACCAAAATACTACAGTAAAAGTAACACTAGTATACTATTAATAGTATTAGTAATACTATATCTGTTATATAGTAACAGTAACACTAAAATACTGAAGTACTAAATTGTACTATAGTTGAAGGAAAATAGTACTAAACAGAAAAATTGGTACCAAATTTTGTGGTGATAACACTATTTTTAAAGTCTTATATAGAATTAAGATTTTTTCCATTCCTAGATACTTTCCGCCCCACACACAATAATTTCCTATAGTTCATATGCCTATTCAATTGGAATTTTGAAAATGAAGATATTTTTAACTGATAATATCATAAGGACATAACTGGGATTTTATAGCTTCGCCTTCAAGACAATAAAAAGCATACAAAACTATGCTGACACATTTGTATTAATGTTGTATTTTAATATTATCAGTCAGGATTCTTTTGGTTGCAAGTGACAGAAACCTAAGTCAAACCAGCTTATTGTAAAAAGGGTAATATTTTACTGAGGGCATCCAAGGAAGGGCTGAATAGCCAAATCCCTGGAGGAGCAGAAGAGGATACAGCTGGGCCTCAGGAAGAGCCGAGAGACACCACAGCTTTCTCCTTCCACTTCAGGCTGTCTGTGAATGTCAGATGGATCCTCTCTCTCACCTTCAAATGGACTTTTTCCAGGTGGCTGAGAGATATGGTCTCAGTGTTAGAGTTTTAACTTCTAATAAATTCTGTCCCTAGAGAGGAACTAGATAATATCTCTTTCTCTCTCCCTCAATCCCTCCCTTTCTTTCACCCTGAAAAATCATCTTACTAGTCCAGCTCAAGTCTTAAGCCAGTTTTGCCAGAGGTGGGGCACAGTCCAAGCCAAGTTCCTCCACCTCTTTAGAATATTCAGGAGTGGTAGCATGTGAAAACATGGCAGCTTCCATGGGTTCAGAGGGGGTGGTTAATGGCAGCACAGTTTCTAAGAGGAGCAACAGAGTCAGGACCCGCAATACTGTAGGTACGACCTGTGCTCTCACCTACAGCAGCTCAGAACTTGGTGCCTCTCACTCAAAATGCTGCTGGACAGGTGAACAAAGATGGGACAAAGGGCTTGTGGTAGAGACCCTTGACGAGCTAATCAGAGGCAAGAATGCATTTTCCTAGCAGTGAATACTCATCCTCTCCATCAGGTGCCAATTTGGCAGCTTACACTATGCTATATCAACTTCATTCATCTTATTTTATTTAGTTGTTCAACATATATTGTTGAGTACCTGTTATGTATCTGACATTCCGCTCAGTGTAGAAGATATAAACATGAGAAAGGCAGTCTCTGCCATAAAGAGATTACAGTGTGGTGGGAAAGGCAGCCGTGTAAACATGTAATTTCCACAGAATGGGACAAGAAGTATGATCAAGGTTTGAAGTCATTGCTGCAGCATTAGATGTGGAGACAGAGCATGAATGGCTATGTATAAATCTGTGTTGTAAACATAATCCACACACTTCCTCTGCCTCGTTCTTTTTCTTCTCCAACCAGTTATTTAACAAGATTGTTCCTCCCTTTCATGGGCACAGTACGTTATAGATTACCCAGCACTTCCACTCACAGCATCTTCAAACCTCAGAAATACCAGCCTTGTGAAATAAGTGGGACAAGTATTAGTTTCCTCATCTTACACTGAAGAAATCGTGTTTCCAGTGCTTTGAAATTACTTCCTCTGATCCCACAGCTAGTAGTATATTACAACGTTGGACCTCAAGCCCATGCCTCAGGCTTCAGTGCTATTCCTAAGCCAAAATGCTACCACCATCTACCACTGGCCACAGAACACACTCCAGAAAAAGAAAGCTAATCCTAATCTGTCTCCGGCAATATGCTGAAGGACTGTGACCCAGGTTCATCACCCACCAGTGTCCATCTGTGTCATCCTGGGTGCACCCTTCCTTGGCATTCTTCCCTGGGTCAGTGCACCTCTGGCCACTGATGCATACCAGGCCTCCATCCCCAGCCTGAGGGCCAAGTCTGACTGTTGCTCTTGGATCTCATTAAGGTAGTGGTGAGGTGGGGAGTTCAGCTCTGACTAGGACAAGTCATAAATGGGCAGATGAGAATATGGATTCAGTTCTCTAGGGCAGTGTGTCTATGACTTGAAAGTGCACATGAATCACCTGGGGGTCTTGTCCAAATGCAGATTCTGACTGAGGGGATGCCCAAATTTTCTATTTCTCACAAGCTCTCAGGCAATGTCGAGACTGCTGGCCCACAGACCACACCTTGAGAAGCAAGATCTAGATTAGAGATGCTAATACATCTTAGCCACTCTTGGGATAAACAGCAAATCTGTGAGCTGGTAGCTTTCTTAAAAATCTGAGATGGAAAAATGTGCGCTTGATAAAAAATTTATTTTTAAAACATGTTTATAGAAGGAACCCTGAGATGAAAATTAAGAGGTCTTACAAATTTACACATATCACATAGCCCACCTATGCTTCGGTGTCCCCAGTTCTGAGTTGAGAGTAACAAATATTGCTTCAAGGTAATTAATGCATATGATATTGTTTGGAACAAAACCATTATGGAAAATGCAGATTATAATCTGTGATTTTTTTTGTATTTTTTCCTTGTAGGAGATGTCAGTGAAAAAAGGGATCCAGAATGATTACTAACCTATGACTCCCAACAGTATGACAGGTATCTTTTTTTTTTTACATTTTCTTTGTGTGCCTCCATTTTTGTTCCACCTAGAGTGAAATTATAGATTCTTAAAGATTAACTTGCGAGTTTTAGCAACCGTTATTTCCAAACCAATAAGTGTTATTAAATCCTGTGAATACCTCCCTAGAAATGTACTTCCATCTTCTTCTGATATAAGATGCATCCTCACCAGAAAGGTGATGGAGAGGAAATGACTATTCATTTTTAGCCATCCTTTAGCCATTGCACACTAAGTTTACTATTTTCTTTTCTTTTTTTTCCTTTTTTTTTTTTTTTTCTTTGAGACATGGTCTTGCTCTGTCACCCAGGCTGGAGTGCAGTGGTGCACTCACGGTTTACTGCAGCCCCAACCTCCCAGGGCTCAAGTGATTCTCCCACCTCAGCCTCCCAAAGTGCTTGGATTTACAGTAGGCCACTGCACCCGGTGTATGTTTACTTCTTACAGTCATTCCAATTAATATAATAAATGGCTCTACATACTTTGTGACCACAGAAAGTGTATATTTTCAGAAGTTGGCTGTTTATTCCATTCAGCAGTAGAGTCAGAATGGAATATGATTAGGTCATGTAAGGTATAAGTCAGTTATAAAACTCTTAGCAAGGGTCAAAGGAGAGGCAGAATGACCTTGGAGGAATACAAGGTTGCAATAGCACAAATTCTTTGTGCAATTTATAGAGCGATGGTTGTACACTCAGTGGTGCCAGGGAATAGGCTGATAACACCAGTGATGACAAAGGTTAGGTAAAAGGAAAAACAAGTAAACAAAGCTGGAGAACTCTGGTTCTCTCTAAAAGGAAGCCATCTCCCACTCTAAGCAATCACTGACAAGAAGGAATGAAGCCCCATGTGTCCAGAGATTTCAAATTTGCAAGAGAAGTTGGAAATTCGGATTTTAAATGAAATATCCCAAATTTTAGATGTTAGCAAATAACTTATAAAAATTTTATAGACTTATGGCTCAGTCGAAATATGTCTGCTAACTAGAATCAACCCATGAGCTGTGAGTTTATGACCTCAGCTATATACCTTCCAGCCTAGCAGCAAGTCCACCACTGTCCTTTTTGTTACCATGGCAACAGGGCAGGTCCTCATAGACCTCTGTGTGTCGAGGATGCAGCCTGACCTTTGATTATCTATTCATGTCACCTCCCCACCCTATGATAAGCTAAACATGTAGGACAAATTGCTCCAAGAACTTATTCTCCAGTAGACCTGAGAAACTGAAGCAACTGAAAGTTGCCACTCAGCCTTCTAAAAGTTTTGAAGCCTCCCAATGACCATAAACTTTAACTCTCCCAGCATCTTTGCCCAGCCTCTCTACCCACCCGTACTGGAGCTCCTGATATAGCAAAAAGATGGGGTGCCTGGGCAAATCACAATGATTCACACCTGTAGGAGCTGAGGGCATCGGAATCACATATCTTCTTATTTCACATCAACAGGCACCAAAACGCACCCACTCCCACATCTATTCCACTGCCAACTAGGTCAAATTCTCCGCCACTAAAATCGCACTCCTTCTACGTCATAAACCAACACATTCAACCTTAGCTACAGCCTCAATGTTTCTGTTGGGATGAATGGCAATCTCAGTCAGGAGGAGTGATGGCCTAAGTCTTTGCAGGCACACGCAGGTGTGAGCACACAGATACCAGACAGCAGGTAGCCACGCTGCAAAATGGAGGGACAGTATTCCTTTCTGATAAAGGAGGACAGTGTGAGAGCAGGTGCTATAAGGATGGCTCTCTACTCCATGATAATTTGCCCACCTGAAAAAGTGTCCAAAGATCTGGACTCAAAGAACATACCCCAAGACATATGAAATGGCAAAACATGGTGTAAAAGTAGGTAATAAAATGGTCTTCGCTTGCTGTGGGGATTAGTTCTAGGTACAGTGCAGTTCATCTAGGGAGAGTGACCATTCATTCCAGCTCCTCTGGATCAGGGGCTGGCAATTTTTATTGTTGTTGTAAAGGGCCAGTGAATAAATATTTCTGGCTTTGCAGCCCATACAGTGTCTGTCATAATTACTCAATTCTGCCATTGTAGCATGAAAAGCCATAGACTATATGTAAATAAATAGACTTGGCTGTGGTTTACTACAAATTTATAAAACAGGCAGCAGGTCAGCTTTGGCCCATACTTTGTGGACCCTTGTTCTAGAGCCCAGGGTGGTCCAGGCAGTTCTCTTCTAGCTACAAACCATCTCATTACTGAGCAGAGCCCCCAGGTCTGAGTCAGCTTGAGAGCTGAGCTAGGAATCTAGGCCCACTCCTAGACAGCTCTAGGGTAAGCCAGCTTTTCAGCCCATCTTGTGGAAGCTGGGATGCTTTCCTCGCAGACTGAGCCAGAACCCCAGCTGCCTCCTAGTGAAGGAGGGAGTTTTCACTTCCAGCATTTGCTTCATAGTGGAGAAACTAATTGTAGTTCTATTTTCAAAAGAAACCTACTCCAGACACATACATGTACAGTATACGTTAGTGGGCTCATATGAGAAAATCATTACTTTAGATGCCCTTGTTTGTGTATGAGATAAAACAATGTTCTTTTCCCTCCTTCGATTGCAGTGGGCTCAGGGGTACATGTTTTAAGAAACCCAAAGGAAGACCATAATGAAGTTATAAGCTGTCAGAACTAAGTGCTTGCTCTAGGAGCATACTTCAAAGGCCAAATGTGCATATTTTTCCTTTGAAAAGCATAATAGATAATATTACTGCTATTCAACACAGGAAATCAATTAAACCCTTATGAAAAGAAAATCATTTTTTAGATGATCAGTAGTTAATATGGAATCTATTTTCCTCAAACAGAACAGGTCAGCATTTTCAGATAAATGAGGCATGTTTTTTGTAGGCTCTTTCAACCGCAATGCTTATTAAATTTATGTACTTTGCACTAACTCGAATGAATAATTGTTTATTTTTTGAGGTTACTTAATATAAGCTACAGTAGAGTCAGGTCTTGCCAAAATTTTCTCACTGCTTTACGCCACCTAATTTGAAATTAGGACTATATGAAATCATTCATTGAAAAATGCGATTCCTTCCAACCTCAGCAGAAACAAGAAAAAAAATACAATTCTTAAAGAAGGAAGTAAAAAAGTACCTTGATACAATATTTTATCTGTCTGGAATTAAGCATCACTTCCTAGATAATCTGAGGGAAATTCTGCTGACATTGATGACAATATAATGAGCTCTATTTTTAATAAAACCGTGATCCTCAGCATAGGGAAATTTGTTCCAAGATATGAGTAGCTAAAATGTTAAATACCAAAGTTAGAGGCTTTTGGCCTTGACTGAACAGGAAACCAAGAATTCAAACTGTGCTGGAAGAGGCAAAAACAAAGACCCATTATGTTTGCGCTGAACCTGGCTGTATGATATTAGGATATGGCATAAAGCTGGCAAAGTACTTGACGTTTTCATTGAAACTGGGCCTCCAGTAATTTAAAGTCACTCTATTATGATGCCTTTAATGTGAATAATGTATTCCCCATTCAGTTATTAACTTGGACTTCTTTGTGACTTGCTTGTTTGTTTAGCTTCCCTACTGTGGGAAGGTATTTTCTTTATCAAGGCATTATTCTTGAGTATCCCTCTGTAGCAGGGAAGGGATGCGTGCCAAGATAGATAGGAGCTTTCAGATGTTACCCCAAAATTTCCCACCATGTGATCTTTGTACTGTTTCCTGTGAGCTTGCTTTGGGAGGGCTCATGTGTTAAGCAAAACTGAGAACAACCCAGGTTTTTAAAAATTTCCCTTATGACAACTGAGGTTGAGCATTTTTTACATGTTTATTCACCACTCGCATTTCTGCATCTGTAACTTGCTTGTTCATAGTGATTGTCCATTTGCCCACTGTAGTTTTTGTCTTTTTCTCATTAATTGTAGAACCTGTTTATGTGTTATGGATATATGAGCTCTATTTTGGATAAAACCATGATCAACAGCATAGGGCAATTTAGGCTGAGATGCGAATATGCTAAATGTTGAATATCAAAGCTAGAGTCTCCTTTTGCTAAGTTAACTAAGCAAGTCACGTCATCTCCCTAGATCTTGAATTCCTTATCTAATAATGAGAAAGTGAAAGCAGTTCATCCCTAGTTCCCCTTCCACTTCTCAAATTTGAATATTTATAAATCACATGTTCATAAAGTAAGGCATACATACATTGATGGTTGAGTATAAAGAAAAAGTGAACACTGAGGCAGTGCATTTTGTGTTTTGAGACTGTCCTACTGAACAAGCTTTTCAGAGTCAGACAAAACATTTAAGTTGGGAAAACTCGGCATTTTATTGTGAAGCCCATGCCATTTTTCAAAGGTGGACCTTCAGGTGTCCCTTAGGTTTTTCAGCTGCTTCTTAATGGCCATTTCTTCCTTCAGAAATAGATTCACGGTGGTGCATATGTCCTACAACCTACGTAGAATGGCTTTCCATGGTTTCAAAAGGTTACTGATGGCAAAATAATGACACCATTCAAAAATAACTAATGTTAACACTGTACATATTGTTAACATTTCCTGCTGTCAATAAACACGCTTCCTCAAAGGGATTTGTTCATGGCTACTTAGTAATTCATCATATGGTGATATAGTCCCTGATTATTAGGCTATTAACATAATATTGTTATAAATAATATACGATGAATACATATTTATTACATATTGACATGATGAATATATAATGAACTGCCTTGTACATAATTTTGCATCTTTCCGATAATTTCCCTCTGGATAAACTCTACTATGTTAAAGGAAATGATGGGTCAAAGGGACTGAACAGCTTTAAAAACTTTTTCTGTTTTCACATTTTAGCCAGATTATTGGACCAATTGAGACATCCAACAGCAGTTCAGCCTCCATTTAAGTATATACCCTCCAAATGTAGAAATTTTTGGTATAGTTAGCCTATTTCTTTGTTTTTGAGGAGGTAATTTATTAGGCAAAATTGTATCAAGCCTTTCAAAACTTTATATTTTTCTTATTGATTATAAATTTGACTATATACCCCCCCCACACACACATTGATTGGTGACTCAAACTTCACCTTTTATAACTTAACCTGTTTGTTTAACTTTTCTATTGTGGTATTTGTCTTTTTCTTAATGATTTAGATATTAGGGAATTAATTCATTTTCTATCTTAAACAGTATATATATTTTTCTCAATTTAGTACATATCTCTTCTTTTTGTTTATGGCAATATTTAACCTTAATTTTTCTTCCTTTGAAATAATTTTATACTTACAGGAAAGTTGTAAAATTAATACAAAGAATTTCAAGCCATCCTTTACCCTAAGTCTTAAAATGTTAATTTTATCACATTTGCTTTAATCTTCTTTCTCTCTCTTTCCATCTCTATCTAATTTTTATTTCAAACCATTTACAAATAAATTGTAAATATGGTTCCATAGCATTTTTGGTCATACAAAAGCTTTTAATTTATATAGAATGAGTTCTATTGAGGTGTCATTTATGATTTATTTCTTTGTTGTCAAGCTTAGTAATATCTTCTGATGAGTACTGAGGGACAGACCTCAATGGGCTCTTTGGAATGTGTTAGCACTTTTATTTCAACATGTAGTTCTTTTTAATTAGACGCAGGAATGACTTGCTTAAGGTTGAGGATTTTTCTCTCTCATACTTACCTTTAACACTTGCATTGTTACCTTTGTGCACCAAACACTCACACAAAGTGGTGAGCCTCTGAGGCAAGGGAGGGGCAAACCTGATTGGTGGAGGTCCTTCTGTCCCTTCTCCCAAACTCAGGACAGTCAATCCCCAGGCCTTAGGACTGATTACAGGTGTAGATGAAGTAATAACAGAAGCCAAAGGAGAGCAACGATGCAGAATGCCAACACGACCCTCGGCTCCGCTTCCCACAGTGCCATAGAGCTGGGAGGCTTTAGATAGATGGACACGCTCCTGGCATAGCCATTCTGAAGGGAAATCTGGAGGTTTATTGCAATTTCTCCTGAATTCCTGTCTCCCCAGATGTGACCAAAAATAAAACTTGGCCTTGGATTCCATACAGCCATCTATACACATTACGAATGCTGCCATGAATAGTTTGGCAGAAAGAAAAATAGCCCAAATAGCTAGCTCTACTGTTGGCTAAGCTTTGATTTTATTTCTTCAGTATTTAACCACACAATGTGATGGGGGCCTTTTTGCTCCTCCCTCTGCATGCTGTCACTTCTAAAAGAAATAAAAATCTCACTGCAAGTAGGCTAGAAAGGAAGCATCTGTCTTCCCCCAAATTCCTTGAGGGCAGAAGGGAGGCTATTACACACATCACACAGAAAGTCTTTAAATTCATGCTCAGACATCTCTCCCACAGATCCATGCCTCACAGGAACTGCTGAAACCTCACATCCTCTTCTCCCTCTCTCCCCAGAGGCTAAAACCCTGATGAGTCGGCTGTACACACTGCCTCCCCTCCCCGCTGCAGTCAGGAATCTGGACCCTTCGCTCCCCTCCCTCTTCTCCCCACTACTACCTCCACCTTCAAGACTGTGAGCCTCTTCTCTCCACTTCCTCGATATGTATTTCCTTTTAAAACCCCACTCAGCAAAATAAACAGATCTTCCTTGGGACCTCACTTACCTTGGAAAGCAAAGGAAGGGAAAACCATAAATATTTGTCATCTTACTTTTTTTTCCTGTCACACACAAATTGGTAGAAGAGGATGAAAATCACTCCATGGCTTCCATCCAGACTAGGGAAGAGAGGAGACCAGCACCTCAGTTCACGAGTTTCTCTAGTTTCTGCCATAATAAGGGGCAAATCAAGAGACCACCAGGAAGAATTTCTGTGCAGCTAATACATCACCTTTTTCTTTAAAACAAGAGCAAATGCTCCTTTTTTCCTCATGAAACAAAGAACGGTAACTCTTCATGTGGTATGACTGGGTAAAAGATGCCCTATAGGCTACATGAAGAAGGACTGGTCCTCTTGTGCTCTGACTGTCTCTGTCCTCCTTTCATCCCTCCTGTTTAACTTCCTGAGCTTCTCTTGGAAGAGAAACTTACTACAGAAAAGTAGGGAGCTTTCTGAAAGAGACCAGATTAACAAAATCTCACCAAATCCAGACAGACTAGCGAAAACCTTCCCTCAAATCTCCCAGCAACTCTTAGACAATTACTTCTAGAACAACTTCAGTTTCCAAATTTGAGCAGCTAGGTAATCAGGAAGTTGAAATGTCAAAAGGACAAGACTTTATAGAGAGTAGAAGGTGGGAGCAGAAGAGTGAAAAAAAAATTCTTTCTCAGCAACCCCTGTATTCTTCCTAGAAGTCACCCTTTACAGAAGGCACCCTTTACAAAGCTGGCTTCTTCTCATACCCCAACCACAATCATCATCACACCAACCTCCACTATGATCATTGCCTCCCACATCATCATCCCCATTATCCCCACCATCACCACTCTGCTAAACTCATCTCAGTCTCCTGCAAGCCCTGCTGTAACCAAGAGCTGTCCAGCACATCTCTACCTAACTTTTTTCCTAACAGTCACAAATAACAGCTATAACTTAACAAGGTTCTGTTATGTGGGGATGTATCTTCCTCTCTAGTCTCCTAAATGCCACTAAAGTCCACAGCAGTTGCACATATATAGGTGCAAATCCCTTCAAAAGAAAACAATTTTCCCAACCAGAATTTGGTTTCTAATGACTATATGGTGTTATTTTGTTTGCAATGAGCCAAGAGTTATTTTTATACGGCACCACCACCTGCCACCATTGCCATCTGAAAAGTCCCAGGCGCTTGTTTTATCCATCTTTGCTTTTCTTTCAAGTCTTGGCTATGATGACATTCTCGCTCTGGAATCTGGCTGTGTTGTAAAAAGGAAACTAGTGTGGAATGCCAGTTCCCCAAGCCTGCAGAGTGCAGATGCTTTCTTGTCTTGGTTCTGTAACTGAACTGAGTCATTTTCTCTAAGCCATGGTTCACACATTAGCAGGCTGAAGCCAATGTGGTGAAGTGTCTTGCCCAGGGCCGCCACAGCAGACTGTTCAGTATTTGGACCATCAGTTCCCAAAGACTGGGAAACTGTGGGTTAAATGGCTTCAAATGGTGATTATGTTTCTTTCTTTTTTTTTTTTTCTTTTGTTTAACCTTGACTGAAGTTCTTTGTCTTTTTCATGCTGCATTTCCAAGGAAGATGTATTAAGCATTCTTTCTTCTCCTTTTTAGTAAGCTGAGACCAAATTAATAAAATCTCAGCAAATTTAGTCAGATTAGCAAAAACCTCCCTCAAAACTCCTAGAGATTCGGACAATTGCTTCTAGAACAACTTCAGTTTCCAAAATGACAGCCAGGTGACCAGAAATTTGATCCCTCTCTTTGAAAGAGGACCTAAGTTTGTCCTGCTCAAACTTGGCTGCATATTAGAATCCCTCTGGGAGCTTTCTTTTTGAGACAGGGTCTCACTCTGTGGCCCAGGCTGGAGTGCGGTGGAATGATCTCAGCTCACTGCAACCTCCACCTTCCAGGCTCGTGTGATTCCCCCATCTCAGCCTCCCGAGTAGCTGGGACTACAGGAACTCACCACCACACCTAGCTAATTTTTGTATTTTTTGTAGAGATGGGGTCTTGCCATGTTGCCCAGGCTGGTCTCAAACTCCTGGGATCAGCTGATCCATCCCCCTTAGCCTCCCAAAGTGCTGGGATTACAGGCATGAGCCACCACACCTGGCCACTCTAGGAGCTTTTTAAAGTCCTGATGTCCATGCCATCCTAGACCAGTTTAATAGTAATCTCCAGGTGGGGGCCCAAGACTCAGCATTCTTTTAAAACTGTCCAGGTAATTCTAAAGTACAACCCAGTGGGACACAGTGGTTCTCAACCCTGCTGCCTATTACACATCAGCTGGAGATCTGTTAAAAAATACCAGTGTCTGGGCCCCACCCCTAGAGATTCCAATTAATTGGTGTAAGGTGAAACCTCTGGTAGCTTTGTTTTTTTAACTCCTCAAGTGATTCCGCTACGCATCTGGTGTTAAGGAAAGAGCTGTTGTTCTCAAACTTGGTGGTGGGATCAGAATCACTGGGAAATTTAGCTTAAAAAGAAAAAAGTTCTATCCAACCATCTTACCTAATGACAAGTGCCTTGGCTTTTCTTGTGCCTAATTAGCTCTCCAGGTGATTCTGATGCACACAGAAGTTTGAGAATCACTGATGTAGAGGGTTTTGTTTTTTCCACAGAAAATGTTAGTTTGGCCATCTGAGTACCTACAAAAAAATCTAAAATATTACCCTTTAATCTAGGCCTAACCTGACCTAGGGTGGGCAAATTGAAATGTAATTAGTGATGCTCTACTCCTGAGGACTGTGTAGGTGTCTGTTGTTACTTTTGCCCACAAATGACAAACTCATGGTTCCTGAAACCATGCATTTGACCAGTGAACATCAGCATCTTCACTTACCCAAATGGCTCATCAGAACAGCAAACTCTCCAGCTCAAATGATCACAAAGTCCTTCAGGCCTGCACTCCAAGGCCAGCATTTTTCATTGAAGTAATGGAACAGTCATGAGGAAACTTGTTTCTCTGTCCCACAAATGATTTGATAGGCATCGAGTTTAAAATCCTATTTTTTTGTTTTTGTTTTTTGAGACAGGGTCTCACACTCTGTCACCCAGGCAGTGGTGTGATCACAGCTTACTGCCATGGAGACAGTGACCTCCTCCTCCCAAGGAGACCTCCCAGACTCAGTTAATCCTCCCATCTTAGCCTTGTGAGTAGCTGGAACCACTGGCACACACCACCACACTCAGCTAAATGTTTTTATTATTATTATTTTTTGCAGAGACAGGGTCTCACCATGTTGACCAGGCTGGTCTTAAACTCCTGGGCTCAAGCAATCCGCCCACCTCGGCTTCTCAAAGTGCTGGAATTACAGGCATGAGCCACCACGCCCGAGCTTAGAATGCTATTCTATGCTGCTTTAATGTATTGTCTTTAGATGTGTGGTACTTTTGGTTATGGGAAGAGGTATTTATATACTTATTATTTTTAATTTTTTTAAATAAATGAGAGGACTTCCATTTTGGGGTCTGAAGAGAATATAGCACTCTGGTGAGCAGTCCCCATAGGGTTATTGTTCTCAGCCTGATCTACATGTTTAACTCACTTGGGGAAATCTTAAAAATCCCAATGCTGAAAATGCTGAACTTTTCTCAAAGGATTGTGGTGAGGATGTAAGATTTATATAAATCACTTAACATAGAGTCTGGAGCACTGGGGCACAACATACAACAGCCATTATGAGGGAGTACCTGGCACATAGTAGATACTCACTAACTTAATTTACTGTGGAGAAAACAGCCAACAGAATTACGATCCTACAATGGAAAAAAAAAACAAATGTAAATGAGTGTTTGTACTTTTTTAAGAAGTTTGTTTTGCAGCTAACCTTAAATGTCTATAGCTTTGCTTAGCCCATTCCCATAATTCATGTCTTCTCACTAGTGTCACATACAAATTTAGCACCCTAGCTAGAATTTTCTAAAAGAATTTTCCGTACAGCTAAGGACTTTTCTTTTTAAAAAAAAAAAAAAAAAAAAGAGAGAGAGAGAGAGAGACAAAAAATTTATTTGTTATTCTTTATGGAAATTTTTTTTTGTTTTTTGTTTTTTTTTGAGACAGAGTCTTACTCTGTCGCCCAGGCTGGAGTGCAGTGGCGCAATCTCGGCTCACTGCAAGCTCCGTCTCCTGGGTTCAAGCCATTCTCCTGCCTCAACCTCCCGAGTAGCTGGGATTACAGGTGCCTGCCACCATGCCCAGCTAGTTTTTTTGTATTTTTTAGTAGAGACGAGGTTTCACGGTATTAGCCAGGATGGTCTCGATCTCCTGACCTCGTGATCCACCTGCCTCAGCCTCCCAAAGTGCTGGGACTACAGGCGTGAGCCACAGCACCCGGCCAGGAAAGATATTTTTAATGAAGCAGTAATCTAAACATAAGATTTGAAGCAAACAATTCGGGCAAAAGGAAGTAGATAGTTTTTCATACAATCTCTTCCTTTCTGCAATCCCTGATAAAATAAGCATCTTTAAACATTTGTTGCTATGATTATTATTGTTGCTTAATTTTTTAACAGGCATCAGTTCCTAGGCCAGACAAGGCAAGGGACCACACCACACAGTATTTTCCTGAATGCCTAGCGTCCTGCAGGATGGAGGACTTAGCATGATACAATCACATCATGTAGGAAGTCATAGCAGAAAATGGGAGGGGAAACATACCTTCCCACTACTGCCAATAAAATGTGTTTAAAAGCACTGGCTTCCCTTAATTCAATTTCATTTTACTTGCTTGGTGTCAAATTGTGATTTTCAACATTTTTTTTTTTTGCCAAGATCCTCTTATTTTCTCCCAACACACACGTCCCTTGAACCCCGTGCTTTCAAACATCTTACCTGCCAAGCCACTTTTATGAAGTAATAGCATTCATTGACTGGTTTTTAATCATCAAAGACATATTTGGTTACTAATCTGATGTTTTCAATGAGCAGGATGAAATGATCAATGTTCCCACGCTATACAGATGTATAGAAAAATTTCTATATCTTTTTCAAAAATCTGAAGGCATTTTTCATGGAAGTGTCACAGACTGCCTCATATTATTGTACAACTTCCCTTGGGCCTTTTCAAACTTTTTAAATGGCTCATAGTTTCCTCTGACGCTGCTTTTATAGACCTCAGGTTAGAAACATTTGAAAAAGAAAATTCTGAATATTCTTGTACCCCAATTTTCTCAACTCTAAGTAGGATTACATTCTTATATTAATTAAATATTATATTAATATCTTATAATTCTTATAATATTTATTATTTTAATATTATAAGAGTGTAATTCCTACTTAGGGTTGAGAAAACTGGGGTACAAGGACTATGGAACCATAAATGAAGCCATCAGAATACCAATTACTGCTGGCATTACCTTTCATCAAAAAAGTCTTTCAGTATTATTATAAAATCATTCTTCAAAGATTTCTATGTAAATGAATATAAAATAGCCCATCGAACTCAGCAATGCATAATGAAAATATTCATGAGAAGTTTAATCATTTAACACCATGCTCTAAATTAGATTAAGAAATTATTGGGATAAATCAGAACATTCGTAAATTCTTTAAGTTTCTCAACAGAAAATTCTAATACAATTTAACATTTTTGAGCATCTCAGATATTACATACTAAACATATAAACATGACTGAGCAAGAGTTCTTGCCTTTGAGAAGCTCATAGTCAAGAGATCACAGTTTCTAAACACAGCAATTCATATATTTTTTTTTTTGAGGCGGAGTCTCGCTCTGTCACCAAGGCTGGAGTACAGTGGCACAATCTCGGCTCACTGCAAGCTCCGCCTCCCAGGTTCAGGCCATTCTCCTGCCTCAGCCTCCCCAGTAGCTGGGACTACAGGTGCCCTCCACCACGCCCGGCTAATTTTTTGTATTTTTTTGAGTAGAGACAGGGTTTCACCATGTTAGCCAGGATGGTCTCGATCTCCTGACCTCGTGATCTGGCTGCCTTGGCCTCCCAAAGTGCTGGGATTACTGGCCACTGCGCCCAGCCAGCAATTCATATTTTTAACATCTGACTCATGGAAGTTCAGCATTGGAAGGAATCTTAGAGACCATCTAGTTCAATGCCATGAAATTACAGGTGGAGAAACAAAGCCCATTAACTTGAAGTAATAAATGTGTGGCCCTGCAGCAGTGCATCACCCAGACGATTCAGTTGTTTGCCTTCACACTTCTCACACCTTAAGCATCCATTGACTCTGACTGGATTTTTAAAATATTGAATGATATAAAAGATAGCCAAGCTATTTGGAATTGTAAAGCGTCTATTAGCAAAATAATGCTCTCCACTGCAATAAATGAACCCCAAAATCTCAGTGACTTAGTACAACAGAATTTTATTTCTAACTCATGCTAAGTCTAGTACCACATGTTCTTGGTTGGCAGGTGACACTTGTCAAGGTCATTTATGGACCCAGGTTCTTTCCTTCTTACATCCCCATCTACCTCTAGGACTTCAGAATTTTCTCCACTAAACAGAGGCAAGAGAAAGACAATGAAACAAAACACATAAGAGGTGTTTCACAGGCCAGACCTGGAAATAGTGCCCAATGCTTTCATTCATTCTATTGGCTAGACCTCAGTCACATGGCCGTGTCTCACTGCAAGGTTGCTGGGAAATGCAGTCTAGCTGTGTGCCCAGGAAGTTAGGAGTATGCAGATTTTGATAATGAGTCTGTGTCATAAAGGGCTATACAAATGCCTAATAACGTTATGGAGATCAGTTCAGGAAGGGCTTGATCTTTACAGTGAAGTCATCTTTTTGTTTAAAAAGTGTCTGTTTCAGTCCTCTGACCCTATTCCAGGTTTTACCAACATCTCTAGACAGGGGTAGGATGGTCTGTTTTACCCACCTTTCCTGGTTGCTGTTGGAGTTGGCATGGAGTAATGGAAAGAAAACAGACTTTGGCGTCATGTGTCCTTGGGTTCAAATCCCCAGTTTTCCACTAAGTAACCTTGTGACTTGGAGCAAGTTGCGTAAGCCTCAATTTTCTCCTTGTAAAATGGGGGCAGATAGCATCCTAGAGTTGTGGTGTGAATTAATTAAATCATTTAGTAAACACTTACTGAGAGCCTACTACATGTCAAGTCCTATGGTACACTCTGGGGAAATGGCAGAGATTTTTTTTAAAGGCACAGAGCCTAGATTAATAAATGATATATATACAGTTATTGTCATGAGAAAGCACTCAGTAAATGTTAGTGCTCTTGCTTTTTTGCCCTCTATAGCTAAGCTGTGAAGATATGTTCATCCCTAGAAATTCTAGATAGAATAAACTAGTGAATGATGGATCTGTAAGATGGATAGGTCAAGTGGAAAACGTTTCAAATGTTTCCATTGTTCCTGTTGTTTGAAATTGATTTGATGGGGTGATAATATTTATGTCTATGAAGGATGTTTAATTTGCAAGGGCATAAAACATAATGATTTGAGCTGCAAACAAATACTTGTTCAGTCCCAACAAGAGTAAACAGAAACATCAAATTGGAGAGCCCTCTTCAAGACTGGTGGCCTTTCCATTGCTAAGCCTCCTTTACAAATGAGATGAGGAGGGTCTTCAGAGATGGTGAGGACCATCTCTGGTTGCAGGCCAGGTTGCAGGCTTCCTGAGGACCAGAAGGGCAGTAAATTTGCAGCAGCCCCTCCTACTCACTGACAGATCAGAAGGGGCAAGCAAGGTCCCCAAGAGAAGGAGGATAACACCATGTCGGCATCTCAGCCACTGATGCAGCCTTGGTCTTTGGGATTCAGAGACTGGTGAGGGTTTTTGCCTGAGGAAACCGGCACCTTCGGTGCTCTTTGACTCCTTCTTGTCTCTCAGCTTTTATTGTTTCCTATGATTTCCAAATAGAGCAGAGGACCTTTATATTTGTTTTGTTTGATAGCCTGCCTATTTTTTCCTCTCTTGCTTCATGCTTTCCAGGAAGCTGTTTTATTTCTCTTTACTTCTCTTTTATCTTTTTACCTTAAATGCAGAATAGTCTGGGGGAGAAAAGGGGCACATAATGAGGATGATGGGTCTTCAGACCAAAGTACATACCATCTTGACTCCAGCTAGCCCTGCACCAGCCATTTTATATGCCCTAAACCACAGCTGCATTGCTGACCCCTAATGCCACAGAAGAGCTAAAGGCACAGGCTTTGTCACATCCACCTCAAGTCCATTGTGGCTTTACCTCTTCAGCTGTGACCTTGGGCAAGTCGCTTTCCCTTTCTTAATACTCAGTTTCTTTACCTGTGAAACGGAGATGATCATTACTTATGTCAGTATTCATGTGAGGGTCAAAAGAAATAACAGAATGTGCATAGCATCATGTCTAGAAGGTAGGTAGTGAGCCTCTAATAATAAATGACAGGTGCCATCATCATGATCCCCCACAGTGACCATATCTGCAGGCCAAATGCACCAACCTTGCCAGAAAAGCTGTGATGGGAACAAATGCAGCTGTCTTGTTATCTTGCTTCAAACTTAGAGGACACATTTCACATTCCCCATTAACCAAATGCCATCCAGTTTTCCTGAACAACCCATTCCACAGCTAAACACTAAAGAGTCACAGGTTTGGCTCAGAAATGAGTCTTCTAGTCGCACTTTCCAGGCCTGATCCTTGAGAATTACCCATTAATTTTTTAAATCCCTTTAGAATGTTTGTGCAGAAGACACCACTGAAAGTCTATGACTAAAGCTCCTGGATCCTTTGCTAGGGCCTCCCTCCACAATACATCTGATTGTATTGTCGTCTCCTTTCCAGATAAGGATTTTTCTGAAGATCCTTCTATATGTGGTTCTTCTCTACCCTCTTGTCTTAGGAGAACTGGAAATATTGACCAGGGCTGGGATTAGCCTTCTCTCTGTTTCAGGCAGGGACAGTTCTATCCATGATAAGTTTCCTCTCCTTCCAAAGTACACAGTCCATGGCATGTTTAATTAATAGAGTCCTGGGTAAGATTCCAACTTTCCAAGATTAAGAATGTGCTTTGCTTCCTGACCCTGTCAAGCCCCATCCCTTCTCAAGAATTTTCCATGTGCCACAAATCAACTAAATAAAGGCTTTTGAACACCACATGCACTGGCCAAGAGGACAAAACCTAAACTGGCTACAGTATGAGGCTCCTGGACCTGGGACAGCTTGGCCCAGTCCAGTGATAATTTCACCAAACACACTTCCTAATCAGTTTTCTCTGTTCTTCTCTTCTCTCTCTCAGAAACTCTTGCCATTTAAGGGTCTGGTCTACTTGGCACCCTTACAGTTTTTTGCTGCTGTTCTCCACTCCCATTGTTCATGTCATACCGTATCGCCAGAGTTGCTCACTCCGCTTAAAGAATGGCATTGTTTGCCACTCCCCAGGGGCACACTGGTTTAGAACGTCTGCCAGTTATCTTGGCAGAAGGAATCATCTGAATGTTTTGGCTCAATATTATTTAATCCTAAATAGTCAGCTGCTGCCTTAATCTTGAGGACAAATTAGATACAGAAGACAGAGGAATCCAGTAACTGAAATGAGGAGGTCGCTTCATCTAGATGAGGGCTATTTACCTTCACCCAGCTTTCTCCCAGGCTGTCTCAGCACTCCCTGTACTATCTGGAAAGCAGCTGATGGACGGTTGTGTTCTGTGTCAGCATAATAGCGGGGGATCAAGGCTTGGTTTTGCCTGTAACTCTCCAAGTGGCCTGGATCAAACCATATCACCTTCATGGGTCTCAATTCTCTTTTCTTTCTTTTTTTTTTTTTTTTTTTTTGAGACGGAGTCGTTCTTTGTCACCCAGGCTGGAGTGCAATGGTGCGATCTCAGCTCACTGCAACCTCCACCTCCCAAGTTCAAGTGATTTTCCTCAGCCTCCGGAGTAGCTGGGATTACAGGTGCCCGCCACCATGCCTGGCTAATTTTCGTTTCGTTTTTTGTTTTATTTTGTTGTTTTGAGACGGAGTCTAGCTCTGTCACCCAGGCTGGAGTGCAAGGGAGCGATCTCGGCTCCCTACAACCTCCGCCTCCCAGGTTCAAGCGATTCTTCTGCCTCAGCCTCCCAAGTAGCTAGGATTGCAGGCACCTGCCACCAAGCCTAGCTAATTTTTTGTATTTTTAGTAGAGATGGGGTTTCATTATGTTGACCAGGCTGGTCTCGAACTCCTGACTTCGTGATCCACCCACCTCGGCCTCCCAAAGTGCTGGGATTACAGGCATAAGCCACCATGCCTGGCCAATTTTTGTATTTTCAGTAGAGACAGGGTTTCACCATGTTGGCCAGGCTGGTCTCTAACTCCTGACCTCAGGTGATCCGCCTGCCTCAGCCTCCCAAAGTGCTGGGATTACAGGCGTGAACCACCGTGCCCAGCCTCAATTTCCTTTTCTATAAATAAAGTTGAACTGGTGTGGTAATAAGGTCCTTTTTAGCCTGCAAATATTGTCTGCATTTTATTACTCAGAGCCCATTGAACTAGGACCAATTGATCTGGTTAATTTGCCTCTGAAACTGGGCATGAAATATTGCTGCACATCATCTTAGCATACATGTCCCTAGATGAGGGTCGGAAAAACAAAGAGTCTGAAGAACAAGATAAAGACTTCATGAAGTCACTCCAGTGTGGCTTAGCCAAGGTAGGATCACTTTGGTTTGGCACCATCATAAGCTGGCAAAAAGAATACAATCTTCAGTTTCTAAGCCTTCTCATTTTAGAAGACATCTCTGCAGTGCATCCCCACTGCTCATTATTTTTTCAAGCTGTGTCTGCTTCACTTGCTTAAGATAAAAGCCTACACAGTGTGCCATCCAAATATAGGTCCACGGCAGTCCAGAGAGAAGACAGCCTGAGGTTTACGGTGACAGGACATTTTGAATACCTAACAAATCGGCTGTATCATATCAAAGCCCACCAGTCAATATTAGCAATGAAGGGAAATGAAAGTAAGGTTTGTTGAGGGAACAGGAAGTTTCCTGTACTGTTTCTCCCCTTGCTGGAAAGCAATTGTGATCAATACCAGGTGCAAATCATTGCTTGTAAGAAAAAAGCATTCATGATTATATATCACAAGCACCACATCACAAATATACTTATGTGTATTATGACTTTTAAAAGGGAATAGTGCTTTATAAATCCCACCATCTTTTTTTTTTTTTTTTGAGATGGAGTCTTGCTGTTGCCCAGGCTGGAGTGCAGTGGCGCGATCTTAGCTTACTGCACCCTCTGCCTCCCAGGTTCAAGTGATTCTCCGGCCTCAGCCTCCCAAGTAGCCAGGACTACAGGCAACCTACCGCCACACCTGGCTAATTTTTGTATTTTTAGTAGAGACAGGGTTTCACTATATTGGCCAGGCTGGTCTCGAACTCCTGACCTCAGGTATTCCACCCGCTTCAGCCTCCCAAAGTGCTAGCATTACAGGCATGAGCCACCGCACTTGGCCCCACCATCTTTTATATCTTCCAAAAACAAATGTCCACATTACTATGGAACCCTCCCAAAAACTCCATTGATTGAAGCTGACTTTCCACTCAATTAGTGACCATTTAAAATAGGTTTCTGCTAGCACTACACCTGTCAGTCATTCATACCTTACTTACTGTCAACCAGACATTCCCTCCGGGAATCAGTCATGCTGACTGGTAGAAAGGAGATAACAGGTGTAAATTAGGAACTCCAGTGCCAGGTAGCCCAGCGTCAGAGGATGAACGCTTTGAATCAGAAGCATTGGAAACTCACTAACCTCACAGTTTCTCAGTCTCAGCACTGTTGACATTTGGGGACAGATAATTCTTTGTTGTGGGGGCTGTCGTGTGCAGTCTAAGATGTTGAGCAACATCCCTGGCGTGTACCCACTAGATGCCAGTAACACACACACTCCAAGTTGTGACCACCAAAAAATGTCTCCAGATATTGCCAGCTATGCCCCACAGAAGCAAAAAAAAAAAACAAACAAATAAACCAACCTGGGTGAGATCCACCAGCCGGGGATCTCCCCAGCCAGGGATCCAATTATTTGGATCGAACAAATAATCTTCACATGAAGGGAACATGCAGGTATGGAATTTTTCTTCCAGAGCAGTTTCCTCACTTTGGCAGTTTCCTCCCACCCTCCCCATCTTTTCAACTTTCTAGGTAAATGTGTCCTGAGAATTGAGGCAGTTGTAGATAGGGCCTCCCAGGAAGCAAATTGCCAATTCTCCTTGGTGTAGTAAGCATGGACCATTTTGCAGCACCGTCCCCTGAACTTGCCACATTGTCCTAAGTGAATATAACAATGAAAATATACAAGAGAAACATGCCACATTTAGGTTGGAGAGCATTTTGACATCACCGTTTTGTTAATTCTGTTCTCTCCACAGAAGCTGTCATCTGTAGACACGTATCAGAACAAACAGAATAATTGTTAACAGCACAATATTTTTTCTTATTTTGGTTACTATTTGGTCAGAAAATATCTCAGGCCAGACTTTCATTACTAGAAATGTTTGTATCTTAAGCTGTGATTTTTTTTCCAAAAATTATGTCATTTTTTTTTAATATTTTAAGTTCTAGGGTACATGTGCACAATGTGCAGTTTGTTAATTTTGTATACATGTGCCATCTTGGTGTGCTGCACCCATTAACACGTCATTTACATTAGGTATATCTCCTAATGCTATCCCTCCCCGCTCCGCCCACCCTATGACAGGCCCTGGTGTGTGATGTTCCTCTTCCTGTGTCCGAGTGTACTCATTGTTCAATTCCCACCTTTGAGTGAGAACATGGGGTGTTTGGTTTTTTGTCTTTGTGATAGTTTGCTGAGAATATGGTTTCCAGCTTCATCCATGTCCCTACAAAGGACATGAACTTATCCTTTTTTATGGCTGCATAGTGTACCATGGTGTATATGTGCCACATTTTCTTAATCCAGTCTATCATTGATGGACATTTGGGTTGGTTCCAAGTCTTTGCTATTGTGAATAGTGCCACAATGAACATACGTGTGCATGTGTCTTTATAGCAGCATGATTTATAATCCTTTGGGTATATACCCAGTAATGGGATGGCTGGGTCAAATAGTTCTAGATCCTTGAGGAATCGCCACACTGTCTTCCACAATGGTTGAACTAGTTTACAGTCCCACCAACACTGTAAAAGTGTTCCTATTTCTCCACATCCTCTCTAGCATCTGTTGTTTCCTGACCTTTTAATGATCGCCATTCTAACTGGTGTGAGATGGCATCTCATTGTGGTTTTGATTTGCATTTCTCTGATGGCCAGTGATTATGAGCATTTTTTCATGTGCCTGTTGGCTGCAAAAATGTCTTCTTTTGAGAAGAGTCTGTTCATATCCTTCAACCACTTTTTGATGGGGTTGTTTTTTTCTTGTAAGTTTGAGTTCTTTGTAGATTCTGGATATTAGCCCTTTGTCAGATGCGTAGATTGCAAAAATTTTCTACCATTCCATAGGTTGCCTGTTCACTCTGATGGTAGTTTCTTTGCTGTGCAGAAGCTCTTTAGTTTAATTAGAACCCATTTGTCAATTTTGGCTTTTGTTGCTTTTGGTGTTTTAGACATGAAGTCCTTGCCCATGCCTATGTCCCGAATGGCATTGCCTAGGTTTTCTTCTAGGGTTTTTATGGTTTTAGGTCTAACATTTACGTCTTTAATCCATCTTGAATTAATTTTTGTATAAGGTGTAAGGAAGGGATCCAGTTTCAGCTTTCTACATATGGCTACCCAGTTTTCCCAGCACCATTTATTAAATAGGGAATCCTTTCCCCATTGCTTGTTTTTGTCAGGTTTGTCAAAGATCGGATGGTTGTAGATGTGTGGTATTATTTCTGAGGGCTCTGTTCTGTTCCATTGGTCTATATCTCTGTTTTGGTACCAGTACCATGCTGTTTTGGTTACTGTAGCCTTGTAGTATAGTTTGAAGCCAGGTAGCGTGATGCCTCCAGCTTTGTTCTTTTGGCTTAGGATTGTCTTGGCAATGCGGGCTCTTTTTTCGTTCCATATGAACTTTAAAGTAGTTTTTTCCAATTCTGTGAAGAAAGTCATTGGTAGCTTGATGGGGATGGCATTGAATCTATAAATTACCTTGGGCAGTATGGCCATTTTCACAATATTGATTCTTCCTACCCATGAGCATGGAATGTTCTTCCATTTGTTTGTGTCCTCTTTTTTTTTTTGTTGAGCAATGGTTTGTAGTTCTCCCTGAAGAGGTCCTTCACATCCCTTGTAAGTTGGATTCCTAGGTATTTTATTTTCATTGAAGCAATTGTGAATTAAGGTTCACTCATGATTTGGCTCTCTGTTTGTCTGTTATTGGTGTATAGGAATGCTTGTGATTTTTGCACATTGATTTTGTGTCCTGAGGCTTTGCTGAAGTTGCTTATCAGCTTAAGGAGATTTTGGGCTGAGACGATGGGGTTTTCTAAATATACAATCATGTCATCTGCAAACAGGGACAATTTGACTTCCTCTTTTCCTAATTGAATACCATATATTTCTTTCTCCTGCCTGATTGCCCTGGCCAGAACTTCCAACACTATGTTGAATAGGAGTGGTGAGAGAGGGCATCGCTGTCTTGTGCCAGTTTTCAAAGGGAATGCTTCCAGTTTTTGCCCATTCAGTATGATATTCGCTGTGGGTTTGTCATAGATAGCTGGCAGAGTGCAGCTGTTTCTGACAGTAAGAGTAGGCTCTTTTGCTGGCTTTGGGGTTTCTGCACTATATGATTGAGGTATAGGAAGGAAAAATGGGGAGGAATGGGGCTGTGCAGCTGGGTAATGTGATGGGTTTCTTGGAGCTCAGTCTGAAGGAGACAAGATGATGATGTCTCTCGCCCCCACCTGGATGTCTGAGCTCTTATTATTTTGAGATATGTCCCATCAGTACCTAATTTATTGAGAGTTTTTAGCATGAAGGGCTGTTGAATTTTGTCAAAGGCCTTTTCTGCATCTATTGAGATAATCATGTGGTTTTTGTCATTGGTTCTGTTTATATGCTGGATTATGTTTATTGATTTGCGTAAGTTGAACCAGCCTTGCATCCCAGGGATGAAGCCCACTTGATCATGGTGGGTAAGCTTTTTGATGCGCTGCTGGATTCAGTTTGCCCGTATTTTATTGAGGATTTTTGCATCAATGTTCATCAGGGATATTGGTCTAAAATTCTCTTTTTTTGTTGTGTCTCGGCCAGGCTTTGGTATCAGGATGATGCTGGCTTCATAAAATAAGTTAGGGAGGATTCCCTCTTTTTCTATTGATTGGAATAGTTTCAGAAGGAATGGTACCAGCTCTTCCTTGCACCTCTGGTAGAATTCGGCTGTGAATCCGTCTGGTCCTGGACTTTTTTTGGTTGGTAGGCTATTAATTATTGCCTCAATTTCAGAGCCTGTTATTGGTCTATTCAGGGATTCAACTTCCTGGTTTAGTCTTGGGAGGGTGTATGTGTCCAGGAATTTATCCATTTCTTCTAGATTTTCTAGTTTATTTGTGTAGAGGTTTTTATAGTATTCTCTGATGGTAGTTTGTATTTCTGTGGGATGGGTGGTGATATCCCCTTTATCATTTTTTACTGCATCTATTTGATTCTTCTCTCTTTTCTTATTAGTCTTGCTAGAAGTCTATCAATTTTGTTGATCTTTTCAAAAAACCAGCTCCTGGATTCATTGATTTTTTGAAGGGTTTTTGTATCTCTATCTCCTTCAGTTCTGCTCTGATCTTAGTTATTTCTTGCCTTCTGCTAGCTTTTCAATGTGTCTGCTCTTGCTTCTCCTAGTTCTTTTAATTGTGATGTTAGGGTGTCGATTTTAGATCTTTCCTGCTTTCTCTTGTGGGCATTTAGTGCTGTAAATTTCCCTCTACACACTGCTTTAAATGTGTCCCAGAGATTCTGGTATGTTGTGTCTTTGTTCTCGTTGGTTTCAAAGAACATCTTTATTACTGCCTTCATTTTGTTATGTACCCAGTAGTCATTCAGGAGCAGGTTGTTCAGTTTCCATGTAGTTGAGCGGTTTTGAGTGAGTTTCTTAATCCTGAGTTCTAATTTGATTGCACTGTGGTCTGAGAGACAGTTTGTTGTGATTTCTGTTCTTTTACATTTGCTGAGGAGTGCTTTACTTCCAACTATGTGGTCAATTTTAGAATAAGTGTGATGTGGTGCTGAGAAGAATGTATATTCTGTTGATTTGGGGTGGACAGTTCTGTAGATGTCTATTAGGTCCGCTTGGTGCAGAGGTGAGTTCAATTCCTGGATATCCTTGTTAACTTTCTGTCTCGTTGATCTGTCTAATGTTGACGGTGGGGTGTTAAAGTCTCCCATTATTATTGTGTGGGAGTCTAAGTCTCTTTGTAGGTCACTAAGGACTTGCTTTGTGAATCTGGGTGCTCCTGTATTAGGTGCATATATATTTAGGATAGTTAGCTCTTCTTGTTGAATTGATCCCTTTACCATTATGTAATGGCCTTCTTTGTCTCTTTTGATCTTTGTTGGTTTAAAGTCTGTTTTATTGGAGACTAGGATTGCAACCTCTGCCTTTTTTTGTTTTCCATTTGCTTGGTAGATCTTCCTCCATCCCTTTACTTTGAGCCTATGTGTGTCTCTGCACATGAGATGGGTTTCCTGAATACAGCACACTGATGGGTCTTGACTCTTTATCCAATTTGCCAGTCTGTGTCTTTTAATTGGAGCAATGAGCCCATTTACATTTAAGGTTAATATTGTTATGTGTGAATTTGATCCTGTCATTATGATGTTAGCTGGTTATTTTGCTCGTTAGTTGATGCAGTTTCTTTCTAGCATCGATGGTCTTTACAATTTGGCATGTTTTTGCAGTGGCTGCTACTGGTTGTTCCTTTCCATGTTTAGTGCTTCCTTCAGGAGCTCTTGTAGGGCAGGCCTGGTGGTGACAAAATCTCTCAGCATTTGCTTCTCTGTAAAGGATTTTATTTCTCCTTCACTTATGAAGCTTAGTTTGGCTGGATATGAAATTCTGGGTTGAAAAGTCTTGTCTTTAAGAATGTTGAATGGCCCCCACTCTCTTCTGGCTTGTAGAGTTTCTGCCGAGAGATCTGCTATTAGTCTGATGGGCTTCCCTTTGTGGGTAACCTGACCTTTCTCTCTGGCTGCCCTTAACATTTTTTCCTTCATTTCAACTTTGGTGAATCTGACAATTATGTGTCTTGGAGTTGCTCTTCTCAAGGAGTATCTTTGTGGTGTTGTCTGTCTTTCCTGAATCTGAATGTTGGCCTGCCTTGCTAGGTTGGGGAAGTTCTCCTGGATAATATGCTGCAGAGTGTTTTCCAGCTTGGTTCCATTCTCCCCATCACTTTCAGGTACACCAATCAGATGTAGATTTGGTCTTTTCATATAGTCCCATATTTCCTGGAGGCTTTGTTCGTTTCTTTTTACTCTTTTTTCTCTAAACTTCTCTTCTTGCTTCATTTCATTCATTTGATCTTCAATCACTGATACCCTTTCTTCCAGTTGATCGAATCGGCTACTGAAGCTTGTGAATTCGTCACGTAGTTCTTGCGCCATGGTTTTCCGCTCCATCGGGTCATTTAAGGACTTCTCTACACTGGTAATTGTAGTTAGCCATTCGTCTAATCTTTTTTCAAGGTTTTTAGCTTCTTTGTGATGGGTTCAAATTTCCTCCTTTAGCTCAGAGAAGTTTGATTGTCTGAAGCCTTCTTCTCTCAACTTGTCAGAGTCATTCTCCAACCAGCTTTGTTCCATTGCTGGTGAGGAGCTGTGTTCCTTTGGAGGGGGAGAGGAGCTCTGATATTTAGAATTTTCAGCTTTTCTGCTCTGTTTTTTCCCCATCTTTGTGGTTTTATCTACCTTTGGTCTTTGATGATGGTGACGTACAGATGGGCTTTTGGTGTGGATGTCCTTTCTGTTTGTTAGTTTTCCTTCTACCAGTCAGGACCCTCAGCTGAAGGTCTGTTGGAGTTTGCTAGAGGTCCACTCTAGACCCTGTTTGCCTGGGTATCAGCAGTGAAGGCTGCAGAACAGCAAATATTGCTGAACAGCAAATGTTGCTGCCTGATCATTCCTCTGGAAGCTTTGTCTTAGAGGGTTACCCAGCCATGTGAGGTGTCAGTCTGCCCCTACTGGGGGGTGCCTCGCAGTAAGGCTACTCAGGGGTCGGGGACCCACTTGAGGAGGCAGTCTGTCTGTTTTCAGATATCAAACTCCATGCTTGGAGAACCACTACTCTCTTCAAAGCTGTCAGGGACATTTAAGTCTGCAGAGGTTTCTGCTGCCTTTTGTTCAGCTATGCCCTGCCCCCAGAGGTAGAGTCTACAGAGGCAGGCAGGCCTCCTTGAGCTTGTGGTGGGCTCCGCCCAGTTCGAGCTTCCCGGCTGCTTTGTTTACCTACTCAAGCCTCAGCAATGGCGGGTGCCCCTCCCCCAGCCTTGCTGCCACCTTGCAGTTTGATCTCAGACTGCTGTGCTAGCAATGAGCAAGGCTCCGTGGGCGTGGGACCCTCCAAGCCAGGCGTGGGATATAATCTCCTGGTGTGCCGTTTGCTAAGGCCATTGGAAAAGTGCAGTATTAGGGTGGGAGTGATCTGATTTTCCAGGTGCCGTCTGTCACAGCTTCCCTTGGCTAAGAAACGGAATTCCCTGACCCCCTGTGCTTCCCGGGTGAGGTGATGCCTTGCCCTGCTTCGGCTCACACTCAGTGGGCTGCACCCACTCTCCTGCACCCACTGTCCGAAAAGCCCCAGTGAGATGAACCTGGTACCTCAGTTGGAAATGCAGAAATCACCCATCTTCTGCGTCGCTCATGCTGGGAGCTGTAGACTGGAGCTGTTCCTATTCAGCCATCTGAGAACCGCCCCAAAACTTATGTCTCTCAACTTCCCAAACATCAGTGTTCAGACACTATTGCTCCATGGGTGAAATGAGACAACCCTATTCATTTAGACATAATGTCCTTTATATGCTTTTTTAAAATTTTGAGACAAGGTCCCACTGTGTCACCCAAGCTGGAGTGCAGTGACTCACTGCAACCTCCACCTCCCAGGCTCAAGCAATCCTCCCACCTCAGCCTCCTAAGTGGCTGGGACCACAGGTGTGTGCCACCACACCCAGCTAATTTTTTGTATTTTTGGTAGAGATGGGGTTTTGCCATGTTGCCCAGGTTGGTTTTGGACTCCTGAGCTCAAGAGAGCCACCCACTGCAGCCTCCCAAAGTGCTGGGATTCCAGGCATGAGCCACTGCGCCCGGCTGGGCTTCTAAAGAAAAATGCCCTTTCCTCCATTCATTTTCCAGGAGAGATTTTGCTTCTTGAAGTGGTTTTTGCTAAGGAAATAGATGAACCTCTCTCAAAGCAATAGTCCTGCCGAAATGGCCCATAGTAATTACAAGAGTTCCCATTTGCCATCAGGCCAGTTGACCCATCCTGAGGAAGATTCCAAGTGCAGCACTTCCCCTTAAATTACTTTTGTGACTGTGACAAATGCTTTATCTCTGTGGGCTCCAATTGCCTCACCTGTAGAAGATAGCAAAGGTGTTATGAAAGTAGCTACCTATTTACTATCTGTAAGTTTGGGTAACATCTTTTGCTCTCTCAGCCAAGGTTTTCTCATCTGTAAAATGGGGCTAATCACAGCATCTCCTCCACAATGTTGTTGTAGTGAGTAAATGAAACAGTAAATGAAATGGCACATAGTAGGCCCTCTATAGGCATTGACGCTCAGTATCATAAACTCAAAATTATCCTTTTGTCAGTTCTAAATGATTTGGCAGCTTTTTAACCTTCTAGATGGCAGCTAAGAAACAAATTGATTCTTCATGACCTTGGTTGCTTTGTTTTTGCCATCTTTTTAAGTTTGGCCGTTTGGAGGCAGAGCCGGTCATAAATACTAACCTTTTTAAAAATCATCATCAGCAACCAGTATGGGAAACAGAATGCTTCCTTGCACAGCTGTCTCTTGTTTGGTTAATTTACTAGATGAAAAAAAGGAGTCTTAATTACAAAAACAGCTCTTAGTATTTGAGGTGTAGGGTTCAAATATCAGAATTTGAAACAGCATTGAGATTGAGCAATGAATTTTTGTTGTATACCAAAAACGTATGTTTTCAATTAAAAGATTATGGGATGAAGAATCACAAGACTCATCCCAGCTCTTCCTCCATCTCAGTCACTTTGAGCAAGAATGTGACCTCTCTGAGCCATATTTCAGCCCATGGAATTTAGTTTTTGTTTTTGTTTGCCTGAGATGATCATCTAAGCCCTCCAGTGTTGACTTCCCATAAAGGGTGTCGCATGCTCAGCTAATCCTACTTGGGCCTGGATTCTGATTTTGTCATTTATCCACTGTGTGATCTTGGGCAAGTTGTTTAACCTCTCTGTGCTCCAGGTTCCTCATACAAAAAATGAGAATAACAGTCTACTTCATAGAGTTATCATGAAAATTAAATGAAAACTGATCAAAATGAGTGCCTAACATATAGTAAGCATAAATAAAATGTTAGCTATTGCTTTTATTATTTTGTTGGCTGTCTTTAGAGGAGAAACCGACAAAAAAAAATGGAAGTATAATCTGAAATCTTGGTGTTTGGATTTTTCCATTTTATGAACCAAATTTACCAAACTAACCACTTAGGAAATAAAGACATCAAATACACTGTCTTTTAATTTCTGCATGTATAATTTCCCTAACCTACAATTCATCAACTACTACTTTCCCCTCTGATTTCTGAATAGGAAAATCATGGCTCTTATCACTATGTGGTATATGTTAAATCCCACCAACATTTCACTTGGGTAACCACATGTTTAACAAATTCTGTCTACTTTATATGGAGACTGTGCCCCTAGAACAGAATGTCTCAAACATTAATGTGCATGTGAGTCACATGGGGATCTTGTTAAAATGCAGATTGTGATTCACCTGTTCTGGAGGCAGAAATCCCACATTTCTAACAAATTCCCAGGAGATGCTGATGCTGCAGGTCCTTAGACTGCACTTTGAGTAACAGGGCCGTAGATATTCACAAGCCATTTGAGCATGGAGGAGGCAGGGGGCACACCTGACCCAAGTAGAGATCAAGCAGTAGAGATCAAGCAGGCCTACAGGAACTCACTGCCAGACCCCCTCTCCAGCCCCAACCTCGCCAACTCTAATTTAAGAAATTGAAATGTTTCAGGGGAAAAATAACAGGAAGATATGGAAAAGACAGTCAAAACCCTACCTGCTTCTCTTCATTTTCCTAAACTTAAAAAAAAAAAATCATAGAATAGATTACACCAAGCAATTTGACCCATCTGCAGTTCTAAATTATCTTCCACAAGACAGGCACGTAGAAGACAATTTAATTCTCCCCTCTTTACTGTTGGGACTGTATCAGTGAGATACAGGTGCTAAAATAGACCCTCCTAGGGGAGCATTACATACCCTGCAGGTACTTAAGTCATACCACTAAGGCCCATTTCATAAAATATGTTTTTGGTGTATTTAAAAGTATTCTGTGGACCTGAAAATATCCCAAAAGCGCCTGCTCTCAAGGAGATCTCACCAGTGTAAAAACCTCACCTGCTATTATAACCAAGAAGATAGCTGTGCATGCTGTGGCAGTGCTTCTATTCCTGAACCAAAGAAAAAACCAAACTTTTCCAGATTGAAATGTCTCTTCCCTAAAAACTATCTGCCATGATCTTGATCCTATTTATTTTTTTACACATAAAAATTGAAAATTAGTCTCACCTGGGTACCAAACAAAGTGGGAAATTGTAGTGAGATTCTATGAAAACCCAGAGGAGGACCTATATGTTACTCTGCTAACACTAGCATATATTTGTGTGGATTTTGTTAATCCCTGAGAGTAATCTGTTGAAAGAATATGGGTGTTTTGCTGCCAAGTACTGAGATTTTTACAGGGTGATGTATACCATTGATCTAATTACCCAAGTCATATTTTGTCTTTTATTTGAGAAATTATAAATCTTAAGTTTTGATTTTTGTCCACAAATCATACCCTAGTCCTAGTTTCCAAAGTCAGAAAAGATTCACGTGTATTTTCTACCCTGAAAAGGGGTATTTCATGTTTGGGAGCATAAAATGGGGCGAGTCTCATAAAGATATCTTGGGTTTTTTTGAAAAATGTGGGTTCAGACTGGCATCAAGAATAAACATTATGCTCTGAACTTTTGCACAGGATAAACCTAATCCTAGCAGTAAACATCTGTTCCCTTTTATGTGCATTTGTGGCTCGTTAATATGAATGTTTCTGCAACCACTGTAGCTTTTCTAATATCCTAAATGGAATCTCTGTGGCCTTTAGAGTAATTACCTCAAAGTTTGAGTCATCCAACCTAAGGACTCTCTGATTAAATCCGGTATGAATTATGGAAAATCAAATGACCATTCCTGGGGGAGGATTCCATTGTGTCCTCCGGAAAGTATTTTCCCAGTGCTCAGGGCCTCTGGTCAGTGTTCAGCAGTCAGCTTGTTCCTATGTGGTTAAATAATTGTAAGATGTTGCCTATGAACCTGGTCACCGCCATGTTTTCATGCAGCCAAATGACATTTACACCATGGTCTTTGAACACACGTTGTTTTGTTTTGCTTTTTAGTTTTGTTTCAGGCTGCACTTCAGATTAATAAGCATCCTCTATAAATGTTATAAACACAAACTTTAAAATTGTTTTAATGGTTTTCATTTATCAAAAGATTATCAATCATTGTACTTTTTAGTTTCAGAGTAATTATTTCAGGTTTCTGCAGTCATGATGATTGTTTTTCATTAGGATAGTGATTGCCTAATGGAATATACAGGAAAACCAGAGAAGTGGGAGCAGCCAGATAAGGAAAAGATTTGTTTATCTCCTAACAGCTCCCAAATCTCACCCACTTAATGGACTGATAATCCCCACCAATGAAATAGGAGAAGCACTCTGTGATAGCAAACTTAAATTCACTTGCACACGGGGACAGAAAAGCCCAGTCTCAACAAGAGAGAAAATTAATAGGCAGGTGCTCAGTAAAAGAAAGACAAAACCATTTAGCAATGAAAGGCAGCGTACTTGAACAAAGAGGCTAATTTTGCAAGACTTTGCCTAAAAGAAGATATTCTGAAGGCATAGTTTATGTAACCGGACAAAAGTTGAACATGGGCCTCAGCAGACCGTATTGATCAAGTCTCAGGAGTGAAGCAGCAGAGTTCTTCTTGAGATGAGTGCACCCTGATTAGGGATATCAAAACACATTATCTGAGTTAGATAAAATAATGTATGAAAAGTACTTTCGGATGCTATCTGGCATGTAGTAGGTGTTCAGTTGGTAGTAATTTTAATTTATGGAGCCTAGTCTATGTAGCCTGACTTAAATAAATGCTCCATAAATCTGAGCTATCACTAACATTATTATGATTATGCCCTTCAGCTACCTTGTACAAAATAATGAATATGGTTCCCTCCCTTTCTCATCCACTCTATCCTCAATTCCCTTAGGAGCCAGTGGCCAGGAAGACACACCCTCCCCAGCTATGACCCATGCCTCCATGAGTCTAACAATGACCAGAATATTTCACTCCATTTTGCAGGCTTAAATTGTTGAGAATACCAAAGTAGGATCTGTTCACAGTCTCAAGAGCTATCTAAGTCTTCATTTTGGGAACACTAACATACACCAACAAGAGCTCAGAAATGATCATGATTGCATGAGCTTAGAATAAATAAGAAATGTATTTTAAAGGAAAAAGAACTCACCACAGACTGGAATAGTAAGGGAAAGCTGTGTGGATAGGACTGAAACTGAGCTGGGAGAGTCCAGAATGTTCGTGTAAATTGAGAGAAAGGGGAAGCATGAGAATAGATCCTACAGGCTCCTTCCCACCAGTTGAGAATTGTGGATTTGGTCTCTGTAATTACTAGTAGTTAAAAAAAAAAGGGGGGGGGGGGGGCGGGGGGAGACACTTTGAACACTTACTGTATTTCTGCACAAGGCTAGACCTTGTCCATGTGTTGGCTCATGTATTCTTCACATCAACATTGTGAAGTACTTTCACACCAACACTGTGAGGTCCTATAACCTATAACGCTTCCATAGCAATTCTTGAATGTAGTAATAGCAGATTTCCTTTAGAAACAGCCAACAATTTAACTTTTCACTATTTTGGAGATGTCTCTCCTCCCTTGTCCGAATATTCCAAATTTACAAGTCTCATGGCATCAGCTGGGGCAGAGTTCCTGCAGAGACCTACATAAATGGAAGCGAGCAGGCACTGCAGCTTCAGGCTACTGTTAAAAGTTCCCAGGCCAGGCAAAGCCACCTGGGTAGATTCAAAGGCACTGGGAAACACAAGCCAGGAGCCTGCCCTCTGGTGACCAGCTCACCCCATCCCAGATGTTAGTGGACTAACCGATTAAGTCAGTGTTTCAGAGGTCTTAGAAAGATGGCCTTGAGATACCAGCTCCGGCATCCGATACAAATGCCAAAGTAAAAACACGGTTGGTTTACACAGCCTGAGGACAAGGAAGAATAAAGCCATCTAGCTGCCCTTTCTGTCTTCCCTGCTCACAGAGCTTGTCTAAGGCTATGCTACAGTATCTGTTGATGGCTGAGCTGCCTTTTGTTGCAGAACTTTGATGCTAACCAGTTATGGCTGACTCTGCCTTGCATAGAGCACATTATTGCTCAGTAAATAGAAATTCCTAAATGAATAAAAACCTGTATGTGCTCTGTTCAGTTTCGGGGTATTTTGATCTGTTCTTATTATGTTCAATTATTTCCAAATAATATTTATTGAGGTCCCATCATGTTATAGCATTGTGCTTAGACCTGTGGAGATTAAGAGATGGATACATTGATTAGAGTCCAATAAGAGGGAAAAGGGCGCATGTACCATTTACATGATACAAGGAGGACATGGTAAGTTCTTGCCTTATAGAAGAGACATAGACAAATATTATGGATAATTCAGGAGAGAGATTCAAAGAGGTAGAGCAATTTGCCCCAAACCACAGCTAATATATGGCAGAGTCAGAATTTGAACCTTGGCAAGCAGAGCCCATATTCTTACCCACTATCTTTTCCTGCCTCTGAAAAGCAAAATAGGTTTCATTTTCACCAGCACTTCTGGGAGAACAATCCTATTGGTAGTCCATATTGAATTGCTTGTAATGATGAGTCCTCCTAGCAGACCAGTGGCTTTTGGATAAGAAACTGGGCATGAATTATGTCCCTAGGAAATAGTTTTGTGTTTGCAAAGTTACTGGATTATGTGCCTAGGAAATAGTTTTCTCTTTGCAAAGTTATGAGAGGACAATAAATATTACTTCAGATGTTGTGCTAGCCACTATGAGTGTTAAGAAAATTATATACATGTATGTAAATGGATATATCACAAGGTAGAAGGTAGCACATGGAGGAGAGAGATACATGGAAAGTGGGATGGAAGTTTGGAGGGTGGATGGATTGCTTCAAGAAAGCTTAAATGATGAACTAGACCTTGAAGGTTGAGTAAGGATCAAATGTGTGTCTTCATTGTTATGTTATTTGAGCTACCAAGCTAATCAAGCCAGATAAAATGATGGTCAGGCAAACCTAACAGGAAATGCTCACTTCACCAAAATTCTTCTCCCATTTGCCTTGCACAGAATCTAGGAATCCAATTTTAGAGATACATTCCTTGGGCCATGGCCCAATGCTTTCCAGGCATCCTCTTTAAAACACAACTTCTGCTGTGAGGTGACTCATCCCAGGTTCTTAGCCATTAATATAGTGGTATGGAGTCATTTATGAAATTCTTTTTTTTGGGGTGGGGGGAATGCTCTTTAAAAATCATGTTTAGAGGAGAAGAGTTTGGAGAGTAAGGCAAGGGAAGAGAGGTCATGTGGATGCATAAGTGAAGAACTTACAATTAGTGCATGCTTACAATGTGCAGGACACTGTTCTAAGACCTTTTTATATATAAACCTATTTGGTCATCAAAACAATAGTATATTCCCATTTTACAGAAAACCCACATCTCTAAAGTTCCAGAAGCAACTTTTTTTATTTTTATTTTTATTTTTTTGGCCTCTCTAATGACCACCTCTCACGAGGCTACCAAGAAATATAAGGGATGAGCCATTCCTTCAAATGGCTTCTGGACTAGGTCAAAGTTTACAGTCCTTGGCAACCAGAAGCAACTTTAACTGAACTATAGAAGGTCAGGTCAGGTTTTAGAGTCAGAAGACCTGGGTTTGAGTCCAGTTCCATCATGTACATCCACATCACTTTCTAAATTCAGTTTCCACACATGTAAAACAGGGATGATAATTCTGTCCACATTCCCCACCCCCATACAAATTTTGCCAAGCACCTGTTATTCATAAGGCTCTTTTGCAAGTGCTAGAGACACAGTAATGACCACAACAGTGCTCATCCCTATTTCTGTCATGCTTACATTTCCAGTGAGGACAGACAAAACAGTTCCCATTGGTGACAAGTATGATGAAGAACCTAAAGTAAGATGATAGAGAGAAAATGGTTGGAGAGCTGGTCAGGAAAGGCCTCCCTCAAACCTCAATGACAGGGAGCTGGTGATATAAGGATTTGGACAGGGGCACTGCAGCATAGGAAAGAGCTTCTGCAAGATGCTGCTGTGGGAATGGGCTTCCTATGTTAGAGGCAGCCCATGTGGCTGGAGGATAGAGAGAAGGGGGCAGAGCCATGGGTGAGGAGCTCAGCCAGAGGGAGGCTCAGTGGGGCCTTGAGGCCACTGTAAGGCCTGAAGATTTTATTCTAATATTGGTGGGAAGTCATCAGATTATTTTAAGAACCAGAGAAATACACTCTTATTTATACTTTTAAATGCTCACTCTGGCTGCTCTGTGGAAAATAGATTATAAGTGGCTGAGAGCAAAAGCAAGGAGACTTGTTATGAATATAAATGAGTAACAGGAAAATTAAATGAGGTAGTAAGTACAATTTCTAAAGAACTTTCAAAGCACAAATAAAACAATAGCTATTAATAGGTCAATTACTACTCATCAAACTAAGGGCGATAAGGAGAACATATCGGTTAATAGCACAAAAGGCAAAGAGGAGCAGGTGAAGTGCTTCTCTTAATTTTAGGTTCCTTGTCAGTTAAGCAGTATATATTCCCTGGATGTTTGTGAAGATAAAGTGTCTAGCTCAGTTCCTGGCTCATAGTAAATGCTCAACCAAACATTATTCTCCTGTCCTGCACGATTCTAAAAAAAAATCAGTTGAGGCGTACATAGTCTGAGAATTCAGCAAGGCTAAACCTTATGGGTTGAAGTAAAAAAATTAAAATGGAAATTTGAGGCTTCATACCTAATAGTCTGATGCTACACAATGATAATTCTACACACTCTCTGGGTTTACAAAGCACGTTTTATACACACACCCCTAATGCAGAATATGGTTTGCAGTCAGTCTCAGTACCTAATATTAATGGCCTTTTAATGCAAGCTAAACTCTTGCAATGAGTGCCATGAAATCCCAGCCTACGCAGCTTACCCCTTCTGACCACTTTGTCATAATCCTATTTCCTTTGCTTTAGCTCTTTTCTAAGGTATCAGCTCGCTCTTGTGTCCTGAAATACTTGAATATTTTAATCTAATTCTCCCTTCTTTGATGGACAGATTTATTTTCTATCATCTTTAATGAAATATCCAGAGATAGGATGTAAGTAGTTATGTTAATGCGATTTATGTTTGTTTCTCTTTTGCAAAAGAACACTTTGGATCAGTGTTGTGTCAATCAAAGCCATCAGAATGATGGTCATCGAATGCAAACCTAATCATTCAAGCCTAAACTCCCTTGAGACACACAAGCCAATGCAGTTCACATGTCCCTATCTAGTTATTATTTTATTTTGTTCTACTTATTTTTAATTCACCATAACTAATTAAATTGATTAATTGTGTTGATGTCTAGAATGTGAAGTATTGAAAGCCAGATGTTAGCTGGGATTCATTAAAGAGTAAACGGTTCATAATTTATATGAATAACAAGATATGATCGTTTCTAGAATGCTCGTTTTTTAAAAAAAAATATTACTTCTACTACTGTGTGCATTGTGTCCCAGATAATGCTCAGAACAACAGGCTTTTATTTTTAATTTTTTATTTATTTCAATAGGTTTTTGGGGAACATGTGGTGTTTGGTTTCATGAATAAGTTCTTCAGTGGTGATTTCTGAGATTTTGGTGCACCCACCACCTGAGCAGTGTACACTGTACCCAATGTGTAGTCTTTTATCCCTCATCACCCTGACCCTTTCTGAAGTCCCCAAAGTCCAATGTATCATTCTTATGCCTTTGCATCCTCATAGCCCAGCTCCCACACATGAGTGAAAACGTATGATGTTTGGTTTTCCATTCCTGAGTTACTTCACTTAGAATAATAGTCTCCACTTGCATCCAGGTTGCTATGAATGTCATTATTTCATTCTTTTTTATGTCTGAGTAGTATTCCATGGTGTATACATATATATCACATTTTCTTTATCCATGAGTTGATTGATGGGCATTTGGGCTGGTTCCATATTTTTGCAATTGCAATTTGTGCTGTTATAAACATGTGTGTGCAAATGTCTTTTTCATATAATGACTTCTTTTCCTCTGGGTAGATACCTAGTAGTAGGATTGGTGGATCAAACGGTAGACCCACTTTTAGTTCTTTAAGGAATCTCCACACTGTTTTCCAAGTGACAACAGGCTTTTTGAGTAAATACTTATTTACATCCATACCTGCAATCTGAGTAAATACTTATTTACATCCATACCTGCAATCTACAAGATAATATCTAATTAACACCTGACTTTTAAGGCGTCACTCAGTAGACCTCAAAACAATGGATGACTTTTTGAATGATAATGAAAATTTACTCTGAGGTTGTGTAAAATATTGGAGTCTGAAGAAACTACACGCTTATTCAAAATCTGTCACTAATTTATTTTCTTACCTTAAATTTATCTTAACCCTGTGGATCTCAAACTCTGTTGGGTATCAGAATCACCTGGAGAACTTGATAGATCTATGCATGCCCACACCCTATCCAAATTTCAAAAAGCCTGGTCTTCAGTGTTGTTTAATAGTGCCTCAGGTGATACTGATACACATCAAACTTTGAGAATCACTGACTTAACCTTTTGGGATGTTAATCTCCCTAAAAAGAAATATCCCATTTGTGTGAGCTTTGAAGGAACAAAAGGATATGGGCATTAGACATAGGAAATTACTGAAGACCATTATTGCCAACCACAGGTATGTGGAGGTAACTTGCAGTTCTCACCAACAACAGTATATCCAGTAGGTAGAATTCAAGGACCCCAGTGTCATGGGAGTCTCATCCTTCCTTGGGAATGGCATAGGAATTGCATGTTGCCCCTCTGTTCTTGCGAGGATCAGAATCAAGAATCCTCCTTAAATAAATTCCTGTTGAGTTTTCTCATGACCCAACCGGGACTTCTCAGTCTCCAGGTTTCCCAGCAGTGCCCCAACCAATAAACCTGCCAGTTAAGCAACTGAATATCATTATTACGAATGTAATTACAGACAGTAATTATGAGCTTGTAATTGCCTCCCATGAATGAAGCCCTTTTCCCAAACCATCTCAGCTGCTTTTCTTTGGAAAATGAAAGCAATCCTATCCCTTACCTCACCCCAAGTGTAGCCTTCCTTGCTTAGAAAAAAACCCCTTCTTGCTGGCCCAAGGGACATGGTAAGCAAGCTTTAATAGGCTGCACTTTAAGGGGCAATGTCCTCTTGGAGTGGAGCCCCTGTTAGCATCTCTCAGCCAAGCATTGTTTCCCTAGGGAGTAATGACTACCCAGTTTGGCTGTTTTTCTTAATTTCTGTGGGGTCAAGGGAATTAATACCAAATTTTAGGAATTTTCTGCAGAAAAATCACATCTTAAAGGCTTTTCAAAATAGTTTGAGAACTTTAACCTTATTTAAATTAAGCTTTGCGAGATGCAATTTGCTGAGGATTTAGAGTATCTGAAAATAAAGCAGACACCATAAAAACATGTGTGCTGAGAAGAATTTTCATGTCTGTAGAAATAAAATCAATCTCATTAGGCCCAGAATTAACCCCTGCCCCCAGTAACTTTATATTTAGCTCATGAAAAACCTCAAGCCCTTATGGATAAAGGTACTTGAATGAGTTACACATGGATATGTTTAGCTCGAAATGCAATACGATCTTTCAAGATCTCAATCTGTTGTTGCCTTTTAATGGCTACTGAGAATAAGTGCCTGTAATTGCACCAGTAGCTAGCACAGTCGAAAGTGGTAGAAGTCCACACCTTTTTGATTTACCATGCAATGAATAATGCCATATAAACTCTGAAAAGGAAGAATCTATGTTTATATAATGTGCCTAATACAATGCTTAGCACAGCCCTTTGCATACAGTGAATTTTCAGAGCTCTTCTCTGAATAAGATCAAATGTTACACCCAAAAGCTAGCACAGTGTACAATTTTTAAAAGGAGACTTATTGCTTACTGGCCAAAGTAAGCTATTTCAAGCCACAGCATTTCCATTTACTATGACAAAGGAATCGTGTGTTGATTGTTACTTTGTTACTATTGTTCATGGTTTTCTCCTGGAGTAGAAATACAATGTGCATGGGCATTGGCATTTTCTCATAGTAATATGAAAACCCGGAAGGGTAAATGCAACTTTCAAAAGTGACTGAGTAATTTACACTTTTAGAGAAACCATCCTAACCAACATTAGCTGAAGACATCTGGTAGCTTTCGAGAGGGTGCTTATGAAAACCTAAAGCATTTTTAACCCTCATGTTAAATAATTTAAAATTCACTTTAAATGTTTGAAAGTCAGCTTAAAATTCAGTGTGCTGTGCACAGGTCAGGATAGACATGTCTCTCTAAGCCCCAGGGATATGGGTATCCATGGTCTTCTCGTAATTTCACTGTTAAAAAAAATTCACATATAAATTTGTGAATTATGATCACTTTAAAAAGACCATATAAACTCTGAAAAGGAGGACTCACATATTTATATTATATTTTTTCTAATTTTGACAAACAGTAGCTTAAGAATTTCTGAAAATATGGATGACCAGATGGATTGTTTTTTTAATGTGTACAACATGCATACAAATATGTATATATATATATATTAGCTTGCTCATTTTTGCTCTCTATATCCATGTGCAGTAAAGATATTTAAGGAAGTAAAATTTGCCACCAGGGAAGGTTAGTGTCAGAAATTTTTCATCATATTATTACATTTTTTCCCATTTTCTGTAGGCCAGACCCTCAAGTCCCTATAAATTGAATAGAAAAAATATATATAATATACATAAATAATTAACCAGCTGTACTCCAAAGAATTTAAGTTCATCATTCTATCATTAGGGCTCTTAATTTGTCCCACACCTAAAGCACTATCTGCTTTCCTTCATCGGTTCTTATTGCCAACTTGGGACTCTACTGAAGCCCTTTACAAAACTTCTATTTGTAAGATTCCCTTCTTTTTTTTTTTTTCTTTTTGTAGGCCATCAGAGGTAGAAGGTGGTAAAAACAGAGTTGCCACTCTCGGTGTGGCCACGTGAGCACGTCCCACTTAAGTAACAGGGTGTCCCTCAGGTCAGCTTGTGATAAAACCCAAGTCAAACAAGGCTGAATCCTGGGTGTTTTATGTCCTAAGGATCTGAAAAGTGTTCACGGCCAGCCCTGACCCTCAAGACCTCAAATGGTCATCTAAGCAGTAACGTAAATTGGTGTGTAAACTTGCTCCTGGGCCATTGCTGTGGAAGTGGGACTGGCGAAAGTACAGCCTTGCCATGCAGGAACTAATGTCTTTCTAGGCATTTAAAATAAGGGGGAATGTGTTGATTACTCCGACAGGCAACCCAACTGCAGTGGCTAAATGCCCAAGGCTGACAAATTCTGCATCTTATCACTCCCGTCAAGTGGCATGTGAATACTGTCAGCCCAAAAGAATTGAGAAACAACTTGCCTTCCAAAACTCTGCATCTCAGCAAAATCTTGACAATGCCAACAGCTCGTCATCTCGTGTTTTTCAACCCTTTAGAAAATGGCCTTACAGCCTGGGACAAACCGAAGCACTGTCCAGACCGAGAACACGACTGGAAGCTAGTAGGAATGTCTGAAGCCTGCCTACATAGGAAGAGCCATTCAGAGAGGCGCAGCACGTTGAAAAATGAACAGTCGTCGCCACATCTCATCCAGACCACTTGGACTAGCTCAATATTCCATCTGGACCATGATGATGTGAACGACCAGAGTGTCTCAAGTGCCCAGACCTTCCAAACGGAGGAGAAGAAATGTAAAGGTAACCAGATTTTTATTAGCCCATTATCATGTGTTTCAACAAGAAAAAAAATATCCCTGTTGTAGCTGTGTACTTCATCTACATTTCTCTTCCAATGTATGGTGTCCCATGTTTTCTCCAACTGTTCTTTTACTAGGCGTCCTTTTCTTCAAATATTCTTTTAAACATAAATAAATAAGTGGAATCCAAAGAAAGGCAGCTTGTTTCGGTTTCACGTTGTGCTGGGACACTTGGGGTGAAGACATTTTTACTTCTCTAATTAGTAGAGGGGTTGTAAGTTTTGGCTTTAATTCCATTTTTGGGTCTGAGTAGAAACAGGCATCGCTGTATTTTTATGAAGTCTTGCTTTAAAGTGTGTCTGTGCATGTGTACATTTCTTTTCCCAAGTGTGCCAGTAGCTAATGGGATCTCAATGCCTACCTTTAACCTAGACAATTCATGCTCAAATGAGAGGTTTTAAGTTGTTGTCTTCTACTCATTAAATCCTTGTGTCATCATCCTGAAAGGAGAGATTATGGTGTTAGGAGGTTGTCAGCTCATAAGGCAAAAAAAACATTAAACTGGCCTAAGTTCCTGATTGCATTAGATTTAACTGTTCTTTACCTCAGGTCGCCTCCACCCTGACAGATGTCTTTGTGCTGATCGCTTTATTGTCTTAGGGCTCCCCAAAATCTTTGCTTCTTAAATCAATTTGTGTCTTTCAATGTCCAAGAGATCAATTTGCATCTTTAAATGTCTAAGTTCATTTAATTTCCCATTCTTTTTCAGTTTAGTGGTTTTTCTTTTTTAAAAGAAAAGGGGGGGTCTATTTAGTTTTTCTTTGAGGATTGTGACTCATGGTAAAGTTTTAAATTGTGTTTTGAAAATCTCACAATCATATACCAAAACATAATAAAGTTTGCAAAGACTCCCATTTACAAGGCATGAAGGACTTACACAGCTGCTCTACTTTGAACATATACACATGATTATATTTATCCTTCATATAAAAGAACTGGTCTTTTAGGTTTTCTGAAAATGCTTTGAAAGCTCCTGGGAATTACCAGTTTACCTGGGAAATTGAGTGTTTCAGTTGGAAATAGAGTTATTCAAAAGTAATAGTGAAATAGTGTTCTGAGCTCTGATTTGAGTGCAGTCAAAACTATACATGTCCCTTTGGAAAGGTTTGTATTTGGACTCTCTTTCTCTCATATATATATATATATATATATATATTTGAGGAGATCTGAGAAATTGAAAGGGCTATATAGAAAAAAAAGCAAAATAAAGTTTTTCAAAGGAGTCAGGATGTAGGACGTATGTGTGTGTGTGTGTGCACGTGTGTGCGTGCGCAAAATACATTTGTTTGCAATACAATTGAGATTTACTCTTAGCGTATGTGGCCAGATTGTATCTCAACATTGTATGGGCTGGCACTAAAACCATGTCAGTTTACGGTGAAACGCCAACAGAAAACTCTAGCATCCTTGTGATCTAATAATGTCATAAACCCAATTTGATTCACTCACAATTGATACCAATATTCATTCATTTATTCATTCATAGAGTCCATCTATGTCTCTATCAATCATTTAAAATAAATCTATGCATCTTAAAAGCAAAAGGAAACAGTCTCTGTTTGAATACAAGATGCTTAGTAGAGTGGTTAAGACCACAAATATTTGAGACTGATCTATTTGAGCTAGAATCCTAGCCTTTCTACTTTCTGTCCTTGAGCAAACTTATAAGATTGTTAATACAATTAAATAAGATGATGTATTTAAGCATTTAGCAAAGTACCTGACTTATAGTGCTCTCTGAATAGCAACTGTCATTATTATTGTGATCCTTATTATTAGGTATGCATTATTAAGTCATATAAATACTTTGAACTATGCTGTGAGCCTGGTAAGAAATGAAGCAAGAGGAGAATTTCAGATAGATGTGGGGTAGGACATGAGGCTTCAGGGACGTTAGAGTTGATAATTTATTTTGCATTCATTCAACTCTTTTTCACTGAAAGTCAGAGATGTAATGAGAAAATATAATTAAATTATTAAAGTCCTTCCTCAAGATCCTAATATTAACAGGAAAACAGCTAAAATAACTCTCCCATGTTTTCCAGAGTAACCACCAGGGTCCACCTTGACATAGGCATGAGGCAATGCCTTGGTTCAGCATAAAAATGCCACCAGGAAACCTGTGTCATCTTGGTCCAAGAAACTTATAAATACCATTCATTCAAAATGGGCACATGTGTTGAGTGAGGCAGCAGTGAGTCCAGGACAGCAACAAGATTATACAGTCTTTCCTTATAGAGTTGGTTCTCCATCTGCTCTGCTTGTCAGCTCTATATAGTTACTATGAAGAGAGTTATATTTTGATGTTCATCCATGTTGGGCATTTATTTCCTAGATGGCTGTGTATCCCACAAGAATGCTTGACATCTCAGTCTTGGGCTAGTAATCTATGCATTCACTCATCGGTGTTTATTGAGTGCCTACTGTATACAGGATATTGCCCTTGATGTCCAAGCATAAGAAAATGGCAGCAGGGCCAAAAGGACATCCAACTAGCCCTATTCCAAGGACCCCATGTAGAAATGATACGAACAAAATAGTCCTGAGGATACAAAAGTTAATTCTGCACAACAGGATCCAAAGAACAAATTGACTTCCTTGAAGCTGTGCAGTGAGCCCATCTGCCAGATCAGTCATCTAGCCAGGCTAGACCAGTGCACTTCTAAGCGTGGTTTGGGGACTGGCACTCTTCTGCAAAGTGGTTATTACCATTTCTATTGATGCAAATACAGAAACTGAGAGTAAGCTTTAGGAACTTTTATAGCAGTTTGACATTGCCACTGGCATCCAAATGCATGATCAGTGAATTCATTTCACTGAACAGGATATAGACAGTTAGTTGGGGATTGTCAAACTTGCCTGGTCAGTCACATGTGGTTTGAACTATGTAAAAGTCCTGTGCAGTAGAACCATGTATTGCTCCATAATGGACCAGATTTTTAAAATAGTCTTTCACTTCAAATAGTTGATAGTACTCTAAATATTGTTTCTTTAGGGTTTTGGGTAGCTATCTAAGGTTTTGTTTTTCATTTTGTTCTGAATACTGCTTTTTTTTTTTTTTTTTTTTTTTGAAATGGAGTCTTGCTCTGTTGCCCAGGATGGAGTGCAGTGGCGCAATCTCGGCTCACTGCAACCTCTACCTCCCAGGTTCAAGCAATTCTCCTGCCTCAGCCTCCTGAGTAGCTGGGATTACAAGCATGCACCACATGCCCAGCTAATTTTTGTATTTTTAGTAGAGACAGGATTTCGCCATGTTGGCCAGGCAGGTCTCAAACTCCTGAGCTCAGGTGATCCACCCACCTCAGCCTCCCAAAGTGGTGAGATTACAGGCATGAGCCACTGCACCCGGCCTTACTGCTTTTATTTTAACCTGCATATACCTATGCTTCTGTCTGCTGTAAGCATCCTAAGTGAATTAATTGGTAACACATTTAATTAGAATGAGAGCTATGGAAGAGCCCTTACATTCTGTTGCAGATCTCACAACAGATCTCTGTTGAATCTGCTGGAGTATCAGAGGCTATTTTAACCAGGAGCAAGTGACCCATTCCCTTCTGCAACTCACCCCACCCACCCACACCCGCTCTTTCCATGCCACACTTCCTTGGCACTTTAATCACAATTTGAACCAATTGCTCAGCCATAAGGACCACATCCTACTCCTTGTCCTCCTCCTCCCTTCCCAGTCTGAGACGATATATCCAGTGCTACTGAAAGTGTGGTAGTACCAATCAGTGGCACTAGGAGAACCTGGAGCTTGGTAGAAATAAGATTCTCAGGCCCCACCCAGACTAGTGAATCTCTAGAGAGGGGCCCAGCCTTCTATGTTCTTGCCAGCCCAGTGCAGATTCTTAATACCTGGGTATCATGACGAGCTTGAAAATACTCTTCAACTCGTTGCACAGGAAAGGGTCTGCCACCTGGTGGGCACTTAGGAAATGTGCATTTTTCTTCCCTTCCCTGACTGCACGTGGGGAGCCACTTGAGTCCCTCCATTCTTGGTTGGGCCTGTCTTTGGGCCTAGCTTATCTCAATTGCCAGCTGGAAGGTCTGCTTAGTCACTGCCTAATAACAGATCACCCTGGGACTTGAGCCCTTCTGAGAACCCCACACTGTTTGACTGGGGCCCTGATCCTCCCCTGAAGTCTTACAAGGCTTCACCCCTCTACCCTCTCATGCCCTACTGTACTTCTCTCTGGGAACCACAGGGTCTCCCCAGTCCCACAAGGATGGGCTCTAGACGGATGCATGGATCCCTGGAGCTGGACCTAACCAGCCCTGCTGAACCCAGGCAGTCAGGCCTTTACACTTTTATGTCAATCAGGGACCTCCCTGAAACAGTGAAACCCAAGGGGAGAAACAAGGCAGGGACTCACCCACCTCCCTGGTGGACTCAGAAAAAGGAGAGCAGCCATCAGTGATCTCACAGAAATGTCTCTGTGCTTAATATTTTTAAAACTGATTCTCAGATACCCAGGAAGGCAAGAGGGAATCAGTTAAAATAATTTTAAGAACAAGTTACTTCCTCTCATTATAAAAGCCTATATATGTTCATGGTAGAAAAAAAATTTCTACAAATTTTTAAAATTGCAAATAATGTTTTAAAATCAGTTGAAGTTCTATTCCCCAAGGGTAAGCACTGCACATTCTTATTACATTTCAGTCTTTTCTCTGTGCATGTGTATTTTTTATAAACCTGGGATCATACTAGGCATACCATTTTAACCAGCTTTTAATGCCTAGCAATATATCATGAACATTTTCCCATGTCATTAAATATTCTGAGTCCTGACTTTCATTGGCTATAGATTATTCTTCTTTATAGATGTATCATACTTTATTAAACCAGTCCTCAAGATTTAGACAAGTTAAAGTAATTTTTTAAACAATATCTTATGTCAGCAAAGGGGAAAACTATTAATTCATGCTCTTCATAAAGACAAAAAAAATGAATCAAATCAGTGATGACAATTTCAAATGATGTGCCATTCTCATTTACCAAAATAACAAAGTGTCTTAAAAGTTGGAGACATAAATGCAAGTCATTGTGTGCATTATAATCCTTCATGTTAGACATTCACATTTTCAGCAGATGATTGCTATCTTTGTCCTTAAGTAAAATACAAGGGCATCTCCAGGTGAATGAGTATTTTAAAAGGTGGAGGATTAAAAAGCTTGTGCCCTTCCGCCAGTACTACCATCTGCTCCATCCATCTCTGCTCTCTACTCTGCCCCACTCATCATACATCAGGATCTGCAGTCCCAACTGAGAGTGCCAGTGATTCTTATACCTCAAGGGCACTCTGGGAACCTTAGCAATCAACATGAGAACGATGGCTCTCTCCCCACTGTGGGCATATGTCAGATAGCTGTGTGATTTGATACTTCAAAGGCAGGGACGAGTACCCCATACGTATACTGGGGCAGACAGAAATAGAAAGCCAAGGGGGAGAAAAGCTACTCACGAGATTGGAGGGAAGAAAAAACAAAAAACTGGAAACAGCAATGTCAAAGGGAGGTAGATATCAGAAATTCAAGGCCCTGGTTCATCTAACTTCAGTTTTCGTTGAGATGCACACAGAGCAGAGGATGGACCACCCCACGCTTTCCAAGGCCAACTGAACAGTGTCTGTCACGCCAAAGGATGCAGACGTACCCAACCATACCTCTCATCATACTCTGTCCCAGGGAAATACTTACACAGGGCACAAGTCTGTTCAAACATGTTCTTTGCATCTTTGTTTTTTGTTACTGATAAACTGGAAGCGATCTAAATGTCTGTCCACTGGGGAATGTTCCAATAAATTGTGGTACATCCAAAGCATTCACCAGAAAAATTAAAAACAGGCTTTTTTAAAAGAAGTGATTTTAGGAATACTTATTGAAAGTAAGCATGCATTAAGAATAGTGTAATCCCATTTATAACGTTAAAAGTCTATATAATTGTGTGTTTACAAATGTGCACAGAAAAAAGTTCCCAGATATACATCAAACTTGTTTCAGTAGATACCTTAGAAAAGGGCGGAATAAGAAGGATTAACTCCATATGCAACCACATTCAAAAATCTTTACAAGAACGTATTAATAAATATTAATGAATGTATTAATGAATAATGATGTGCATAAATTTGTTTAATGTTATTATCATATGCTTTACAGTTAGGCTTCAGTTTATTTCTTGCTCTTTAAATCATCAGCTCAGGGAAAATTTTTTAACCTCTGTAACCCTCAGTCCATTTAGTTTTAAACAGAGGAATAATATCTAGCTTTCAGATTTGTTGTAAAGATGAAAGATATTTCAATGAAGGATTTAATTTAAAAAAAAAAAAAAAAAAGATGAAAGGCCAGGCGCCGTCGCTCACACCTGTAATCCCAACACTTTGGGAGGCCGAGGCAGGTGGATCACTTGAGGTCAGGAGTTTCAAGACCAGCCTGGCCAACATGATGAAACCCTGTCTCTACAAAAAATACAAAAAAAAATTAGCTGGGGATGGTGGCGTGTGCCTGTAATCCCAGCTACTCAGGAGGCCGAGGCAGGAGAAGCGCTTGGAACCCAGGAGGCAGAGGTTGCAGTGAGCCAAGATAGCGCCATTGCACTCCAGCCTGGGCGACAGAGTGAGACTCTGTCTCAAAAAAAAAAAAAAAAGAAAAGAAAAAAGAAAAAGAAGAAAAGAAAAAAGATGAAAGATAATATGTATAAAGCCCCCAACATAGTGCCTGACACTTAGGAGAGACTAAACAATGATAACTGTTCTTAGAATATAAACACACCTCTTAGCCTTGTGCCCACCTCCTCCAGTTTTTGCCACCCTTTCTGACCTTGAAATACATTGAACTATATAAAAATAAATGAAGGGACGCCAAACAAAACATCATGTGCACAGCTCTAGTAGAGGCATAAACAGTTGAAAAAAAAGTCCATAGCAACAACCAAAGTATTTTTTTTCTCAGACTCTTTTAAAATTTAAAACTTTAAATAAGAAATCAAGGGGAAAATGAAGTAGCTGAACTGGAATTCTAACTCAGGCAATCTGGCCCCAGGGTCAGAGCTCTCTACAGTTATAATCCCCTATGACTTTAAAGGGTAAGAACATTCCAGACCCAAAGGAAAGAATTTGAAACTGCAGAGGAAATACTGCTCTACTGTCAGGTAAAGATGCAGGGTGGTCAGACTTGCTGTGATGGGAGCAGTAGAGGTCAGCACGTATCTACTTATACAGTCCGAGGTCATATTCTGGTGCTGCCATTTACCAGCCATTGAAACTTGGGCAAGTCACTTTGTTTGAGCCTCAGTTTTCTCGTCTGTAAAATGTGGACCCTCTTTCACAGAATTGTGGAAAGAAACAAGCTCTTAAATGATCTCATGGGACACAGTGAGTGCTCAATAGATGGGAGTTATTTTTCTTACAATGAGCCAGAAAGACTATGAGAACCACATTGGACATTAGGAATGCAGAATGCCCACGTCAGAATAATCACTATATTGTGGCTGGCAGGATTGAAGTTTCTAAAGCCAGGAATATTACGGACGCAGGCAGAACAGATGTAATAGCCAAATCCCTTGACTCTTCCATCAGGTAGTTTTCAGACAAAATCAGATACAAGTGGATTGCTAATGTACCTAGCACTGAAGTTGGAAAGGTATTATTGGGAGGGTCAGCCTTACAAAGACATCGTAGGTGATCACTGGAATTCAGTCTTTCCCTTCCCCAGGACATCTCCTACAAGTTGCCCTGAATGCTTATAATTCTATCATTGCCCTTCCATTGTGGTCTTTCTTTTTTTTGTTTGTTTTTTTGTTTTGTTTTGTTTTTGAAACGGAGTCTCACTCTGTCGCCCAGGCTGGAGTGCAGTGGCGCAATCTCGGCTCACTGCAAGCTCCACCTCCCGGGTTCACGCCATTCTCCTGCCTCAGCCTCCCGAGTATCTGGGACTACAGGCGCCCGCCACCACGCCCGGCTAACTTTTTGTATTTTTAGTAGAGATGGGGTTTCACTGTGTTAGCCAGGATGGTCTCGATCTCCTGAACTCGTGATCCGCCCACCTTGGCCTCCCAAAGTGCTGGGATTACAGGCACGAGCCACCGCACCTGGCCCCACTGTGGTCTTTCAAAACGCAAACTTACTGGCTGAATATCTTATCAAGTCATTAGCTTCTCCAAATGGATGAATTGGATAAGATTCCTTTTACTCTTGGCAGGGTCCAATAAAGACAATGGAAAGAATGGGACTAGAAGGAGGCCATGAACAGGGTAAGGATAGCAAGGGATAAGAGAGAAGGAAAAGAATAATAATAAGGAGCAGGACTGCCAAGTAACAAGTAATACTGTGCAGCTTGTCAGGTTGTGAGCAGCACTCACTTCATTGTCAAGGCTCTAAAGACAAATGTCACCTATCTCACTGTTTGTCAAGGGCTGACCCTGAGCGTAGGTTTAAACTACAAAGAGTTTCCAGCCAAATCTAGACAAATGTGTGAATGACGTAATGATCATAGGCTATCAAGATATCCCCAAAGGCCTCACCTTACACAGCTGGCCTGCTGCATCGTATCTTAGGGATTTTGCCCAGCACTTAGTAAACACATAGGAGAATGTTTAGAACAGATGACCATTGGTTCTTGGCTTTGACGCTTACCAGCTATTTAACCTTGGCTAAATCAATAATTCTCTCCAACAAAGAATGTAGTCAGAGATTAACTGACCACAAAGAAATCAAATAGATGAATCTACACTCCATTTTTAAAGTGGCCCTCCAATATGATAATCATATTTTCCCTTGTGGGGAAGACAAGGAAAAATATATTAAATCATTACCAGCCCCCTAAAACAAGCTATGATCATCATGAAAACATAAGACCAGTTCCAGGATAAGTTGGGAAATCAGTTGCCTTAAACCATCTCTTTCAGTGTCCTTACTTCCCTTGAGGATATCTTTTTCCCAGGAAAATAGGAGTCTTCAGGCTATCCAAACCCATTTTCAGTCTCTACGAAGTCTAGGCTTCTTCCCTCTTCACATTCTGAAAACATTCTCATTTTCCATAAAAAAAACTTATTCCCCTGAAGGTGTTGGTGACCAGTACTGACTTACATCCTTACCTCTCCAGGGCAGGGAGGCTTTGAGTTTTGAGTACTCCTGGAGATGCAGCGACCTCATGCCAAAGGTAGCCTCTGATAGTGGCATTGCAGTCTAGGAAGCACATACATGGGGGAACCGTATCACCTGTGCTTACAACCTGCCCTGGCATAGGGCTGGTTTATCTCTCCAGTTATTCTATTCTGTGGCTAATTCTGTGAGTTGTATTTACAGATTGGTCTTTCAGGTCTTGGCCAGTTCAGCCTTCTTGATTGAACTGGAATAAATATGAGCCTCTATCCACACTGCCCGGGTCCCAGAAATTCAGAAACAGCTGAGCTTTTCAAGTAAGATTAGAGTCAGAAATTCTCCAAGGTCCAGAGCTATTCTCCATGGCACTGACCTGACATAGGATTATTATATATTGTGAACCTCTGTCCCCATGACATTTGTCAGTATGGGCTTATATAAGGGACTTGACTTTATTCAACTTTACTGCCTTTTAAAATACAGAGCTGTGCTGCATATGTGACTGTTTAACTCAATTGTCTATATGATAAAGACACTTGGCATTTGAGTCAGAATATCATGTGTGGGTTGATGGTTTATTAGTCTAGACTGCAATATTCTATGACTTGCAGATTGTACCCCAACCACCCATAGTTGCCTCAGACATCTAGTACAGCTATAAAGGCCATACTATTTTAGTTAAGCCTCAGGACTAATGAAAAGATATGTATTCAGCTCTTTGTTTGCCTAGTTCTGGAAATAACTTCTTATAATAAGACTAAGATATAAAACTAAAGGTCAAAACTAAAGGTCAAAACTGTGTAAGTAAAAGAAGCTACTGCCCTTTAAGGGAAAAATAATACATGTTAATTTTTGCAGCAATTTCAATTGAATGGGTTTCCAGGGAAACAGGTATCTGCAATGGGTTCATCCCACTTAATATTTAAGACAAAACATAGGGAATTTCTTTCTTGTTACCTTTTCCTTGTTATCTTACACACGACATGCTCATTCTTAAATTTCCTTTGAAGCGATCATTCTATGCTTGAGTCTTATTTGTTCTCCCAAAAAAAGAAATGAATGCCCGTTCTATGATTTTTTTAAGACTTTTTGATATCAGGAATATAAGCCTGGTGATCACTACTAAAAAATAAAATTATGCAAATCAATCTGACCCCCTTTTTTAATGAATCAAAAGCTATTTGTTATTACTTGTTTTATTGAAAATCTGCTTACTTTCTGAGTTGGATTCTGTTTCTAAGAGTTGAAGTGGAAAAATAAAATTGGTGGCAAAGGACCACTAAGTCTTCAAGGTTGAGTAAATTGTACGTTTTCTTGGAAGAGCTCCTCAGGCAGACCTATAAATTCCTTTTTATATTTTGTTCTAAATTAATCTCAGGTTTACCAAAAAGTTGTAATAGTGCAAATAATTCCCATACCCCTCACCTGGATTCACCAATTGTTAACATTTTACCATATTTCTTTTCTCATTCTCTGTATGTGTTTGTTTGCATATATACATATTATTATTATGTCATTTGCAAACCATATGAGAGTAAGTTATAAACATCATGCCCTTTTAACTCTAAATACCTGCTAAAACTAAGGAAATTATCTTAGGACACCATAGCACAATTATCAGAATTGGGAAGTTTAACGTTGATGCCTACTATTTTCTAATCTACAGACTTTATTTACATTTTACAAATTATCCTTCCTGCCACCCCCTTGGAGGGGGAGTTGAGGTGAGGACCAGAGCTGGAGAGAGGACTTGTCTCTAAGGGGTTTTCACAGGCTTCATTCCTCTAGATAGGGCTGGGAGAGGCCACCACCAATTGTCCTCTATACCAATCTTATTTTCCGGTCTGGGATCCAGGCCAGGATCATTCATTTTATTTATTTATTTTTTATCTCTTTAGTCTGCTTCTTCCTCCCACCACCTGTGCAGCTTTATTAGAGTATAATGGACAAATAAAAATTGTATGTATTTATCATGTACATGTTATGTTTTGCCACATTATACAGCTTTAAATTATTAAATCAAGCTAATTAACATATCTATCACCTATATCCTTATCATTTTTTGTGGTGAGAACATTTTAGCAATATCTAACTGAAATTATGTACCCTTTGACGAACATCTATCTGTTCTACCTACCCTCCCCGCTGCAGACCTTAGTTATCACCATTCTACTCTAGTCTGCTTCGATTTCAGCTTTTTCCATTCCACATATAGTGGAGATCATGGAGTGTTTTTCTTTCTGTGCCTGGCCTATTTCACTTAGCATAATGTCCTCCAGGTTCATGTTAGTCTGGAACCGTTTCACAGTTTTTCTTTGTCGTTCACACCATTGAAGAAATATTTCTTGACAAAATACAGGCTGATTATTATTTTGGAATGTCCCTTAATTTAAGTTTGATGGATGTTTCCTCATGATTTTTTTTAGACAAGGTCTCACTTTGTTGCCCAAGCTGGAGTGCAGTGGTGAGCTAATAGCTCACTGCAGCCCTGAACTCCTGGCCTAAAGTGATTTACCCACCTTGGCCTCCTTTGCTCTGGGTTACAGGCATGAGCCACCGCACCCAGCCTTTCCTCATGATTAGAATCAGATTATACATTTTGGACAGAGATACTAAAAAATTGTATGATACGGTGTTTGTTCCTATAAAATTTTGAATTTAATTATATGATGCAGAAATAGTTTTCAATCTTCCAAACCACTTATATCTTAGTGTGAGCAGGCCTAGATCTTTACTGGTGAGCTGGCTCATTATCTTACTGGGTTAGAAGAAAGTATATTTTCTAAAGTCCTCTAATAAGCAGCTATTCAATGCTCTAAAGGTGAATGTCAGAAGAAAAAGTTACTTGTTTCTCTGTCCCCTGTGACATTTTTAAGGTTGGACCCATAGGATGATACTTACCTAGGGAACACCTTTCTCCATAATAGGGGCAAAGAGCACATTGTCCACGGTCTGAAGACTTTTCTGAAGATTAAAAAAAAGACACAGCCACTTTATTCTCGTCTCATATTTTAACTAAACATTCTTTTCTTTCCACAATCCAATCATATTACATTACAAAACAACTAAGATCAGAGTATGTCTTGATAACCTTGATATTTATTGTGTAACTTTCTAGAACATTTTGACATTTGAAATAAAATGAAGAATTTCAATTTGCCATTTCTGGATTTGGATCTCAAGGGCACCAACATGAAGTAGATCCTATTTTTGCAAACTTTTACAAATCCTTTTTCTCTACTCATCCTTCAAGGCCCAATTCAGACATCGCTTCCTCTGTGCGCCCCCATGCCCCATCAGAATGAATTTGGATTTTTGTTTTTAATGCTGTGATGAAATTTTGTACAAGTATTCATTGTGTTCTGCCTTATTTAATTGTGGCTTCTGAACATGCCTGTTTGATTCACTGCAGATGGTGAATTCGTCATAATTTATACTGACAATGTTTTAAATTGAGTGTGTTCTGTGTGTCCAATACTGTACTATATGCTGAGAATAAAAAGTTAAATGCACACCCCTTTTTTCGTAGGATTTTTCAAACAGAAAATGTTGGCAGAGCTTCGAGTCTAGGCTTGCAATGAGCAGTAACTCTGTTGACAACCAAGCGATGATGAAAATTCTATTGGCTGGCTGGCATTTGTCTTAGGAAAGAATAATGAAGAATGTAACCTACGTTGTTTCAAAAATAATGATTCCATTTTACTCCATGTTCACTTAACACTTGAAGTATTCAGTGTGTGGGATACTGTTTTCTGCTTGCTGATAGGTATTTTTAGTTTGATTGCAAATTTCAGAGTCAGGGCCAGGTCTTCCTTCTATAGTGTATCTCCATTAGATCTGGGAGAATAACATACATGGTATTGATACATAAATGATGTAAACTTTATTTTATTTTGAGAATCAGTCTTAATTAACTCAAGCTGTTTGTAGCCCTGCATCTATTTTTGTAAAGCTTCACTGAGATATAATTTACATGCCATCAAATTCCCCTGTTTTAAGTGTATAGTTCAATGATTGTTAGTATATTTACAGAGGCATGCAACCATCATCAGGATCTTATTTTAGAACATTTCCATCATCCCAAAAGAAACTTTGAGTCGTTTACAGTTACTCCCCATTCCTGTGCCCAGCCTCTGGCAACCATTTTTCTTTCAGTCCCTGTAGATTTGCCTTTTCTGAAGCTTAACAAAAGTGGAATGCTACAATACGTGGTCTTGTATGACTGGCATCTTTCTCTTAGTATACTGTTTTTGAGATTCACCCACAATGTAGCATGTATCAGTACTTTGAACTTTTTACCTTTTATTATTTTTATAACATTTTCAAGTATAATGTAGGACTGGAGCCTTTACTGACAAAGAATAAATCTTTTGAAACTACATCAGCTGTGGCATAGTCTAAATTTTGCACTAGTTGTTCTTAAGGGTGAAAAAGCAAAGTAAATGCAGGTGATTCAATTGTTCATTCATTATTCCTATTATTAGGGAAATTTGTTTTAAAATTAATCTCTGACATGCTATTCTGGGATAAAGAAAGTATACTGTAGCTGTTAAATGTCAAAATTATTCCACTTAAACAACCACTCAACTTTTCACATCAAGTCGATCATTGTGAATTACAGTGAAATAATTATCTTAACACATTAAGGGGAAACATATCTACTTTATCTAATGATTAAATTAAAAAATACATTAAATGAGTTGCTATGTGAAATTCAAGCAAAACATAAATGATATTTATAAAAACAAAATATCGAAGAGCATTTTTTTCTAGAGATATAAGGAAACATATTGACTATAATAAATATACAATGTGACATTAAATTAAGCACATCTTTGGAAAAACAGATAAATCATTGAAGTGATCTTAGAATTTGTGTTGAAACACATTATTAGTCACCCAGAAATTCAAAAACAATAAAATAATTTTCCACTTAGAAAAGCATAGCGTGGAAGTGGGAAAAGTGATTTCTAGAATAGTAACTTGAGGGCCTAAATTTCAATACTAACCTTTTCCCTTTGTAATTATGTACAGTAAGAAAAGCACCCCTCAGTTTTCCACTGTGCAAAATGAATGGAAATACCTTCCCAAGCAATCTTATTGTTTATAAAGACACCATGCAATAGACCTCATCATTATTATGTAGCCAATTGTCTAATTAAAGGTACACCAAAACTGAAATATTTTTGCATTTTTTTATGCCATGATATTCAAGCCACATCAGACTATATTAGATTCATTAAGGTTGGTTTTGAATCAAATGTTCATTTATAAAAAAGAGCAGACATTCCACTGTTGGCTTAGCAAATAGAAGACTTCAATGATGATAACAGTGGTCTGAAGTATATTTCAAATTTTTCACTTTTCTTTCAATCTCCAGCCTTACGAATACTATTCTGTTCACTTTTGTATATGTGCATTTTTCTTTTGGTGTGGATCCTGAGCTCTTTTTGAATAGTATCTCATTCTCTCAAAGCACAAGAAGACTTTATGATTTGCCTTTGGTCTTCTTGGGAAATATCAGTCAGAATAAAACCCTTGATCGTTATCCCAGAGTTCTTATGTGAAAGACACTATGCTAGGACTCCAGTCTTTAATCAGCACTGTTCCATCCACTGGAAATACTATGCAAGAAAGGGCTTGGAATAGTAAAAACGTGTCTGGGAATTTTGGACCCTACAACCCATTACTTGAAAACTTAAATGGAACAAATCTTGAATTTAGGCTGAAATCAGACTATATATTGTTTCTCAATATGCAGAAGAGGATTTCATGGACTAAACATCCAGCAAAGATTGTTTAGTAATTTTCTGAGTGTATAAATTCCCTTGTCTGACATGATTAAGTTTCTGGACTCATCAAAGAGGACAGATGACAAACCACGAAGAATCACTGCATGTCAGTCACTATAGCCCTACAGTTTCCCAGACTCCAGCGTAAGCTGCTAAATGGCATAAGGGCAGCAAAACAGAGACATACCATTTTGGACATAAATATGGTATTTGCATGCATTGAGAATACCACTTATCAGTCTTATGACTGTGGGCAAGTTATGGAACCTCCCTGAGTCTCAGTTTCCTTATCTCTAAAACAGGAACAGTCATGTCTACAAGCAGGATTGCTGTGAGGCTTAAATGATATAATCTATAGGAAAGTGGTTAGCACAGTGCATGGGCCACTGTACGCAGGAAACTGTGTGTGACCAAGCCAGAGAGATGCTGTTCAACAAAACTGCAAATGGCCAGCATTCAGGTCATATGAGAAAGTGGCAAGAGATAAGAGTAGAAAGTAGTCAGGAGCTACATTGCAAAAGACTTCTAAGTCTTTAAGCTTTATCTTAAAAACTAAAGATTATTGCAAGCTAGGATTGGGGTTGTGGGAGGGGTAACAGGTGACATGCTTTAGATTCTCCTTTAAAATCAATTCCCCTAGCTGCAACGTGGTGGATGAATGGAAAGATCAGAGTAAGATGAGAGGTATAGAAACCTCTTGGGTTAGCCAAGTTTTCTCTTAAAAATGAAATGATTAGTTTAATTAAAATAGTAACAGCATAGAATAGTTGGCCCTTTGTGACTAGAGGCTGTGGCAAAGCTACAGAGAGATAAGCAAGCTGTAACGAAAAGTCCAAGTATGTAATTTCTACTTGAACAGATCTGGATTTGAATCCTCACTCTTCAAATTACCATTGTGCCACTTCAGACAAATAGATTTTTTTTCATCTATTAAAAAAATGTGGCTACATTAGGACAAATACCTAATGCATGCCCGGCTTAACACGTAGATGACAGGTTGACAGGTGCAGCAAACCACCATGGCACACGTATACCTATGTAACAAACCTGCACGTCCTGCACATGTATCCCAGAACTTGAAGTAAAATAAAAATTTTTTTTAAAATGTGGCCAGTCATAGCTGCTGTAGGACTATTGTGATGTTTAAATAAGATGATGCATATAAACACCCAACACAGAATCTGACACACTGAGTTTAGAATTGGTATGTGAGGTACCTTGGCATCCACAGAAAGGGGTTTGGTAGGTGGCTGGAATGCAGGTCTGGAAGGCACAAGAGAGATTAAGCACCATCTGCACACGGGCAATAGCTGAAGCTGTAGACACTGATGGCTTCACCTGGAAGAATATGTATGGTTAGAAGAGGGCTGAGAATAGAACCAAAGTTATGGCCAATTGTAAAAGACAGATGAGGAGATCATCCCTTGAAGATGACTGAAAAGAACTGTCCAGGGATAGAGGAGACATGTGGGAAAAGGCTGTATGACATGGAGGTTTCTGGTATACCATCAATAGGTTTGGCTGTGGAGTTGGGTGGAAGCAGAGAGCTTGTGCTGTTGTGATAGTATTATGTCCAAAGACCCAAAAATGTCAGATATCACTGCTCCTGTTGACAGTCTGGAGTGACAGTGATAAAGTTTGTTGTGTATTATGGTACTGGTAGTGCATGGTCACCAAAACTCAAAGTAGAGGCCAGGAAAATTGAGCTGCATTGGCCACATGGAGCACGCCGTTCTTCCTAGCCTAATTAGGCCTAAAACATTTTAGATCAAGGACAAAGTCAATACACCTGCCAGGACCAGGAGAAAACCAACAGAAGAAGACAGAAGTTTTGAGAATCCAGGGCTCAAGGTAACAGCCAGTGATGCTAGAAAAGTTGACACAGACTAGCTAGAGCAACTTCAGCCTTTACTAAGACAGTGGTTCTCAAACTTCGGCTAGTATCAGAATCCCCTGGAGGGCTTGCTGTCCCCACCCCCCAGAGTTTACGATCCAGTTGGTCTGGGGTGGGCTGCAGAATTTGCATTTCTAAGAAGTTCCAGGATATGCTAATGCTGCTGGTTCAGAAACCACCATTTGAGAATCACTGACCTAAGAATTTTGGACTCTTTTATAATCTTTGTGGAACCACAAAAGGCTGTTCTTTTTAACTTGCTCATCCTAGAAATTGACATATTTCATCTAGTAAAAGGCTGCTGTAGCTAAGTTTGTGGTATCTTTTGCATTAATGTGCTGAGGCAATTATTCCACCTTTGTGAAATAAAACATGCAACTCCAAAATTTAGACCCACAAAGAGGGTGTCCAGGTTGAGGAAGCCACCAGGACTGCCTTGATGAGAGTCTCTTGCCCTTTGGAAATCTCTCAGTTCAATTACTGGGCCTGCTTCCATCAGCTTGGTCCCTGAGACTGTCTTGTTCCTGCTTCAATGTTCTAATCAGAGCCAATTTTTTTCCACTGCACCAGATCAGAATCCATTCCCTTTTCACTAGTAAAACACTGTCACTTTTTCAAGCACATTTTTGTAAAAGCATATTCTGCTTGGTGATCGATTGTGAACAAAAGTCTCCCCTTAGTGCCCTTTTGTAGAGCTGTAATGGGCTAGAACTATCAAAAGCTTTTATGAAATGCCAAGGGAAAAAATTAGAAACAAATTCAGTTAACAATATGTTTTAAAAGAGAAGAGCTTTGAGTTTCTATTCCTACTGAAACAGACTTAATTCAAGAGCCCAAGAGGCCCTGGTCTTGTCCTGTGCCCACCTGGGGATTTGCATTTCCATGTGTCCAGCCTGCCTCTTCTGGCCGGCAGCTTTCCTCGTTGGTAAAGACCCTAAAAAGGACACTCCCCTTCAGCAGATTTCTTCTCTCTGTTCTTGGTGTGTAATCTGAGAAATGCACTGTTATGTATCCGTGCCTTAAGCTCCAGCATATATATCCAACAGAGCAGATGACTAGGTTTTTCAAAGTATGTTTCATGGAACACTTGTAACAAATGTTACAAGATACACACAGGGTTCTATGATCAGAAATGTTTAGGAAATGCTGTTATACAAAGTCATTCAAAGTTGTGTGTGTGTGAATCTCCAAGAGAGGAGCATTAATGTGTCATTTCCCAAACTCATTTGATTATAAAGTTTATTTTTATTGTTTTCTCTTTAGATCATCTCTTGGGACTGTATTATGGGACCACTTAGGGAACACCATCTGAATATTAACCCAGTAGCCATGGTGTTCATTTATTAAGAATTACACCATTACAGTAGTGGTAGGGGAGGAGGAGCCATGCTAATTAACACTCCCAGGACTGAGGAAGTAAAAGTTTCTAAAATGGTTAGAGTTTTGCATGATCTAGTGACTCAAGGCTTTATATTATTTGGCAGAAATGCTGAGGAGGGACAGTCAATCCCCAGGCCTAAGACAAGTTCCTTTACTCCCTTTCCTCCACAGCACCTTTTTAACCCTAGAACACTAGGCCCAGGTGGGAAAATAAAGGCCCCACCTACAATAGGAGAAATGATACAGTCAAAGCAGGAGTGGGTCACGGCCTCAACGGCTACCACCTACCATGTGACAAGTCACTTCATCCCCTTGGGATTCAGTTTTCTCATAATCAGATAAAATACATGTGGAATGCATAGCTCAGAAGTTCCTGCTGTAATATCCTAGGATCCTAAGAAAACATAAAACAGGTCTCAGCCTCCATAAGTGTTCCATATGTGTTAGCGTCTGGAGGGAGGGCTGCTTTAAAGTTGGGTGCTCCGGAAGTCCCAGGAGCTTGCCCTGCTCACATCTCTGGAGTTGAACTGATTTGAAGTCCTTTTCAAAAGCAATGAGTCCGAAGATTCCAGACCTCAACAATCCAAGAAAGCATGGTCAAAAAGTTTTTGTGCACCTCTTTGGTTTCCGCCAAAATGTATTAGATGTGCTTTCAGCACTTCAGTGGTAAGATCGAGACTCATGCTTCTTTACATTTTTAAAGGAAACTTTCCTCAATTTGAGTAGTTACTTCAAAGGGCAGCAAATGTCTCAATCCTTTTTATCATCTCTTTTGGGGCAGAGATGATTGGCACTGATGATGGTTACTTGTAATTCCATAACCTCAACTGAGGTAAGTTTAATAAACAGCTCTATCTCTGTTCTCTTGTGACGAAGATATAAAAGAACAAACTGGATCGATTTTAGACAGACAGATATCTCCCAGAAACTTTCAAGCCTAAGATAATCCACTTATTGCAATATGTAACATTTTATCTTTTTTTTTTTTAAATGCACATGGATTTTGGTGCAGAGAGTCCTCCATCTTTTTTCTGAGAGAGCAAGTGTTGTTATGTATATGAAGAGTGTCAGGGCTTTCAGGCCTCTGATGGTATCAAGAGGTTCCTGACACACAAAATGTCACTTAGGCTCCATCCAAACAAATGAGAAGGGCTCTGTCCTGTGAAGAGCTAAAGGGAGGAATATATCAGACAGACAGAAGAACATGTGCAGCGTCCTTGAATTGAGGCAGGCAAAAACTTGGAGTGCTCAAGGAATAATAAGGATGCTATTTTGGTTTATGTCAAGGAAGCAGGAGGGTTGATAAGTAGTGGGGAAGGACCACCTTTTGGTAGAGGTTTGGATTTTGTTCTAAATACAGTACAAAGCCACTGAAGGTTTTAAACAAGGAAGAAACATTATCTGATTTGCAGCCTGTAAAACATCACTCTTTGGTGGCTGTGTCAAGAAAATATTAAAGTGGGCCAAAGCTAATGAGAAAGCCAGAAGGGAGTCCAGTTAGGAGATGATGATGGATTGGACTGCGAGATGGCAGCGGAGAGAAGGAAGTAGTTGGATTAAACATATATTTTGGAGGAAGAACCAATGAACTTGCTAATGAATTGGATTTAGGTAGTGAAGGGAAGAAAAGAGTTGTCTTGAAGGTTATTTGCTTAAGCTCCCAGGTGGATGGTGGTGCCAAGATGGGACTACTGTGAGAGGAACAGGTTTTAGAAAGAATTAAGTTGGAGATGCCCTGGTTGGGCAAATGGAGATGTCAAGTTGATGGTTGGATATAGGATCCTGGTTTCAGAGGTGACATCTGCGATGGAGATATCCACATGGATGTTGCATATAATTAGTATTTAAAGCTGTGAGACAGGATGAGATCAGCTAGAGCAGGGCTTGGCAAACTTTTTCTCCAAAATACCAGGTGGTAAATATTTTCAGCAGGCTATAAGGTCTCTCTTGCAACTACTCAACTCTGCCATGGTAGCACAAAAGCAGCCACAGGCAATATGTAACAAATAAAAGCTGTATTCCAGTAAACTTTATTTACGAAACAGGTGGTGGGTCATGTTTGGCCCACAGGCTGAAGATTGCTGACCTGTGACCTAGAGTATAGACTGAGAAGTAGCCCAAGACAAGACCTAAGAGATATATATTATAATATATATATATAATATATATTATTATAATTATTATGTATATATAATTATGTCACTTACTAGGCCAGTCATCATTCTAAGTGCTTTACTTATATAAACTCACTTAATCTTCACAATAACCAATGAAGTGACTACCGTTATCTGTTTTACAAATAAGAAAACTGTGACCTAAATAAGTTTATTTCTGTCTCGAGAAAAAAAGAAGTCCAGAAGTTGGCAGTCCAGTGCTAGTATGGCAATTCTGTGTATTTCAGCAACCTAGAATTTTCCAGATCATTCTTCCGTAATCCCTAGAGTATAGTCCTCACTCTCATGGACCAAAATGATGGCTGGGGCTCCAGTCATTGCAGGGAGCAGAAAGTCAAAACAAAGTAGAGGCAAATGGAATGCACCAGTTGTCTTTTAATGTGTCTTTTAAGTTTCCTAGAAATTGCCTTGCAACACTTCTTCTATTACATCTCGTTGGCCAGAAGTTAGTCACACAGACACATATTGACAAAGGGGAAACTGGGACGTATAGTTTTTTTCTCAGGGGCCATGAGCCCAACTAAAATTTAGCGGTTCAATTACTAAAACAGAAAGTGAGAACAATCATTAGAGTGGAAGTTAAAAGGCTCTGACCAGTTGCTTTAAAGCTTATCAATTATCTTTCTTTATGTGTATTTTTGCAAGTACAGTTAGTTGATAGCACCCTTCCTAAGACATTTCTGCTCAGCCATTTCATATCTTAGGCCTCCACTGATGATGTCCTACATACTCTTCCAGCTCACTGGTCACCTCTTCTGTGAAGCCATCCCTGGCACTCTAGGCAGATTACTCCTGTGTCCCCATGCCAAGTTTATTACACTTCTCCTTGTATTTCGTTCTTTCCTAGCGTGCCTCCTTTTGTGCTGCCTCCTCTGCTTGACTGGTTAACTCAAAGGCAGGTGAAGCCTGGTTGAAGTGTGGAGGGTAAATTGCTAAGAACTAAGGGAAATATGTAGTGAAGCTGCAAATGAAGAAAAAGGAGTTAGTACACAGGATTTCCTGCTCCTTGGTGAAGGGACTGGGGTCAGACACCTAGTAGAACAAGTGGTTCTCAAATGTTGCTACTTATGTAAATAACCTCAGGAACTTCTTTTAAAAATCTTGATGCTAAAGTTTCACCCATAATTATTAAAGCGGACTTTCTATAAGTCACACCTAGGCGCATATATATATATATATATATTATTGATTGAAACACTTCTAATCGGAATTATTAAAGTCCTCCTGAGTTTATTTAAGGCAGTTGGATGCACTATAAGTGAAATAACTCTTAAGCTGCTCTTTAAATAATTAGAGCAGGCAATCAAGAAAATAAGACAACAACCTCACTGAAGCTTACCCCATTTGTGACACATAATATGTTTAGATTGCTTTACTGACTTTACAAAGAAGCATGCAAGACTGAATCACAGGTGACAGATGTGATTGCTTCTATCAGGATGTGAGGGGCCATATTTCAAATTCAATGTAAGTGTTGAGCTCCATTTTCAACTAATAGTAATGAAAGTTTTGTGCATTCGTTACAAGTAAAGAGTATTCCCACTTGGTATGAGGAGTGTTTCAGAATGTTTTGTTCTCTTTTCTCCAAACAATAAACATTCGTGAGGAAGTGAGCTCTCTTAAATATGTTTTGAAACTTTTTTTAATTTAAAGATTTCTGAGGGAATTCAGGATTTTTTAAATTCAATAAAAATACTGTTGACCTTTCTGACGTTTAGTAAAAAGAGAGAGAAAGTTTTTCAGCAGCTATTCTTTCCTTTTTCACTGCAGTATTTATATCCAGTTCCAGGGGAGAATAACTCTCCAATTTTTCAAGCATATTTAGAGATTTCTGAAAATTATTTTTAAGTATTCCTTTGGAATAAAAGTTGAGTCTCTGATTTTCGTTGATATTGTTACTGATGAAAAGCAAGAAATTGCTTGGATTTCTGCCTTTAATGAGAAAGAGAGGGAGCCAGGAAATGCACTGGGCAAAACTGCAAAATCGAATGGATTCAACACGCAGCTCTTAACCAGAAAAAGAGACTTTGGAACATGTGCATTTGCCAAAAAAGAAAACTGCTTTATTGAAAGGTTAATTTTCAGATTAGGCTTGGGAAATTTGAGATAAATAAATGACATCAGACAAAAAAACATAAGGCCTGGATCCTTTTTCCTGGGGTTTTCAGAAAATAGTTATTGCTTCCAATGAAATGTTTTGACATTTCCAGTAGGGAGAAAATGTTAATTGTAATATTGTGTATGTGTTCTTAGTAACACTGAATAAATCTTTCATTTGTTTTAATGGTAATCAGAAAGTAAAAACACGATTAAAATGTTAGCTGTGTTCTTTATTCCTTATGGTAACTTTTCATGCTTTCTAGGATATTGTGATTCATTTTCCAGGTTCAAATATATACCAACTGACGAACATGCTTTTGCTTGTTTTATATCAGTTGCAGTTTTTAAAGGAGTCTTATTACTATCCTCCACATAGGTCTGCCTGGGTCTCTTTTCTAATTTTGTCACATCTTTAGCTCATTCTACAATTCCCCACCTTTTCCCTTGAGTCTATGGCTCCTTTACTACATTTATAAAAAGTCAGCAATTAAAGACAGCACAATGGTGGTCCACTTGACTGTATATTTAATATACATGCTATTAAGCTACTTATTGACAGAGACGGTGATTTTTTTTTTCTGAACAGCCATCTCTGTAGCCACCAACTCCTTGCTTTGTACTTAACAGACACCCCATAATTTGTTGAATGACTGTAATACCCTCCTTACTTCTGCCATATGTCCCTGTCCCAGAATTCCACGTTGCAATTGATGACTGGAGCTACATGTCCAAAGCAAAGGTCTCACTGTTGAAAATTACAGTATTACATTGTTGATGGTCCTTTAGAGACAAATACCAACAAGGTCACATGCTCATGGACCAGCAGGAAGCCAAATGTAAACGTAACCACCTGAGGCCGAGCCCTGAAAACAAGCTGCCTAAGAAACGGAAGGAATCCCTAGTGTAGAAGAGCAGCATCCGCCCTTCCTGATGTCATGATCTACAACTATGCATATATGTGACATGCACACACTGGCCACCATCCACAGGGAGAAAATACCATTAGTAATCATCCTAGCAAGCATTCACAATCTAATTTGGTATTTGTTAACTCCTTAGTTAAAAGATATGATGATTCTTACAGAAAATGCTGTTCCCTTTTTGATCACTATCTTTAAGTAAGTACATGAATACCACTTAAATCACATTAAATCTTGAAAATAATCTCAAAAGCAGATTTGAATGGGAATAAAGTGGTAAGTGTTTACAGTTTTCCACGCACTACTGATCAGAGTACTGTTAAGCACCAACAGAAAAGGAAAGCTGCTATATAATAGGGGTATTCCTCATATAGGGGCATTGGCATACAGTCTCTCATGCCTTTATAAAGAAAACATAAATTACAGAATTGAACAGTTAATGTAAGCTTTAGGTCTCATGTAGATTAGTGCTTATGAAGTAGAAAATAATCATGCGCAAGGAACAGAATAAAACTCACTTGCAGACATCAGCAGCATTTTCAACCGTGTACTTCCTTGGCATGTTTTAAAAACCAGCGGGACCTATGTGTCATGGGAAGATGGTTGGATCCTAGTATGAAAACCCAGTCAGTAACATTCAACAACAGATTCAACCACCAATATTTGCACAGCTAGATTAATGTTTTGGAGTCAGTCAGTCATCAGGCTCATTACTACTGGATTTTCTCTGGTTCATGCTAATAAACTAGATTATTGATTTTAGGATTTTCTTTGTATCCAAGGATATTCTCTAAGATGTCTTTATAATGTTTCATGCTTAAGCTGTCAACCAAAATGACATAACAATGAGTAATCGTTTTATAATCATGTTGAAAGGGGTTAAAAACAGCATATAAAATGCATCTTAGCAGCTTCAGAGTAACATTCTCGCTGTCACTTCCCTATCTGGGTGGAGGTCATTCCTACCTGCCTGCCATCTTCCCCAGGAATTAACTAGCTGCATGCACAGCTTAAGACCTTTGATAGTCATAAATCTGCTTTCCAATATGTTTGGATGGCAGAAGAGCTCAAAAGACACCTCGGTCTAAATAGGATTTTAGCACATCAGGTGCTATTACAAAGTAAAGCAGGCTGGGTTGCTGTGTTGGTGGTGGTGTTTATTCATCTTCCCTTCGCGTTTCATGTGTATGTATGTATGCTTCTCTGCGTATATGCCCAGCTCTCAGGGTGTATGGGGCTGGAGAATGCATGCGTAGACTGTGTGTATATGTAAACTAGAAACTGAACCAGGGAAACAAAATGAACTACTGTATGCAAGAAATATATGAAGTGCACCCAGCTGCCGGCAGCAATTGCTACATGCAGTCCACTGATTATTACGCGTATTTTGAAGATAGTCCGGGTTACAGCGGTTGCGATGCTCAGGCTGTGCCCAGTAACAACATATATATGGAACAGGCCTGGGCAGTGAATCAGCCTTATACCTGTAGTTACCCTGGAAACATGTTTAAAAGCAAGGACTCTGACTTGGACATGGCCCTGAATCAATACAGCCAACCTGAATATTTCACTGAAGAAAAGCCTACTTTTTCTCAAGTGCAGTCGCCATCGTATTCTCAAAAAAAAGGTAGGGACCATTTTGCTTAAATTTGTTCAAAGTTTCACTGTTTGTTTTCGTTTCATTTTAAAGTTACAGTTTACATCAGCTTCGTCAAATCTTTGAATTTGAACGCTAAATATTTGAAATTAAAAACGGCAGTAAGAGGGGTTGCTAGGTGATTGAAGGACTCTGTGAACATCAAGATTTCCAAGCACTTTTTTTCTTCATCTTTGAAAGCTGGAGTGAGTTGCCTTTCTGTATTTTGCATGTGTGTGTATATATTGCCCAAAGTGACTATTGTTGGCTTCTTTGCGAAAGAAAATATGTGAAAGGTTTCCTTCTGGCGGGTAGGTGTTGTGGTGTTTGAAGTGAGATAATTCTCTCTAGTTCAGGTTCAGATTAAAAACTCATTTGACTTTTCCTTGGCACTTCATTTTGAAAGTTTATTTTAGTTGACTAGTTAACTAGTAAAATATTTAGTGATTTAGTGATTTCTTTAACAGTACTATACTAATGTTGATTTGCTAGGATCTGTAAATGTTCATTTTAATGTATTTATTTATCCATGTAAACAGTAAAGAATCTATTTGTAACCATGTCAAACTGTAAGATGTAAAACTCAAAAACTGAGAAACTTTACTTTGCTATTTTGTCCCTAAAGTTGAACATGTCTGTAATCATATCAAGTGAATTCTCTTTATGAAAGCAAGTGAAACACACTTCAAAATAGCCAATATTAAAACCAGTACGATATCCATTTATCTTAATAGACACTGTGGCTTTATAATGCTATTTAAATTTCTGTCAATAGAACATTTCTTGTATTACTGAAAAATAAGATACTGAAAAATAAAATAAGGGAGGCAAACAGGTAGAACATTAAGTAGCAACTGCCAGATAGGAATGCTTTTGAAGATAGTGTAAATGCTAGTGCAGATATGCCAGAATCTCATGCTTTTGTATATAATCTATAGGATATTGCATAGAGAACCAAATTTACGAGTTTCTATAATTTACAAAAACATGATGCCCTTTGATCCTCAAAGGTAAATTTCTCTGTTAAATTAATCTTAAAACATAATGTGGTTTATTTAGTTGTGGTTTCTATAAAATTTATCATTTGCTTTTCTTAATGTGACTTTATAATTGAAAGTAGTCTGTTATGAAAACAAATGAACAAAATTTTATAAAAACAAAAACTAGAATCTGTAATTTTTACTATATATAATGTTATTCTATAACTTCCAATCATGAAATATTAAGGGGATTACAGCATGAAATATATTTAGAGTTTCTCATCTTGATTTTTATTTATAAATATAGAGTTTTGCATCCTTTTGAAGGTCATCAGAATCTCATTTATTACAAGGGATACACAGGGTAAGTCCCCTAATGGAAACATTTGAGGTACATTGAACATGTGCTATTTCATTTAATAGTATAAGTAATTTAACTTTGAAAAGAAGAAATTAACATTGCCTCATTAAACATACTTGGATATGCCTTTTGTAGTGTTGTAAGAAAATATTGGTACCTGTCAATCTATGTGCTCATTCTGCTGTTCTTAAAAATTCCTGCAGAACGTTTCAGGCTCTTTTCTCTTTTATCTTTTCACTGTATTTTCTTCAACCAACACTGGGGAATATTTGCTTATAAAATGTTAAACCAGGGGTTCTTTATTAATTAATTTGATGCATGAACTAAAGGAAAAGACACATTGTATGCATATATTGATGTAATTTCAAAGCCATATGTCATTGAAAGGCCACCGCCACCTGCCAAACTCACTAAATCAAAACAGGCAAATATTCTTAAATGCACCATTATTTACTTTTACAAGTCTTCGAGTAAATCCCAGTAAAACTAAACCCAGCTGTTAACTGTCTCTTAGGACAAAAGGTTGTACCCAACATGTTTATCCATATTGATCCACTATTGATTTTTGTTGTGTTGAATGACATCAGTAGTGTCTCGTTAAGGCAAAATTAAGACCATAAACAGGTGTTCAGTGGGGTAGGCCTCATTTTCCAATTGGATTTTTATCTATTCACAATAGATAAAAGTTCATAATTGCTTCATCTGTGTTCATGGCTGTCATTACAGCTTTATAAACTCCAATACTGCAGCTGTGTTAACTTTTTCTTTATTTTTTTAAGGATGGCTTATTTCCTAGCCTTTATTTTCTAATATACAGAGAATCTTGTAAAAAAAAATTACAATCTTATAAAAAAATTATAGGTACAAACTGGTGAAATAAAGGAAGGCTACACTACCCAATGTTAAGAATGGTTATCTTAATTGGTAGACTTTAGAATAACTTTTAGTTTCCCTTGGATTGTTTTTCTACAAAGTTTTTTTTTTTTTTTTGCATTCATAGCCGACAGAATAAGTTATCAAGTTCTGGAAGCATTAAGAACACGAACTAAGGAAGAGTCAGATGTCAGTTCATTGAATCACATTTAAAATAAAGCTTCAAGAATTGAGGAGGGGAAAACCGATGTAATTTTCACATTGAGGAGGCCTAAAATGCAGAATGTAATGTCTGTCTTATTTTTCATATGGATTATGAAAAAACAAATTTTTAATTTTCAAAAGTTAGGGACAAATGAAAAGAACCCTATCATTCACTCAGAAGATATGATATTTACTGTAATTCTAGTGACATAGCTGTGAAATGCTATGCTAAGTCCTCACGGGGCCAGTGCTGGCTGCACACTTCTGGCCCCTGCAAATTCAGGAGAAGAAGGCAGTAAGTTTGGAATCAGATGGAGGAGAATTGGCAGACAGGTTATTTGTTGTGCTTTCTGCTCTGTGGCTGAGGTTGCAGCAAAGTAAAAAGTTGACTTTTTTTTCTCTTTTCTTTCTTTAAAAAAAAAAAAAAATCCTTTTGTGGGTGGAAGTGCTAGCTGTTTCCATCACAAATACTAATCACATTCCGAAGTTCCCGAACAGCCTGCATCTGCATCTGGCTGCTCTGAAGGCAGCTTTGCAGGTCAACCTCTCGATTTAGTCTGGACCAGCCGGGTCTGTTGAAACAGAAACCTTCCTAGGAGTCTGCCCTGGGCGACTCTCCTCCACGGGATTCTTTGCTTGACCTTCTACATGCCATCTTACTTGATAGGAATTGCATGTTTGAAAAGTTGTCAGAGATGCTTATCATGTCCAAGAGAATAAGAATTTCCTGTTTTTAAGCCAGGATCGAGGAGATGGGGGTGGGGGTGGGGGTGGGGGAGGGTTGTCCTATTCAGTTTTGGTTCTGATTGTATATGTTGTTGCTCTACAACCACATTTTTAATTGTGCAGGAATAAAAATTAATAACTGAAGCAGAAACTCCACACAGGACTGTGCTTTCTGAATCTGCTTTCATTGTTCCTCTGACTTGGAGATAGAATTCTGTCTGTGTGTGTGTGTGTGTGTGTGTGTGTGTGTGTGTGTTCTGTAGCTCTGTTGACTCCAGGTGAACAATTACATAGGCATTTGAAATGAAAATTAAGTAGCAAATTGGGGAATGTTTCTTTCTCAAGCTTTCCTTTCCTTTCCTTCTTCCTCTCCCTCTGTCTCTCTCTCCTACTTTCCCTCCATCTCTTTCTTCCTCTATCTTCTCTTTCTCTCCCTCTCTCTCCCATCCTTATTCTTCCCCTATACTTGAATTTTTTAATTTAAACACAGATGTGATCAGTCCACCCAGTGAACTGTTGAGTACTAAATAAATAATCTCTTTTAAATGTAATAGTTAAGTGGTTAATGCAATCATAGATTTTTCAACAATGCGTATGTAACTTAAGGACGCTGATGGAAAGTTAGGATTTTAAATTAGGTACTGCCACACACATGCTGTTCAGAGAAAACACCACTCCAGAAAACAATACCACAACTTTTAAAAATACAGAACATATTCACTGTACAAAAGGTTAAATGAAAGTGCCTCTTGGCACCCAGAAATGAAAGCAAAGTAAGGAGCAATAATCGTTTCCAAACCAAGTCCAAGTGCAGACAAAAGCGTGAGCTCTTTCCTTTTCTTTCCTGAGAATTAACTGTCTCGTCAAAGACATGTCCTTCAGAGATTTCACTGAATGCCCTAACCTCATCCAGAGCATGCATTGCCCTTACTCACAATGAAAGCTAACAGTAGGAGTCCAAAGCATTATGAGCAAATGGATTCAGACGCCTGGCAGGCTTACAGAGGAATGGTGAGACTGCTGACTTTCTGCATATGGAGTTCATATCCACCACCTCACATGCCTCCATGGATACTTTTTCATAGTCAAGCACAACACTTTTTTCTCAGCACTCAAGTGCATTCAGCCTGAAGTCAAGCCGCTTCCCGCCCTACCACCCACTCTGCTCCAGCTTTTATGATCCCATCATCTTATGGGTCCTTGGCTTCACCGGTGCCCACTTGGTTATCTGTATTCTTCCTGTTTCCAGAGCATTGGGAATGCTGACCTTCCCGTGCGCTGTCCTTGGTACTTCCCTCTCATCAGCTCCCTCGGTACCAGCTGTTGTAGAGAATTTCCTCAGCTCTCTTGGAGACTCCCAGAATGTGCTTTTGAGCAGTCACCCCACACACCTGCTTTCCTTATCCGCAGATACCTCCCGCCATGTTTTCCTGCCTTTCTTCCCTCCAGGTTCACCCTCTCTTGCTTAAAGCCTTCTGCTTCCAGCCACTCAGGGGCAGTTCTTCCCCATCCTCTGCACCACCACAGGGCTCCGTCTCAAGGTTTGGGGCCCTTTTCCATTACCACAAATTCCACCAACTCTTCCCTGCCCTCAAGAGTTCAATTTTGATTCTGGCTTTGTGCTTTTACCCACACCCTCTGTTCCAGAAACCTTGGCCAGTCTCCCCATGGGTTCCTCTCTCTGTCACCCTAGTCTCCATCCCTGAACCAGTATGCTTTCTTCCAGCTGTCACCCACTGCCAGCCACACCCTGGTGGGCCACCTTGCCACTGTCAGCCTGCATCACTTTATGTCACCAACTCAGCTCACAGCCCACCAGCCTCTTCTATTACCCAGCAACACATTCTCTCATCACCCCCGCTCCCAACCAGCCCTGCCTTCAAAGGCAGATATCCTTTGTTTTATACAATAGCTCTGAATCATTTGTGTAAACCACCTTTGAAAAGTAATATATTATATATAAAGTATATTAGACTAGGGTTTCTTAACCTTGGCACTATTGACATTGGGGCCATATAATTCTTTGTTGTGATGGTTGTCCTGTGCATTGTAGGACGTTTAGCATCATTCCTGGTCCCTCTTCCCACTGGACACCAGTAGCAAACACACACACACACACACACACACACACACACACACACACACAGCAGTTGTGGCAACCAAAAATGTCTCCAGACTTCGCCAAATGTCCCCTGGGAGGCAAAATCATCCCCACTCGAGGACCACTGCATTAATGGTGAAGAACTTACTACTTGGAGAATATCTGAAGTAAAGGATCTTTCATAAAGGATTTCTTATAATGTTAAAATCCCTCCTCCATTTCCAAATATCATATTTAAGTGTTCATATATTGACGTCTGTCAAAATGGAGTACACCTGAACCTACATAACCATATATACGTGCAACATAACACATACATATGTGTCATAGCTCATTTCCATTGTTGGGATTTGGGTTCCCCTCATCATGTTTGCTTATTTATATCAAATCTATCTAGATCATAAGCACTACGAAAGCATCAATCTCTTTTATTTTGCACTCCCTAAAGCGCACATCCATGTGACTGCAGGATACACCTGCAGGGAGAGCAGTATAGCTCATAACGACAGTGACGGTGTTCTGATGACAAATGCAACAGCTCCTTCCCTTTTATGTATGTTTATGTAACATAAGGCTGAAGGGCTGCTAGCCCACATTTTTAGAGCTATAACCTTGAATCCCATTCTGAATGGATTTTCAGGTAAAGAAATGACACTTGTTTTTCTCAAGGATTCAGGATATGACATAACTGTGGGTGCCTCTGCATGAGCCCAAAGCTATAAATTGCTTCTCACAGCAAAATCAGAGGCAACTATCACCCTTCTCTAGTGACTGTTTCTGCTCCCTCCCCTAATCTTCTGATGACTTTGCCTTCCTGCTTTCTAATTCATGCCGTCTTTTAAAACAGGAAATGATCTCATCAATACCAGGGTTCTACAACTCCAATGCCCCCAAGTATGCGAGAGAGAGAGAGAGAGAGAGAGAGAGAGAGGAAGAGCTGTCTTACAATGGCTGCTTAATTTAAATTTTTCAACAAAGACACATAATGCTTACATAATATATGATAAGAATACTTCTCACTTCCATGAAGAAATATGTTCTCAGGCCGGGAGCAGTGGCTCACGCCTATAATCCCAGCACCTTGGGAGGCCGAGGCAGGTAGACTACCTGAGATCAGGATTTCGAGACCAGCCTGGCCAACATGACAAAACCCCGTCTCTACTAAAAATAACAAATAATAGCTGGGCGTGGTGGCAGGCACCTGTAATCCCAGTGACTCAGGAGGCTGAGGCAGGAGAATCACTTGAACCCAGGAGGTGGAAGCTGCAGCGAGCCGAGATCGTGCCATTGCACTCCAGCCTGGTCAACAAGAGTGAAACTCGTCCCCCACCCTCCCCCCAAAAAAAAAAAAAGTTATCATTTTTCTCAAACTACTTTTGTTTTTCCACTCTTGATAAAGATAAAGAATTATGTGAAATATTTCTTTATTTATGAAAAGGCATAATGCAAGAACAAAAATAAATAGCAACTGATGCACACAATCAGGAGAGGTTCTGACTGTGGAGCCTAAAAAGGATGTCCGTTTCTTGGGAGGTAGGGCTACCTTTCTAGTTCAGTTGATCGTTACACTGTGAGAATTTGGGTTCAGTATTGCCAGTTCCTCCTGTTTTTCACATGAAGCAAGAATTCTGTATGTTTTATGAAATTTCCTAGTTTTAAAAATTTGCTACGATTTTTAAAAACACTCTGCAAGCCAAATGTTGTAGACTGCCAGAATGTGTGCCCTTTTGATTAACATTCCAACTCAAACGCATTATATCAACGTATTCCCTTTCTTAGTGGTTTGCATCTTCAAGTGTTTTCCCTCTAATTGTAGATTGAAAGGTTATGTCAGCTATTAAGGATCTGAATGTACAGGGACGGCAAAAGGAACATTTCACTAGGTACTTCTTATACATTAAACTATACTATGCCCAAACCTGGCCCTAAAAATTAAAAAATAGGCTGAGCACTGTGGCTCATGCCTGTAGTCCCAACACTCTGGGAGGCCAAGACGGGAGGCTGGTTTGAACCAGGAGCTCAAGACCAGCCTGGGAAACATAGCAAGACCCCATCTCTACGAAACAACTTCAAAATTAGCCAGGTGTGGTGACCATGCACCTGTAGTCCCAGCTACTCAGGAAGCTGAGCTGGGAGGACTGCTTGGGCCCAGGAGTTCAAGGCTCCAGTGAGCCATGGTCATGCCACTGCACTCCAGTCCGGGTGACAGAAGTGAGTCCCTGTCTCAAAAAATAAAAGTTAAAAAAAATTGTAATTTAAAAATATGTCTTAGTTTCAGGAATTCTTGAATCAGAAGAAATGATCCAAAACTCATGTTGTCCCTTTTTCTGCACTAAAGCCTCCGATGAGAATCCAGGGTCCTTTGGCCTCATATCCTCATCCCCTTTTCTAGATTGACACCTCTACTTGGTCCTCCTGCTCGCCCCTCCTCCGCCCACCAGTGCTTCAGTGTTCAAAGCCTGGCGAGCCATTGTCTGCTGTCCCCCAACACCAGGGCCCAGCCAGCCAGAGGGCAAAGTGTAAAGAAAGAGACTCCAAGACTCCAAGCAGGGGTAGGCAGGGTGGGAAAACAGTGGATGTTCTGAGGAAAGATTGTGAATTGTGTGAAGTGGGAGCCCCTGGGGCAGCTCTGCTAATAATTTGCAGAGGGCAATGGATGAAGGCCTCCAAAGTTAATGCTGTTTCAAGTTTGTACCAAGTGTCTTCCACACAGTACACCCATACATGCTGTTAAATAAACAAATGGATGAATGCATGGTTTAATTTAATATAGTGTCTATCACAGGGTTAAAGATTAACATGATATAAAGCTTGGTACCTAATGCCAAGAATTAAATATAAAAGGAATCAGGATTCGTATGTTGGGGAAAGGCTAAAGGATAACCCTTTCAAGGTTTTTAAGTTTGTCAAGAAATGACATAGGGAAGGTGCTGGTGGGGAAAACAAGCTTAAATCATCAGGTCTGAGCTGCAGGATGAACTGAGGAGGTTCAGTATAAAATCAGAAGAGTGACTAAGCATGCTAGTGACTTAGCTTCCTGAAGGGTGACAAAATACAGTCTCATCCTCTATCCCGTCCCAAGATCAGATACCTACTGGCTCTGAGTTGATAGCTCTACAAGATGAATCAGCAACATGGAACTTCTTCACTTCTCTGAGCTACCCAAAGTATTTCCCACTACCGCAAACCACAGCCCCTCCCTTAAGATGCCAGGACTGGTTCTGCTAGGCAAGTGGTCTTATACAGATGATAAGATTTGCCAGTTTGGAAAAGATCTCTGAACTCAGCTCTTCTCACATGCTGCTACTTCTGCTCTCCTAGGCAGCACCTTATATTTTAGATCTACTTTCAAGATTAATCTGCTTTATATTCTATTCCCTAAGGGCCATGTATCTGCCAAGGTGACAAGAGGAACCAGTGTTTCTCCTCCTAGGACCTGAGATGCTGTTATAATTCACTCAAAAGAATTAAACTAGCCAGCCTTCTGATCTTGCCCATAGGGAAGAAAGCATTGAATCTGTTTTCAACCAAGAAGGCAAGCTTACTACCTGTTGCATCCTTTGTAGTGCAAATGTACAAAACTTTCCCCTTCTACATGACAAGTCGCTCAGAGAATATTTTTTAAATAGCATTAACTGTAAGATATTCAAGATAATACTTAGCAATTAACCAGACATTGCCAAATGTCAACTGAAAAAATCTCAAGTCCTTTGTTGAACAGATGGAGTTTGCTTTTATAAAAATATGCTTGATAAAGTGGCAGCATAATGTATTAATCTGAAAAATAATACATCTGAGCAGACAAGAGCTGAGGGAAATATATCATTTTTGAACTATCATATATTGTCATGGACCTTAATTTTTTCTGGAGGGTTATTGACCAGGCTTCTTTAGCAGTCACCTGGGACAACTAGCAGATGCAGTTCCTGACATGAACAGTCGTAGCTTCCAGGATTGTGTCTGTAGTATTTGTTTCTAGGCAGAATCCAACGCTGACATTATGACACTCATCAGTGTCCACTCTTGGCAACAAAACTAATGATACATGTGCATTTTCCTTAGTTTGGCATACTGACCATTGTGTAACTCATTTGGTGAGTATGACAAAGGAAAATGATGGAGACACTAAAATACAACAGGAAATACAACAGCAAGAAATGGTTAAGTTCTCTAGGAGAATTGGTTAGTATGTAATGTTGTCAATCATGTTCAGTAACCTTAAGAGAATCCTCACCTACCTAGTCACTATGTGTGGGACATTATTCCCTGATGGAAGTTATTTAATGAAGAATAATGGACTTAGGCATAATGATTGATGTATCATTGCCTGTGGTGACTGTTTTGGATAAATAAGATGGTTCAGAGTTAATATGTTACAGAAAAGAAAGCAAGGGGTGGGGTGCACTAGTATGATCATGTAAGTAGCTGCCACCAACTTAAGTAGATGTTTCTGTAGAAGTTTTGATGATTTAACTAAAGTCATTTAATCACCTCCACCCATGAAGAAGATAGTCTAGGAGAAATAAGAGAGTAAAGCACACCACCTCTCAGCCTAGCAGTCAGTAAATGAAAGGAGTCCATTCCAGTCACTGATTGAATTATTGTTGGATTCCACAAGAACCTTAAACACCATCTACATAAATTGTTGAACTACAGGTAGGAATAAATCTTCAGTGTCTGGCTGCCAATGCCAAAAGATAAAGCCAGCAGGTCTCATGAGACAGGCTGGGGTAGTATGAGGTGAGAGGGAACTACCTGCATCTTCCCAACTCTGGTTAATGTTCTTGGACACCTTGTTTTGACCCCTCCCAAGTCATGTCCCACAAGTACAGCAGTGTTCAAGTGTATCACAATTGGTTCTCATACCTGAGATTAGACAGAAATGACTTGTACCTCTTTTTCCCTTATCTCTGCATTCCATACTTGATACTAAGAACTTGAAAGTCTTCATTCTGTTGGATTAATTGTGTATAACCTCGAGGTATAAGAGGTTCAGATGTAGCTTTTTTGACAGTATGGGTCTGTATATTCCATCTGCCTTTACCAGGAAGGTGCCTGTTTTCCTAATTGAGTTACTTTGTGGTTTAAAAGTTACTTTGTGTTTTATAAGTAGGTCTTTATATGCACACAAAAGCACATGAGCACACCTCCTTACCAACACTTGTGACTGTGTCATTTTTGTTAAAACCATACTAGTGAGTGTAAAGTGGTATCTCATTGTGGTTTTGATTTGCATTTCCCTGCAATGATGTTGAGCATCTTTTCATGTTCTTCCCTTCATTTTCACCTCTCTTTTTCTCATTGAAGAATGACCAAGGCTACAGAAACAGAACTCAGCTTATGAGTTTACAAAGGAAGAAACCATGTCTTACTCATTTTTGTATTTTCAGCACCTAGAACAATGCTAAGCACATGTAGATGCTAAATAAATGTTTTCTGAATTCATAGATAAATGACTGAATGAACGCGCAAAGCATTCTAGTTCCCTTTTTTCTCTGCCCAGATCCTTCCCAGAATTCCCTTTTTAAAAATGACTGACAAGAGTTTTGAAACCCTTGCAGTGAACTCAACAGATGAATCATGGTTTGCATGATGCAAAAGTAAACTAAGAAAAGCTGTGATATTTAAAAATATAATCCTGTACATTACTAAACCTCACTTTCAAGTCAATTATCTGCCTCCCAAGAAGGAACATTTTTCTAAATTAAAGTTGGAGCAACATAATTTCTAAGAAATTATGAAAAGGATTTATTTCATTCTGTTTCCTTAATGGCTTTTTTTCTGAAAAGCAAGACTTCAGTGACCTAGTTTAATAAAAGGTCTATGAAATGTCACGGTAAGATACACAGTAAGGCATCAGTCATTTCAACCTAGCTAATCTTTATTGGAACAAAGAAGACTTTGCTGAACTGAGTCAAAAAACTTCATAAGGACCATGATAGGGAGAAAGGATTGTTTCTCAGCCTCTTCCTTCTTCACATCCCAACCAATCCTGCCTCATTTTGATTGTTTGGTCTTATGTGAAGCTGTGTGATTCTATATATCACATAATTTATCAATGGTAAACCATTGATAGAGGGGAGAATGAACCTGCCCTCCTGAATCAGCATCTTGTGTCTGGGCATCCTCTCCACAGGAAGCTGAAGGAGCAAAGACAGGAGGGAAACAGGAGGCTTCTGCTTTTGTGCTTTTTAGCTTCCTGAGTCAAGGAATTTAAACTAATAAACTCATTGTCCACTAAAAAAGAGAGTTATCATAGTTGGATTTTCCTTTTTTCTTAATAAACAAAACCTCTGTCATTTCACACTATCCAGTGTTGTTGGATTGCATATCATAATATCACAAGTTTACCTAACTTTTTTAGGTGGCAAAATTCATTCTACTTAAAGTCAACTCTCCATTTTTAGAAAAAGACCAGCATATTACACTGGAGGGCTAGAAATTAAGAGACTGGGGTTTTAGTCCTGCCTGTAATTTCCAGTGAGACCCTGAGGAAGGCCAAACCTCTGCAGGCCTGTTTCTTCACCTTACAAGGACTTCGTCATCTCCCGGGACCTTTCCAGCTATAAAGTTTTCTGAATTCATTGCATGGTACTGTGATTCCAAAGTGGATCAAATCTTGTGAAAACAGGTTTTGAAATAAGCCTTGTTAAATAGATTGTGTTATCTAGAACTCACAGTGCTCAAATCCTGGCCTCTCTGCTTGAGTCACTGGCTCTACAGCCTTCCTGCCATTCCCACCTGCACAGCAAGTGATCACAGCTATCTTTCTTTCTTTCTTTCTTTCTTTCTTTCTTTCTTTTTTTTTTTTTGGCAGAATTTCGCTCTTGTCGCCCAGGCTGGAGTGCAGTGGCACAATCTCAGCTCACTGCAACCTCTGCCTCCTGGGTTCAAGTGATTATCTTGCCTCAGCCTCCTGAGTAGCTGGGATTACAGGTGCCTGTCACCATGCCCGGCTAATTATTTGTATTTTTAGTAGAGAGAGGGTTTTGCCATGTTGGCCAGGCTGGTCTTGAACTCCTGACCCCAGGTGATCCACCTGCCTGGGCCTCCCAAAGTGCTGGGATTATAGGTGTGAGCTATTTCTAAGGCATTCTGAAATCCTGGGCCTATGTTAACTCTATGAGTATAAAATTCTTACCGTTTGGTTTCACTAAGTCTTTACTGTTGTTACCTCTTCCTGGCAAGCCAATTTTGTCTCTGGCCTAGCAACCTTAGCTATAGTGTCTCTTTGACGTTAACATATTATTTTTTAATATTCCTTCTTTTATTTCCTTCACAGGGTACATCCCCAGTTACTTAGACAAGGACGAGCTCTGTGTAGTGTGTGGTGACAAAGCCACCGGGTATCACTACCGCTGTATCACGTGTGAAGGCTGCAAGGTAATTGCCCTGGGTCCACAAGCACAGAGCTTAGCCCAGCTCCAGTCCCCTCCCAGTCCTCTTCCAGAATGCAATGTTAAGTTTAAATTCAAATTAAAATCAAATTCTAACATCCATGGTCTGTGATCATCCAGGTGTCTGGTTGTGCTCTTCATTTTTGACATGTTCAAGAACTGAATTTTTTTCCCAAATCATAAATAACTAAATGAGTGTAATGTCTGGTTTCTTTACTTCTGCAAGTGTTTTTAAAACAGGAAGAGAATCAATAAAATAAAAAGAAATTAATAAAACTCTTACTTTGGGTTTAAAAAGCATAGGTCCTTTTTAACATGTTGTCATCCCGAGAAATGACTGTTTCTCTTCTTGTTTTATCTACAGTGTTGGAGGAGACAGAGTTTACTCTACCACAGGCTGTTTTCTGCTGTTAGTCTGAGTGAATATGCTCATTTTCAAGGGTTCCAATAGGGAATATCTTTGAGGCTACTTAGATTCAGTTATGTTCTGAAATTATCCAAGTTGGCTTTTCGCACAGCCTGCAGTGACTAAGTAGATTCTGGTCATCCATCGGCTAATTTTGTGCTGTACAGTCCTATCTGCAGGAAATACTTGACAAGAATATACCAGTGATCAGTCCATTCACTTCCTGAAACTGAACCTAAATTGGCCTACTTACAAGACTTCATCAACAAAATTCAGATAAGGTTTCTGGAAAATATCTTTTGGTCCAACAATCTAGCCTTGAAAATGAAATCTACCATAAAGGAAAAAGCTTGACCCAGTGCTGTATTTCGTGTCTGTTCAGCTAATGTTTCATAAATAAAGAAGTATTTAAAGTCAGGGAAGGACTTTTAAAATTGTTTACTTGTTAAATACCTTGTCTTTTTTACCTCTTATATTTAAAACTAAATTATCAAGATGTAAACCCTAAAGCAAAAATTGTATTAAATGTATAAAACATTTCACCTTCCCTCCTCTCTCATCCACCTTACCTCTTTTTCTCTTCTTCCGCTTCTCCAACTGCCCCGCTTTGTTCATACCCTTGCTCGTAAAGCCCCCAAATCAACATGTTAGCTCAGTTTCAAATTAAGGTGTTTTCCTTTTCCCTAGTGGAAGATTTTCCATGCAAATTCCCTATGTTTTTGTACGTGACATTAGGAAACATTTAGGAGAAGGCTGCTAAAAATGTTGAGATAATACATCCATTGGAAAGGGGTAATTTCTAAGGTTGCAAGACTTGCTTTTTGGAATGTGGTGTAACATGTTCTTATTTATCCAGACCCCTTTGATCTGGAATTCGTAGTCCTTTAACAAAGACTGGGCTAAAGGTTGCCATTACATCTATGAAAATAATGTCTTAGGGAATTTAATGAATCTAATTACAAGTAAGTTCTGGCTATTTATTAATTAGAGACTTGCAGACAGTCTCTTGAAAGTAGTTTTATTGGCTTGATTTGAAAGTAATAAAACTACATAACTTTAGGTACCTACTCTCATTCCAAAAGTTCGATAATTCAAACTAGACTTTTCTCTAAATTAGTCCCAATTCATAAGGCTTTCCCTACCTTAGTTGCAGCACTGAGATTCTTCTAAATCGGCGCATAATGGGAAATTTCGAATTCTGGGAGAGAGATCCTGATTCCATTTAATATGGAATTCAATTTAATACTTAATTCCCCAAAATGACTCTAAAGAGTGAATGTGCCTTACAGAGGACAATACGTTATTAGTGACTGACTTAAACAAAGAGAGAATTGAGCCTATTAACCTATATCCCTGCCTCACATATGTCTTCAGGATGATCAAGAAATCAACTAGCCTGTTTTCCCTAGATCACAGGATGTTTGGAGCCTGGATCAGCTGAGGTTTTCTTAAAAGAAGAAATCGTGTAGCAAAATCTAGATTTTTTTTCAGATTCTGTGACTTTGTCTCAGGTCAGAATCCTGTTTCTAGGGTTGCCTTCATTGTAAAATCAGAGAAGAGCCTTCCCAGGGTACTTGTGCGGATCACTTAATATAATGACAAAGCATCTTGGAAAAAGACAAACGAGTTTTTCAAGTGAAACACGGTTTTTAAGAGTGGTGAAAGATGAAAGGGTTAATTGTTTCCTATATCGTTTATTCAAACCTGTAATTTAAAAATATTTCTACCCCATACTTGCAATGTGTATGGAGAGAATCCTTTTTGCCAGTTTTCACCCTGAGAAGAGTGAAATCTTTTGGAGATGTCATGTCTGTTGTGATATCCAAGTTTTTACACATCTTTTGTAGAAAGGATATTGATACTGTCCCACAGCAAACTATTTTTAGAGAAAGAATCAAAGCTTTTCAACAGCTGCCTGAATAGTGAACTAGAAGAGTGAGTTATCTCCTTTTCACATTGATCAGTGAATCATCTCAAAGTACTAAAAAATGGATACAGTTCTTCTCAGAATACAAAGAAACATGTCTGATATTGATTTATAAAAGCAAGACCTCTTCTTACCAACAAATCATCAATGAAATATATGTCCTTATTTATTGCCCAGGGCATCTCTTTTGTCAGCTCATCTCTAAAAGGATTTTTTTAAAATAAGTAGACTGTTTTAAATGTCTTCAAGTCCACTTCCAAGAGTTAATTTCTGTTACTTTTTAAAATGAAGTGGTTCCTTATCATACATCAAAATATGCTTTAATTATAGCTTAAGAAAGGCCAACATTTTAAGAAGAAAATCAAGAAAAAACAAAAAAAAGAAAGGCCAACATCTTTAAAAGGATTTGGTCCATGAAGTGCCCAAGACAAGTCATCAGAGATAGGCCACAGAAAAGATGGCATAGTGTATAGTAGAGCTAGCTATCTCAACTCTTTTGTGGAAATAAGCAAAGTATAAATTATTTCATTCATCCCAATAAAAAGTGAACAGAGTGACTTTTTGGAGTGTCTGGTGTGTCACACCTCATTCTCTGCTTAGCGTGGTCTTACTGGTCAATGTACTCCTTGCCCTAAACCCACCCCTGAACATGAGTCAGCATCAGAGTATGAGGGAGACAAGGGTCTCCCCAACTTCAGATAGACTAACAATCTTCCTATCCTAGTAAGCCGTCAGCATTCTTACTGGATGTCTTGGACTTTGGTATTTCTACCTCTAGGAAATTATTGTTTCCTCCAGAAGGAGGCGTGCTACCCTACCCCTCCCCTCCCTGTCTGTGACATACATCTTCTTGCCAGGAATCTCTGGGTTTCTTTAGTTCTCCTTTGCCCTCCTTGGTCAGAGGGTAGCAGAGAGAAAAGCTAGGTTTGCAGGGAAACTTGTTTTTCACTCTCATGGCATGCTCTGACATTCATGCTTTGGCAAGATTTGCCCACCCTGCACACCCAGGAAATCATTGCCAACATCTCCAACAACTGCCCTGCGTGTGAATGAGTGAATCTTGTAACAGTGTATGAACATCACTGAAATTAATGGACTCAAGTGCTTAGGAACACAGAACCCAAATATAATATTGACAGTTTTCTGTTAGAACTTGAACAATGGAAATGATAAGGGATTTGCATATACGCCCCAAAATCAAGTCTGTTAGTCTCAGTTATTCCTGATGTTTTTCTATTTTATTCTGCTTTGCCCAATATAAAATCCTACCTCGGGCATTTTCATAATAAGAAAGAGCTTTTGTGTCTGAAGGAGGAATATGCAATAGGGTATACGTATATAATCAAAGCCAAAGAACATTAACCGGGATCATAAAAATTTGGGCTGAATCTAGATCAACTGATATTTCCCACCATTTATCTAGCAAAGTTAGAGGACCCCTTTAGGCCTTAGCAGAAGACATCCATCAAAACTTGTTTTGCCACCAGGAACAGTGGCTCATGCCTGTAATCCCAGCACTTTGGGAGGCGGAGGCAGACGGATCACTTGAGGCCAGGTGTTGGAGACCAGCCTGGCCAATATGGCAAAAACGCATCTCTACTAAAAATACAAAAATTAGCCAGGCGTGGTGGCTCACGCCTATAATCCCAGCACTTTGGGAGGCCAAGGAGGACGGATCACTGAAGGCCAGGAGTTCGAGACCAGCCTGGCCAACATGGCAAAACCCCGTCTCTACTAAAAATACAAAAATTAGCCAGGTGTGGTAGCACACGCCTGTAATCCCAGCTACTCTGGATGCTAAGATATGAGAATCACTTGCACCCTGGAGGTGGAGGTTGTAGTGAGCCAAGATCGCACCACTGCACCCCAGCCTAGGTGACAGAGCGAGACTCTGTCTCAAAAAAAATTTTTTTTAATTTCTTACATTTTAAAACACTCATTTTGCCTTGTTATCCTACCAACAGTTAAAATGAACTTTTTAAGTGGCTGGGGCAGGACTGTTTATAATCTGTTGATCTAAAACATTCAAGTAATACAGTAAAATTTACTTCATTATACATCATATAAGCAGTTAAGCAAGTAAGATGTGGAGTGCCGCTCCTGGGTTGCAAGGGAGGTGGGGGTCATTGCTGGGTGGTTTCCATCCTACCTGAAGTTCCCACATGTACTTACCATGTGATTTGGGCAAGCGATTTAACCTGTCTGAGGTTTACTTTTTTAATCCCTACCATGGAAATATTTAGAGCACCTCCTTTACATGATTGTAGGGAAGATAGAAGGATATTGAATGTTTCTACAGCACTTAGCAATGTGCCCTCACAATAAGTGCTCACTGCTGTTATTAACTTCTACAATACAGATGACAGTTGCCTCAACTTGAGGATCACGTCCAGAAAAATTCTAGTATTGCACATTCTTGAGAATATTACCTAAGTCACCCAAACCTAGAACTAAACAGTGTCCCCAGATGCTACAGAGGTGCTCTCTCATGCCTTAAGAAAGGAAGAATCATTGAACCTGTAGGTGTATGTCTACAGATACCAAAGAAAGAGTGTTATAAAAGGAAAACCTCAATGCAATGAGCTATGGGGAAAAACTTGGTAGAAAACCTGGAGCGTTCTACTCCCTGAGTCCTATTGTTTGAAAGGCTAAGTGAGCTGATCATGGCTGTCTCAAGATTCAAAAACAAGTATTAAACTAAATCCAGGAAGCCAGCTAGTACATCTGTTTAATTACTAAATTATTAGATTTTTAATTAATAAAGTATTGCAAGTATCCATGTCTTTTCATTTTTTTCACTTTCTTCTTGGTCTTGGAGCTCTCTTATTACTCAGTATAAAGTAGCAAAACTCCTCATAGCTTAATTTAGCAACACAATTATGTCAGTATATGAAATAGAACAGTATAATTTACTTATATATTCAATATTTAGAAAAAATAAAAACAAGCGCTAGATGTTCCTACTAGCCTCTTTTCCTTGAATAAAGACCAAAAAAAAAGGTGTTGACTCTGTAGTCCTATGGCATCATCAGCTCAGATTTAGAACTCTCTAGATCCTTCTGGGCCAACTGTCTTATATTTGAATATGTGGAGCTAGAGGCCTAGAAACAGGTTAAGGTCCAAAACGATTCATCTCATAGTTATATGGACACAAAATTCCAGAATCACTGATTTCAAGAAAATATGAAACTGTTGTCTTGGGTCTTTGTTTTTCATATAGGGTTTCTTTAGAAGAACCATTCAGAAAAATCTCCATCCATCCTATTCCTGTAAATATGAAGGAAAATGTGTCATAGACAAAGTCACGCGAAATCAGTGCCAGGAATGTCGCTTTAAGAAATGCATCTATGTTGGCATGGCAACAGATTGTAAGTAGATCTTCACTTGCTTCATATTCAAGGAATGTTGATTAGGAAACAGTTTGGTTCAAGGAGATCGACTGGGCAGAAAAGAAGGCAGGAACCCAAGAAGACAGAGAAGGGAATACCTTACTTTCGCATACACCCCTCACTCCCCACATCCAGGCTTGCCCTGAAAGGGAGGTGGGAGCCATTGCTGGGTGGGTTCCATCCTACCCTGTCATACCACCTCCTAACTGTCAAAGTATGGATGATGGAGGAGGAAATGCAGTTAAATTATCCCTATCACATTTGCAGGCCTAGTTGTTAGCAACACTCTGTTTGAGACAGAGATTACAAATGAGAGGTCTGGTCCATTTACCTTGATAAGGTATCATTCTATACACAGTGTTCACATGGGGTAGAGCCTCAGGGACTAGTCCTAATATTTTTTCAAGAGCAAAGACAGGAATTTATTTTATGGACATTTTTGGAGATGGGGCGCTGGCAGAAAACATCGTGTTCAGAAATTTCTGAAGAATGCAAAGTTGAGTGCTATTGCATGAGTCATCCTGCAGTTGGTTGTTTGTTATATTTTTAGCAATAAAGACATTCCGAGCTGAAGTCGTCCTACCCAGTTTTCAAAGTGCTACAGCATATGGTGGCGAGATTAGCCCTTGGGGTCTCTTCTCCCCACACTGTGCGAGGGATTTACACCAGTCACTTTAATTAATCTAATCATAAAAATAAGAATCATGTCATTCAGAATGTGTGGCCTCCCTTTTGCCAGGCATCAGTATTAATGATTCTACTGGCATAAATTTTTTGCACATCAGTGAGAGATTCCAACTATTAGTTAAAAATTAAAAAGAAAAAGAAAGATAAAAAATGAAGAAAGAAAAAAGAAAATACAGTGAGGATTTTTCCTGATGAAAGAAGTAATCATGACTCACATTTTATGTGAGAAATAGAGTTCTTTCACTGAGAAAAAAAAATCTGTGAAATGTTCTGGTTTGCCCATTAAAGAAGAAGGAATGGAGAATCTTTAAAAAGGAAGAGGGTTATGTTAGAGTGTTAGGCTGGAAATCCTGGGTTAATCCCCACCTCTGGCTGAGTATTTTCTTTATCTTTATCTCTTAAAGGCCTTTAGCCCTTGCCAACAATATGCCTGATAGGGATATGTGAATATGATTGACTTACAGCCAAATACTTAGATATGCCACTATGACAAACTTATTATTGATTATCTATTTCAGTGTTCTATTGAGAAGTTTAAGATACTAGTGTCTATGAGGTTTAAAAACTCAGTGTTAATCTAGACTGTATGGAAATAAATTTTGAGTGCCCTTTACTTGCTTGTGAGGGATTCTAAGAGCTCAGGCTTTCTAATCAGAAAAACTTCTGTTCGAGTCCCAGATCTGTCACTTACTAGCTGTGTGACCTTTGGAATTAAGCTGAGATTTTCCTTCTGTGAAATCATTGCCTACCTTGTAGAGTTGTTTTCAAGATTAAATTAGATAATGTTCATCAAATACAACAGTCCCTGGCACACCGGAAGCATTTGGGAAGGGGTTGAGGGTATTATTACCATTCCTCCTTTCCCTTTAGTAACTGAACCAAAATGACTTAACAGGGCTCATTCATATTTTCCTCATTTGTAAGCGCTCACATGACTTTGACAATCCAATCAAATCTAAATGGTCTGGAATTTAATATTCTCTTTAAATTAGAATATTTAAATGGGAGACTAGCTAGGCACCTTGGTTCTCCTTCTCTTGCTATGTCTGCTTTTTTTCTTTTCCTACCAGGTCACACCTTCATCAAGAAATGGCCCTAGGACAGTGATGTCGTAGAACTGGAGTCAGGAGTCCTGGGTCTTGCCTTGGCTCTGCCATTAACTTGCTCTGTGACTTTAGGCAAGTCACGACCTCTCTGGATCAATTTCTTCTTCTTTCTGTGAAAAGACAGAGTAGGACTAGATGACGTCTAAGTTCCCTTCCAGTTCTAAAATACTATGACTCTGCAATGTAAAACCTGAGCCTTTCCATTCCATTGATAGTTACCAAGTCTAGTGAAACGGTTTTGGTTTTGGAAATTGACCACAGAAATATAGGTTTCTTGTTACCTGCCCTTCTGATTTTCCTTTCACCCAAATGATAGAAGTCAGGACTGCATTTACTGAGCACTTATAATGCATTATCACATTGAATACTCTGTGAAGTGGGTATTATTGAGCCCATTTTGTATAGGAAGAAATGAAAGCTCAGAGAACCTAAGGAACTTGCCAGAGGTCACACAGCTAGAATGTAATAATATCAGAATTCAAACCCAAGTCTTTCTAGATTCCAAAGCCTGGACTCTTTAACCACCCTTGAGGGTGGACCAGGTAGAGAATAATGTACAGTGAGTACCTTGAGGCCCAGGTGAGGCCCAGCCACATTCCAATTAGCCCTTAAGGGAGCCATGAAGAGTTGGGGTCCTTTTTCCTCTTAAAAAAAGGGATCACGAGCCTCCCACTTACTGCTCCATAACGTTTCTTTTTTTAATTCCATAACGTTTCTTTAACCTGAAGTTCTCTTTACTAAGAGCCGTTTTAGGGGAAGCGGGGAGGACAGAAACCCAGAGAGTGAATTCGGATGACTGGCTGGACAGATTTCTCTGTGATCTTGTGGGTAGTATGGATTTTACCTCTCTGCTTCACTCTGTTTTAGAACCACCTTCTGTGGAGTTGGAGTGCGCAGTGTCTAGGTTCTCTGGGGACTTTGTTTTGAAAAGCTGGCCGGTCATGGGGAGTTTGGCTCTAGAGACCATGTTGGACAAGACTAGTCAATGGCAGTTTGCTGGTGAGGAGAGAAACTGTCCCAGTGTGACCCACCCCGAAGGACCCAGTAAGCCATCTGTGCATCAGTGGTCCCACTCCTGAGGCTCCAGGAAGTGCAGCTTGCTGTGTATCTTGGGAGCATCTGTGTGCCTTGTCTCATCTTTCTCCCCCTCCCAGTGGTGCTGGATGACAGCAAGAGGCTGGCCAAGAGGAAGCTGATAGAGGAGAACCGGGAGAAAAGACGGCGGGAAGAGCTGCAGAAGTCCATCGGGCACAAGCCAGAGCCCACAGACGAGGAATGGGAGCTCATCAAAACTGTCACCGAAGCCCATGTGGCGACCAACGCCCAAGGCAGCCACTGGAAGCAAAAACGGAAATTCCTGGTAAGGCTTCCTTGCACAGATCAGTTTCACTTATATGCCAGTGTTTTCTACCTCAATTTATTCAGTCCTCATCACCTTGGGATACTGGTGTTATTGCCTCATTTTACTGATAGGGAAACCGTAGCTCTGAGAGGCTGAGTAACTTGCAAAGCTAGGATTTGAGTCTAGGTCTGTGTGAGAATAAAGGCCACTCCTACCATCTACTTTGTGATTTGCTGAATTCTAAAACAGTTTCTTAGGCCACATTATATCAGTTTGCTTTTACTGTTAGAAAGACCACTCCCAGACCAACTAATTAGTAAAATGTTTTGTCTGCCATCTTTTACTTTCTATACCCATTTCTTTCCTTAGATGCCCAGTATATACATATTTAGTCCCTGAACTCAATCCCAAATATTCCCTTTATAATAGCCTCTAGGCCTCAAGTATATTTTTATGTCAACAGAAGTCAAAATTTTTTAGCTTAAATTAAATGAGCTTGACTCAAGAAGGGCAATGGGAATGAGGGAGTAGGGATAGGGTTGGTGGGCACGAGTGTGTAGAGAAAAAAGACCTTCCAGACCCTTGCAATATTGATGTTTAATATTCTTATAAAAATTACCAGTTGTGAAAATTCTTCCCATTCATTTTTTATTCAGACTTCATAGTGTTTTGAGGTAAGCTGGAATTACTATCCCCATTTTACAGACATGCAAACCAAGCCCAAGGCCTTAAGCCGCTTGCCCAGGATCGCACTGCTAAAAGCCAGGCACCAAAACCAACTCGGTCTTCTGGTTCCAAGTCCAGGCTCTCCACCCACCTCATTAGAAAGACTACGTGCCCTACTAGTGCTGGACCATCTCAGAGACTGACTCTGCTCTTAGTTTATGATATAAAACCCTTTTCAAGTACCTACCTGACAACAGATATTCTGTGGTTTCATTTGTATCCCTAGGACACATTAGAGTACTTCCCCATCTGAACAAGAAGATATAGTGGTATAATTATCCTTGTACCTCAACATTAACATTACAATGAGATAGTGGATCTTTTTCTTAAAACAACATAACAACAACCTTAAAGGAAGTTTTGGAAAGAAAAGGCTTATACATAATTCACCTGTACTGACACAATTACTTTCGTTGTAATGAAACAATAGTGCCAGCACTTTGTTGATGGCTTTCACTAACAGCAATGTCAGCAAATACCTAGATGGCCTTTACCATATGCCAGGTACTATTCTAAGTGCTTTTCATTCATTAACTTCCTATACCAATCCTGTAGGTAGATGTGGTTAATATCTCCATTTTACAGAAGAGAGAAGTAAGACACAGAAGTTGAGGAAACTTGCCTGAGCTCCCACAACTGGTAAACAGTGGTGATGGATGCAGCCAGCTCCGGGATTTATGTCTCTATCCACTACCCTATGCAATCTTGGCACCTGCACAAACCCAAAAAGCCTCTGAAAGATCCCAGCTCTTTGGAGGAGCAGCCTCTCAGTGCCTTGATCTTGCATCTTCACCCCACCCTGGTATATCTGCCAGAAAATTCAAAAGCACTAATTCTGGATTGATAGACAAATTCTAACACAGTACACTTGGGGCATAGCAAGACAGAGTCCTACCTAATTGCAAACTTAAATCCATCCTTTCCCCAAATGTGTCACCCATAAATGGACATTGTAGAAACCACTTCCAGGCCTGGCACTGTCTCCTGATTTCAAGTCGTGACCAAGCTGAATTCCAAGTAAGGTAGAAGATTTGAAGTTCATCCTGGACTTCTCCCGGGAATTTTATACTTTTATTGTCTTTACTCCCCATAGAGAAGGGATACTAGTCCAACTAAACTTGTTTAAGTAGTCATAAGGTGCTTCTTTCCAGACTTTAAAGATTTGTTCCTTTATTTAAGAAACATTTATTGAGTGGATACTATGTGCCAGAAAGTAAATAAGTCAGGCACATTCCTCTAGTGGGAGGCAGATAATAAGAGATAAACAAACAAAATAAATGCAGGTAGTGGTAAGTGCAATGAAGGCAATAAACAGTGTGATGGGATGAAGAGTTTGTGAACTGGAAGTGGGGAGAGACTTCATTTCTGTGAACATGGTGGTCAGAAGAAGCATCTCTGAGGAGATGACGTTGTGCTATGTCTGGAAGCAGAGAAACCACCTCTATAAAGCAAAATATAATCAAATATCTTCGTGCTGTGTGGTCACAATATCTAGTCATTAGAACCAGTCTTGAGGTCTGCACTGTTCACTTAAAGGCTCCTAACAGTTCACCAGCCTGACCATCTATGGAAAGAATCTATGGCACAGAATGATTTGCCATTAGGCTTCTGTCAGAACCATGAGATTACCCATGCACAAGAGAGTTTTATTCTCCTTGTAGGGCTGACATGAAATGTATCTTTTGTAGATCTTTAATCTGCTCAAGAAATTGTCCATCTTGATTCAAATGTAAATAACTGCTTCTCCGAGCCATTTTTCCCTAGAGGGTTATTGGGAAGGATCAGGACTCTTCCACTGTCCTGTCTGTCTCTACAATGAACTTCATTTCTGTCAGCCAATCCCCTTCTGTGCCTGGGATAACCCCTGCATCTCTTCACAGGAGAACAATGTTCCATTCAGCCTCCACACTTGAGTATCTATGCTATGTGTGATGGAAACTTGTGGCAGCTTTTCTCCAAGATGGCTGCCATCAAATTATTTCTCATCTCTGTATACACAGCCCGTTCTCTCTCTGGGAGAGGTAGAGTCTGTTCCCCTCTCCCCTTGAATCTAGGCTGGTATCTGATGCCTTTAAACAGTGCATTTTGGCAGAAGTGATATTTAAGTTACTTCTAAGGTTGGGTCATAAGAAGCCTTGCAGCTTCCACTTGGGTACCTTGGGGGAGGGAAGCCACCTGGTCTCTCATAGCAGTTGACTATATATTAAAAAATAAGAATAATAAAAAATAATAATAAAGGTCCAACTACTCTGAGACCACCAGGCAGTGAGGAATCCCAAGCTAGCCATGTAAAAAGGCCACACAGAAAGAGAGATTCCCAAGCAGCCCAGGGACCAGAAATATGAGTAAAAAAGCCTTTACATGACACCAGCCTCTACTGCCATTTGATGGCAGCTGTATGAGGGCCCCCTAGCTGTGCCAATCAATCCCCAGAACTCAGAAAGAAAATTAAAAATTGTTGTTTTAAACCACAAAGTTTGGGGTTAGTTTGTTATACAGCAATAAATAACCAGAACAGAACTCGATAAATATTTGTTGAACTGAACATACAGTTCCACTCACCCATCCTTGGAGATAGTACAGTTAAGCCCTGTGTCTTAGCCAGTTTACATATTTACATATACTCCTTGCAGAAACGTGACTCCAACTGAGTATTTATGCTCAGGATGAAAATTTCACTCTTTTGAGTAGTGAATTAGTCCTGCAAGGACATTAAGAATCTTTACTTAAAGACAGCTTTGCTAAGTGGTATTCATGTACTGAAAGGTATCATGTACCAAACAGGCTTTTTTGCACATTAGAATTTGCCTCTCCTGTGTGCTAACACCCCTTTTCCTGTGCTTGCAACACTGCCACGTGTTATTTATTTTTTATGTGTTGATGTCCCATTTTGTTCCAAAAAAGAATTTGAGGAGGCCTATCATGTTAACAATAGTATAAAAATATGTCATATGGGATTACATGTTGTCATTAAAGCTGAAAGTATTCATTTATCTGGAATGGGTAAGTGCATTATTCCCTAAAAGGAGCTACTGACATAGTTTTCAGTCTAAGACCAGGACCCATTTTCACTTTAAGACCAGCACTCAAGTCAGAAATAGAGACAGGGCTGGCCACAGTGGCTCATGCCTGCAGTTTCAGCACTTTGGGAGGCCAAGGTGGGTGGATTGCTTGAGCCCAGAAGTGTGAGACCAGCCTGGTAAACATAGCGAGACTCCATCTCTACAAAAAATAAACAAATTTAGCCAGGCTTGGTGATACTCACCTGTGGTTCCCCACTACTCAGGAGGCTGAGGTAGATGGATCACTTAAGCCCAGGAGGTCAAGGCTACAGTGAGCTGTGATTATGCCACTCCACTCCAGACTGGACAACAGAGTAAAACCATGTCTCAAAAAAAAAAAAGAAAGAAAAGAAAAAGAAAGAAAGAAAGAAAAAGAAACAGAGACAGTGATTTGATCTGGATTTTAAATCTATATTTGGGTCTGAGAAAATTAGAGTCTTTGGCAAATGAGGAACTTTTGCAAAAGCCATTAAGATTTTCATAATAAATCTAAAGCCACTCTTTAAAGCTTCTCCCAAAAGCATTTAAATCATATAATTTTCTAGTTTTCTCCAATCTACTCAAATCTCTGAGGCTACAGAAATGCCTAATTTCACCACCAACAATTCATGTGTGATGACAGTAAGGATGAAAAGCAGAAGCAGGCTGAGAAGAGAACAAGCAGCATCTGATGCCAAACAAGGGAAAGCAGGTCACTCCACCAAGGGTAGCTCGCTTCTAGACCTCCAGTAGCAGCCCCTGACAGCAACAATCTTGTCTATTGACATCATTTATTATTGTCTGCTGACATTGTGTCATTATTCTGCTCCCTTAATTTTCATGCAAAGTTGTAGCTTTGGGTGAATGTCTACCCAAGTATAAAATGTGACCTTTAGGATCAGAGGAGACCTTTCCTACTTTTTCCCTGGCAGAGATACTGTCTGATTTCACACACTCAATTGGGGCAGCTTCAGACAAGGGGCATAAGCAGAAGGGTCAGACAGGGTGAGTGATGAGGCCATATTTGGTCTGTGTGCATAGCTCATAGTACAAGTGCAATCACGTCAGGAAGGCATCTATCACCCCAAGTTATTAGAATAACATCAGAAGAAGGCAGGATAATCTAGTAGTTACATGAATGGAGATTGGAACCAGACAGCCAAGGTTCCATGCTTGCCTTTGTTGCTTTTTTAAGTGTGACTTCTTTGGGCAAGTTATTTCAGGCTCAGTTGCCTTATGCCCTTGCTGAATGGCATAAAGCAATAGATACAAGTGGGTTAACACTGCCTGGCATATTGTTAGCAACCACGTAAGTGGTTACTACATGCACTATCCTTACCACCCCCACACCCCGCACTGCCACCATCTTATTCCTGCTCATCCCAGGAAAAGGGTGAGGCTGTAGTCATATCCCATGGCCCAAGGACCTTGAATTATTATCTGCCCAGGTCTTCCTGTCTAGCCTGGCAAAGGTACAAGAAGACATCCTATGAACAAGTGAAGAAGTGAGAGTCCCATCTGGCCCCACTCCATTCTGCATGTGTCAGAGAGTTACCTTTTCAAGCCAAGAAGTCCTTGGCTCTGAGCCAAGGACTCAGCAGAGGTCAGCTGGCAGCGTTTCCTACTCACCTTGAACAATACTAATGAAATAGTCAAAGCAGAAAGCCAGTTGGCCACGATTTGCATAAGACCAGCCTCACCCGTGCTGAGCAGGGGCTGAGGTCACCCCTGAACACACACCTGAATCTCTCCTTTTGCACCCTCCACCCCCACTACCCCAAGAAGTCATTCTGGATTCCTTACCCCACAGCCAGTCCATTTTTGGCCCTTGTTTTCAGCTGCCAATATACAACTGTAATTCTCTAGGCCTCTCCATCTCTACTGCCATCCCCATAGTGCACTTCAGCCTGCCCAAACCACAGCTGTTTCCTGCCTGTTTTTTCCTTTGACTCCCCGCATATCTTCTCCATGCAGTAACCATCGTGTCATGTCTATGCCCTGTTTACAGCCCTTCAGTAGATGCCCCATTGCATTTAGAATAAGCCCATCTCCTTTCTATGGTCTACAATGCCTAGCATCACGGATCCCCCTGCCTACCTCTGCTTCCTCATTTCATGCCATCACTGGGCTCTAACCACACGGGCCTCCTTTCTGGCTTTGGGACTTTGCACTGGCTTTCCTCTCTGCCTTGAGTGTTCTTCCTCTGGCCCTAAGGAAAGCTACTTCCTTGACATTCCTCAAGTCAAAGTCCACACATTGCTTCTCAAAGGGGCCTTGGCTGACCTTCCTTTCTCCTGCCTCCCCATGTATTATCATGTCACCTCCAGACTTATCACAAATTCTTCCACGAATACATGTTTCTTATTTATTGTCTATCTCCCCTCACTACAATGCAAGGTCCTTGAGGATACACTGTTCATTGCTGTAACCTCAGCATCTAAAACTAGGCCTGGCCCACAGTACCTGCTCAATAAATATTGGTATAAGTATACATTCATTCACTCACTCAACCAATAAGCATTCTGTCCTCCACAACTTGGCCCAATGCCTTGTACACAGTAGGCAAAGACAAGTAAGACTTATTCTCTACCCCCTTAAGTTCATATCTTTGGTGTGTACTTACATAACTATAATAAAAAGTGATAGTAATAAATGCCTAAATACCATATGACTCATAGTCATGGGCCACCATGTGTGTTTGAATGAGGTAAATGTCATTTCAAACTGAGGTCACCTGGGAAAACATCTAGGAGAAGATAGAACTTGAGTTGGGTCTTGAAGAGAAAATAGGATTTGGAAAAGACAGAGATGAGAGACAGAAGTGGGGGCTTTGGAGAAAGCAAAAGTCTGGAGAGAAGGCAGCAGTGAAATGGGAAAATGTAAGGCAAGCTGTAGGGGAGACATAGAGCAGACAGCTGGGCTAGCTCAGGAAGTCCATTTAGGGCAAAGAGAGGATATCAGAATGAGAGTTGAAAATACCACCATGAGCTAGCTCAGGCAGTTGGATCCACAGAGGCAAAAAGCAGGCTTTCCCCACAGGTCTACAGTGGTGAATCTACAAGCAAGCTAGAGACTTATCATCAGTATTGGAGCTTGATCTTGGGCACATAAATACATATGTGTATATGAGCAAATGTATTTCATATAGTAGTTTACGAGGCTATTAGCTATAATAAGATATCTAATGGGTTCAACTAATGTGAAATATTTATACTCTATTTTTAACATCTTCCAAATATTTTAGAAAATTATGTATTTTTGTTATAGGTGAAAAATCTTCAGGGAAGTAACAAACAGGGTTTCACTGCTCAACCTTGATTAACCTGATAATAACTCGGGTCAATTCATGGATATAGACAAACAGATAGATAGATTCTTTTTTGTTGTTCTGGTATCTAAGATCCATTATGGAAAAAAATCTTAATGATAAAATCAAAGGGTTTTACTTTGTTCATAGTTTTACTTCTAGCAATTTTGTAGTCCATTAAATAGCCAGAGGCTTAAAAGTGAATTTTTTATTCTACCTTGATATATATTTCCATCAGAAAACTTGTGAGCTTGTTACATTTGGGGGTTTAGTTTTACTTAAAATTGCCATATTTCCTTGCATACTTTCTCTCCTTTTTTCAAATCTTTACACATGTCACAAGTGGAATTCAAATAATCTACACACCCACAAATTGAATGAAAAAATTAACATCAGTATTAACCCACCAACATTTCAAAGGACACTCAGTGCCATTTAAATATATCAGATCAGCTCTATCAGTATTCATTGAGAGATGTTTAGATTCAGCCAGGCCAAAACAATGTTATTACACTTCTTAATTTTATTTTTATTTTAAAAAGTTCATCCTACATATATATAATTATATAGATATGTAATTAATATATATTTATGTATTATATATATATATATATATATATATATGACTCTCTGCCTTTTTGAATGTGTGCCCACATTCCTTTTATCAGTTGATCTTCATAAAAGACTTGTCAAGTAGACAAGGTCAGTGAGATGAGCCTCAGTTTCAGGAATGAGAAGAAATTATAAAGAAGAGCAGGGATATCTGAAGGCTGCAGGGAGCAGCATTACCAAAGGAGGAACACAGGTACCTTTTACTTTAGCACAATCTAGGTGAGAAAGAGGGAAGTAGAAGGAGGCTGTACATGTGATTATTTCATCAATTCTGCCTGCTCCCAGAGAGCCAGCCGAACAGTGGCCTTCCCTGGGCTTGCTATGCCAACAGTTGCCCCAAAACATTCTCAATCATTGTGAAACACGACAGAAACCAGGTTTCATCCACTCACTGCCAGCAACACACACAAAAAAATAAAGTAAAAAATAAACAGAAGACAATGCTGGATGGTCAAAAAAAGTTAAATGCTGCCAGCATTTGTTATGTATTAATAATATGTTTTTAAAACCTTCCCCTGAGGCTGTAAGCATGACTCCTGGGCTGCTCCTGTTGACCCTGGTGCTCTGGCACCAAGAAGAGTAAAAGAATCATCTTTTGCTTTTTCTTCTGCTAAAAATGTGATGTGAGCAGTAACAGGAGATATGCGGGAGGAGGCAAGGGAACTGGATTACTCTAAGCTGGACTTGGTTACTGCTAACTCAGTGGTTCTCAAAGAGTGGGCCCAGAGCAGCTTCATCAGCACACCCTGGGAACTTGTTAGAAATGCAGATTCCCAAGCTCCATCCCTGACCTGCTGAATCAAATACACTGGGGATGGGGCCCAGAAATCAAGTGATACTGACGCACAGTGAAGTTTGGGGGCCACTATGTTAGGCTAGTCTCACCACTGGCAGTGTCCTCACTGCTCTGCAAGTGAGGAATTCTATTTTGCTCATCTCACTCACAGTGTCAGTTCCTCATTCCCATCCCCCTTTCCTACCCCCATCTCCAAGCCCCTGGGTGCGGAAAAGAGAACTGGTCTTGTTCTTGTCTATTCACTGTGGCTCTAGGCAAAGGTGGCCACCACTGGGTAGGGCTTGAGTCTGTGATCTCCTTGGTCACATTCACATCTTTCTGGGAGACAGCTGGAGAGGCTGGCTAGGAGGGTGTTCAGAGGAGTAGAGATACTGTTCATTAGTGTCAAAAGGTCCACAGGGAGTAAAAGCCTTGAAGTAGGGGTGAGGAGGTGTGGAGCTCCGGGGAGACTGCTGTGTGGAGTCAGGGCCACCCAGATCGCAGGCCTGGCCTCAGCAGCTTGCTCTTAACCTTTCTGATCCCTAGTTTGCTCACCTGCGAATCAGGATTTGAATGAGGACTACTTGAGACAGGGTAGTGTGCAAAGTGGCTGGCTCACTTGTAGGCCACAAATAAATGGTGGTTATGATCATCACAAAGACAAGGAGGAGAAGTGGAGCAGACTCTTCCTGAAGGAAGCACTGGGTGACAGCAGGAGACACATGGACACAGATCACATCAGGGAGGTCACTGAATGAGAAACTCAGGAGTCAGATGGCTACTGTGGACGTTGGGAAGCATATAAGTCACCTGGAGGTCTTGCTAAAATGCTGATTCTGTACCACCTGGTCTGGAGAGGGGCCTGAGAAGAAGTCCCCTGGTGACACCCAGGCTGCTGCACTACGCTTTGAGCAACAAGGCCATGGATTGTTCTTGAGCAAGTAAACAGCAGAGAACTGCCCTAGGGACATTAAATACTAGTAAATTCACCACTCTGCCCTAAAGTTTGCCAAGTTTCCTGTAGACAGCCTAGCAATCTTCCCCCTCAACCCTCAGCTGAGACCACCTCAAACTGGAGTCTGTAGGGCAGAGGGGAGCTTCAAGCCCCAGCTGGGTCAGAAGCAAGAATCCACAGGGCGCTGTTTGCTAGGGCCCACCCATCGCTCTGCTCTATCACTGCCCACGGTGTGCCCACCTCCCACACACAGACACACACCAGCATGTGCAGTGCTCTGAAAATGCCATCCCAGAGCCCCTGGAATTTATGTCACCTTACCTAAGTATACACCCTTTGTGCATTCAGAAGCAGGACCCAAATTCCTGTCCTTTCTCTGATCTCTCTCTCTCTCTCTCTCTCTCTCTTTCTGCAGCAACAGTCCTGTAAACATTGTCACTGAGGGCCTATTAAAGCAATGGCCAAAACATATATCTTTACTCAAAGATGTGTAAACTGTACAGTTTGTTAACAAATGATGTGAAAACTGGAAACTGTACAGGATATCAGTTCAGAAGAGATTTTCTGCCACATAAGAACTATGATAAATAAAGCTCCCTTCAACTTCTTCATTTAAATCTTTCTTTTTTCTCCTCCTTAGCCAGAAGACATTGGACAAGCACCAATAGTCAATGCCCCAGAAGGTGGAAAGGTTGACTTGGAAGCCTTCAGCCATTTTACAAAAATCATCACACCAGCAATTACCAGAGTGGTGGATTTTGCCAAAAAGTTGCCTATGTTTTGTGAGGTGAGGATGTTGTTTTTCCTTCTGCATTATTCTTAATTATAGTTTCATCAGTTTCCAGGAATACTGGGTATTATTTACAATTTAATGTTAATTAGTAGGGACTTAATCATATGAAAGCAACGTCAGTACAAAACGAAAATGCATTCTATTTCATTTGGATTTCCCACTTTCTGTATTTAGTCATCATTCATTAGCTTGTCCGTGTAAGGCCCATCAAGATCCTATTCATCCCCCTGATTCCAGGCATTGAGAAATAATGATAGCAATAGATTCCATTTATTCTGCACCTATGCTGTCCTAGTTACCACACTCAGGTGCTCAGGTTTGCCCACATTCAATCTAATCCTTCTAACCGATTTGCAGGGTTGCTTGTATTAACCCCATTTTCAGACGGGGACAATCAAGATCAAAGAGATTAAGTTATCCAAATGTGACATCATGGTTAGAGCCTAGGTCTGTATTCTTCTCAGTGCATATCCCAGTGAGATGACTGTGTGGTCGTTTCTTAATCCTCAAGAATAAGTTAAATGCCCCTCATAGAACCAGGCTCTTAATATCCCCACAAATCTTTCGTCTTTTCCTATAAGCTCACTCTTGCTTGTCCCATCTTCAGGGCACCCTGTAGAGCTGTCCCACCGGAGTTCTTCGACTTTCCCTTTGGGACACTTGAACTTTATCAGGCCTGCCCTGTGGTGGCTGATGCCACAGTCTCTACAGTCAGCTACATGGGCAAGAATCCTAAACAAGTTACCCAATGTCTTCAAACTTCACTTATCTCATCTTTAAAATGGGGATTACAATAATGTCTACCTCTTAGAGCTGTTGAAAGGTTTTTTAAGTGGGATAATATATTTGTAAAGTGATTAGACAGTGCCTGGGTTATAATAAGTATTCCATAGTTTAACTGCTAATACTGCTTTTATTTTATCTGTTACATTTCCATCCTGCCTCTAACCTTCTTCTTTTTTAATCAAATGGGGTTATGTTTTCTGGAAAACTTTAAAAAAATTTCGTAAGATTCTTGTCTCTTGCTCTGTATACCTTCAAGAGGACCCAGAAAGATACCAAATAGAGAGGGTCACGGACAGCTGTGAGCCTCTTAGGTAAGCAGGCTGAGTGATAAGTGATCCTGGTCTCACCTAAAAAGAAGCTAAGTTTCCTCACCTGGAATGACTCCTGCTGCCTTGGCTTCCAGCTCTCTTCTGTCTTTGAGTTTGCAATAATGGGAGCCTAGCTGGAATCAGAGGGACACAGAGACCTCAGACATTATGGGGACACTTCTCATTGCCAATTTCTGAGCCTCCACAGAAGCCATACCCAGAAGGACAGGAAAGTGGGCTTCGGGAAACAGATATCTTGCCCCTAGACCTACCTGAGAGAGCACGTTTGCCTCCCTCTTAGCCCCAGCTTCACTGTGGTGGGGGCCAGGTGTCTTAGTTCAGGCCACTGCAACAGAATACCATAGACTGAGTGGCTTAAAAACAATAGAAGTTTATGTCTTACAGTTCTGGAGGCTGGGACGTTCACGATCAAGTTACCAGCAGATTCACTGTCTGGTGAGGGCCTGCTTCCTGATTCATAGACAGCTGTCTTCTCATTGTGTCCCTTCATGATGGACAGGACAAGGGAGATCTTTGGGATGTCTTTTACAAGGGCACAAATCCCATTCATTAGGGCCCCACTCTCATGACCTCATCACCTCCCAAAGGCCCCGCCTTCAATACCATCACACTGGGGATTAGGTTGCAACATATGGATTTTGAAGGGATACAGACATTCAGTCTATAGCACCAGGGTACCTGATATGCTAGTACCCACAGCCTTGCAGTAGCAATGACTCATACCCCACCCCTAAAGAAGTCAGTAGATACTGAGGAAGGGACTTTGACTTATATCTCTGTGTTGGCCATGGAGCTTCCCATGCCTTTGACGCCTTTTTTAGAAGTAGACATCTATTAACATTTTAGAGGATATTACAAAAATTATACGTATTCATTGAAGGTTTATTTATACAACATAATAAAGGTAATGATTTATGGTAACACTACCACAAGATTTTGGCACCTATTTTAGTCTTTTTTCAAATATTTGTGTGTGTGCACACACACATATACACATACATACATATATATGAAGTATAAAACATATTTAATATAATGCATACCACAATGTACTGTGTATGAAATTATTTTTAACTTTTTATTAAAGAATGTGGATATGTCATAAGAGTGCAGCTCAATAAATTTTTACAAACTGAACCCACCCACATGATCGGCACCAAAAGAAGCAGATCGTTACCAGCACCTGTCACTGTACCAACTTTTTACCTTCAATGGGAGGACATAGCGTTTACATATTTTTTCACAAAATGATTTCCAATGACCACATAGTATTCCAAAGAATACATCTACCATAAATTCTGTTATCTGTTTTTACTGGATCTATAGTTCATTTCCAATTTTTCACTAATAAAAATATGCTCCTGTGAATGTTCTGGCAACTATATCCTGCCCGCATCACTGACTATGTCTGAAGGGTAAAGCCTGGACATGGAATTTAAGGACCGAGATATACAGGCTTTTGATATGTGTTGCCAGAGTGCCCTCGAGAAAGTATGTGCACTCTCACATCTGCACCGAAGGGCTTGTTTCCCCTCACTCTTGCCAGTTCTGGCTGTCATCGTTCTCTTTTGTCTGAGGGGATGGTTTTGTTTTCCTGGACCTCTCTTGGTCCTCTCTCTGGCTGTGTCCCTTTGCCCCCAGTTCTTGGGTCTGAGGAGGAACTCTACTGAGTCTGTCACCCCTACAACTCTAGCCAGCCTGCCAGTCATATGGTACCCTTTGAATGCCACCGCCCCCCCAGCCCCTGAGATGGTTTTTTTCCAGTGTAAAACTCATGTAAACCACTGAAGAGATATTTCAGTTGAAGGAAGAAAACAGAAGCAGCAGCCATCTCCGCCACCAGGAGCAAACACACTGCGCACTTTCATCCACGGCAAGGGCGAGGGGTCAACGTGGAACTTTTCAAGCATGGGTTGTGGCAAGCTTATCTATCCAAGTTTCCCTAAAAGTCCAAGCTGTTTCATTTTTGATTCCATCTCTCCTTCTACCCTGATATCGTGTGGTCTGCCAATTACAAAAGACAATGGTGGCGGGATGGTGGGAGCACCTTTACAGCAAAGCACCTTTGCATGTACTTTCTGTCTTTGAGGCCTCCTGATGACCTTTAGCCTTTTATATTCTCTCTCAAACCCAAAAGAGGTGAATTAACTGTATAGGTTCGTGAGCTACCCATGGAGTGGGCTGGAGATCTCAGGTGGTCTTGAGAGCCAGGGGTCTCTTGCCAGAGGCAGTTTATCACATCTGCTATTCAAACTGTGTTCATGATAATTGTTCTAAGATCCACGCCAACCCACCAAACAAGACTGGCATGACACCAGGGGCTTCACAAGATCTAAAATCATCGCCGGCAGAGCTGCCAAAACAACATGCAAAACCACTCCTAGAGTGCAGGGCCCTGTCGTCTTTGCCAGTCAACCTGAGTGATGCTCTCCTAAGGAAGCAGGAAGAACCTGTGGGAGTATCCCTGCATCTCTGCCTGTCAGGCCCTTGTTGAGTGTTCTCACAATGAAAGCATTTTGGCAGGTGTCTAAGAGATTATTTGCCCACGTGTTGAAACAAATCTCACCAGGATCCTACAAATCCCTCTTAAAGGAAAAGGCATCTGGCCTAGTTTTTAAACCATTGGTGATCCTTTGCAAATACTTATTCAGCTTTTATTTAAATTTGAACTAATCTTCAACAGTTGGTATTTAAACTAGAAATTTGGAAAAGAAAATTTCTACTTCATCTATAATCAGAATTGGTTTCAAAAGTGGGGCCTGCCCCAGTTTGCATACTTTGTGACACATTTTAAAAATAAATGGTTTGATCTGATTAGTAACTTCTTGTTGCTGTTCTATGCTAGTGGTTCTCAAGAGTGGGATCTGTGAACCAGCAACATAAGCATTACCTGGGAACTTGGGGGAAATGCAGAAACTCAGAGGTTGGGGTCAGCAATCTGTGTTTAACAATCAGAACCTAGACAAAAGCAAATCACAGTGCTTTTTAAAAAATGAGCGGAAGGAGAGAATTCATATGTATGGATTCCAGAATCAAATATGCAATGACTTTTATTCTGAAGAAAAAGCCAAGCAGTTTGAAATTAAATGGTAAAGTGACTAGGCTGAGCTAGTAAAAAACATAAAATGCCCAGTATTTTAGATGTAATTCAGTTGTATTACTTTTATATAATAACCTAAATTGGACTGGTTGAGTATTGCCAAGAGCGTTTCCCAAAAGGAATTTGTAACTGCTCTAATGAAGAGACAGATATTAGGTGTAACTCACATATTTGTTGTTTATGGAAACTTAGTCATATCCATGGTAAAAAAAAAAAAAAAAAAAAAAAAAAGAGTTATGTTTCCTTCTTCTCTTGGCATTGGATTCTGACAGATCCAGTTTCAAATCCTAGCCTCACCCATGAAACATTCATTTGACCACCCCCGCCCCCACCCAGCTTGTTACCCTCTCAGTGCCTGGATTTCCACATCTGTAAGTAATATGGAATTAGAATATTTACTTCATTGTACTGCTGTGAAGATTAAATGAGGTGATGCATGGAAATCTGGGCATGATGCCCAATTCATCAAACACACCCATTTACTAATAGCTTTCCAAACTCCTTTGATAATGGCATTTAATTAAATAGTCTCCCCTTCCAGAAAATAAAATTCTTATTTTGCCTATAAGCAAAGGTATTTTTTATTATTAACGTTGCCACATTCTCACAAATCTTAACTAACAGGGTAACCAAATGAGCTTAAAAGGAGATTGCAACACTGGCAGAAAGACCCAGTGTGTTGAGTAATCCTGTGTCTAAGGTGCTGAGAAGAACACAACCTTGGGAGTCAGGAGGTCTGAATTCTGCTCTCCCCTCTGCCTTCAAGTCCCTGGGTGACTTTAGATGAAGCTTATATCTCTGGGCCTCATGGGCAACATGTATCTCTGCCAACAACCCTCTAGCTTTGTGCCAAGAGGCTACAAGAGCAAACGTGCTTCAAAAACCAAAAGGAAGCCCAGTTGCCAGCTAAACAGTAGGGTAAGCTGTTACCTATTCAAGCTACAAGACAAAAAACCAAACAAACAAAAATGGAGAGTTTAACATAAACCCTGCTCTCAAGCAGTTATCAGTTGAAGTTATAATACAAACCCCCAAACTGAGGGGTTATTAGCACAGTTTCACACACGACTGTAATAGCAGTTGGAGAACTGTGTCTGTCATAAAAGCAATGCAAACTCCTGAGGTTAAAGTTGGTGAAGATTACAGTCAACTTTGAGTATGAAAAATGGTTGTCGAAAGTCTGCAGCCAAGTAGGGAAGGGAAAACCATGGGCTCAAAGAATGCAGGACAAATGTTAATCACAGAAGGTTATTCCTATTGCTTTTAAGATACTGTATGTTGTTCCTGACTGGCATTTTTGCATTTGTTCTTTGCTGACATGAACTGGTTCTTTTCAGCTGCCATGTGAAGACCAGATCATCCTCCTCAAAGGCTGCTGCATGGAGATCATGTCCCTTCGCGCTGCTGTGCGCTATGACCCAGAAAGTGAGACTTTAACCTTGAATGGGGAAATGGCAGTGACACGGGGCCAGCTGAAAAATGGGGGTCTTGGGGTGGTGTCAGACGCCATCTTTGACCTGGGCATGTCTCTGTCTTCTTTCAACCTGGATGACACTGAAGTAGCCCTCCTTCAGGCCGTCCTGCTGATGTCTTCAGGTGAGTACGCCTAGACTCGTTAGTGGGCATCCAAAGAGCTTTTGCTTGTCTAGCGCTAATTCCAATCACTTGAGTTTTCAGTCCCCCTTTAGCTTCAGAAACATAGCTCACTCTTCTTCAGTAAGAAATTGCAGGTTTGCCAGTGGACTGGGAACTTAAAGGGGGGGCGTCAGATGTCTGATGCTTTTTGCAGTGTCCCAGGATAGAAAGAAGCCAAAGGAGCCATCTTAAAGACTCTACGAAGTGATCCGCCTTTGGTGGATACTGTGCAGCCCTCTTCGTAGTCTTTGGCCAAACCTGCCTCCTTCTGGTTTGGGGTATGCCAGATATGGATGTGAGTGACCACACGATTGTGTGTTAAGTTCTGTGTGTGGAAACCGCGGATGCAGGCTAGAATTTGTTCATGGCTTAGCTACAACTGAAGTTTTAGTTATCTGTTGCTAAATAGCACACCGACCCAAAACTTAGTGGCTTAAACATCCAAGATGGCTGGAGTTCAGCTGGGACATCAAACACTGGTTCAGGCCTCCCTCTATGCGGCCTTTCCTCCGGCAGGGTAGACTTCTTACTTGGCTGTTGATTTCCAAGAGAAAGAGTCCCAAGCACACGAAAACAGAAGTTGCAGATCCCATGAGGCCCAGTCTCAAATCACACAGGATCCCTTCATCCACACTGGATTGGCCCAAACAAGTCTGAGTGCCAGCCAGGACTCAACGGTCCCCCTGTAGATGGGAGGATAGCACAGAATGGGCAGCCGTCTGTAAGCCACTACACATCAAACCCTTTCAGGGAAGATAATTTTAAATAGAAGTGGTTTCAGAGTCCTCTGCATTTTCAGGGCACCCAAGTGTAGATGTGCTTTGGCACTTGTCACTCTGCACTGTAACTACCTGCTTCACTTGTCCACGTAAGTCCCTGTGGACTTCTTTTTTTTGAGGACATAGATGTGTCTAACTGTACATCCAGCACCTAGGCCAGTGTGCAATAGAATTCAAGAAATGCTTATTGGATAAATGGCTGAATATGTGGATAAAATATCGGTCACAAGTACATCGAGAATTCTTTGTAGAGTTGCTGCTTCCTGGTTAACTCAGTAGGAAATTTTTTTTTTTTAACCTGAGACACGGTCTTGCTCTGTTGCCCAGGCTGGAGTGCAGTGGTGTAAAGACAGCTCATCGCAGGCTTGACCTGCTGGGCTTAGGAGATTCTCCTGCCTCAGCCTCTCCAAGCACACGCCACCACCCCTGGCTAATTTTTTATTGTTTTGTAGAGAGAAACAGGTCTCACTATGTTGCCCAGTCTGGTCTTGAACTCCTGGGCTCAAGTGATCTTCTCACCTCAGCCTCCTAAAGTGCTGGGATTATAGGCATGAGCCACCACGCCTGGCCTAGAATTCTTTTTTTAAAGCTAATCTAGAAATGTATTTACTATAGGAAATTTAGATATGGCAGACTTTTAAAAAAAGAAAGAAATAATTCTTTTTATTATGGAAAATTTCAAGGGTAAGCAGATAGAATAGCATAATGAACTCCCATGTACACTGTGGCACCCAGACTCCAGACCGGCCTCCTACACTCCCCACCACCTCCTAATGTTCACACCTTGGATAATCTCCTGTCCTTCAGTGTGTGCAGGACCTGTACCTTGCTTCTAGCCAAGAGAATATGGCAAATTTGATGTCACCCCTTGTGATTACATTACATAATCTAAGATTCCCTCTTGCTGGCAGACTTGCTCTAGGGACTCTCCGTGCCAGCTTCATGAAGTAAACCGCCATGTGGGGAAAGTTCCCATGACAGGAGCTATAGATGACCTCTAGGGCTGAGGGTGGTCTCCAGTGACAGCCAGCAAGAAATGGGGCCCACAGTCGTTCAGGAGAATTAGTCTCAAAGAAATAAAATTTATAGCTTATCCAAGGACTCCTTGTGTGACTTTGGGTGACCCCTAGCTTCTCTGGACTTCAGTGACCTTTAAAATGAAGAAATTAAGCTACATACACGGGAATTATATTTCTGGAGGGACTCATGGTAATTTTTTTAGCTGAGATTTTAGAGGTACAAAGACAGTTTTAAATAATGTTGAATCACACCACGAGAAAGCTGTTTCTCTGACGGTTTTCTTCCTGGTTATATCTCCTTCCAAATAAGGCAAGGAGAGAGATTCGGTGTGGTGCTAGTCTGCCTTTAACACCTCTCTTGACACTTACCTTCTTTTTTAACAAAGAGAGAGTGGATCTCAGGAGCAATGTTCAGCCAGAACCTTCAGCTCCAAAGTAACAAAGGCTTTTGCCATGCATCTATTTTTGTGGTTATCTTCTGATTTATGTCAAATGGATTTTTATTACTGAATAATAAGATGTTTCCTCTGTAGTGGGTCAGTTTAACAGATTATTAAGCAAATAATCTAAGTAAGGTAGATAAAAGGAAAAGTAGGTGGAGATGACAAAAACTGTGAATGTGATGCCAAACACTATCAAACACCAAACTGAATGATTCTTCCCAGTTCTCTCATGTTGTGAGGCTGACACTGCCTGACAGCTACAGGACAACTTAATAACTTTTCACAATCCACCCTCCCCAGTGATGTGGACCCTCTTCATTAATACTGCCAGGACCAGAAAAATATTACAAGACATTGTGCATTTGGCAAATGATAGCTGCGTGTCAGGGCCCCAAGTCTCCAGTTCTATCATGGGGCCTGATGTTCTAAGCCCCATGTTTTGTGTGCCATTTCGGTTACACAATATCTTAGACTTTTTCTTCAAAGACTTTTCCAAGAGCCACTACTTCTAAGTTCCTTGGTCCCACAGTGCAAAGAGAAAAAATGAAAATGATCTGAAAGACATTTCTTTAAGAACTTTTGTCTTAAGGAGTTAAAATGGTCTTCAGTCTTTAAAATGTTTCTCTCTTCATAAACCTGTTCAGTGTGATTCAAGCATCATCAAAATGTCAATTTGTACTCGCTATGTCATTTACGTGGCCATCTCGTCTTTATCTCTTTGATGCCACAAAACCCACATTATATTTTTCCCTTTGAAAGAACACATCCAAAGCAATAATATGTTGATCTTCTATTTGGGTCAAAAATTAAAGGATCCTGTGGAAAATTCTTGCACACTCAAAGAAAGAGAGAAGATAGGGGAAAGGGAGAGAGGGAGAACCAGCAAATCTGCAGAGCAGCTTCATCAAATATGAAGGAAAACACAAGATAAAAATGCACGAATTGCCATTTGTGCTAAATAGGGGATTCCAAAAGCCCATATGGTTTGTTAGTTTGTTTAGACTCAGAAGGGTGAATTGAGACATTAGCCCTGATCCTTCCTTTCCAATGAAGCAGAACCCTGTTTCGATTCCTATTGATACAGACACCTCAATAATTGGACCTTTGAAGTGTGAATTCATTTGATCAGAGCCACAAAGAACAAACTGAAGAGAACTTAGCAGGGGCACGTTGGGCCTCCTGGAGCTATTTGAGGAATTCATCCGGGTTTATAGATTATTTTTGTCAGCCAAGTGTCTGCAGCCCAACTATTCCCCAGTTGCCCAGCCTCCTTGTGTCACCCCTTTGTTTGCCACTTTTGGAAACTGACTTGAGCCTCTCCCACATACTATGGGAAGCCCAGTAGTCTGCACAGGACTTGGGAAGATTTGCTGGGCTTTCCAGGGTCCCGGTGTCTTCTCACTCCAGCTCCCACTATAGCTGTTCTCTTCTCTGCATGGGGTGACTCTGGCACAGCTCCCCTCCCCTTTTCATTTCAATTCCAAAATCATGACTAATACAAGGCTGCTACTGGTAGCAATTTTACTAAAGGCATAAGGGAAGGGAAAGGCCAGTTCATTGCAGCCTGGAAGACAACACAAAATTAAACATGGTGTTTCTTGGTCCTCAAGGAAATGTCTTACTATTCCGCGTTCCTCCTTTGGCCTCAGGCCTGCTGCAATGTCCCCAGTCCCTTCATATATCTCCCCCTTCTATGCATGTCCACGCTCATCCTCTCCTCTCTGCCAGGCAGCCAGTGAAAATTCAAAATTGTTCCCCTCATCTTGCAGAATATTTCAGCTATGTCAGGCTTCTCCTTCTGTACCCTAGGAGGGAGGCATCACCTTTCACACTCAAGAAGGTAATTCACACTCAAGCTAAACTGTCTAAACAGAGATATTTATCTGAACAAAGTACTGCCTCTCTTCATATAAATGATGCCACTCCCCTGGTACCTGGTCCCTGGAGCACCAGAGTTCACGCTGCATCCATGCTCATGGCTAAGAGGGAAGACCCTAGATCTGCCCGCCCCCCAATAAAGGCCTGGAATTGGACAAAGCAAGCCTTCCCCCTTCCATCTCTGAATCAATGTCCATCTTCTCTCTTCCCCGCAGATCGCCCGGGGCTTGCCTGTGTTGAGAGAATAGAAAAGTACCAAGATAGTTTCCTGCTGGCCTTTGAACACTATATCAATTACCGAAAACACCACGTGACACACTTTTGGCCAAAACTCCTGATGAAGGTGACAGATCTGCGGATGATAGGAGCCTGCCATGCCAGCCGCTTCCTGCACATGAAGGTGGAATGCCCCACAGAACTCTTCCCCCCTTTGTTCTTGGAAGTGTTCGAGGATTAGACTGACTGGATTCATTCTCATAATTCCTACAGCACTACTGGGTGTCATTTCATTCCATTGCCTAGCTCTTTTTTGTTTGTTTCTTTGTGTTGGGAGGGATTATTTGGGAGGGAAAAGGGAAGTAGTCCTTGGCATAGACATGGATGAAATTGCCCCTTGAATGCGGGTACTTGAAACTATTGCATTTCGTTCTCCGGTCCTGTGATGTGAATGCTCTGAAGGTTTTATGGTTGTGGAGGTGGGGTGGGGGACAATCATTAACTCACCAGCACCAAGCATCACCAGCTCCCACCCGTCCCTGGTCCAAGACTTGAGTCAGCAAAATGGCGCCACAGGACACTAAAGAAGCCTTAAAACCAAGATAATACGACCACCTCCACCCAATCCTGATGTTCGCAGGGCTGAAGTTAACAGAGCACAGACCACCTTTAGTTAGATGTGGCTTTCAGCCTTTTAGGGAAAGACTCGAACAAATTTTCATCTATTCAAGAGCATGCTGTTTGCAGCACTCTTTATGGTCTCCTAGGAGCATAACTTGGAATGTACAGGAATATTTGTGTCCTAAAAAAATCAGCTGCCCTTCCAATATCATTTTTATAACGTTATGGTTTAATTCAAGTTATACAAAGGTGTGACTCAAGGATGTGCAGGTATTGACTGATGGAGGCCAACAAGGAAAATATTTTTTTTCAGTGAGCCCAGAGAAATTAGAAATCTTCACCAATGTCAGTGACTGCATGGTTTCCAAAAATTCACATAGTATTACCTCACAGTAGGAAGGCTTCTTTCCCATTTAGGCTCAGAGAACACTTTTACAGAAATCAAACCTATTTACAGGGTGGCACCCCTTTTCTGTGGCATCTGATCTGTCATCTCCCAAGCTCCTGAAGTTCTTTATCCAGGTTGTATCTTTGCTGAGCTGACAACAGATTTCTCTATGGATCAAATATTCTAATCAAGGAAAGATACGGTGAAACTTCAGTCTTCTTCTGGAGAAATGCTGAGGCGAGATTAGTGCAGCTACATTCTGAGTTGAAGGAAATGCAGTGTTCTGAGGGCCCCTTTGTGTCCTGATGGCTGGAGGACGCTTCCTCCTGGTTAGATCCTCAAGCTCCTTGCCTCATTGACAAATGTCTCCTAGTCCCCTTTTTCCCTCTGACTCTGAGGAACTAAATAGCTTGACTATCTCTAAACAGAGACTGGCCCTGCCACTGACCCTCCTGTCCCTCTCATAGCATACCCTGACAGATACTCAATAGAAAACACCTGCAGACCATGTGCACACTTAACTTTCCTGCCCAACCTGCCTCCCCAACGGCCCATGCTAGAATAGCTTGTGCCCAGAAAACAAACAGTGACACTTCATCTCTTCAGCGTCAGAAAATGGGCATAGAATGTACCCATGCAATTGAATGTATCTCATTCTCCACTGGCATAGTAGATATAAACTATTCCTTTGCCTACCTTTTACTGCCTTATCCTGGAAATATTGGGGAAAATAAGCCATATCAGTGAGATTTACCTAAAAACAAAGGAAGGAAAGTCACTATGGAAACCAAGTAGATGCTTTTTGTAAGTTTGGTGGAGCATAACTGGCCCAGAAGTCTGGGTGCCTGAGTTCTAGTTCGTGCTCTGTCAACTGGTAGATTTGTAATTCTAGGTCTTGGTTTTCTTACCTGGTGAATAAGTCATGATCTCTAAAACCCTTCCTGCCCTTAATATTGTCTGAATTTCAAGGGGAAAAAAAAAATCTGGTTCCTTTAATTATTTTTTTTTAACACTTAAATTCCTAACTTTATTAGACAAGAAGTATGGCCCACTTAACAGTTAAGGAACGTAAATTTGTTATTGGCTCGAAATAATAATTTGACACAATACTAGTCAACCATTTAGAGGCCTTGGAAAAAGAAGAGGAACAGCACTGAAAATTCCAAGTATGATTGGAAATTATCTGGGAGCGGGGAATTAAATATTCAATGCATGAAAGCAATTGTACTGGCTTCTGGGAAAAAGGAAACAAGAACATTGCTATGGAACTTGTTACCCAGAGAAAGGAAGTGAAAAGATTTACAATTATAAGCACGAAATTCATTGGCAGATTACCTGCTTTATCTACAGACAGATTGTTTTGGGGTTTGGTTTTGTCTAGGCAGCCTCTGGCCAGGCTCCTTAATTGCTTGCTCTGCTAATATTTCAGCTTCCTCTCTTGACTCCTTGAGGAACCAACCGCTCTTTGGAAGACAAACACTTAGCCACCTCTGTGCTCCAGGGTAACCCTGAGAAGCTCTGCTGTCTGGGGCAAGCTTTCTTTCCAAAGGGAATGAGAGGAAGGCAAGCAGGCAGGGTCCTGCAGCGTCAGGCCTTCTGGGGAAAGTTTCCTCATTTTGTTTGACAGGGTCCTCAGTACATCAGACACCCAGATTTGAATATAAGTTCAGAGCCTGATCTCAAGCTAAATCAGAATGCTTTGGGGACTAACCATGATCGAGAATTGGCCAAATAGTATGGCATATAAACAGCCATCCAGCCAGCCGCAAGTAAAGGAACGTTTGATCCTTGGCACCTTAAATGATTGATTGCCTTCAATAGGCAAACTGCTGGTCTGGAAATCTCGTTGAAGGCTGAATACTTCATGCGGAGTAGGACAAGCCTTAGCCCACCTTCAGGTTGAAAGGAAAGGCCATAGGACTCAAAAGATAATGACTCTGAAACTAAACTCCTTCCTTCTGAAGCTGACAGAGGTACTTAGTGCATCTCAAGACTCCATCTCATAAAACTCATTTGTGAGGGATTTGCTCTAGATTTTTCTAAACATTTTTTCATCTATTGTCCAGACTTGCAAATCCAGTGTGGACCTGATGGAGATACCCTTCACACCTGCGCTCCCACCCCCTCGGCAGGGAGACGTCTCAGTAGAGGAGAACACACCCATTATGCTGGGATTTGTATTTATAAATCACTTCCCTTTTAGGGATGAGCGGTGTGGGGCGTGTGTGCGTGTGAGTGTATGCGCGTGCGTGTGTGACCCTCAAGTGTACTTTGCTCAATTTAGACGTGCAGTATTTCCAGAAACAATGAAAAAAGTAAGATGTTTTCTTCTTTATGATTCTGCTCAAAACACCACGTGCCGCCTCAGAGCTTTTTCTAGAGCCTCGGTCCTCAATGACGCGCTTGACCTGTTGATGCCTCAGCCCAGCGAAGCCCCTCACCTGTGCCCCGGGCGACAGCTCTTCAGTGTGCAGTGCAGGCCTGGGGTGGACTGCCAGGCCTTCGCTCTGTGCCAGCAACGCCGTTCTTGTTGCTCCTCCATGAACAGGGGTACAAGCCCTGGCCCCTCCTCGACACTAAGCCCCCCACAGACTCAGCCTCCAAGGAACCGCTGAGCACCCTTGAAGCATGTCATTGTCAGTGATACCTTTTTATTCTATGGAACTCTAACCTATTCGTGTCATATTGACCTTTTGCTGCATGAGTCATAAATTATGAAATCAGTCTTACAGTTTTTGAAATGTAGCCAGCATTTGTAAGGCTAAACCTTTTTCATGAACTGAATTTAAGTGAATAACCAAGCCACAGTTCCTCCTCAAATGGAGAGTGATGATCGACATTTGAATCTCTTTGCCCTTTCCAACGGCTATGGCATCAGGTTCTAAAATAAGCTCGTAATTTTTCCTGTTATTTTAATAATATGGAAATATTAGCATAGTGTTTCTTTTGATAGTGATAGACTATAATCCATATTTAAATTTTATAGAGAAGAAATTTTATTGTACTGTGATGTAGATATTTATTATCCAGGTAAGGATTTGCCCGGTGTGTATTTTTTACAATTGAGACATTTTACTTTAATCTTTAAAAAAAATGCATTAAAAACACACTCAAAAAAAAAAAAAAAAAAAAAAAAAAAAAACCAGACTGGGGGAAAAAAGGTTTGGCCTTATCACAGAATTTTTACTGTGCTGTATAAATGTTTGCAAATGCGAAAAGTGTGCATTTATAGTGTGTTTCCACATTAATTAATGCCGCCTTCAAGAGCAATATTGTGCAGGTAAAACGCTGTTTGTGGCTTTCTGTTGCACAGTTAAAGCTGACCCACCCTATGCACAAGACAATCAAATATAAATCTGTCCTCCTCAGGATGCAGATAATACTCATGTAAATTATGGAGCACAATGTAAGACAAAAGGAGACACTTTACATATGTATTGTTGATACAGAAATTATCAGGGCATGAATGAGCTGATGTGACATTATGCCACTTCTTTCTTTTGGTTCTCCCTTATTAACTTGGCATTTTTAATTTGACCATAGAGCCAAATTAGTTCTCCATGCTTTCTTCGTAGAAAATCCTTTTTTTTCCCATAATGTTTTCATGCCCTGAGAATCAGAAAAATACTACAGAATAGAAAAAGATTTACAGTCATTGGAAGATTTGTGTTTTGCAAACAGTGTTAAGTGATATTGCTAGATGGTGATATTTTTTTCAGCCTAAAACTCTGTTGAAATCTGTGATCAAAATGTTTTAAACTATCCAAAAAAAATTTGTATATTTGGGAAAAATGGATTTTTACATAGCTTTTGTATGCAGATATAAAACTGTAATTATGAATATAGTGGGCGTAGATAAACTCATAAGCTTAAATTCTAAAAAAGAAAAAGCTTATAACAGATATATTTTCCTGTCTCTTTCTTTAAATATTATTATTTTCTACATAGGCAAAGAGTTGCCTGCTCTTCTCACTTCAGCTGCTGCCAAAAGACGGAACCACGGATGTAAGGACATTTATTTCATAAATAAACATCTACTAGAATAAGCAAATTTACTTGAGAAGAAACTATGGAGGGAGAGAAGAAACTAAGTAAAATGCTGATGGGGGGTTACCTCTTTGGAAGGGGCCACAAAGATGAAGGGAGGAGAGAGGTGAAGTTTTGCAGCTCAAGGACAACATTCATCTTCTCATCTCAAATTATTCAGGAATATTACTAATGGAATTATGTTAACATCAGCTGCCAACATATATCTCAATCTCTGTTGCCCTGAACACATGTTAATTGAGATTCTTTCTATGACAAGTAACAAAAAGCTAACTCAAACTGGCTTAAGCAGAAAGCTAATTATTGACTTTAATATCTGGGATCTAGGGTATTGCATACCAAAGCTTCAGGCATGGCTGGATCTGGGTGCACTTACTCAGTATTCTCAGGAAGCTCCTTTTTTTGTCATTCATGTAGACTTAACATTCACATGGCCTTTCACCTTACGGTGGCCTCCAATAGCTCCAGGATGAGCTTTACAGCTCCAAATATAGTGAAAGGAGAATTTCTTTTCTCCAACAATTCTAATGAAAATTCTGGCCTAATTCTCACTGGCCCAAGTTCAGTCATGTGCCCATTCCTGAGCCAATCACTGTGGTGAGGAAAACAGATGCATAACCAACCTTATCCTCAGGAATCCTGGAACTGGGTGAGGGGAAAGAGGGACAGTCAGCTTCATCTAAACTATGGACTGAGAGTTGAGGCAAGATGATTCCTGAAAGAAAATTCTAAGTCTTGCTGCTATAAGTGGAAGAGAATGGTGGGCAAGCAAAAGCAACCAGTGCCCACACCAAAGGTAAATCTAAAACAACATCCCATTTCAGTACAGCAAGCGGTTCTCCTTCACACAGAGGAAGCTCATCTCCAAGTTTTTATTTGGCCAGGACATGAACCAAATAAACACCTTCCAAAGAAAGTGTTTGATCGCATTCTTCCTGGTTCGTGAAAACACCAGTTCAGGTAAGATGGGGCAAGCATCATTATTTCCCTAGGCTAGATCAGTTCAGAGTACTATTTTCTGAGTTTTTCCACTCTATATTCAAATGACTAAGATTAACCTTTATATATTTATCTCTTGTCTACATTATGTACCTCCCAACTTCCTCCTAATGAACATATTTCCCTCCTCCAAGAAATTACTGGATTCATTTATTGTGGAGAGCTGGAACATATATATTCCAGCTAGGTACAATTCTTAACCCCTTTACACAGGCAAAGCCAGAAGCTGTTGTCATGTCACAAACCTGGAAAAGTCTAATAATCTATGAAGAGAAGCCAGAGGACAAAGTTGGTTTGCTTCTCCACCCTCAAGATGACAGCTCACTCTGGTTTTTATGTTTAGACACTCAGGGCACCATAGCTTTGTAAATAAGGGGAATTGTCATCAGGTTTATGTACACAAATTCTGACACATTAAATGGTGTCTAAACCAAAGCAAAACTTAGTAGAACTACTGAAATGCAGAATGTTACAGATACCATTTGAGCATGTATCTCAAGAGAATTCACTGACTACTTGATGAAAAGTGCCATGTTATACTCTTTAAAGACAATCTACCTACACCATACACTGATGAAATCATAAATGAAGTCTGTATCTATACAGTGATATTGCCTGGAGGCTATATTAAAATGAGAAGAGAATTGCCTTAGCCTAGGTTCCCCAGAAAGCAAAGTTCATGCTGCAATTTTATTAGGCATTATAGCACCCAAGGAAGGAGTGGAGGCAAAAGTGAATGAGGCATAGAAGAAAAGAGAATAAATATAAAGTGCTTTGCTAAGTTGGCCACACTTAGTACCAAACAAACACAACTGAGTACTCAATTGTGTAAGACCATCTTCTAAGGGGCCATATGAACTAAAGTGATCTGGTGCAGTGGCTCACGCTTGTAACCCCAGCACTTTGGGAGGCCAAGGCGGGTGGATCACAAGGTCAAGAGTTCGAGACCAGCCTGACCAATATGGTGAAACCCTGTCTCTACTAAAAATACAAGAAAAAATTAGCCAGGCATGGTGGTGCGCACCTGTAATCCCAGCCACACGGGAGGCTGAGGCAGGAGAATAGCTTGAACCCAGGAGGTGGAGGTTGCAGTGAGCCGAGATCATGCCACTGCACTCCAGCCTGGGCGACAGAGCAAGACTCCATCTCCAAAAAAAAAAAATAAAGAAAGAAAGAAAGAATTTATCTACTGGCTCTCACATTATCAAAAATAGGGCTAACTTCCCTCCATGTCTAGGTTATATGTACCTGGCCAAAGAGCAGGTCCCGTGGTGCTTCACACTTCAGGAGCTAAAGCAATCCCGCACATGGGGAAACTTGGTCTCTACTTCCACAGATGGGCATACCCCACCTTTACTGGTTGGCAGATCAGGTGGCAAGTGGGGTGAAACAAGTGGCCCTGGGCCCTGAGGAGATAAGTAGAACTTAGAGGCTCTGCAATTTTCTGATACAAGGGCTCCTTCAGCCAACAAGTTCTTCCAATTATCTGTACATGGGCCGTCAGGTTCCAAAGAGAATCATGAAGCTCAATAGACAATCAAACTTAAATTTCACTGTACCATGGACCTGCCTGTATAGGGGCTTTTAATGTAATATAAACTGGTTATGTAAATTAATTGTCCTCTTAATTGCATTTTCTTGCAGTAAAAAATTAAATACATGTAAACTAATCTTTTAATTACACTACCTTAGTTTTTCTTGTAGCTGTTTCATTACAAGGGCAATTTTTTCTATATGAATATCTATCTGAAAGTTTTATAGAAGCCAATAAAATTTTTTTATTTTTCCATATAAAACTTCACTTGGCATAGACATTTTTGGAAACAATGCGTATAAAGAGTAAAGTCAGAAGAAGCTGAAATAAACACTCCTTTTCTTTCAGGACAGACTGATAATGTCCTGTATATTTTGTTTTAACTTTCTTGTACATAACACCAATAGCAATGAGGAAGATGCATATAGAGTATAACATCTTCAAGTTACAAATCAGAAAATTCTTATGCCCACAAATCCCAATGGATACAGAGATATGAAAAACACTCCTCAGTTTGACCCTAAGTCCTAGAAAGAGGCTGTAGCCTTATCTGTTGCAGATATTCAGGTGGGTTTGCATTCCAAGGATTTTATGATTTCTCCAATGGGAGTTTTTAGCTCTAAAGAGATCTTTTAGGATATCTTTCCACTACATAAAGTCAAGGCCAAGTAGATTCTGTGTAATAAGTTACATCAAAAGATGAATAACCTGCCAGGTGCAATGGCTCATGTAACCCCAACACTTTGGGAAGCTGAGATGGGAACGTCGCTTGAGACCAGGAATTTGAGACCAGCCTGGACAACATACCAAGACCCCTGTCTCTACAAAACGTTCTAAGAAAAAAATTCACCGGGCATGGTAGCATGCATCCGTAGTTAGCTACTTAGAAGGCTGAGTCAAGAGAATCCTTTGTGCCCAGTTCGGGGCTTTAGGGACCTGGGATCATACCACTGCACTCCAGCCTGTGTGACAGAATGAGACTCTGTCTCTTAATAAATAAAAAATAAATAATAAAATAAGATGAAGAATTTGAGATCACCAAAGATTTTTCATTGGTAAGTGAACTACTTTGTGAGAATCCAGTTGAACATTTCAGAAAATTCACCTCTGTTTCCCCCAGCACTTTGACAAAAGTTCCATTCATTGTTACTTTCCACTCAAGAGTCCCAGCAACCACCCCAAAGGATGCGCTAGGTGTTTGTGCTGCCTCCCAGAGTTCTTCACTATCTTGTTGGAGTATGTAACAATTGCCCAGCATGTAATGAACACCTAACACCTACTCTATGCCAGAAATCATACTAGACCCTTTATATTACCTCTAATCCTCCAAACAAATATGGAAGTAGGTGTTAGTATTCTCATTTGGCAACAGGGACATGGGACTCAGTGTGAATAGGCAACTTATCTAAGATGACACTTTTGCCAATTGTCAGAGATCTTGGGGTTCTAAGACCCATGTTCTTTTTACAACCTGCACTGAGACCAGGGTAAAGCCTTAGCCCCTTACAAAAACAAAAAAGCAAGTCTGCTCTGGAAATATTTGTCATTTCCCTTCCTAAAAGGTTCACCTACTCTAATGCAAAAAAAAAAAAAAAAAAAAAAAAAAAAAAAAAAAAAAAAAAAAGTACATTATAAAGGAAGGTTACCTGACCTCTCATTAGATTGTGTCCATGCAAAACCACTCATTGGTGTTGCAACATAAAATGTAATTTCTCTTTGTAGGACCTATGTATAACCCAGCTGGCTACTAGATATGTCAGTCTGACAAGAGGACATTTAGTTTGCTAAGCATTTGAGGGTCTGATCAAGTTTTGGGAGAGCCAAATTGCTCTGCATAATTGAAAAAGAATTTACAGTAATGGAGGCTGGAAGTGGGGAGGGAAAGCAAACAAGATGACAGGAACACTTATGTTTCAAGATGTGACACCATACTGTAGCTCTCTCAACTTTAGATAATCATCTTATTAGCAAATGCATGATGCAGATGAATTTCTTGTGGAAACGAACGAAAAGAGACATTCAGGTATCATGTTTATATAGAACTGGTGAGCGCCAAAACAAAGGGGATCTTAATAATGTAATTATCCCAGAATGCATAGGATTCTGGGGGTTATTTTGTCTAATTTAAAGAATTGAGAGAAGAGTTTTTCAAAGCAGTTTCATGTAGCTCTAGCTACATGAAGAGAGGGCTCTAGCTGACATCTGGTAGATACGTTTACTTAAGACTGTACTTAGACGTGGGAATAAATTAGTAAATTGAAGGTTCTTGTGGAATTTTCCACAGGAAAGCAATAATAAAAGCCCAACTTTCACTCACACCTGCAATTAAAGGAAAACAACAAGTCTTAAACAAAACATAGCAAAACAAATTCAGATCCATTAAAAAGAGAATTTTTTATGATAAGATATTTGCAATATCTGAAATGTCACAGAATTAACGTCAGGAATATGCAGGTAGATTTTGCAAATCAACAAGAAAAATACATAAAATGCCATAGTAAAATAGAATATTCATAGAAGGAGAGGCCCAAATGGCTAACAAGTATATCAAGAGATCCCCCACCTCACGAGTAATCAGAAATATGAAAACTGACATCGCTCTATACCCGCAGATTAGGTAGACAGAAAATACCAAGCATTAACAGGAATATAAAAAGATAAGGACCCCATCTCCCGCTAGTGAGAGAGGGTTCAGCCCATTTTTCCTAGAGCCAGGATTCCCATTCTGGGAAAATACCTCAAGCTCTTACAGAGACCTATAGGCATAGGAATCCTAGCATCACATACTTTGCAATATTAAGGAGCTGAGTTCAGAGAAGGCAAGAGGAGATAAATACTGGGTGGAGGGATACCTACCATGGAAATCACTGCAGCATAGAAAGCATTGAAATAGACCTGCATATTGAAACTTGTAAAAACAACAACAACAAAACAAAAAGATCTATAACACAATACTATTTATGTAAACTGCAAACACAAAGGAGTACCATACATTTTGCATGGAATCATATATAACCAAGGACATACATCAAGCACTTTACACTGGGTGCCTGTATAGAAGAGATGAAGGGAAAAAAATGAAATAAATTGTAGCCATCATAAAATACAGAGTATGATTATCTCAAGTCCCTGCGCCTAAGGCCATTCCCCCACAAAACTGCCAGGTTTTAACCATCTCTTTACTATCTCTTCCCTGAGTCACCCATGTTGTAGCAGTTACTGCAAGAAAATGGACATTAAATGATTGGATAACAGAATCCTGGGTGAGAAGCACAATCTATGGCCTTGGAGCCAGGAAGATGACATTAAAAATGGCCTGAAGATGACATGGGAAGAAAAGAGAGAAAAAAAAGAGAAAGCAGTAGACAGTCCTGGTTGATAGATGGTCTTCCAGCCGCAGAATCTATTTTTCTAATTGACAATATTGAATGTGAAACTCCAAAACGTAAAAGAGAAAAGGCCATTCAGCCACCCCAAAGTCCCCAAAGTAAATCTGTCTCTAGGGATCCCTAAATCTCCAGTAGAGTTCTGGAAACCTCTGATCTAGAAATTCTTATATGTTTAAGCCAAGTCTAGGTGCTGAGTGTGTGAGTCAACTTTATTTAAAGGGCCAGAGTAGAGCCACTAAGTCTCCTTTGCATCATCACCAGTCTACAGAGACACTGGACCTAAGGCTATGCTGCCTGGGACAAGGATGAGGAAACCTGAGAGACAGTCTTTGCTGCCACTACTCCTACTTTATCCTCTAAAATCCAATTGACAATGTCTTTCATTTTTATGGGCCTGGTATTGAATGTTCAATTTGTTTGTGTCATGAATGTGGGTTAAGCAAGTTTAAACTATCTGTCTCTTCCTAGTTTCCCCCAGTCCAGAGGCTTATGAACCAGTACCCAACCCATTTCATATGGGGAATGACCCAAGGAATTGGGAACAGTTAGCCTGTAGAAGACTTGAGATGGCATTCTAGTTCACACCCAAGCTAGCTGCCAGGTGGAACAGAAAATCAATTTGTTCTGTGCTGCTTCCAAAGAGTATAGCCAGGATTAATGAATGGATAAATGGATACTACTCAGAAGTCAATATCAGCTCAAAAGAAGGGAGAATTATATCGCAATTAACTGCCTACAAATGCAAATAATGAGTTCCCCCATCACTCAAGGTGTTCAAGCAAAGACTGAAATATCATGACAACGAGGTTGTAAGAAGGCTGGAACCTCAAATAAATGACCTCTCAGATCTGCTTCAGCCCCAGGTTGTATCACGACCATGACCATGTCCTCAGGGATCAGCTTTTAGGCTGTCTCTGCTGCTGTATTTTATGTTCTCTACAAGGAAACATGGGAGATCAACCTCAGTTAGATTTCACTTCTGGTGCCACTTACTTTGAATGTATAATCATTCCCTGCAAAAGCAGATGAGCCAGTAAAATAGCCTACCATCTGCCTCTCCATGTTTTTTTTAATAACCATTCCACTAGCTCCTGAGAAAACCTTCTCTGTGCAGCCATGAATCAGACAAGCTGATTTGAAACCATTATCAGAGAGAATGATGTGCCAGAATCAAAGAGCAACTCTAAAGTGAGAAGAAATATAGAAAATAAATTCTAGGATAGTCTGATACACTGGGGACATTTCTTTGCCGTTGGTTCATTAGAATGATGTCAAAAACCACAGTAGTTATTGAGTCTCCATCATAAAAGGAATCTCGATTTAATTGCCTTTGGTTGAGATTCTGCACATGGGTTGTTTGCTCAGGCACGAATTTATTTTGACCAAAATTAGTCTTAATCAGCTTGGCTGACTAATGATATAGCCCAAAATCACAGCCAGTGGGCAGTTTGAGAGGCTTCTCTGACAATTCATGTAGCAGAGACAAATAGAACTTTTAAAACATGTTCCTCAAGGAGTTAATTCTTCTTCCACGTTTCAGAACACTTTCATTCAATGCCATGGTGATTCCATGCAAAGGTATCTGGGAAATGGGAAGTGCACTTTGACAGAGGGGTGCCTTAAAATAGACAGGGTAAGGGGGTTGTATTTTCTGTTCTTCTTATAAGATCTCAGCTACTCCTGCATGGGCGCCTCATGAAGCTTTAGAGCTAAGAAACTGGCTTATTTTGAATGTCTATCAGAAATGGGCATAATTAGATTCTGACCACTTTAAATTACTGTGGATTATAAGCAAAACTAAAAATGTGCTGGTGCAACTTCTTCCTCCAAAATAGTGATTACGAGTCACATATTTACAAGGATTGATGACATCCAGCTTGTCATAAAAACATTGCAAATGCAATCAGTTTCATCATCTCCAGGAATCCTTTCATTCCACATCCAAGTGCAGCTTCTTTCTCTCCAAAAATAAGACCATATATCTCCCTGAAAAAACAAAATGCACAAATACATCTGATACAGACAGGGATACTGGGGCAAGAGTGGCAAGGAGAAAGAAGTGCCATAATTCCAAAAGGCATGGTGTCCATGGCATACAAAAATAAAACCACTGACTCCAGAGATTCAAAACCAGTATATCCTTAACTTAAACCAAGTATCCCTGGGTTTCTGAGAACTTATTCTCAGATGTTAACAAAATGTTTATTAAAAATTTTTTTAATCTCCATTTTCATTCCAAAGTAATTTTTAAAACTTACATATATTTTTGCTATTGTGAACAGTACTGCAATAAACATACTTGTGCATCTGTCTTTATAGTAGAATGATTTATAATCCTTTGGATCTATACCCAGTAATGGGATTTCTGGGTCAAATGGTATTTCTGGTTCTAGATCCTTCAGGAATAGCCACACTGTCTTCTACAAGGATTGAACTGATTTACACTCCCACCAATAGGGTAAAAGCGTTGCTATTTCACATCGTCTCCAGCATCTGTTGTTTTCTGACTTTTTAATGATCACCATTCTAACTGGCGTGAAATGGTATCTCATTGTGGTTTTGATTTGCATTTCTCTAATGACCAGTGATGATGAGACATGGATGAAGCTGGAAACCATCATTCTCAGCAAACTAAGACAGAAACAGAAAACCAAACACTGCAAGTTCTCACTCATAAGTTGGAGCTGAACAGTGAGAACACATGGACACAGGGAGGGTAACATCACACACTGGGGCCTGTCAGGGGATGGGAAGCTAGGGGAGGGATAGCATTAGGCGGGTTGATGAGTGCAGCAAACTACCATGGCATGTGTATACCTATGTAACAAACCTGCACGTTCTGTACATGTATCCCGGAACTTAAAGTATAATTTAAAAAAAACTTACATATATTTTTTATCATCTAGATCAACTCAAAACCAAATAAAATTTCAATCATTCATTTGTATTCATGTTGACAGTGCCTAAAATGATAATTACCTGCCTTTAATTTTTGCAAGCTAGTGAGGACAAAAGAAAAGCAGACAATATATAAATGATACAGTTCACACCCAAACCCACAGAATCTGACTCACTGGGTCCATGAAAGGTTAGTAATCAATAAGAGAAAAGATGTGGGCAGCTTCAGTCCTGAGGATATTGTTCAGGACTTCCCAAATTTGAGGCATCTAAGAACCACCTGAGAGGCATTTGGCACATATACAGGCACATTTTTAAAACGAGATGTATTATGCTTACAATAATGTTTTTCAATTAATAAATTAAAACAGCACAATTGTTTCATCAATGAGAGAAGCTATTGTTTGAGATCTTTCCCCAGGTGTCTTTATCTACCTTGATGATGGATAGCTTGTGCTGTAGGTGAGATTCTTCTAGAACAAGGCAAATTTTCTTGCCTGAGACTAGAAAACATTCTCTTGACTATTGAAGGGAGAAGGAGAACATTCTCTTGACTATTGAGGGGAGAAGGAAAACATTCTCTTGACTATTGAGGGGAGAAGGAAAACATTCTCTTGACTATTGAGGGGAGAAGGAAAGTGAAAGAAACTTCAGTTAAATATGGGGCAATTTGAGAGTGAAGAAGACTTGGACTCCCATTCTTGGGCTGAGGCTATGAAGACAGCAAGACCCCATAAAAGAAATGGACATGTGATGTATGAGTTCTCCAAGCCTCAGAGTAACAAGGAAATGGCAGGATAATTTCACGATGTTGAGAGAGACCCAAAGTAGCCTGAGTTTAGATAACAACCACAAAATTTCCCAAAGCTCAATTTGATAGAGAAATAATAGAATCATCATATGAACAGGGCCATAAGAATGGCCCAAAAATTAGCTGAGAGAAAGAGAAAACTTGACATGAAAGAGCTTGCAGTCAGGCATGAGGAGCAAAGCTGGACCCTGCGTGGATCAACAGGGGAAGACAACGTCTCAGCTGATGCCATTGTGGACTGTGGACTGACGACATTACAGACTAGCTGTCGTCACCCACGACTTGACACCATAAGAAAATTTTCCCAGATTTTAATGTGCATCAAAATTATCTAGAAAGCTTGTTATCACAGATTCCTGAGCCCAGCCACACAGTTCCTGATTCAGCAGGCCTGGGGTGGAGAGTGAGAATCTGCATTTCTAACAAGTTCTCAGGTGATGCTGATGTTGCAGCTCTGGGAACCACACTTGGAGAATCGCTGTTCTGTTGCATCCTAACCCCCTGACTTACATGAAACTCAGATAGAAGAAGGAACCCCCAGAATAATGGAGCTCATGCTGGGAGTATATTGATGGGAAGATAAAGATTTACATTTCTCATACACCTGTGCATAAAGACTAAGGCTTGTGTCCGTCATGGAGATATGAGCAAATGGCTTTGTAAATCTCTATTTGATTATTTTCTCTTCTGGAAAGCATCACGTCCCTATTTCACTACAATATTGAATGTAATTATTAAATATACCCAGTAACATAGTGATGTACTTCTTCAACACTTAATGAAAAAAGGTCATTAAGTGTTAAAACCCACTGTCCAGTATAAAATATTTTAAATAAATTAAAGACAAGATAACAATGTTTCTTCTAAAACACATTCTAGCAAGTCACTTCTCAGCTCAATATTCCCCTGTTGCTTCCTGCTTACCCAACTAAGATCTTCAGGCCCTCACACTGTGGCCTGCAAGGCTGTACAGGGCCTGGGGCACAGTTAACCCCCTGTCCTCTTTCCCTATACTCTCAGCTCTCTCACTCTGCCCTGGCTACACTGAACTATCTTCTGTTCCTTGAAAAGCCCAAGGACATTCACACTTCAGTACTCTGTGTACTGTTCCCTCTGCCTGAAATAGCAGCCCCTGAGCCCCTTCCATCCTTTCCATCAGGCCTCCACTCAAATAGCACCTTATCAGGAAGGATTTTCCTCTTCACCTGAAAAAATCGCTCCCTTTACCTTTATCTTCCTTCACTCTCCATCTGCTCTACCCTGGTCTGCTATTCTTCCCATCCCTTGTCATGGCCTGATATACTTCATATTTTAGATGTTTTTATCTTTTAATTGTCTACTAGAATGTAAACTCCATGAAAGAGGGAATTTGCTTTGTTTACTGCTATATCCCCTGGAAGTATCTGGCACATACCCTCACTCAGTAAGTAATTGTGAAATGAACGAAGAGAAAGAAAGGTCCAGCTGGCCCAAGGTACCAACAACCCTATGCCTACCAACACCCAAAGAGGCCTGGGGGAAAACAGCCTGACCAGCATGGCAGCCCCAATTGTTTCTGCATGCCCACCTTCCCCTTTCTCTTTCACCACCAAACACCCACCCACTTGCACTAAGGAAGAACTATACATGTGCTATTTGCAAGAAAGAAAGGAGGCAACAACCCAGGGTGAAGTGAACTGCATATTGGAAAGCCAGGGACAAGGAGAGAATTCTTGCTCCACCTGAAGTAACCCACCCTCCGGTGAGAATGCAAAAGAACCTCCTGTGAGTCCATGGCCCCAGGATAGCCACAGTGACATGTGAGTGGAGAGACATCCTTCCAGACATTTTTATGTGACTAATACACAGGCATATTAATCACTGTTTCAACCTTCAAAGTAGACCTGGTTCCAGACAAAGATCTCTAGGAGTTCATCCATAAGGAATATAAAATCTCAAAATTAGACCAATAGAAGAGACAGGAATGGGGCGAGTGAAAGGGGTTACACTTCAATGATATTTTCCATAGGCTTTCTGGAAGCTGAGAATTTCCCTGCTCCAAAGCCCACAACCATAATTGTTTTTGATAAGTAATGTATTTAAATAAGTAATGTCAAAGGGGTCACATTTTTTTTTTCATTCTCAGCTTTTATCAGAAACACGGAAGTGCCACAATTTAGCCCTCCATTATCACCATCTTCCTTGGAGACGCTGGAGAACTTAATGAGTTGATCCTTTTGTATGAGCAGAGAGTTCAAATTGAAAGAATTTTTCCAATGAATCACATTAAAATTTATTCCAAATGTCTTTTTACATGTGGACTTTTAAAAAAGAGATTGAGTTTTCCAGAATCAAAATGTATCTTCTTCCTTAATACAGTGATAAATTCCCACTGAAGCTGCCTAGATTATACTTCAATGAAACCAAAAGTCCAGAGAAGCTGCAGAAAAGAGATTGAAGTGACTTTCAATTTAAAGTAATTAGGAGTTCAGAAAAGGCAACCTTTCCGAATGTCAAAGTTCTACAGACTCTTAAGTTTTGAATTTGGAAATTTAAAACACTGTTGTGTTAAGTGGCACTGAGACATTTCACAAATGAACAAATTCTTAATTTTTCTACTCCTTTCTCTCCATCCATTCCTACCACAGGGGCAGATACATAGATGGTTTTTAGAAATATATGTAAATGAGTGGATGAATACATACATATCTTTGCATACCCATCAGAAATCTCAGCACCTTCTGGACATTTTTTAATATTAAGTTTGCATTTGTTATCTTGTGAATCATAATAAAAGACCAATGTGGTATAATTATTTTTCCAAGAGCCCTCCCAGTAGACAGCAACATATGGTAAAAAGATCATGGGCTTCAGAATATAGATACAGATTTGAATCCTGGTCTCACTACCCCTTGTTTCCTTACATTAGATGTTTAACTTTCTTTTACCTCAACTTTCCTGTTTGTGAAATAGGAATAATAATACCTATTTTGTGTTGGGAGAGACAGTTCTCTCCATGGATCTCTCAAACCCATATGCAGCGCGTAGGGTATGCCAAGAATCCAAGGCCCTGTGTACTCTTTACCCAGGCTATTTGTCAGGGTTGTGCTTGCAGTGAGCAACTTGAGGGACAAAGTAATGTCTCCCACCCTGGAACAAAGAACACAACTACTTACTACTTGCTATAAAAGTAGTAGATTCTTCAAGCTCAATGTTCCTTGGCTATGACACAAACCCACTGTGCGTATAGTATACCTCTGGATCTGTGTCAGCTTGCCCTTTGAATCTTAGTAGCAAAGGGAGCTGATGCTGATGCTCTTTGCTGTGATGGTGAGTAATAAAGTTCTTTGTCTCTGACCTAGGAGTCTCAGGTCTTTGGCTAGCATCAGAAATAAGAGACTAATACTCGCTGGAAAATACATTTTAAACATTAATAGGTTAATTTATTAGCTTGTAAGTAGTGTAAAAGAAAACCCCTCACCTGACATTTTACAGAACTGTTGAAAGGCTAGATGCAGTAGCCTAAATAAAACACCTGGCACTGAATAGGCACTAAATAAACACACACACACAATTTTCCTTCAGCATCTCATTTAACTTTCCTTGACTATCTTAGATAAATAGTTCTTGACAAAATCATGATGGTGGCCAGGCATGGTGGTTCACGCCTGTAATCCCAGTACTTTGGGAGTCCGAGGTGGGTGGATCACCTGAGGTCAGGAGTTTGAGACCAGCCTGACCAATATGGTGAAAACCCGTCTCTACTAAAAATACAAAAGTTAGCCTGGCATGGCAGCGTGCACCTGTAGTCCCGGCTACTCGGCAGGCTGAAGCAGGAGAATCGATTGAACCCGGAAGGCGGAGGTTGCAGTGAGCCAAGATTGCGCCACTGCACTCCAGCCTGGGTGACAGAGCAAGACTCTGTCTCAAAAAAAAAAAAAAATTCATGATGGCAGGAAGGTTGCTCCTTCCTTTGCCTTTCCCATATAATATCTCATATCCATCCCACAGGGAGTGGTAAAGTAACCAAATTCTCCTACAAGGGCTTATAGCAGTTACCTCTCTGGAGGTATAAGTGCCTGTAATAGAGGAAAACTGAAGAAGATGCAAGCCATGGGTCTCTAATAATGAAATTTCAAACATTGGGTGAGAGTAGATATTTGGGGGCACATCTATACTCTTCAAACTCAAACACAACTTGCCACATTCATTACCCTTCCATCCCGACACCGGATCCTCTGAAGTTTACTTCACATCAAGGGAGGGGAAGGATGGAAATTTTAGAAACAGAGTTTATGCCAAAATACAAAATCATTTTCTGATAACTGAGACGATCTATGTGATGCAAAAGAATGTAACAAAACAGACTTGTCACTGGATGCTTGTAACCTGGTCTTTACCTCCAAACATACCTAGAAACAAAAAGGTGCCTTGCTCTCTGCATTAGTTTTCTATTTCTGCTATAACAAATCACCACAAACTTGGTGGCTCAAACAACACAAATTTGTTGTCTGACAGTTCTGTAGATCAAAAGTCCAACGCAGGTGTCATTAGGCTAAAATCAAAGTGTCAGCAGGGCTGGTGCCTCTGTGGAAGCCCTAGGACAGAATCTGTCTCCTTGCCTTTTCTAGCTTCTAGAGACTATGCTCATTTCTTAGCTCCTGGTCCCTTTTCCCCATTCCTGGCAGGTCAAGCTCTTCTGACACTGCCATCTCTCTGGTTTGCCATAGCCAGAAAAGATTCTCAGCTTTTAAGAACTCCTTTGATGACATTGGGCCCACTGGGATAATCTAGGATAAGCTCCCAATCTCAAGGTCCTTAACCTTAATCACATCTGCAAAGACCCTTTTGCCAGATAAGGTAATATTCACATGTTGGGAAGCGGGGGATGATTAAGATGTAGAATAATTAGGACTAATTGGGACTTGGAGGGGCATTCTTCTGCTGACCACACTTGGCTTCTAGAAGCCTCCTGAGATTGACTCATTCCCAAAGATGTTCAACTTGACCATTTCTCAAGAGCATTAAAATGGCTCTAAAGGTAAAACATTTCTACCGTGGTGAGGCAAATGAACAGTGCCCAGTGATAGGGCATCTTTAATTTTTGTTTTAATTTCTATACATTACCAGAAAAAAATAATTACAGGAATGTTTCTGAGATTCTAAGGGAAGCCACTCAGTGCCAGTAACCATGGTGATGGAAATTCTGAGAAGAATGTTAACTTCCATTATGTGAGAGCAGATGAAACCAAAGCCTTGGGCCCACACAGCAAACCTTTGGGTAGCAACGAGTTCTAGAAAAATGGAGCCTAAGGAGTCCAGATTGTTTTTCCTTGAAATACCAAGCAAGTCTAAAATGATTACTACCCATGAGATATATTTTTAATGATGTTAGGTTTGGGGGTGTGTTAGATTGTTTTGCATTGCTATAAATGAATACCTGAGGCTGAGTAATTTGTAAAGAAAAGAGGTTTATTTGGCTCACATTTCTGCCTGGCAGTGGCTATAGTTGGCTTCTAGTGAGGCTTCAGGAAGCTTTTACTCATGGTAGAAGGCAAGGGGGGGGCAGGCATGTCACATAGCAAGAGGAGGAGTGAGAGAGAGAAGGAGGTGCCAGGCTCCTTTAAATTGTAAACTAACAGCAAGAACTCACTCATTCCCATGAGGAAGGGACCAGGCCATTCATGAGGGATCCTCCCTCATGACCCAAACACCCCCGACTAGGCCCTACCTCCAATTCTGAGGATCACATTCCAACATAAGATTCAGAGAGTGAAAACATTCAAAGTCTACCAGGAGGTGATTAAAGTGATATGACAATGTGAGGTATATGTTACCTGGAAGGTAGTAGGAGCAGATGGTGGGAAGAAGAAAAGTGTGTAAGTACCTTGGAGATAACACTCACAGGAAAATCTATTCATTCAAAAATATTTATTGAGCACCTCTGTATGAAAAAAGGCACTGTGTTAGGTGCTGTAGGCTTGAGGATAAATTAATCAAGAAGCCTATCCTGAGGGAATTTGCACTGTAATATTGGAGATAAGAAACAAATCATTCTTTGAGCATAGGAGATGAAGAGAGCTCTCTAGAGCAGTGCTTCTCAAACTTTGTTGCCCACGTGTCTTGTTAAAATGCAGATTCAGTAGGTCCAGGGTAAGGCCTGAGATTCTACGTCTTTAACAAGCTCCCAAACAATGATAGTGCCAGTGCTGCCAGTCGCAGGACCATGCTTTCAGTGGCAAAAATCTAGAGCAGCATTTCTTATACCTCACTGTGCTTGAGAATCACCTGGGGAAACTTCACAAACAAAAGATGCCCAAGGCTCCTCCCACATATTTCAGTTATAATGAGCTACAGTGAGACTCTGGCAACAGTATGTTGTGAAAGCTCCCATTATGATTTTAATATGCAGCTAAAGACTGAGTACTGTTAACACAAAGCATTACAGCTGTTGAAAAATCTTGGGTGTTTGTTCTTAAAATGTGGGCCCCAGACCCACAACATGAGTAATTGCAGGGAAACTGGTCAGAAATGTAAATTCCTGGGCCCTGCCCCAGGCCTACTGAATCAGAAACTGGGGTGGGGCAAAAAAAAAAAAAAAGTGTTTGAACACTTTCCAGATGATTCCAATGTGCAATCAAGTTTGAGACCCACCAATCTAGGGCAGCTGTTCCACACAGAGATGCACATTCGAATCAGCTGGAGTGTTTCAAACACACAGCTGTCCTCGCCTCACTCTAGTTCCTGAAGCAATTGGTCTGCAGTGGAGTCCTGACTTGGATATTATTGAAAACATCCACAGATAGCTCAGATGTGGCCCCAGACCAAGAACCACTGATGGAGGGTGTTGCCCAGCAAAATTATCCCCTTCTCTTCTCATTCATTTATTCATTTGTTCCACACATTTCACAGAGCAACTACCCAGTCCTCTGCATGAAAGAGCCCTCCCTCAAGAGCTTGGAAGCAACACAAAATGGGGAGTAGACCAGGTCTACTATCAGCACAGAGATAAGAGACTCTGAACAGAGAAGACGGATCCAAGGGGGACAGCCTGGAGTCGGGGGACCCAGCTGGAGGCCAGCACAGTTGCCTGGGCGAGAGGTGAGCCCTCCCTCCTGGAGAGGTGAGCCCTTCAGAGGAAGAGATGAGAAACGGAAACCCCTGACTCATTACCATCGGCCTTGGCTTGCTGTTCCATTGGCAGCCCTTTCTACCTGTGATCAACACATGCCTATCTAGCAGCATACTAACTCTGTCTCTCATTCTAGAGCACGCATCCGCCCAGAGTTAATAAGTTTTAGAATGTCGGCGTCCTGTCATTGCATCATCCACAGATTCAGTGACCAGAGAGGAAGAAACACAGGGAAGCTTTATATTAATAAAGGTCTTGCGTTGAATATTCCTAAGCAACTGTCAAAAGTAAGCAGTTCGTATGCTTCTTTTCTGGTGACAATAATAGACTGGGCCCCATCCCTTCCCAGAGCTCCCGATAAGCAACTGGATCCAGTCTCCACTCCAGAACCTGAATGGACTTTTTGCTCAATACAGCTACTGCTGGCCAGTCAGCTTCATGGGACATGTGCCAAGAGGTCTTCCATTCCATCTTGAGTAAACAAATTAGAGTCCTAGCAAAAACTCTTCCCATGAGCCCTTTAACTGACCTAAATTCAACATATGTCATAATCTAGGAGGAAGCACCAAAATGGAAAACTACTTTAATTCACAGAAGCTAAAGGAGCAATTGTAATGTAAGTGGTTTCTACAAAGTATATATGCAGGATCAGCAAGCATGGGAAACGCACACCAGCCCCTGCAGGGATTCTGGGCTACGAGTGCATGAAGGCAGAGTCGAGACTGTGGATTCTGGAAGAAGAATCCCCTTGAGAGAGCATCTGATTCAAAATTCATCCATATATGACTTAAAAGCCACCCAGGTTGTCATATCATCTGTAATGATTATTCACTAGAGCCAAGAGTGTTTATATTCTGAAGATCAGAACAAGATTCCCAACAAAACAGTAAGGGAGCATTTCAGGGAGCAGTGGGAATATGTGTGGGATGAAGCCAAATTATAAAGTCATTATTAGGGTGGGTATGGTGGCTCACACCTGTAATCCCAACACTTTGGAAGGCCAAGGCAAGAAGAGCACATGAGCCCAGGAGTTCAAGTTCAGCCAGAGCAACCCTCAGGCTGAGGCAGGAGGGTCACTTGACCCAGGGAGGTCGATGCTGCAGTGAGCTATGGTAGCACCACTGCACTTCAGCCTGGACAACAGAGTGAGACCCTGTCTCAAAAAAAAAAAAAAAAAAGTCATTACTTTAAAGGGCTTCCAAAGTCTATATAGAATGAACTGCCAGCAGCCCAAGGAACTATAAATGGAGCTCCATGTATTTATGCAAATGTTGAGGGCATATATTCATTTCAAAGAGTGTTTGGTTCCTGCTGTATTATCAATGCCTGTCAGTAAAACATAATGTTTAACACTATCTGGGTTTGAGTCCTGATTGCTACTAATTGACATGAGACCCTATGCAAGGTCCTCACTTTTCTCATCTATAAAATGCGAATAATAATAACAGTAACATCTACATCCTAAAGATTTTTGAGGCCGGGCATGGTGGCTCACTCCTGTAATCCCAGCACTTTGGGAGGCTGAGGCAGGTACATCACCTGAGGTCAGGAGTTCAAGATCAGCCTGGCCAACATGGCAAAACCCCATCTCTACTAAAAATACCAAAGTCAGCTGGGCGTGGGGGTGGGCACCTGTAGTCCCAGCTACAGGCTGAGGCAGGAGAATCGCTTGAACCTAGGAGGCGTAGGTTGCAGTGAGCCGAGACCGCACCACTGCACTCCAGCCTGGGTGACAGAGCGAGACTCAGTATTAAAAAAAAAAGATTATTGAGACAATGTATTAATATATAAGGTTATTAATACTGTATTGGGCATATTATAAGTACTCAATAAACTATGTCTAATACTATGATCCTTTCCAGGAAACTAAGGTTCTCAGCATGTCCATGGAGGCGGATTACATGGATCAGGGTAATAATATAATCCCAGCTACTTGGGAGGCTGAGGCAGGAGGTTTGCTTGAGCCCAGGAGCTGGAGGCTGCAGTGAGCTATGATTGTGCCACTGCACTCCAGCCTGGGCAACAGGAAGAGACACTGTCTGGAAAAAAAAAAAAGAAAAGGAAGGAAGGAAGGAGAAGGGAAGGGAAGGAAGGGAGAAAGAAGCATTGAGAGATGAAATCATCATTAAATAAGCATAGTAAACAGTAAATTAAAGAACAAAAATTCAACAATTCTGAATTATATGCCCCAAACAACAGATGAACATAACACATGCAGTTAAATGAATATCTGAAATTCAAGAAAAACAGGAAGAAATAGATTGAAATTACAGAGCTAACTATTCCAATATAAAAATAGCCAAATGTATCAGTTTTTGAGATTTTTCCATCTGCCTGGTACCGCTCTGAGCACTTTACATACATCGTCTCATTTAATCCTCACAACTCCATGTGGTAGGTATTGTTATTATCGTTCTCCCCATTTCACAGATAGGAAAATAAGACCTTAAAAAGTTAAGTGACTTTGCCAAGGAAACTCAGCTAGTAATAGGTGAAGCTACGACTGAGACTCAAGTCTGTCTAACTCCACAGCCCATTCTCATAACCACAGTAGTGTGTTGCCTCTCAGTATGAAATAATCAGAAAGTTAATAATCAATAAATAATAAAATAATAGAAGACATTGCAGAGTTGATCAAGAGAATCAATCAGTTAGACAATGGAGAGAGGCAAAAGGTAGAATAGAATATACTTTTTTTTAAGAATATAAGGATGTATACACATTTATCATATTATGGATGAAGGCAGACAAAAAGAAGTCAGAAAGTCTAATATTTCACAATATTAAAACAATAAAATTAAAAATTAAAGTTCAATCAGATTTATGTCAGCTTTATTTATAATAGCCAAAAACTGAAAACAACCCAAATGTTCACTAACTGAATGGATAGGCAAACTGTGGTGTGTCCACATGATGGCATACTATGCAACAATTAAAAAAAAAAAGAGCATTGTGTTGATACATGCAACACACTGACGGATCTAAAAAATCTGATTTTGAGCAAAAGAAGCCAGACACAAATGACTACATGCTGTACGATTGCACTTATACGACATTCCATAAATGGTAAAAACTACAGGGACAGAAATCAGACCAGTGATGCCAGGAACCAGGAATAGGAGAGGAAGTTGACTGCCAAGGGACATGGGGAACTTCATGGAGAGATGTAAGCGTTCTGTATCTTGATGGTGGTGGTTGCCACACAATTTTTTTTTTTTTTTTTTTTGAAACGGAGTCCCACTCTGTCGCCCAGGCTACAGTGCAGTGGCATGTCTTAGCTCACTGCAGCCTCCACTTCCTGGGTTCAAACAATTCTCCTGCTTCAGCCTCCTGAGTAGCTGGGACTACAGGTAAGCACTGCCACACCCGGCTAATTTTTGTCTTCTTTTTTTCTTTGAGACGGAGTCTCGCTCTGTCGCCCAGGCTGGAGTACAGTGGCATGATCTCAGCTCACTATAACCTCTGCCTTCCGGATTCAAGCGATTCTCCTGCCTCAGCCTCCTGAGTACCTGGGATTACAGGGGCGCACCACCACGCCTGGCTAATTTTTGTATTTTTAGTAGAGACGGGGTTTCACCATGTTGGCCAGGATGGTCTTGATCTCCCAACCTCGTGATCCACCCGCTTCGGCCTCCCAAAGTGCTGGGATTACAGACGTGAGCCACCACGCCCAGCCGGTTGCCACACAATTTTACACACTTGTAAAACCTCATTAAACTCTTTGGTTAGAAAAGGTAAATTTTATTGTATATAAATCATATCTCGGTGAACTAGAGTTTTTCAATGCATGCAGAATATAAAATCTCTACATCACATAAAAAAATTTTAAGTGCCTAAATACTTCCTACATCAAGAAAATAATTCTGTGCCTGGTGTGATTCTGTCCCGCACAGCTGTTCTCTGGAGCGGTAGTTGTTTATCTCCGTCTGCCTTCTCTCTCACCGAAGTGTATGTCACCACCCCAAGGAAGATTCAATGGACATGGACACAAGCCCCCTGTGGCTCCAGAACTATCTTTTGGTTGTGAACTAAAGGCCGATGAAGATGATCGGTTTCGGGTGGATAATGATGAAAATGAGCACCAGTTATCTTTAAGCACGGTCAGGTTAGGGGCTGTGTAAAAGATGAATTGCACATTGTTGAAGCAGAGGCAATGAATTATGAAGGCAGTCCTATTGAAGTAACACTGGCAACTTTGAAAATGTCAGTACAGTCAACGGTTTCCCTTGGGGGCTTTGAAATAACATCAGCCGTGGGATTACAGTTGAAGTGTGGATCAAGGCCAATGCATATTAGTGGGCAGCACTTAGCAGCTGTGGAGGGAGAGGCAGAGTCAGAAGATGAAGAGCAGGGGGATGTGAAACTCTTAGGTATTTAATATATCTGGAAGGCAATCTTCCCCTGGAGGTAGCAGCAAGTTTCCACAGAAAAAAAAGTAAAACTTGCTGCTGATGAAGATGATGATGATGATAATTTTGATGATGAAGAAATTGAAGAAAAAGCTCCAGTGAAGAAATCTATATAAGATGCTCCAGCCAAAAATGCACCAAAATCAAACCAAAATGGAAAAACTCAAAACTATCAAGACCAAGATCAAAAGGTCATGAATACTTCAAAAAAAACAGGAAAAAACTCCTAAAAATCCAAAAAGGACCTAGTTCTATAGAAGACATTAAAGCTAAAATGCAAGCAAGTACAGAAAAAGCACATTGAACAGTCCTGGGCAATACTGCAAAATTAAGTCCAAAGATGGGGACAGAGGAAAGAGAAATATAGTCCATGCTGAGTATCATCAGCCATCCAGACTGAAGTCTTCTGTTTTAATCTGAATCCCCTTTTCTGATTTGCCAGCCATGCTCCTTCCAGGCTGGAAACGAACTCACTCTTCATGTCCTAAAGCACTTTCTTTTGACAGCTGTGATTCTGTGAACCTAGCCCCTTGCTTTCTGTTACTTGCACATTTGCCTCACCTCTCTGACCATGTTTTAATCACCTTTGGGTCTCCTTGGCTGCTCAATAAATATTTGAATGAATCAAAAAAGAAAAGAAAAAAGAAAAAAAGTCCCTATACTACAGAATATTTTGAAATGATATTTCTGTATTAAAATTGATGGAGTATTGCCACAGCAGTGCTTAGAAAAACACTCATTTTTCTAAATTAGGGAAGAAAGAAAAAAACACCATAAAAGCAAAGCCTTTATCTGCTAAGAGGCTAAAGTGAAAAGCCAAAAGAAAATAGTAAAATGAAAATAATAAAACTAACAACATAAATGAACAAAATGCTTATAAAGTTGAGTTGAGGCCGGGCACAATGACTCATGCCTATAATCCCAGCACTTTGGGAGGCCGAGGTGGGCAGATCACTTGAGGCCAGGAGCTCAAGACCAGCCTGCCCAACATGGTGAAACCCTGTCTCTACCAAAAATACAAAAATTAGCCAGGCGTGGTGGTGTGTGTCTGCAGTCCCAGCTACTCAGGAGGCTGAGGCAGGAGAATTGCTCGAACCTGGGAGCTGGAGGTTGCAGTGAGCAGAGATCACTTCACTGCACTCCAGCCTGGGCAACACAGCAAGAGACTCTGTCTCAAAAAAAAAAAAAAAAAAGTTGAGTTGGTAAATCAAATTAATAGTTGGCTTTTTAAAAATTAATAAAGTTGAGGACATGTTCCAATTAACAAAAAAAGGAGAATTGGCAAATTTATCAAAAATAATAAAATGCAGGGAGATAAATTAACAGAAAAGGGAGAATTGGCAAATTTATCAAAAATAATAAAATGCAGGGAGAGAAATAAGATATCAGCAATGGATAGAAACAACCATTTTAAAGTAGGGATGAGGGAGGAGGAGCCAAGATGGCCGAATAGGAACAGCTCCGGTCTACAGCTCCCAGCATGAGCGACGCAGAAGACGGGTGATTTCTGCATTTCCATCTGAGGTACCAGGTTCATCTCACTAGGGAGTGCCAGACAGTGGGCGCAGGCCAGTGGGTGCACGCACCGTGCGCGAGCCGAAGCAGGGCGAGGCATTGCCTCACCTGGGAAGCGCAAGGGGTCAGGGAGTTCCCTTTCCGAGTCAAAGAAAGGGGTGACGGACGCACCTGGAAAATCGGATCACTCCCACCCAAATATTGCGCTTTTCAGACCGGCGTAAAAAACGGCGCACCACGAGACTATATCCCACACCTGGCTCGGAGGGTCCTACGCCCACGGAATCTCGCTGATTGCTAGCACAGCAGTCTGAGATCAAACTGCAAGGCGGCAGCGAGGCTGGGGGAGGGGCGCCCGCCATTGCCCAGGCTTGCTTAGGTAAACAAAGCAGCCCGGGAGCTCGAACTGGGTGGAGCCCACCACAGCTCAAGGAGGCCTGCCTGCCTCTGTAGGCTCCACCTCTGGGGGCAGGGCACAGACAAACAAAAAGACAGCAGTAACCTCTGCAGACTTAAATGTCCCTGTCTGACAGCTTTGAAGAGAGCAGTGGTTCTCCCAGCACTCAGCTGGAGATCTGAGAACGGGCAGACTGCCTCCTCAAGTGGGTCCCTGACCCCTGACCCCCGAGCAGCCTAACTGGGAGGCACCCCCCAGCAGGGGCACACTGACACCTCACACGGCAGGGTATTCCAACAGACCTGCAGCTGAGGGTCCTGTCTGTTAGAAGGAAAACTAACAAACAGAAAGGACATCCACACCGAAAACCCATCTGTACATCACCATCATCAAAGACCAAAAGTAGATAAAACCACAAAGATGGGGAAAAAACAGAACAGAAAAACTGGAAACTCTAAAACGCAGAGCGTCTCTCCTCCTCCAAAGGAAGGCAGTTCCTCACCAGCAACGGAACAAAGCTGGATGGAGAATGATTTTGACGAGCTGAGAGAAGAAGGCTTCAGACGATCAAATTACTCTTAGCTACGGGAGGGCATTCAAACCAAAGGCAAAGAAGTTGAAAACTTTGAAAAAAATTTAGAAGAATGTATAACTAGAATAACCAATACAGAGAAGTGCTTAAAGGAGCTGATGGAGCTGAAAACCAAGGCTCGAGAACTACGTGAAGAATGCAGAAGCCTCAGGAGCCGATGCGATCAACTGGAAGAAAGGGTATCAGCAATGGAAGATGAAATGAATGAAATGAAGTGAGAAGGGAAGTTTAGAGAAAAAAGAATAAAAAGAAATGAGCAAAGCCTCCAAGAAATATGGGACTATGTGAAAAGACCAAATCTACGTCTGATTGGTGTACCTGAAAGTGATGCGGAGAATGGAACCAAGTTGGAAAACACTCTGCAGGATATTATCCAGGAGAATTTCCCCAATCTAGCAAGGCAGGCCAACGTTCAGATTCAGGAAATACAGAGAACGCCACAAAGATACTCCTCGAGAAGAGCAACTCCAAGACACATAATTGTCAGATTCACCAAAGTTGAAATGAAGGAAAAAATGTTAAGGGCAGCCAGAGAGAAAGGTCGGGTTACCCTCAAAGGGAAGCCCATCAGACTAACAGCGGATCTCTCGGCAGAAACCCTACAAGCCAGAAGAGAGTGGGGGCCAATATTCAACATTGTTAAAGAAAAGAATTTTCAACCCAGAATTTCATATCCAGCCAAACTAAGCTTCATAAGTGAAGGAGAAATAAAATACTTTACAGACAAGCAAATGCTGAGAGATTTTGTCACCACCAGGCCTGCCCTAAAAGAGCTCCTGAAGGAAGCGCTAAACATGGAAAGGAACAACCGGTACCAGCCGCTGCAAAATCATGCCAAAATGTAAAGACCATTGAGACGAGGAAGAAACTGCATCAACTAACAAGCAAAATCACCAGCTAACATCATAATGACAGGATCAAATTCACACATAACAATATTAACTTTAAATGTAAATGGACTAAATGCTCCAATTAAAAGACACAGACTGGCAAGTTGGATAAAGAGTCAAGACCCATCAGTGTGCTGTATTCAGGAAACCCATCTCACGTGCAGAGACACACATAGGCTCAAAATAAAAGGATGGAGGAAGATCTACCAAGCAAATGGAAAACAAAAAAAGGCAGAGGTTGCAATCCTAGTCTCTGATAAAACAGACTTCAAACCAACAAAGATCAAAAGAGACAAAGAAGGCCATTACATAATGGTAAAGGGATCAATTCAACAAGAGGAGCTAACTATCCTAAATATATATGCACCCAATACAGGAGCACCCAGATTCATAAAGCAAGTCCTGAGTGACCTACAAAGAGACTTAGACTCCCACATATTAATAATGGGAGACTTTAACACCCCACTGTCAACATGAGACAGATCAACGAGACAGAAAGTCAACAAGGATACCCAGGAATTGAACTCAGCTCTGCACCAAGCGGACCTAATAGACATCTACAGAACTCTCCACCCCAAATCAACAGAATATACATTTTTTTCAGCACCACACCACACCTATTCCAAAATTGACCACATAGTTGGAAGTAAAGCTCTCCTCAGCAAATGTAAAAGAACAGAAATTATAACAAACTGTCTCTCAGACCACAGTGCAATCAAACTAGAACTCAGGATTAAGAATCTCACTCAAAGCCACTCAACTACATGGAAACTGAACAACCTGCTCCTGAATGACTACTGGGTACATAACGAAATGAAGGCAGAAATAAAGATGTTCTTTGAAACCAACGAGAACAAAGACACAACATACCAGAATCTCTGGGACACATTCAAAGCAGTGTGTAGAGGGAAATTTATAGCACTAAATGCCCACAAGAGAAAGCAGGAAAGATCCAAAATTGACACCCTAACATCACAATTAAAAGAACTAGAAAAGCAAGAGAAAACACATTCAAAAGCTAGCAGAAGGCAAGAAATAACTAAAATCAGAGCAGAACTGAAGGAAATAGAGACACAAAAAACCCTTCAAAAAAATCAATGAATCCAGGAGCTGGTTTTTTGAAAGGATCAACAAAATTGATAGACCGCTAGCAAGACTAATAAAGAAAAAAAGAGAGAAGAATCAAATAGACACATTAGAAAATGATAAAGGGGATATCACCACCGATCCCACAGAAATACAAACTACCATCAGAGAATACTACAAACACCTCTACGCAAATAAACTAGAAAATCTAGAAGAAATGGATACATTCCTCGACACATACACTCTCCCAAGACTAAACCAGGAAGAAGTTGAATCTCTGAATAGACCAATAACAGGAGCTGAAATTGTGGCAATAATCAATAGTTTACCAACCAAAAAGAGTCCAGGACCAGATGGATTCACAGCCGAATTCTACCAGAGGTACAAGGAGGAACTGGTACCATTCCTTCTGAAACTATTCCAATCAATAGAAAAAGAGGGAATCCTCCCTAACTCATTTTATGAGGCCAGCATCATTCTGATACCAAAGCCGGGCAGAGACACAACCAAAAAAGAGAATTTTAGACCAATATCCTTGATGAACATTGATGCAAAAATCCTCAATAAAATACTGGCAAACCGAATCCAGCAGCACATCAAAAAGCTTATCCACCATGATCAAGTGGGCTTCATCCCTGGGATGCAAGGCTGGTTCAATATACGCAAATCAATAAATGTAATCCAGCATATAAACAGAGCCAAAGACAAAAACCACATGATTATCTCAATAGATGCAGAAAAAGCCTTTGACAAAATTCAACAACCCTTCATGCTAAAAACTCTCAATAAATTAGGTATTGATGGGACGTATTTCAAAATAATAAGAGCTATCTATGACAAACCCACAGCCAATATCATACTGAATGGGCAAAAACTGGAAGCATTCCCTTTGAAAACTGGCACAAGACAGGGATGCCCTCTCTCACCACTCCTATTCAACATAGTGTTGGAAGTTCTGGCCAGGGCAATCAGGCAGGAGAAGGAAATAAAGGGTATTCAATTAGGAAAAGAGGAAGTCAAATTGTCCCTGTTTGCAGACGACATGATTGTTTATCTAGAAAACCCCATCGTCTCAGCCCAAAATCTCCTTAAGCTGATAAGCAACTTCAGCAAAGTCTCAGGATACAAAATCAATGTACAAAAATCACAAGCATTCCTATACACCAACAACAGACAAACAGAGAGCCAAATCATGAGTGAACTCCCATTCACAATTGCTTCAAAGAGAATAAAATACCTAGGAATCCAACTTACAAGGGATGTGAAGGACCTCTTCAAAGAGAACTACAAACCACTGCTCAAGGAAATAAAAGAGGATACAAACAAATGGAAGAACATTCCATGCTCATGGGTAGGAAGAATCAATATCGTGAAAATGGCCATACTTCCCAAGGTAATTTACAGATTCAATGCCATCCCCATGAATCTACCAATGACTTTCTTCACAGAATTGGAAAAAACTACTTTAAAGTTCATATGGAACCAAAAAAGAGCCCGCATCACCAAATCAATCCTAAGCCAAAAGAACAAAGCTGGAGGCATCACACTACCTGACTTCAAACTACACTACAAGGCTACAGTAACCAAAACAGCACGGTACTGGTACCAAAACAGAGATATAGATCAATGGAACAGAACAGAGCCCTCAGAAATAACGCCGCTTACTTACAACTATCTGATCTTTGACAAGCCTGAGAAAAACAAGCAATGGGGAAAGGATTCCCTATTTAATAAATGGTGCTGGGAAAACTGGCTAGCCATATGTAGAAAGCTGAAACTGGATCCCTTCCTTACACCTTATAAAAAAATCAATTCAAGATGGATTAAAGATTTAAACGTTAGACCTAAAACCATAAAAACCCTAGAAGAAAACCTAGGCATTACCATTCAGGACATAGGCATGGGCAAGGACTTCATGTCCAAAACACCAAAAGCAATGGCAACAAAAGCCAAAATTGACAAATGGGATCTAATTAAACTAAAGAGCTTCTGCACTGCAAAAGAAACTACCATCAGAGTGAACAGGCAACCTACAACATGGGAGAAAATTTTCGCAACCTACTCATCTGACAAAGGGCTAATATCCAGAATCTACAATAAACTCAAACAAATTTACAAGAAAAAAACAAACAACCCCATCAAAAAGTGGGCGAAGGACATGAACAGACACTTCTCAAAAGAAGACATTTATGCAGCCAAAAAACACATGAAAAAATGCTCATCATCACTGGCCATCAGAGAAATGCAAATCAAAACCACTATGAGATATCATCTCACACCAGTTAGAATGGCAATCATTAAAAAGTCAGGAAACAACAGGTGCTGGAGAGGATGTGGAGAAATAGGAACACTTTTACACTGTTGGTGGGACTGTAAACTAGTTCAACCATTGTGGAAGTCAGTGTGGCGATTCCTCAGGGATCTAGAACTAGAAATACCATTTGACCCAGCCATCCCATTACTGCGTATATACCCAAATGACTATAAATCATGCTGCTATAAAGACACATGCACACATATGTTTATTGCGGCATTATTCACAATAGCAAAGACTTGGAACCAAGCCAAATGTCCAACAATGATAGACTGGATTAAGAAAATGTGGCACATATACACCATGGAATACTATGCAGCCATAAAAAATGATGAGTTCATGTCCTTTGTAGGGACATGGATGAAATTGGAAACCATCATTCTCAGTAAACTAACGCAAGAACAAAAAACCAAACACCGCATATTCTCACTCATAGGTGGGAATTGAACAATGAGATCACATGGACACAGGAAGGGGAATATCACACTCTGGGGACTGTGGTGGGGAGGGGGGAGGGGGGAGGGATAGCATTGGGAGATATACCTAATGCTAGATGACGAGTTAGTGGGTGCAGCGCACCAGCATGTCACATGTATACATATGTAACTAACCTGCACAATGTGCACATGTACCCTAAAACTTAAAGTATAATTAAAAAAAAAAAAAAGTAGGGATGATAATATTCTAAACTATGTATGAATAATTATTATCAATACTCTATGGATAGCTGCTAAAGTATTAAATACTAAAATGGGTCACAGCAAAACAGAGAACACAAATGCACAAATAAACTAATCACAGAAGTAGAAACAGTTATAAGAAGTTTATGCCCCCCTTCAAAATGGTACTAATGAAGTCACTGAAGTATTTTCTTAAATTTTCTAAAAACAATTTACTCCTTTTGTTATTACCAAAACTATTCCAAAATAGAACAGCATGTAATTCAATTGATTTTTATGAGGTAAATGTGGTTTTGATCACAAAACCTAAAGACACCAACAAAGAAATTAAATGATAGCTCAATTCACTTGTGAACTTAAATACAAAAATTGAAAATAAAATCTAGGATACAAAGTATAAGTTTACAGAACAAATTCTGCAGCAGGGACTGGCTCCAAGAGAGAACAAGGAGCACCCTAGAGGACACAGCAAGATATTGCAACAAAAACATCACAGACCTTACCCCAGACCCAGAAGGCTTGGTTTACCAAGCTCCAAGCTTATTCAACCTGCAGCCCAGGACGGCTCTGAATGTGGCCCAACACAAATTCATAAACTTTCTTAAAACATTATGAGATTTTTCTGCGATTTTTTTTTAGCTCATCAGCTATCATTAGTGTTCGTGTATTTTGTGTGTGGCCCAAGATAATTCTCCTTCTACCAATGTGGCACAGGGAAGCCAGAAGATTGGACACCCCTGGTTTAGACAATCATGCCAGGCACTGTGCAGGGCTTGGGACTACAAGACCACATAGACCCCAACATCGCGGAGCTTACGTTCTACCGGAGGAGATAGACATTTATTAAGAAAAATTATTCAAGTCTTGGAAATAAGGCCAAAAGAGGACTGCATGTCTTTTCAAAGTCATACCAAAACTTCACTTAAGAGTCCCTACCCCTACTCCAGTGCTTATTTCATTATCTAGCAGAATGTACCTTTATTTGATTCACTATTTACCACTGATTAAAGTGGAGCGTCTGTGGAGTTATACGTTACTTTGTAGACTTTTGTCTAGTGAAATACAAAAGACAACCCCAAAGGTTATAATTTTTTTGCCTATAGAACATTTCAGGAAACAGGAGTAGGATTTTTGTCTATAATATAGCAAACTTGCTTCAACATACCTTCCACAACTTACAAATGCTCTTTGAACCAGCCTAATTATGCTTCTAGTTTCCTGGGTTAGATCAATCTTTGGCATGCGGTCACTACACATTTGGATGAAAATCATTTTTAACTTTTTGAAAATTAAGCAGTTGATAAAACAGACAAATAATTACATAAATAACCACCTAATTACAATTGTGGTAAGCAATTGGGGATGCAAAAGGGGTAACATACCTTGACCCATAGGGTCCTTGGAAGCTTAACCAAGGGCCTGAAGGATGGCTGCACTTAAATGAGGCGAATGGGCAGGAAAGAGCCCTCCATGAGCTTGTCCTTCCCTGGGTGACTTTGTAGCTATATGCAGAGATTCCCTGAAACACAGAGTAAAGGAATCAAAAATTACTCTCTATAATAGCTAAAGAAAAGTTATATTTTTGCACCAAAGAAGATTTTAAAATAAAACTAATAATGATGACAATAATATCTACTGTTTACTGAGTGTTTATTTACGATGTCTCGGGTCTTGTACTAAACACTTGAAGTCAGTTATCCTATTTAATTGTTATGACAACCCCATAAGGTAGGTACCATTATTATCTCCATTTTACAGATGAGAAAACTGAGGCTTAGAGAGGTTAAGTTACGTGCTCAAGGCAACACATCAGGCTTGCCTGATTTTAAATTTTATCTCCTTTGCTATCCTGTCTGTCTTCCAAAGATAGCTCTTCTTGTTTATGCTACTTTATAATGGGGAAGGAGTACATTATTTTGGTGTTTTAACATATTTCTTGCAGACTGAAAGAAGGGAATGGGAAGGTGATGTGTGTGGAGGGTATTCAACGTTAACATTTGCTAGTCTTGTTAGTTTCCTGGAGCTTTCTGCTGCAGTAATTTGGAAGTAAAAAGCAGGATTTTGTTCAGAGTGGCTTTTCAACAATAAAGACTGTCTGGTTGAAACCTGTTTACTCTATGCCTTTGCTTTTAATTCTCTCCAACACAGCTCCCTCTGTTGCCTTTGTCTCATCTGTAAGCCCTGAAGCACTTCTCCAAAGGCTTTAAGCCCAGTTGAGTGGGCAAAAATCCTTTTCCACCTTTTACCTTGCAACTGGTTTTGAGTTTCTCTTGAGTGTTTGTTTGACTGTTTAGCCAAGGATTGAGAGTCCCATTGTGAGGAGAGAAACCATTTGCCTTGGTTGTGTGCAAGCTTTCCAGAGTTCACCGATTAGCTTCCTGTTCCTTTTGTTTCTCCACTGGTACTTGCAGCTCTTAGGCAGAGGATTATACAGCAATGTAATTATCCAGCCACCTTCCTTAGTCTTATATTTAAAGAGAAATATATGTGTCTTCTATATTTACAGAAATATTTTCCAAGTGACCCAAAGTGATGTTGAATTCTATCCTGGCTGACTTCCAACATCTCTTTTTCCCTGTGGTTTGGAGTCTAATGCTAACCATGTTTCCTCATACCTCTAAAAAAAAATCTTGAACAGCCTACAACATAATCACACAATTCCAAAATACCCAAACTAAGGCCCCTTAGAGACCATCTAGTCCACATTTTACACAGTGCAAAACGAAGGCTGGTAAAGTTCCAGTACTAAGAACTCCACAGAGTTTATTAATATTTAACTTTTATATTTGCTTTCCAATTATATACTCTTTGAGAACAGAAACCTTTACTTAGACTTTTTTGGTACGTCATTTGCCACATATATATATGCATGTAGTAGATACTTAGAAGGCATGTATCCATGGATGTTTTATAAGAACTTTGCTCAAAACTGAATGGGGTCAGACCCAACCCATAAGGGATGCACAAGGTTTTAAATGACACAGTCAGAGACCTAGAGAAATTTCATCCCAGCCCAATGGGTTCCCTGGGGGATGCTTTGGATTTTTTCTGTTTGCTTTTTATTATGTAAGTAGTATGTGGATACATCCTTTTAAAAATTCAGGCACTACATAACTACACAGAGTAAAATACAAAGGACCTCCAAGTTTCCATCTGTTTTTTACTTCCCTCCCCAACATTGGCCGCTACTTATAAAGTCTATTCTTCCAGTCCTTTTCAATATATTTCTTCACATACGTAGGGTTTGTTTTTTCTTTTACATAAATGAGATTAAGTTTTATTCATTGTTTTGCAACTTTCTTTTTCATTTAAAAATATATTGGCGGTCTTTCCATATTAGTACATATGCACAGTGTTTCATCAAATGGATGTACTATAAATTATGTAGCCACTTTTCTATTGATGAACCCTGAAGGTGACTAATTTTTTGCTACAATGAACAATGCTACACATATGTGAATATTAACTCAGAACAGATTCCTAGAATGGCATTGGTGGATTGATGCTTATTTTCTCTGAGTGAATAGATCAAAGGTAGCAAGAATGATCCAAACTAAGTATTTCAACAGATGGTCTTGGACAAATCACTACACCTCCCCTGAGCCCAAATAGCTGGATGCCTGACCTAATTCACAGAGTGATACAGGTTTAAATGAGATAAAGTTAAGAAAAGTCTCTGGAAATCATGAACTGCTTTATAAATGCAAGGAAGTGATAACCCAAAGATAGTAATATGTTATTGCATCAACTAACCATACACATGGCTACACTATATGATCTGTAAAGGACACAGTACAGATGTCCAAATATCCTTTTCTTGTTTGAGTATGACTGTCCCTTTCTGTTAGGAAGTTGCTCCTCTCCCAACTTCAACCATGTGGTACTAGTAATAGTTATCAATTATAGCACACAATGATTGGTCCAAGGGTGGATATATTACTTCCACAAGGCCTATAAGGACTTTCCCCTTGGATTTTTCAAACTGGGCCATGGGAGAGAAACGCATCCCTCATTGGTCCTGAAGTTGTGAGATGTGGTGCGGCATGACACTGCCAGTGGCCACACCTCCAGCTATGTGGAGGAAGTCAATCTGAGAGATGCAGAAATGCATGTCCTGATGGCATTGAAGGTCCTAGTTCTGGTTTCTGAGCCATGGCTTCAGTCCTACTCCTCTTCTGCACATATGTGCCTTCTAATGTATTCCTCCTTTTGCCAAAGCCATTTGAATTGGGTAAAAGTAGCCTGTAATCCCATTTCTGCGGACTCCTGCCCATTCCATCCATGGTGCTTCTCTTGACACTGTCATTCCCTCCTTTCCCACCCACCTGACAGGAAGCATAATGATTGCTCTTGGCGGAAGGTTGATTTTGATTTGATTTCTTTATTTGAGCAAGATAACCACATGTATACTCCAATAGAGAGTATTTTGACAAGGAAAACACGAGACCTCCCTGGGTATGGCAGACTCTGTTTCAAATTTCTGATCATCTGCAATAGCTTTAGCCACACGATAGGCAACGGTAAAGCTGGGGAGGGAACCAAGTTTCTATAAACAACAGTGTTCAGCTATGGTAAGATCTAAGATATTTATATTTCCCAAACTTCACAAGCTACCTGCACCCTTAAAACTGAACTCTGGTTCTTGCAAACTGAGGACCATCACGGCATTTCCTAGAAGATAATATTTCTTTTTAAAGCAGCAGTTCTGGCCCTGAATTTTCTTCTATCCTTGCCATTACGGCATATTCAAATATAGTCTAAAAAGAACTATCCAAAAGAAGATTTATCTCTATTTCACCTTTGAGCCCCTTCTTTTCTTCAAATGTTCATACTCAACAGCTAGTTCTGTGGCACTAAGAAAAACGCATTGTCGGAGGAGCCAAGATGGCCGAATAGGAACAGCTCTGGTCTACAGCTCCCAGCGTGAGCGACACAGAAGACAGGTGATTTCTGCATTTCCAACAGAGCTTTGAAGAGAGTAGTGGTTCTCCCAGCACTCAGCTTGAGATCTGAGAACGGGCAGACTGCCTCATCAAGTGGGTCCCTGACCCTCAAGTAGCCTAACTGGGAGGCACCCCCCCAGTAGGGGCAGACTGACACCTCACACGGCCGGGTACTCCTCTGAGACAAAAATTCCAGAGGAATGATCAGGCAGCAGCATCTGCGGTTCACCAATATCCGCTGTTCTGTAGCCACCACTGCTGATACCCAGGCAAACAGGGTCTGGAGTGGACCTCTAGCAAACTCCAACAGACCTGCGGCTGAGGGTCCTGTCTGTTAGAAGGAAAACTAACAAACAGAAAGGACATCCACACCAAAAACCCATCTGTATGCAACCATCATCAAAGACCAAAGGTAGATAAAACCACAAAGATGGGAAAAAAACAGAGCAGAAAAACTGGAAAGCCTAAAAATCAGAGTGCCTCTCCTCCTCCAAAGGAACGCAGCTCCTCACCAGCAACGGAACAAAGCTGGACGGAGAATGACTTTGCTGAGTTGAGAGAAGAAGGCTTCAGACAATCAAACTACTCTGAGCTACAGGAGGAAATTCGAACCAATGGCAAAGAAGTTAAAAGCTTTGAAAAAAAATTAGTCGAATGGATAACTAGAATAACCAATGCAGATAAGTCCTTAAAGGACCTGATGGAGCTGAAAACCAAGGCACAAGAGCTACGTGATGAATGCAGAAGCCTCAGTAGCCAATGCTATCAACTGAAAGAAAGGGTATCAGTGATGGAAGACGAAATGAATGAAATGAAGCGAGAAGAGAAGTTTAGAGAAAAAAGAATAAAAAGAAATGAACAAAGCCTCCAAGAAATATGGGACTATGTGAAAAGACCAAATCTACATCAGATTGGTGTACCTGAAAGTGACGGGGAGAGTGGAACCTAGTTGGAAAACACTCTGCAGGATATTATCCAGGAGAACTTCCCCAATCTAGCAAGGCAGGCCAACATTCAGATTCAGGAAATACAGAGAACGCCACAAAGATACTCCTCGAGAAGAGCAACTCCAAGACACATAATTGTCAGATTCACCAAAGTTGAAATGAAGGAAAAAATGTTAAGGGCAGCCAGAGACAAAGGTCGGATTACCCACAAAAAGAAGCCCATCAGACTAACAGCGGATCTCTTGGCAGAAACTCTACAAGCCAGAAGAGAGTGGGGACCAATATTTGACATACTTAAAGGAAAGAATTTTCAACCCAGAATCTCATATCCAGCCAAACTAAGCTTCATAAATGAAGGAGAAATAAAATACTTTACAGACAAGCAAATGCTGAGAGATTGTGTCACCAGCAGGCCTGCCCTAAAAGAGCTCCTGAAGGAAGCACTAAACATGGAAAGGAACAACCAGTACCAGCCACTGCAAAAACATACCAAATTGTAAAGACCGTCAAGGCTAGGAAGAAACTGCATCAACTATCGAGCAAAACAATCAGCTAACATCATAATGACAGGATCAGATTCACACATAACAATATGAACTTTCAATGTAAATGGGCTAAATGCTCCAATTAAAAGACACAGACTGGCAAATTGGATAAAGAGTCAAGACCCATCAGTGTGCTGTATTCAGGAAACCCATCTCACATGCAGAGACACACATAGGCTCAAAATAAAGGGATGGAGGAAGATCTACCAAGAAAATGGAAAATAAAAAAAAAGCAGGGGTTGCAATCCTAGTCTCAGATAAAACAGACTTCAAACCAACAAAGATCAAAAGAGACAAAGAAGGCCATTACATAATGGTAAAGGGATCAATTCAACAAGAAGAGCTAACTATCCTAAATATATATGCACCCAACACAGGAGCACCCAGATTCATAAAGCAAGTCCTGAGTGACCTACAAAGAGACTTAGACCCCCACACGATAATAATGGGAGACTTTAACACCCCACTGTCAACATGAGACAGATCAATGAAACAGAAAGTTAACAAGGATATCCAGGAATTGAACTCAGCTCTGCACCAAGTGGATCTAATAGACATCTACAGAACTCTCCACCCCTAATCAACAGAATATACATTCTTTTCAGCACCACACCACACCTACTCCAAAATTGACCACACGGTTGGAAGTAAAGCTCTCCTCAGCAAATGTAAAAGAACAGAAATTATAACAAACTGTCTCTCAGACCACAGTGCAATCAAACTAGAACTCAGGATTAAGAAACTCACTCAACACCGCTCAGCTACATGGAAACTGAACAACCTGCTCCTGAATGACTACTGGGTACATAATGAAATGAAGGCAGAAATAAAGATGTTCTTTGAAACCAACGAGAACAAAGACACAACATACCAGAATCTCTGGGACACATTCAAAGCAGTGTGTAGAGGGAAATTTATAGCACTAAATGCCCAAAAGAGAAAGCAGGAAAGATCTAAAATTGACATCCTAACATCACAATTAAAAGAACTAGAAAAGCAAGAGCAAACACATTCAAAAGCTAGCAGAAGGCAAGAAATAACTAAAATCAGAGCAGAACTGAAGGAAATAGAGACACAAAAAACCCTTCAAAAAAGTAATGAATCCAGGAGCTGGTTTTTTGAAAGGATCAACAAAATTGATAGACCCCTAGCAAGACCAACAAAGAAGAAAACAGAGAAGAATCAAATAGATGCAATAAAAAATGATAAAGGGGATATCACCACTGATCCCACAGAAATACAAACTATCATCAGAGAATACTACAAACATCTCTACGCAAATAAACTAGAAAATCTAGAAGAAATGGATAAATTCCTGGACACATACATCCTCCCAAGACTAAACCAAGAAGAAGTTGAATCTCTGAATAGACCAATAACAGGCTCTGAAATTGAGGCAATAATTAATAGCTTACCAACCAAAAAAAGTCCAGGACCAGAAGGATTCACAGCCGAATTCTACCAGAGGTACAAAGAGGAGGTGGTACCATTCCTTCTGAAACTATTCCAATCAATAGAAAAAGAAGGAATCCTCCCTAATTCATTTTATAAGGCCAGCATCATCCTGATACAGAAGCCTGGCAGAGACACAACAAAAAAAGAGAATTTTAGACGAATATCCCTGATGAACATCGATGCAAAAATCCTCAATAAATTACTGGCAAACCAAATCCAGCAGCACATCAAAAAGCTTATCCACAATGATCAAGTGGGCTTCATCCCTGGGATGCAAGTCTGGTTCAACATGTGCAAATCAATAAATGTAATCCATCATATGAACAGAACCAAATACAAAAACCACACGATTATCTCAATAGATGCAGAAAAGGCCTTTGACAAAATTCAACAACCCTTCATGCTAAAAACTCTCAATAAATTAGGTATTGATGGGACGTATCTCAAAATAACAAGAGCTATTTATGACAAACCCACAGCCAATATCATACTGAATGGGCAAAAACTGGAAGCATTCCCTTTGAAAACTGGCACAAGACAGGGATGCCCTCTCTCACCACTCCTATTCAACATAGTGTTGGAAGTTCTGGCCAGGGCAATCAGGCAGGAGAAGGAAATAAAGGGTATTCAATTAGGAAAAGAGGAAGTCAAATTGTCCCTGTTTGCAGATGACATGATTGTGTATCTAGAAAACCCCATCGTCTCAGCCCAAAATCTCCTCAAGCTGATAAGCAACTTCAGCAAAGTCTCAGGATGCAAAATCAATGTACAAAAATCACAAGCATTCCTATACACCAATAACAGACAAACAGAGAGCCAAATCATGAGTGAATTCCCATTCACAATTGCTTCAAAGAGAATAAAATACCTAGAAATCCAACTTACAAGGGATGTGAAGGACCTCTTCAAGGAGAACTACAAACCACTGCTCAATGAAATAAAAGAGGACACAAACAAATGGAAGAACATTCCATGCTCATGGGTAAGAAGAATCAATATCGTGAAAATGGCCATACTGCCCAAGGTAATTTATAGATTCAATGCCATCCCCATCAAGCTACCAATGAATTTCTTCACAGAATTGGAAAAAACTACTTTAAAGTTCATATGGAACCAAAAAAGAGCCCGCATCGCCAAGTCAATCCTAAGCCAAAAGAACAAAGCTGGAGGCATCATGCTACCTGACTTCAAACTATACTACAAGGCTACAGTAACCAAAACAGCATGGTACCAGTACCAAAACAGAGATATAGACCAATGGAACAGAACAGAGCCCTCAGAAATAATGCCGCTTATCTACAACTATCTGATCTTTGACAAACCTGACAAAAACAAGAAATGGGGAAAGGATTCCCTATTTAATAAATGGTGCTGGGAATACTGGCTAGCCACACATAGAAAGCTGAAACTGGATCCCTTCCTTACACCTTATACAAAAATTAATTCAAGATGCATTAAAGACCTAAATGTTAGACCTAAAACCATAAAAACCCTAGAAGAAAACCTAGGCAATACCATTCAGGACATAGGCATGGGCAAGGACTTCATGTCTAAAACACCAAAAGCAATGTCAACAAAAGCCAAAATTGACAAATGGGATCTAATTAAACTAAAGAGCTTCTGCACAGCAAAAGAAACTACCATCAGAGTGAACCTACAGAATGGGAGAAAAGTTTTGCAACCTACTCATCTGACAAAGGGCTAATATCCAGAATCTACAATGAACTCAAACAAATTTACAAGACAAAAAACAAACAACACCATCAACAAGTGGGCAAAGGATATGAACAGACACTTCTCAAAAGAAGACATTTATGCAGCCAAAAGACACATGAAAAAATGCTCATCATCACTGGCCATCAGAGAAATGCAAATCAAAACCACAATGAGATATCATCTCACACCAGTTAGAATGGCAATCTTTAAAAAGTCAGGAAACAACAGGTGCTGGAGAGGATGTGGAGAAATAGGAACACTTTTATACTGTTGGTGGGACTGTAAACTAGTTCAACCATTATGGAAGTCAGTGTGGCGATTCCTCAGGGATCTAGAACTAGAAATACCATTTGACCCAGCCATCCTGTTACTGGGTATATACCCAAAGGACTATAAATCATGCTGCTATAAAGACACTTGCACACGTATGTTTATTGGGGCACTATTCACAATAGCAAAGACTTGGAACCAAGCCAAATGTCCAACAATGATAGACTGGATTAAGAAAATGTGGCACATATACACCATGGAATACTATGCAGCCATAAAAAATGATGAGTTCATGTCCTTTGTAGGGACATGGGTGAAGCTGGAAACCATCATTCTCAGCAAACTACCGCAAGGACAAAAAACCAAACACCGCATGTTCTCACTCAAAGGTGGGAATTGAACAATGAGAACACATGGACACAGGAAGGGGAACATCACACACCGGGGACTGTTGTGGGGTGGGGGGAGGGGGGAGGGATAGCATTAGGAGATATACCTAATGCTAAATGACGAGTTAATGGGTGCAGAACACCAAAATGGCACATGTATACATATATAACAAACCTGCACATTGTGCACATGTACCCTACAACTTTAAGTATCATAATAATAAAATTTAAAAAAAGAAAAGAAAATACCAAAAAAATAAAATGAAAAGAAAAAGGCATTGTCATTTTAATGCTGTCTAAGACTCTTAAATTATTTTTAGTAAAATTAGAGTTAAACAGCAGCAGCATACTAGCTAAAGAAGAAATGTGTGACTTTCAAAGCCATAAAAACCTAGCTCCACAACACAGAAGATTTAGAGAGGCCTCAAGTAAAATATCTGACCTGATGCTTACTGTGTTAGTGACTTTGGACAAGCCATTTTAACACCCTTGAGCCTCAGTGTCTTCATCTGTAAAATTAAATTTTAAGTTGGCTCGTATGGCTATTGTGATGATTAAATGAAATTTTTACATATACTTTATATATTAAACTATCAACACAGTGCCTGGAGCATATTGTGTTCAGTAAATGGTAAGTATTACCATTACCTATTAGTAATAATTCTTCATATTTGAATAGTAATTTTCATCTTGATCCTAATAGCAATCACGTACAGCACAAGGGACAAGTGTTCTCTCCACTTCAGACATGAACAAACTGAGGTTGAGAGAGCATAAATGGCTCACCCAATGCCTCATTGCTAGCTAGCAAACGGCAGATCTGAAATTCAAACCACACCTCTGTGAATCAAGACCCTTTTTCTTGTCTTCTGCAATACTATCTTTCATTAATGATGAGAAATAAATGAGATTCAATCAACAAGATTTTTCAAATTACTGAATATCTCATAGGTGCCAGGTTCTATTCTAGGTACTAAGTCTAAAGCAAAGAACAAAACAGACAAAAATCTCTCTTCTTATTCTTGAGGGTGAAGGCAGTCAATGGAAGAATAAATACATAAAATATATAGTATGTGCTGCAGGATCATCATGGCAGATGGGAGGCAGGACTAGATTGCAGCTCTGACTTGAACAGACAGAGTAGCATGCAGAGGCTCACGCTGTGGATTTTAGCTCTAGATTGACTGCAAGAACAAACGAGCAATCCTGAGAGGGCCCGCAGACCCTCTGAAGGAAGCATACTGCTCCCGCAGGACCCAGGAGACACCCAAACACTGTGAGTGCCCCAACTGCAAAAGTGGTAAAGGGATATCCTCCTCTCCTGAACACACATCCCTCCTGGAGAAACTGACAGTCTGTTTGCGGGAGAAGTTTCCCGCAGATTTCTCAGCAGAAAACCTACAAGCTAGAAGGTATTGGGGCCCTATCTTCTTCAACCTCCTCAAACAAAACAATTACTGGCCAAGAATTGTGTATCCAGTGAAGCTAAGCATCACATGGAAGGAAACATACAGTCTTTTTCAGACAAACAAATGCTGAGAGAATTCACCACTACCAAGCCACCACTACAAGAACTGCTAAAAGGAGCTCTAAATCTGGAAACAAGTCCTGGAAACACATCAAAACAGAACCTCTTTAAAGCATAAATCACACGGGACCTATGAAACAAAAATACAAGTTAAAAAGCAGAAACAAAAAACAAAAGAACCAAAGTACACAGACAACAAATAGCATGATGAATGCAATGGTACCTCACATCTCAATACTAACATTGAATGTAGATGGCCTAAATGCTCCACTTAAAAGACACAGAACTGCAGAATGGATAAGAACTCACCAACCAACTATCTGCTGCCTTCAGGAAACTCATCTAACACAAAAGGACTCACATAAACTTAAAAGGGGTGGAAAAAGGCATTTCATGCAAATGGACACCAAAAGTGAGCAGGGGTAGCTATTCTTATATCAGAAAAAAAAAACGAATTTTAAAGCAACAGCAGTTAAAAGAGACAAAGAGGGACATTATATAATGGTAAAAGGCTTTGTCCAACAGCAAAATGTCACAGTCCTAAACATATATGCACCTAACACTGGAGGTCCCAAATTTATAAAACAATTACTAATTGACCTAAGAAATGAGATAGACAGCAACACAATAATAGTGGGGAACTTCAATACTCCACTGACAGCACTAGAAAGGTCATCAAGACAGAAAGTCAACAAAAAACAATGGATTTAAACTACACCATGGAACAAATGGACCTACCAGATATACACAGAACATTTTATCCAACAACCGCAGAATACGCATTCTATTCAACAGTGTATGGAACTTTCTCCAAGATAGACCATATGATAAGGCCATAAAATGAGCCTCAGTAGATTTAAGAAAATTGAAATTATATCAAGCAGTCTCTCAGACCACAGTGGAAATCAACTCCAAAAGGAACCTTCAAAACTATGCAACTACATGGAAATTAAATAACCTGCTCCTGAATGCGCATTGAGTCAAAAACAAAATGAAGATGGAAATTAAAAAATTCTTCATACTGGGCTGGGCACGGTGGCTCAGGCCTGTAATCCCAGCATTTTGGCAGGCCGAGGTGCATGGATCACAAGGTCAGGAGACTGAGACCATCCTGACTAACACGGTGAAACCCCGTCTCTACTAAAAATACAAAAACTTAGCCAGGCATGGTGGCGGGCGCCTTTAGTCCCAGCTACTTGGGAGGCTGAGGCTGGAGAATGGCATGAACCCAGGAGGTGGAACTTGCAGTGAGCCAGGATCATGCCACTGCACTCCAGCCTGGGTAATAGAGCAAGATTCCGTCTCAAAAAAAAAAAAAAATTCTTCAAACTGAATGACAATAATGACACAACCTATCAAAACCTCTGGGATACAGCACAGGCAGTGCTAACAGGAAAGTCCATAGCCTTAATGCCTCCATCAAAAAGACTGAAAGAGCACAAACTGACATTCTAAGGTCACACTTCAAGGAACTAGAGAAACAAGAACAAACCAAACCCAAAACCAGCAGAAGAAAGGAAATAACCAAGATCAGAACAGAACTAAATGAAATTGAAACCAAAAAAATACAAAAGATAAATGAAATAAAAAGCTGGTTATTTGAAAAGATAAATACAATTGATAGACCTTTAGCAAGATTAACCAAGAAAAGAAGAGAGAAAATCTAAATAATCTCATTAAGAAATGAAACGGGAGATATTACAACTGACACTACTGAAATACAAAAGATCATAAAGATCATTCAAGGCTACTATGAACACCTTTATGCATATAAACTAGAAAAGCTAGAAGAGATGGATAAATTCCTGGAAAAATACAACCCTCTGAGCTCAAATCAGGAAGAAATAGCTACCCTGAACAGACCAATAACAAGCAGCAAGATTAAAATGGTAATTTAAAAACTACCAACAAAAAAAAAGTCCAGGACCAGATGCATTCACAGCAGAATTCTACCGGACATTCAAAGAAAAATTGGTACCAATCCTTGTGACACTATTCCACAAGATAGAGAAAGGAGGAACCCTCCCTAACTCATTCTATGAAGCCAGCATCACACTAATACCAAAACCAGGAAAGGACATAACCAAAAGAGAAAACTACCGACCAATATCTGTGATGAACTAGATGCTAAAATCCTTAACAAAATACTAGCTAACCAAATCCAATACATATCAAAAAAATAATTCACCATGATCAAGTGGGTTTTATACCAGGAATGCAGGGAACATATCCAAGTCAATAAATGTGATACACCACATAAACAGAATTAAAAACAAAAATCACTTGATCATCCCAATAGATGCAGAAAAGGCATTCAACAAAATCCAGCATCCTTTATGATTAAAACTCTGAGCAAAATAGGCATACAAGGGACATATCTCAATGTAATAAAAGCCATCGATGACAAACCCACAGCCACTGTAATACTGAATGGGGAAAAGTTGAAAGCTTTCCCTCTGAGAACTGAAACAAGACAAGAATGCCCACTCTCACTACTCCTCTTCAACATAGTACTGGAAGTCCTAGCCAGAGCAATCAGACAAGAGAAAGAAATAAAGAGCATCCAAATCGGTAAAGAGGAAGTCAAACTGTCACTGTTTGCTGACAATATGATTGTTTACCTTGAAAACCCTAAAGACTCCTCCAGAAAGCTCCTAGAACTGATAAAAGAATTCAGCAAAGTTTCTGGATACATGGATTAACATACACAAATCAGTAGCTCTTCTGTACACCAACAGTGAACAAGCAGAGAATCAAATCGAAAACTCAACCGCTTTTACAATAGCTGCAAAAAAAAAAAAAAAACTTAGGAATATACCTAAGAACAAAACTTAAGAATATATCTACCTTCCTTGTAGAGAAAGACCTCTACAAGGAAAACTACAGAACACCACTGAAAGAAATCATAGACAATGCAAACAAATGAAAACACATTCCATGCTCATGGATGGGTAGAATCAATATTGTGAAAATGACCGTACTGCCAAAAGCAATCTACAGATTCAATGCAATCCCCATCAAAATACCACCATCATTCTTCACAGAATTAGAAAAAAAAAATTCTAAAATTCATATGGAACCAAAAAGGAGTCCACCTAGCCAAAGCAAGACTAAGCAAAAAGAACAAATGTGGAGGCATCACACTACCTGATTTCAAACTATACTATAACGCCACAGTCAAAAAAACAGCATGGTACTGGTATAAAAATAGGCACATAGACCAGTGGAACAGAATCGAGAACCCAGAAATAAAACCAAGTACTTATAGGCAACTGATCTTCCATAAAGCAAACAAAAACATAAAGTGGGGGAAAGGACACCCTTTTCAACAAATGGTGCTGGGATAATTGGCTAGCCACATGTAGGAGAATGAAACCAGATCTTCGTCTCTCACCTTATACAAAAATCAACTCAAGATGGATTAAGGACTTAAATCTAAGACCTGAAACTATAAAAATTCTGGAAGATAACATTGGAAAAACCCTTGCAGACATTGGCTTAGGCAATGATTTCATGACCAATAACCCAAAAGCAAATGCAATAAAAACAAAGATAAATAGTTAGGACTTAATTAAACTAAAGAGCTTTTGCAAGACTAAAGGAATAGTCAGCAGAGTAAACAGACAACCTACAGAGTACGAGAAACTTTTCACAATCTATACATCTGACAAAGGACTAATATCCAGAATTACAATGAACTCAAACAAATCGTAAGAAAAAAACAAACAATCCCCATCAAAAAGTGGGCTAAGGACATGAATAGACAATTCTCAAAAGCATGATATACAAATAGCCAACAAACATATGAAAAAATGCTCAACATCACTAATGATCAGGGGAATGCAAATCAAAACCACAATGCGATACCACCTTACTCCTGCAAGAATGGCCATAATAAAAAAATTAAAAAAAAAACAAAAAACAGTAAACGTTGGCATGGGTGCAGTGAACAGGGAACACTTCTACACTGCTGCTGGGAATGTAAACTAGTACAATCACTATGAAAAACAGTGTAGAGATTCCTTAAATAACTCAAAGTATAACTACCATTTGATCCAGCAATCTTGCTACTAGGTGTCTACCCAGAGAAAAAGAAGTCATTATACAAAAAAGATACTTGCACACACATGTTTATAGCAGCACAATTCACCAACTGCAAAATTGTGGAACCAACCCAAATGCCCATCAGTCAATGAGTGAATAAAGAACCTGTGGTATATGCATATGAGTAAATACTATTCAGCCATAAAAAGGAATGAATTAACAGCATTTGCAGTGACCTGAATGAGATTGGAGACCATTATTCTAAGTGAAGTAACTCAGGAATGGAAAACCAAACATCGTATGTTCTCACTGATATGTGGGAGCTAAGCTATGAGGATGCAAAGGCATAAGAATGATACAATGGACTTTGGGGACTTGGGAGAAAGAGTGGGAGGGGGACGAGGGATAAAATGCTATGGTGCAGTGTATCCTGCTCAGGTGATGGATGCACCAAAATCTCACAAATCACCACTAAAGAAGTTATGTAACTGAATACCACCTGTACCCCCAATAACTTATGGAAAAAAATTAAAAATATAAATAAATAAATACATTGGCATATTCATTGAAATAAATAAAATATATAGTATGTCAAATGAAGGGAAATGCTACAAGGAGATTAAAGCAGGGAAAGGGGAAGGGGTGTACCAAGGAGTAGAAAGCAGAATGCAATTTTAAATAGGATGATATGGGTTGGCCTCATTGAGAAAGTAACATTTGAGGGTGGGCGCCGTGGCTCAGGCATGTAATCCCAGCACTTTGGGAGGCCGAGGCAGGTGGATCACTTGAGGCCAGGAGTTTCAGACCAGCCTGGCCAAAATGGCGAAACCCCGTCTCTACTAAAAAAATACAAAACATAGCTGGGCATAGTGGTGCGTGCCTGTAGTCTCAGCTACTAGGGAGGCTGAGGCAGGAGAATCACTTGAACCCAGGAGGCGGAGGCTGCAGTGAGCTGAGATCGTGCCACTGCACTCCAGCCTGGGCAACAGAGCAAGAATCTGTCTCAAAAAATAAAAAAGGTGACGTTTGAGTAAAGATCTGGTGCCAGGCACTGTGGCTGGCACCTGTAATCCCAGCAAATTGGGAGGCTGAGGTGGGAAGATTGCTTGAGCCCATGAGTTCAAAGATCTGGGTAGGTGAGTGAGAAAGGAAGTCAGAAGTCACACAGACAGCCTGCAAGAAAGCAATCCAGTAAAAGGAAACAGGAAGTGCAAAGGCCCTGAGGTGAGAGCATGCTGGATGTGTCCAACGAATAAATAACAAGGAAACCAATGACATGAAGGACAGCAAGGCAGGAAAAGAGGACGGTGAGATGAGGGCAGAGAAGTATGCTGAAGAGCTCTGGGGACCAGAGGGTGAAGAGCAGTAGGGCTCTGTAAGGACTTCAGCTGCTACTCCGCAATGAGAGCCACTGGAGGGTTTTGCACAGAGGAGTGCCATGGTCTGACTTACATTTTAAAAGAATCACTCTGGTTGCTATGTTGGGATTAGCCTATATGAAGGTAAGGGTAGAAGTAGGGAAACATGTTAGAAGATGATTGCAATAGGAAGAAGGCGATGGCTTGATTCTGAGCAAACTATCGCAAGGACAGAAAACCAAACACCGCGTGTTCTCACTCATAAGTGGGAATTGAACAATGAGAACACTTGGACACAGGATGGGGAACATCACACACCGGGGCCTGTTGTGGGGTGGGGGGAGTGGGGAGGGATAGCATTAGGAGATATACCTAATGTAAATGACAAGTTAATGGGTGCATCACACCAACATGCACATGTATACATATGTAACAAACCTGCACGTTGTGCACATGTACCCTAAAACTTAAAGTGTAATAAAAAAAGAATCTTAGATACATATTAATAAGTGAAGAAAGCCAATCTGAAAAGACTACATACTATGTGATTCCAACTTTGCGATATCCTGGAAAAGGCAAAACTATGGAGCCAGTAAGAAGACCAGTGGTTGCCAGAGATTGGTTAAGCACAAAGGATTTTTTGGGCAGTGAAAATACTCTTTATGATATTATAATGGTGGATACATGTCATTATACATTTGTCAAAACCCGTAAAATGTGCAACATCAAGAGTGAATCCTAATATAAACTATGGACTTTTGGTGATACTGATGTATTAATACATGTTTATCAATTGTAACAAATGTACCCACTCTAGTGGGGGATGTTGATAGTTGGGGAGACTGTGCAGTGGTGGGGGAAGGAGATATATGGAAAACCTTGGTACTTTATTCTCAATTATGCTGTGAACCTAAAAATATTCTTAAAAACTTAAGTCTTGAAAATGGTTACTTTGAAGTTACATAAAAATTTGTGAAAATATATGCAAATACAAATAATAAGAAAAGAAAAAATAGTATCAGACATTTTCAAGTAAATAACTCAAACAACACTAAAATATAATATAAAGTGAAACCTGAATAAAACTTAAATACTCAAAAAAAAAAAAGAAGGTGATGGCTTGAACCAGGATAGTAATAGTGTAAGGAGTGAGAAAATGGTCAAATTCTGAAAAGAGCCTTTTTTATTATGAAAATCTTCAAATATTAAAAAAGTAGAGAGAGTAACACAGCAAACTTCTGTAAATTCGTCACCCAAATTCAATAATTATCAAAACTTTGCTACATTTGCTTAATCAGCTCTTGTTTTTTCATAGTTTTTTTTTGGTTTTTTTTGCTGAAGTATTTTAAAATAAATTACATACATTTGACCCAGCAATCCCATTATTGGGTATATACCCAAAGGAATATAAATCATTCTACCATAAAGATACATGCAGTTGTCTGTTTATCACAGCACTTTTCACAATAGCAAAGACATAGGATCAACCTACATGCCCGTCAACGGTGGACTGGATAAAGAAAATGTGGTACATATACACCATGGAATACTACACAGCAATACAAGAGATGAAATCATGTCCCTTGCAGCAAAACAGATGCAGCTGGAGGCGATTGTCCTAAGAAAATTGATGCAGGAATGAAAAAACAAATACTGCATGTTCTCACTTAGAAGTTGGAGCTAAACACTGAGTACACATGGACACAAAAAGGGGAAGAATAGATACCAGGGCTTACTTAAGGGTAGAGGGTAGGAGGAGGGGGAGGATAGAAAACTATCTATTGGGTACTATGCTCACTACCTGGGTAATAAAATCATTTTATTACCCAAACCCCAGTGACATGCAATTTATCCTTGTCAAACCTGCACATATATCCCCTGGATCTAAAATAAAAGTTGGAAGAAAAATAATAAATAAATAAATAAAATCGCTTCTTCAAAAAAATTACGTTGTATAATTTCACTGCTATGTATTGTATGCAGTATGCATTTCTCTGAAAATCTAAACATAAATACAATCACATTATCACACCTAAGATATCAACCCATACTACAACCCAATTTCCCTAACTGTCTTAAAAATTTCTTTCACAGTTGATTTGTTTGAATCAAGGTATAAACAATGTAATACACTACATTTGTTTATGTTTGAGTTTCTTTTAACCTAAAGGAGCACACATGCACACACACACACACGCACACTTTTTTCCCTTTAGCATTTCCCTGTGATTTGCAAAATCCACATAATATTCCTGCATAATGCCCCACATCCCAAATGTGTCCCTTTGCTACTCTGTAGTGTAATTAACTCTAGAAGCTTGGTTAGATTTAGTTTCATTTTTTTGGTCAAAAATATTTCATAGACAAAGTGTATTTTATAAATGCATTACATCAGGAGTTACCCAATATGTTGTTGTTCCATTTATAGTGACATTCATGATAGTGATCATTCCCCACCTACATATAACTAATGATTCCAATCCACTGACAATCACTGTGTAAAACAATTATTTCATGGGACCAAGGAGGAGAAGAACAAGGTAGTTATAATAGTGGGTATTATTTTGAAACTTGCTTTTTTCCACTTACCAGTATGTTGAAATTTATCCATATTGATATCTGTACTAGTTATTTCATACATGTCTAGTTATTTTAATTACTGTATAGTATTCTACTATAGAAAAAAATTGAAAAAAAGAAAAAAGAACACATTTTATTTATCCCTTCTACTGGTGAAAAAAGGATATATCCTATTTTTTTAATCAAAAACAGTAGCAAAGAATATCCTTGGGCATTTTTCAGTGTGTATGCATATGAGAGTTTCTCTAAAATCAAGGGCAGGAATCAGAAACCTTTTTCTGTAAAGAGACAGGTAGCAAATAGTTCAGGCTTTGTGGGCCATATGGTCTCTGTTGCCATTACTCTGTCAGGTAGCATGAAAACAGTCATCAACATTGTATAAACGAATAAGCATGCACACAGCTGGGTTTTTATAAGAGTTGATTTAACAAAACAGGTGGCGGGCCAGATTTGGCCCAAAGGCCATAGTTTGCTGACCCCTGGTGTAGAGTATGAAAATAGAGTATGTTCATCTTCAGCTTTGTTATATATTTCTATTTTCTTTCTCCAAATGAGTTATACTTGTTTATACTTCCATCAGCAAAGTATAAAAGTGACTTTCTCCACATCCTTGAAAACACTTGGTGTTATCTAATTTCTTAATCTTGGGGCAGTCTGATGGTTGTGAAATAGTTTCTAATGAATGTTTCAACTTTCATAAGCCAAATTACAAATGTGTTTCAATATTTTTCATATGTGCTTTGACTATTCAGGTTTCTCCTCCCTACATTGCCAGTTTATAACATTTACCTACTTTCTATTGAGTTGTTTGCCTTTTTCTTACAATTTGTGACTTTTATATATATTCTATTTATAGATTGCATTTTTCTGTTGATTATATGCATTATAAATATCTTAGTCTGAGTTTGTCTTTGCTCACAGTATCATTTGTTGAACAGAAGTTTTGTTTGGTTTTTGCTTTATTTTTAATGTCCATGGATACATTAATCCTCCCTTTTTCTGTGTGTGTATGTGTGTGTCCATTTTTTGCTTTGTATAAGAAATCTCGCCCTACCCAATTATCATAACATTTTTCTATATTTTCCTTTTCACATTCAGGTTTTAGTACATCTGAATGTATCTTTACATATGGTAGTTATCTAATTTTATCTTATCCAATATGAACCATCAATTATCTGAGCCCCCTTTATTGATTAATCCATCTATGTGTTCTCCACTGATTTTAATGCTACCTTTGACTTAATGCACATTCCCACATGTTGTAGGTCTGTTTCTAGGCTCTGTGTTCTGCTTTCTTAGTCTGCTTTTACTGGTCTATCTCTAGGCTGATACTATTTCATTTTAATGCGATAATTTCATAAGTAGTCTTAATATCAGGCAGAATTAATCTCTCCCTATCGCTGATATCTTTCAAATAGTCTTGCCTCATCTTTACTCTTCATCTTCCATACGAATTTTAGATAAATCCCAATGTAAAGGTTTGGAAACAAATGTTTAAAAAAATCTAAGTAACTTTCCCAAGGCCCCACGATTAATAAGTAGATGAGGTGACATTCAAACCCATGCAGAATAATTTCGAAGCCCAGTTTCTAAGCCACTATATCCACAATACCACCTCTACAATTATATTACAAAGTGGTAGAAAAAGCTGAATTTAATGTCAGTAATCATTAGGCTCTAGACTTGGCTCATTCGTGGACAAGTTGCTTGGGTATCTCCCTGGACCTAGTTTCCTCACCTACAAAATTGTTACAAAAATAATTTGTCTCAGAGCTATGAATAAACAGTCAATATAAACTGTAAAGCATTGATTATGTAAAAGCCCACCCACACTGGTTAATTTTATATGTCAACTAGACTGGGCCACACGGTGCCCAGGCATATAGTCAAGCACTATTCTGTATTTATCTGTGAGAGTGTTTCTCAATGAGAATAACATCTGAATCAGCAGACTGAGTAAAGGGCACCGCCCTGCCTAATGTGGATAGGCCTTATCCAGTCAATTGCAGGCCTGAGTAGAACAAAAACACGAGGTAAGAGGGAACTCCTGCTGCCTGACTGCTGTAAGATGAGACATCAGACTTTTCCTGTCTTTAGACTTGAACTGAAACATTGGCCTTTCTTAGGTCTCAAGCCTGCTAGCTTTTAGACTGAAACTTACATTATCAGCTCTCCTGATTCTCAGGAACTAGAACCACGCCATAGATTCTGCTGAGTTTCAAGCCGTCCAACTGCACTGTACCTCCATAATCATATGAGACAATTCCTCATAATAAATCAACAAACACACACACACATATATCCTATTGGTTCTGTTTCTCTGGAGAACCCTGACTAATACAGAGTTTGGTACCAAGAGTGGTCCTAGAGGAACATAATTCTAAGAATGAGTTTTCTGAATTGGTTTTGAGGCGTTTGGAATAGACTCTCTAATCTAATTAAAGACATTAATGACTCTATTTCCAGTAGTAAAGAGAGCATTGAAAGTCCATGGTGTGATCTGGCAATAAAAATACATAAAGTATCACCATTGAATATTCCTAGTCAACTACTTTTAAGAATCAAGGAGCTTGGTAACTGTGTATGTACTTTCAAACGTTTTTGGCAAGCTAACAAATGTAATGAGATTGGTTGGTTGTTCTATTGCTGGACAAAGTGGAGAAAGAAGAGGATGAGCTCAGGGGTTTGAGTTGCCAGCCCAAGTGTTGCATAAATGACTGGAAAGCTTCTATGTTTGCCCTAAAGGATATTCTTATCTCCAATAGCTGCAGAGCTGAGATTGCTGAAAATTAAAGGCAGAACCTCACGCTATGACTGGCTGAATTACAACACAAGTTGAACTCCCAGCCTCGCAGGGTGTCTACTGTTAAGGTGAAGGCATTGGTTGGGAAGAAATGGGCTTCTGAAAAATTGTAATGGGGACATGCAGGAAGACCTTGATGAATCTGGGGTCATTGAGCCCCTAAATTCTGATGAGTCTTCTTTGCCAGTGGAAGATTTCTCCCTACTCCAGAAGGGAGTCATCTCCCCATCCCTTGTGGTATAAGCTTCTGTACCCTTATCTGAGGAGATTAACCCTGCATTGGCTAAAAAACTCCAGTGGCCTCCCGTGAGGCAGTTGCCATCGAAGACAATGCTGAGTCTTCTCAGAACCTACCATCACCAACTCTCTTTGCTTCTAAACCTATAATTAGACTCAAGTCCCAGTAGGTCCCTAAAGGTGAAGTACAGAAGGTGACCCATGAGGAAGTGTGCTATGCTCCAAAAGAGTAACTGGAGTTTTCTAATGTATACAGAAATCTAAGGAATATGTGTGGAAACAGATATTAAGAGTGTGAAATGATGACACAAGGAACATAAAGTTGAATCAAGCTAAATTTATTGATATGGTCTCACTATGCAGAGATTCTGCATTTAATGTTGTGGCTCAGAGATTAAGGGGTCTAATAGTTTGGTTCATTGGCTAAAACATGGACCAAAGACCACAGTGCATGAGTTGGAAATGCTAGAACTGCCTTGGTTTAATATAGAGGAAGTGATTCAAAAGCTTAGGGAGACTGAAATATTAGAGTGGATTTGTCATTTAAGAACTACTCATCCACCAAGACTATGAAAAATAAATGTGTAAGAGGAGCTCCAGCATCCTTGAAGAGCCCTGTGATTCCTCTTCCCTGTAGGCTAGACCCCAGTGCAAGAACTACAGTCACTGAATTGGAAAACCTAAATGCAACGGGAGTAGTTGGATCCTAGGGTGGCAGGGGCCAGATGGCAAGACTCAACTGCCAAAGGCAAGATGGGTATGGATACTATAATGAACATCAGAGTCAGAGCAGCAATCAGAATAGTCTAACTCACACAGACCTATAGCATGGTCCAGTTGATTACAGTGTCCCTAGAAATAAAATAGGAAGCCTATTAAATGCTTATTTGATCTTTATAAGCAGAAAAGTTCCAGCTCAAGTGAACAAAAGTCTAATCTGAATCATAATCATAGACAGTCACAGTTACTCAATTTACAGTTACAAACTTAAGCTAGTTTACAAACCCAGAGGACCTTGAATGATGAGTAGGCCAGGTCTCCTTGAGAAAGGATCCCACTATTCAGCCAAAAATTTAAACTGTTGGTCTTCTGTCGGCCTTCCTCCAAAGGAACATACAGCCTTCTGCCAGGACAACTGGGTGCTGGAGGAAAGGAAATAATCAGGCCTTTTAGGGACTACTGGACAGTGGCTCTGAACTGACTAGTTCTAAGGAATCCAAAACATCACTGTGGTCCACCTGTCAGAGTAGGAGTTTATGGAGGTCAGATGATAAACCAAGTTTTGGCTCAAGTCTGTCTCACAGTGGGTCCAGTGTATCCCTGAACCCATCTTGTTATTTCCCCAGTTCCGGAATGCATAATTGGAACAGACTTACTCAACAGCTAGTAGCATCACCTCATTGGTTCCCTCACCTGTGGAGTGAGGGCTATTATGGTGGGAAATGACAAAGCGAAGCCACTAGAACTCCCTGTACCTACGAAACTAGTCAATCAGAAGCAATACAGATTAGTATTGCAGTAATTAGTGCCATCATCAAGGACTTGAAAGATGAGGTCGTGGTGATTCCCATTACATCCCCATTCAACTCTCCTATGTGACCTGTGCATAAAACACACGGATCTTGGAGAATGACGGTGGATTATCATAGGTTTAACCAGGTAGCAACTTTAATTACAGCTGCCGTACCAGATGTGCTGTACCAGTTTGCTTCAGCTGGCAAGGCTGGCAATACACTTTCACTGTCCTGCCTCAGAGGTATGTCAGCTCTCCAGCCCTATGTCAAAATTTGGTTTGCAGAGATTTTGATCACCTTTCCCTTTGATCACCTTCACCAAGATATTATACTGGCCCATTACATTGAGGACATTATGCTAATTTGACCTAGTGAGCAAGAAGTAGCAACTATTCTAGACCCATTGGTAAGACATTTGCATGTCAGAGAATGAGAAATAAATCTGACAAAAACTCAGGGGCCTTCTAACTCTGTGAAATTTTTATGGGTCCAGTGTTCTGGGGCATGTTGATAAATTCCTCCTAAGGTGAATGACAAATTGCTGCATCTGACTCCTCTTACAACCAAAAAGCAAAATAAAATGCCTAGTAGGTCTCTTCTGATTTTGGAGGCAAGGTATTCCACAGTGGGTGTGTTACTCTAATCCATTTACCAAGTGGCCCCAAAAGCTACTTATTTTGAGTGGAGCTCAGAACAAGAGAAGGCTCTGCAACAGATCCAGTATACTGTGCAAACTGCTGTACCACTTGGGCCATATGACCCAGTATAATGATACCTGAACCGTCAGTGGAGATGTGGGTGCTATTTGGAGCCTTTGGCAGGCACCTGGTAGGTGAATTTCAATGCCGGTCCTTTGGATTTTGAAACAAAGCCCTGCCACACTCTGCAGTTAACTACTCTCCTTTTGAGAAATGGCTCTTGGCCTGCTACTAGGCGCTAGTAGAGACTGAACATTTATCCATGGCCTGCCAAATTACCATGCAAATTGAGCTGCCCATCAGAAAATGGGTGTTATCTGACTCACCACACCATAAAGTTGGGTGTGCACAGCAGCACTCCATCATCAAATGGAAGTAATGTATGTGTGATCAAGCTCAAGCAGGCCCTGAAGGTATGAGAACGTTACATGAAGAAGTGGGCCAAGGCTGAGCGTGGTGGCTCACAACTGTAATCCCAGCATTTTGGGAGGCCAAGGCAGGCAGATCACTTGAGGTCAGGAGTTTGAGACCAGCCTGGCCAACGTGGTGAAACTCTGTCTCTACTAAAAATTCAAAAATTAGCTGGGTATGGTGGTGGACACCTGTAATCCTAGCTAGTCAGGAGGCTGAGGCAGGAGAATCACTTGAACCTGGGAAGTGGAGGTTGCAGTGAGCCGAGATCACATCACTGCACTCAAGCCTGGGCGACAGAGACTCCATCTCAAAAAAAAAAAAAAAAAGAAAAGAGTGGGACAAATGCACAGTCTCCACTCCTGTTTCTCTATGTTCTCTCTCCATCATGTGAGGACACAGAAAGAAGACAACTATCTGCGAGCCAGGAAAAGAGCCCTCATTAGAACACAACCATGTTGGCACCCTGATCTTGGACTTCCAGCCTCCATAAATGTGAGAAAATAATTTCCGTCGTTTAAGCCACCCAGCTATGGCACTTTGTTAAGGCAGCCTGAGAAGACTAATACACCATCTAAGTTTAAGATTTGGTACAATAAACCAGTTTACGTTTTTCTTTAAAAAATCTATTTTAAATCTCTTATTTATATTCTGGGCAAATTCTCTTTTACTGAATGTAGATTTGAGGATCTTCAGGAAAACTATTCTGCTTTTCCTGAGATCAAAATGGAAGTCAAGAGAAAACTGTCACTAATTTTGTCTCTAAAGATAACAGAGAAAATATTCCAGAACTTACAGGATCCCCAGTATTGCTTCAAAGTCATGCTCAGCCAGTCCCACACCCTGCAGGAAGCCCACTAGAAGATGAGCGTGGGCCCAAATGAGGAAGAAAAAAAACACTCTGATGTAAAAGCAAATTCCAGATGCACACAGCAGGTTGAGAAATTTTGAGTAAGAAGTTCAAACGTTTTGGAGTCAATCTCTTTAGAAAAACACCTAGATGGCAGGCCCTAGCTGTGGCGTTTTCATACCAGAGTTAGGCTGAGCCAAAAAGAAACCAAAGTATCTGACAGTATATCTAAGTCTGCATTTCTTCCTCTATTCCTTTCAACTTCTGCTTAGGCAGAAATAAATGGGCAACTATAAAATAAATCACAAAAATAAAATAAAACAAGGTTAGTTTTTTTACAGTCCTCAAGATGGAACACAGAAATTTGTAGGCTGTTTTGGCCTGAGTGTAATTGAGAGATGCATTTATTTATCCCTAAGTTTTACTTTTGTCTGCTCATCTAATTTTGCTTTATTGATAGATGTTGTCCTAGGTCAGGTTCTCCCAGAAACAGAATCTAAGCCAAGAATTCAGGTGCAAGTTATTTATTAAGGAAATTCTCCCAGGAGAAACCTGTAAGGAAGTGGAAAACAAGCTATCAGCAGTCTTGCAAACTGAGGGAATATAAATCAGAGTTCACAACCATTAAGGTCAAGGGGCTCTGACCCCCAGATTTAATTAGGACTGCTGATGGATTACATCCTAAGAGTAAGGTCGAATCTAAAAAGATCAGGCCTTCCAAAAACTAAAATCCAATTTCAAATCAGCTCAGTGACTGAATTAAAGCAATGTGCTCCTACTTTAACTGCCTGACAGAAACTAAAGAAACCTTCTTTTGGCTAAGATAATATCGCCCAAGCAGCTATCATTTTTCAACACAACATCTTGCATTTAATAAAAAATTTCCTTGTATGCCAAGAGACAGGTCCAAGAGAAAAAAGCAGACAATAGAAACAGAACAACAGATGACCCAGATATTATAGTTATTAGGTATGGGCCTTAAAATAATAAAAATAGGCCAGGCGTGGTGGCTTACGCCTGTAATCCTGGCACTTTGGGAGGCTGAGGTGGGTAGATCACCTGAGGTCAGCAGTTTGAGACCAGCCTGGCCAACATGGTGAAAACCCCAGCTCTACTAAAAATACAAAACAAATTTAGTGTCATGTGCCTGTAATCCAGCTACTCGGGTGGCTGAGGCACGAGAATTGCTTGAACCTGTGAGGTGGAGGTTACAATGAGCTGAGATTGCGCCACTGCACTCCAGCCTGGGTGACAGAGCGAGACTCTGTCTCAAAGTAAAATAAAATAAAATAAAATAGCCGGGGACATCTGTCCCACTCTAACCATCCTTTAATCCTGCATCTCCAAGAAATACAATAAACACTTCCAGCTCTTTCTTCTGGTGTTTACCTCCAGTATATTTTAGCATATCTCAAATATCATATCTCGTATATCATTTGAGCATATTTCAAATGATATGCTTATGCTGATATCCCTGGATTCATCCATTTAGACATTATCTATTAACTTCCTATTATGGTTAATAATATCTTGATTCTCTCACAACTTTCCTGCCTTGCAAATCTCTTCTATACATCCTCACTCCTTTCCTTCCCCCCATACAATATAGTTACAGCCAATATATGGTTAATTCAAACTCTCCAATGAATTTATAAAGCCGCTATCAATACTATTTTCCACATGGTCAGAAACATATATGGTTAACTATAAGTTCCATTTTATTTTCTCTAGAAACATCCCTCCTAAAGTCTTCCATATCCTCCTGCTTCAAAGTGGACTGATTGCTCTCTAACACTACCGCACAGCTATCATTTTGGGACCTCATTATTTGTAAAACTAGGAATTCCTTTATTAATATGCTGTGTTGAACCCCACATTTCCTGGCTCCCATGTCTTAATTTGCTCCTTTGTTTCGATGTGCCTTCTTAAGAAAGTATACATTTGAAATTTGAAATAAAATGCTTGGGATGCTGCATGTCTGAAGGTGACATTATTCTCTTCTCACACTTGATTGAGTGGTTCTTCTGTGCATAGAATTCTCATTAGAAAATTGCTTCCCTCAGAATTTAGAGGGAAAATTCCCTCCTCATTGTCTTCTAATTTCCCATGTGTTGTTTGAAATATCTGAAATCTTATTCCAAACTCTTTATGTGTGACCTATTTTTCAATATCTGAAAGCTTCTAGAATCTTCTCTCTATAAGATTTTAAAATGATGCACCTCAGAAAAGAATATTTTTAAATTTATATGGAGACATAAGTCCTTCAGTTCTGAGAAATTGTCTTGAATTATTTCTTTGTTAAGTTTCTTCCCATTGAAACTCTTAGCAAATTTTTATTATCAATTTCTGGATCTCCTGTAATGAACTTTAACTTGTTTACCTGTAGAACAAATCAACTTGCTTCTCCTAGTTTTTAACAAAATTGAGTTTTTATGTCCATTTCTTATTCTCTGTTTCTTTGATGTGATTTGAGAGAGAAGATGGAGCTGGGACATTTTACTCTGCTCTCTTTAAACTGGGCAGCACTATATTGCTTTTTATTGTTTATAGAGCCACAAAAGCAAAAAAAAGTTTCATTTAAACTTCCAGTGTGTGGTTCAACGATAGACGTTACAAGGGAAAACTACCACCATACATCAACAGCTGAGGAAATTCTGTCACAAACACAGTTGAATATTGTCCAATCCTTCAAAAATCTTCCATTTCTCTTTAATTGAGAGAAAATCTAAGAGAATGTTTTAAGGGAAATATTAATTTTTCTACTGAATTGGAATATCAGACACTATTTTTAAGCTACTGCAGCACTGAGATTAGACACATTTATCAAAAGTTACGGCCCACACTCAAGACAGCCTGGAGGGGGAGAGCTGTTGGAAATCCTTTCAACTCAGTCTGACTGACCAAGGCGAATGTGGTTGGGGCACATTTTTCATGCAGGGACTCAGCAGTGTTACTAAACACAGCCACTTCATGCTGGGACACAGTACTTTACAAAGCTACGTAGAAGCCAAAAGCACTTCTACTTTGAAAATGTTTCAAAAGCACTAAAGGAAATTTTCTTAACCACTAAATAGAAGTGTTAGAACCTTTTATTCCTTTCACCTCATTTTCTAAGTTCTAATTTACTTGGAGGGTATTGGAGAAAGAACTCTTCAAATTCTTTCAATGTGTTTAAATGGCTTTAAAGTAATTAGCTTTTAAGACTTTCTACTCTGAAGCAACAGAATATGTTATTATGCTTCATTTATCCAGAATCCTTGAAGAACGAAGGATCCCACATAAGTTAAAAACTACATGGGATGCTACTTTAGGTCTCACCGCCCCCCCACTCCGCCCCCCGCCCCAACACACACACACTCAAGTTTTAATCCATTTGAATGAATGTCTTTGGAGCAGAGGGTCCTGATAAACACCAGGGTATTACTAGGTGCAGGCTGAAACTCACAGGCAACAGGCAAGAAATGCACACATTTACTGTTCACTCAACAGCACATGGTGAGGCCCCAGTGGGCCAAGCACAGCTGGACACAACTTGCATCTGTGCTACAGGAGGTAGCTTCAGATCTCTACTATTTTCCCTTTTTTAGAGGAAGAATAGAACTGTCTCATAATCAGGACACACTGTCTGAGTTTGGGTGCCACCTTTGCAAAGGAGTGCCAGGATCACCAGATGCCCAGCTCTGGAGGCCTTGTGGGAAGCTGTGCTCACATCCAGCACCTTCTACTACGAGGAGAGGAAGCCCCAGATCCAGAGAGCATAATGCCAGAAAACCTGCGGGGGCATGTGGGCTTATTCAGGAAGAAATCTTGGTTCTCCACAGTCTTTCTAAAATGACATAATTTTTTTGTTGCCTTCTTATTTACAGTATGTTATGCCTTTGGGATTTGTACCTGTTTCTGTACTATTTGTATCTTCTCCCTTGCTGTCACTGACCATTTCTCAACTTGGGATGTCAGACTTCAAATCCTCTGGCTTGTAATCTACTAGGGACTCAGAAAACAAAATAACCAGGAATGCTGAGGTTGCATATAAAATATGTATACATGGCTTCTTGTGAGGACATGTAAGGCAGCCCTGTAACAAAGGACATGCTCCATTGGATCTGGTACTATCCCTCCAGACCAGTGGTTCTTAAAGTATAGCCCAGAGGCCCCTGAGGGTCCCTGAAACTCTTTTACAGGGTTCATAAAGGCACAACTGTTTTCATAATAATATTAAAACATGACTTACCGTTTTTACCTTCATTCTCTCAAGAATGTAAGTGGATACAGCCGGGTGCCCCTCTTAGGTGAAGCTTCCAGAGGAAGGATCAGGCAGCAACATTTGCTGTTCTGCAATATTTGCTGTTCTGCAGCCTCCACTGGTGATACCCAGACAAACGGTCTGGAGTGGACCTCCAGCAAACTCCAACAGACCTGCGGCTGAGGGTCCTGTCTGTTAGAAGGAAAACTAACAAACAGAAAGGACATCCACACCAAAAACCCATCTGTATGCAACCATCATCAAAGACCAAAGGTAGATAAAACCACAAAGATGGGAAAAAAACAGAGCAGAAAAACTGGAAAGCCTAAAAATGAGAGTGCCTCTCCTCCTCCAAAGGAACGCAGCTCTTCGCCAGCAACGGAACAAAGCTGGACAGAGAATGACTTTGACGAGTTGAGAGAAGAAGGCTTCAGATGATCAGTAATAACAAACTTCTCTGAGATAAAGGGGGATGTTCGAAACCATCACAAAGAAGCTAAAAACCTTGAAAAAAGTTAGACGAATAGCTAACTACAATAAACAGTGTAGAGAAGATCTTAAATGACCTGATGGAGCAGAAAACCATGGCACGAGAACTACGTGATGCGTGCACAAGCTTCAGTAGCCGATTTGATCCAGTGGAAGAAAGGGTATCAGTGACTGAAGATCAAATGAATGAAATGAAACGAGAAGAGAAGTTTAGAGAAAAAAGAGTAAAAAGAAACAAACAAAGCCTCCAAGAAATATGAGACTATGTGAAAAGATCAAATCTACGTCTGATTGGTGTACCTGAAAGTGATGGGGAGAATGGAACCAAGTTGGAAAACACTCTGCAGTGTATTATCCAGGAGAACTTCCCCAACCTAGCAAGGCAGGCCAACATTGAAATTCAGGAAACACAGAGTACGCCACAAAGACACTCCTCGAGAAGAACAACTCCAAGACACATAATTGTCAGATTCAACAAAGTTGAAATGAAGGAAAAAGTGTTAAGGGCAGCCAGAGAGAAAAGTCTGGTTACCCACAAAGGGAAGCCCATCAGACTAACAGCTGATCTCTCCGCAGAAACTCTACAAGCCAGAAGAGAATGGGGGCCAATATTCAACATTCTTAAAGAAAAGAATTTTCAACCCAGAATTTCATATCCAGCCAAACTAAGCTTCATAAGTGAAGGAGAAATAAAATACTTTACAGACAAGGAAATGCTGAGAGATTTTGTCACCACCAGGCCTGACTTACAAGAGCTCCTGAAGGAAGCACTAAACATGGAAAGGAACAACCAGTACCAACCACTGCAAAAACATGCCAAATTGTAAAGATCATCAATGCTAGGAAGAAACTGCATCAACTAACAAGCAAAATAACCAGCTAACATCATAATGACAAGATCAGATTCACACATAACAATATTAACCTTAAATGTAAATGGGCTCAATGCTCCAATTAAAAGACACAGACTGGCAAATTGGATAAAGAGTCAAGACCCATCAGTGATCTGTATTCAAGAGACCCATCTCATGTGCAGAGACACACATAGGCTCAAAATAAAGGGATGGAGGAAGATTTACCAAGAAAATGGAAAACAAAAAAAAGCAGGGTTTGCAATACTAGTCTCTGATGAAACACACTTTAAGCCAACAAAGATCAAAAGAGACAAAGAAGGTCATTACATAATGGTAAAGGGATCAATTCAACAAGAAGTTAACTATCCTAAATATATATGCACCCAATACAGGAGCACCCAGATTTATAAAGCAAATTCTTAGAGACCTACAAAGAGACTTAGACCCCCACACAATAATAATGGGAGACTTTAACACCCCACTGTCAACATGAGACAGATCAATGAGATAGAAAGTTAACAAGGATATCCAGGAATTGAACTCACCTCTGCACCAAGCGGACCTAACAGACATCTACAGAACTCTCCACCCCAAATCAACAGAATATACATTCATCTCAGCACCACATTGCACTTATTCCAAAATTGACCACATAGTTGGAAGTAAAGCACTCCTTAGCAAATGTAAAAGAACAGAAATTAAAACAAACTGTCTCTCAGACCACAGTGCAATCAAATTAGAACTCAGGATTAAGAACCTCATTCAAAACCGCTCAACTACATGGAAACCGAACAACCTGCTCCTGAATGACTACTGGGTACATAACAAAATGAAGGCAGAAATAAAGATGTTCTTTGAAACCAATGAGAACAAAGACACAACATACCAGAATCTCGGGGACACATTTAAAGCAGTGTGTAGAGGGAAATTTATAGCACTAAATGCCCACAAGAGAAAGCAGGAGAGATCTAAAATCGACACCCTAACATCACAATTAAAAGAACTAGAGAAGCAAGAGCAGACACATTGAAAAGCTAGCAGAAGGCAAGAAATAACTAAGATCAGAGCAGAACTGAAGGAGATAGAGACACAAAAAGCCCTTCAAAAAAATCAATGAATCCAGGAGCTGGTTTTTTGAAAAGATCAACAAAACTGATAGACCACTAGCAAGACTACTAAAGAAGAAAAGAGAGAAGAATCAAATAGACGCAATAAAAAATGATAAAGGGGATATCACCACCGATCTCACAGAAATACAAACTACCATCAGAGAATACTATAAACACCTCTATGCAAATAAACTAGAAAATCTAGAAGAAATGGATAAATTCCTGGACACATACACCCTCCCAAGACTAAACCAGGAAGAAGTTGAATCCCTGAATAGACCAATGACAGGCTCTGAAATTGAGGCAGTAATTAATAGCCTACCAACCAAAAAAAGTCTAGGACCAGACAGATTCACAGCCGAATTCTACCAGAGGTATAAAGAGGAGCTGGTACCATTCCTTCTGAAACTATTCCAATCAATAGAAAAAGAGGGAATCCTCCCTAACTCATTTTATGAGGCTAGCATCATCTTGATACCAAAGCCTGGCAGAGACACAACAAAAAAATAGAAAATTTTAGACCAATATCCCTGATGAACATTGATGCAAAAATCCTCAATAAAAACTGGCAAACCGAATCCAGCAGCACATCAAAAAGCTTATCCACCACGATCAAGTGGGCTTCATCCCTGGGATGCAAGGCTGATTCAACATATGCGAATCAATAAATGTAATCCATCATATGAACAGAACCAAATACAAAAACCACATGATTATCTCAATAGATGCAGAAAAGGCCTTTGACAAAATTCAACAGCCCTTCATGCTAAAAAATCTCAATAAACTAGGTATTGATGGGACGTATCTCAAAATAATAAGAGCTATTTATGACAAACCCACAGCCAATATCATACTGAATGGGCAAAAACTGGAAGCATTCCCTTTGAAAACGGGCACAACACAGGGATGTCCTCTCATACCACTCCTATTCAACATAGTGTTGGAAGTTCTGGCCACGGCAATCAGGCAGGAGAAAGAAATAAAGGGTATTCAATTAGGAAAAGAGGAAGTCAAACTGTCCCTATTTGCAGATGACATGATTGTATATTTAGAAAACCCCAGCATCTCAGCCCAAATCTCCTTAAGCTGATAAGCAACTTCAGCAAAGTCTCAGGATACAAAATCAATGTGCAAAAATCACAAGCATTCCTATACACCAATAACAGACAAACAGAGAGCCAAATCATGAGTGCACTCCCATTCACAATTGCTTCAAAGAGAATAAAATACCTAGGAATCCAACTTACAAGGGATGTGAAGGACCTCTTCAAGGAGAACTACAAACCACTGCTCAACGAAATAAAAGAGGACACAAACAAATGGAAGAACATTCCATGCTCATGAATAGGAAGATTCAATATCGTGAAAATGGCCATACTGCCCAAGGTAATTTATAGATTCAATGCCATCCCCATCAAGCTACCAATGACTTTCTTCACAGAATTGGAAAAAACTACTTTAAAGTTCATATGGAAACAAAAAAGAGCCCACATTGCCAAGACAAACCTAAGCCAAAAGAACAAAGCTGGAGGCATCACGCTACCTGACTTCAAACTATACTACAAGGCTACAGTAACCAAAACAGCATGGTACTGGTACCAAACCAGAGATATAGACCAATGGAACAGAACAGAGCCCTCAGAAATAACACCACACATCTACAACCGTCTGATCTTTGACAAACCTGACAAAAACAAGAAATAGGGAAAGGATTCCCTATTTAATAAATGGTGCTGAGAAAACTGGCTACCCATAGGTAGAAAGCTGAAACTGGATCCCTTCCTTACACCTTATACAAAAATTAATTCAAGATGGATTAAAGACTTAAATGTTAGACCTAAAACCATAAAAACCCTAGAAGAAAACCTAGGCAATACCATTCAGGACATAGGCATGGGCAAGGACTTCATGTCTAAAACACCAAAAGCAATGTCAACAAAAGCCAAAATTGACAAATGGGATCTAATTAAACTAAAGAGCTTCTGCACAGCAAAAGAAACTACCATCAGAGTGAACAGGCAACCTACAGAATGGGAGAAAATTTTTGCAATCTACCCATCTGACAAAAGGCTAATATCCAGAATCTACAAAGAACTCAAACAAATTTACAAGAAAAAAACAAACAACCCCATCAAAAAGTGGGCAAAGGATATGAACAGACTCTTCTCAAAAGAAGACATTTATGCAGCCAACAGACACATGAAAAAATGCTCATCATCATTGGCCATCAAAGAAATGCAAATCAAAACCACAATGAGATATCATCTCACACCAGTTAGAATGGCGATCATTAAAAAGTCAGGAAACAACAGGTGCTGGAGAGGATGTGGAGAAATAGGAACACTTTTACACTGTTGGTGGGACTGTAAACTAGTTCAACCATTATGGAAGTCAGTGTGGTGATTCCTCAGGGATCTAGAACTAGAAATACCATTTGACCCAGCCATCCCATTACTGGGTATATACCCAAAGGACTATAAATCATGCTGCTATAAAGACACTTGCACACGTATGTTTATTGGGGCACTATTCACAATAGCAAAGACTTGGAACCAACCCAAATGTCTAACAATGATAGACTGGATTAAGAAAATGTGGCACATATACGCATGGAATACTATGCAGCCATAAAAAATGATGAGTTCATGTCCTTTGTAGGGACATGGATGAAATTGGAAATCATCATTCTCAGTAAACTATCGCAAGGACAAAAAACCAAACACTGCATGTTCTCACTCATAGGTGAGAATTGAACAATGAGAACACATGGACACAGGAAGGGGAACATCAGACTCTGGAGACTGTTGTGGGGTGGGGGGAGGGGGGAGGGATAGCATTAGGAGATATACCTAATGCTAAATGACGAGTTAATGGGTGCAGCACACCAGCATGGCACATGTATACATATGTAAGTAACCTGCACATTGTGCACATGTACCCTAAAACTTAAAGTATAATAATAAAAACAATAATAATAAATAAAAAAATAAAAAGTCAGGAAACAACAGGTGCTGGAGAGGATGTGGAGAAATGGGAACATTTTTACACTGTTGATGGGACTGTAAACTAGTTCAACCATTGTGGAAGACAGTGTGATGATTCCTCAAGGATCTAGAACTGGAAATACCATTTGACCCAGCCATCCCATTACTGGGTATATACCCAAAGGATTATAAATCATGCTGCTATAAAGACACATGCACACGTATGTTTATTGTGGCACTATTCACAATAGCAAAGACTTGGAACCAACCCAAATGTCCATCATGATAGACTGGATTAAGAAAATGTGGCACATATACACCATGGAATACTATGCAGCCATAAAAAGGATGAGTTCATGTCCTTTGTAGGTACATGGATGAAGCTGGAAAACATCATTCTCAGCAAACTATTGCAAGGACAGAAAACCAAACACTGCATGTTCTCACTCATAGGTGGGAATTGAACAATGAGAACACTTAGACACAGGGTGGGGAACATCATACACCAGGGCCTGTCGTGGGGTAGGGGGAGGGGAGAGGGATAGCATTAGGAGATATACCTAATGTAAATAACGAGTTAATGGGTGCAGCACACCAATGTATGTGCCAATATATGGCACATGTATACATATGTAACAAACATGCATGTTGTGCACATGTACCCTAGAACTTAAAGTATCATAAAAAAAAGAAGAGAGTGAGAAAAAAGTACAAGTAAAAAAAAAATAAATAAATAAATAAATAAATAAATAAAAGAATGTAAGTGGAGTTTTCCAGAATATATGACATGCAATATCACAACAAACTGAATGCAAGAAGCAGCTATGAGAAACCAGCTGTGTCCTATTAAGACAATGAACAGATTTGCAAGAATGTAAAACAATGCCATCCTCCTCACTACATTGTTTTTGTTTTGAAAAAGATGCAGAAAAGGGCTTGGACAAAATTCAATAGCCCTTCATGCTATAATTATTTTTCAGAAAAAATTATGCTAATATATAATGGGTGTATTAATGTTATTTTTTCATTAATTAATTGCAGAAATATTGTCTATTTTTCTCAATGTTGATTTCAAGTATGGCATATATTAATAGCTACAACTCACATAAACAAAAATTATTTGGAATTCTCAACAATTTTTAAGATTACAAAGAGTTCTTGAGACCCAAAAGCTTCAGAATCGCTGCTCTAGGTAACCTCTTTTGAGAAACACAAAAGGATTACTTCCTGTAGCATACCAAGAGGTAAACCACAAAATCTTGGTCCTTATACCTAATGTTAAATGAAGAGTTAATGGGTGCAGCACACCAACATGGCACATGTATACATATGTAAAAAACCCGCACATTGTGCTCATGTACACTAAAACTTAAAGTATAATAAAAAAGAATAATAAATTTAAAAAATACATTGGTCCAGTGACACACCAGAGTCTTCTTAACAAATGTTTTAACTCATTTTAAATTTCACAACATAATAGAAGAAGGGAGATGGTTGGGGATAGCACAATCACTTGATAAGATGCACAACTCAAAAAAGACCTGGAAATTATTTTTCCAAGCTGTGCAGAAGTGAAGTCTTAGAATGTTTCAAACCTGTGAAATGCAAAGTCACCTTGGAAAGTAATGCCAAGGATATCAAAATTCTGCTTATGTGACCTTTCAGGGTGGCCACATACATAGTATAAGCTATTGATTTTTTTTAACTAGTATTATTTTTCACATAATGGAAAGAATCGTGAATGTACTTTTCCATGAGGATTCTGTTTACCTACAATCAACCATGATCATTTGCTTGCTTACACTCCACACTCTTCCTTCCAACACATCACTGAAGCCCACTGGGAAATGACCATTTTTTCCCATTACAGCAGGTACAACTTTCATTTCAGTAACCCGATTTAAGACATGGAATTATTTAATCAATTGATTTTCTTTCCCTAAGAATTATTCCAACTATGAAGCTTATTTTTACAAATAAAGAAATTGGAGTTGTCATAAAAGGATAAAAAATGGAAAGTGAGAGCCAACCTTGAATACAAATTATTACAATCATTTTTTCTCACATTCAGGTTGCAAATATACTCTAACGTTACCCTGTGGATAATTTTAAATAACTGTTGTTGGGGGAAAAAACTTTTTTATGAAACATTCTTATCAAAGAAAGCAGAAACACAAAATATCAAACATAATTAGAGAATTATGTTTCTTCCTTAGAGGTAAGTGACTTAATCAGGAATCTTAACTATTCAAAACAAAGACAGAACCACAGAAGGTAGACCCTCAACCCCTCTGCAAAATCAAAAATTTAATCCCAAACTCCATGTTTTAACCCACAGCCCTTTATGAGAAAATTCTTTAAATTTCTACTTTGAATGAATTTAGTCTTAATTTAGACCAGGGATCAGCAAACAAGGGCCTGTAGACAAACCCAGCCTGCAACCTGCTTTTGTAAATAAGGTTTTATTGAAACACAGTTGCTCATTTGTTTCCATATTGTCTGTGATTGCTGTTCCACTACAACAGCAAAGTTGGGTAGTCAAGAGAGAAACTGCATGGCCTGCAGAGCCTTAAAGATTTACTATTTGGCCTTTACATAAAAAGTTTAAATTAAAAATTTAGTCTAAATTTTAAGAAAATAAGAAATCATATTTTTCACACAGTAGATTGGAAGCAAAAACAGGTGGTAGGGGAAAGAGATCCTTAAACTGGGCATGCTGACCTTAATAGGCAGTGGCCACTGTTGGTCTGATATTGAGGAAGAAGACTTAAAAGCTTGAAAAGGAGTCCCTGTGATTGAACTGTCAAATAAGTGGGCTTTGGAAACCCCCTTGCCTCAATGGCAAACAACTCTGAAGGGCCAAGCCTGCTCCAGAGCTCCCAAAGGACTGACTGAAGCCCTGGTTACAACCATGTTTGTATCAGCTTCTCCCTCTGCTCAATCCTGTCATCCTCACTTCCTTTCAGGTGTATCTCCCAAAAGCAATCATTCTGCAAGCAACTACCCACTTCAGTGTCTGTTTCCAAGGAACCCAGTCAAAGACAGTGTATAAAGAACATGGCAATTGGCATTTGCCTCAGTCTTTAAGCCTTCAAACAACTCGATAAACACTTGTGGATCACCTCCTAGACTCACGGCACTACACCAGGCACTATAGGAAATTACAAAATGGGCAAGATGCAATCCCTGTCCTCAAGAATCTGGCAAATTACATATTGTCTATGGCTGCTGTTGTTCTACTTAAGGTGATTAAAACTACCTAAGGATAGGATATACTGCTGAAGGTATTATAAGATGAGGTTCATTGTCACCGCCACTGTAGATGGCTTGGGAGAGGGAACTAGGGATGAGGTTCCATCAGCTGCCCAACATCCAGTTGAGGGAAACGGACAGATATAATGGAAACAGTGTTTGGCCAGGAGCTTCGAAGATGGAGTAGGAGTTTAAGATGGATGAAAACAACAACATAGGAAGAAACATAAGGAAGAGACTAGATGCAGGAGCAGAAAGTGAAGGTTGTATTTTGGAGATTCAGCCACAGCCCAGTTTGTCTGAAGCTTGGAATGGGGCAGGGGAAGACTCTTTTTGAAAGATATGTTTAAACCAGCTCATGGAAGTTCTTGAACACTAAGCCAAAGAGTTTATTTAAAACAACAGGAAATAATAATGATTTTGAGCAGAAGCAGGGTGACCACTGATTTTGCCCTCCAAACTAGCAATGTTGAGGGTCAAAGATGGCATTATCAATTACCATCTAGGACAGCAGATGTAAACCAAGACTATTCCATGCAAATGAGGATGGTCACCTGAGCAGGAGGACAATGTGATTAGAGCTGTTCTTTAATATAATTAATGCAGTAGTGTATCAGTTAGCCATTGCTATATAACAAACTGCTCCAAAAGACAGTGACTTAAAACAAGAATATCACGAGGTCAGGAGATCGAGACCATCCTGGCTAACACGGTGAAACCCCGTCTCTACTAAAAATACAAAAAAATTAGCCGGGCGTGATGGCGGGCGCCTGTAGTCCCAGCTACTCGGGAGGCTGAGGCAGGAGAATGGCGTGAACCCGGGAGGCGGAGCTTGCAGTGAGCCGAGATTGCGCCACTGCACTCCAGCCTGGGCCACAGAGCGAGACTCCGTCTCAAAAAAAAAAAAAAAAAAAAAAAAAACAAGAATAATTTATTAACTCTAAATTCAGTGAGTTGGCAATTTGGACAACACTCAGTTGGGCAATTCTACTGCTCTTGCCTAGGCTTATACAGCTGCATTTGATTGCAGATGCTGACTAGTCTAGATAGGCTTAGCTGGCATATACAGCAGTTGGTGCTGGCAGTCAGATGGTGGTGAATGTCCAATGAACTATGTGCCTCCAATAGATCAGCCAGGTTTTTCCCATGGTACCAGGAGTCCCAGCAGTGAAAGAAGGCAAGCTCCTATGTGGAAATCCATCTCAAGCCTCTGCCTGTGGCACATTTGCTATTGTCTCATTGGCCATAGCAAATTAAATAGCCAAGAACAGAATCAGTGTGGGAGAGAACTACAAAGCCTTAGGGACAGGGAGTGGAATTTCACTGGCGATTTTGCAAACATTCCACCACAGATAGTAGTGTCTGCATTGGATTGAAGGAATAAGACTAAACATGGAGAAAACAATTCAAAAATAATTATGATAGGGATCATATTTCCAACATTATTTTGTGATGTTCAAGGGATTCTACTTTTATTACTACATGCAACTCTTACACATTCCTATGAAAAAATTATTATCCTCATTTTGCAGACAAAACTGAAGCTTAGAGAAATTCAATAACTTTAGCCAAGATTGCAAAGCTAATAAGTGGTTTAGGCCAGGTGCGGTGGCTCACACCTGTAATCCCAACAGTTTGGGAGGCTGAGGTGGGTGGATCACCTGAGGTCAGGAGTTTGAGACCAGCCTGACCACCATGGAGAAATCCCATCTCTACTAAAAATACAAAATTAGCCAAGTATGGTGGCACATGCCTGTAATCTCAGCTACTTGGGAGGCTGAGGCAGGAGAATCACTTGAACCTGGGAGGCAGAGGTTGCAGTTAGCTGAGATTGCGCCGTTGCACTCCAGCCTGGGCAACAAGGGCAAAACTCCGTCTCTCTCTCTCTCTATCTCCCTCACACACACACACACACACACACACACACACACACACACGTGGTGTAGCTGGATTCAAACCCAGCCAAACTGGATCCAGAGCACAAACACTTACTCACCTAGTCATACCATCACCTTGCCACTAAGCCAATGTACAAGGGATAATGAAAGTCTGAAGCAGAGTGCTGGCAGTGAGAGAGAAAAGGAGGGTTTGAAACATAAAAATCAGTAGAATTTATTAACTAACTGGATGTAGGAGTTAAGAAAGAAGGATGACTCAAAGATGAGTCAGAGTTCAAACCAGCATGGCAGAGGAAGGCATGTGAAACCAGATGTTAAATTAGAAGTTTTGATTGAGGCCCCAAGATATGAGAGAAACTAGATACCAACAGAGATGTGTGAGACAGACCAGCTAAATACAAACACAAATTAATTTAGCTGATAGGAAATGCAAATTTTCAAGTGAAATGCTGGAGAATCAGTTATACACCTCTTGGGGATCCTCATTCAGTTCAAGGACATAAAAGACTCAAGAGAGTTGAAATCTGAGAAAAATTTGTGAGAATGTATTTCGAAGAAGCCTTGCTGTGAGTAGTAGCCAGCCATCTAAGGGAAGGTATAAGAGAAACTTTCCCTTCAGCCTAACCCAGTAACAGGGCCTTTGTAGGCACTGCTCAGACACTTTGACATGGTTCAGAGTCTGCCTGAGAAAACTAGAGCATTCTTTGGCTACAGACTAAAGAGCCATAGCTGGGTAGTAATTAAACTTTCCTCATATCAAAGACATGGGATCCTGGGGATCAGATGTGGAACCTGCAGCAGGAACATGAGCCTGGGGCTATTATAAAAGGGATTTTGCCCTAGAGAATGGCCTTCCAGGCCAGGGGAGCCCAGCAATAATAGCCTGGAGAATGTATTAATACCTTGGTGTCAGAATATCCTTGGGTATCAGCAGCTGCCATTGATGGAGAGGCATCATTCACCTCCTAGGGGTCATAGAGGTGCCAGAATGGGATTTGCAAAGAGCCCACAGCAGTGCCCACAAAAAAAAGAGCCAAATGTAAACATCCGCCCAGCCCAGAAAGCATGAAGCCATCTCATGGTAATGTCTATTAAGTGAAAATGTACCTTTCCTTACGTATTTCTAGTCTCTTCAGTGTTGGTGGATTCAGGAGCTGCAGCTGGGGAGTCTAGGAGGCGGTGAGAGAAAAGTAGAAGCTGATCATACCCTTACCCCCAAAGGAATGCTCCCCTGGCCCCTACAGCTAGCCCTCGTCGGACAAAGAAGTGCTTAATGAAAACTGATATGTTAAGGTCTTAGACTGGACATTCTAATTTCTGTAACAAGACTGTGTCTTGTGACAAGCTTTCTATTATCTGAGAATGAGTAGAGGAGTTATCAGCCTCCTCTACCCCCTGGCAGAAGATGGACCACTTACTTGTTCAGAAGTTAAAAGAAACAATAAGTTATAAAAATAACTCTTGGTTTACACCCTGAAAGTGATGCCCATTAAACACCTCCATTAACAGAAATTGGGAAGTAAAGAGAAGTAGCTGATTTGAGGAATAAAAATAGAAAGATGGCAGAAATGAATTTGCATCTTGGCAGAGAGGTTGAAACCAGTGACAGAAATATAAGGGTCATCTGCTTAGAAGTAGTAGCTGATGCCGGGGAGTAATAGGTATTGGAGGGAGAAGGTAGACAAAGGAGGGTCAGGACAAAGTTTTGATTGATGGTTACAGAAATTAGAAAAGGTTTGGAAAATTCACTGAGAATAAATCAATATGGCATCAAGTGCTTATGAAAGACCACTAGACACCAGTAAATTCTCCCTAAGCATCAAAAGCAAGCCTGTGTGGTGTAACCACTCTCTAGTCTCATGCCTTTCTCCAGCAAAGTCACAAGTGAGATAGCCAGGCCTGGGCACTGTGTCATCAATGAATGGCTGACTTGGCACAGTGGCAGGAAAGGTAATGAGCTAGTACACAGGAAAGGGCCAAAAGTCAAGAAGTTACAATGTGAATGCAAAGAATAGCCAGCAGAAGTGAGGACATGACAGAAGGGGAAAATAGGCCATGGTTAAGAGGACAATTCCAAGTTTTAGATCCTGGGAGTGGTTCCATTTCAAGTGATGATGAGATTGATGCCATGGAGGGCATAGGGACAGGAGACATAGAGCTGGGGCTTCAGGTGTTAAGAAGAGCCACCAGGAGGAACATCAAAATCACCAAAGATTATGGCAGGAGATTAGGCAAGGAGAAAGATCATAAATTTTGATCTAAAGTCAGCCAACTTGGCTGGGCTCACACACCTGTAATTTCAACAGTTAGGGAGGCTGAGGCAAAAGGGCAGAAGAGTTCAAGGCTGTAGTGAGCTATGATTGCACCACTGCACTCCAGATGGGTGACAGAGTGGGACCCTGTCTCTAAAAATAAATAATAAAAAATAAAGTCTACCAATTTGTCTGATGCTGCTTAAGAAGCAGAAAATTAAGGGTCATATTTTTTAAAGATTTCCATTTTTAAAAAAATGTATACAACTTTTAAATTGGAAGCATTAAAAGGATTAAGCTTCTCCAGTGGTAGAGTGTTCATGGCAAAAAATACAAATTTAAAGGATAAAATAAAACAATTAAGTGTCCATTATCTGTAGAATAAATGTAGAATCCTTTAGTCCCCAGGTGATATTGGAAGATATGAGCATTATTGGAATTTTTTAAGATTATCTGAATCGACAGATAATCTGAGATGATCTGTAGAAAAACAGAAACTCGAAGTATCTTTAATCACGGCAAATTAAAACCATTGAAAGAATGCACAACCCTCAGCCTTTATTGGCTTTACATTTCAGATGATCTTTCAGTGATTTACCATTGTTATCTCAGAGGCTTAATTTTTATGGAGTTTCTACTATATGCCAGGCATTGCCAATATAAAGATAAATAAATCTTAAGAAGAAAGAGTTTAGCGGGCTGCAGTTGCCAGACTTAGCAAATAAAAATACAGGATACCTTGCTAAATCTGAACTCAGATAAACAATGAAAACATTTTAATGTAACTATGTCCCAAGTATTACGTGGAACATTTATTCTAAAAAAAAAAACGATTTGTTGTTTGTCTGAAATTCAAATTTAACTGGGCATCCTATATTTTATCTGGAAATTCTAATTTAGTCCTTTTTTGTCTGCAATAAAAGGGCTTTAGCCAGAAGACATTTTGAAAGCAAGTAGTAAAAGAAACAATTATAATCTATGTTTTGCCAACTCTTTGTATTGCTCTCAGTTACACAGGACAGAATCTAGTCACTCTAAACAGCCCTTGATCAGGTAACCTCCCTAGTCATATGTCCTGATGGCACACTGTACTTTTTCACAGGGATACTGTCGTATTCGTCTAGGGTAAAAGCTAATCTGTCATAATAACAACAGTGGGGTGGGGCCAAGGTTGGCAAGGCCACACCCAACATAGCCTTGTCACATCTCTATGTCAGTTGTCTGCTTAAATTGTTACCATTTACCTGCCAGTGAGAAAGGAGAAGAAAAAACATAGAGGGGAGCCAGTTTTCATTGTAAGGCTGGGACCTGGATGTGGTGCCCATCACTTCTATGAGCCTGAGCTGATTGGCGTGGCCACTCCTAGCTGTAAGGGAGGCTGGGAACTACACTGCCCTCTCCAACTGCCTGCCCTGCTCCTGCTCCAGGATGCCCCGTGTTACTGAAAAGAAGAGGGTAAACGGGGATGGGGGCAATTAGAAGTCTCTGCCACTGCTTATCATAATGGTAACTAGATCCTTAGTGTGTAATTATTAATGACTCCCCTCCCCATCTAGACTGTAAGCTCCCAGAGGGCAGGGGTATCCAGCTAGTCCACCACTCTATCTCCAGGACCTATGACCCTTTCTAGAAACATTTCATAAATGTCCGTGGAGAGAAGAGAGGAAGGGGTAAAGCAAGAAAAAGGGAATGTCTTCCCCCTCTTTGCCCTCAACTCTTTGTGCTTAAACTAGAGCTCTATGAGGCCCTCCCCTGGCTTCTGCCCACTGCTCTCATCTGAGGATTCAGCTCTGCTCTACTCTCCTCCCTCCCTGTCTCTGGGTCCTGGAGGACGGCTTCTGCTCTCAGCTACATAGGCCCAAAAACACTCTGTGTGTCTCCATCTGTCCACATGGGCACTTGGCTCACACTCGCCTGGCCAACGAACAGTATATACCTTTGCTATAGGACTCTCCTCCAACCATCTGTTTCTCATTTGTTCAGCCTCAGCATTGTGACCCCCTCAGTAACACACGAGATTCTAATTCTAATTTTGCCACAACCTCCAATGAACGAATGTTCCTCATTTTGAAGGGACTGACAAGAGGCTCCAATTGGCATTTCATGTGCCTACATTCTATATGGGGTGGAATTTTCCAATTGCCTAGAACAGCTGCAATGACTAAGATTTGAGACAAAGTTTGACTCTTTAAAACATCATACAGCTTAACAGAGAGAGTAGACATTTGGAGACAGCTGTATGTTCACCTACCATCTCAACCACTTTTTACCTGTGTGACTTAGGAAAAATTACTTAACCTCCATGAATCTAGATTTCCTCATCTGGAAAACTTGAATAAAATGATACCTATTTATAGGGTTTTTGTGAAGATTAAGTAACATACATGTTTTATTTAATGTTTGGTATTATGTGAGTGTGATGGTTGTTTTTTTTAATGGCCATAAATCCCTCACACTACTCCCATTAGAAGTGAAATATATCCCTTCTCCTATTGACTTTGGGTGGGCTTATGACTGCTTTAAGCAGTAGAGTATGATAGGAGTGATCTCCAAGGCTGGGGCAAAAAAAAAGCCTTTCAGAGCTGCCTGGTCTCTTGGAACCCCTGCTCTGGGAGGAGTCAACTCCCACACCAGCAGCCTGACTAACCTAACATAACCGTGATGGAGCGACCGCCTGCAGGTGCTCCAGGCAACAACCCCCATGGAGCTCCCAGTGGACAGGCAACGTAAATTGCCAGCTGGCCACATGAGTAAGCCAGCTTTACATCCAGCCCAAGAAAGCCTTCAGATACTTAACATCAGACTGCAACCCCAACAAGAACCACTCAGCAAAGCCCCTTCTAGAGGACTGGCCCACAAAATCATGAGCAAAATAAAATGGTTTATACTATGACATGTTGGGTAGTTTGTTACACAGCCGTAGTAACCAGAGCAATGAACAATAGTAAATGGTAGCATACACTAATATGAACATAGTTTCCAAATCGCATAAGTCCTAGAATCAGGCCTTTCACGTTCCAACGTGTGAATACTGGGGGGCATCCCAGCTCAGCACTGTCCTGGCTGAATCAGTCTACACTTATAGTGACCGCTCTTCAGAGCCTAGTTTCTTTCCATTCTCTGCTAGGTTTCCTGTCTAACTTCTAGATCAAGAAAGTCTGGATAAACTTCAGATAAACACTTTAAAATTATTTCCTGGAAGCTCACCAAACTGAACATGTGAATCCTCCCCAGTCTGCACAATTGAAAACAAGTTATATAATTTCTGTTTCTCAAGGCGGAAAGGGCTGTGCAAGACTGAGAACACTGGGACTGTTGCCTGTCGTCTGGAATCACATTTTAAATAAACAGACAAAGTGAACTGCATAGAAATGATGAAGAATGAAATGGCAGAAATAGAAATTAAAGAGCAATGGGGACTACAGAAGCTATTTCTGTCTCTCACTGAGAATTCCTCATGGCTTAGGTTAAATGTTTATTTCTAAGGGAGTGGATTATTTTTAATGTCTGAACAGAACGCCTCCATGACATCCATTATTTCAAAATGCCTAAGACATGCTTCTCAGATCTAAACGTCACCGAAGGATTGAGGAGCAGCTTGAGGCTCACGCTAAGTGCGTATGTTTTTCTTTCAGCTATTTGTTCCATCAGCTATCTCAATTATTTATAGAATTCATTCTCCAATGAGGAAGTTATGTTCCGTAGAGACTAGAATTATTTTAAGTTCTATTTTTCTCCTCCTGTCTGCTTTCTTCACTGGTCAACACTCTCCAGTCCATCTATTTAGGACAGTTTCCTCTGGGATGGCACTTGAAGCTTATAGAAGACAGAAAAGAAACAGATCAGATTTGAACCTCACAAATATGATATTTGTGGTTGTGTCTTCTCCTTCTAATCCATACTTTCCGGATGTCTTGTGGCATATTTAAGAAACATTTGCAGATGTGTAAGTATTTTTAAAAACATTCAGGATCCTGAAATCATTACAGCAATCACTTTAAAATAGCTGTATGAATATCTAGAAAAATAAAATTAGATTGTTAGTGCCCTAGTGTCTTGGTCCCCAAACTTTACTGATTACTGGAACCACTCAGAGAATTTATACAAATGCAGATTCCTGGATTTTGTCTCAGGAAAATGGAATCAGACTCTCTGGGAGAGGGGCTAAAGAATTCATGTATATTAGATGCTTTCAGGTGATTTATGGCTGGCCAGCTTTGGTAGTCTTAGCCCAACTGCACCTATGCCCTGCTAGAAAACCTCAGGAGGAAGGGGCTGTCAGCAAGCAATGTGTGGGTACTAGGGGAAGGTCCACCATTCACCCAGACTCTTCCAAGTGCCTAAATAGGGCTACGCAGGCCCTCCTTCCATTTATTCAAATAACAAACATCTTTTAGGAGTCTAATATAAGTGAATTATAAGAAGACAGGGAACAGAAGAATACGACATTCTCTGCCATCAAGAAACTCAGAATCTACTCACTCAGTCATTCATTCATTCACCAAATGTTTATTGAGCATCTGCTATATACTATTCTAGACAATCAAGATACAGTAGTAAACGAGCATAGTTCCTGTCCTCATGAGATATGGTATTTAACACAATTTACACCCCTGTTTTAAGAAGATAAACAGGTAACCTATAAGCTTGGCTTTGACCATTGCATTAGGCACCTCTTTAGGCAGAAGCAATACCTAATTTGCATTAACCTGAGCATGAGTGCCTCCTTAAATTCTGCACCCTAGACACCTTACCTGCCTCATCCTAGTTCAAATCATGAGGTTCAGTGGTGTCCTAGATGGGATCACAGCATGTGCAAAGGCAAAAACATGCTAATGTGCATGAAATGTTCCAAAAATAATGAATAATCTAGGACAGCTTAAGTATAGAATACAGGGGGTAGAGGAAGTGGCTGGAGATTTTACTGTGAATGAAGCTCCAATCTCCAGTTTGTGAAGTTCCTTGCATGCCAAATGTCTCCTTTCTGTCCATTTGATGATCATATTATCTATTTTGTATTTTAGAAAGATCACCAGGATGGTAATGTAAAAATGGGGTTGAGGGGGAATGGATTGGAGACCAAGAAACAAATAAAGTCGCTGTTATAGTAGTATTATAAAAGGGCAATAAATATTTGAAATGAGGCAGTGCCCTAAATGGAAAGGAAGCATTGGTATTCAAAGTTATAGGAATGTGGATGAGAGAAGAAAACTCTAGGACCACCAAAGTTGAGGAATCTAATTATACCCTTCTCTATAAGGATGAATGAGAAACAAACAGAGGTAATAAAGTAAATTTGCCTGTTTCATCCTTGACACTGCATGAAGGGAAATTGTTTTTGTTTTTATAATTCACTATCACAGACTAGCTCTCACATAGGCTTGTGGTCCAAATTCATACTAACTATGTGGTAAACACAACACCACACACACACATCCCTCAAGTATAGAAGTTAATTTAAAGTTACTCCTGGGTTAGCAGTATGCCAAGGCAAATGGAAGAAGCAAACACAAATCCTCACTGGAGTAACATCATCATCCCAGGCTTCAAAAAATTCTCGTAAATTTCCAAGGAAAATGAACAGCTCACAGTATAAAACGCCACACACAGAAACACTGTATTGCAAATGAGAGCCAGGAAAAACAATAGAATATATAGTCATCCCCATAAAGACTGCCAATATTGGAACTATACGATACTTTTAAAAAATAACAATATTTTATGTGGTTAAGGAAATAAGTCAATTTTGAAAATATGAACCAGAATGGAGAAAATAAGACAACTTTGAAAATACGAACCAGAATGCATCTGAGAGAGACAAAGAGACAGAAACATAAAATAGTGGTTTGAAAGCTTAGAGGATAGTCTAGAGGGTCCCCCATGTGTCCAGTTAGAGCTCCAGGAAGAATTAATAGAAGGGGGAGGAAGTACTACTTAAGGAAAATATGGCTGAGAATTTTCCAGAACTGTCAAAACATAGCAACCCTTACATCAAGGTCATGTTGTTTCTTAGAAATTCTCACTGAAGGACAGGCGCAGTGGCTCACATCTGTAATCCCAAAATTTTGGGAGGCCCAGGTGGGCGGATCACCTGAGGTCGGGAGTTCGAGACCAGCCTGAGCACCATGGAGAAACCCCATCTCTACCAAAAATACAAAATTAGCCAGGCATGGTGGTACATGCCTGTAATCCCAGCTACTTGGGAGGCTGAGGCAAGAGAATTGCTTGAACCCAGGAGGTGGAGGTTGTGGTGACACGAGATCATGCCATTGCACTCCAGCCTGGACAACAAGAGTGAAACTCTGACTCAAAAAAAAAAAAAAGAAAGAAAGAAATTGTCACTGAAACAAATCAATGAAGCCTCAGAAGGCACAATACAAAGAAAAGGTTATAAAAAGAAAGAAAAAAGATTTCCTACAAAGAAAAGGCAATTATAGTTGAATTGACGAAAGCAAAAATGAAAGTCAATACACAGTGAAAAATATCATTATTGTACACAGAAAGAAAATAACTGTCATCTTAGATTTTCTTGCCTAAAGAAAAGAACAAGAAAGGGGCCGGATGCAGTGGCTCACACCTGTAATCCTAGCACTTTGGGAGGCTGAGGCGGGGAGATCACATGAGACCAGGAGTTCGAGATAAGCCTGGCAACATGGCAAAACCCTGTCTCTACCAAAAATACAACAATTACTCAGGCATGATGGCACGTGCCTGTAGTCCCTGCTAGCTACTCAGGAGGCTGAGGCATGAGAATCACTTGAACCAGGAAGGAAGAGGATGCAGTGAGCCGAGATCATGCCACTGCACTCTGCCCTCCTGGATGATGGAGCAAGAATCTGTCTCAAAGGAGAAGAAAAGAACAAGGAAGAATTAAAGTCAGTTTTAAACAAACAAAAACTGAATGAGTTTACCATCAATAGATCTTTAATGAAAGAAAACCCTAAAGGACTCAAGCTTAAGGAAAAATGGGCCCTGATGCAAGATCTGAGATTCAATAAAGGTAGTGAACAAAGATATTAGAAAATATATAAGGAAATATAAACAAACATTGACTTATAAAACAATAATATGTATAATATGGGAGAGAGATGGGATAAAACCAAAATACAAAAAAAAAAAGAGTAGTAACATGAGAGAGGATGATCAGAATTATAATGTTCTATCATAAATGTATTATTAGGAAGGAAGGCAAAATAGTTATAAACTTTAGACTTTGTTAAATAGACTTGTTAAAATATAAATAGTGTGCTCCATCTCTGCGGATTAAAAAAATGAAATAGGGGGTTTCTCTTTGTTTGATTCTCCCCCTCCCTCTGTCTCTGTGCAGGGGAGCTGTTTTCTTCTTCCTTCCTTCTTTCTTGCCTGATAAACTCTCCACTCCTTAAAACCAAAAAAAAAAAAAAACTGAAATAAAATACAAATGGTAACAACTAAAATAATAGACATAAAACACAGGACTTCCAAGCAGAGGGGTGGGTGGAATGGAATGAGGAAAAGTGGAATATATATATTATTTATATATACACACATATAATTTGTTCCACTTTTGTTTATATATATTTATATATATATATATTCACAATAAAAAAGTGTAGCTAAAGTCTTTCACTGAAAAATAAAGATTATCAAATTGGATTTTACAAACATTCAGCAATATGTCATTAAAAACAAACACACCTAAAACATAAGGACACAGAAGGTGAAAGTAAAGGAATGGAATTCGAATCAGGGTCCCAGAAGAAAACACAAAGTATACCCAAAAGAATAATTGAAGACCAATGTGTGTAGGGGTAAGGGTTCCAGTAGGGAATGATGAAGTACCAAGAGACCAACAAGAGTAGGCAGCTGTCACCTCTGGGTTACTATCTCTGGGCCTAAAAGAGCACAGGAAAGGAGCAATTACTGGAAACAGGAAATTGCTTGAAGCTATAGCAGAGCCACTGCTAACTCACAGAACTGCAGGAAGGGACCCAGAGGAATAAATACCCCAACTTCCCTTGTCTCCTTGTTCTCTACTCCTGCTGGGGTCCTCATTGGCCAACCCCAAACAGAAGCCAAGGGATGAAGGAGCCAAGATTACACTGTCCACAGCTGTCGACCTCTTGACCAGGAGAAAGGGAAGGAGTAGAGAGGGAGCCGGGAGGTGCAAATAGAGAATATTCAGCATACCAGAAGAAAGCTGGTATATATCCATAATAACATAATACAATATACACTTTAAAGCCAAAAACATTGCTAAAGAGGATCACTACTGATATGGTTTGGATTTTTGTCTCTGCCCGATTCTCATGTCGAATTGTAATCCCCAATGTTGGGTGTGGGGCCTGGTGGGAGGTGATTGGATCATGGGGGTGGACTTCCCCCTTGCTGTTGTCATGATAGAGTTCTCACAAGATCTGCTTCTTTAAAAGTGTGTGGCACCTCTCGTCTCTCTCTTTCTCCTGCTCCCACCATGAAAGACGTGCTTGCTTCCCTTCACCTTCTGCCATGACTCTAAGTTTCCTGAGGCCTCCCCAGAAGCAGAAGCCTGTACAGCCCACAGAACTGTGAGTCAATTAAGCCTCTTTTCTTTATAATTTTTATTTTTTTTTATTTTTTAGATAGAGTCTCACTCTGTCACCCAGGCTGCAGTACAATGGCACGATCTCAGCTCACTGCAATCTCCATCTCTCAGGTTTGATTCTCCTGCCTCAGCCTCCCAAGTAGCTGGGATTATAGGTGCACACTACCACGCCTGGCTAATTTTCATATTTTTTTGTAGAGACAGGGTTTCACGACATTGGCCAGGCTGGTCTTGAACTCCTGGCCTCAAGCAGTCCTCCCACAGTGCTGGGATTACAGGTGTGAGCCACCACATCCAGCCCTCTTTTCTTTATAAATTACCCAGTCTGAGGTATGTCTTTATAGCAGCGTGAAAACAGACTAATACAACTACCTAATAACAAAAGATCCAATTTATCAAGAAGATAAAGCAATTCTATACCTGTATGCTTCTAACAACATACCCTCATAACACAAAACATTGCCTGAAAAACGTGAAAAATTGACAAACCTATCAGTAGAATAAAAAAAGAAAATACTCCTAAGTAATTTACAAATCAAGCTGATCAAAACAAAAAAGAAAGAATCATAGAAGATTTGAAGAGAATAATTAACAAGCTTGATCTCTTGGACCTGTAAAGCACATCAAACATGAGGCTGGGCACAGTGGCTCATGCCTATAATCCTAGCACTTTAGAAGGCTTAGGTGGGTGGATCCCTCGAGCCCAGGAGTTTGAGACAAGCCTGGGCAACATAGCAAAACTCTGTATCTACAAAAAATATTTTTTAATATTTATTTTTATATATTTATTTATTTATTTATTTATTTATTTATTTATTTTTGAGATGGAGTTTCACTCTTGTTGCCCAGGCTGGAGTGCAATGGTGTGTTCTCAGCTCACTGCAACCTCCACTTCCCAGATTCAAGCAATTCTCCTGCCTCAGCCAGTGGAGTAGCTAAGATTACAGGTGCCGCCACTATGCCCAGTTAATTTTTGTATTTTTAGGAGAGACAGGGTTTCATCATGTTGTCCAGCCTGGTCTCAAACTACTGACCTCAAATCATCTTCCCCCCTCAGCCTCCCAAAGTGCTGGGATTACAGGTATGAGCCACCACACCTGGCCTACAAAAAACATTTTTTTAAAATTAGCCAGGCATGGTGGTGCACAACTGGTAGCTGGAACTGAGTAGTTCCAGCTACTCAGGAGGCTGAGGTAGGAGGCTCACTTGAGCCCAGGAGGTTGAGGCTGCAGTGAGCTATGATCATGCCACCACACTCCAGCCTCGGTGATAGAGTGAGACCCTGTCTCAAAAAAAAAAAAAAGGAAGAACATCAAACATGATAAACAGAAAATGAACATTCTTTTCAAGCACACATGGAATATTCATGAAAATTGATCAGAGGCTGGACCACAAATCTATGCTCCAATGTCAAAGGATTTGGTGACATACAATCCTCATTTTGTGATCAAGTTATCATGAAGTTAGAAATCAATAGGAAGAAAGATAAAATTGAGGTGAAATAGACATTTCTAAAATAAAATAAAACTAACCAAGACTAACCCAACAAGAACTAGAAACTCTAGATGTTTCCCTATAAACCTATATTTTAAAAAAGAAACTAAGCAAAACTTTCCATGAAGAAAAGATCAGGCCCAAAAATATTCTTTGACAAATTCTATTACATTTCAAGAAACAGATCATTTAAATCTTCCACAAACTCTTCCACGAAAAAGAAGAGGGAATTCTTCACAACCCATTTTTGGAGACTGGCATACCATGAGACAGCAACCTGAAAAGCACAGTAAAATATAGAAAAACTGTTATCAAAATTGGTCAGAGGTGGTGGTGCATGCCTGTAATCCCAGCACTTTGGGAGACTGAGGCAGAGAGATCGCTTGAGCTCAGGAGTTCAAGACCAGCCTGGGCAACACGGTGAAACCCCGTATCTACAAAAAATGCAAAACTTAGCTGGGCGTGGTAGCATATGCCTGTAGTCTCAGTTACTTGGGAGGCTGAGGTGGGAGGATAACTTGAGCCCCAGAGGTCAAGGCTGCAGTGAGCCCACCACTGCACTCCAGCCTGGGTGACAGAGTGAGACCCTGTCTCAAAAAAAAAAAAAAAAAAAAAAAAAGTTACTAAAATAGATGCCAAAATTCTACATGAAATATTAACAATTCAAATCCAGCAATGTGAAAGCAAGATAATTTACAATGACCAAATTCGATATATCCCAGGGTGCATAGTTGGTTTAATATTAGAAAATCAAAATAATATAATTTGCCATATTAAAATCTAAAAGAAAAGCTACATGGTTGTCTCGTAGATGTATTAAATGTATACAAAAGCATGCAATAAAATTCAACTTTCATCCACATCTACAGATAAATGACTGAAATTAATGAGTTTGTAATAGTAAATATATAATAGCTAAAGTCAATGTAATACCAAATGTATATGACCTTTATCTTTTCTGGAACAGGTTGGATCACAGACCAATGGAACAGAAGGGAGACTAGAAATAGACCCATGCAAGTCAGTGGAGAAAGGATGGATTATTTTCATAAATGCTGCTGGAAATAAATTTGAATGGAAAAAATGAAACTGGATCACCACACCATGCACAAAAATTAATTATGGCTCAATTAAAGACTTACGTGATAAATGCAAAGCTATAAAACACAGAGTACAATGCAGAAAGATCAATATATGACTTTGGAATGGAAAGATTTCTTAAATAAGATGCAAAAACTGTTAATTATATAGAAAAAAATGATAAATTTGACCACATTAAAATTAGGAATTTCTGTGCCTGGGATTTGTTTGTGTTTTCTTTGAATCCCCTGTAGCACCAAGGACAGTGCCTGCACACACTAGAAATGTCTCTACTATGTTCCAAGGCTGGCTTCTCCAGCATGCCAGATTCCATTTTCTAAGTTTCTCTCTTCAACTCTTATCTTCTTTGGGTTCTGTTTCCAAAGGCTTTTTTTCAGCCTTAAGACATTACCCCTTAATTATAAGACAATCTTCCCTTGACCTTGGGCCCCTAAGTTGCTAATTTGTTTCTCTTGAAAAAGTGGTTTAGGATCACTGTCTCCAAGTTCATTTTTCAACCCCCTGCAGCCTGCTGTGGACAAAAGTTAATAATAAAAGGAACTCCTCTTTACCCAAAACCCAGGTTAATAAAACAAAACAATCATACTCTTATGTACACCATCCTAATTCAATTCCCCTTCTCTCTGCTCTCCTCCCTCCCTCCACTCCCTAATTAGAGTCTACCATGCAAAATTTTATATTATTTATGTCTATGCTTTTCCTCATAACTGTTAACACCTATGTATTTCTAAGCAATATGTTATTTCGTTTTGCTTTTTATATTTACATCAATATATATCACTCTCTAGTTTATCTTTCTAATTTAAAGGGGCTCAATGTTATGTTTTTGAGATTTATCATATTGATGCATATATTAGTTTATTAATTTTCCTTGCTGTATAGTATTCCATTAAAATAGTAATACAAATTCTTAGGCTAGAAAGCTAGGCCCTGTGTACTGGAGAAAGAAGACAAGGTCATCAACAACTAAAGAATAGGAAACAAAGCAATAAAGTTGTAAAAGACAAAGAAAGACGGAGGAACTGTTCAAGATCAAAGGAGACTAAAGAGGAGCAATACAGAGACCAAAGGGTTAAAAATATTTGGCTTTTCAATGGACAAGAAGTCATCCAGAGATAAAATCAATACGGAAACATCAAACTTAAATTATATTTAATGCCAAATTGACCTAACAAATATATACAGAACCCTTCATCTAATAGCAGAATGCACATTCTTCTCAAGTGTACATAGAACGTTCTCTAGGCTAGATCATATGCTGGGCCACAAAACAAGCCCGAACAAATTTAAGAGGGCTGAAACCATATCAAGTATCTTTTCCAACTACAATGGTATAGAACTGGAAATCAATAACAGAGGAATTTTGGAAAATTTACATACACATGGAAATTAAACAACATGTTCCCAAATAACCAATGGGTCAAAGAAGAAATTAAAAGAAAAATTTTTAGAATATCTTAAGACAAAAATAGACACACAACATACCAAAACTTATTAGATGCAGCAAAAGCAGTTCTAAGAGGGAAGTTTATAGTAATAAACACCTACATAAAAAAAGAAGAAAGATCTCAAATAAACAACCTAACATGACACCTCAAGGAACCAGAAAAAGAAGAAAAAACTAAGCACAAAGTTAGTAGAAGGAAGGAAATAATAAAGATCAAAGCAGAAATAAAAGAAATTGAGACTAGAAAAACTATAGAAAAGATCAGTGAAGCTAAGAATTGGCTTTTTGAAAAAATAAAAAAATTGACAAAACTTTAGCTAGACTACGAATAAAAGGGAGACAACTCAAAATCAGACTGAAAGACATTACAATTGATACTGCAGAAATTTGATTATAAGAGATTACTATGAACAATTATACACCCCAAATTGAATAACCTAGAAGAAATGCATAAATTCCTAGACACGTATACCCAACCAAGACTGAATCATAAAGAACTAGAAAATCTGAACCAACCAATAGTGAGTAAGGAGATTGAATCAGTAATAAAAAGCAGTCTATCAAAAAAAATCCCAGGACCTGATGGCTTCACTTCTGAATTCTACCAAACATTTGAGGTAGAACTAATACCAATCCTTCTCAAACTCTTCCAAAATAATTGTAGAGGAGAGAATACTTCTAAATTCATTTTACGAGGCAAGCATTACCTTATACCAAAACCAAAAGAAAAGGACACTAAAGAAAAGTACAGGCCAATATCTTTGGTGAACATAGATGCAAAATTCTCAAAAAAATACTAGCAAACTGAACTCAACAGCATTTTAAAGGGATAATTCACCATGATCAAGTGGGATTTATCCCAGGGGTGCGAGGAGGGTTCAACATATGTAAATCTCTAAAGGTGATATACCACATTAACAGAATAAAGGACAAAAACCATATGATCATCTCAACAGATGCAGAAAAAGCATTTGACAGAGTTCAGTATCTTTTCATGATTAGAAGCTCTCAATAAATTAGGTATAAATGTATCTCAATACAATAAAGGCCATATATGACAAGCCCATAGCTATTACATTCAGTGGTGAAAAGTTGACAGCTTTTCCTCTAAAATCAGGAACAAGATGAGCATGCCCACTCTCAACATTTATATTCAACATAGTACTGGAAGTCCTAGTCAGAGAAATTAGACAAGAGAAAAAAATTAAAGGCATCCAAACTGGAAGGAAAAAAAGTTAAATTATCCCTGTTTTCAGATGAGATAATATTATATACAAAAAACATTAAAGACACCATTAAAAAACTATTAGAACTAATAAATTCAGCAAAGTTGGAGTATACAAAATCAACATACAAAAAAAGTAGCTTTATACACTATATACACTAACAACAAGCTATCTAAAAAAGAAAACAATGAAACAATCCCATTTATAATAGTTACCAAAAAAGATAAATACAGTTGATCCTTGAACAAAACAGGTTTCAACTGTCCAAGTCCACTTATATGTAGATTTTCTTCTGCCTCTGCCACTTCTGAGACAGCAAGTCTAACCTCTCCTCCTCATCATCCTCCTCCTCAGCCTACTCAACATGAAGATGACAAGGATGAAGACCTTTGATGCTCTACTTCCATTTAATGAACAGTAAATATACGTTCTCTTTCTTATGATTTTCTTAACATTTTCTTTTCTCTAGCCTACTTTATTGTAAGAATACAGTAAATAATACATTTAACATACTGAATATATGCTGTTTATGTTATTAGTAAGGCTTCTGGTCAACAGTAGGCTATTAGTAGTTAAGTATTGGGGGATTCAAATATTATACAGGGGTTTTCAACTGTACCGGGGGTCAGCACCCCAACCCCCCATGTTGTTCAAGAGTCAACTGTACTTAAGAATAAATTTAACCAAGGAAGTGAAAGACCTATGCACTGAAAGCTATAAAATATTTATGAAATAAAGTGAAGAAGACACAAGTAAATAGAAAGATGTCCCATGTTAACTATGTTACCCCATGGAAAAAAAGAAGAAAGCTATCTCATGCTAATAGATTGGAAGAATTAATATTGTTAAAATGTCCATACTACTCAATGTGATCTTCAAACTAATGCAATCCCTATCAAAATTCCAATGGTGTTTTTCACAGAAATAGGAAAAAAAATCCTAAAAATGTATATGGAACAAAAAAAAGAGCCAGAATAACCAAAGAAATTCTCAGCAAAAAGAACAAAGCCAGAAGCATCACATTTCTTGGCTTTGAAATATATTACAAAGCTATAGTAAACAAACCAGCATGATGCTGGCATAAAAACAGACACATAGACCAATGGAACAGAATAAAGTGCCCAGAAATAAGTCCATGCCTTTATGATCAAGTGATTTTCAAGAGGGATGCCAAGAGCACACAATGGAGCAAGGATAGTCTCTTCAATGAATGGTGCTGGGGAAACTGAATATCCACATGCAGAAGAATAAAGGTAGACACCTACTTCTCACCACATACAAAATCAGTTCAAAATGGATTAAAGCAGTCATGCTCAGAGGCAGGTGGGAGAAGATTGACCCGGATGAGCCTCACTCCTGGAAGACAACCCTGTCCTTCCCATGGCTGTCCTATCTCCTCTTACCTAGACACCTGCAGACAGATCTTCATCCATAAACACGGCTGCACACCTAAGACTCCTGCACCCAGGCTGACTCCACTTGTCCATAAGGAGTAGTTCACAGACTGTTTTGAACGGCTGATATTAGATGGGATGTTGGAGATTACATTAGAATGAAAGAGACTCATCTGATTTAATTCAACAATTATTCATTCTATCCCAAATGCGTACCTAGATTCTGATCCTTACAGCATGTGCTGTCTTCAGAGATACAGCATTTAAACATCAAAACAAAATGTAGGGAAATAGAGTATAAGGATAATCACAACAACATCTGTCATATATGTAGTATTGACTCTGTGCCAGGCACCATATGAGGAACTTGACTGTCATTGACTCTAATTCTTAAAACAAGCCTTCAATGTAGGCACCATGATCCCCATGCTGCAAATGAGTAAATCAAGGCTCAGGGAAATTAAGTATTACCTCCTATGATCACACAGCTAGTAAAAGGCAGAACCAGCATTTGAACCCAAGTTTGTTAATTTCAAAGTCCATATGTGTGCCGCTGTACTTTGGAGCTCAAAGTAAAGCACTAAAAAATACCATTACAGGCTGGAAATGTTTCGAGTGGTAAAGAATGACTGAGTTCAGTGCTGCCCAGGATTCCTGGAGAAATTTTCAAAGGGCCAAGAGGTACTTTCTCATCTCTGGATGCTGCCTAGTTTGTTAAAAGTTCATTAAACCCAATATTCCTAGTGTCAATGCTACCGGAGAGTCTAGCATAATGAATTCTTAGGCCAAAATTAAGACACTGGGTCCACACCAGTCTTGCATTAAGGAGCATTACAACTAATGCCTCCACCAATAAAAAGGCTTTGCTCTAAGGACAAAACACTTTGCAAATATTTTCCATCAATCCCCACAGGTATCTTATTCAATCGTAAAAGTGTGCTTCAGACAAGTTTAAAACAACAAAAATCAGCTTCATAAGTATCAACTGTCTAAACAACACTCAGTTTTCAGTTTCTTGATTCATAATACATCATCCAATCTGCAATTTAACTCCCAGAAAATAAAACTCAACAAAACAATTACTATAAAAACAGCATTAAAAATTCTAACCAGACAAAAATGAACATACTCAAGGCTCAAAATGTGTTTTTGCTACCCTTTGACTAACTCCAGTTGAAATCAATTTCCTTTCCTCTCTTTTGTTGCTTTATTTTATTAACTAATTATCCTGTCTTCTAATCTACTGATTAATTTTCTTCTGAGTATAATTCATCAACTTTTTAGAACATCATTCTGGCTTGAAATAACAAGCCAGAAATATAGAACAGTCTGTGGCAGCTTAATTCAGATGGATAAAATAGTGCAATAACAAAACATAGGCCAGTGGTTTATTTTCAGAAGCACAGTACCTGGGACACAACAGGAACCAATGAATAACAGTAAGATTAACTGGGAAAGCCATTACTACAGGCAGGTGTTTTACTAATTTGGTTTCTGGCAGAAATGCACTTGAGTCTTGGAAGGCGAGGCAGAAAGGAAGGTTGGGAGTTGTTTTTTATGCTGGAATTGAGAAACGAAGAAGAGACATGACCCAACTACACTGCTCCTGGAAGCAGAAGCCCACAGGAAGACCGTACCGAGAGCAGCTCACCCAAATGTTGGGAAAATAGGAAAAGGGGAGCCTTTTCCCCATATTCTGATATTTTAGTAGATTCTTGCTTTGACTAAAGTGGTGAACCTAAAGCACTTAGGTTTTGACACGATACAAGAATGGTAACAGCACAGTACCTGGCCATGGTAAGCAAGTAGGAACCGAAGGAACCTCAGGGAGAAAGGCTTGCATCTCTCAGGCTCTCAGCAGGAAACTAAGAGCACCTCAGATGGAGAGACTGAGGAGGGCTTAATAAAGGCACTATTTATAAGGAGTCAGGTGGGTTTAATGGAAACCAAGAAAGTTTACATAATCTGGATTAGCTGGGGTCATTTACTCTTAGCACCCAAAACAGGCAAGGGAAGAGAGTAGTTATCAGAATCTAGAGAAGGGTGGGAAACACCTGTTGACTGCACTCCCTGCGACCCTGCAAATCCCACTGATGCTTCCCATTGGCTACAAAGGCCTTAGAGGTCAGCCTAGAGGCAGAGCAGGGAGGAGAAGAAGAGAGCAATGCTCTAGAAAGGCAGAGTCTAGCCATGGATGCTTTTCACAGAAATTGGAGGAAAGGTACTCAAAGCCATTTAATTTGTAAAATAAGTTTTACCTCATGTTAAAAAGTGAATCAACAGGAAACACCAGTTACCTCCATTTTCCAGGTAATGAAACTGAGTCTCAGAGAGGATAAATCACTTAGTAAAGGTTAATAAAAGATAAAAATAAATTAACAAAAATGAGATTCAAACTCCAGTCTGCCTGACAACAGAGTCCACACTTTTAGCCACTCTGCCACGCTGCCTCTAACAGTTATACTTTAAAAGTCGAATTCTCCAACTGTAACAGGACTTGGATACAACCCATTCGCATCTCACTGCTCAAAATATTGTTTTCTAAAACTATGACATATGGACATTTTCATGTAAAACCCTCTATGAGAGAATTATAAACCCTTATATGAGGACAAGCAGTACGGGAAGTGGTTTATGTTTGGAAATAGTTAACCCAAAATAAGAAATAAACTAACGTTTGAAAGGGTAGAGTTGCTTGTCTCAGTCTGGGCAAAGCTTCAGTTTCCAGAAATCTATGAAGATTAAAATGAGGCCTCAGAAGAAGCCAACACTGCTGATTGTGTGAAAGCTTAGAAAGCAAGGCTGATTAGGCAAAATTCCATTCCACAGACTTTATATTCAGTCAGCAATGGGCAAAAGGAAGGGTTCCTCTCTTTCCTTAGCAACCTTTTTTGAAAAGGAATGCATTCTGTACCTACTTGACACCAAGGAGAAAGCCTCATCCAGAAAGCATAATTACATTTTTTGTTTCAGCAGATTAACAACAGTTTATTCTGTTCTCAGATTTTTTCCTATTCTCATAATCCAGCAAAAACTAATTAATATCTTATTCCTTTTACACTCATGGTAGGCATCTCTACGCATTTATACATTTCCATATACATACACTTCAGGGTAGATTTGACTCAGTTGAGAGGAGTGTGTTGAATTCTTTGTCAGACTGTGATGCCTGGCCTGGCAGGCTGCTAAACACCTTTCTTTTTCTTTTCTTTTTTAAAGAGGTGGGAATTGCTATGTTGCCCAGGCTGGTCTCGAACTTTTGGGCTCAAGCAATCCTCCTGCCTCAGCCTCCTAGAGTGCTGAGATTACAGACATGAGCCACCATGCCCGTCCACTAAACACCTTTCTATTCTAATACCTCTTTAGATTCTGCAGTAAGTAGAATCCTAGGTATTAGAATAGAAAGCTGAATCAAATGTGAAGGATGAAATAATCTCTTCTCTACCATCTTGGTGTAGACAGATGAGAAGCCAAGTGCAGGTAATTTTTAAACATTGTATACATTAAATATGCACATTTTTATGTCATTCATACCTCAATAGTGGTTATTAAAAGGAAGAAAAAGGAAAAATGTGAAACCAAAAGTTAACACCTGAAAACCAAAGTTACTTGTTTGCATAAATTAAATTTCAAAGTTTCCTTCTCAAAAAAAAAATTATTTGCAGCATCTAAGAGATTCTGTGGCATCATAGAACAGGTCTTCAAAGCCTGTAGAAACAGTCCAGGTTCTAGTCCAGGCCTTTCCAGTTCGTCCTAGCTGTGTGCCATGAGCAAATGTCATCTCTCTGAAGCCTCAGTTTATCCAACTATAAAATGGGATCAGTGTCCAGCTCACAGGGTGATTGTGAGAGTCACATGAGGATGGGTTTACCGTTTACTGCACTACTATTTACAATATCAAAGACTTGGAACCCACCCAAATGCCCATCGATGATAGACTGGATAAAGAAAATGTAGCACATATATACCATGGAATACTATGCAGCCATAAAAAAGAATTAGTTCATGTCCTTTGCAGGGACATGGATGAAGCTGGAAACCATCATCCTCGGCAAACTAACACAGGAACAGAAAACCAAACACTGCATGTTCTCACTCATAAGTGGGAGTTGAACAATGAGAACATATGGACACAGGGAGGAGAACATCATACACTGGAGCCTGTCGGGAGGTGGGGGGCCAGGAAAGGGATAGCATTAGGAGGAATACCTAATGTAGATGACGGGTTGATGGGTGCAGCAAACCACCATGGCACATGTATTCCCATGTGACAAACTTGCACGTTCTGCACATGTGTCCCAGAACTTAAAGTATAATAATAATAAATAAATAAATAAAATACATGATTAGCACCACAATAGTGATATTCTGTGGGTACCTAACCAAGGTTGGAGAGGATTTCCTCAGAGTGAGCGGTATCTACATTGAATCCTAAAAGACAAATAGGCTTTTCCAAGCACCGAGTTGGGGAGAAGGTACTAGAGACAGAGAAGAGCTCGTGTGGAAGTCTGGAGGAGAAAGTGGTGCTTTTTTCCAAGAATTGCAGGCTATTTCTACAACAAATATTTACCAATACCTACAATGTGCCAGGCACGTTATGGTTCTAGGTGCTGGAGGTACAGCAGAGAACAAAACACCACAAAAATCCTGCCCCTCACAATGCTTATTATGCCAATGGAAGGTAGGAGGCAAGGCAAGATACAGAGAGAGACAAGGCTGCAGAGAAAAGAGGGGCAGATAAGGGCCTTGAAACCAAGCCAGAAAATACTGGCTTATCCTGAGGGCAGGGGAATATCACTGATGGATTTTTAAGCAGAAGAGAGGGATGAGAGGTTTACTTCATGTCAGCATATTTTCCTTTCTGTTTTTCCATAAAAATCCTCCCCATTCATTTTTCAAAGCAAGCATAATACTCTTACTATACCTGACAAAGATAGCACGCAAATGGAAGGTACAGAAGAACCTCAATTATGAATACAGACACAGGCCAGCACAGCGGCTCATGCCTGTAATCCCAGCACTTTGGGAGACCGAGGCAGGAGGATAGCTTGAGGCCAGGAGTTTGAGACCAACCTGGGCAACATAGCAAGACTCCATCTCTTAAAAAAAATAAATAAATAAAAACTATATATAGGCACAAAAATCTTAAAAACATTAGAGCAGTTTGTTATACATCTAGAAAAGAATAAAGATAGAATCTTACACATGTGTAAAAATAGATTTCGGGTGGATAAAAGATTTAAACATAAAACTATAAAAAATACTAGAAGAAAATATAGAAGCCTATTTTATAATCCTGGAGGGAAGAAGTCTTTTTAAAATATGACACAATGTATTTACAGATTTGACTACAAGTCAAACAAAGCATTAAGCATCTAAAAGGCAAAAGTTACCATAAACAAAATTTCGGATCACCAAGTAGGAAAACATATACAACATATGTGACAGCAAAGGGGACCTACATATAAAGCTCTTACAAATCAACATGAAAAAGATTAACATCAACATTTCAATAAAATAAAAGGATATCAACAAACATTTCTTAGTAAAAGACATACAAATAGATGTTATTAAACATATAAAAAAGATGTTTCACCTTTCACAGTGGAACATAAGATTGAATTGCCTTTTTTAGTAATCATCAACAGGCTTGTATCACACCCTTTAAAGCTTGTAATAAACCAAATGCTCAAGATTTTTTTTTATGAATTGCTACCAAACTGGGTTTTCTCCATTTTATGCTGGTATAATTGTACTTTTAAAGTTAAATTCCAGGCCCTACATTTATTTCTATTGCACTCAAATTTCAAAATGATCTTAACAGCTCTGAATTCTGGGCTGAAGTGAACAATTATTTCCTACCTGTCATGCCAGCTTTCAATTCCAGGTTATATTTTTATTCCAAGTCATTTTTCCTAAAGGTGAGCATCTCAGGAAAAAAAGATAGAAAGCAAATGCAATCAGATCAAAGGAGGAAGACCCAACAATTTATGCATGGGAAAGGGGCTTCTGTAAAGATGAGAGTGGCCCCAGGAGATGTCAAAGCTTAGAGGTGGCAAAAAAACAATGAGCAGAGCGAAATGGGGTGGGGCTGAAGCAATGGATGACATGCCTGTGAGGATAGCAAGTAAGGGCAAACAGGTGGTTCGCCCCACACCACCTGAGCCAAACAGAGGGATGCAGAGGGGTGGACGCTTGGGTGAAATGGACCACATAGTACCTGAGGCAGCTGGAGAGACTCAGAAGTAGCATGGGACCTCACCATCAGATAACTGGGTGGTACTAGCATCCCATGCATCACATCTTACCTCTCCCCATTAGATACATCATGACATAAATAAATGCAGTATTCACAGATGGGCTAATAGGAAATTTCAAATATCCAGATCAGTACTGAAGCAATCACATTCCAATATTTGCAGAAATCTAATATCAGGAAACAAAAATACTAAACTCAACAAACAGAACAAACACCCAAGGAAACAAAGTTAATGGAAAAAACACAGAGAAACATTAAAAGAAGCATTGAGAAAAGGACCTGGCTGGGCGCGGTGGCTCATGCCTGTAATCCCAGCACTTTGGGAGGCAGAGGCAGGTGGATCATGAGGTCAAGAGTTCAAGGCCAGCCTCACCAAGATGGTGAAACCCCCATCTCTACTAAAAATACAAAAATTAGCCAGGCATGGTGGTGGGCACCTGTAATCCCAGCTACTCGAGAGGCTGAGGCACAGAATTGCTTGAACGCAGGAGGCGGAGGTTGCAGTGAGCCAAGATCGTGCCACTGCACTCCAGCCTGGGCAACAGAGCGAGACTCTGTCAAAAAAAAAAAAGAAAGAAAGAAAGAAAGGAAGAAAAAAGAAATAAAGAAATAGAAAAGAACCAGCCGGACATGGTGCCTCACACCTGTAATCCCAGCATTTTGGGAGGCTGCGGTGGGAAGATCACTTGAGCTCAGGAGTTTGAGACAACCCTGAGCCATATAGTGAGATTCCAACTCAACAAAACATCAAAAAATTAGCCAGGCGTGGTGGTGTATGCTGGTAGTCCCAGCTACTTGGGAGCCTGAGGTGGGAGGATTGCTGGAGCCTGGGAGGTCAAGGCTGCAGTGAGCCATGAATGCACCACTGCACTCCAGCCTGGGCAACAGAGTGAGACCCAGTCTCAAAAAAAAAAGAAAAAGAAAAAGAAAAGAAAAGAAAAATACCAATTAGAGACCTTGGAGGGAGAATGAAAATAAAATAAATAGCATAATGGATACAGCTGGGGAGCAATTAATAAGCCAAGAAATTCTTTCCCAAGAAATTCTTTCAGAATGCAGTGCAAAAGAGCAAAGGAATTAAAAATACAAAAGAAAAGTCACAGTATCATTTCTGCCACATTCTGTTGGCAAGAAATGAGTGACAGGCCTAGTCCAGATTCAAAAGGAGGGAACTACACAAGACTGGAAGGTGTAATTCATCAGGACCGCCATGTGACAGACTCCACACACACTCACCGTCTGTCCCCTCCCATCACTGTGTATGTGCCTCTATTACCACCTATCCCATGGTGTTATGATTTGTTTACTTGGCAGTCTCTCCATTAGACTATGAGTCTCATTAGGGTAAGAACTACCTCACTCATCTTCCAAATTAACAGCGACTGGCTCAGTGCTTAGCACAAAACAGGTGTTTGCTAAAAGTTTGTGAAATTAAATTACTCCCTTTGCAGTCATTCAGAGTACACAGAGTCAGGGTGCTTGGCTCTAAAGATAGTTCTGGGCCATCTGGGCCACATCTCCTAAAAAATTAAATTAAATAAATTGTTTTTCATGTAAAGGTAACCACCAGGAGAACTGAAGTACCAAGACATTAGCAAAAAAGGGGACAAAGAAACCATAATCAATTCAACAAAAGTCTTTTATATGCCTCACTCAGAAATCTATAAAGTAGATAAAACATAATAACATAAACACTATACTTGAACTAAAGATATAAACAGATAATTTTGCAGCCAGTTTGTGTTCAAACACACATGGCACAATTACAGAAACTATGTATCATGCTGCAAAGACCTCAAAACTCCAAAAAGAAAAAATCATACAGGTCATAGAGTAGCACAATTTAAAATTCACACAAGAAAAAATGATATCTCCCACCAAAGTATCTATTCACATAAAAATGTGAAAACCCTCTTTTAAACCTAAATAGAATGCTAACCACAAAAGAAATACCAAAGGTAATCAAAAGTCTTCCCCCTGAAATTGCATCAGGTCCATTTGATTTTACGTGTGAGTTTTGCCAAGCCTTCAACGTTACACTTCCTATGTTATGTAAACAAGTCCAGATCACAGAAAAAAGTAAAAAGCTTTTTAATAATATTATGAGGTTAGCATAATACCAATATTAAAACCATTAAAAGAATATACTTTTATGATTGGAGCAATGGTAGCCAATTCAATAAGAAAGAAAAAAGAGAGAAGCTTTATAGGTAATATAGTTGTATAACAAGAAAAAACAAGAAAATCAACTGACAAAAAGTTGCAACAAGGTAACTAAATATAAGATCAATATATATAAACCTACAGCTCTACCATAAACCAGTAATAACCAATTGGGGAAAAAAATAAGTACCTCATTTACAATAACAACAAAAACTATTTAATCATTATAAATCATCAAGAAATATATAATACCTACATTAAGAAACCTATGAAAAATTTAGTGTGCTTACTGCATAAAAGCAGTCCTCAACATATCTCCCTAAATCAATTTACAAATTCAAAGAAATCCCAATTAAAATCCCCAAAGATTTTCATGGAATAGGACAGACTGATTTTAAAATTTATCTGAATATGAAAATGCCCAAGAATAGAACATTTTGCTTTTAATAATTAAAATAATGTGGCATTAGAGCAGAAATAAACAAATAGATAAATGATACAAAAAGATAAAAATCCTAAACATACTCATATGTATAATAAGGATTTAGTATATAAACTTTTTAATGTGGTATGTTGAATCATTGGAAAAAAGATGAAGAATGAAATCAGTAATTTTGATAATTGACTATCGATTTGAAAGAAAATAATTAGATTTCCTACCATTCACAAAAATAAATTCCAGGTACATTAAATATTGAAAGTTAAAAACAAAACGTGAAAAAGTTGGAGGAAAATCTAGAATATGTTTATAAGTCCTCAGTCCTTTTTATTTTCTTTTTTCAGAAGGTGAGTTGTTAAACATTCCTTAGCAGATTCCAATTCCATTGCCACCATCCTACTTTAAGTACCTTTAAAATTAGATTTTTTTCAGATAAATTATAAAATCTGGGCTGGAAGTGGTGGCTTGTGCCTATAACCCCAGCATTTAGGAGGCTGAGGCAGGAGGATTGCTTGAGCCCCAGGAGTTTGACCAGACTAGGCAACATAACAAGACCCTGCCTCTAAAAAAATAATAAAATAAAATCTGGGCAGTAAAATATTAATATATTTGACAGCATCAGAATTTAAAATTTCTATATCACAAAAACACCATAATTTAGTTTAAAAGGAGACAGATTACAGAATCTGTTTGTAATGTTTACAACAAAAGATTAATATCCAGAATATATTAAGTACTTCTACAGATAAATAAAATGAACCTGGCCGGGCGCGGTGGCTCATGCCTGTAATCCTAGTACTTTGGGAGGCCGAGGCAGGCGGATCATGAGGTCAGGAGATCGAGACCAGCCTGGCCAACATGGTGAAACCCCGTGTCTACAAAAAATACAAAAATTAGCTGGGTGTGGTGGCGCATGCCTGTAATCCCAGCTACTCGGAAGGTTGAGGCAGGAGAATCACTTGAACCAGGGAGTTGGAGGTTGCAGTGAGCCAAAATGGCACCACTGCACTCCAGCCTGGTGGCAGAGTGAGACTCCATCCCAAATAAATAAATAAATAGAATGAATCTAACACAAAATGACAAATGAAAAATTCAAAGAAGTAGAAAAACGAATGAACAATAAACATAAGAAAATGCATTCAATGTCACTAGTGGTCAGTAAAATGGAAATTAAATAACAATGAGAAACCAGCTGAGGCTCATTTGATTAGCAAAATTTATAAAGTTTTATGATATCAAATGTTGGCAAGGATGGGGAAGAACTCTCATCACTCTAGTGAGATTACAGACTTTTGGGAAGGGCAATTTGCAAAATGTGTTGAAATTTGAGATGTGTTTAGCTTTTGATCCAGGATTTCCATTAATTATTCCATTAATTATCTCTACTAGAGAAGCACTGACACATCCACAAAAACGCAGTGATGGTGGCGGCGGCCCATCTGGAGTGGCCTCTGCGAGAACACCAGCTGCAGCAGGGGAGGCGCGGCCGGGACTGAGCGCTCTGTGGAGCCAGTGGGGGCCAGGATCAGGTGATCCCAGTGGGAGCCCTCTGCCCTACCAAGTTGGCAGGATGAGAGCCCACACTTCCAGGCGCAGCTGCAGCTGCCCGAGTGTGGCTCTCGACCCAGGCATCCCTGTGCTCTCTGGGACCAGGAAGCCCCCTGTCCCCACAGGCTCACAAGTGGCTACTCCCACTCCCTGGCCTCTCCCTGCTCCCAGCGCCCACTCCACAGTGGAGCAAAGTTGTGGACATGTCCCCATAGCCGAGCCGGGGTGCTGCCACAACCCAACCGGGTGTGTACGAGCTTGGGGCAACGCTGACACACCAGCCCCCCACTGCCTCAGCCCCCCTCTGGAAACTGCTTCTGAGGCTGAAACTTTGGGTGCTGACAAGCATGGGAGGGAGGCCGGGGGCTGAGGGCACTCGGCCCAGGCCTGCTGGCCCCCGTTGATGTGGACAGCCTGGCAGCTGTGGATGGTGTGTTGATGGCAACAGAAGGCAGACAGGTTCTTAGGTGGGAAGGGGTGAGTCCCCAGTGAAACCCCACCTTCAAGCCAGGGAAGGCCTGAAGCTTGGGGGCCAGGCTGCCAGTTACAGGTGAAGTCCACGACCTGGAGTGAGAACTTCCATGATGCCTTTTGGCCAATCAAGTGGTGCTTTTCACGGCCTGGCCCATGGACCAATCAGCACACACTTCCTCCATTCTGAACCCATAAAATCCCTGGACTCGGCCTGACTCAGACACTCCTTGGGATGACCTGCCACAGATAGGAGCTGCCCACTTCAGGTCTCTTCTCTCTGCTGAGAGCTGTTTGGTCACCCAATAAGCACTTCTCTGCCTTGCTCACCGTCCAGTTGTCTGCATAACCTCATTCTTCCTGGGCACAAAACAAGAACTCAGGACCCGCCAAACAGCAGGAGGGAAAGGGGCTGTAACACGTGCCTGGCTGGCTCTCTGAGCTCTCAGACTGCAGGACTGAAGAGTGGTAACTCTTCCGAGGGCCCAGACCTGGAGATTCCCCAATGCAGCGCTGTAACACTATAGCCCTCCCTCTCTCTGCTGGCACCAGGCAACCACCCCACGCAATAGGAAGCAGTGGTGAGGCTGGGCCATCCCAGGAGCTGCGAGCCAGAGTGAAGCCACGGGACTGAAGAAGCTGTAACACAAACAGGCTGAAACATGCCATCCGCCAAACATCCCCACCCAACCCCGCTCACCATGCTGTGGGCAACGAGAAGGAGAGAAGAGCTGCAGCCCTTCTGGGAGCCCAGACCTCAGGGCTCCCGGAGCCAGGACTGTGACCTGCTATAACACCCTCTTTGGGGGCTCTGTGATTCCTGGCATCTCTGAGCTTTCAGGCGCCACCATGTTCCCCTTGTCCAGACGCCGGTGCTGGCAGCAAAAGCCGCTTGCGGTACCTCTGGTTCAGCCACAGCTTTGCACAGAGCCAGTGCCTGTGCCAGCGCCTGGAGCTGCCTGCCCCACCGCAGCACCTGGCATGCCTCACTGTGCTCAGTGGCCGGACCCTGCGCTCACTTGCTCACACACCCAACTCTGCTCCACGCCTGGCTCACCCTTGGCAGGCGTGGGATCCAGGCTGGTATCTCTGAGCACAGCCTGCAGGGCCAATCGAGTGGAACAAGACCAGCAGGCGCGAGCAAAACTCAAGCAGAGGCGCCGCCAGCCACAGAGGTTTCTGGCTGGTGAACAACACCCAGAGGATTTTGTGATAGCAGGAGTAAAGGTAAAATAGAGAAAACACTAGAAATTTACCTATTGCTTCCTATAATGGAACCAATAGGGGAAATAGTTAAATAAATAAATAAATAAATAAATAAACAAACAATTTGAGTTAAGAGAATAAAGCACTCATCAAAGCACTGTTTGTGATAAAGAAAACACTAGAAATTTCCCTATTACCTCCTGTATTGGAACCAATAGGGGAAATAGTTAAATAAATAATACAAATTTGAGTTAAGAGAATAAAGCGATTTGCAGAACATATATAAAGTGTGCTACCATATTTGTAAAAGCAAAACTGAATCTTCCTCTATGTCCATATATTATGCAAACATATTTTAAAAGAGCCTTAAAAGAGACACACTAAACTGGTAACTGTAATGACTCTGGGGAGATGATCAAGAGTAACTTCAGATTTATCTACTTGAATATATTACAATGAGAACACCGTTTTGCAGTGCTTGTGTAATTTTAAAATAACTTTTTAAGAAAATAAATAAGTAAAAATATTTTAGGAACAAGGATAGAGTTCTGTAACACACTGCCAGAAACATTCCTATAGATTGGCCCATAAACATTTTTCATATGATGATACCTAGTTTGAACCAGACATGTCAACATCCTCTTATTCCTTATACTTTACTCAGGAAGATTCTGGAAAACAGAGTATGTGGGTGAGCACCATTATGCACGAGCTGCTACTCTGGGAACTTTTCATAAATTATTGACATAACCCTCACAACAGCTCTAAGAGATGGGCATTATTTTTTATATTTTATAAATAGTAAAATGAAATCCAGAGCCAGGCACTGTGGTGCACACCTGTTGCCCCAGCTACCCAGGAGGCTGAGGCGGGAGGATCACTTGAGGCCAGGAGTTCTCAGTTATAGTACACTATAATGGGCCTGTGAATAGCCACTGCACTTCAGCAAAACTCCATCTCTTTAAAAAAGAAAAAGAAAGAAAAAAGAACATGAAATCCAGAACGGTGAAGTAACTTGTCTAAAGTAACAGTTTTCAAGTGACCCATTGAAGATTACTCAAATCAAGTTGAGTCCAAAGCCTATCCCACTTCTATAATAGTGTACTTCCTCCTCCACCCCTGAGAATGAGTACCCTTAGTTAAGTTGCCCCAGCCCAGTGCATTTCATCTGGGTAGACAGATGTCCAGCCACATGGACACAGTGATGTGTATTCCAGATCCCCCTTCAAGAAAGGACTTTTTGCCCAGCTGCTGGAAGTGCCTGCAGCTGTCAGCCCCTGTGGGGATTGCCTTGGCTACAGAAATAGGAAGTTATACAGAAAACTAAGCCTGGACTGTTTTCATGGGGTTTATCTTCCTGAGAAGCAGAGTCTGGATGCAGTTCAGTGGACAGGATGTACATTAGAGAGCACCCTTGGAATCCACACCTATGAAAGAGAGAGAGGAAAGGATCAGGCAGAAGGGAATCCAAGCCTTTGATGTAGGTCCAGCAGCCTCAGTTAACCCAATGGTGAGCTCTGGAGCCAAATGGCCCATCCGAATTATGCCAGGTAAAGAGAACATGGCCAGGCCTTTATATCTCTTCCTCCATCAGTAACTGGATGTGGACCACCAGGAAAGGACACAACCTCGATCTGAGATGGTCCATAAAGGAATGACAACTGAAGGCTGTCTGCCAACAGAAACTGGAGCGGCAGGTCCTTTCTTGAAGGGGAATTTGGGAGGCACATCACCGTGTACAGCACTTACTGAAAAGCAGGAGTTTTGACTGAAAATCTACATCAGGGACAGTTAGATCTCAGGCTCATACCCTCCCTGACCTCTGCAGGGAAAGAATGTTCTAACCTCCGGGAAAGTGTACGAGGGAAGCTCCAGATTCTGGAAATTCAGGTATAGTGGAGAGTTGGCTGTGAGGTCCTGGATTAAACGCAGTGGATTGACAGAAAGTCAGCCTCCTGAATGAGAAGAATCCCTTTTAACTTCCTTTCCCAGCCAATCTCCCAGAAATCCCACAGCCAAGCTGGAGAACCTCCAAGAGGGATAGAAAGATCCTTGTCAAGAGAAACTGGGCAAGCCCAGAGAAAAGATGGCCAGGTACTAAAATCGTGGAATCTCCCAGTGAAAAAGCCAGCTTCCTACCAGATCATTCTGAAATGATGGCCACCAATGAGCAAGCCCCACCAACGCTCACAGAGCTTCCAAGTATTTTCTCAGAGCCTCAGTCTTCACTCTAACAGAGCCCTGGCTCAGGATTACCTGACATTTAAAGACAGCCTTAGGCAGGGCATGGTGGCTTACACCTGTAATCCCAGCACTTTGGGAGGCCAAGCGTGGTGGATCACTTGGTGTCAGGAGTTGAAGACCAGCCTGACCAATATGGTGAAACCCTGTCTCTACTAAAAATAAAAAAATTGACTGGGCGTGGTGTGTGCACGCCTATAGTCCCAGCTACTCAGGAGGCTGAAGCAGGAGAATCATTTGAGCCCAGGAGGCAGGGGTTGCAGTGAGCCAAGATCGCACCACTGCACTCCAGCCTGGGTGACAGAGCCAGAGTGACTCAAAAAAAAATAAAATAGGCCAGGCACAGTGGTTCATGCCTGTAATCCCATCACTTTGTGAGGCCAAAGCAGGCAGATCACCTGAGGTCAGGAGTTCGAGACCAGCCTGGCCAACATGATGAAACCCCGTCTCTACTAATAATACAAAAATTAGCCGGGCATGATGGCGGGTGCCTATAATCCCAGCTACTCAAGACGCTAAGGCAGGAGAATTGCTTGAACCCGGGACGCAGAAGTTGCAGTGAGCCGAGATCACGCCATTGCACTCCAGCCTGGATGACAAGGCTGAAACTCAGTCTCAAAAAAAAAATAATAAAATAACATAATAAAGACAGCCTTGAACATAAAATACATAGAGCAAAGCAAACAAATAGAAAAGAATAGGAAGAAACTGAGCTATGCAGGACATCAAAAAAAGCAACTTATTAAAAAAATACAACTTAAAATCATAGACATAGCCCAGGAGTTCGAGACAAGTCTGGCCAACATAGTGAAACCTCATCTCTACTAAAAATACAAAAAATTAGCCGGCTGTGGTGGTGGGTGCCTGTAATCCCAGATACTCAGGAGGCTGAGGCAGGAGAATCACGTGAGTCTGGGAGGCGGAGGTTGCAGTGAGCTGAGATCGTGCCACTGCATTCCAGCCTGGGCAACAGAACGAGACTCCATCTCAAAAAAAAAAAATCATAGACATAGTCACAAGAGACACTGTCACATCCATGAATGAAAGGCAGGCTGCCATTTTTTAAAAAACGCAACGAAGAACCAGAAATAGCAAGAGCTCTTGGAAACTAAAACTATGGTAGTCACAGTTAAAAATCACTAGGAAGGTTAGAAAAGGAAATCAAAGAGATTGCCCCAATTATAAATAGAAAGAAATAAAATGAGTGAAATAGACAGAAAAGAGTAAGAATGAGAAGCTCAATTGACAAGGTTCACTATGCAAATCATTGGAGTTCTAGAAATGAAGACTGAAAAATATTGAGAGGAAGAAATAAAAAATAAGAACACTTACAGAACTGGAGTAAGTGAATCTTTGGATAGAAAATGACCATTTAGAACCAAGCACAGTAAATTTCAAAAGACACCCCCACAATCATTGCAGGATTTTAGAAGAGGAGGAATAAATAAAGAGATTATAAAAGCTTCAGAGAGAAATGGAAAAAAATAGCTAAAGCAGGGGAAGGCATAGGATTTAAGAAACAGAAGACCCAACAGAGTAGAGCAGAGGGAAAACTTCCAGGATGAAAAGAAGCCGGCTGGGCATGATGGCTCACGCCTGAAATCCCAGAACTTTGGGAGGCCGAGGCAGGCGGATCACAAGGTCAGGAGTTCAAGACCAGCCTGGCCAAGATGGTGAAACACCTGTCTCTACTAAAAATACAAAAATTAGCCGGGCTTGGTGGCAGGCGGAGGACAGTAGGCCCAGAGAGTACAGAGTCCAGATCTGAGCAGAAAGGTGGAAGACTCCAGGAGGGAAGTCTGGGAAGTGGAAGAATGAGACTGGGAAGTAGGAGAGTGAGACTAGTGAGTTATCTGCTGGAAGGTGTGTGATAAATTAGCAATAGGTACAAAGAAAACTAAGCAAATGTTAATGCAATTAACAACTTGGGAAAAAATAATACGAGGCCGGGCACGGTGGCTCACACCTGTAATTCCAGCACTTTGGGAGGCCGAGGCAAGTGGATCACCTGAGGTCAGGAATTCAAGACCACCCTGGCCAACATGGTGAAACCCCGTCTCTACTAAAAAATACAAAAATTAGCTGGGCGCAGTGGTGCACGACTGTAACCCCAGCTACTTGGGAGGCCGAAGCAGGAGAATCACTTGAACCTGGGAGGCGGAGGTTGCAGTAAACCAAGATCGCACCACTGCACTCCAGCCTGGGCGACAGAGTGAGACTCCGTCTCAAAAGAAAAAAAAAGAAAAGAATTGTAATCTTACTGCAGTACTTGGTTAGTGGTAAGCAATATGCACATGGAAACAATATTTACATAGGCATAATCACATAAACACTGAATATTACTCTAACCAGAAACACTTACTAGACTGTATCAGGAGACCAAGAAGAGCAAAGCAGCTGAATGACAGGGTGGGATGGGAGCCCTGTAAAAGAGCTAAATGCTCATCTACCGCAAGTAGAAGTCAATAAATCAATTTTTAAAAGTCTAAAATAAACAAACCACGATAGTATTCAGGAATTCCAGACACAACTGCTACATGGATAGAAAGTGGGTCCCTCCCAGAAACAAGACTAAGGGGTTTGGGTAGGGTAGGAAACATTTTTTTTTTAATTTTTTGTTTTGTTTTTTTGGGACAGGGTCTCCCTCTGTTACCCAGGCTGGAGTGCAGTGGTGTGATCATGGCTCACTGCAACCTCCAACTCCTGGGCTCATGCGATCCTTCTGCCTCAGCTAATTCCAAGTAGCTGAGATTACAGGCACAACCACCACACCTGGCTAAATTTTTTTTAAACTTTTTTTTTTTTTTCTGTAGATGGGTTCTCCCTATGTTACCCAGGCTCGAACATCTGGGCTCAAGAGATGCCCCTGCCTCGGCATCCCAAAGTGCTTGGATTACAGGCATGGGCCACCACGCCCAGCCAGGTTTTTAAATTTTAAGGCTTTGTGTCCTATTTCACTTTTTAAATTTTGGTAATAAAATAAATTTTAATAATAAATAGAATAAAGGGGGAACTCTTTATTAAGAAAAAAAAGGCATCACTGGCCTGATTCAATCCGACAAAGCCCCCAAGTAGCATCAATTCAATCCAATTATGAATTGTTCTTTTTCTAGGCTGGCTTGAAAAAGCAACACCTTCCCTTTTAAAGAAAGCCCAGCCTCAGATTAATTAACAGCTGAGCTGGCACACAGTCGTATTCAAATGATTCCTTCAGGTTCAGTCTCAAATTAATTAATGACACTCTCCATTGCACTTGAATGTCATGTATTTCATCTTTCACAATTACTTAGTTTGCCTCCTCTGGACAAAGATTTACTCTTTGGCTCTCAATATACTTATAGAAATTTACTCCTACCCTGCAAACAAGAGGAGAGAAAGCAATTCATCAGCCCAGGAGAAGCCTCAAGGTGAAGACCTCCTCTGTCTAAATCACACTTTGACTAATAGGAAGCTGACAGGCTGCAACGAGCATGTCAGCTGACTGTTTTTCTGTGCTCCACTTTTAGAGGAAATCTCAGGGTGTATCACACACACATACACACACAAGAGCAGATATTAGAGATGGAATTCCAAACAGCCAGGCTCAGGACAAATCCTAAGGCTAGCACATGTAGACACCTCTAACACCCCAGCTCACATCTCTCAGCTCCTCATTTCACCTCACATTTTCATGGACTTCAATGCAACCCCCACTGATGGTGCTTTCCCTCAAGCACACACTGGGACTTCTCCAGTACTCTAGAGCCCAGAGGTGTCATCAAGGGCTCACGGGGAGAGTTTCCAACCCCCAGGGAAACCTCAACTAATGGGGGCCAGGAGTGGATGGATAAATACTTCTCCCAGTCCATCTTCTGACAGACCATTCTGAGAGGTATTCTGGCTGGAATGTTCCAGGCAGGATTAAGCCCCAGTTACTCTCAATGTTGACCTCATTAATGCAGCCTTTTCCTTCTCCCCTTGCTCTCCCTGACTCCTCATCCTTGCAATTTGGCAGAACCTCCAAAATAAACTACCTGCATCATATATTTGTCTCCATGCTAAGCTTTCAGAAATTATGCAACTTAAGAGCTAGAGAGACTCAGTGTCCTAGTTTTCTGGGGACAGTGATAGTGCCTTGCCTCAAGTATGTACTGGGGGACTCTTCCAACACTCCAGACCCCAGGGTTTCTTCAGGCACTCACATGGGAGAGTTACCAAACCCCAGGCAAGATTCAACTAATGAAGGCCAGAAGCCAATGGAGATATCTCTCTCAGTCATGCTGGGTGTGGTGGCTCACACCTATAATTCCAGCACTTTGGGAGGCTGAGGCAGGCAGATCATTTAAGATCAGGAGATCTAGACCAGCCTGGGCAAGATGGCAAAACCCTTTCTCTAGAAAAAAATACAAAAATTAGCTGGGCATGATGGTGGGAGCCTGTAGTCCCAGCTGCTGGAGAGGCTGAAGGCGGGAGGATCGCATGAGCCTGGGAAGTCGAGGCTGCAGTGAGCTGAGATCGCACCCCTGCACTTCATCCTGGGTGATAGAGTGAGACCCTGTCCCAAAAAAATGAACTTCTTTCAGTCGTAAATCTCCCAGGGATTCCCCATGACATGGGATATTCAGTGCCAAAACCGGGAAAGTCCCAGGCAAACCAGGATGAACTCACCCATGTAAGACAGTGAATTTTTGTCCAGTCTTTGACACTTCTGATGTTATTATCTGAAAAACTTAAGAACTGTTATTCTTGATTATTTTTCATCAATTCATTCAATGTTTACTTGACTCATACTCTGCCTCAATCACTGGAATGAGAGATGAATGGGATATATCTCGGAGTTCTCTTGGTCTAGTGGGGAAAACAAACATAAACACATCACAGTATGTTGCAATGCATGTTGTGGCTGAGTAATACATGAGGCACCCCCAGGGCACAGAAAGAAGGCCTATCTCTGTGATGGGGGTCACAAAAGAATGCAGAAGTGGACCAGGCACAGTGGCTCATGTGTGTAATCCCAGCACTTTGGGAGGCCGAGGCAGGTGGTTCACTTGAGCCCAAGTTTCAGACTAAACTAAAGTTTAGTTTAGCCTGGAGACAAAGATACGATGCAGGTAGTTTATTTTGGAGGTTCTGCCAAATTGCCAAGATGAGGAGTCAGGGAGAGCAAGGGGAGAAGGAAAAGGCTGCATTAATGAGGTCAACATTGAGAGTAACTGGGGCTTAATCCTGCCTGGAACATTCCAGCCAGAATACCTGAAACTTGAGCCCAAGTTTCAGACCAACATGGCGAAACCCTGTCTCTACAAAAAATACAAAAGTTAGCCAAGCGTGGGTGCCCGTGCTTGTAGTCCCAGCTGCTGGGGAGGCTAAGGTGGGAGGATCACTTGAGCCCAGGAGGTCGAGGCTGCAGTGAGCTGAGATCAGGCCACTGCACTCCAGCCTGGGTGACAAACCTAGATCCTCAAAAAAAAAAAAAAAAAAAAAAAAGCAGAAGTGACTGGTGAGAGAAGTTATGGAAGCTGCAAAATCCCTTGCAGGCTTGATTTTGTTTTGTTTTTTGAGATGGAGTCTCACTCTGTCACTCAGGCTGGAGTGCAATCTTGGCTCACTGCAACCTCGTCCTCCTGGGTTCAAGTGATTCTCCTGTCTCAGCCTCCCGAGTAGCCGGGACTACAGGAGCGCACCACCATGTCTGGCTAATTTTCGTATTTTTAGTAGAGACAAGGTTTCACCATGTTGGCCAGGCTGGTCTTGAACTCCTAACCTCAAGGGATCCACCCGCCTCGGCCTCCCAAAGTGCTGGGATTACAGGCATGAGCTACCACGCCCGGCCCTCCTGGGTATTTTTTATGATTTAAATGTTTTCATGAGTTTGCCCCACTAAGGTAAGAAAATGAACTAATGGATATCAGCAAGACTTTTAAACAGCAAGCTTTGGCTTGTAAACAGTTTGGGTTGAACCTGGAGTATACCAGGAAATTCAGTTAACTATAAAACGCCTTCGCTGACGTGTGAAGGCAAGTCTGATGGTAATTTTTTTTTAAGTGCAGCACATTGGAAATTCCTGAGGGGGCAACAAGATGTTTCCCCATGTGGCAGCTTAAAACTTCCTGGAGTATGTAGTCCTCACCTCTGAGAGTAACCTCAAAATCAGATAGGACTTCTACAATAGCAAATACTTCAGGTTAAAGATGATTAGCTGGATGCTTGGAAAAAGGGAGCTGAGGAAAAAGAGATACAGAAATGGTTCTAGAGAAGGAAGAGAAAAAATTATTTTAAAAAATAATTGCCACATGATCCAGCAACCTTAATTCTGAGTATATACCCAAAGGAAATGAAATCAGTGTATTTAAGGAATATCTGCATTCCCCTGTTCATTATAGCACTATTCGCAATAGGCAAGATGGGAAATCAACCTATCTATTAGCAGACAAATGAATAAAGATAATGTAAATAGTACGCACAATGGAATACTATTCAGCCTTTAAAAAAGAAGAAAATCCTGTCATTTGCAATAACATGGATGAACCTGGAGGACATTACATTAAGTGAAATAAGACAAACAAAGAAGGACAAACACCACATGATCTCACTTATACGTGGAATCTGAAAAAGGTGAATTCATAGAAGTAGAGAGGAGAACAGTGGGGTTTGTAGGGGGATTGGGGGGATGTTGGTCCAAGGTTACAAAATTTTAGGTAGACAGGAGAAATAAATTCAACAGATCCCCTGTACAACATAGTGACTATAGTTAATAACAATGTATTATATTCTTGACTATCACAAAAAAAAGTGTTCTCATCACCAGAAAAAAAAATGATAAATATGTGAGGTAATGTACATGTTAATTAGCTTGGTTTAGCCATTCCACAATATATACATATTCCAAACATGTTGTGTATGATAAATATATATAATTTTTACTTGTTAATTTAAATAAAGATATCAAAAACTGGATAAAGATGGCAAAGTGAACACAAATGCTATTCTCTATCATAACCCAAATACCTTTAAAGTGACAGAAAAAAACGTATTTTTAAATAATAACATTTATAACAATCTTGGCAAAAATAAACAGCATCGTTAACAGAAATCTTAAAGAATTCCTGGAAGTTAGGGAGAAATCAGATTTATAATGAAACCACAGCAACAGAAAACTGCCATCCGAAACACTAAGATGTTCGTGGAAAAAAAGGATGACAAGATAATGCACAAAGCAGGTATTTAATATTACTGACAGCGGATTAATATCCAGAATATATAAAGAATATCTAGGAATCAATAAAAGGCTGGGCGCAGTGGCTCACACCTGTATTCCCAGCACTTTGGGAGGCCGAGGCAGGTGGATCACTTGAGCTCAGGAGTTCGAGACCAGCTTGGCCAACATGGTGAAACCCTGTCTCTGCTAAAAATACAAAAATTAGCCAGGCATGGTGGTGTGCGCCTGTAGTCCCAGATACTCCAGAGGCTAAGGCAGGAGAATCCCTTGAACCCGAGAGGCAGAGGTTGCAGTGAGCCGAGATCACGCCACTGCACTCCAGCCTGGGAGACAGGGCGAGACTCTCTCTCTCAAAAAAAAAAAAAAAGAATCAATAAAGGTTTTTAAAGTACCCACAGAAAAATGGGCAACAAACACAAATAGGAATTTCAAAGACAAAACACAAATGCCCAATAAACATATTGGGACACAACCTCAGCAGTAATCAGAGAAATGCCAATTAAAAGCAATGCCTGCCAGGCATGGTGGCTCTCACACCTATAATCCTAGCACTTTGGGAGGCCAAGGCGAGCCTATCGCTTAAGGCCAGGAGTTCCAGACCAGCCTGGGTAACATGGTGAAACCTCATCTCCACTAAAAATACAAAAATTAGCTGGGTGTGGTGGCGGGCGCCTGTAATCCCAGCTACACAGGAGTCTGAGGCAGGAGAATCGCTTGAACCCAGGAGGCGGAGGTTGCAGTGAGCCAAGATCACACCACTGCACTCCAGCCTGGGTGACAGAGTCTCAAAAAAAAAAAAAAAAAAAAGGCTGCGCACGGTGGCTCATGCCTATAATCACAGCACTTTGGGAGGCTGAGGTGGGCAGATCACCTGAGGTCAGGAGTTCGAGACCAGTCTGAACAACATGGCAATACCCTATCTCTACTAAAAATACAAAAACAATTAGCTGGGCATGGTGGCACACACCTGTAATCCCAGCTACTCGGGAGGCTGAGGCAGGAGAATCGCTTGAACCCAGGAGGCAGAGGTTGCAGTGAGCTGAGATCACACCACTGCACTCCAGCCTGGGCAACAGAGTGAGACTCCGTCTAAAAAAAAAAAAAAAATTCTAATTGTATAAGATTATAGATCTGCCAAAGTCTCAAGAGGAGAGTTCAGTGCTCACACTTGATTCCCTTTCTCCTTTGAAATGAAAATTTCAAATAATACAAAGCACAAGGAAGAAAATAGTAACCTAAGGTGGAACATCTAAAAGCCAAACTGCAAATGAATGATATGGTAACAAAAGGAAAAGGTACCAGAGAAGCTGAAAGCAGTCTAGGGGTAAAGAGGAGGGGACAGTGTCTCTCCATTATACACACTAAGTCTCCTGACCTCAGGAAATAACCACGTGCTGCGGTTGGCTCCCATGATCCTTGCTATTGTTAAACACTGTATGGATGCATACGAGAGACAATAAGACAAGAAAAAATATATAAGATATAAATCATAGAAATAAAGAAGCAATGCTAGAAAATCTAGAAGCGGCACCCTAGAAAGCAACCTAGAAAATCCAACATAGCAACTAAAAATCTATGAAAATAATAGAATTCGGCAGTTTAGCCAGACAAAAGAACAAACAGAACAAATGAAACAACATAAAAGCTGGATGTAGTGGCTCATGCCTGTAATCCCAGAACTTTGGGAGGCTGAGGTGGATGGATCCTTTGAGTCCAGGAGTTTGAGACCAGCCTGGGTAACATGGTGAGACCCCGTCTCTACAAAAAATACAAAAATTAGCTGGGCATGGTGGTGCACACCTGTAATCCCAGCTACTTGGGAGGCTAAGGCAGGAGGATAGCTTGAGCCCAAGGGACAGAGGCTGCAGTGAGCCAAGATCATGCCACTGCACTCCAGCCTGGTTGCTAAAGCGAAACCCTATCTCAAAAAAAAAAAAAGAAAAAAATAGACAAGCACATTCTTATTTACCATTAATAAGCAATTAAAAATTGTACTATTTTATTTTATTTTATTATTTTTAGACAGGGTCTCACTCTGTCACCCGGGCTGGCTCACTGCAGCCTCTGCCTCCTGGGCTCAAGCAATCCTCCCACTTCAGCCACCCGAGTAGCTAGGACAACAGGTGCATACAACCATGCCAAGCAAATTTTTGAATTCTTGTAGAGATGAGGTTTCACCATATTGCCAGGCTGGTCTTGAACTCTTGGGCTCAAGTGATTCACCTCCCTCATCCTCCCAAAGTGCTAGAACTACAGGTGTAAGCCACCGTGCCCAAGCAGAAATTGTAATTTTTAAAATTCCATTCATTACAGCAACAAAAATTATAAAATGTCTGAGAATGCACCTGAAAAAGTGTACAAAACTGATATGAATAAAACTATAAAAATTCACTCCCAAACACAAAAGGTGGCCTGAATAAAGGGAAAAACATTCCATGCCCTTGAATGTGAAGGCTCACTTTTGTGAAGGAATCATTTCTTTCCCAAATTAATTCATAAATTATCAAAGCAAACTAAATCAAAATCCCAATATAATTTCATAATGAAACTTGATAAATTGAGTATAAGTTTCCTCTGAATGAGAAAATGAATGTTTGAGGATAGTCAAGAAATGTTTTAAGGTGAGACACAGTGGTTCACACCTGTAATCCCAGTAATTTGGGAGGCCAAGGTGGGTGGATCACTTGAGCTCAAGAGTTCGAGACCAGCCTGGCCAACATGGTGAAACCCCATCTCTACTAAAAATACAAAAATTAACCTGGCATGATGATGTGGCCTGTAATCCCAGCTACTCGGGAGGCTGAGGCAGGTGGATCACTTCAACCCAGGAGGTGGAGGTTGCAGTGAGTCAAACGAAATGTTTTAACAGTAAGTAGGACTTGATCCACTGGCTATTAAAAGATTTTTTAAGTCTACCATTGGTGCAATAATAGACGACAGAAATGAAAGAGAGTAGGAAACTTGAAAAGAGACTCATTGTGAATCAGAATACATTTAGGTAAAATGGTATTTAAAATCAGTAGAGAAAGGAAGACTTGTTCGATAGATGAGGACAATAGGAGTAGGATATTCATTTAGAAAACATTTAAGCTAAAGCCCTACCTCACACAAATGCTTATTGAAGATCTAGTGATAAGCACTGAAAGAGACATTTTCTGTCCTGTGGCAAGGGCTACAAAAGAATGCCCCTTGCTGCTATGAGAACTCAGAATTTGCCTTTATTAAGCCAGATTAAAAAGTAAGTAAAATTGTTTTTTTAAAAAAAGAGAGAATTCAGAAGAGTGGAAACTGGCTTAGTGAAGTCAGTAAAGCCTTCCCTGAAACAGACTGGGTTGAGTTCTAAAAACTGAAAAAAATAAGGATTTGCCTGGCTAAGAGTCGGAGGGAAACATACCTTGCAAAGGACACAGCTTGTACAAAAGCTCAGGGAGAAAGGAAGGATGCAGGCAGCATTCAAGGAAGCGGAGGAGGTTAGTATGGCTGGCACTTAGAAAAGAGGGAGCGGCCAGGTGCGGTGGCTCACGCCTGTAATCCTAGCACATTGGGAGCCCGAGGCGGGCGGATTGCCTGAGCTCTGGAGTTCAAAACCAGCCTGGGCAATGTGGTGAAACCCCATCTCTACTAAAAACACACAAAAAAATTAGCTGGGTGTGGCAGCATGTACCTGTAGTCCCAGCTACTGGCGAGGAGGCTGAGGCAGGAGAACTGCTTGAACCCAGGAGGCAGAGGTTGCAGTGAGCCGAGATCATGCCACTGCACTCCAGCCTAAACAACAAGAGCTGGAATCCATCTCAAAAAAAAAAGGAAAAAAAGAAAAGAGGGAGCATGTTGCAAAATGAACCAGCAAAGGCAGGCAGGGGCCAGATCATGCAGAGCCTTGAAAGCCACATTAAAGGTTCCAATCCCTATCCTAAGAGCTATCGGAATCTACTGAGAGTCTTTGCCAGGGGAGTGACCAGAAGAGATCTTGGTTTTGAAAAGGTCAACTCTGGCTGCAAGAGAGAAAACTGGATTGGCTGAGAGGCCGTACTGAATAAGAGGGTAAGAGAATGTGGACAATAGCCATAGGCCACACAAAAGATACAGGTGGTGGCAAAGAAAATAGAAGGCGATGGGCCAATTTAAAATGTATTTACAGGCCAGCCATGGTGGCTTATGCCTGTAACCCCAGCACTTTCGGAGGCTGAGGCAGGCGGATCACTTGAGGTCAGAAGTTCAAGACCAGCCTGGCCAACATGGTGAAACCCCATCTCTACTAAAAATACAAAAATTAGCTGGGCATGATGGCGGACCCCTGTAATCCCAGCTACTCGGGAGGTTGAGGCAGGAGTATCATTTGAACTCAGGAGGCAGAGGTTGTGGTGAGCTGAGATTGTGCCACTACACTCCAGCCTGGGCAACAGAGTGAGACTCAATCTCAAAAAATAAAAATAAAATGTATTTAGAAAAAGAAAAAATGTATTTAGAAGGTAATATGTATAGAAGTTATTAGTGGATTGGATACTAAGGGTAAGAGCAAAGGAGGTGTCAAGACTAGATGGATGGTTATGCAATCCACTGAGATAAAGAGCACAGGATTAACCTGAAGCTGGTGAAATCACAAATTCAGGCTTGGACATGCCATTTGAGACACCTTTGAGATATTCAACTATAGCTGTAAAGTAGGCAATATAGAACCTTGGAGAAAATATTCATGTATCAATTTTTAATGGAACATAAAATAGAGTACTACTAACTGCCATAACAAATAAACCCCACAGTTTTGCAGATTTAACTGTATTGATTTTTCACCCACAGAACAGTCCAAAGCAGCTCTTGTCCGTTTGCAGTGTGGAGACTCAGGCTTTCTCCTTGTGACCTGTTCCTCCCCTAGGGCCTCACAGGTCTTCTGCATACAGGCAGAAGTGGAAAAAGAAAGTGGAGAACACACATCTTAACCACCTCAGCCAGGAAGTGGCACACATTACACATCATTTCTCACTATATGCCATTGGTAAGAACTACTCACATGCAAAGAAGCTGAGAATTAGAGTCCCTAGCTGAGCAACTGCTCCCAAGTGTAGCATTGCCAGACAAAATACAGGACGCCTAGTTAAATTTCAGTTTCAGTCAAAAGTGAATGATGTTTTGGCTGGGCGTGGTGGCTCACGTCTGTAATCCCAGCACTTTGGGAGGCCAAGGTGGGCAGATCACCTGAGTTCAGGAGTTCGAGACCAGCCCGACCAACATGGAGAAACCCTATCTCTACTAAAAATACAAAATTAGCCAGGCGTGGTGGCACACGCCTGTAATCCCACCTACTTGGGAGGCTGAGACGGGAGAATTGCTTGAACCCGAGAGGTGGAGGTTGCAGTGAGCTGAGGTCGCACCATTGCACTCCAGCCTAGGCAACAAGAGCAAAACTCCGTCAAAAAAAAAAAGTGAATGGTGTTTTAATATAAGAATGTCCCCCATATTGTATTTGAAGTTCAAATTTCACTGGGTATCTTGTTTTTCAAGTTTGTTTGCTAAATCTGGCAACCCTATCCCAGGGACAATCCTATCTATGGCAGGGGGTCACATATTTTGATGGATAGTTAGTCATGTCTGCCGCATGATAAAAATAACTTAGAGAAAATGTGGTACAAATGCATCACGGAATAGTATGCAGTCATAAAAAAGGAATGATATCATGTCCTTTGCAGCAACATGGATGTAGCTGGAGGCCATAATCCTAAATGAACTAACCCAGGAACAGAAAACCAATACCGCATGTTCTCACTTATAAGTGGGAGCTAAACACTGGGTACTCATAGACATAAAGATGGCAACAATAGAAACTAGAGGCTGCTAGAGTGGGGAGGGAGGCAGGCAAGGGTTCAAAAACTAACTATTGGGTACTATGTTCAGTACTTGGGTGATAGGATAATTCATATCCCAAACCTCAGCATCACACAATATAGCCAGGTAACAAGTACCTGCACATGTAGCCCCTGAATCTAAAAAAAGAGTTTTTTTAAACATGACTTAGAGCAAGCAGACTTCCTCCATATTTCCTGTACAAGCCATGGGTAGGGTTGTGGGGAGGGTATGCAGTAACTTTTTCTTATGTTTGAGAGACCAGGAAAGAGGACTTGTAAGTAGAGGATGAATGAGGAGCACCCTTGATAGATCTTAAAGTCAAAAAATTAGAATCTGGCACAATTCCATGTACTTTATCCATTTAGTCAATGAGCATTTACTGAGCACCTACTATGCTCTAAGTGCCACACTAGAGGCTGAAGATGCTGAGAAACTACAATCTATATCCTCAAGAAGCTTACGGTTCTGTGGAGTCAGGGGGAAAAGGAGGAAGCATAACTCAGCAGATGAAGGAGCCCTTAAGTCAAACTGGTGGAAACCCAGAAAGTGTCCCAAGGGAGATGGTGGCTGAATTGCACCTTAAAAGTCAGGCAAGTAGGAATTAACCAAATGAAGGTATACAGATTGCTACATTCACTCATGGAGTAGTAACTGGTACAGGACATACCCTCCCACTATAAACATCTAGAAAACTGGGCAAAATATATGACATAGTTGGCCCCAGGCAGAGCGGGACTGTGATACCTGAGAGAAGAGAGACAAACAAGGGGAACCCTCTCTACAATTGCCCTAGGTTTCTGCTTGGAGGCCATTCATGGACCTTGGCAGAGGGAAAGGAACCCAGATAGAACCTGGAAGACTCACTGAGTTGAGTAGACAAAGATAGGCATTTGGGGAGTTTGATGGTTAAGTGTTTATGTGTCAACTTTACTGAATTAAGGGATACCCAGGGATCTGGTAAAAACATTGCTGGCTGTTCCTGTGAGGATGATTCCAGAAGAGACAAGCATTAGAATCAGTAGACTGAGTAAAGAAGAGCCACTGAGGTGGGCATCATCCAATCCATTGAGAACCCTGATAGAACAAAAAGATGAAAGAAAGAACGGCAATTCTCTCTCTCTCTCTCTCTCTCTGTGTGTGTGTGTGTGTGTGTGTGTGTCTTTCTCTCTCTCTCTCCTCTCTGTGTGTGTGTGTGTGTGTGTGTCTCTCCTCTCTCTCTCACTGGAACATTCTCCTTCTCCTGCCCTTGGACGTTAGAGCTCCCGGTTCTTGAGCCTTCAGACTCTGGGACTGATACCAATGCCCGCCTCACTCCCAGACTTGGGCTGGGAGTTACCCAGTTGCCTTCTCTGATTCTCAGGCCTTTGGATTCAGACTGAACTATGCTGCTGGCTTTCCTGGTTCTCCAGCTTTCAGGCAGCATATCACGGGACTTCTTGGCCTCCAAAACTGTGTGACCCAATTCCCATAATAAATATACTTTTATATATCTCTGTATATCCTATTGGTTTGGTTTCTCTGGTGAGCCCTGACTAACACAGGGAGGCTAAGGTAGCTGGAATTTATTGGCCAGCGTACCAGAGAGGAGGGAGCTATACAGAGAAAACTTTACAGAAATCTGCGCAAGGTTCTCCTCAAGTGTTTGACTGAATACTAAGCCATACACAGTTAGGGCAAAGCTCCATGAAGCCAAAAAAAAAAAAAAAAAAAAAAAAGACAACTTGACAACTTTCAGGTAGCTCTGAGATGAACATTCTCAGAGCCCATTTAGGGTTGAGAGATGTTTTGATCTCCTCTCGGCCAAAGTAGAGAGGACTCACTGAATACAAGGGCATTCAGAGTGACCCCAGAGTGTCACGCCTTAGTGGTAGAGTAAAAGCTACTCTGGACCAGACCTAACAAGCTGAAAATCAAGCCTAGAGAAAAATCAAGCTGATCTGCAAGTAAGTTTACTGCCCACCGAAACAAACTTCAACACTACTTAGACAACAAAATCCAAACCCTCAACGAAATATCATTCATAATGTCGACATCTAATTTAAAAATTACTAGACATGCAAAGAAGTAGGAAAATCTGATTCAAACCAGGAGAAAAGTTAGTCAATAGAAACAGAATCAGAAATAACAGAGATAATGGAATTACCAAGTGAAGGTGTGTGGGAAGGCAATAGAATTCCAAGCCAAGAGAGTATTGAAATACACAAGCCTTCTGGAGTATGTCCAGTTTCTTTTGGTTGCACTGGTGAGAACAGGTTGCACAGGACAGGCACCCACTACCATCAGATGGGCTGGGTGACATGGGACAAAGGTAGAAGTAGGCTCTTCTGGAGAAACTTGGAAGACTAATGTAGGTCCCGTTAACTGACAAACAGAATGGCTGCCTTCCTCCCACTAAGGTGGTTCAAAGTCCCTGGGACAAGCCAGAATTTGAGTGTTTCTGTCCTAATCATAGTTTTCTCATTTATTTCTAAGATGAACTTGAATTAAATACTTGCATTTCTAAAGAAAGGAAAGGGAGCTGAGCTTTAACGAGCACTCACTATGCACCAGCAACTATACCCAAGCACCCTCAAATTCATTACTTAATCCTTAGACCAGTTCTGAAAGACAGGTACATATCTCTTTAGAAATGGAAACTGGACAACAAATTAAGGAACTTGCTTGTGTCAGTCAAGTAAAGTCAATTTGAACTGAAATCTGTGAAATTCAATGAATCAAACTGTGGTGAACATTTTGAAGTCCTCTTGTGTAGTGCCACCTTTGCAGTCAACATACTTGGGTTTAATTTTCAGCTTAGCCATTAGCTAGCTGTTTGCCTTTCAAAAGTTCCCAACCTCTTCAAGACTCAGTTTCTACATCTGTTGAGTGGGAGAACAAATCATACTTTGTACAGTCATGGGGAAGATTAAGTGAGAAGATTAAGAATGTAAAGAGCCATAGAAGCAAGTATATACCAGGTGTTCAACAAATATCTGCCCACTTGGTCCTCCTCTTCCTCCTCCTCCATTCATTAAATATCTGATTCTGACCATATATAACTGCAGGAGGATGAAAACCAAAGCCATAACCATAACCAAATCAAATAGAAAACTTTTTCTGCAAAAGTATGTCAGTGGTTCTCAAAATCAGATCCCTGGACCAAGAGCATTAGCATCACCCAGAATTTGTTAAAAATGTACATTTTATTACCTCACCCCAGACCCACTAAACCAGAAATTCTGAGAGTGGGACCCAGCAATCTATGTTTTAAGAAAGTTTGGCACCATTGATACACACCAATGTTTCCGAACCACTTGTATGATAGTTCTTTCATTGCATCAATTTAATTCATATATTACATAGACTGTGGCTAGGTCTAAACAATCAATCTAACAATTGCTCATTCTCTTTTGTTTTATAGAGTGCCTTCAGATTAACTTATTCTGATTAAATCTCTCTCCAGGAAAGAGTAAACCAAGTAAAATGGTGTTACATTAAAAACGTTACAGAAAAAAGACTAGCTAAGCTATTTATGTGATACAGAAAGATAAATGTAGAGAAGTTCTTCTTGAGAAAACTATTTTAATGGCCAAGTAGAGAGAGTGAAGCCTAAATTGGAAGCATTATCCCTAATCCCAATAGCAGGTTAGCACAAGTGACCCTTCAAAAATCCAACCATTTTCACAATAAATACTTTTTTCTTTTAATTTAGCTGTTTCTATTCCAATCCCTTTAACTAAAGTTTAATTACTAATTCAGCTGTCCTGTATTCCTGACCTGAAATTTTTGGAAACTATAAGGCAATTTTGATTTAGAAACCAGGCACTTGTCATTAGGTGCAAACGTTTACGTGCTGAAGACCTCAAACTATTGAAAGTTACAAAACAAGAACTGGGTGTGGGTTGGGCAGCTGAAACCAATTATGCAGATTTGGCATCTAAAGAAAATGGTACATCTGAATACTTAGAATGAGTCCCAATTATATTCCAGTTGTTTTCATTTTTTCCAATTGCTGCAACACTCCTCCACATCCCTCTCCCAGGGCGGTACTCCTCCATCCTTGCTTGCAGATGATTTCAATTGTTTTCCATTTTTTTAATCTTCTCTTTTATCTCAGATGCTTTTCCTTCCTTCCTCATTTCATCATTTTTTTAACAAGACAGTCATGCATCTGATGATTCTACAGATGCAGGGATTTTTCTTCCTGTCCTTGAAGTGACAGCTTGTCTTTCCCCTCAAGTGTCTTTGTCGCAATGCCTGATAAACTGTTTATTTTTCCTAACGGCTTTCCTTTTTAGCCTGAAAAACAAACATTAACCAAAAACCTCCTTGTTTCACTAAATTGTCACTTTCAATGCAATCCCTGGTGCTGGAGCGCCGCCTGCTGAGTAAATGAGAATTAGCAGGTCATAGTGCCTTTGGTTTAGCAGCAGAAAAAATAATGGGCCATTTTATCATCAACAGATTCTTCAGAAATGACTGACTGGTGTAACATTCTGGATATTGTTCCTTCCCCAACAATGCTGCTGAAGTCATTGTACATTATTTATAAGAACCCAAAGTATTTTTAAAACTGCTTATTTTAGGCTGGGCGCGGTGGCTCACGCCTATAATCCCAGCACTTTGGGAGGCCGAGGCGGGCGGATCATGAGGTCAGGAGATCGAGACCATCCTGGCTAACACGGTGAAACCCCGTCTCTACTAAAAATACAAAAATATTAGCCGGGCGTGGTGGCGGGCGCCTGTAGTCCCAGCTACTCGGGAGGCTGAGGCAGGAGAATGGCGTGAACCCGGGAGGCAGATTTTGCAGTGAGTGGAGATCAGGCCACTGCACTCCAGCCTGGGTGACAGAGCGAGACTCCATCTCAAAAAAAAAAAAAAAAACCTGCATACTTTAGCACCATCTACTAAAAACTCAGCAAAATGTCCTCCATAGAATAGGTGCTCAATAAAAACTTGTAGATAGCAGTTTATTAATATCATGTGAAAACATTTATCAAACTGTATTTCAGTTGTCTACTTCTCTTTCTCCCTAAAAAACCGTAGGGCTCCTTGAGGGGGAAAAAAACATACACGTTTTTTTAAAAAACCTATATATTGGCCGAGTGTGGTGGCTGACACCTGTAATCTCAGTACTTTGGGAGGCCAAGGCGGGCAGATCACTTGAGGTCAGGAGTTTGAAACCAGCCTGGCCAATATGGTGAAATCCCATCTCTACTAAAAATACAAAAATTAGCCGGGCGTTCTTGCAGGCGCCTGTAATCCCAGCTACTCAGGAGGCTGAAGCAGGAGAATCGCTTGAACCTGGGAGGCAGAGGTTGCAGTGAGCCAAGATTGCACCATAGAACCCCAGCCTGGGCTACAGAGAGAGACTCAGTCTTTAAAACAAAACAAAACAACAACAACAAAAAAGATATATTTCACTGTAGGTATTCAAAATACATTTGAAGAATACTGATTAAATAATTCTAAATATTTAATAGTCATCATCTCTAGCGCCCATTATGTGCTAAGAACTGTTCTAGCTATTCAACAAACATTTTCTCTAATCCTTAAAACCTGCCCGACAATTTTTGGAAAAAGCTCATCAGCTGTAACTTGACGTCCCAGCTGAACGCAAAACCCTCATTTCCAGGGCTTCTCTGTTACTCTGACACATTCTTTGCACCTGGTTTTTCAGAAGCTTACATTTTATTTTTTTTTTGTTTTTGTTTTTTGTTTTTGTTTGTTTGGTTGGTTTTTTTGTTTGTTTGTTTTTTTGAGACACAGTCTCACTCTGTTGCACAGGCTGGAGTGCAGTGACGCGATCTCGGCTCATTGCAAGCTCCACATCCTGGGTTCACAACATTCTCCTTCCTCAGCCTCCCAAGTAGCTGGGACTACAGGTGCCCGCCACCATGCTTGGGTAATTTTCTTGTATTTTTAGTAGAGAAGGGTTTCACCATGTTGTCCAGGCTGGTCTCGAACTCCTAACCTCAGGTTATCTGCCCACCTCGGCCTCCTAAAGTTCTGGGATTACAGGCCTGAGCCAGCGCATCCAGCCCGGAAACTTACATTTTCAACAGTAGCTTGAGACATTTTCCTGTCAGTGGTCCTTACACAAGGTGAGAAATCATGCACTGACAAAAATTACAAACCCAGGTGTAGTAGATGAAAGAAATGGCCGCCAATTCTTTCCCTCCTTGTACCTACACCCTAGTAATGTGACACTGTAACTCCTTCCATCAAGGAGTAAAGTGTTTTTCTCCCCTTCTTGAATCTGGACTGGCCTTGAGATTTTCTTGGGCCTATACCTCAAAAAACCTTGCATGCGTCTGTTCTCATGCATGGAACCCTGAGCTGCCATGAGAATGAGCTAGCATGGGAAAGAGTGAGTGATCACATGGAGAAAGACTGGCCATCTCAGCCGAACCCATGGTCAGTCAACCCAGCCAAACTATCAGCTGACTAGAGACACATGAGCAAGTGCATCCAAGACCATCCAAACTCAACCTGGACCAGAAGCTCTTCCCAGCTTATCCCAGCCCAAATTAAAGAACAACCTTCAGAATCGTTAGCTAAATAAATAGCTATAATGCCATATAAACCAGAAACATCACCTATTATATATTATAGCCTTAAACGGTTAACTTGAATCTAATCAAGACTCAGATCTAACTTCCAGTTCACAGGAAATGTAAGATAAAGGAACAAGCTAACTGATGTTTTGAGGTGAGGCAGGAATACATAAATACACACATAGACACACGCCACACACACACCAATTTACACTCTTACTTTAATGGGTTAAGTTAGCCAAAAGTAGTCTCAAAAAATTTTTAAAAGGATCAAATTCATGTCCCAGAATTGCCCAGAATGTTTACAGTGTTCTGTCAACAGAAGATGTGAAGTTGTATTTTGTGGATCCCATAGAATGTTGAAGTCTAGCCACTTGAGAATCTGTGAAGATTTATCTATATGCAGCCTCTGGATTGATCACTTCCAAGTTAAATCTTTTTTAGGATCATTTTAACAGTCAGTTTCTGAAGCCAGCCGTACAGTCTCTATGATTCACTCAGATCCAGGGAAAATCATCAGACTGACCATTTTTCATCTCAAAATATTTATTCTCATTGGCATAAGAAAGGATTTATTATCAACTTATGCAAGATGCAGATAATAAATCAGCCTTAGGAGTTTGTAGTAGAAATGATTAAATATGGCAGGAGTTTGAGCTCATCTGGTGTCTGGAATGGTTTGGGGTTTTGAAATTCTTTTTAACTACTATTATACAGTTTTAAAACCCGAAACATATTTTCTTAAGGCTTTTTTCCTTCATTTCTAAACCCAAGCGTATGATCAAGGAAAATGGAATCCTTGTGCTATTGAATGTATTTACACTCCATTCAGTTCAGTGCATTACAATGTATGACACTGACATTCTCTTTTGTAGGAGTTATTTCAAGGCCTAAATGATTCTGAAGCTAAAATTTTAGGGAATTTTCTTTCCCAGCCCCTGAAAGAGTCCCAAAATTTGCAAGCCATACTTTTGACTCCTCACCTGGAATATCAGGTTCTTAAAAGTTTTAATATTCATATGATGGAAAGATTAGTGAAACAAGTTCTTCCCCTCTCTCTTTTGTCCTTGACTCTAACTGCTCTGGATAAATAGAACGAAATGGTGTCTTTATGAAGAAACAATCAATACTATCTTGCAAGTCTCTCAGCAACTGAGTGGAATGGGATGACAGTGGAGAATTCCACAGTAAAGAAATAAAGGGCACAGTATGAATACAAGGTGCTACCAGACTCTTCCCAAAGCCCTTTGCAAAATAGTGTCTCCTATTATTGCAGCATCCCCAAGGGGCGGGTGGAGAATTGTTAATGGTACAACTGGAAAAGCTTGTTAATGCAAGCTCAGGAGAGTGCCTTTACCTCCTGAGCTTCTTGGGCTTCCTCTGGAAAGTGACAGGCTACCCTGATCCCAAAAGATGTTATGTGAGTGTTTCTCCTGCACGTCCATCACGGTGCTGGTAGCTGAAGCTCCATGCTTGGGCAAATGAGCTAGTGACACTAGAAAGGAACAGTTTTGAAGACTGACAGTGTCTCAGAGAACTGGCTGTGCAAAAAGGGAAGTGCTTACATTTAAAGATTTTAAAAAAAAAAGATTTTGTGCATTAGCATTAAGTAAAAATAAATTTAAAAGGATAGGTGTGGATAGATTGCATTGTCCATCATTTGTGAAAAGTATCACATCAGATGTTGCTAACATGCAAGTATAAAGGCTTTTCAATCACTTATTTTTCAAATATGAATTAAAGCAGATTAGAAGTTATCCCTACAAAAATGCCACTCTTACCAGCATTTCCTAGATTAGGGAGGAAAGATACTATTACCACCAGAATCCTGGAAATTGTATATTAAGTGTTCCAGTTACTGTAACTGCATAACAACATATTTCAAATGTAGAACTGTAAAACAACAATCACTTTACTTTGCTCACAAATTCCGTGGGTCAGGAATTCAGACAGAGCTGGATTGGGCAGTTCTCACTTGGGGTCACTCAAGAGGTTGCAGTCAGATGTTAGCTGAGGCTGCAGATAATTGAAGGTTCCGACATCCAAGATAGTTCCTCCACACAGCTAGCAGTGGATGCTAGCCATTGACTGGGAGCTCCACTGGGGCTGACCAGGGAGCCTACTTATGACTGCGCCAGCATGGCCGTCTCAAGGTAGTTGACTTCTGACATAGCAGATCAAAGCTCTAAATGCAAGTGTCCCAGCAACCAAAAAAGTTGCAAAACTTTTTATGACTTGACCTTGAAGTCACATAGATCACTTCTGTCATATTCTATTGGCCAAAGCGGTCACACACCTGCCTAGATTCAAGGGAAGAAACTCCTCTTAAGGGGAAGTGTGTCAAGAATTTACAGATAAGACTTTAAAACCATCACTATCACTATAAATACTATCACTTAAGTGCGTTATGTCATTGGAAGTTAACCACAAAGGCAGACGCTATTGCTGCCCTGTCCTATATCACCCTGGTCCATGTCTGAGTTCAATGGCAACTACGGTGGACAGTTCCTGTGACTGCTGACAGCTTCCTACCTCAGGTCCCCAAGTGTAGCATCCCCTGTTCCTTCCAGTTTTTCCTTTGTCCTGGCCAAGAAATACAAAGTGCCTTAACTGCTGTGTGACCAGCCAGCTGCATATTTTTTCCTGCAGGCTTGAACCGAAGCCAGGCCTTAAATATTCCCAGACACTGATAAACTAATTTAGGTTGTTGCCTGAACCACGAAAAGAACAAACATGTTGCTAAACATGTAGAAAGTAGCCCCCATCCCTAAACAGAATTCCTTAGACCCACATATAAACTCCATACCTGGATCTGCATGTTATGGACATACCTAGACAGATCTTGTTTCACTGTCTGTCAAGCGGACACGCTGCAGCCCCCTCCATACATAAGTTCCCCTAATAAGTGTTTGCACTGATCACCCTGGCATTTAGTGTTTCTTTCTTTGGAATCCCATCCAGCCCCATCTCAGGATAGTTTGGGGCAGTTGCCTGCAGGAATTCCCCTGCTGCCACTTTTGGGCTGATTCCAGGCTCCAGTTCAGCCACACAGAACACCAGGTCTCTCTGTTTCTCAGCCTGAGGGTTTCTCTGGTAAGTGGGAACTGGCTCAGCATACAGAGGTAAGCTTTAGCCAATAAGAGACAGAGTCAGTGGACAAATACCCCGACTCCCTTGTCCCTTAATGGGACAATTCTGAGGCACATTCAAGCAGTCCCCGACATGACTGAGCTCAGATGCCCTTAGTGGCACCCAGCTCATTAGGCCCAGCACAGGCTCTCCTCTCCCCCTCTGGATTTCTCCCTCCCTCATTTCTGCTTCCTGGCATCACTTCCCAGCAGCCAACTGCTTGTCTCTGAATTGGCTTTGGGAGCACTCAAACTAAACATCCATTATATGTGTCTGGGACTGAGTATAAATGACCTCTAAGGTCCCTCCCTAGTCTGAATTCCTATTATCGTTATCATTTCATCCTTTCATCCTTTTTTTTTTTTTTTAAGACAGGGTTTCCTCTGTTGCCCAGGCTGAAGTGCAGTTATGTGATCATAGGTCACTGCAGCCTCAAACTCCTGGATTCAAACAATCCTCCCATCTCAGCCTCCAGAGTAGCTAGGACTACAGGTGCACACCACCATGCCCAACTAGTTTGTTTAATTTTTTGGAGAGATTGCAGTGGGGGTGGAGGGGGCGGTGCTCTTGCTATATTGCCCAGGCTGGTCTTGAACTCCTAGTGATCCTCCTGCCTCAGCCTCCCTAAGTGCGGAAATGGATGCTTTTATAAACATGGTTACCCGAGAAGCTCTAGGATTGTCCTGAGTTCTCAAAGAAGTCACAGGGTAAAGCCAAAATCACCCCAATGCCAGGGTGGATAACAATGTTTCATTAGTTGATCCCACCTTCCGAATAAAATAAAGCATTTCTTATTCCAAAAAAGAAAGTCCTCGCTCCCATAAAGTAGCCATAAAAATCAGCACTAAACAATGGTCTAAAGTCTGAAAAATTAAGTGAGACTACAAATAGAAATATCCCATTAAAACCTAAACTTTCATAGACAGCAAACTTAGGGTAATTGCAATGTCTATAGCTAAGGGTACATTTTGTTTTATTCTTTAACTTCTCATGCCTCCAAGAAGTACAGTCATGCACCACATAATGATGTTTCAATCAATGAAAAGCCACATATATGACAGTGGTCCCATTAGATTATGCCATATTTTTACTGTACCTTTTCTATATTTAGTTATGTTTAGACACACATACTTATCACTGTGTCAGAACTGCCTACTGTATTTAGTACAGTAACATGCTATGCAGCTTTGCAGCCTAGAAGCAATAGACTATACCATACAGCATAGGTGTGTAGTAGGTTATCCCATCTAGGTTTGGGTAAGTACACTCTGTGGTGTTTACAGGATGAAATCGCCTAATGACACATTTTTCAACAAGTATTCCTGTTGTTAAGCAACGCATGCATCCAGGCTCAAGTTACGCTCTGAAATTAGCTTATCAAATGAATCAGCCTTCCCTTGGCTCTTAAATCTTATATAATTAGCTTTGTAACATAATGCGTTCAGTGGCTGTGGGCAAAGCTCAAAGGAGTGAGAAAATCCATTTAGGGCAGTTGCCAGAATTTCCGGTGTTTCCTCAAGCTGAGCTGCTAATTCATTTTCTTGGCATAGCCTAGGATGGATCCCAGATCTGCCAGGCCCTTCTGGCTTCCCCTCCATTGGAAATGACTTGAGATTCAGTCTTCTGTTATTTTGAGGCCTTCTTTTGATGTCCCACCTGAATGAAAGAAGTGTGGTCACAGAAATGACAGAAGTTTATCATTTGTCAAACCTCAGATTTGAGCGGGAATTGATTAACTGCGTTATGTGCCAACCATCCCCAGAGTTTCTCAACTACCACAGCGTGTCAGCAACAAAAGTCACAAAACTGCATAGGAGACAGATACGCAGTTGTTTTCTTGAAAGAACTCCAGAAACCAAATTATACAATTTCTAACACTGGGCTAATTCAGGGGCCTGGTAAACACAGAAACCACAGAGGGGAGGGAAGAGGAAACAGGGGAAAGCAGGATGTCTGGTCTAATTCACCATTCACTTTGCTCTGCTCTGTTTTATAACAATGTCAGCTCTATGGAATAAAACAAAATGTGGCTTCTGTGTCTTTAAGGCCCAGGCAGCACTGGCAATGGATAGGTTTCCATAGCAACTTGTAATTCCACTGTCTATTAAGTGGAAAAGCAACAATAGAAAATCCCTAGCAAATAAAGTGTGATACCTCTCAATGACAATTATCTGCTTATTACAGTCTCGCTTTGAGTGCTTAAAAATACAAACACCTAGAATCTTTTACTATGTTTGAATGAAGCAGCGCTATTTCTTTTCTTCTTTTTCTTTTGAAAAACTCTTAGACACAAAAGAAGAAACAAGTTTCTGAGGGTGTTGAGACGTCAAGCCTCTTTGGTGGCCCCAGATGAATTCTCCCACTCTACATGCACACTGCACAAAAGCAGAAAGGAGGATTAAGCAATTCAGAAATCTACAGCAACATGAGGTAGATTCCTACCACAGGACCTCATCCAATCAGTGTCCATCAGACTTGCTTGTAAAAGGCCTGGGACCACATGAAGTCTAGGGCAGTGTACTTTGCACACACAAAAAATTTTTTAAGATTATAACCTCATTAAACATCGATAAGCGTCCATCCATAGTCAATCAATTTAAATAACATTTATTGAAAGACTGTTAGGCAATTTGTGAGACACTAGAAAAACAAGGAAGACCTCTAGAAGCTCACAAACGGGGAATGGAAAGAAAAACAGAAATCTTTATGTGACCCGGTTTCTCAAGTGTTATGAGCTGAATTGTGCCTCCCAAAAATTCACATGTTGAAATTCTAACACCCAGTACCTCGGAACATAAACTTATTTAGAGATAGAGTCTTCAAAGAGGTCATTAAAATGAGAGAATTAAGGTGGGCCCAATACAATCCCACTGGTGTCCCTAGAGGGAAGACAATGTGAAGACACAGGCCCCTCCGCAAGCCAAGGAGAGAGGCCTGGAACAGCTCCTTCCCTCACAGCCCTCAGAAGGAACCAACCCTGCCCACATGTTGATCTCAGACTTCCAGCCTCCAGAACTGTCAAGAAATTAACTTCTGTTGTTTAAGCCACCGAGTCCATGGTCCTTTGTTACAGCAGCCCCAGCACATGAATAAACCAAGCTATATCCTTTTTTTTTTTTTTTGAGACGGAGTTTCGCTCTTGTCCCCCAGGCTAGAGTGCAATGGTGCAATCTCGGCTCACTGCAACCTCCACCTCCCAGTTCAAGCGATTCTCCTGCCTCACCCTCCCCAGTAGCTGAGATTACAGGCACCTGCCACCACACCCAGCTAATTTTGTTTTTTATGTTTGTTTGTTTTTTGTATTTTTAATAGAGATGGGGTTTCACCGTGTTGGCCAGGCTGGTCTCGAACTACTGACCTCAGGTGATCCAACCCCCTCGGCGAAAGTGCTGGGATTACAGGTGTGAGCCACTGCACCTGGCCTATTCTTTTTTTTTTTTTTTTTTTTTTTTTGAGACAGAGTCTCACTCAGTCACCCAGGCTGGAGTGCAGTGGTGAGATCTCGGCTCACTGGAACCTCCGCCTCCCAGGTTCAAGCAATTCTTGTGCCTCAGCCTCCCAAGTAACTAGGATTACAGGCATGCACCACCACGCCTGGCTAATTTTTTGTATTTGTAGTATAGATGAGGTTTTGCTATGTTGGCCATGCTGGTCTCGAACTCCTGGCCCCAAGTGATCCTCCCACCTCAGCCTCCCAAAGTGCTGGGATTATAGGCATGAGCCACCGTGCCCGGCCCCAAGCTATATTCTTCTAGAGCAGTGGTTCTCAATCTTTCAGTTGGAACAGAATCACCTGGAAAACTTGTTAAAACACAGACTGCTGGGCCCTATCCCCCAGCCTCTGATCCAGGTGGTCTGTCGTATGACCCCAGAATCTGCATTCTAGGTAGGGATGATGATGATGGTTGGAGGGCTACCCTTTGAGAACCACTGTACTAGGAGGTATTCAAGATACAGGCTGTATCTAATCCTAGCCAACTCAAGTCAGGAGGCGTCATGCTCTCTCCTCCCTGAATCTAAAGTGGATATGATTCCAACCTGAGTTTCACACCCAGGTGCAGTCACAGGCGGTATGCTGCCCAGGTGTGCTTGCCCCGCAGGAGAACACAATCACCAAAGCTGTATCTTACAGAGACCCTAAGCTTTAAGGCACAGTAAGCTTGTCCACTACTAAAACATGGCCCATGAATAAGTGTCCTGGGTTCTGAAATATTAGACCGGCAATTCTCCATCCATGGGGAAATGAGGCAGATGGATGAGGGTGGAGGTTTTCTCTCCTATCCAGGCAGAGGCACAGGGTTGGGGAGAGGGGACAGAAGGATTCTCCCTCTTTTCTCCTCCCTGTAACTCAGGCTACGGGGGCCACAGAAGGCCCAACTCTGGCCCTCCTCTGACTGTGCCCCTGCCCTAAGCCAAGAAGACACACCTTCCCAGAGCCCAGAACCCCTTCTAGACCAAGCTCCAATTAATGTAATTCCCTGGCCAGAGGGACCTGGGCCTTCCAGGCAGGCCCTGAGACTCTTTCCTTGGTCCTCCTGCAGGCAGACCTCACTGCCCATGGTGCGCAGACCTAGGCCCAAAGGGGTGGCTCAGGAGGTGACAGTGTGAAAGATAAGGTAGACAGCTTGGACTCAGGAGCTGGGATGTCCACCGTTATGCGTGAGAGGCTTAGCTGCAGGCGGGTGCTAGGGGTGGAAGGAGCCCTATCTGTAGCATTTACTGATTTCCATAAAATCAATACTACTCCCACCATGGCCAATCTCAAGCTACCAATGCGAAGTCAACTGGCTCACAAAATTCCTGAAACATTGGCTTTCATGAGCTGGTAAGAACTGGCCCCAGCACACCACTGGAGAGGTCCTTCATGCTAGGGGACAACGGCAGGAGTGGAAAAAGGACAAAGGCAGACTGAGGACCTTCATCTATTTTTGCTCTGGCCCTTCATGTATCTGGCCCTGCATTCCTATCAACCAGGATGTTGTTCTGGTCACCGCTGATGATGGCCATCAGTACTGAGCTCACAAAGAAGGACCCTTTGTTCCTTACTATTCGATGTAGAAGATATGGATGACTCTTGGTGTCCATATTCGTCCGTTGTCACAATGCTATAAAGAACTACCTGAGGCTGAGTGTGGTGGCTCAGGCCTGTAATCCCAGCACTTTGGGAGGCCAAGGAGGGTGGATCACTTGAGCTCAGAAATTTGAGACCAGCCTAGGCAACATGGAGAAACCCCGTCTCTACTAAAAATACAAAAGTTAGCTGGGCATGGTGGTGCACACCTGTAGTCCCAGCTACTCGGGAGGCTTAGGCACGAGAATCGCTTGAACCCGGGATGCAAAGACTGCAGTGAGCGGAGATGCCACCATTGCACTCCAGCCCGGGTGACAGAGCGAGACTCGGTCTCAAAAAAAAAAAAAAAAAAAAAGAACTACCTGAGGCCGAATATGGTGGCTCACACCTGTAATCCTAGCATTTTGGGAGACCAAGGTGGGTGGATCACTTGAGCTCAGCAATTCGAGACCAGCCTGGGCAACATGGTAAAACCCCATCTCTATAAAAATTACCAAAAAGTTAGCGGAGCGTGGTGGTGTGTGCCTGTAGTCCCAGCTACTTGGGGTGCTGAGGTAGAAGAATCATTTCAACCCAGGAGGTCGACGCTGCAGTAAGCCAAGATCACACCACTGCACTCCAGCCTGGGTGACAAAGTGAGACCCTGTCTCAAAAAAAAAAAAAGAAAGAAAGAGAGAGAGAAGAAGGAAGGAAGGAAGGAAGGAAGGAAGGAAGGAAGGAAGGAGAAAGAAAGGAAGGGGAAAAAACAAATTAAAAACAAAAAGAACTGGCCGGGTGTGGTGGCTCACGCCTGTAATCCCAGCGCTTTGGGAGGCCAAGGCAGGCTGATCACCTGAGGTCAGGTGTTTGAGACCAGCCTGGCCAACATAGTGAAACCCTGTCTCTACTAAAAATACAAAAATTAGCCAGGCGTGGTGGCAGGCACCTGTAATCCCAGCTACTTGGGAGGCTAAAGCAGGAGAATTGCTTCAACCCAGGAGGCAGAGGTTGCAGTGAGCCGAGATCACGCCACTGCACTCCAGTCTGGGCGACAGAGTGAGACTCTGTCTAAAAAAAAAAAAAAGAACTACTTGAGACCAGACGATTTATGGTGAAAGGAGCTTTAATTGACTCACAGTTCTGCAGGCTATCTATACAGGAAGCATGGCTGGAAGGTCTCAGGAAATTTACACAATCGTGACAGAAGACAAAGGAGAAGCAAGCACGTCTTACCATGGAGGACCAGGAGAGGTGGAGAGTGAAGGGGGAGGCACTTTTAAACATCCAGATCTCATGAGAACTCACTCTCACAAGAACAGCCAGGGGAAATTCCGCCCCCATGATCCAATCACCTCCCATCAGGTCCCTACCCCAACACTGGGAATTACAATTCGACACAAGATCTGGTTGGGGACACAGAGCCAAACCACATCAGTGGCCTACCCAATAGCCTTTCCCCAACAGCTTCTTTCTGGAAGAGCCCGCTGCTCTCTACAGAGGCTGAAAAATGTTAGATACTTGCTTTCCCAGGCTCCCTTGAGGCAGGAGACCCAGTCTGGCCAACAGGAACTGAAGGGTGAAGCCCGCTAGAGCCTTCTGGAAAAGATTCCCCCCTAACATACAAGAGGAAGGTCTCTGCCCTTCTTATCTGGAAATGGTACCTCTGCTGTGATGCCTGAACTGTGGCAGCCATCTTGCAACCATGAGAGAAAACATTAGAAACAGGCACAGGATGACAAAGAAGGATCAGAACTCCTAGGTTCCTTCTTTTCTTTTAATTAATTGTGGTAAAATGTACATAACATAAAATTTACCATCTTAACTTTTTTTTTTTTTTTTTTGAGACAGAGTCTCGCTCTGTCGCCCAGGCTGGAGTGCAATGGCGCGATCTCAACTCACTGCAAGCTCCGCCTCTCAGGTTCACACCGTTCTCCTGCCTCAGCCTCCCAAGTAGCTGGGACTACAGGTGCCCACCACTATGCCCACCTAATTTTTTGTATTTTTAGTAGAGATGGGGTTTCACCGTGTTAGCCAGGATGGTCTCCATCTCCTGACCTCATGATCCACCTGCCTCAGCCTCCCAAAGTGCTGGCATTACAGGCATGAGCCACCGCGCCTGGCCCATCTTAACCATTTTTAAGTGTTCACTTCAATAGTGTTAAATACAATCACTTTGTTGTACAACCCATCTCAAGAATTCTTAAAAATTATTATGGGTGCATAACAGTTGTATGTATTTATGGGGTACATGTGTCATTTTGATGCAGGCATATAATGTATAATGATCAAATCAGGGTAATTGGGGTACCCATCACCTCAAGCATATCATTTCTTTGTGTCAGGGACATGCCAGTTCCACTCTTAGTTTAGAATTCTTTTCATCTTGCAGAACTGAAATTCTGAAATAATTCCCCCTTTCCCCCTCCTCCCAAACCCTGGTAACTATTTTTCTACTTTCTGTTTCTATGAATTTGACTACTCAAAGTACTTCACATAAGTAGAATCTTACAGTATTTGTGACTGGCTTATTTCATTTAGCACAATGTCTTCAAGGTGCATCCATGTTGTAGTATGTGTCAGAATATCCTTCCTTTTTGAGGCTCAATAATAGCACATTTTGTTTATTCATTCATCCTTCTATGGAAATCTGGGGTTTTCCCACATTTTGGCTATTATGAATAATGCTGCTATAAATGTGAGTACAAATATCTCTTCGAGAGCCTGCTGTCAATTCTTTGGGGTATATACCCAGAAGTGGAATTGCTGGATCATATGGTAGTTCTATTTTTAATTTTTTGAGGAACTGCCATACTGTCCTCCACAGCAGCTGCACTGACTTACATCTCCAACAGTGCACAGTGGTTCCAACTTCCCCACATCCTCACCAGCACTTATTTTCTGGTGTTTTTTTTTTCTTCCTGATAGTTGCCATCCTAATGGGTGTAAGGTAGGTGCCTGTGTTTTTTATGGCATTTGTGAAGCCACTGAACCAGCCTGAAATTGTCCTGCCTCTAGAAGTCTTGTGTAGGAAAAAAAATTAATAAGCATCCTTATTACAGAACTCCATGTTTTTTAATTTTTATTTTTTTAAAGATAGGGTCTTGCTCTGTTGCCCAGGCCGGAGTGCAGTGGTTACAGTGAGTGCACAGCTCATTGTACAGCCTCAAACCACCAAACCCAGCTAATTCTGAAATATTTTAATAGAGATGAGGGCTCACTATGTTGCACAGGCTGGTCTTGAACTCCTGGCCTCAAGCAATCCTCCCACCTTGGCCTCCCAAAGAGCTGGGATTACAGGGATGAGACACTATGCTCTGCCTGAACTCCCTTTTAGACAGAGCTTAAGCACCTTCTAATTGATGCACTGCTCCTTCAGTAATACAGAAAGTATTAATTCTTTTCATGATTTACTTTCGTTTATCATGCTTTCCATTATATACTGCTTCTTGAACTCTTAGAACTTAGCACAGATTATATACCAGGGTTAAGTCACAAAACAGTGCAACTGCAAATACAAAGGAGTGTTCCTAACAGCTTTATACATAATAACCAAACTGGAAACAATCCAGATGTCCATTCGATAGGCGTATGGATAAACCATGATGCATCTATACAATGGAACATGACTTGCAATAAAAAGGAACAAACTGCCAATACACGAATGACATGAATGAACCTCAAAAACATTATGCTGGGTGAAGAAGCCTGACACAGAAGAGAACTGTTAGTCCAACTCCTGCTGCTATAACAAAATAGGGTAAACTGGGTAATTTATAAAAAAAAGAGGTTTATTGAGCTTATGTTCTGGAGGCTACAAAGTCCAAGATTGAGGGGCCATATCTGGTGAGGGCCTTCTTGCTGCATCATAACAGAAGGGTGAGCAAGCACATAAAACAGAGAGGAAGTCAGGCCAAACTCACCCTTTATAGGAACCCAATCCCGCTATAATCCATTCAAAGAGGCAGAGCCTTCATGGCCTAATCACCTATTTTTTTATTTTATTTATTTTTATTTTTTTTAGATGGAGTCTCGTTCTGTCACCCAGGCTGGAGTGCAGTGGCGCGATCTCGGCTCACCGCAACATCTGCTTCCCGAGTTCAAGTGATTCTCCTGCCTCAGCCTCCCCAGTAGCTGGGATTACAGGCGCCCACCACCACGCCTCACTAATTTTTGTATTTTTAGTAGAGACAGTGTTTCACTATGTTGGCCAGGGTGGTCTCAAACTCCTGACCTCAGGTGATCTGCCTGCCTCAGCCTCCCAAAGTGCTGGCATTACAGGTGTGAGCCATGGCGCCTGGCCTAGTCACTTATTAATTGCACACAGTTATTGAATATCTATGTGTCAGGATTAAAAAAAAAAATCCAATGCAAAATGAGGTTCCATGAAGGGCTGGGCAACTAATTCAGACAGTGTTAGGGGAATTGTATGCACGTGGAGCACAATGGCTACCAATCCCAGCATTTTGAAGGATAATTGCCAGGCACTGCTGTTGTAGACCTTGTATGCCGGAGCTGGCTTGTGAGAGCTCCTGAGGTCTGATTCCTGTTTCCAGGAATTCAGGGCGCAATGGCGTGCGCCTGTAATCCCAGCTACTCAGGAGGCTGAGGCAGGAGGATTGCTTGAACTTGGGAGGCGGAGGTTTCGGTGAACCGAGATTGAGCCATGCACTCCAGCCTAAGCAACAGAGTGAGACTCCATCTCAAAAAATAACAATAATAATAATAATAAGTGACTAAACCATTAGTCCATTCATTGAAAATCTGATCAGATAAAACAGCCTAGGAAAACAGCAGCCATAGTAGAGAACAAAAAGTTGATCAAGAGAATGAAAGTAGGTACTTTCCACTTTGGAAACGACCCTAACTGCATTTAACTGCAGAATTGAGACAGGAAATTAAACAGCTACTGCAGGGGGAGAAAACAGATGAGCATTTATAAGCAAAGCAACAAAATAATAAGGGGAAAACTGCTGGAGTTAAGGTGTTCAGAGCAATATGAGACAATAGAAAAGAAAAAAAAATACAGAACTGACTTCAGAGACTTTAAGAAGATCATATTTGACTCTGCAGACTCCAGTAGAAAAAATAGGGGGAAAAATTTTAGGAACACCATATTCACCTGCGGATTTTGTTTTTGAGTCATTTTAAAAACACTGATCCCACCCCTGTCAGTAACTTGCATTAAAAAGTATGGGAAATGCTAACTTTGAGAGCATGTTTACATTCTGGGGAATGTGCCCCATATTAAAGCAACTGCAGAGATTCTGAGCTTCCTCCAAGACTTCCCCTTAGGGCTCCTATACTCACTGCATTCAGTGTTGTTCTAAGTGGATTTTGTACTCTGGTGTCAAAAATTACCCCACAGCAACCAACTCTTACACAGCGAAGAGCAACACTGATGTGGCTACTAACACACATGCCACAGCTGTTTCTAAGCTTTTACATAGACAGAGAATAAAAAAAAATCAAACATAACAAATTTTAACACAGACCCAATCTAGAGTAAAAACTAAAACCAGATCTGTGAAGTGATTATCTTTATTCCTGTATTCACAGACAGCATTCCTCAATTTCACAAGGAATTTAATCCATTTTGTTTTCCATCAACCACACATTTACTTGGAGCTTGCTTATTAAACTGTGCAAAGAAGGGGACAAAATAAAATTAAATTTGTGCAATAATGCACTGAATTCGATCAACATCCTGATCAACACCCAAAATGGGTATAAGGTTAACAAGCCTTTTTCTCCTAAAAGCTGTCTTTCTTAAGAGTCCCAACAAGTGCTCAGCACAGGAAAAAAAAAAAAAAAAAAAAAAAAAAAAAAAAAAAAAAAGGCAAAGGGGTTATTTAGGGAAGACAGTTTGATGAAAATTGCATCCCATTAAACCCTTCCTTAAAGGATTCACAATGCACACTGCCTCACTGCAGAACAGGACTGACATGGAGACATCTCAGTAACCTTGTTTAACCCAGCATTTCCAAACTTACTTGATCAAGGAGCCCATTTTTCCCACCTAACATCAATTAACATCCACAGAAACACAGTGGATATTTATGGCAGAAGCTGCTCCAGACGGCCCATGGCTGCATCACACCAGCTGCAGCAAGGAGGTGCCTCCAGGGCTGCATGCTCCATAAAGCCGGTGGGAGGCCCACCCATCTGGGTCCAGTTGCAGCTGCCCAAACATCCCTGCACTGTTTTTGTTGTTGATGTTTTTTGAGACGGAGTCTCCCTCTGTTGCCCAGGCCAGAGTTTGGTGGTGCAATCTCGGCTCACTGAAGCCTCCTCCACCGGGGTTCAAGCACCCTGCACTCTTGGGGGCACGAGGAAGGCCCCCTCACTGGCCCTGCCCTCACAGGCTCAGAAGTGCCTGTTCCCCCTGCTATTGGCACTCACTCCGACCTTGGAGCAAAGTTGGGGCCAAGTCCTGGGGTCATGAACAGCAGCAAGAGACAGACGGGTTCCTGGGCAGAAGGAGGCGGGTCCCCAGTGAGGCCCCACCTTCAGGCTACAGAGGGCCTGAATGCTGGCAACTGAGCCGCCAGCCCTGCAGACCAGAGTGGAAACTTGTGGTGCCTTTTCCAGGCCCACCCATGGCTGCCCGTGGACCAATCAGCATGCACTTCCTCCTCTCCGAGGCCCATAAAATCCCTAGGCTGAGTCAGAGCTGGGGAAAAGGTAGGGATGACCAGCTGCAGAGAGGATCTACCCACTCCAGGGCCTCCTCTCTGCTGAGAGGATGGGGAGACCAAGGGATGGCCAGCTGTAGAGAGGAACTACCTTCTCTGCTGAGAGCTGCAGAGATGACAAGATGACCTGCCTGCAGAGAGCAGCCACCCACTCCAGGGTCTCCCCTCTGCTGAGAGCTCCAGAGAGTGGGATGACAACCTGCCCACAACAAGGTGCTTCCCACTCCAGGGTCTCCTCTCTGCTAGGCCTAAACACTCATTGGGATACCCCTGGCTGCAGAAAGGAGCTGCCCACTGCAGGTCCCCTCTGAGCTATTCTATCGCTCAACAAAGCTCCTCTTCATCTTACCCTCCACTCATCTGTGTACCTCATTCTTCCTGGTTGCAGGACAAGAACTTGGGACCCACTGAATGGCAAAGCTAAAAGTTGTAACACAAATAGGATTGAAACATGCCCCTTGCTCACCACGCTGTGGGTGAAGGAGAGAAAAGCTGCAGCCAGCCCTTCAGGGACGTCACACCTGGGAACGCCCCAAGCCAAGGCTGTGATTCCCTCTTTGGAGCCCTGTGGTTCCTGGCATCTTCAGCCTTCCGGCCACCACTGCATTCCCAGGTGCCAGCTGGGAAAGCTGCTCATGGTGCACCTGGTCCAGCTGCAGCCTCGCAGAGAGCCTGCACCTGGAGATGTCTATCCCATGGCAGCAGCTGATGTGTCTGCACAGTAGCTGGACCCCACGCTCGCTCACACACCCCTTGCTGCTCCATGCCTGACTCACAGTCTCCCTTGGAGGCGTGGGATCCAGGCCAGGAGCGTGAGCTGGGTACAGCCTGCCAGGCCAAGTGGGTGGAACAAGCCCAGTGGGCCCGAGCAAATCTCAGGCAAAGGTGCCACCAGCTACAGGTTTCCAGCTAGAAAAGCAACACCCCCAAGATTGCCTAACAATATTACTGCAAACAATGGAGATTTAAGTAGCTATCTTAATTTTGCCAACATGGGAACAACTGATAGGAAAAGAAAAAGAAGCTAGTGGTCTTGCTGAGGTGCACTCCATTCATGGCCAAGGGTGATTTCTGGTTATATCAAGTACCCCATTCCTCTCTCACATCTCCTACCTAGAAAGACTACCTTATTAGACACAACGAACCATTACTCAGTTGGCATTATAGAAAATAGCAACAGTCCTTGCCAGAATCTCAACTCTAAAATCTTTTTTTAAGCCCTGTGTGTGTGTGTGCATGTATATATACATATATATATATACACATACATATATACACATATACATATATATGTGTGTATATACACACACACACATATATACATATACACACATTTCCCCATGCTGAATCAGAGATTTACATAAAACATCCTGCTATGCTCAGGGGAAAGATACTTGTAGTGAGTTAAATTATTAGTTTTACAAAAAAGGCAAGGTAGATTAGACACCAAACACCACAGTTGGTTAGAAATATTTATTATCCCCTCCCCCCACATACAGATTACTTCTCAGAAACATGAAGATATTATCCATGTCCTCATCAATTACAGTTTGTAGAAAATAAACTTAACTCATATCCCATCAACAATGTATTTCTATCATTTTTTTAAACAATAGCCATTTCATTTTTCCATGTTAGTTCCAGAATAGCTTCAAGTTTTATCTTTTGGATCGAATCCAGTCAATCTTTGTTTATAGGTAACAGTTTCCTAACAGATCCCCTCCCCCAACCCCTAAAAAAATTCTATATCCTAAGTGATAAACTCTTCTTGTACATTCAGCAAACTTTATATTGGAAAAGAAAAAGAATAATTGAGATAGGTATTTACTTTCGTGCACAGTAATAAATCTAGCTGAGCTGCTACACCTTGCTTTGCAAAGATGTTTACATAAAATAAATCATCTCTTATCAAGTTACAATGGTAATTTCTTGAAATGTAGATATGAAAGCTATACACTTAATCCACTGAAATTTCCTTCTAATTTTTTAATCTGTAATTAAACCATCACCATAAGGACAAGCTTCATCCCAAGATGTTCCCCCTTTTCCCCTCAGCTATTTCTATCAACTTGAATCCTCTCTCAGATCATGTAAAGAGATACATTAAAAGCACAGGAAAAAAAATGTTTTAGCTTGCTGACATAATGCCCTTAAGTTTGCTGACATAATGCCCACATTTTAACTTTAAAATGTAAAATCAAAGTTAAAGCATCACTTAATTCATACAGTACATTATTAATCAACAGTGTCCCACCAACTCAGAAGTTTCCTAAATTGGCTGCTTTCTCTGCATTTAGTAAGTTTATAACCAATGACTCAATCAAAGAATGTGCTTGTAATAGGCTGCTGGTTTAATTTTAGAATCAAAAGTTTTATATTGGGCTACTTTCAAATATAGAAATGCTATGAGTGACATATGAACTATTAATTTTGTTTCCCATTACCTACAGGAAGAATTTATTCAAATAAAATTTTACAAGACAAAATGCAAATCTATATACCTATATAGAGATGTATATATGTATATATTGAACCTAACTAAAGTTTTATAAGCAATACTAACATAGTTCTGGTTACACATTCCTAAAGACTTAATTGTTTTAAAGATACATGTTATAAAGAGGCTTATGCAAAAGGCAAAAATTAAGAATCAACATGATCTTTTGAGGTTTTCATTACTTCAAAAAGCTGTTTCTATCACCCATAGAAGAAAACTATGCATTTGTTTATCTTAGGAAAAAAAATTATAAAAAGATAATGCTATCATGTAAAGATTCACAAAAACTATACTGTATATCCCATAAGAGTTATACCTACTTAAGGTAAATCACAATTATGGTTTATATTGTACTACAGACATCACCATCGCCTTTCCTCTTTAATAATGAGAGGGTTTAACTTTTTTTTAACTTACTTAACTAGTGCCACAGTAAATCAAGTCCCAGTAGCAACAAGTTAAACAAGATTACAAAATAAGGCATTCTGCTCACACGTCATGAAAGTAACAGGCTTAGTACAGTAAAGCGGGCTGTTATCATTTTTGCAATTTTATATAATCCAAACATTATACAGAAGGCAATCTTTACCAAAAAATCCAATTAATTGCTATTTTCCAGGTAAACAGGAAAACATACATAAAATCCTCAACTTTGGCTATTTCTCCTACTACCATAAACAGATGCTGATCTTATCTACTTAATCAAGTCCACTATTAGAAATGTGGATAAAATGTCTTTGACTATACCATTTCTAAGCCTGTAGGTCACACACTAGATGATTTTTCAAATTATAAATTAAATCTAATATGACAAAATCCCTGTAGTGTTATTTAGGAAAAAAGAAGTGGACTCAGAACATACACACGCACGCACACACACACATGCCATCATATTAAACAGTTGCTTTAAACATTAATTAGTTCTTCAGAAAGAATAAAAATTCTTTAACATCAAGCTGCAGCATGTGTATAAGGGGCAGCAATGCAACCTTTCTCAGCACAAGGTAAGAATATGAATCAACTTTTAAACAACTAGTACCCTGAACCAAAGATTTTGCCAAAGATGAACTCTAAAATACATGTTTTTTTTTTTTGTCGTTGAAATTTGGATTCAATTGCCTGTTGCACTTTTACATTAAGTGTTGCTTAAATAAACAAAAATAGAGCATAAATTCAATATTCTACTGTCTAAACATTTTAAAGCAATGGTTATGCCATCATAAACAAGTAAAATGCACCTAATTTGGGTCTTTTGACACCTCTTGTTTTAAGTTTCCTGTATGATAAAGTTCTTCACAGTTTAAAATATTGTGAAGAAATATATTTAACTATATTCACATACATATTATGTACATGTACTATGTCTTTGTTGTACCCATAAACTTTGAATACGTGTGTATCAGTAGGATACCCCACACATATGGCAGGAACCCTGAATAATATGGTTGGTGTGGACTGAAATGATTTCCCAGAAAGGCTTAGAAATAAGAAAAGAATATTATTATGAATAATTGTAATAACAGAAATTTTACCTTATTTACATAGTGCCTATCTCCCAAGAGGTAAATATGCTTTACAGACATTTTTTAGTAACTCTGTGAGGTGGGGCATTGGGGACACCATCAATTCTCATTTTCCGCAAGCAAGTAAACTACCCAGGACCACACACTTTAGCAGTGGTAGAGTAAATACAGACATGGAGATCTCCTAAATCCCGAAGTCTCCAATTACCAGATCAAATAGTCTTGTGGTAGTAATAAGATTTCCATCATTCAACAGAACTCCTACCACAAAGGATTAATTTCTAAGTCCTCATACACTTGTGATTGTGCGTTATATTGATAACCACAGGGAGATCAAAATGGTTTTTGGTTTTGGCAGATGAAAAAGTCTAACATTCAGTGTGATTATACTTCAGTGTAACTTCTCCAGTTTAAGTGCGACACAGCTGATTGGTCTATCAGGGAGATGCAGTCAACGTCTAATCATGGCTGAAGAGTTCTCAATCCGAACAGCTATTGCATGATTACAGAGATAGCCTACAATCTTTTATTGTCTTAAAGGTCTTTTCTATCTCCACATATGGTATACACATATAAATATGCATTTTAGCACAAAATGTACAGTTACCATCAGTTCATGTTTAAATAAACAAAGGCCTTAAGGGTGAACTTTAAAGGCCAAGAGCTCCTCAGAGTGCATGTTGTTTAAAGATCGAAGATCTGGCAACTTTAGAAGCAGTTTTGTAAAAATAGAGGCCTCATTTGGATGGTTTTTCATTATTAAGGTCCTTAGTGCACGAATGAGAGTTTCCTGCAAAGCCTCCACAGAGTTGACGTTTTCTATTCCAGATCGATCTAAGAGAGATCAGGAATAGGGAAATAGGAAAAACAGGATAAATTATTAACATTAAATATAAATAAAATTCTTGCTTATCAGTGTCACTAACGAATAGAAAGCAAGGTTTTATACATCTGAATAAAGGCAAAAGTTGACAAATTTCTCAAAATCTCAGTAACAAATCGTTAGCTAGTTACTATATTATAAAGCATATATATCACATAAAACATTTGATCAATCAAAATTCTTTACTGTTAAGAATTTTTATTCACAAGAACATAGAGGTTCTGACTTTTTAAAATTAGATGTCATCTGATTTCAACTGCTTCTAATTAGCAAAATAAAATAATGTAGTATATAAACATATTTTCAATACATATGGAATACACTCCCATTTGTATGTCACCATGTGTGGTAGGCAGCCCCTAAAATGGCCTCCAATGATCCCTTCATCCTGGTATTCGCACCCTTGCGCAACCTCCTCCTACTAAGTGGACCTAGACTTACTAACTTCTAATGAAAAAAAATATGGCAGAATTGATAGGATGTCCGTTCTGAGATTAGCTTACAAGAAACTGTGGCCTCCATCTTAGGTACGCTCTTGCTCACTTACTCTGAGAAAAGCTGCTGCCATGCTGTGAGCCACCCTGTGGAGAGGCCCACATGGCAAGGAACTAAGAGTGGGCTCTAGCCAACAGTCAGCAAGCAACTGAGGTGCTCAGTCCAACAGCTTGCAAGGAACTCAATCTTGCCGATAACTACATACAACTGAAAGCAGATCCTTCCCTACTCAAGCCTTCATATGAGACCACAGCCCTGTCCACAGCTTAACTATAACCTCCTAAGAAACCCTGAGTCAGAGGCACATATCATATCCTATCTCTCATATCATATCTTAACCCTCAAAAACTGTGAGATTAAATAAATGTTTGCATTTGTAAGCCCCTGAATTTTGGGACAATTTGTTATGCAGTAATAGGTAACTAATACACTATGCAACTTTATTGCTATGTAACCCTACATTCACTTTCATTTAGCATATTGTGTTTATTAAATTTGTCATACAATATGTTTATAAACCAGTCATTTGGCATAAGCCTGCAATAAAGTATCTTAAAATCAGGCAAACCTATGTAGATCACCCATAGATGTTTTCATCAGCAAGAGTATTTTTTTCCCTTTACAACAGGAGGCAGGAGTATACAAAAATATTCAATGGTCCCCCACATGGGAGGTTGTAATTAACAAGAAAAAGATTTCTAACTTCTACAAGGAATCAAAACTTCTGGCCATTCATGCCCTTTCGTTTTTTTACAAGGATATTGAGGAGGTCTTCCATTATAAGTGATAGCTGAAAAAGGTCATTTGCCATGAAAGCACTTAAAACAAGGACTAAAATTTAATAGTAAAGGGCAAAAAAAGAAAAATTTGATTAACTCTAAATGCAGAAGAATGATAAAAATAAGTTTTATCTTTTTTTTTGAGATGGAGTTTCACTCTGTCACCCAGGCTGGAATGCAGTGGTGCGATCTCGGCTCACTACAACCTCTGCCTCCCGAGTTCAAGCAATTATCTGCCTCAGCCTCCTGAGTAGCTGGGATTACAGGCACCCACCACCACACCTGGCTCATTTTCGTATTTTTAGTTTCACCATCTTGGCCAGGCTGGCCTTGAACTCCTGACCTTGTGATCCACCCGCCTCGGCCTCCGAAAGTGCTGGGATTACAGGCATAAGCCACTGCACCTGGCCAGTTTATCTCATATTTAACAAAATTTGAACATTACAACTATATGTTAATTCTTATTTGGAAAAAAAGGCCAGGCATGGTGGCTCACACCTGGAATTCCAGCACTTTGGAAGGCCGAGGCAGGAGGATTGCTTGAGCTTAGGAGTTTGAGACCAGCCTGAGCAACATAGTGAGTCTTTGTCTTTACAAAAAAAAAAAAAAATTTAATTGAATGGGCATGGTGACACATGCCAGTAGTCCCAGCTACTTGGGTGGCTAAGGTGGGAGGATCACTTAAACCCAGGTCAAGGCTGCAGTGACCCACGATCATTCCACTGCACTCCAGTCTGGGTGACAGAGCGAGATGCTGTCTCAAAAAATAAAAAGAATGTTGGGCAGGACGTGGTGGCTCATTCCTGTAATCTCAGCACTTTGGGAGGCCAAGGCAGGTAGATCACCTGAGATCAGGAGTTTGAAACCAGCCTGGCCAACATGGTGAAACCTCGTCTCTACTAAAAATACAAAATTTAGCCGGGCATGGTGATTGGCATCTGTAATCCCAGCTACTTGGAAGGCTGAGGCTCAAGAATCACTTGAACCCAGGGGATGGAGGTTGCAGTGAGTCGAGATCATGCCCCTGCACTCCAGCCTGGGTGACAGAGTGGGAGCCTGTCTCAAAAAAAAAAAAAAAAAATTGGATATTGGTTTGTGGGGGTAGGGGGAGGGTCACAATTTTTCAGACAAAACTACTGGCAGAGACCTCTTTCTCTTGACATTTAACTTTGGTCAATCATAAATTATCTTCATAAAAATAAAGCCTTCAGTAATGATTTGAAGAGTCCCTCTTGCCTTTGATATTCAAGTAATGGTTTTTTTAAAAAAAACACTATTTCACTTGATGAAATCGTTTGCCAAACATTTATTAAACATATGTACTGGTTACTGTTCTAAGGTGCTTGGAAATCAGCGGTGAACAAAACAAGAATGCCTTTAAGGAGCTTACATTCTGACAGAGGAAAATAGTCATGTGCCACGTAACAATGTTTCAGTTAATGGCAGACCACATATAAAAGGGTGGTCCCATAATATTATAATGTTGCTGAAAAATTCCTATCGCCCAGTGACGTTGCAGCTTTTGTTGTCGTAACATCATAGCACAACACATAACTAACACGTTTATAGTGATGCTGGGGTAAGCAAACCTATTACACTTAATAATAGTAAACAACTATATTACTGATTTAAGTATTTACTATACTATACTTTTTATCATTATTTTACAGTATAGTCCTTCTACTTCATTTTTTGAGAACTCCTGAACTCAAATGATCCACCAGCCTGGGCCTCACCAAGTGCTGGGATTACAGGCATGAGCCACCTCGCCCGTCCCTTCTACTTAAAAAAAAAAAAAAAAAAAAAAAAAAGGTAACTGTAAAGCAGCCTCAGGCAGGTCCTTCAGGAGATATTCCTGAAGAATGCATTGTTATCATAGAAATATAGAAGGTGATAGATGATGACAGCTCATGCATGTTACTGCTCCTGAAGACCTTCCAGTAGAACAAAATGTGGAGGTGGAAGACAGTGATATTGATGATGATGAGCCTGTGTAGGCCTAAGCTAATGTATGTGTCTGTCACAGTTTTTAACAATAAAGTTTAAGAAGTAAATAAATAAATTATAAATAGAAAAAAGCTTATAGAATAAGGATATAAAGAAAATATTTTTGTATAGCTGTACAATGTGTTGTTTTAAGCTAAGTGTTACTACAAGACTCAAAAAGCTTTTAAAAATTTAAGTTTATAAAGTAAAACAGAGCAAGCTAAGGTTAATTTATTATGGAAGAAAAAAAAATTTTAATAAATTTAGTGTACCGTACGTGTTCAGTGATTAAGTCTACAGTCATATACAGTAATATCCTAGGCCTTCACATGCCCTCACGATGCACTCACTCATTCACCCACAGCAACTTCCAGTCCTGTAAGCTGCATTCATGGTAAATGCCCTACACAAGTATACCAGCTTTTATCTTTCATATCTATTGTTACTGTACCTTTTCTTTGTTTAGATATGTTTAGATACACAAATACTTATTGTGTTACAAACTGCCTGCAGTACTCAGCACAGTAACATGGTGTACAGGTTTGTACCCTAGTAACAATAGGCTATACCATAAAACCCAGGTGTGTAGTAGGATATACCATCTAGGTTTATGTAAGTACACTCTATGATGTTCACACAATGACAAAATTGCCTAACAATGCATTTCTCAGAACATATTTACGTCATTAAGCGACGCATGACTCTGGTTTCAATCATATGATTAGTAATTTATAATACCGAAAACTGAGAAAGAATGACAGTAATCCCCACAAACAAAATAATCTAGGTGGGCAAAGAAAGAAACAACTGATAAGTTGGGAAGATACCTGAGTGGGAACTAGTATTAGTAGTAGTTGGTTGGACAGGTGTAGGAAGTCACACAAAAAATTTAAAAATGTTTGAAGTTGTTGGTCTTTCAGTGGCTATTTTGTGTTTAGATGACCTATGCTTCGTTATACAACTCAGAACTTCAGGGAAATGGATGCCTATATCTAAAACCATAGATTGTATTAAATTTTTCTAAAGCCTCCATTTCTAAAACCATGGTTTTTAAGATTTCAAGGCCAAAGAACCTAAGGTACAAACCTGGCTGGATGGTAAACAATCTTCTGGAGACTATAATGTTAAGAGTACACATGTTGAAGTGGAAATTCATCTTCTAAATGGTGTACTAAATGCTACACTAGTACTGCAGAGTTTAATTTATGACACTTCTATCTTCTCTCTCCTTAGCTGGTTCTTCATTGCACTCCCAAGCTTGTACTCCTCACCAAATATTCTATTTATTTTCACTTCCTACAGGATGAAAGTCAAACCTTCAACAAAAATCTCTATGAAGACAACTGAAGTCTGTATGTAAATGAGCCTTGACCTCACACCTACATGCAAGTCCTTAATCTTCAACTGGAAGTGGCTGCTGTTACTTTAAACAACCTGAAAAGAAACTTACCTTCCAGGTATAATTCCCCTTCCATGATACTAGGATTCTTCCAATCTTACAGGCAAACATCATGTTTGAGATTTTTCTCCCCCTTAGCAGCTAGAGCTATTCTGTTAACAAGCAGTATAATGGAAAGGCTTTGAAGCCAGACTAATGGGAGTTCAAATACTTGCTTAGCCAGTAATTAAAAATGGACATTGGGTAAATTACTTAATCCCTCTGTTCCTCAAATCCCTTGTCTGTATAACTGTGAATAACATGTCCCAGCTCACAGGGATCTACTGTGAGGATAAAGTAATATAATGAGATATAGAAATTAACTACCATTTCTTCTGACAACCCAAAAACAACAAAAGAAGACCACTATACATTTCCAAGAAGAAAAAGCTATTTTAAAGATAAAGCAAACTATGTTACTTAATTCTAAACAATTAATAGAGAACTGAAATAAACTATCCATTTGTTCCCTGATTCAAGGTGCAGAGGTTTGGAGAAGAGGTTTCCATTATTCTTTACCATTTCAACCTCACTGTGTGAACACTGTAAGTACTATTTACATAATCATAATACCATAAATGCTGACTTTCAACTTTTCAACTTTGGGAATTGACTGATCAAATCATGACAAACAGTGATAGAACAAGATATAAATGTTTTAATTGACTACATAAAAGGAATGTTACAGCGAAGTCAGAGTACAAAGAAAAAACTGTCTTTGAACAATTAAGAGATTCTATCTAAACTATCCAAAAGACATTATGTATAAGGTCAAAAACTGTGAGTATATTAAAATTACCAACAAAACCATTAAAGTAAATTAAAAAATAAAACATAAAAAAATTGAGAGGGAAAAGGAAGGATACTTTTATTTATAAGTTATACTCACTAAATAAAAAGAGGTATAGGCTGGGCACGGTGGCTCACGCCTATAATCCCAACACTTTGGGAGGCCGAGGAGGGTGGATCACCTAAGGTCAGGAGTTCAAGACCAGCCCGGCCAACACGACGAAACCCTGTCTCTACTAAAAATACAAAAATTAGCTGAGGATGGTGTTGGGCACCTGTAATCCCAGCTACTTGGGAGGCAGAGGTTGCAGTGAGCTGAGATCACTGCACTCCAGCCTGGGTGACAGAGTAAGACTCTGTCTCAAAAAAAAAAAAAAAAAAAATAGGTATAGAGATATAAGCATTATATTCAGAGTTGGGTGGTCAACAACCAGAAAATTAAAAAGAAGGGTGTTAAGAAATCCAGTTTTCTGAGGAATAAGGCTGGGGTGGAGGAAAGAGGAAAAAAGCAGAGACTTTTCATTTTAAACTCTTCTGTAGCGTTTGAATTTCATTTTCCTGCCTAGATACTGCTTTAAAAACAGCTAGTAATTTATGCTGCTGTTTGGCCGGGCACGGTGGCTCATGCCTGTAATCCCAGCACTTTGGGAGGCCGAGGCGGGCGGATCACCTGAGGTTGGGAGTTCGAGACTAGCCTGACCAACATGGAGAAACCCCCTGTCTACTGAAAATACAAAATTAGTTGGGTGTAGTAGTGCATGCCTGTAATCCCAGCTACTCAGGAGGCTGAGGCAGGAGAATTGCTTGAACCTAGGAGAGGGAGGTTGCGGTGAACAGAGATCATGCCATTGCACTCCAGCCTGGGCAGCAAGAGAGAAACTCCATCTCCAAAAATAAAAATAAAAAAACAAACAACAACAACAACAAAAAACAGCTAGTAATTTTTAAGTGGTAAGGATTAAAATTTGACATGAAACTTCATATATGTGTACTTGTATATGTTCATACAGTGACATAACAAAAATTAGAATGCACTGTATTCTTTTACAATCAGTCTTTCACACTTAATTTTCCATTTTTAAAATATATCCTATATAAACAAACAGGTAAATGGATAGATGGATAGGCGAATGGATAGATGGATAGGTAAATGGATAAAGACTCCCCAATATTAATAGTGATCTTTTCTGGTAGTGATATTATAACCTTTTTTTTCCATTTTAATATTTTCTACATTTTCAAAGAACCCATATTAAATTTATAATCAGAAAAAAGGCTTTTTCAAAAACAGATTAAATCAAACTAAAAATCATGTTCCTATCCTGAAATAACAAGGTTCGTTCCTGGCATACAGAGTTTCCCTCTACCCCTTTGCCATCATTTCTTCCTCTGAACTACCTCTGGGAAGTTGGCCCTTCTACTTCATCTCACCTGCCTTAATTTATTTTAGAAGAGTTCACCCCACCTGATGTCATTTCAAAAGCTTCTCAACCTAACTCTCTAGCACTAATGACTTACCTATCTAATCTGCCCACCACAATAAAAATGCAGAATTAATGTTAAACATCACTTTGTTCAACCAGATCACTCTCCTACTTAAGAAGGTACACAGACTTTCTTCTGCCCCATATTTTGGTTAAAATCTCCCCGCTTAGTTCTCATAGCTGTTAGTCCATAACCTGGTGCTCCCCTAACTCTGAAGGCTTTTGTCCCCCTTCCTCCTTGATGTACACTCCAGGCTTTGGCCACCTGACCCTTCCCCGGCCCTATCTCGTACTCTCTCATGCCTTTCCATCTCTTCTTCACTGGGAAAGCTTAATAATTCAACCTTCAAATTCCAGCTCCACTTCTATCTTTCCCCACAGAGCCTTCCAAGATGATTTCACCTTCCTTTCTACAACTCCAGCTTACCTCAGACAGAGAACTACACGGTTTAGTAGCATAAAGCTCTTTGTGTAGTTTCATCTCTCCAAAAAGAATGAAAACACTTAGCAAGCTTGTGCCTTAAAGCTTTCTGTCTCCCCCTGAGCACCTAATAGGTACGGCATATTCATCAGATAAATAATTTAACAAGTATTGATTATCTGTGGTTTCAAAATAATCGATTAATCTGATGTCAACTCAAACCAATACTAATTACTTATCAAGAGATTCTGCAAATGATAGGTAAAATGCAAGAGGCATTATAAATTAGCTATAAAACAGATATCCCTTATTGACATATTCCTTTCATACTACTCCCACGTCATATACACATTTTTAGTTATCCAGGTAGAGCTGGTCAGAAAAGGTAGCCAAATTATGTTACCAAATGGCAAGTCTTTATTCCACTGAGGTACAGGTCCTCAAAATTATACAAATAACTTGTTTTTTTTTTGTTGTTTTTGTTTTTGTTTTTTAACACGGAGTCTCGCTCTGTCACCCAAGCTGGAATGCAAGCTGGTGTGATCTCGGCTCACGGCCACCTCTGCCTCCCAGGTTCAAGCGATTCTCCTGCTTCAGCCTCCTGAGTAGCTGGGACTACAGGCACGTGCCACCATGCCCGGCTAATTTTTGTATTTTTAGTAGAGAAGGGGGTTTCACCATGTTGGCCAGGCTGGTCTCAAATTCCTGACCTCAGGTGATCCACCCACCTCAGCCTCCCAAAGTGCTGGGATTACAGGCGTGCACCCCTGGCGCCTGGCCAAGAACTTGTTCTCTTTCAAGAGCTACTAATTTATGGTTTAGCTACATAATCAGAGGCCGTAACTTATAACTCTCACAATGCCTAGCACAGTGCCCTTTACACAGTAGGAAGCAAATGGGAAACAAAGTCATAACCAAATACTAAAAAATTCCCAAATGTTATACAATAAAATGATGCCTAAAAATAGCTGGCACTTACTTAGACATACCCAGGAAAGTACCTCAATTTCCATTTGTTATTGGGAGTAACAATCTCTGCCTTAATGGGTACTGTCAGAAATAACTGTAATATTAATGCAAGATGGCAGGGGCATTGGGAAACATCATAAATGACTCATATAAATAAACATTAGAAACTCAAAAATCTTGCTCACTCATTCAAACAGTGACTGAGTAGCTCTTCTATGCCAGACACCACACTAGGCTCACATGGTACAACCCCTTCCTTTGACAGGATGAGGAAGGAATCCAAGACCCAAAAGAGTAAAGTTACTTACCCAAGTTACCCACATAATTCAATGGCAGAACTGGACTAAAGCCTACAACTAATTCACATTTCTCTGCAACAAACCACACTAATACCTCTTGATACTTTTAATGTTTTCAAGTAACCCACATTGTATTTGAATGGAAACTGAAATTCATATTACAACTACCTACCTGGAGATACATAATGTTCTAACAAATTCATGAAATAAAGATTTAGACTCATAGAAAAATTATGAACAAAAAGCTAAAGACTAACAGTGGTAAACACAAGGCCTAGATGTAAGTATTACTTTATTCCTATAGTACTTTGACATATATTGTTATAACGAAAAAATTAGTTACACAAAAATAACAGGGTCATACAATTTAGCATCTTCCTTAAGGCCTTATTCCCTCTATATAACTTTCTGGAACCCTGTTAACTGCCATCTTCTCCCCAGTTGGTCACTATATGCTAGGTGTGGCACAATTTTGAACCAGCTTGCTTACCTGCAGATACCAGGACAACAGCTGTAAACAAACTCATCTCTTCATCACTAAGTTGGAGGGCATTTAGCTTCTCACTAAATTCAAACATAGAGTTTAGCAGATCCCCTGCTCCCATTGAGTGTAAATCATCCACACTATATTTCTTTCCACTTAAAAAGGTGACAGTACGTTCCTTTGCATCAAATAATGATGCGAACCGTACCATTAAAACCTGGAAAAAGAAAAAGAAATGTATTTGGAGAAGTCTAACAGCAATAATAAAAAAATAACTTAGTATTCAATCAAGTCAGTTATGAATCATCCCACATATAAAAGAAAGTTATAAAAGAAAAACAGGGTATACTTTTACTCAAAACCACTCTATTCTATTCTATTCTATATTCTATATTCTATTCTATTCTATTTTTGACATGGAGTTTCGTTCTTGTGGCCCGAGCTGGAGTGCAATGGCATGATCTTGGCTCACTGCAACCTCCGCCTCCCGGGTTCAAGCATTTCTCCTGCCTCGGCCTCCCAAGTAGCTGGGATTACAGGTGTGCGCCACCACGCCCAACTAATTTTTGCTATTTTTAGTAGAAGCAGGGTTTCACCATGTTAGCAAGGCTGGTCTCAAACTCCTGACCTCAGGTGATCCACCCGCTTCAGCCTCCCAAAGTGCTGGGATTACAGGTGTGAGCCACCATGCCAGATTTTATTTTTTGAGATGGAGTTTTCTTCTTGTCACCCAGGCTGGAGTGCAGTGGCACGATCTCAGCTCACTGCAACCTCTGCCTCCTGGGTTCAAGCGATTCTCCTGCCTCAGCCTCCCAACTAGCTGGGATTACAGGCACACGCCACCACGCCCAGCTGATTTTATTTTTAGTAGAGATGGGGTTTCACCATGTTGACCAGGCTGGTCTCAAACTCGTGACCTTAGGTGATCCACCCATCTCGGCTTCCCAAAGTGCTAGAATTACAGGCATGAGCCACAGCGCCCGGCCTATTTATTTATTTATTTATTGAGACAGGGTCTTGCTCTGTTGCCCAGGCCGGAGATGCAATCACAGCTCACTGCAACCTGAACCTCCCCGGCTCAAGTGATCCTTTCCACCTCAGCCTCCTGAATAGCTGAGAATACAAATACATACCACCACACCCAGCTAATTTTTGTATTTTTTGTAGAGACAGGGTTTCACCATGTTGCCTAGGCTGGTCTCGAACTCCTGGACTCAAGTGATCGGCCTGCCTCGGCCTCCCAAAGTGCTGGGATTACAAGCATGAGCCACTGCACCCGGTCCCAAAACCACTTTCTTAAGACAGATTCTCTACCAAAGCAATAAATACTCCAAGAAGAACATCAAAAGAAATTCTAGCCACTCATGGCAAAGATACTCTGCCACTCTATTAACAAAGATTCTGAAATGCAATATAAAATTAGAGCAAGAAATAGTGCCAGTAAATTTAAAACTGGGCCCTGGCCAAAGGCATTAAAGAATCTCTTTAGGCTGCCAAGTATAACACATGGCCTCTATGCCTTAAGTAAAAAGAGCAAAATTCCAATGCAGCAACACTTCGAAACATCAACACATCAAATGCAGCCAAGGCAAAGGAAGCAGATGAAGTCTAACTGAACTGCTTCAAGAAACCAACACCCAAAGAGACTATCCACAAAGAAAGCTATCACAGTAAGTGTTCTAAGCACCATGTTATAATTGACATCCAAGTTAAATCGGTTAACAATTATATTACTTAGTTATCTCACTCCCTCCGTTATAATAAATCCAGGGAGAAGTGAAAATATAGCCCTGGCTCACTTCTTCCATCCATAAAAGGTTCAAAGATTTGGCCCACCAAACATCAACTTCCTCTCACCACCCCAATCTCAGAGTTGTCCTTAATTAGGTCCCAAGGCATCTCACACCTTGGCAGCAAAAGGGATGCCCTGGGGCAGACAGAAGGTGAAAGACACCTAACTAAGGACCAGGAGAGGCACATCTGTTAAGTTATACAGTAGAGACTACCCCAAGCCCAAGCAGGATACAGTGTTGCAAGAGAAGCGGGACAGAAAAGTAGCCAAGGATCCTGAAGCAAGGTGAAACCAGGAAGAGCTAAGGTGGCACATAAGAAATGTCTGATATATCCCCAAAATATTCTACAGTCTCTCGAAAAACGAAATCACATTCTATTTGCCCTTCTTATTCTGTATCGAATACAGTAAATGCTAGGCTAGGCTTTCAGGAGGTGTCTAACACTGCAGAAACTTGTTAAGTCCACATCTAAAAGCAATACTAGAACTCAGGAGTTCATATGCTGTAGATACAGAATACCTATATTTCAAATCCTAAATAATAAGTAAAAAATATATATAAAATCCTAAACAATTCTGGATTTACCAAGTCTCCCAAGTCTGTTCCCAAAATCCTGAGATGATGATTATTTTGTTGATAGTTTCAGACTCTGGACTATAAATACTGACTTAGAAAAGAATGAAAACATCTGCCGGGCACAGTGGCTCAGACCTGTAATCCCAGCACTTTAGGAGGCCAAAGTGGGCAGATCGCTTTGAGCTCAGGAGTTTGAGACCAGCCTGGGCCACAAGGCAAAACCCTGTTTCTACAAAAAAAAAAAAACAAAAAAAATTAGCCGGGCGTGGTAGCTCACACCTGTAGTCCCAGCTACTCAGGAGGCTGAAGCTGGAGAATGCTTGAACCCAGGAAGCAGAGGTTGCAGTGAGCTATGATCGCGCTGCTGCACTCCAGCCTGGGTGACAGAGCAGGATTCTGTCTCAAAAAAAAAAAAAAAAAAAAAAGAATTAAAACATCCATGAAAATAAAATACTACATGCCCTGCCTGCATCAATATTCAGGATAAATAAAACCTACCTCAAAAGTCCCAGCCTTTAAAAGGTTGACCTGGTCATGCTGAGAGAGATCTCTGAACCCAGGAATACGCTTTGCAAATTCCACCACTTCTTTCACTGCTGGAGTGAAGCTCATCGAAAATTCTTCCCAGATTTCATGTCCTGATTTATGAGGATCCACATATGGAGACTTACTCATTGGACAAACCTAGTATACATAAAACGGAAAAACTCTTAAATACTAAGAGGTGGTAAAGAAATGTCAAAAGCAGCATCTCAATTATCAGAAACCCCAACATGAATTTAACCCCCAAAACACAAGTAAAATCTACTGAGATATTAGCACTTCATCCATTTGCTGCCCACCATACTGTAGAAAGCCTCTTGGCAACCTAATATAAATAGCAATTAACTTATCATTAAAAAAAAGCCTAAGCAAAAATATCATCTATAACAAGCTATTTCAAACACCTGTTGCACAGGTTTAAGAGTTTATTTTGTAACACTGCTGCCACCTTATGCTAGTATATGGTGTTTTATAATTTTGCAAACAAATTCAATTGTTTGATTCTCAATCTATTATTCATGGCAGATTATAATTTCCATTTCTTAGGTGGAGAAATGAGACTCTGAGAGGTTTAGTGATTTGTCCAACACAGCCAGAAGTCACAAGCCTAGGCCCAAATTCACATTTAGTTAATATTTCCAAACTCCTTTATTTCTATATAGGTAGAATTACAATGTTGTAATTTCCAAGAAGAAAAAACAGCAAGGTGCCTCATTTTGTTGAAAAGGTCACTCACTGCCTGGCCGGGCGCAGTGGCTCACGCCTGTAATCTCAGCACTTTGGGAGACCGAGGCAGGCGAATCACAAGGTCAGGAGTTCGAGACTAGCCTGGCCAACATGGTGAAACCCTGTCTCTACCAACAATTAAAAAAATTAGCCAGACGTGGTGGCTTGCGCCTGTAGTCCCAGCTACTCAGGAGGCTGAGGCAGAAGAATCACTTGAACCGGGAGGCGGAGGTTGCAGTGAGCCGAGATCATACCACTGCACTCCAGCCTGGGTGACAGAGTGAGACTCCGTCTCGAAAAAAAAAAAAAGAAAAAAAAGTCACTGCCCATTTATTTCAAAAACAATGCTGTGATCACTGACTTCTACTTGTTCAATCAGGAAACAAGGACTGCAGATACAGGTGTGTCTTCTAAATGACGACTGCGTGAGGGAAAATAGGAAGCCAAGAAGTTATTAAAAAAAAAAAAAAAACACCAAAAAGATGATGAAACACACCTGTATATTCTATTAGTAAAATCAGCCTTTAAATTTTCACTAAATCCATACAAAATCTAGGAATGGGATGATTACAAAACCATAGAGAATATCATGAAATCAGAACCAAAATGCCCACAGATTTTTCCTTCATTAAGGCAGCCACTTGGCCAGGCGTGGTGACTCATGCCTGTAATCCCAGCACTTTGGGAGGCCGAGGTGGGTGAATCACTTGAGGCCAGGAATTCAAGACCAGCCTGGCCAACGTGGTGAAACCTGTCTCTACTGAAAATACAAAAATTAGCCAGGCATGGTGATGCATGCCTGTAATCCCAACTACTTGGGAGGTTGAGGCATGAGAATTGCTTGAACCCAAGAGGTGGAGGTTGCAATGAGCTGAGGTCGCGCCACCGCACTCCAGCCTGGGCAACAGAGCAAGAATGTCTCAAAAAAAAAAACAAAAAAGCAACGACTTAGCCTAACATAAGGTCCACAGAATCAAATAACTCCAAGTGACAACAAAAATTTTAATGAAGATTGAGGTAGAGTCAACTATTTTGAAAATGAAAAAGACGACTTTAATTACCTGTCAGTAGAAAATACCAAGCACTATCAAAGGACTTCATGGTTTAAACTGGAAATGGTGTGGTACTGCTGTTTTTGGTGAAATTTTGGCTGAATATGAACACTGTACTTTGATGTAGAATGTCGTATTTGATGGAAAAATAGAAAAGCTTCAATGATATGACCAACATTAAGTCATCTCATAAGATGAAGTCTGAGAAAATCCTTAGAAATTAGCCTATGAAATTAAAATACTCCTAAATTTATCAAACAATAAAACATCTATGTTCTATATCCAAAGACCTTCTTGCATAATAATGGTTAAAAAAAAAAAAAACCTCTTTCTATAGAAATCAAAGAATTTCTAACTATGGCAAGCGAAAAGTTCGGCCCTTTGAGAAAATCCCAAAGCTAGTAAGGTACTAATTAACCAGAATGCTTAAATTTTCAAAGGGATTTCCAAGAATTAAAGGACCAATTCTGCATGAATCATATTTTACATAAAATCCTAATCCCAATCTCAGATCAATCAAATCACATGCTTGTACCTAGCTGGGTGTGAAATTAGGTCATTCATCAGAAGATGTTTATTAAAATTATTTGACCTAAAATACTGTACAAAATTAAGTCTGTAAATTTCTTAGGTTTCCTGACACCATCCCCCCAAGTTAGCATATCTCCCGAATAAAAGAAAATTTTCAAAGCTTTCCCTGATACAATGTAAGCAAAAAATCGATTTCACTATACCAGATGCATTCTTCCTCCAGTGTTGCACAGGTAACTATTCTTGTTCTCATTCTGAGAAAATCCATCTATCGGAACTCTATCACATACTCTTTGAGTATAAGCATTGGAGAAGTTCATACAATGTCCATTTGCAATACAAATGGCATGACCATTTGGGTAATGCATTATATTCCTCCCTTTGAACTGTCCATTGAGATGCTGCTGGCTCTCACTACAGGGAAAATGGCTGCTAAGCCCATTGCCGCAATGATCATGATTTAAATTATATTGCTCCATGTTCTTGGGAATCCGTTCTCCTCTCTGGGGCTGCATGCTCTCAGCTGAGTTTTCTTGCTGCTCTTGATTATACATAAAGGTATCCTTGTGAGCTCTGGTCACCATGCCAATCACTTCTTCCTTTGCAAAATCAGAAGATGGAGGAGAAGAGCTTTTGATGTTTTCTTGCTCCAGTTGGGGCTTGGGTCGCAGCTGTTCCTGGGCTGGCAAGGCTGTCTGTTCATGATGTTCTACTAATGTGTCATTTTGCAAGTGACCACTGAACTGGCTGTTCATCATGGTCTTCATTGCACTTTGCATTTCAATTAGCATCCTCTGTTTTTCACGCTTAGGAATACGACCAAACCGAACAGCTATTGAAGAAAAAGATATTTAACGTCTATATTCTAAATAAGACCTGTTTTGTATAAAAGAATAACACAAAATTATCCAACAGTTATGGCCTCTAGTCATACATATAAAGAATGAGTCTACATGTCTCTGGTCCACATTTTTCTAAACTTGCTGGTCTTGATGCACCAAAGGAAGTAGGAGAGGGAGAGAAAATTTTCTATTTTCCCCCCACAACAAAGTTAAGGACATCTACCTCCTAGGTATTTTATAAGCAAAGTCTAAGAAAAGAAATAGGAAATTCGGATGGGTGCAGTAGCTCATGCTTCTAATCACAGCACTTTGGGAGGCTGAGGCAGGTGGACCACCTGAGGTCAGGAATTCGAAACCAGACTAGCCAATATGGTGAAACCCCGTCTCTACTAAAAAAACAAAAACTAGCCAGGTGTGATGGCGGGCGCCTGTAGTCCCAGCTATTCTGGAGACTGAGGCAGGAGAATCGCTTGAACCCAGGAGGCAGAGGTTGCAGTGCGTCGAGATGGTGCCAATGCACTCCAGCCTAGGTGACAGAGCAATACTCCATCTTAAAAAAAAAAAAAAAAAAAAAAAAGAAAGAAAAAGAAAAAAGAAATATGAAATTAGCTAATGAAAACCAGTTTGAAGCAGACCAGTATTACTACACAGCTCCTTACTAACAAAGCTGAGGACTGTTCCCAGCAAGGCATGTGTGATTCAGCTACACACATCCATTACCATTAATGGAATCTGGTAGGTGAAATCATTCCCTGAACACCTGGCCCTTGTCAATTCATTTTTGTAACTTTGCTCTCAAGATCTAACTATGAAATTATCTGCTGTCTTCTTTTCCAGCCTCTTTAAAAAAAAAATCCTTAAAAAAAATTCCACAATCAGTAGAAATGCACTTACTGAAAAATAAACTTGGTAGATTTTAATTAAAACCAGTGAAATAAGTAAAAATGAGATAAGTCATCCTCTATTCTTTTAGAAGCTAGTCTTAGAAGGTGTCTTGTCTCCAATAATCCTATCCATGAGAGAAAGAAAAGCTTCTTTCACAGTCTAGTATTTACACAGAGATAATAAAAATTCAGTATACTTGCCCAGAAAGCCTCGTTAATCTAATTGTAGCCTCTAACATTATTGCTACCAAAAACAAACAACTTAATCATGTTTGATACTTTATCTCTACTCCTCCCTTCACAAATGATTGTCAGTTTTATTCTTTCAGGGCAATCACAATATCCATCAACTATTTTTATAGCATTAGTACTTTTAGCACTATAAAAAAAATTTCAGGGAATTGAAAAAACAAAACATCAATTGCTGAAATCTGTTACTCAAAAAACTCCTGGCCACGCCTGATGGCTCACACCTGTAATCCCAGCGCTTTGGGAGGCCGAGGCAGGTGGATCACTTGAGGTCAGGAGTTCGAGACCAGCCTGGTCAACATGGTGAAACCCCCATCTCTACTAAAAATACAAAAATTAGCCAGGTGTGGTGGCGGGCACCTGTAATCCCAGCTACTCAGGAAGCTGAGGCAGGAGAATCACTTGAACCTGGGAGATAGAGGCTACATTGAGACAGAGTGTCACCGTGTCACCCAGGTTAGAGTGCAGTGGCACGATCTCAACTCAGTGCAACCTCCACCTCCTGGGTTCACGCTATTCTCCTGCCTTAGCCTCCCGAGTAACTGGGATTACAGGTGCATGCCACCACGCTCAGCTAATTTTTTTTTGCATTTTTAGTAGATATGGGGTTTCACCATGGCTGGTCTGGAACTCCTGACCTAAAGTGACCCACACACCTCAGCCTCCCAAAGTGTTGGGATTACGGGCGTGAGCCACCATGCCCGGCCATATAAAAAATGTTTTTAAACTCCATTGGTTTTAGGAAAAAATAAAAAGTAATCAAATTGCACAGAAAAAAAATGGCTCTTTTTAGAAGAAGCAACAACAACAGAAGTTTAGCCAAAAACTGTTTCTGGGATGATAATGCTAAAATACGACTTTAATCAATTTGGTGTCCTGTAAAGCATGAAAATATGTTTTCTGCTTCACCTTAAATACAAGAGGGTCCTTGGTAACCGGTTTATAGCTCTGGTTCATGATGAGGAATAAAAGCCAAGCTCCATACACTTTAGGAACACTCTTTAAACTGGGAACATACCATCTCTTGACATTCCAACAGACAGACACTTTTTGAAGCGACATTGCTGACATCTGTTCCTATTCATTCTCATTATAGAACAGTTTTCATTCTTCAGGCACTTCTTGTACTGGATGTTTTGTTGAATACTTCTCCGAAAGAAACCCTAAGAACAAAGGAAGATTTACTTACCCATTTAAAAACACCCAAATGAACTTCTTATAAACACTGCTCCCATACCTATCTAGTGTATATGACGAACTACAGTCCCAGTATATGACTCACTATCTGGGAAACACTATGTCTTAGGACAGAGGGAAATACAATGTTGACACACAGAATTTAATTTCGATTCTTATTGGTATGAGTAAGCACCTAACACCTACTAACCAAACAAAATTCTTCTTCCCTTCAGAGATTCTTTGTCCTTACCCAAAACACCCCTTGCAACAACCACACTACCCTGTTACCAGACCCTGCCTGCAGTCACATTTTCCATCTCATACTTTTATTCACTACAAATTCCAAAACTCTTGAAGTATGAATGACTGATTCTTTTTTTTTTTTTTTTTTGAGATAGGATCTCGTTCTGTTGCCCAGGCTAGAGTGCAGTGGCATGATCACAGCTCACTGCAGCCCTGACCTCCCTGGCTCAATTTTCCAACCACAGCCTCACAAACAGCTGGGACTACAGGCATGCGCCACCACACCCAGCTAATTTTTGTATTTTTTGTAGAAATGAGGTTTTGCCATGTTGCCTAGGCTGGTCTTGAACTCCAGGGCTCAAGTGATCTGCCAGCCTTGGCCTCCCGAAGTGTTAGACTTACAGGGTGTAAGCCACCACCACTCCGGACCTGATTTTTTGTTTGTTTGTTTGCTTGCTTTCTTGAGACAGACTCTTGCTCTGTAGCCCGGGCTGGAGTGCAGTGGTGCGATCTCAGCTCACTGCAACCTCCACCTCCCAGATTCAAGGGATTCTCCTGCCTCAGCCTCCCCAGTAGCTGGGATTACAGGCACGTGCCACCATACCTGGCTAATTTTTTGTATTTTTAGTAGAGACAGGGTTTCACCATGTTGGCCAGGCTGGTTTTGAACTCCTGACCTCAACTGATCCGCCCACCTTGGCCTCCCAAAGTGCTAGGATTACAGGCACGAGCCACCATGTCCAGGCTTTTTTTTTTTTTTTTTTTTTTTAAAGAGACAGGGTCTTGCTCTGTCACCCAGGCTGGAGTACAATGACGTAATAATAGCTCACCGCAACTTCGAACTCCCGGGCTCAAGCAATCCTTCTGCCTCAGCCTCCCAAGAGCTGGGACTACAGACATGTGCTACCACATCCAGCTTTTTTATTTTTTGTAGAGGTAGGGTCTCCCTATGTTGCCCAGGTGGGTCTCACACTCCACCTCAAGCAATCCTACAGCTTCAGCCTCCCAAAGAGCTAGAATTACAGGCCTGAGCCACTGCACCCAGCCTAAATGACTACTTCTTAAAAAGTGGACTGAGAAATATGTTTGATAGCTATAATCCCCTCACTAGATTGTGGATTACATTAACAGAAGTTGGTCTTTCCAGGATCATTACCTGCTGACAATGGCAAGGCCTACTTATACATGACAGAAATCACTGACTACGTGCCAGCAACAGGTAAGTGTTACACCACACACCAACAGAGTAGCTAACTATCCAAGGAAAGACAGTTCCCAACTAGATGGCTACAAACAGCTGCCTTTACTCCACACACAAACAATTCCAGTACATGTTCTGTGATAGGTCTCCAAAGATCTCCAGTTTCATGGTACCAGGGAGGACAGAAAACTCAAGAATGCAATTACTGAAATTATTTTAAACTGCATTTTCCTTTTATATGACAACTAAACACATTTCCCGAATCTATACTAAGTAGTCATGGGACACAACATTTTTATATTTTATTATTGTGATACTATACACTTGACTTAGATACTACAAGAGCTGAACTAGACATTTTAAGAGTACTGCACAGATGTGTATTTATCAAGAATATGCAATCAGCTCATTCAGTTTGTGCTTTTATTTTCTAGCTATAAAGTAAGAATAATGCCTTCCCCAATATTACTTCACTTTTTTTTTTTTTGAGACGGAATCTGGCTCTGTCGCCCAGGCTTGGAGTGCAGTGGTGCAATCTCAGCTCACTGCAAGCTCCGCCTCCCGGGTTCACGCCATTCTCCTGCCTCAGCCTCCCGAGTAGCTGGGACTACAGGCGCCCACCACTACGTCCGGCTAATTTTTTTTTTTTTGTATTTTTAGTAGAGACAGGGTTTCACTATGTTAGCCAGGATGGTCTCGATCTCCTGACCTCGTGATCCGCCCGCCTCGGCCTCCCAAAGTGCTGGGATTACAGGCGTGAGCCACCGCACCTGGCCTATTACTTCACATTTTTGTAAAAAAAAAAAAAAAAAAAAAAAAAGATATATAGAGAAGGAGAATCTTTTTTAAACAATGAAAAAAATGCTACATCTATAAAAAATACTGACTTGTCTTACAAAGTTACCCGGCCATTAAAAGTTAGCAAACTTGGCAGGGCGCGTGGCTCACGCCTGTAATCCCAGCACTTTGCGAAGCCGAGGCGGGCAGATCACCTGAGGTTAGGAGTTCAAGACCAGCCTGGCCAATGTGATGAAACCCCGAATCTACTAAAAATACAAAAATTAGCCTGGAGTGGTGGCGTGTGCCTGTAATCCCAGCTACTCGGGAGGCTGAGACAGGAGAATCACTTGAACCCAGGAGGCAGAGGTTGCAGTGAACCAAGATCACACCACTGCACTTCAGCCTGGGAAATAAGAGCAAAACTCCATCTAAAAAAAAAAAAACTGGCAAACTCGCAATTCATTCAGAGCCACACTTGAAAATATTTCCTCTCCCATCATGTATATTCATTATCTTGTTTACCCATCATATCTCGCCAAACTAGATTCTTGCTTGTGGCCTCAAGTCAGAGAACAGCAAGAACATGTGTCTTCATCACGTTAATTTTTGATACTCAGGAGAAAAGATTGTGCCAAGTTTTTTAAAAAGAGAGAAAGATTCCCTGTATATAGGTAGGGAGGTAGAGACCATCTCACTTGGAATTATTTGACCAATACTCTAATAGCAATAACTAGAAAATAGTCAACTAAACTTACAAATAAACTAGCTTTCCCAAGGGCTCAACTTATATTCAGGATTATTTTACTCACTTGGCATTATTTTTTAAGATACCACATTTTTTTCAAGTATGTAGCAATTATTCCCAGCTCCCAGTACCTGACGTGTCATTAAGTCAAAGTATATGATGAGATCCTAATTCAAAGTTTGGTTTAAACTAAGTTCCCACAAGGCAGAAGTAGTGCCTTCTCTGTTTTGTTCCTTGTTATTTCACTACCACCTAGAACTGTGCTTGACACATTAATGAATGAGCATTTGGTGCACTTGGTTTAACACAATAAGTATGTTTAATTGAGATAGCAAATTTACTTTGTTCAAAATCTTAAAGAAAAAAGAAATACTTTCACTGAATTAAGAATATTATTCAAAACAAGTTATGCTTATACACTACATAAAATGCTTAAAACTTAAAAAGAGCAGCTGACTTCTCACTGTCTCTCAGACTATCAATTGCACAAATGGGTAAATCTAAACCCAACTTCTTAAATCCCAGAATCAGTAGCTTAAAGAAACAAAAGCATGCTTTACCTTACAGCCTTCGCAAGCATGAACTCCATAGTGGAATCCTGACGCCACATCCCCACAGACTTTACACAGTAGAACCATGCCACTAAATTCTAGGACACAAAAGGACACGAAGTAAAAAGTAGGAGGAAACACCGAGTCTGTTTTCTTTCCAATTAGATATTTTATTTCATTCAACGTGTAAGAGCTTTTAGAAGATACACATCTACTTTCATAATGTAAAAGAAAAATATTTTCAAATCAAAAGTAATCACAATCATAATTTTCTTACGGTGTTTTTTTTTTGTTTTGCTTTGTTTTGTTTTAAAGATAGAGTCTCCCTCTGTCGCCCAGGCTGGAACGCAGTGGCGTGATCTCAGCTCATTGCAACCTCCACACTTCCCAGGTTCATGTGATTCTCATGCCTCAGCCTCCCAAGTAGCTGGGACTACTACAGGCATGCACCACCACACCCAGCTAATTTTTGTATTTTTAGTAGAGATGGGGTTTTGCCATGTTGCCCAGGCTGGTCTTGAACTCCTGGACTCCGCCCCACTCAGCCTCCAAAAATATTGGGATTACAGGTGTGAGCCACCACACCCAGCCATAATTTTCTTTTAAATACAACTTATGGCACTGACAAAAATACCTCGCTGACCCGGATTTTTCCTTTCCTGATTTTAGAATTACACTGAAATTTTGTAAATTTATTTTTTTTCCAGACCTGTCAGCAGGAAATAAGAAATTTTGTAAATTTAGAGTTACTTTATACCAGATATGCAACCAGAACTAAGAAAACAATTCTCTGGATAACAATTAAGAATTCAGACAGAGAAGTCAATCAATAAAAGGTGGAAAGGGATATCTCTCCACAGGCAGCTGTGTCAATTTACTTCACCTACAGAGGCCAGATAGGTCCAAATCCCCCTACTCATTTGGTTATCCCAATCCAACATTTCCTCATCCCAAATATTCCCAAATCCAGTTTCACTAACGTAACCCCTTCCCACAATGAGCAAGTACTCTGTTCTAGAAACAAGACTTAGTTCTAGTAGTTCAGAAGAAAAGTAACTGTGAAATGTAGTAAAAGAGGGTACCCTAGAGGGACCAGGGTCAGGCAGAGTACATAATCACATGTCTTGCTCTGAGGCAAGAATTAATGACAGCCCCTAGGTTATAACTTCTATCATCATCACTGATTTCTTCCCTAACTACTGATGTATGATTACCCAGCAAGGAGTGAAAACTGTACCCAGAAACATAATGGCCACCTAAATGAAAAGCTGATAAAATAAGCCCCATTTGCAATTAATGGCAGCAATCTTTAGAAAACCAAAGTAACTTACTTGTCACACCACTATGACTTTTTGTCATCCCAGGTGCACTCGATTTGCTTGTTTTCATAGAACAATCTATTCGATCATTCTTCAAGATGCCTTCAATATTGGCGAGATCACCATTCTTGGGATTACCATTGGTATCAGAATTAGAGCTATTTGGAGAAGATGGAACAGAAGAGGAGGAGGACTGGAAACTATTCTCAGAACCCTCACTGTGACAAGAGGCAGGGCTTGAGGCTGAGCTGGAAGAACTGATATAGGCAATCACACCTCCTAGAAAATAGGAGGAAAATCACATAATTAGATACAAGATAATACGTATTTTTTATTTTTGCAAATCTCAACAGTAAAGCCATTAACTTTAGAAACAGGATACTGATATGAAATGTTTGCTTACACCAAAAGCAAAAAATAAAGTATTTCCTTATTTCCCATTATTCGTCCTGCTTCCGCAAAGTTCAAAGCACATGTAACTCCCACTGATTTAAAAAGGGAGATAGGCCCGGCACACTGGCTCATGCCTGTAATCATAGTACTTTGGGGGCTGAGGTGGGAGGATTGTCGCTTGAGCCTAGGAATTTGAGACCAGCCTGGGCAACATAAGGTAATGCTGTTTCTACAAAAAAATTTAAAAACTTGCTGCATGTGGTTTGCACCCAGCACCTCTAGTAGTGCCAGCTATTCAGAAGGCTAAAGCGAGAGGATCACTTGAGCCCAGGAGTTCAAGGCTGTAGTGAGCCATGATCATGCTACTGCACTCTAGCCTGGAGACAGAGCAGGACCCCATCTCAAAGAAAGAAAAAATTAAGTGAGAAGGATTTCACTGGCTTGGATATTCTGAGCACATGGAGATCCTCACACCTAAAGCTTTTCATTTTCCAGTATTTTCCTAAAAGGACTAAAAAATGCTCCTAAGTAACTTCATTGCTCAAACAAACTGGCCATGAAGAAATCTGGTTCTGGTCTCTTCTTTGCCTCCTGTTATAGTTATCTGACACAATCCTAGAAACAATGAATTTATCATTTGCCTCCCCCAACACTTGGCTAGAAGCACAGGTTAATCCAGAACAGATGTAACATTTAGAATGGTAGATAAGGTAAATTATCTCAAAACAGGGATCGTTTCACAGCCCTTGCTCCCACACCTTTCTGTTTTGGTGTTCCCAGAAGACATATGTGGCTATCCACTAACCAATCCCCAGTTCAATACTCTCCCTTCTCTACCCCATTCTGCCATTCATCTCTAAGCAGCTCTTAAGAAATCCAGACTCACTACTTGTTCTTCTGACTCGCTCTTTATAGGTGTTAAAGATGCTAGAAGAATGCATGCTATACCAGAATAACAGTAAGGCTGAAGCTAATTCCCTCTACACAGAGCTATTGTCAAAATGTGATTCCCAATTTTATATAACCGCCACAACCCTTCTGAAAACTGGCATTTTTTTTTTTTTTTTTTTTTTTTTTTTTGAGACAGAGTCTCACTCTGTCACCCAGGCCGGAGTGCAGTGTCACAATCTCGACTTACAGCAACCTCCACCTCCTGGGTCCAAGCAATTTTCCTGTCTCAGCCTCCTGAATAGCTGGGACTACAGTCACATGCCACCACCCCCAGCCAATTTTTGTATTTTTTTTTTTAGTAGAGATGGGGTTTCACCATGTTGGTCAGACTGGTCTCGAACTCCTGACCTCAGGTGATCCACCCACCTTGGCCTCCCAGTGCTGGGATTACAGGTGTGAGCCACCGCACCGGGCCTATCAATCATTTTTAAACAAAAATCCACAAAGCAAAATGCTGAGGCCAAAACAATCCCAAAAAGACAGACATTGCCGTCTTTAGGCAAGAAAAAAAAAAACAGGCAGAGAAATTTAGAGTCACTTTTAGTCTGTCATGTAGTAGATATCAGATGTGTTTTTAAGCACCAATTATATATATTGAGGCTAAGAAACAAACCCTCTGAGGAGGAAAGCACAACCACAACTCTCAAGGGGTTTGAGTGCAACCCAGAAGGGAAGATAAAACAGGTGCCTACTATGCCAAGAAACACACAATGTTTTTCATCAGACACGATTTTTTTTTTTTTTTTGAGATGGAGTCTCACTCTGTTGTCCAGGCTGGAGTGCAGTGGCACAACCTCAGCTCACTGCAACCTCCGCCTCCCGGGTTCATGCGATTCTCCTCCTTCAGCCTCCTGAATAGCTGGGAATACAGGCGCCCGCCACCACGCCTGGTTAATTTTTGTTTTTGGTTTTTGTTTTTTTTTTAGTAGAGACAGGGTTTCACCATGTTGCCCAGGCTGGTCACGAACTTCCGACCTCAGATGATCCGCCCGCCTCCACCTCCCAAAGTGCTGAGATTACAGGTGTGAGCCACCGTGCCCAGCCCAGACACAAATTTAACATACATAAATTCAACTATATGCACTTGATTTTTAAGACAAAAATATCACTAACGTAGACAATTCCATCCACTGTTTTATTCATGAAGCCTATGCCTGGACTCGATCATGAGGTGAGAGGTGCAAATCTGCTCTTCCCAGTTAAACCCACTGTCCATATGCTCTCTTGCTATGTGCATCTCACCTTAATTAATCCTGCAATTAATATTTTTCCTGCAACATGGTCCCTAACTACAAACCAACCATCTCAAAGTGTGGGCCCTGGACTAGGGGCATCAGTATCACCCAGAATCTGTTAGAAATGCAAATTATCAGGCTCCGCTCCAGATCTACTGGATCAGAAACTTTAATAAGCCCTCTTGGTGATTCTGATGCACATCCAAGTTTGAAGAACACTGCCACAAGCCAACTACTTCATCTGTGCTCCCTGGAAGACAAAGTGACCAAGGTAGTTTTCATCTACCATTTATTCTAAAATCTAAAAACTCCAAAACTACAAACACAAGAAGAAAGATTCCCAACTTCGAGTTTATTTTCATCACCCAGAGAAATTATGTAAAATACATATCCTCAAAACTAGCTGGTGCTTTTTCAGAATACATGTTTCCAAGGCCCTGCCCAGACGAGAACACATCCTCAGGAATGTGCAATTTTAACAAGCTCTCCAAGCAATTATTTGCACATTGAAGTTTCAAAATGGCTACAATCAGTGAATTCAAACACAAATTGGCCCATAGTTTTAAAGATTGATGATTTCATCGATACAACCGCCAGAATATCATTAATACCCTGTGAATCCAAAGAGAAACCAACTTAACCTAGAAACCTAGCCAGTGTCATGTTACTGGATAAAACCATTGTGCTGTCTTTATATAACTTTAGAGATCTTAAGTCCACATTAAAAATTCCAGGTATTAGCACACTGCTACTTTTTCACAGATGTCTCCACTCACAATAGGACACTTTACAAAGACAAATATTCTTAGTCCTCAATGAAATTCCAAAGGAAGATCTCACAGCTATTTGTCTTCTCTAAAATAGTGTCTTAAGTACTAAATTCACATCTAACATCTCAGGAAAATAAAAGATAAGAAAGTGATGTTTTTCCTTGGAAGTAAGACTTTCCTAGGGCCCCCATTTTCAGTCATTTATGTTCACAAGATCTGCTGACTACCTTAGCTAAGAAATAAACTTTTAGAAATTAGAGCTGGCCGGGCACAGTGGCTCACGCCTGTAACCTCAGCACTTTGGGAGGCCGAGGCAGGCGGATCACCTGAGGTCGGGAGTCCAAGACCAGCCTGACCAACATGGAGAAACCCCATCTCTACTAAAAATACAAAATTAGCCAGGTGTGGTGGCGCATGCCTGTAATCCCAGCTCCTCAGGAGGCTGAGACAGGAGAATCACTTGAACCCGGGAGGCGGAGGTTGCGGTGAGCCGAGATGGCACCATTGCACTCCAGCCTGGGCAACAAGAGTGAAAACTCCATCTCAAAAAAAAAAAAAAAAAAAGAAAAAGAAAGAGAAAAGAAAAGAAATTAGAGCTATGCAGATGGCTTAAAAATTGGTTGCAAGCACTGACGGGGCAATGGACTGTATCGTAATTAATTAACCAAAAAACAATTTCCTTTGCAAAAGCTTCAATATCCAACCTAAAAGAAACTACTGGGCTATTATCAATCCAGCGAAGATCCAATTCCTGTCTTAAGAAAACAAGCATCTGTGCCAGGCACCAGAAAATCAAAGAAGACCCATCTAGAAGTAGCTGCATTCTCCTAGCAAGACCTTCAATATTGATTTAGTTGTCTTGGCATCTATTCTTGCTACTAGACACCCATCTATGAACCTGACTGATAGCAACCCAAATGGGTTAAATTTTAATTTCTTAGAAGAAAAGGAGTACATCTAGTAGTTCCTCAACCTAATGAAGAAAGGAAAGTGAAACTACAAGTCACCAAGTACCTACTGGATGTCAGGAATAAAATGACACAATTTCATCCTCACAAGAAGAACTCTGTGAATTAACTTTCATCAAATCATTTTTTAAACAAGGAGCTCAGAGAGGATAAGTCAGCCACTAAGTGGCAGGCCAAAGTTTAAAGTCAAGGTTGTCCAATTCCAGAGTACAAACTTATTTGGTGAGAAGACCTGAGCAAGCAAGTCACTTTCAATCTTTCTAAACCTGAGTGGTCTTCTATAAAATTGGAATATCTGCCACTTATTACAAGACTGAAATGAAATGGCATTCATAAGTGCTTTTTTCATACACTGTTTTTGATGATAAAGTAAGAAGAGTAAAAATCCCCAAACCAGCAAGTCCCAACACCTCCAAGAAACAGGCAGTATGTACCTCTTTGAAACCCTGAGCTAAAATTAGCTGAAGCAGTCTTCTCTATTTTCAGTTGAAAGGGACCCTGGACCTGGGCCAGGTTCCCAGGCTAGGGCTTACCCAGTGGTCAACTTCAGACAAGCCTTAAGTCAATATCCAATTTTGTACTGCTAGGAAGCACTGATATTCCTGCATATATTGGGGTCTTCTTACCCATTTTCTACACTTGTCCATCATCAAAACCCTCACACTTCCTCTGTCCACCATCCTGGAGATTATGTTTGACTTCAAGTCATGACTGTACTTTTCTGCCTTGTGACTTAGAACAAAACATTTTATCACCAAGAAGCTTTAGTTTCCCTCATTTTAAAAGTGTTATAAATAATTTCTACTCCAAGGGTGGTAGAGTAGATCTAACTGAAGCACTAAAATTCCAATTGTGTCCTAGGTGTCAGGGCTCCAGAGAACAGCATGGTCCTTTCCCTAAAATGCCTTATAGGCCAACTGGGGAAACACCTATGTTATTAGGAGCAATGTTTCACACACATGATTGTGACTGCTGAGGATCATACTAAAGAGGGCAGAAATCAATAGGGGCAAACACATCCAAGGTTGCAATATCTAAGTGGGGAATTGAAGACTGTTTAAATCATCAAAAGAGACATTTTTTAAATAGGGTGACACAAAAATAAATGGTGTGTTTTTTGTTGTTTTTTTTTTTCAGACGGAGTTTCGCTCTGTCACCCAGGATGGAGTGCAATGGTGTGATCTCGACTCACTGCCACCTCCGCCTCCTCGGTTCAAGCGATTCTCCTGCCTCAGTCTCCCAAGTAGCTGGGATTACAGGCACCCGCCACCACACCCGGCTAATTTTTGTATTTTTAGTAGAGACAGGGTTTCACATGTTAGCCAGGCTGGTCTCGAACTCCTGACCTCAGGTGATCTGCCCATCTCAGCCTCCCAGATTGCTAGGATTACAGGCATGAGCCACCATGCCCAGCCAAATCGGTCTTATTTTATAAAATAGACATTATTTTTATCTCCATGTAAATTACTGGAGAAGGGAGGTCAAGGTGTAATCTAATGTCTGGAAATAAGCCAGCATGACTAAAGAGAGGACTGATGAAACTGGGAGGCCCTGCAGATGACTATCCTTTTCCACTAGCTATAACCTACATATATCACTGCAAATTGAGTGGGGATCCATACACATGCAGTATCTCCTTCACCCTCAAGAAGACAGGACCACCAAGTTGCGTATAAATCTTCAAATATTATGCAGGCTAAAGTACATTATAGCACAGTAGTTAACAGTTTGTGTTCCCAAGTAAATTTTGTGGATTCAAATTCTGGCTCTACTACTTGCCTGAGTAAGTTATTTAGCTTCAATTTACTTAGCCCCGCATCATTAAGATGGTGGCAACGGCACCTTCCTTCATGGAATTAACATGAGGAACACATGTAAAAGGCCTGGCACAGAGTAAGAAGCTGATGATTATTTTTTTGTCATCATTATACTAGAAGAGTTCCAACAGAATGGTTCAAACCAAAGTAACTAATCCTCCCTACCCATTATTCACCTCATTTTTTAATGTGTGTTAAGGATCCAGTGGTTTCTTTGTAGGTTATTTCCACACTACCTTTTGAATCTCTTAACCCTACTGACCAGTAGAGCAACTTTTCTTCAATTCTTGCTTTTCCTTGCTCCAAGGAAAGATTTCTTTGCTCCACCTCTCCAATTTTTTTCCAAGTCTTTTACTCCACTGTTTTCACTTGTTACTCATGGGGCGAGGAGACATAGAGATGTCACGAAGGACAGTAAGATTACAGGATCACTGGTTGAATGTTTGTCAACTGATAACCAAACTAGAGGGAAGGGTAGAGGTGTGCCACACAGCGCTGAATCTGGCCCCACCTTGGTCAATGTTTACAAAAATTCGAAAGTTAAAAGGCTTTTTTTTTTTTTTGAGATGGGAGTCTCGCTCTTGTCGCCCAGGCTGGAGTGCAGTAGCGCGATGTCGGCTCACTGCAATCTTCACCTCCCAGGTTCAAGCTATTCTGCTGCTCAGCCTCATAAGTAGCTGGGATTACAGGAGCCCACCACCACGCCCGGCTAATTTTTGTCCTTTTAGTAGAGACGGGGTTTCACCATGTTGGCCAGGCTGGTCTCGAACTCCTTACCTCAGGGGATCCGCCCGGCTCAGCCTCCCAAAGTGCTGGGATTACAGGCGTGAGCCACTGTGCCCGGCCAGTTTAAGGCAATTCTTATTAGACCTCCTGCTTACTGATAGATAGCAGAAACTGTAAACATGGTGGGTAACAGCTTGTAACAGCTTTGAACTTAAGGCCAAATGAACGAGAGAAATTTTAAGAATGGTCATTGTAAATTCCTACACTTCAAGTCATGCAATTATCTGCACAATGAATGAAATCTAACTTCATAATAGTTCACGTGAAAGGTCCTAGTTGACTGCAAGGTTACTGTGAGTCAGCAAAGCAACATGCCAAAAATACTAAGCCTGCCAGGGAATTCATTTGCAACAGGATTCAAGACAAAGAGGGCAACTTGGAACTTGATAATCATCCAACCACTTCCACAAGAGCCTGTTCACTTCTGGGTGCTCCATCCCAAACGGCAACAAGGATGATGAGTGATCAGAAAAAACAATGCTGGGCAAGGACAAAGAGATGAGAACTGTAAATGGAAGAACTGAAGGGGGAAGGGGATGGTCAACATTCATCCGGAGGAATTTTTATAATGTGCCTTGCTCCACGAGGCAAGATTTAGATCAGCGAAGTATTGGAAGAGGGCTCAAACCAGAGAAAAACTTCCTAATTGAGCCAGCCCTTATGAGGTTACTAAAGCTATTAGAATTCATGCTAAAGGGTGGGTTAGAAGAGGTTCACCCTGATCACCTCTGAATTCTAACATGTAGAAGTTTAATTCTATGATAAACTCATAAAATTTTAAAAATACCCTCAAAGGCTAAGTAGGCCGATTAGGTAATCAAAACACAATTAGATCCAGATTTTTGTGAGACAACAGGTTAAAAAAAATAAGTAAATTCTAAAAATACGTAAATAAAATTAGAAAGTGACTTTATTTTTACTTTTGGTGAAAAGTTCACAATACATTTGTTATCGAGGCAAGATTCTTAGAGGCGCATTGCAACTCAAAAAATAAAACAAAAGCTGGCTGTTTCCATAACCTCACTCACTTCAGATCTACCTCATCATTTGGGGCAGACAAAAGGAGGGAAGGGCACCCTGTTGTTCCGTTGCAATGTAACAAAATGTGACAAGAAAAATATTTATAAAGCCAAATTCTCTTGATCAGATTCAGGAAAAGTCAGCGACCCACAGGTTAATTTTTTTTTAATTTAAATGAAGAATGTCCAGTCTTACATATGGTGTTGGAGTCACCTATGATCACCTGAGTCATCCTGACCATACGTGAGCTGCACGCTCAGCTGCGGGTGTGACCCGTTTACTGGAAAACTCCAGCCCGAAGGGATCTGGAAGCAGTTTTTAAGACTGTGTGTGTATGAGACAGGTCGCGTCCTAGAGCAAACGGTTTTTTTTGTAAACAGACGGCATCCTAACAGGGGCGGTGCTACCCAGTCTGCGGGGAGTCGCTCGGGATCGAAGCACCTCAGAGCTCCTTCGAGCGTATCCCTTCGGGAAAGCCCCACGCCTTCCCCGAGGCGCCTCCTCCGGCCTGCAGCACGCCCTCGTCCTGCACTTCCTCCTCGGAATCTGCAAGGTATGCAGCTACCAGCCTCCCCAGGCGCCGGTTCGTTTGGTTTGCGCGGGGTCCGCGCCTTGGGGTCACCTCGCGAAAAGAGCGTGCGGCGTCCGGTGCACTGCGGTGTCAGCGCCCGCTTCGGGGACGCCCCGCCGCGGGGGCTCAGCGGGCGCGCACGCGCGGCCTCCTCCGCAGTGTGCAACCCCGCGGGGGAGGAGGGAATCGCGGCGACGTCACTGCCCCGAGGCTTCCAAAGGGGCGGAGCCTCCCGGGAGGCTGCGGCGCTCCCAGCCAGCGCGCGCGCGCGCGCCCCCGCCCCCACGTGTCCCTGCGGCCCCGGGGAATGTGGGTCAGGGAGCCGAGCGGCCTCACGTGTCCCCGCCCGCCGCCGCCGCCTCAGCGCCCATTATGTAATGCCGCGTCACGCGCCCGCCCAGCCAACCGGCGCCCGCGCGCCGCCGAACGTAAACACAGCGCGCACGTGGCTCGCGCGGCCGGGCCATGTGAGGGGGGGGCCGGGCCGGGCGCCGGCAGGCCGCGCTGCGGCTTTGCAGGGAGACAAGAGGGCGGGCGCCGGGCGGCCCGGGGGGCGATGGGAACCGAGCCAGAGGCGGACACGCGGCGCGCAGCAGCCCACCCCGCCCCACCGGCCATGGGGACACCCCCTGCCGCCGCCCCCCAAAGTGCCCCGCGGGCTCTGAGCGCTCCCTCCGGCCATCCCCCACCCGCCGCAGTCCGGTTCTTACCTGCATTCACCTCCATGGTGCCCTCGCGGAGGCGGCCGGGGCCGCCCGCTTCCCGCAGAGGGGGCAGCGCCGCCGCCGCCGCCTCAGCGCCGCGCCGCCCCGGGCTGGAAGCAGCGGTGGTCGCGGGGCCCCCTCATGGGCAGAGCGGGCGGGGCTCCCGGGCCCCAGGCCGTGCAGCGCACAGCAGGCTGCAGCGAGAGAGGGTGGCGGCGGCCGGCGAGCGGCGCTCCTCGCTGGGTCCCTGACAACAAAAGCGGCGGCGCGGCGGCTTCCTGCAGCCAGCGCACCGCGGCGGCGAGGGCGGCTGACGGGGAGGGCAGCCGCGACCATGTGACCCGCGCACACACCCCCTCCCTCCGCCCGCCCTCGGCCGGCCGCTGCGGCGACCTCCGCCCCGCCGCTCCCCTCCCTCCCGCCCGCTTCCCGGCTCCCCGGCTACCCTTTTCTCCTGCGCTTCCCCCTTCTCCCCTTCCTTCTCCTTGCCGAGCCCCTCCTCTTCCTTCGTTTTTCCCCTCCGTGCCGTAAACCTCTTCTCCGTTTCCCTCCGCCGCATATTCCTCCCCTCCTCCTCCTCTTTCCTCTCCTCCCGGCTGCCTTTCCCGCCTCTGGCCGGGAGTCCTCTCCACGCCCTGCCCCCCAACCTGGTGGCTCTTAGGTCAAAGCGGTGGCTTGGCGCCGAGCAAGGGTGATTCTCAGGACCCCGGCTGGGCCGGCTGGTTCGGGCTTGCTCAACCCTTGCGCCCCCCACCCCCACCCCCCGCTCCCACCCGACCGACCTCCAAACGCTGGTCTCTGAGGGCACAGACCCTTCCCTTTCCCTCTGCACCCTCTAGGTGATTTTATCCAATCTCATAGCTTAAGTAGACCTATGTTCTTGTGATTCCCAGATTTATATTTCAAGCCAAGACCTCTCTTCTAATCTCCAGATTCCTACATCCAGCAGCCCGTTTGATTATGCCGCTTTTTTGCATCTCAGATTTTAGACGGGTGTACGCGTGTGTCCGAACTCAGCTAATGTGCAGTCAAGATCTGGGCGTTTCACCTTGAATGTAAATTTTAGATCAAAAGAAAAAAGCTAGACATAAATTGTATGCGTGCTGAGGTGAATTCTGAGGAAAGTGCATTGATGCCCGCAATTTAAACGCATTACTGAAGTAAGATGGGCTGATAGAGGCATGAATAGATGATATGGTAAGATGTTAAACTTAGGCGATGGGGATATGGGTGTTGCTTGTAAAACTCTTTCCAGTTTGCTCTGAAATTCTTCACTATAGAAGGTGGGGAAAATGTCACGTGGAAGACATATTTACATGTGCAACACCCTATTTCCCCACCCCCCAGGTTTCTTCACCATATCAATATTTACTGTTTTGGTAAATCTGCAAGTTCCTGAAGCCAGCAAAATTATGTTTCTCTCCTAACACTCTCACAGCCTTTTATTCTCCATTCAATCCATTAGCAAGTCTGAGCTATTCTACCTTCAAAATATGTTCAATCCCTGTTTCTCACCGTTGGTATTGCTAGAGCAAACCATTATCTCTTGCCTCAGCTACTGCTCTGGTTCCCTAACTAGGAGAGTGCTTCTTGGGTCCTCCTACAGTCACTTCTCCCCAGCAGTCAAAGTATTATTTTTAAAATGTAAATAAGATCTGATTACTCTGCTGAAAACCCTCCAATGGCTTCGTGTTACACTTTGAAAAAATTCAACGACTTAACCTGACCTGCTTCGCCCTGCACAGATGTGGGTCCTGCTTCTCTTTCCAAGGCTGTCTTGATACCCAAACCCTTCTAAACACAGTTCCCTAATCACGGTAGCCCTCTATTCTTCCCTACTTCTGGAATTTATCACCCTCATGTGATGCTGATGGAAGAGTTCCCCAGGCCACGCTTTGTAGCTTGCTTGCTTTTTCATGTATCAACTACCATCTACTTCTACACAGGTAAAATGAGGTTAATATGAACAGTCTAGAAGGCAGAAAAGAAATCATAAAAGAGGATACCACTCTAAAAAGGCTGTGTACTGTATGATTCCAACTATACGACATTCTAGAAAAGGCAAAACTGGGCTGGGCGCGGGGGCTGACGCCTGTAATCCCAGCACTTTGGGAGGCCAAGGCGGGTGGATCACCTGAGGTCAGGAGTTCAAGACCAGCCTGACCAACATGGAGAAACCCCATCTCTACTAAAAATACAAAATTAGCCGGGGTGGTGGCGCATGCCTGTAATCCCAGCTACTCGGGAGGCTGAGGCAGGAGAATCGCTTGAACCCGGAAGGCGGAAGTTGCGGTGAGCCGAGATCGCGCCATTGCACTCCAGCCTGGGCAAAAAGAGCAAAACTCTGTCTCAAAAAAAGGAAGAAAAGGCAAAACTGGAGACAGTAGAAAGATCAGTGGTTACTAAAGGCTAGAGGGGAAGGAGGGATGAATAGAGCACAGAGGATTTTTAGGGCAGGGAAAGTATTCTGTATGATACTATAATGGTGAATATATGTTTTTACACATTTGTCAAAACTAGAACCTACAACGTCAAGAGTGAGCCCTGGCAGGGCGCAGTGGCTCACACCTGTAATCCCAGCACTTTGGGAGACTGATGTGGAAGGATCAATGAGCCCAGGTATTGGAGAATCGGAGACTAGCCTGGGCGATATGGCGAAACTCCATCTCTACAAAAAATACAAAAATTAGCCGGGTTTGGTGGTGTGCAACTGTAGTCCCAGCTACTCAAGAGGCTGATGCAGGAGCATCTCTTGATCTGGGAGGTTGAGGCTGCAGTAAGTCATGATCTCCCCAGTGCATTCCAGTCTGGGTGACAGAGCAAGGAGATCCCGTCTCGAAAAAAAAAAGAAGTGTATCCTAATGTAAACTGTGGCTTTGAGGCCGGGAGCGGTGGCTCACCCAGCACTTTGGGAGGCCGAGGACGGCAGATCATCTGAGATCAGGAGTTTGACACCAGACTGACCAACGTGGAGAAACCCCGTCTCTACTAAAAATACAAAATTAGCCGGGCATGGTGGCACATGCCTGTAATCCCAGCTAATATGGAGGGTGGAGCAGGAGAATCGCTTGAACCTGGGAGGCGGAGGTTGCGGTGAGCCGAGATCGTGCCGTTGCACTCCAGCCTGGGCAACAAGAGCAAAACTCTGTCTCAAAAAAATAAAATGAAAAAATAAACTATGGCTTTGAATGATGTATCAGTGTAGGTTCGATAGTGGTAACAAATGTACCACCGTGTCGCAGGATGTTTGATAGTGGGAGAAGCTGTGCGTTTGTGGAGGCAGGAGGTGCTTGGGAACTCTGAAGTTCACAGTACTGCTCTAGGCCAGGCGCGGTGGCTCACGCTTGTAATCCCAGCACTTTGAGAGGTCAAGGCAGGCGGATCTCTTGAGGCCAGGAGTTCAAGACCAGCCTGGCCAACTTGACAAAACCCCGTCTCTACTAAAAATACAAAAATTAGCCGGATGTGGTAGCACACACCTGTAATCCTAGCCACTAGGGAGGTTGAGTCACGAGAATCCCTTGAACCCGGGAGGCAGAGTTTATCGTAAGCTGAGATCATGCCACTGCACTCCAGCCTAGGCAACAGAGTGAGACTCTGTCTCAAAAATAAATAAATAAATAAATAAGTAAATAAATAAAGACTATTTAAAATTGTATAAGAGGTTACCACTATTTAAATTTGAAAAGAAGAATGTAAGTGAAAAATAGCCATTGCAAAGTATATCTTTAAGACCCTCTCTTCGATGATAGTGTCTATAAAATAATATCAGTGTCTATGAGCCTCAGCGTTTTTTAGAGGCTGCCTTCTTCCTATGAGACTTTGCAAGTAACTAGTAGAGGCTATAGAGCTATAACCCAAGTCAGTCACCAGCCACACCACTGGCCACTGGAAATTCGCTGGGCTCCTCAGTGCCAGAGGAGGATGCTCAGGAGCATCCTCTGGTTGGGCAGTACCCAGCGTGCTGTAGCTGCGGTGGAAATTGCCTTTTGCTGCTGTCATTCCAAGGAGCCTCATTTATTAATCCTGTGGTGTCTATGGCTTAGTCTGTTGGGATTCTCAGAATATTCATAGTGGATTTCTACCTACTCCACCTTCCTCATTCTGACCAAAATAACTGTTGAATGAAGTGACTGTGTCTTCAAAAGTTATCTGTTAAAAATGCAAATTACTTTCTAGGAAAGCTACCTCATTAGCCCTTACATACAATTAACAGAGCCTGCAAAACAACACAAGATAGGTCCATCTAGATATGAATAAAGGAAAGAAGAGCCTAAATGTTAAGAGTCCTCTTATCCCAAACTCAAGTAAGATAGGCCAAGTGGCGCACTGCAGTATGAGGACCTAGATGAAGGAGGGGCATTAGGAAAAAAAGAGAAAGGTGAAGTCTATTAAAGATAAGGCCAATTAAAAACATTTAAGGTCATTCCTCATTTTAAAATGTTCCAATGAGTCCTGCTAGCTCCTAATACCGAAACAACATGCCACTTAAATTGCCTTTTCTATGCCCTAGATGAGCAGTTCTCAAACTTTTGATCTCAGAACTCTGCACTCTTAAAATTGTTGAAGACCACAAAGTACTTTTTTTGTGGACTATATCAAGATCTACTTATTAGAAATGAAAACAGAGACATTTAAAACACAAAAATTCCCAAGCATGTTTGTCTCAGAGCAGCGACATCATCACATAGCAACAAATAGCTCTGGCAGTTTGCTGTGACACAGCAAATTGCAGTTGCCGTTCATCATGACATTTGTGACGTACCTTCTTCCAGGCTATTTTTTTCTTTACCGTTCCATTCATGGTATTAGCTTCTATATTTCTCCACAATTCTGCCTCAATAATATGTCTTTATTTTAAATTTAAAACTTTGTCTGTACTTAATTTTTAACTAAAAAAATGATTTTGTTATAACGAAATAATAAAAATTATATTATGATTTATATATCACTATGTAAATTATGTCTTATTTGATGTCTTCATAAAATATTCAAATAAACACATTCCACTATTACATCTGTGCATAGAAAACACTAATTCAAACTGAATCAATCCATTGACACCAACAAGATCAGTGATGTGTTTATGGGCAATACTGAAAACAGTACACAACTCCAGCACACACACTACAATGCAATAATAATAGCTTATGAGATGTAGTGGTTAAAGTTAAATACAGCCCAACCAAAACTGTCAAGTTGTGTTTAATGAAAAAAAAAATTCACACTGTTGCAGTTTTTTTAATTTTTTTTTAGAAACAGGTCTGGCTTTGTCGCCCCAGCTGCAGTACAGTGGTGCAATCATATAACTTATTACAGCTTCAAACTCATGGGCTCGAGATGCTCCCACCTCAGCCTCTCAATTAGCTAGGACCACAGGTGTGTACCACCACACCCCAGTAATTTCTCTTTTTTTTTTTTTTTTTTTTTTTGGTAGAGATGGGAGTCTTCCTGTGTTGCCAGGCTAGTCTTGAATTCATGGCCTCAAGCAGTCCTCCCACCTCAGCCTCCCAAAGTGCCAGGATTACAGGTGTGAGCCTACGCACCCGGTCAGTTTTTAAATTTAAATTTAAATTAGTTAAAATGAAATAAAATCCAAAATTTCATTCCTTAGTTGCTGTAGTCACATTTCAAGTGTCAATAGCCACATGTGGCAACCAAATTCATCATTACAGATTTAGAGGCTTTCTTCGTCTTCCTGAATCAGTTTGATAAATTATTATTCTAGGAGTTTGTCCATGTTGTATAAACTTTCACATTTAATGGAATACAGTTGTTTGTATCCTCTTATCTCTTTGATTGATATCAACTCTACAGTTTCCCTTTTTTGTTTTTTGTTTGTTTGTTTGTTTGTTTTGAGACGGAGTCTCGCTCTGTCACCCAGACTGGAGTGCAGTGGCACGATCTCAGCTCACTGTAACCTCCACCTCCTCCTGGGTTCAAGCCATTCTCCTGCCTCAGCCTCCTGAGTAGCTGGGATTACAGGCACATGCCACCATGCCCAGCTAATTTTTGTATTTTAATAGAGACGGGGTTTTACCATGTTGGTCAGGCTGTTCTCGAACTCCTGGCCTCATGATCCGCCCAACTTGGCCTCCCAAAGTGCTGGGATTACAAGTCATGAGCCACCGTTCCTGGCCTGGTTTCCCATTCTTAATTTTATTTATTTGTGCTTTTTCTTTCTTGATCAGTCCTACAAAACTTTTATTTACTTTGTTAACTTTTTCAATGGCCTAATTTTTTGCTTTATTGATTCACTAAATTATTTTTGTTTCATTGATTTCTGCTCTTTATCTTGATCTACATCCTTCCATTTTATTTTTATCTTATTTTTCTCATTTCTTGATTTGGACATTTATCGTATACATTTGTTCAATTAGCCAGAGTCAGTTTCTCCTGTTTGTAACTAAGGAAACCTCACTGATAGAATTGTTTTCAATCATTCTCACCAATTTTAGGGAACATTCCAGTCAACTACTGCATTATAACAAATCACCCCATAACTTAGTGACTTAAGATAACAGCATTATTTTGTTATCTATGATGAAGCCTGGAAGCTCTTGGCTGGGCATTTCTGGCTCAGGGTCTCTTGGCAATCAGACAGTGGGTGGAGCTGAAACAGCAGGGGGTTGGAGCTGCTAGGAGCTAGCTGGGCACTTCCCTCTTTAGGTAGTCACAGGGCTTCTCCACAAGATCTCTACATGTGGGCTACTTTGGACTTCCTCACAACATGGCAGCCTCAGGGCAGTCACACTGCTTACAGAGCAGCTCAGGCCTCCAATGCAGGTGTTCCATGGGATAAGGGAGAAGTTGCATCACCTTTTCTGATCATGCCTCAGAAGACATGTGGCATGAATTTTGCTGCATTATTGGTTAAAAGGGAGTCACAAGCACACCCAGATCCAAGGGTAGGGGACATGGACCTTATCTCTTTATAACAGGAGCATCAAGGTCATATCTTGAATAGCATAAGAGATGGAATATATTCTTGCAACTATCATTTTCAAAAGGGAACAATTTTAAAGAATCACGCACATATACAGTGCACCCTGACTCAAGGACCACATTACTTTGTTAAAATTTTAACATGGCTGGGCATGGTGGCTCACACCTGTAATCATAACACTCTGGGAGTCTGAGGCAGGAGAATGGCCTAAGCCCAAGGGTTCAAGACCAACCTGGGGAACATAGTGAGACCCCCCAACTCTATAAAAAATTTAAAAATTTGTTGGGTGTGGTGGCTCCTGCCCGAGGTCCCAGCTACCCAGGCAGCTGAGATGGGAGGATCGTTTGAGCCTGGGAGATAGAGGCTGCAGTGAGTTGTGATCGTACTACTGCACTCCAGCCTGGGCAACAATATGAGACCCTGTCTCAAGAAAAAAAAAAAAAAAGGTACTGTACTTCTCAATGAGAGGGTTTTATCCTCTCCACCCTGGAAGTATTTTTCTAAGTGTTAGGATAGGAAGAATGGATGCTCCAGAGAAAGGAATGAAAGTCAGATAAGAAGTGGATACAGAAAAGCCCCCACTCCACATAATGGTTCCACTCTATTTTTGAGGAGCTTATTCTCTGTGGAGCTGAAGGTCACTAAATGATATTTCAGATATAGACCCAGTTTCTTGCCTATTCTGAGTCTCTTATTGTCTTAATAATATCTAATATCTTTTCGTTCATTTGGAGAAGAATCTAGTAGGTAAAAGGGTTATGTCTACATGTAATGAATGCAGTCTACACGATAATGTATATATAAAAATCCAAAACAATCAACAACAGAAACCATCTGGCCAAGATACTTCATTGAATAGAGTGGAAAAAATATCTAATGCCACCTGGAAACCCTAGTTGAATTTTTTTAAGTGCTGCATTGATTTAATAACATACTAAACAGATATTTTTTAAAAAGTAAGAAAGAAAATAAGAAAAGTTGCATGACAGTTCAACAAATAAAAAATGCTATATGAAATGCCTCATTATTTTCAATACTCTCGGTCACAGTTAAAAAAAGAGATCCTACTTTTTCCCTGGGGTGAGGGAAAAAAAAAAACATCAAACACAAAACTTGCCCTAACAACAGGGCATGCTATCTAAAGGAACAATATATATTGCTGACTCACAAATTTTCCCATTCAATCTTCCTGTTTATTCTTTTGAAAATACTTCATTGAGAATTCCTCCCAGCAGTGCAATCTCTCCTAGCATGAGTTCATTAACTGACCATTCTCTTAAGTTTTCTTTTCTTTTTCTTTTCTTTTTTTCTTTTTCTTTTTCCAGACAGAGTCTATGGCCCTCCATCTCTCCTCCTCCCAGGTTCAGGCGATTCTCGTGCCTCAGCCTACCGAGTAGCTGGGACTACAGGCACACGCCCGGCAAATTTTTGTATTTTTTGTAGAGACTGGGTTTCGCCACATTGGCCAGGCTGGTCTCGAACTCTAGCCTCAAGTGATCTGCCCACCTCAGCCTCCCAAAGTGCCAGGATTACACCACCCCAGGCCTCTCCTAAATTTTCTATCCTACCTTGTCGCCAATACTTAGAGGAGACTTAGAGACCCAGGTGGGTCCCTTTTCAACAATCAACTCTTCACTCAGCTTCAGTTTATCAGGAGCTCTCCTCCACTGGTGAATTCTCCAAGTGCAGCGCATTCTTCCCTCACTGGGAAAGTCACCTAGACCAATAATTCTCAAAAAGTGTGGTCACTGGATCAGCAGCATCAGCATCACCTGAAAACTTGTTAGAAATGCAATTTTTCAGCCGGGCGCAGTAGTGCAGTGGCTCACGCCTGTAATCCCAGCACTTTGGGAGGCCGAGGCAGGCGGATCACAAGGTCAGGAGATCGAGACCATCCTGGCTAACACAGTGAACTCTCATCTCTAGTAAAAATACAGAAAATTAGCCAGGTGTGGTGGCACGCACCTGTGGTCCCAGCTACTCAGGAGGCTGAGGCAGGAGAATCGCTTGAACCCAGGAGGTAGAGGTTGCAGTGAGCCGAGATCGCACCACTGCACTCCAGCCTGGGCGACAGAGGGAGACTCCGTCTCAAAAGAAAAAAAAAAGAAAAAGCAGTTTTTCGGGCTCTACCTCAGATTTAATGAATCAGAAACTCTAAGGGCAGGGCCAGTAATTGGTATTTTAACAAGCCCTCCAGGTGATTCTGAGGCACTCTCAAGTTTGGGAGAGCATCAGCTTAGAAAGCCAGTAACCAGAAAATTGATCAGCCCTGTACTCCAGGGCTTACAGGCCAATGTGACTAAGTATATAAGGTTAGTGGCTGCCTCCCTTCAGAATTTCTGCACCACACCTTCAAGCGACCAGTATTTCTGCCCTGTAATATGACAGGATAGAATTTTAAATGCAAAGAGCACATTGCTTGGGTTTATGATTCCAGATCTTCTTCCATGCCTGGATGGATTTCTGCCTATAGACTCTAGGACAAACCTGCTATTCTCAGAATAAACACTCCTATTATGCTTATCACCAATGAGCTCCCCAACCCCGCTTTTTTTTTTTTTTTTTTTTTTTTGAGACAGGGTCCCTTTCTGTCGCCCAGGCTAGAGTGCAGTGGCGTGATTATAGCTCACTGCAGCCTCGAATTTCTGGGCTCAAGCAATTCTCCCACTTGAACATCTCAAGAAGCTGGAACTACAGGTGTACACCACCATACCGGGCTAATTTTTAAAAAATTATTTGTAGAGACGAGGTTTTGCTGTGTTGCCTGGGCTGGTCTTGAACTCCTGAGCTCAAGCAATCCTCCTGCCTTGGCCTCCCAAAGTGCTGGGATTACAGGCGTGATGAGCCACTGTGCCTGACCATGAGCCTTTACTAATTATCTATCTATAGATGTATTTATCTACATTCTAGAAAACAAATTTACTTCTTGCTAGGTGTGATGGCTCACACCTGTAATCCCAGCACTTTGGGAAGCCAAGGTGGAAGAGGATCACTTGAGCCCAGAAGTTCCAGACCAGTCTGGGTAACATTAGCGAGACCTCGTCTCTGCAAATAATGTTTAAAAAATTAGCTGGGCACAGTGACACGTGCCTATAGTGCCAGTTCCTTGGGATGCTGAGGTTGGAGGATTACTTGAGCCTAAGTGTTAGTGGTAGAGGCTCCAGTGAGCCCTGATCATGCCACTGCACTCCAGCCTGGGAGACAGAACAAGACCCCATCTCAACAAAAAAAGAAAAAGAAAAAAGAGTTGATTCGTTGATCAATTTTTTTTTTTTGTCTAATCAGAACCTTGGCCATTAACACCTTTCTTTCATAAACTAATTTCTTCCATCTGCCTTATCAAATTTGGTAGATTTTCCCTTTGCTAAGATTTAATTTATTATTTTTGAGTTGGCAATAAATCTTACCATGTTTAGTTTTAGCCATTGTCAGGGTTTTTTTTTAACAATAATATTCATTATAAATTTGATATTCTTTTAAAGCCTGATGGTTTCTGCTTCTTTTTTACCTAACTCACGAGGCAGGAGGATCCATTTAGCCCAGGAGTTTGAGACCAGCCTGGGCAGCATAGCAAAGCCCTGTCTCAAAAATAAAAATAAAAAGAACTGAGAAAGCTTTAAGATCACCTTCAAGGTACAAAGGGAAATAGAGGGTGGATTGGATTGGAGCGGGTCCTGCTGAGCAATCCTCACAGCCTTATTTTGCCATTCTTTCAGGATTTAGAAATCATTTATTGCATGGATCTCTTAAGCAATCTTCTATAGATTAAAAAAATTCAGAGATAATAAGTCTTCTGATATTCTCTGTAAGTTTTTTTTTTTCAAGAGAGCAAGAATGGATGCTTTCATTTAAAGGAGGGAAAAATACCTCTGAAAAAGGCTTTATTTTCTCAGAAGATGGGCAAGTTGTGAATAATCACCATTGTGGTTAGTGTTAATTCTTGCAGAGTTGGACCTTGTAGGTCAACCAGATCCCTTTCTTTTGCTTTATAAATTGAGTTGAAATAGTTCCTGCTGACCCGAGAGTGCTGCCAGCATGCCCAGAAGTGCCACCCCTGAAGGCACTGTATAATGAGACAATCCACAGGGCTGATCGCAGCATAAAGAAAAGTTCAAGCTGGGACTTAAATTTTTAACACATTTGCAGTACGAAAGCAGAATAGCCAGAGGAACTGCAACAGAATGACATCATTCAAATAACTGAATACTCAGTTTAATCATTCAAATTCCCAATATCACAAGAGACATATCATTATGACAGCATCGCCCACAGCTGCCTAAAATGTGTGCTTTCTTACTTTATACCCATGGCAGAGCATAAGGATACAATTATTTTTGGCTTTTGGTTTTGGTTTATTGGAGTGGTTTGTTTGGGGGTGAGGAAAGGTGAGATGACATTTAGTTTTTCTTTATGGAAAAAAGTTTCCGCATATATGTGATGGAACAAAGGAAGGGAGGAATGAATGATAAACACATACAGACAAACCTTCCCCCATTTCTTTTGAACTAATATAAAGTTCAGTTCATTACTTTGCCATACTTTGAGCTAAATTTAGAAACCTCTTGCTATGGTCTGAATGTGTTCCTCCAAATTAATATATTGAAACTTAATCACTATGCGATAGTATTAAGAGGTGGGCCCTTAGGAGTTGATTAAGTCACGAGGGCAGACCCCTCATGAATGATATTAGCCACATTGTAAAAGATGTTGAAGCGTCCTGGCCCTTTTTGCTCTTCTGCCACATGAGAATGCAGCAGCCAAGGCGCCATCTTGGAAGCAGAGACTGGGCCCTTTACCAGACACCCAACTTACTGGTGCCTTGATCTTGGACTTTCCAGCTCCAAAAGTGTGATAAATAAATGTTCTTTAAGCCACCCAGCCTACAGTAATTTGTTATCGCAGCACAAAGTGACTAAGACATCCCTCAAAAACCAATTTTTACCCCCTTAGGGGTGATATTACCCCCTTGAGAATGCACGTATAAAAAAGCAGGACCAAAAAAAAAGTGGGGAGTAGGAGTGGGGGAGATAGGCACAGGAATTCTTTGCATGTAGACACTTATCCCCAAACCCCATATGTGATATAAGGTGATACATATGTACAACAGGGTTTTCTCAACAGTGGTGCTATTGACATTTTGGGCTGGACAATTCTTTGCTGTCTGTGCATTGTAGTATGTTTGGCAGCATCCCTGGCCTCTATCCACTGGATGCCAGTGGCAATACCACCCACTTCCCAGTTGTGACAACCAAAAATGTCTCTGGACATTGTCAAATGTCCCTGGGGGACAAAATTGTTCCCCTACCCCATCAAGAACCACTGGGATAGAGTAATTTACAAGAAACCAGCAACAGTGAGGAAGAATTCTGGAGGCGTGAGGCAGGAGAGAAAATAACTTCTGTGTGTGAGATTAAATGACAAATGCAGACAGCAGAACAATACTGTATTTGTTTTCTATTACTGCTCTAACAAATTACCACAAACTTAGCACTTAACACAATACACAGGTATGATCTTAACAGTTCCTGTAGGTCAGAGTCTTAACAAACTAAAATCAAGCCATCGATCTCTGGCTCTCATGTTCTTCTGCCTCCCTCTTCCATATCTCAAGGAGCCTTGTGATTACATTAGGCCTGAAGTCTCCCCATCTCAAAGTCAGCTGATTTGCAACCTTAATTCCTCTTTGTTTTATAATGTAACATAGTCACAGATTTCCAGTATTAGGAGTGGACATCATTGGAGGGGCCATTATTCTGCCTCCCACAAATACATATGGAGTGATTCTATTAATGTTAACGTTGTTGACTCCCAGCATAGAGAAATCAAGCAGATTTTGGAGGAAGAGGAAGAAGTAAAAGTGGAACACACTGCTGGTTTTTGCTCTTTCCTATGAGAGGCACCAGCAATCTTCTCTGCCAGTTTTCTTCCTAAAACTATAGAAGTTACTTTTTTTTTTTTTTTTTTTTGAGACGGAATTTTGCTCTTGTTGCCCAGGCTGTAGTGCAATGGCGCCATCTCGGCTCACCACAACCTCCACCTCCTGGGTTCAAGCAATTCTCCTGCCTCAGCCTCTCTAGCAGCTGGGATTACAGGCATGCACCACCACGCCCGGCTAATTTTGTTTTTTTAGTAGAGATGGGGTTTCTCCATGTTGGTCAGGCTGGTCTTGGACTCCCGACCTCAGGTGATCCGCCCGCCTCGGCCTCCAAAAGTGCTGGAATTACAGGCCTAGAAGTTATTTTGTAGCAAACAATAATAAACAGTCCTTATGCGAGATTAATTTGTTAGAGAGGTACACTTCAGGTCATTAAATCACAGGTTAAGTAAGGGACCTCTGTATATCATTTAGTATAGAAATTTATGCAAATAACTGGGATTTCATTATGTAATTTATTTCTTTGTTGAGTCTCCTTTAATTGAGCCCTGTTTTCTAGGCACTCTCACAGATGTTTAAAGGTTGCCTCCTAGGACTGACTCTAAACACCCCTGGCAAACTCTGTCACTCTATGATCACTTCTGACTTCCATTTAGTTGTGAGTTTTCAGTTCCATAATTATATACATCTCATTGGAAAGAGAATCAAAAACTTCAAGCCACACTCCTTTCTAATCGCCTGTAGTCAGTTGGTTTTGGGGTAGTATAGCTTACAAAAGTTCTCCCACATCTCTCCCCTCAAAATTAAAAAACAGCAGCAGGCTCTGCTGACTAATAATAAGCATCATTGCTCCAGACAAAGACTTGATAAAACACCCTGTCTCTGCCCAGTGCCCATAGAAAGGGGACAGCCTTTGGGGCAAGGAGCTGACAGCCAATGCCGAGTTTCTGAAGTCACTGGGTGGTTGAAGGCAAGAAACCAAATTTGGGTCTCATGACCCTTTGCTACTTCCTGAAACCCGCCCTTCTTCTCTACCTTTCTTTCTCTCTCTCTCTCTCTCTCTCTCTCCTTCCTTTCCATTTCTTTTTCCTCCCTTCCACTAATACTTATTGGGCGTATTGGTGGACAAAACAAACAGAAAATGAATGCATTAAACTTAAAACCTCTGGGGGTGGGAAGGTGGCTAGATAAACAATAAGTAAAACACAAGAGCATGTCAGATGGTGATGCTAAGGAGACAAATAAAGCAGGGAAGGGAGACAAGGAAGTGCCAGGGGCAAGGACGAGGAATGTTTAAATTTAAGTAAAGAATCCAGGAAGGTTTTACTGAGAAATGGATGTTTGAGGAAAGACCCAAAGTAAGTGAGGGAGTGAGCCACGACTATATTTGGGAGAAGAACGTCAATGCAGAACAGGCATTGAAAGAGCCTAAAGCTGAACATACTTAATCAAATTTGAGAGAGAGGAGGCCAGGATGGCTGCAGAAGCAAAAGTAAAGAGAAATGTAGTAGGAAATGAAATCAGAAACATAATCTTGTGATTGAAGGGAACGTTGGTTTTTTGTTTGAAACTTTACGAAGAGTTTCAAACCACTTCAGAAACCAGGTCAATGATGGAAACACTGTTTACGGTATTAGAGCCACTGATAGCATACACAACTGTATCAGGCTGCATACATAAAGATTCTGAATACAGGTATAAACACCATCTTACAACTTCATTATATCCTGTGATCTAATTGTATCCAGATATTTACATATTGAAATACATATTGTTTTATTGTAGGTTACCTTTATTTTGGCTGGCTGTGGTGGCTCACGCCTATAATCCCAGCACTTTGGAAGGCCAAGGCAGGAGGATCAGCTGGGCAACATGGCAAAATTCTGTCTCTACAAAAAAAAAAAAAAAAAACAGCCGGACATGGTGGCATGCACCTATAGTCCCAGCTACTCAGGAGGTAAAGGTGGGAGGATCACCTAAGCCCAGGAGGTGGAGGCTGCAATGAGCCATGATTGTGTCACTGCACAATTGTGCCTGGGTGACAGAGTACGACCCTGTCTCAGAAAATAAAAAAATGAAAGAGATTACTTTTATTTTTTTCTTCATATTACAATTTGGGCATTTTATTGACTCTTATGATCATTATAATTATGAAATTATATATATAGATTAGTTATTGTCTGTAAATTTAATTTCATAATAGTAAAGAGGGCATTGTAAATTCCTATTATAAAAAGGGAATGGTGGGTCCTTTCAACCCCAAAATAAGATTGAAAACTGTTTGTATAGTGTAGATTTTTTGTCCTTTTTTTTGGCGGCTTATTTATCTTTTATTCTGAGGTTCAAAATCAATGGAGGGTTTCAAGCAAAACACTGCCATGATGTAACTAGCTTCAGACACATCATCCTTGCTGCATTTGGGAGAACGAATTGCAGGGAATCCAACCCAAAGTGCTGGGCTTAGCAGGACCCTCCCCCTGCACTGCTTATTCCACTACATCTTTATCCCTTTAGCCCGCCATGGCTGTCAGGGTGTTGCTCAGCCTCTCACGCACTCAGCCACCCCTTCTAGAATCAGCAAATACCCCCCAGGATGAAGCAGCTCTCAATGTGACACTCTCTCTGGATTCCCCATGTTCTTCCAGATCTGGGTTCTGTAATTCTTCATTGCTTATTAGCTCTCCAATGCCTTTAAGTAGACTCAATATATATGACATATTCTATGTACTTATAATTTGACCTGCCTTTCTAGTTGTCCCTGGAGTGTTTGTCCAGATTATCCATTCCACCAATTACTTATTCCATCATTATGAAAACTAGAAATTCTATCATTTTTTCCAATTAAAAAAAACAAAGACTGGAAGAAAATAAACCAAAATGATAACATGGTTCTCTCTGAGTAATGGGATTCAGGTAATTTTTTATTGTCTAGATTTTCCAAATTTCCTGTAATTCAAAAATAAAATATCTCTTATGTGCTAGTATTATGTTAAAGAAGTCTGGGCATCCCACAAATTTTAAGTACATTGAAACATAGAGGTTGGGTGCAGGGGCTCATGTCTGTAATCCCAGCACTTTGAGAGGCTGAGGCAGGAGGATCACTTGAGTCCAGGAGTTTGATAACAGCCTGGGCAACATGGGGAGACCCTTTCTCTACAAAAACAAAAACAACAACAACAAAAAAAATTAGCCTGGTCTGGTGGCACATAACTCTAGTCCCTACTACTCAGGAGGCTGAGGTGGGAGGATCGCTTGAGCCGGAGACGCAGAGGTTGCAGTGAGCTAAGATCACGCCACTGCTCTCCAGCCTGGGTGACAGAGCGAGACCCTGTCTCAAAAATAAATAAATAAATAAACAAATTTTTTCAGGTAGTCCAAAACATGGTTTTTATTTTTATTTTATTTATTTATTTTTTGAGATGGAATCTTGCTCTGTGGCCCAAGCTGGAATGCAGTGGTGTAATCTCGGCTCACTGCAACCTCTGCCTCCTGGGTTCAAGCCATTCTCCTACGTCGGCCTCCAGAGTAGCTGGGATTACAGGCGCCTGCCACCATGCCCTGCTAATTTTTTTGTACTTTTAGTAGAGACGAGGTTTTACCACGTTGACCGGGCTGGTCTCGAACTCCTGACCTCAAGTGGTCTGCCCCTCTCAGCCTCCCAAAGTGCTGGGATTACAGGCATGAGCCACCACGCCTGGCACAAAACATGGTTTTTACAGTTAATTTTAATTTTTGTTTTAAATATATTTTCTTTTCTTTTCTTTTCTTTTTTTTTTTTTTAAAGAGATGGAGTCTCGCTCTGTCGCCCAGGCTGGAGCGCAGTGGCACGATCTCGGTTCACTGCAACCTCTGCCTCCTGGGTTCTAGCAATTCTCCTGCTTCAGCCTACCAAGTGGCTGGGACTACAGGCTCAGCGCACACCGCCACACCTGGCTAATTTTTTGTATTTTATTAGAAACGGGGCTTCACCGTGTTGCCTAGGCAGGTCTTGTACTCCTGAGCTCAGGCAATCCACCCTTCTCGGCCTCCCAAAGTGCTAGGATTACAGGTGTGAGTCACAGCGCCCGGCCTTTTTTTTTTTTTTTTTTTTAAGCCTAAATCATACTTTGAGGCTTCTGTTTTTTTGGTCTGACTTCCTCATGCCCTTGTCGGTTTCTCCTAAAAGCACTTCAGTAATGAAAAACTAGCAAACAAATCTTGACTTGGAGTCAGCTTCCACATATGGCATTATCTGAAATTACAGTGTTTCTAGGAAAAAAATTAGTATGAACATTTTTTTCAAGATGCAACAGGATCTTTATTTTTCTGTACAAGCCAAACATGACACATATCAGAATTAAGAATGTAAATTACATTTTATATATTTAGAAACTTAATGTCAGTTCACCAAAGAGTTATGGGGGATTGGAGAGTTACTAAGCACTAATGGTATTCAAATGATAACATTTATTTATTTATTTATTTATTTATTTATTTATTTATTTATTTTTGAGACAGAGTCTTGCTCTGTTGCCCAGGCTGGAGTGCAGTGGTGCAATCTTGCCTCACTGCAACCTCTGCCTCCTGGGTTCTCCTGCCTCAGCCTCTTGAGTAGCTGAGACTACAGGTGTGGGCTACCATTCCTGGCTCAGATGAACTGTGTGTGTGTGTATGTGTGTGTGTGTGTGTGTGTGTGTGTGGTGTGTAGAGAGAGAGAGGAGAGAGAGTGTGTCTTGTTTTGTTACCTAGGCTGGAGTGCAGTGGCACCAACATGGCTCACTGTAGCTTCGACTTCCCAGGCTCAAGCAATTCTTCCACCTCAGCCTCCTGCATATCTGGTACTACTGGCATGCACCACCAGACCAGGCTAATTGTTTAATCTTTTGTAGAGACAGGATCTCACCATGTTGCCCAGGCTGGTCTGGAACTCCTGGGCTCAAGCAGTCCTCCCACTTTGGCCTCCCAAATTTCTAGGATTACAGGTATGAGCCACCATGCCCAGCCTTGGATGATCATTTTTTGAATCTTTCTTTTTGATAAGCAAAACATCCTAGCTTAGTTAATAATCAACCTCGGGAAGCTAAATAGTATGTTTACACTCTCATAGAAACAAGTTTCGTGATTTGATGACTGATAATTACATCATCCATCAGTTAATGTCTCTAACTAACTAGGACTGCCAAATAATGAACTTCTCTCCAAATGACAATGAGAATTGCCAATAAATGAGTTCAGATGTTCACAGCATGCCAATTAAATCAAATGCTTTCATCAGTTTTGGAGGAGTGAGTTGCCGTTTGCCAGGATTTCAGAGTGAGCTGAAGTGTGCATTCCAGCTACAGCATTTCGTTAAGTTTGAATGCTTTGATTATGAGGTTTAATGTCACAAGCCAACTATAGCACCTTCGCAGTAGGTTTTTTTTTCTTTCCTCAACTAAGAAATATAGAGATGGGGGCCTCACTATGTTGACTGGACTGGTCTCGAACTCCTGGCCTCAAGGGATCCTCCCACCTTGGCCTCCCAAAGTGCTGGGATTACAGACGTGAGCCACTGCACTCAGCCTTGCAGCAGATTCTTCTTTTTCTAAAGAAAACTTGAGCAGCATTTTATACTAAAAGGCTTTATTTTCAGTTTATTTTTCTTATATAAAAATAGGTTGAAAACTATATGTATAGTGATGATGTTCACTGCATCATTAATAAGAATAACTAAAATCGATGGAGAAGCTAAATGTCTAGTCAGCCTTCCCAAGGCTGAACTGGAATGATGTTGGGGCTGTGGAGAGTGTTGCTTGGTTAAAAACTGCGACATGGATTTCATCCTGTTTGGGGCAGCTGATGGTCAAAGTGTAGCTTGTTGGTGCATGTCACCCCCTATTGGTATTTCAGGCCAGCTTGATCCTTCTAGGACAAATCCAAAGAATTGTTTCTTCTCTGAATGATGAATATTTATAAAACTGATTTCAAAGGTCCAACAGTTTGGCAAAAGATGCAGCCAAATTGCAGCAAATGGAAAACTAAAGGTCTTTTTCGACCAAAACCTTTTTTCTTAGAAAAGGTGTTGTAGCAGTTCATTCTTCTACAGTTTGTACCATTGGGATAAAACTCTTATCAAAAACTTCTAAAAACCTAAAATCGCCCTGACAAAGGAAGTGGTAATTATACAATTAAAATATCTATAGCAACAAATACTATTCTCATATGAAATCTATACATCAAACTTTTTACGGTAAAACTAGACTTCATATGCCTCATCTTCATCTACTAGAGAATGACACAAAAAAAAAGAAGAGGAAGAAGAGGAAGAGGAAAGAGAAGGAGAGAAAGAGGAAGAAGAGAAAAAAGAGAGAAGAGGAGGACGAGGAGCAAGAGGAGGAGGAGGAAGGAGGAGGAGGAAGAAGAAAGAAGAAGAAATAAAGAAGAATTTCAAGGGTCTAAGTCAGTACTATGGCCGGGCGCCATGGCTCATACCTATAATCCCAGCACTTTGGGAGTCCAAGGCAGGTGGATCACCTAAGGTCAGGCGTTTGAGACCAGCCTGGCCAACACGGCGAAACCCTGTCTCTACTAAAAACACAAAAATTAGCTGGGCGTGGTGGCGGGTGCCTGTAATCCCAGCTACTTGGGAGGCTGAGGCAGGGAGAATTGCTTGAACCTGGGAGGCAGAGGTTACAGTGAGCCAAGATTGTGCCACTGCACTCCAGCCTGGGCGACAGAGCAAGACGCTGTCTCAAAAAATAAATAAATAAATAAAAATAAAAATAAATAAATTGGCACTATACAACAGAAATTTCTGTGATGGTCAAAATATTTTCTGTGCTGTCCAACGTGGTAGCCAATGTGCCCACTGAGCATTTGAAATGTAACTAATATGACTGGAGAACTGACTTTTAAATCCTATTTAAATTTTAAAAGTCACAGATGGCTAGTGGCTATCATATTGAAAAGCATACAGCTAAAGTATTTTTCAGTGAATATTTGTGGGTATACAGCAAGGAAGCTATCACATAATAAAGTGTCAAATGAATTGGTTGCAGAGTTGTATGCAGATAACCATATTTTACCAAATGAATTAACTCAATAAGGGAATGCATTGTCTGTAGGAGAATTGTAAAACAACAAAAACTGAGTAAAAGTACATTTATTTATTTATTTATTTATTTTTTTGAGACAGAGTCTTACTCTGTCAACCAGGCTGAAGTGCAGTGGCGCAGTCTTGGCTCACCGCAGCTTCAACTTCCCAAGCTCAGGTGATTCTCCCACCTTAGCCTCCTGAGTAGCTGGAACCACAGGCGCATGCCACTGTGCCCAGCTAATTTTTTGTATTTTTAATAGAGACGGGTTTCGCCATCTTGCCCAGGCTGGTCTCAAACTCCTGAGCTCAAGCAATCCGCCTGCCTCGGCCTTCCAATGTGCTAGGATTACAGGTGTGAGCCACCAAGCCCAGTCTCAGTATGTTCTTTTTCAACATCATCATATTCTGGCAATGCTAAGCAATGTCAGTGACAAAATACTCTCTCTACCAGTGTGGACTGCGCTGGTTCCTGCTTTCTCCTTGGTATACTAGCTGTTTTCCATAATACTTCAAATGGGTACAAAGACTAAAGAGAAACGAAATGGATTAGTGTATGTGGTAGACATTAGAGCTGTTCACAAATATTTGATTCTCTCTCTCCTTCCAAGCACTGGAAGATATCACTTCCCCACCCTTTGAACCCAGGAGTAGCCATGGGACAACCTGAGCAGAAGCTTTACAGGTTAGGGTGTTCTACGCCATGCTCTTTGCCCTCTGCCATGGACACCTCGCAATGTTCCAGATAGTGTCTGTTCTAACAGTCTGGATTCTAGAGTGAGAACAATCTTTAACATACATGAAGTATGATCAAGAAACAAATCTTTATTATTTTAAGCCACTGAAATTTGGAGGCTATTACTGTTGCCTCATTTAGTCTGCCTGATACAATATAGCTACTAATTTGGTTTAGGAATTTCAGAACTTAAAGATGAAATCAGAACTTAGAATTGAAAGGCGAAAATGAACAGTTGAAATTTGAAGAATTTATTCTACATAAAGTTACCTTCAAGAATCTTATGAGCAGGGCCAGGCTTGGTGGCTTATTCCTGTAATCCCAGCACTTTGGGAGGCCAAGACGGGCGCAGATCACCTGAGATCAGGGGTAATAGACCAGCCTGGCAAACATGGTGCAAACCCGCCTCTACTAAAAGTACAAAAAAATTAGTAGTGGCGCACACCTGTAATCCCAGCTACTTGGGAGGCTGAGGCATGAAAATCACTTGAACCCAGAAGGTGGAGGTTGCAGTGAGCTGAGATCGTGCTACTGTACTCCAGCCTGGGTGACAGAGACTCGTCTCAAAAAATAAGAATCTCATGAGCAGAAAAATTATGAAGCATAGGAGAAATGAGCTAGCAGCTCCTTCCAATTTATTAATATAGCATGGTACATAAGGGAGGGGGGATTCTCTGATAGAAAAGTGGAAAGCCACTGTAAAGCAAACATAAAAAACGCTTTTAAATGTACAAATAATGCTCAACTTTATTTATTGAATTAGTTAGGGCTAAGCTAGGCTATGCTGCCATAATAACAAAACACAACTAATGCAGTCGTTTGACACAATAAAATCTTACCACTCATGCTGTCTGATGCGGTTGAGCAGCTTTCACCCATCTTGTATTAATAGCTATGCTATCTGGATCACTGGCTTCCACAGTTGTGGGAAGTGTGGAGGAGGCATACCAACTGTTGTTTTTCTTGGAGGGAAGTAATATGACCCCAACCTAAATGCATGAGAGGCCAGGAAAACAATGTAGTTTAGTTGTGTTTTCAGGGGGAGAAAAAGCTATGGTATGCACATAGCTTTGCCTCTGCCACACTCAGAATGCAAAATAAAAGTAGAGAAGAGTATCATTTCCCCCTAACAGACTGGCAGATATCCCAAAATTTGATTACATACATTAAAGAGGGTGTGGATAAACAAGTCCTCTCCTACTTTGCTGGTGGTAGTGAAAATTGGTTCAACTTTTATGGAAGACAATTTGGCAATATCTATAAAAAATTATATACATACAATTTTTAACTCTGCCATTCTACTTCTAAGAATTTATTCTACAGATGAATAAAGATGTATGCACACATTTTTCTTTTTGTAATAGCAACAGATTGGAAGAAATTTAAATGTCCATCAGGAGGGTCCACATCCAATGAATCATGGTACATCCACATGATGGGATACCATGCAGTTATACCAAAAGAATGAAGTTCCAGCCGGGCACGGTTGCTCATGCCTGTAATCCCACTACTTTGGGAGGCTGAGATGGGCGGATCACCTGAGGTCAGGAGTTCGAGACCAGCTTGGCCAAAATGGTGAAACCCCGTCTCTACTGAAAATACAAAAATAGCTGGATGTAGTGGCAGGCACCTGTAATCCTAGCTACTCGGAGGCTGAGGCAGGAGAATCGCTTGAACCTGGGAGGCAGAAGTTGCTGCGAGCCAAGATTGTGTTACTGTACTCCAACCTGGGCTATAAGAGCAAAACTACATCTCAAAAAAAAAAAAAAAAATGAAGTTCCTCATGAGCTGATAAAGAATAAGCTCTGAGATACATAACTAAACAAAAAAATCAACAATGTGTATCATATCCTACCACTTGGGGAAGAAAAGGAAAAAATACATATGTAGGCCAGGCACCGTGGCCCACATCTGTAATCCCAGCACTTTGGGAAGCAGAGACAGGAAGATTGCTTGAGCCCAGGACTTTGAGACCAGCCTGAACAACATGGTGAAACCCTGTCTCTACAAAAAATACAAAAATTAGCCTGGCATGGTGGTGTGCACCTGTGGTTCCAGCTACTCGACAGGCTGAGGTGGGAGGATTGCTTGAGCCAGGAGGTTGAGGCTACAGTAAGTTGTGAACGCGCCACTACACTCCAGCCTGGGCAACAGTGAGACCCTGTCTCAAAATAAAAAAATATTGTTAAACTGATCACCTTGCCTCCAGGGAGAGGAACTAGGAGGCAGAAGGGTTTGTACTGTAGAGCCTATACTTATCTTTTGAATTTTTAACGTTAATGTATTATCTATCAAAAACTTTAAGTTGGCCACGTGCAGTGGCTGACACCTGTAATCCCGGCACTTTGGGAGGCCAAGGCGGGAGGATCACCTGAGGTCAGGAGCTCGAGACCATCCTGGCCAACATGGTGAAACCGTCTCTACTAAAAATACAAAAATTAGCTGGGTGTGGTGGTGCGTGCCTGTAGTCCCAGCTACTCGGGAGGCTGAGGCAGGAGAATCGCTTGAACCCGGGTTGCAGTGAGCTGAGATCGTGCCACTGCACTCCAGCCTTGCGACACAGTGAGACTCCATCTCAAAAAAAACCAAAACAAAACAAATAAACTTTAAGTGTATAGGATTTGAATTCAGACTGTCACTGTATGACTTTGAGCAAGTTGCTTCATCTTTGTGTTTCCTCATTGGCAAAAAAGGATTAATACTAGTAACTGCACCTTTTGGGATTGTAAGAAACCAATTGTTATTTTTGAGACAAGTTCTGGCTCTATCACCCAAGATGGGAGTGCAGTGGTGTGATTTCGGAGACTACAGGCGTGCAACACCATGCCCAGCTGATTTGTTATTTTTTGTGAGATGGGCTCTCACCACGTTGCTCAGGCTGCTCTCTAACTCATGAGCTCAAGCCCACCTTGGTTACCGAAAGTGTTGGGATTGCAGGCGTGAGCCACCGCACCCAGCCAATTGTTGTTATTACTAAAGTAAATTTGGGCCCGGTGTGGTGGCTCATTCCTATAATTCCAGCACTTTGGGAGGCCAAGGCAGGATTGCTTGAGGCCAGTAGTTTGAGACCAACCTGGGCAACATAGTGAGATCCTGTCTGTACAAAAAATAAAAATTGGGCTGGGGGTGGTGGCTCACGCCTGTAATCCCAGCACTTTGGGAGGCCAAGGCAGGTGGATCACTTGAGGTCAGGAGTTCGAGACCAGCCTGGCCAACATAGTGAAACCCAGTCTCTACTAAAAATACAAAACTTAGCTGGGCATGGCAGTGTGCGCCTGTAGTCCTGGCTATTTGGGAGGCCGAGGCAGAAGAATTGCTCAAACCCGGGAGACAGAGGTTGCAGTGAGCCGTGATTGCCCCACTGCACTCCCACCTGAGTGAGAGTGAGACTCCATCTGGAAAAAAAAAAAAAAAAAAAAAAACTCAATAATCAATGTTGCTGTGTGAATTACATGCCAATATAGAAATAGTAAAGCAAATGGGAACAGCTTGTGGGGCGGTCAGGGTATAGCTAATAAAGTGACCCTTAATATTGGAGTAAAGCTTTCCCATCATAAAGGCATTAGGAAGTGTTTGGTGTATTTGAAGAACAAACAGCAAGGAGCCTGGGGTGTGGACTGCAGTAGGACATGAGGTCACACATAAAGTGGGAAGATCATGAAAGCTATCATGAGGACTTTTGATTTTTTTGCACGGGAGTGCCATGATCAATTTAATAGGATCCCTTGGACTACTGTGTGGAGATAAAACTGTTGGGTAGCAAGGACAGGAACAAGGTTTTCTTGTAGAGACAATGCTGACCTTTGGCCCGAACCCTTTCTCTCCTTCCCAAATTAGTCATGTTTAAGGATTTTTTTTGTTTTTAGGTCTCACTATGCTGCCCAGGCTGGCCTCAACAAATCCTCCAGCTTGTCTCCCAAAGTGCCAGGATTACAGGCCTGAGCCACCACACCCAGCTGAACAGTTTTAGATAAAAACCTAATTCATGCAATGATCAAAGAACTGAGAGAATAAGTACATTTTATGCTATCTCAAATTATATTATTTCTATAATCACATTTTGATGCCTTTTTGCTGGTTAGGGCATTTGGTTTGCTTTAAAGTACATTAGCACTGTAAGATGACAAAAAATAACAGAAGGTCCATTTGTTTTAGTTTAATAGACATTTATTCCTTCAGTTGAACAACCTCTACACAATTAAAATGTATGACTTAAGATCTTTTCTTTTTTTGTGAAGAAATTTAGGTCTCAAGAACTTTTATGAACTTGCTATGAGTACTTCCTGGAAATCAATTAACTGAGTCTTTTGAAACCCCTAGAGAAGATAGGAGAAAATTGGTTCAGAACGAGCATTTAAATTAAGTCAGCAAAGTCAGAATTTAAAATTGGGCAATTCCTTGTCTACATTTTCTTTACACTCAAATTGACCCTGGACAACAGTAGTCTAGTCTCCTGGAAGACATGGTGCAAACAGAAATGCAATGTGGTGGTATACTCATAGTCAAAGTGGGTGCACAAGTGATGGTCCAACTTTGTGGAATGGTAAGGATTTTTAGGGTTGTTTGGCCAGAACAAGAGAAATAACTGCAGAAAACACATATGGTTGGAAACCATGCGCTTGTGACTTTTTCTGTAGCCTATGGGAGTGGACAGAGTGGGTAACCCAAGATGTTTTTAAGACTGACTGGACTAAGAATGACGTACTTATAGCCAACTACTTTCCCCCTAATGTGACTGAAGGGATTCATAATGATCACAATTAGCATTACGGTTAAGTATTTTAGGGTTGACGTCTAAGCTCACACTTGAAAGGTATTTATCTAATGGCCACTGGCTCACCAGCTTCCCACCCTAGCATTCATTGCTAGCTTACCAATCTTAAGGCTAATAATTTTATCGCACATTCAACTTCAAAACACACCAGTGTTTACCATTACCACTAATCACTGAATGCCATGAAGCCATGGCACTGAACCAGGAGCTTTCACCTTTTATGTGAATTTAAAATGGTACTGTGGAGGCTGAGGCAATTTTCTTCAGGCTAACCCAGATTTTCTAAAGCCCAACTTAAAAAGTCTACACCTGCCAAACTAAAAAAAACGCAGCCACTTGAAAATAAACCAGCAGAGCATTGCCATCACTCCGATAAAGCTGCAGGTTTCATCACATGCACCAGACAAATCTACAGGGCTAGTTTCAGTTCTCTCCTTTTAAAGAATTTATTAAGCCTGTTATACCACACAGTATGTTTTATACACTGACATACAACTCCCTAATAAGATAAAGCAAAGACAAAAAAGTTTATCTTATTAGAAACAAGATACACCACCACTTATTGTCTTCAAACATTATTGCACTTTAACTTTCTTAATTTGACAAAGCATTCAAGAAACATCTGCAGACTAGTTTTAACAGACAAATAACACCTGTAAGCAGACATGACTGTCCTAAATTGTTTATTAAGTATGAATTTTACAAACTTTACTTATATTAGCGGTAACGGTGGAGCTGGAGAGTATTGCGCCTTCTCCAAGCTGCCCGGCGAGAGCCACCAATAGTGTGGTGGAACTTGTGGCCCTTTCCAAGGCCACGGCTCTTTCGGCCTGCAGATGTCAGCCCACGCATCTCCCTGTGCTTGTGGACTGGTTTGGTGATCCACTGGGTGTCAGGATTTCTTCTGATAGCTTTATGGAATGGATCAATGAGGATAACCTCAAAAAATTTGTATGTGGAATCTTCACCAACCCAGTAAGAATTCAGGACTCTCAGAGCCCCACAGTGGCGTCCAGCTCGCTCCTAGAATAGGAAAAAAGGCCCAAGGTCAATCTCCCACATTGCCTATAGCAGCAAGTCAGAAAGAATTTTAATTCTCAACTCTAGTTCACCACCAGACAAGAGTCTTTTACTACTCAAGTTATTTACTAAGCATTTCTCCCTAGACTATCACAAGTGTAATGAGATAATGTAGACTTGCTAAAACAACACACATAGACTGAAACACATCATTCCCTCTTAATACTCCATTCCTGACTAGGGCAGGAATATGTTAATATCTGGGTAACAAAATTTAGGGTTTGGGGACCTTATCTTTTTCCATACAACTGAGAGCTCAGCAACGTTTAGCTTTAAAAATATTTAGTATATATTTTAGGCTGTGCAGGCCACATTTGGTCTCTTCTGCATATTCTTGCCGCTTTAAAGCTTAGGTTCCACAAGTACTTCCAGTATATACACACGCATTTGTAACAAAGACAAGTCTTTCAAGCAATTACTCTTCACCAAGATTAGTAAAAATCACAAACCCTGTTTTATATACGAGACAGCTCACCTAAGTACAATCAGAAAAGTTGCTTAATCTCTCTCTCCCACCATCCCCAGGCAGTATTCAATATAACTGCTACTCAAAACCATTTACCTCTGCAACGGACTGAAGGCTTCGAGCAAACTTTAGCTGGTTAACACCATGATGGACAGGCTTGCCGTAAGTTGCACCCTTAGGAACTGGGCGTTTTCGGCCACCACGGCGAACACGAATCCTATATATAACGTAACCTACACACAAACACACACGAAATTAGTGATTTTATAGGAAGCCGTAAGGCTTAAGACTCAATGGCTTGTCACTAATACTCCACCAAAAATACTTCAACAGTAAGTTAATGCTATCTAATAGAAAAAAATAAAACACATCCCAGTCTTTTTCAATGCACCTTAGGCTACTCACACAGGGAGGCACACTGTTTATTTTGCTTTAGTCTGAACTCATTCAGATTTGTAACCTTTGACACACTTGCCACTTTAGACAACAGTGCATACAGTAACTGACCAGTGTTGCTAGCTTTTTTCTGCCAAAGCCCTATGCGAAGAAAGACACTGAGGCAGCAGTGTCTTCCTAACAGCTGGTTTCCAACTTTTCTCGAATATAATTTTATCCAAGCATCCACGCAGTCGATCACGTACCTTGCTTGGCCTTGTAGCCCAGTCGGCGCGCTTTATCAGGCCGGGTGGGGCGGGGAGCCCTGTGGAGAGCAGAGAGCTGGCGGTACTGCCAGCAGCGGACCCTCAGAAGAAAGCGCATGACATCAGACTGCTTCTTTCTCCATAGCTCCTGGATGTACTTGTATGCACCCATCTTGGCTTACCTGTGAAATCAAACTGTGTATTAAATATCATCCGCTTTAAGTACAATAAGACGACTGTATCCGTCCATCTTAGTTCCCCAACAAAAACAAGGAAACCGCCGGGAATGAAAATGGCTCTGCACCAACTGCCGGGGACAGCTAGCCCAACCCCCACCACTGCGCCCACGGAGCCGCGTTCAGTCACTTCCGCAACCCCAGCACAGAGCGGTGCTCGGCACGTTTTGGTGGGGCGAATTAACAGAACCAGAACTGAGCACCAAGGGGGCGGGTGGCTGCGGCAGGCGGCGTCCCCAAGGAGGACCTGAAAGGAGATGCCGCTGACATCACAGGACAAGGTACTGCTGCGGCCACCGAGGATTAACTCTCGAGGAAAATGCATCTACCCCACCCAACCAGCAGCCTCACTTTAGGCTGCCTTGTCCCGGGCGCCCCATTCGTCAGCCCCACGCCTCCTCCAGGATCCGGGCCCAGCTCGAATTCGCGCCGCCATCACATCTTCGCTCAACCCGCCCCGGGGGCCGCCTCTCCACCCCTTTGCTGTCCCGCATCCTGACCAAACTCTGGCCGCACAGGAGGGAGACCTATCTCCGAGGACGCAGGGTCCCCGGACCTGGATGGCTGAAGAGGAAGACGATCAAAGGCGGATGGAAGAGCAAAGATCCTCAACGCAGCCTACCTGATGGCTGCCGCCAGACGGAAAGGAAAGAGCTGTACTCCCACAATGCCTTTTGGGCTCCTCCCCCACCTCAGCCACCCTCTTTCCGGTGGAAAGCTGCGGCCTCCCAGAGCGTCATGGGACATGTAGTTCCGGCATCGCGCCTGGTGGCGGAGTTCTGCCGAGTGGGGCGCCGCGGCCGCTATTGTCCCGCCCCCTGCTCCGCAAGATTCGAGCCTGAGCGGCCTGGGCGTCTCGAGAGGTGAGAGAGTTGGCGGCGAGGTCTCGGCGGCTAAGCGAGCGTCGGCGACTGTCTCTCCGCGAGAGGAGGCAAGTTGGGGTCCAGGCTCCAAAGCCGGTGGCCGCGTACCGCGGTGGAGCCGCTGTCTTTGAGGTCTGAGGAGAGAACAGGTTTGTTTCACGCACCGCGGGCTCTCCCCCTGCGGAGTCTCTGCGTCTCCGCGTCTCCGCGCTGCGCTGTCCCTCTCTGGCCACCGCACGACGGGCGCAGAAATCTGGGCCCCAGAGCTGCGCTGAGAGATCCCCCGACGCTTCCCCAGCCTCCCAGGGAGGCCTTCGCGGAGTCGGGGCGTCGCGGGTCGGGGCGCTCGCTGTGTCCCTTCAGCTCCAGACTGCGTGAAGCTCCTCCAGCAGGCCCCAGCGCCCAGGGATTTTGTCCTAAAAAAGGGTCATGGAGTGGGTGGATTGCGGGCGGCCCGGCGCTTTTTCTGCATACGGATTTCGTCCCAAATTTGCTAACATGAGAACCACAGTTTTTCAGAAGAGCAGAATGTTTATTTGCCAAGACCTGTTTGGCAGGTGTGAATGTTTTAGAGAAGAAATGCCGAGAAAATGCTGGCATTTTGCGTTGCGGGTTTTTTTTTAAATTGAGAAATAGGTTACTGGCTTACTTTGTTTCTCCAGAATATTTTCACTTGGCTTTAATTTAAGTCATGTGGCTTTAATTTCCTTCCAGATTATGCGTTCAGATGTGGCAAAGGCTTAAGAGAATCATTATCTCTTAATCGTAGCGGTTTTGATTATCTTTTTTCCCACATCATATTTTTCTTTCTTTCTTTTTAAATCACAGCTTTACGTTTTTAAGAGTCTCTATCTGGTTCATTGATTGATTCAACAAATATTTATTAAGTGTCTAATATGTGCCAGGCATAGTTGCTGGGGATGCAGCAGGAAACAACGCAGAATTTTTGGCCTTCTTGGAAATGGGCAGTAAGCAGAAGTAAGCTGTGTTTTGGGTTTGGTGGTAAATGCTAAGGAAAAAAGATAAGGGGAGGGAAGTGATGAGGGAGTGTTAGCGGCTGAGGGTTGCAATTTGGAATGGAGTGTCCAGGTTAAGTCTTTGAGAGAAGGTAACATTTAAGAAAGGACTTCAAGGATAGGAGTCTGGGAGTAAGAGTAGGGGTCTGATTCAGGCAGAGGGAGAAGAGCCATGACTGGAGCATGCAAGATTAATAGAGGAACAGCAGGGAAGCAGTGTGGCTGAAATTCACAGTAGGGGAAAGTGGGAAATGACGTCGGAGAGGTGAAGGTTCTCACATGGACTTTGGATTTCATTGGCAGATTTTGAACAGAAGGATGACTTCATATGGCGTACATTTTAAAAAGATAACTCGGATTGCTCCTTTTGAGGCTAAAAGGAGAGAAAAAATGGAAGCAGAGAGACTGCTTAGGAAATTGTGTTAGTCTTCCATTGCTCCTGTAACAAATTTCAGCAACTTTGTTGGTTAATAATACAAATTTACCGTCTTTTAGTTTGTACATCAGACTAGGTCTGTAAATCTGTAAATATCACCAAGCTAAAACCAAAGTCAGTAGGGCTGTGTTCCTTCTGGAGGTACTAGGGGAGAGTACATTTATTTCCTTGGCTTTTCCACCTTATGAAGCCTGCCTGAATTCCTTGGCTCCTGACTGCTTCCTTCATCTTCACAGCCAGCAAAGGAGCATCTTCCAATTACACCTTCTGTCCTCTCCAGCACTCCTGTGTGTCTCTTATAAAGACACTTGTGATTACACTGGGCCCACCTAGATAATTCAGGATAATATCTTCGTATGGAAGTTCTTAATTTAATCACCCCCGCAAAATTCTTGTATGAGTATGTAAAGTAAACATATTCACAGGTTTGGGGGATTACGATATCTTTGAGAGACCAGGTGAGAGAACATGGTGCCTCACCCAGACCACTTCAGTAGTGATGAAAATGGTAAGTAGTGCAGCCCTGTATGTATTTCAAAGGTGAGGATGACTAAAAAGTTGAATGTGCTACTGTAGGTACGCTGCCTATGGGCGTAGTCCTGCTCCTAAAGGAGCAGTAAAAATAAAATTTAAAAAGTTGGATGAATCATTTGGAAAAACAATTCTAGTAGTGTGAATAATCACTGCTAATTTATCAATCACATTTGCAGTTTTGTTTCTCAATTTGTAGTTTCTCAGTTAACAGTTTTACAAGATTTGGATTTGTGTTTCCAGTTGATTTTGAGATTCCTGAGGACAAGGGATGATTTCTGTTTTTGCCCCCTAGTTTGTCCCTGATGGCTGGCATGATGGCAGGCCCTCAGTAAATGTTTGGTAAATGAATAAAAGAATGGTAAGCTAGAATCTGCTTTATTACATTTTATTTTGTGCAATACTGTGTGCAAAACCTGTTGAATATATTTTTATGTATGTAAATATATTCATATATGGATAAGTGAAAGTATTCCACACTATACATAATGTTGACATAAGTAAATACACAGTGTAGGTGGTTTCCCCACATGACAGTATTTTTAGAGATTTATAACATCTCTCCTATGATGTTAACAGTGTTTTGGTATTGTTTTTCTGGTTGCGTCAGAAAGTTGTGTTTTACTTATAAAAATAGAATGGCCCACTTACATAGAAGAACAGAAGCAATAACGGTTTTGGGGAGCTGTTTCTGATGGCTCTTCAAAGAAAATGTTGACAAAGCATTTCACAGGAATGGACCAGGTCATATATTTACTCTCTGTTTTTTTTTTTTTTTAGCCTCAAGTTGGAGAGAGGAGGTTGTATTTATTCTCTAGCAATGTTATTGATTAGCCTGGAAAGTAAAGCAATAAGTATTTAAGACTGCCCTGAATCTTGCCTATTAAGCACGTTCTCTTAGTAATTTACATCAGGTGAGGTTTAATAGGTCACAGATTGAATTTTATTGCCCAGTTTCTTAGGGTAGGGATGTGACAAGTAGCTGTAACTACTGCTTTTTGTGTTCACCTCAGTGTTGATGTATTCTCTGGATAAGCAACTTCTAATATCATGGCATCACAGTGTTGAAAGGAACCTAAAGGTGACCCATGTACTACAGAGCCTTTCAAATTCTTGAAACCTAGATTTAAGTAAGAGGCTTGGTTACCCCAGGATCGGTTCATGTGATTCAGTGCCCATTCAGGGTACTGCAGATGACCACCTTTGTATATTTCGCAGGAACTGGTGTACATTTATTGTGTTTGGGAATTATTAAATAATTATAAGTGCTTTAAGAACCAAACTTTTAGTAGTTTTTATTTGTAAATCTGAAAATATCTAAGCATGAGAACCACTTATTTGTAATGTGAGTTCCTGCCATAGCGATCATTTATAGAAAATAAAGTATTTTTGTGTATGTGTTATTTATTCAAAATGTTAATTATTTTTTAAAGAATTCTTAACTTTGTAATTGATGGTAGCAAGGCACTCATCTGCTTTATGTAGTGGTATTGTTTCCTATTTGGAAGGCAACCAGGAACCTAGAATATTTCAGCCTGCTTTGATTAATCACACTTATCTTTTCATCTTTGTTTTCTTTTTGATAGTGTAAAATATTTAATGAGGTCTGTTCTGTCATCTCTTTGCTTTCCTTCCAAAAAATGCTTAAAATTCTTAGCTAGTGTTTTGAGCTACTTTTATTCAGTTACTTTTACCGTTTGCCCATGATGAAGACTTCTTTGGTAATATCAAAAGGAACTCCCCAATTTATTAATATATACATACAATACAAAACAATGTATAATTTTTAGCAAACGTTGTCTGTTAATCCTATTATCCTGATAATTATATTATCCTGATAATCATATTATCAATGAGTGATCAAAGTACATTTGTAGTGTATTACTTTTTTTTTTTTTTTTTTTTTTTTGAGACGGAGTCTCACTCTGTCACCCAGGCTGGAGTGCAGTGGCATGATCTCGGCTCACTGCAAGCCCCACCTAATTTTTTGTATTTTTAGTAGAGACGGTTTCACCATGTTAGCCAGGATGGTCTCAATCTCCTGACCTCGTGATCCGCCCACCTTGGCCTCCCAAAGTGCTGGGATTACAGGCATGAGCCACCGCGCCCGACGTATGTGGCATATTTTCTTAATCCAGTCTATCATTGATGGACATTTGGGTTGGTTCCAAGTCTTTGCTATTGTGAATAGTGCCCCATTAAACATACGTGTGCATGTGTCCTTATAGCAGCATGATTTATAATCCTTTGGGTATATACCCAGTAATGGGATTACTGGGTCAAATGGTATTTCTAGTTCTAGATCTTTGAGAAATCGCCACACTGTCTTCCACAATGGCTGAGCTAGTTTGCAGTCCCACCAACAGTGTAAAAGTGTTCCTATTTCTCCACATCCTCTCCAGCACCTGTTGTTTCCTGACTTTTTAATGATAACCATTCTAATTGGCGTGAGATGGTATCTCATTGTGGTTTTGATTTGCATTTCTCTGATGGCCAGTGATGATGAGCATTTTTTCATGTGTCTGTTGGCTGCATAAATGTCTTCTTTTGAGAAGTGTCTGTTCATATCCTTCGCCCACTTTTTGATGGGGTTGTTTGTTTTTTTCTTATAAATTTTTTTAAGTTCTTTGTGGATTCTGGATATTAGCCCTTTGTCAGATGGGTAGATTGCAAAAATCTCCCATTCTGTAGGTTGCCTGTTGACTCTGATGGTAGTTTCTTTTGCTGTGCAGAAGCTCTTTAGTTTAATTAGATCCCATTCGTCTATTTTGGCTTTTGTTGCCATTGCTTTTGGTGTTTTAGTCATGAAGTCCTGTGCATGGGCAATTTTTCTAGAGTTGTCTATTCTTCCTCAAAAAGAAATATGATTAAGAAAGCCCACGTGACAGCCAGGCGCAGTAGCTCACGCCTGTAATCGTAGCACTTTGGGAGGCCAAGGCAGGCGGATCACTTGAGGTCAGGAGTTTGAGACCATCCTGGCCAACATAGTGAAACCCCGTCTCTACTAAAAATACAAAAATTTCACCGGGCATGGTGGCAGGCACCTGTAATCCCAGCTACTTGGGAGATTGAGGCAGGAGAATCGCTTGCCCTTGGGAAGCGGAGGTTGCAGTGAACCGAAATCTCATCACTGCACTCCAGCCTGAGTGACAGAGCTAGACCCTGTCTCAAAAAAAAAAAAAAAGCCCACGTGACTACCAAAATCCAGTTTCTTCCCTTCTCGAGAAAAGACTGACATAAACTTTCATGTTTCTTTGAAAAATCATGTCCATTTTCTAAAAACTTTATCCTCATGCCTCCTTAAATTTTTACTTAAATGTTTATTTTTCCAGGTAAATATTGATGAGTAGGCAGTCTCTTTCAAGGATTTAAGAGTCTGTTGGATTGCTATAGACTTAATCAGTATTGAAATATTCTTCATATAAAATGTATTTATTCTTTTTGAAAACAAAGATGTATTCATACCTATCCATGTGTTTTTTTGTTTGTTTGTTTTCAGACAGAGTCTAGCTCTTTCACCCAGGCTGGAGTGAAGTGGTGCAATCTCAGCTCAGTGCAACCTCCGCCCCCTGGGTTCAAGTGATTCTCCTGCCTCAGCCTCCCCAGTAGCTGGGATTACAGGTGAGTGCCACCACGCCTGGCTAATTTTTGTATTTTTAGTAGAGATGGGGTTTCACCATGTTGGCCAGGCTGGTGCCGAACTCTTGACCTCAGGTGATCCACCCGCCTTGGACTCCCAAAGTGGTAGGATTGCAGGCATGAGCCACTGTGCCTGGCCTGTATTCTTATATTTATCTACATTGTCTCCGTGAGATATATAAGAAACTGATAATGCTTATTGCTCTAAGGGAGGAAATGGGAGACTGGGGAATGGGGTTTGGAAGGCTATACCTTATTCTATATCTCCTTTTCTGTATTTGAAAATTTCCCCTGTGCATGTGTTACATATTAAATTGAAATACTGAAAGAAAAAGAAATGGTTAATTTCAACAGTATACAATTTAAAAGACCTGTTATTCTCTCCACAGTGATATCCTGAGAGAAGATGGGAAAGGGCTGCAAGGTTGTGGTTTGTGGATTGTTATCTGTGGGGAAAACTGCAATTTTGGAGCAGCTCCTTTATGGAAATCATACTATTGGTAAGATTGTTTTTCTCTAGTTTGTCTCTAGGTTCTGGGAGCTATCAGGGGTCTTTTGTTGGTCATGCTAAACTAAAGGTGGTTGATGGTACATAAAGGGGAGGTATAATCCAGAGGGACCAAAAGAGATTAAGAGGTAAGAAAAGAGGAGGGAAAAAAGTCTTAGTGTTATTGAAATTCAAGAGTGCCTGCTGTAAGTTATCACAGGTAAGGAAAGAAATGGCCAATATAGATAGATCAATATGGATATATATTCCTTTGTATATATGTGGTTTTCCGTGTATTTACATAATGAATGGTGTAAATTCATTACATTACAAATCATAGAATCACTGATTTAAGAAAACATAACTTTCCAGTGGGCATGGTGGCTCAGGCCTGTAATTCCAGCACTTTGGGAGGCCGAGGCAGGCGGATCACCTGATGTCAGGAGTTCAAGACCAGCCTGGCCAACATGGTGAAACCTGTCTCTACTAAAAATACAACATTAGCCAGGCATAGTAGCAGGTGGCTGTAATCCTGCTACTTGAGGGGGTGAGGCAGGAGAATCTCTTGAACCTGGGAGGCTGAGGTTGCAGTGAGCCAAGATGGTGTTACTACACTCCAGCCTGGGCTACAGAGCGAGACTCTGTCTCAAAAAAAAAAAAAAAAAAAGGCCGAGCGCAGTGGCTCACACCAGTAATCCAAACGCTTTGGGAGGCCGAGGCAGGCAGATCATGAGGTCAAGAGATCAAGACCATCCTGGACAACATGGTGAAACCCCGTCTCTACTAAAAATACAAAAATTAGCTGGGTGTGGCGGTGCACGCCTGTAGTCGCAGCTACTCAGGAGGTTGAGGTAGGAGAATCGCTTGAATGTGACAGGCAGAGGTTGCAGCGAGCTGAGATTGCACCACTGCACTCCAGCCTGGCGACAGAGCGAGACTCCATCTCAAAAAAAAAAAAACAAAAAAAAACAAAAACAACTTTGCAGAGCTGCTGTATGTAGATTTTTAAAAATGGAAGAAACAGTTGTTTGGTGAGTATGACTTAATTTTGTGAATTGGGCTACCTCATTCATTTATTCATTCGCTGAGTCAAATAATTATTTATTAATTGGTATATGATACGTGTAATCAGGCCTTGGGTTACAGAGGTGAAGATAGCATCTCTGGAGGTCATGGCTTAGTAAGGAAGATAGATATCACAGGTTAGAATGAAATGACGTTTGTGTTAGATAAGTAAACAGAGATCATCAAAGCATTTTTTTCTGGCAAGTAACTTAAAGCACATTTCTGTTTTTCTGAGATGGAGTCTCACCCTGTCTCCCAGGCTTGAGTGCAGTGGTGCAATCTCGGCTCACTGCAACTTCCGCCTCCCAGGTTCAGCCAATTCTCCTTTCTCAGCCTCCTGAGTAACTGGGACTATGGGTGCGTGCTACCACGTCTGGCTAATTTTTGTATTTTTATTTTAGTAGAGACGGGGTTTCACCACGTTGGCCAGGCTGGTCTCGAACTCCTGACCTCAAGTGATCCCCCCGCCTCGGCCTCCCAAAGTGCTGGGATTACAGGCGTGAGCCACTGCGCCTGGCCCACATTTCTGTTTTTCATTAACCATTTCTATGTGCTCTGCTTCTCTTCTAGCTTTCTAAAATAATGTTTAACAATTGTGGTTAAATTCATATTTAGTGTTTATTATAATACCTATGTCAGTAGTTCTCAAATTTTTTGGTTTCAGAATCCTTTTGCCCTGTGAAAACTTACTGAGGACCCCAAACAACTTCTGTTTATGTGGGCTGTATCTTCCAACATTTACTGTATTAGAAATTAAAACCGTGGCCAGGCGTGATGGCTCACAGCTTGGTAATCTCAGCACTTTGGGAGGCCAAGGTGGGAAGATCAGCTGGGCTCAGGAGTTTGAGACTAGCCTGAGACCTCATCTCCACTAAAAACAAAACAAAATGAAAAAAAGAAAAAAAAAAAAAAGAAAGAAAGAAATTATCCAGGTGGGCATGGTGGCATGTGCCTGTGGTTCCAGTTACTTGAGATGCTGGGGTGGGAGAATCACATGGGAGGTTGAGGCTGCAGTGAGCCATGATCACACCAGTATGTTCCAACTTAGGAGACCCTGTCTGAAAAAAGAAAAAAAGAAAAGGAAAATGGAGACATTTGTAAACTACTTATTTTTTCTAAATGACACTAATAAACTCATTATATCCTAAAATAACTTTATGAAAAAAATTATATTTTCAAAATAGAAAGGTGGCATTGATTTACTTTTTAGAAAATCTTTTCTGATGTCCAGCTTAATAGAAGGCAATTATCATATCTATTAACACTTGCCTTTGTAATCTGCTGTGATGAGGTGTTTCAGTTGAAATATATGAAGAAAATCCAGCCGCACACAGATATGTAGTTGGAAAAGGTAGGAGGAATACTTTAATAGCCTTTTCAGGTAATTATGGGTATTTTTCTTTGGTATTTCACTAAAACTTAACAAGTGATGGTTACTTAAAGGTTATTGCAGTGTAGAATCTGAAATCATATTCGTGAACTTTTTTACTCTGCTAAATTAAAATCTCATTGATTGATCCTGCATTTTAAATGGATCTTTTTACCCAAGCAGAGTTTTTTAGCATCGTGAATTGGTCATTTTGGAAATTTTGGTTCGCTAAGGAAGTCTTCCATATCACTTTTGTTAATATCTGATGAAATACCAATTTCATCAGTATTGGGAATCTGTCAAGTTCATGATGATGGATACAATTCTGATTTTTGCCTGAAAGCTCAAATTTTATTGACAACAAATACTGTTACCATAGTTACTTTCCTTGAAATGATAGGCTTCCTTTATTACTTTTTGAGAAAATGTTTGTCAAATATTGTAAATACATAGTTTTTCTGTCATTTCTTCTTTTTAAAAATGATGGCTAGTTCAGCTTGCAATTTAAAACACACAAGAGATTTTCCTCAAGACAGTTACCATAATTGCATGCAGAAATGCTTTATGTATAGTTTCCATTTAATTCCATAGAATATTGAAAAGATATATACTCAAGGCTTGAGATTTAATAAAATTAGTCATTTTTATTGCTTCATTAAGGACATTCTTAAGTAAAACTGGCTTTTTAATTTTTTAACTGCAAGCACAGGATGGTGAAGAGAGGATCTAATGGCAACTATACGTTTAGTGCCACTGACTCGATTTGCACTAAGGTACCGGCAGTTTTACCCACCACTGCTTTTGCAACATCAGTACAAATATCAACACAGTGGAAAATGCAAATGGCTTTGGTAGTAGTATGAATATAGTTTTGCCCATGTGGGTCCCCTGAAAGGAGACCTCATGAGATCTGCAGACCACAGTTGGAGAGCTGCTGGCATATATAAATACAGTACAATTGACCCTTCAACAGTGCACGGGTTAGGGGTGCCAACACCGCCCCCCCATCAGTTGACAACCAAATTTTTGTCCCCCCAGAAACTTAACTACTCATAGCTTACTGTTGACCAGAAGCCTTAAACCTGATAACATAAACAGTTAATTGCCATGTCTTATATGTTGTGTGTATTATATACTGTACTCTTACAATAAAGTAAGCTAGAGATAAGAAAATGTTATTAAAATCATAAGGAAGAAGCCGGGTGTGGTGGCTCACGCCTGTAATCCCAGCACTTTGGGAGGCCGAGGCAGGCGGATCACTTGAAGTCAGGAGTTCAAGACCAGCATGGCCAACATGGCGAAACCCCATCTCTACTAAAAATATAAAAATTAGCTGGGCATGGTGGCACGTGCCTGTAATCTCAGCTATCTAGGAGGCTGAGTCATGAGAATCTCTTGAACCCGGGAGGCAGAGTTTATCGTGAGCCAAGATCACGCCACTGCACTCCAGCCTGGGCAACAGAGCGAGACTGTATCAAAACAAAACAAAACAAAACAAAAACCTGCTTTAAAAAATAAAGGTTATTTTAAAATGTATAAGAGGTTACCATTATTTAAATTTGAAAAGAAGAATGTAAGTGAAAAATAGCCACTGCAAAGGATATAAGACACTCTCTTTGATGATAATGCCTATAAAATAAAATCTGTGTCTCCCAGACTGGAGTATAGTGATGCCATCTCACCTCACTGCAGCCTCCACCTCCTGGGTTCAAGTGATTCTCCATCTCAAAAAAAAAAAAAAAATCATAAGGAAGAAAAAATATATTTACTATTTATTAACTGGAAGTGGTTCATCGTAAAGGTCTTCATCCTCATTGTTTTTATGTGGAGTAGACTGAGGAGAAGGAGGAGGGATTGGTCTTGCTGTGTCAGGTGGCAGAGGAGAAAGAAAATCTACATGTAAGACATGTGAAGTTCAAATCTGTGTTGTTTAAGGGTCAGTGGTATTCTCAGCAGAGCAGTATAGTATACTGTGATTCTTTTTTTTGTTTTGTTTTCATGGAAGCCAACATGTATTTGTCATTTCTTTAGTTTTGTTTATACCTTTTGCTAGTTCTTTCCACATAGTCCAGATGTTTCTCAGTTCTGCATGAGGTCAGCTCCATCAGATAATCTATTTTTTTTCTTGGCTGTGTCCTTTCAGGAGCTCTGTGTCCTCTTATCTACTGTGCCACCATCATCATGGAACTTCCCCTTTGTTTCTCCCTTTGGTTTTTTTTTTTTTTTTTTTTGAGACGGAGTCTCGCTCTGTCACCCAGGGTGGAGTGCAGTGGCACGATCTCGGCTCACTGCAACCTCCACCTCCTAGGTTCAAGTGATTCTCCTGCCTCAGCCTCCCAAGTAGCTGGGATTACGGTCATGCGCCATCATGCCTGGCTAATTTTTGTGTTTTTAGTAGAGACAGGGTTTCACCATGTTGCTCCAGCTGGTCTTGAACTCCTGGCCTCAAGCAATCTGCCTGCCTCAGCCTCCCAAAATGTTGGGATTATAGGCATGAGCCACTGCACCCGGCCTCTCCCTGGTTTTGATTTCCTGTTTCCTAGATCTCTTGTCTTCTTTTCTTCTTTTGGCTTATACCTTTTTTTTTTTTTTTTGGAGCACATTTTCCAGTACTTTTCTGGGGTTGAAAAGGTTGTACAGTAGAACAGAACATCCAGTGATGATGGCCTTCAACATGCCCTCTACCTGGGACGTAGTCGTGACCCTGGGGCTTCCGAATTGAGATATTTACTAATTGTGCTTGTGATTTCCTTTACTTCATATCTGTGTTAGGTTCTGTTTCTTCCTGTTTCTATGATTACATATTAGTTTTTATGGAGGGTCTCCTCAAATAGTTTTCTGAGAAAATATACGTGATACATTTTCTGAGGCTTTGCATGTTTGAAACTGTCTTTATTTTACACTAACATTTGAATTGTAATTTTGATGGGTATGGAACTCTAGGTCAAAAATAATATACTTTCGGAATTTTGAAAGCATTGCATATATGGTTTAATAATTATAAGACAAACCTTCACATAATCTCCACATGGATCAAAAAGTACAACATTGAGGACAGGCCAGTGGCTCCCTGTGTTCCTCTGTCCAGTTGCAACTCATTCCTTCCCTTGACTTTTGGTTAATCATTCTTTTTATTTTTAATTGCCACATATGTGTGTCACTAAATGGTCTAGTTTATTTTTTGCCCTATGGATTTTCTATGAATTAAATTAATCCATGTCTGGCTTCTTTTACTCAACATTATATTTGTAAGACACATCAGGCCAGGCATGGTGGCTCACCACTGGAATCCCAGCACTTTGGGAGGCCGAGGTGGGAAGATCACTTGAGCCCCAGAGTTTGAGATCAGCCTGGGCAACATCAGGAGACCCCATCTCTATTTAGAAAAAAAAATAAAAGATTCATCCATTTTGCCGTAGCTGTGGTTGTTTACTTTTCATTGATGTAACATTCTATTGCATGAAACTACCTCTGTCTGTTAGGTCTTCATGAACATTTGGGTTATTTTCCAGTTTGGAGCTATTGGAAATAATGCTACTCTGGAACATTATTGTACATGTATCCTGGCTATTATGTGATAAATTCTGGTATACATATCTAGAAATTGCTGATTCATAGAAGGTGTGTCTCTTTAACTTTATCAGCTTCTATTGTCTTCTTGCTTCTAGTGCTACTTTTGAGAATCTGGGAACCATTATGATTCTTGATGCTTTGTCTGTGGAAACTTTTTTAGGCTCTCTTCTTTGTTCTTAGTTGCTGTGGTTTGAAGGATAGTGTCTCCTCCAAAATTCATGTTGAAACTTAATCTCCAATGTAACAGTATTAAGCACTGTGGCCTATAAGAGGTGATTAAATCATGAGGGCTCCACCCTTCACCTTCATGAGGACTAATCCCTCATGAAAGATTAGCATCCTTATAAAAGGGCTTGAGGTTGAAGGGAGTGCTCTCTTGCCCTTCTGTCTCTCCCACCATGTGAGGACACAGCATTTGACCCCTCCCAAGGATGCAGCAACAAGGCTCCATCTTGCAGTAGGGACTGTGCCATAACAACACACCAGACCTACTGGCACCTTGATCTTGGACTTCCCAGCCTCCAGAACTGTGAGAAAGAAATTTTCTATTTATAAATTACCCAGTCTGTGGTATTTTGTTATAGAAGCACAAATGGACTAAGACACCAGTGTTCTGAAATTTCAGTGATGCGTCATAGAATTGATCTTTTCTTTTCTTTCTTTTTCTTTTTTTACTCGGGTTGGAGTGCAGTGGCACGATCTCAGCTCACTGCAGCCTCCGCATCCTGAGTTCAGGCAATTCTCCCACTTCAGCCTCCCAAGTAGCTGCAATTACAGGTGCGCACCACCGTGCCCAGCTAATTTTTGTATTTTTAGTAGAGATGGGGTTTCACCATGTTGGCTAGGCTGGTCTTGAACTCCTGACCTCAGGTGATCCGCCCACCTTGGCCTCCCAAAGTGCTGGTATTACAGGTGTGAGCCCCCGAGCCTGGCCAGTCTGTTTTCATTTACTGTATTGGACACTTAGAGGGCCCCTTCTATATGGAAATGCATGTTCTTCAGTTTTGAATTATTTTGTTATTGCTTTCTTTCCTCTGTGTTCTCTGTCCTTGTTTTCTGGAACTCTCTTTTTGGATGCTGGACCTTCTGGACTAGTCCTTGAATTTTCTTATTGCCCCTTTCCTGTTTATCATCTCTCAATATTTTTGTACCACTTTTTGGTAGATATTCTTATCTTTATTTTCCAGCCCTTCTATTGAGTTTTTGTTAGTATCCTGTTCTTATTTCATGGATGTACTATCTTATTTTTTTGATAGATTAGGTAGTTTTTTGTTTGTTTGTTTTTGTTTTCTTTTCTTTGTATAGTTGGTTTCTCTGTAGCGGTCTCTTCTTGTTGGTCTCTATTTTCTTCAGGTGTCTGCTAAACCTTGGTTATCTGTTCATAATTAAAAATGGACCCCTAGGCCCAGTGCAGTGGCTCATGCCTGTAATCCTAGCACTTTGGGAGGCAGAAGCAGGCAGATTGCTTGAGCTCAGGAGTTCAAGACCAGCCTGGGCAACATGGTGAAACCCCATCTATACAAAAAAATACAAGAATTAGTGGGGCTTGGTGGTATGTACCTGTAGTCCCAGCTACTTGAAGGGCTGAGGTGGGAGGATCGCTTGAGCCCAGGAGGTTGAGGCTGCAATGAGCTGAGATTGTCCCACTGAACTTCAGCCCAGATGACAAAGTGAGACCCTGTCTCAAAAATAAATAAATACAACTTAAAAAGCCAATTGGAAGCTCTAAGCATATGGATAGGGTTCATGACTTAGAGCTTCACTAAAGTGATCTGGCAGGGGCATTTATTGGGGAAACCTAGATGTCAGTATATTTAGGATTTTTTCCTTTTCCGTTGGCCAGATTCTCCAGATTCCCCTGGATGGGGATAAAGAGCTGGCTGCCAGTGTTTTGGGAGCAGAAAGGGAAAGCCGGAGGACTTCAACATTCAGTATGTGTGTGTGCGCAGGCATGTCACTTAATTGCCCTGTTTTCATGGTGGAACTCATTCCCTTTATCCCACAGTCTAGACAGCCTCTATTTTATACTCCCCAGAGATTGCACCCTTAAGCCTTCCCCTGGTGTGCGAGATGGGTAGTTGCCCAGCAGCGTGGAGTGGGAGAGGAAATCTAGAGAACTAGTGGAAGACTCTTGACTTCATTTGATCTTTAGAGTACCAAAATATCAAAAGGTCTAAACTTTAGACCCCCTTTTGGAGAGGCAGGTGGAGGTGGGCTAACCGGACTGGCTTTTGGTGGATAAAAAAATCACATGACAAAATGCTTGGTAGTTTTTGCTTTTAAATTAATTTGTAATCAAAGCCCAATACGTTTGTGTCTTAATAGATAACCTTTAATTTCCTTAGGGCTTAATTTATGACAGGATGACACAGACAGGTATATACATAATCAGATTTATGAATAATTTTACCTTTCTAAACACTGAATACATTCCTTATGAGTTATGTTGATGAAAGTAAATTTTTGGTTTCTCAATGATCCAATCTATGTATTACCATGTGATTATTCCTTTTAATCTAATACTTGTGGAGATTTTATGTAATCTAATACTTAACGGACATTTCATGTAAGGCATCTGGAACAAATCATTCTACAGTATTTAGGTTGTTTAGGAAAACTGTAACTAGTTTAAAAAAAACTATAACATAGTATGATTGGGGGGGGTATAGGATGTTATCCATGTGATTTTACCTCTGGATGTATCTCACATTCATTTATTTTTATTTTTTTATTATTATTTTTTGAGACGGAGTCTTGCTCTGTCATCCAAGCTGGAGTGCAGTGGCATGATCTCGGCTCACTGCAACCTCTGCCTCCCAGGTTCAAGCAATTCTCCCTGCCTCAACCTCCTGAGTAGCTGGGATAACAGGTGCCCGCCACCACACCCAGCGAATTTTTGTATTTTTAGTTGAGATGGGGTTTGGCCATGTTGGCCAGGCTGTTCTTGAACTCCTGACCTCAGGTGATCTGCCCACCTAGGCCTCCCAAAGTGCTGGGATTATAGGCGTGAGCCACCGTGCCTGGCCTCATATTTAAATATGGAGGTGGTTACTGGGACTATACCTTACCTGTCTTATCACATGTCTCTCCACTACTTATTAAAATTAAGAATGTTAATCTTCTCCCTTTAATTCCTTTATCAGTAAGGGCTTATTGAATATTTGCTGTGTACACAGAATGGTTCCTTTCACTTAATAAACTTAGAGACTAGTTGAAGAGATAAAACTTGCACAAATGAAACAAAGTGGTAAAATGCATTTTTAAAAGATCATAAACAAGAAGGGGATTTTTATTTTTATGCAGAAGAAATATTTTTTAAAAGAATTTTGTTTACGCCAGGTGCAGTGCCTCACACCCGTAATCCCAGCACTTTAGAGGCCAAAGTGGGTAGATTGCTTGAGCCCAGGAGTTCGAGACCAGCCTGGGCCACGTGGTGAAACCCTGTCTCTACAAAAAGTACAAGAATTCACTGGGCATGATGGCACCTGTAGTCCCAGCTGGGAGGGACTACTTGGGAGGCTGAGGTGGGAGGATCCCTTGAGCCCAGGTGGCGGAGGTTGTAGTGAGCTGAGATCGAGCCACTGCACTTCAGCCTGGGCAACAGAACAGGACCCTGTTTCAAAAAAAAAAAAAAAAAGTAAAATAGAAATGTGATTATTATATGTGGTAAATAAGAAACCTAGAAAGCCAATTTCTAAAGGACAAGAAAATACGGAGCAGTTGACACTGACTTAGCCAAAAAGAGTAATTTGTTTTCTTAATCCCAGGAATGGAAGATTGCGAAACAATGGAAGATGTATACATGGCTTCAGTAGAAACAGACCGAGGAGTAAAAGAACAGTTACATCTTTATGACACCAGAGGTCTACAGGAAGGCGTGGAGCTGCCAAAGCATTATTTTTCATTTGCTGATGGCTTCGTTCTTGTGTACAGTGTGAATAACCTTGAATCCTTTCAAAGAGTGGAGCTTCTGAAGAAAGAAATCGATAAGTTCAAAGACAAAAAAGAGGCAAGTGGATATGTTAAAAATGCCAAATGTGAATTATAATACCATTTAAATTATAGCACAGACTTTTGGGTAGTTTATTTTCAGATCATTACAGTATATTCTTAGTATCTGTAAAACCTTTACAATTTTTTTCTTTTCTTTTTCTTTTTCTTTTTTTTTTTTTTTTGAGACGGAGTCTCGCTCTGTCTCCCAGGCAAGAGTTGAAAGTGCAATGATGCGATCTTGGCTCACTGCAACCTCCGCCTCCCGGGTACAAGCGATTCTCCTGCCTCAGCCTCCCAAGTAGCTGGGAATACAGGAGTGTGCCACTATGCCCGGCTAATTTTTATATTTTTAGTGGAGACAGGGTATTACCGCGTTGGCCAGGCTGGTCTTGAACTCCTAACCTCAAGTGCTTTGCCGGCCTTGGCCTCCCAAAGTGCTGGGATTACACGTGTGAGCCGCTCTGCCTGGCCTAGAATTTTTTTCTTAACCCAAGAAATACAGGTCTGACTGAATTTAGTTAGGACCAGAATTTGACTTTCTGCCTTTTGCTTGTTACCATCTACAAGTTGAATTTTAATGACTTCTTATCTCAAGTACTACATAATTCATTTTATGTTCTTTGGTATTGCTGTTTCCTTGGGTTTTTGTTTTTGTTTTTTTTGAGACTGAGTCTCTCTCTTTCACCCAGGCTGGAGTGCAGTGGCACGATCTTGGCTCACTGCAACCTCCAACTCCCAGGTTCAAGGGATTCTGCTGCCTCAGCCTCCTGAGTAGCTGGGACTACAGGCGTGTGCTACCAGGCCCAGTAATTTTTTGTATTTTTAGTAGAAACAGGGTTTCACCGTGTTAGCCAGGATGGTCTCGATCTCCTGACTTTGTGATCCGCCTGCTTCGGCCTCCCAAAGTGCTGAGATTACAGGCATGAGCCACCATGCCTGCCCTCCTTGGGCTTTTTATTATCTCCTTGGGTACATAGGATTCTTGTCTTCAGGCTTACCAAAAAAAGAAACCTAATAATTATTGGATTCTACCCATATACCACTTAAACATAAGATTCATATGCCTTACAGTGGTCTGTAAAGATTTAGATTACCTGGCCCATGCCTGTCCTTTTCATCTCATCTTTATTATCTGCCTGTCTCTCACTATACTCCAGTGACACCAGTCTACTTTCTGTTTTTTCAACATGATAGTTTTGTTTTCCTATTAAGCTTTCTCAATTGCTTGTTTCCCTGTCTGGAACTCTCTTATCTCAAATCTTTCTCCAGATCTTCACGTGGCGGACTCTTCATTGTCTAGGAAACCAGATAATATACTGATTAACAGTACTGGCTAGATGGTAGAAAAAAAACAAAAAACAAAACAAACAGCAACAACAAAAAGTACTGGCTAGATGTTCTTAACTTAGATTTTTGCATATTTTTTGTTAAGCTTTTTATTTTGAGACAATTATAGAGTCACATGCAGTTTTAAGAAGTAACAGAGAGAGATCCCTTACCCAGTTTGCCCCAGTGGTACCATCTTCAAAACTCTAGTACATCATAACCACCGTATTTGTGTTGATTCAGTCAAGACACAGAACGTTTCCATCACCACAAAGATCCTTCATGTTACTCTTTTATAGCTGCCCCACTTCCCTCCCATCTTCACCCCCACCTTAACCCTTGGTAACCACTCATCTGATCTCCATTTTTATAATTGTGTCATTTCAAGATTGTTATATAAATCAGTGGTCCCCAGTCTTTTTGGCACCAGGGACCGGTTTTGTGGATGACAATTTTTCCACAGATGGAGATGGGGTGGTTTGGGGATGAAGCTGTTCCACCTCAGATCATCAGGCATTAGATTCTCAAAAAGAGCATGCAACCTAGATCCCTCACATGTGCAGTTCACAATTTGATTCTCCAGCTCCTGTGAGAACCTCATGCCACTGATGTGACAGGAGGCGGAGCTCAGGTGGTAATGCTTGCTTGCTCCCTGCTCACCTCCTGTTGTGTGGCCCGGTTCCTAACAGGCCCTGGACTGGTACCAGCGCATGACCTAGGGGTTGGGGACCCCTGATATAAAAGAAATCATACAGGCCAGGTGCAGTGATTCACACCTGTAATCCCAGCATTTTGGGAGGCCGAGGTGGGCAGATCACGAGGTCAGGAGTTCGAGTCCAGCTTGACCAACATGGTGGAACCCCGTCTCTACTAAAAAAATACAAAAATTAGCCTGGCGTGGTAGCACACGCCTGTAATCCCAGCTACTCAGGAGGCCGAGGCAGGAGAATCGCTTGAAACCCGGGAGGCAGAGGTTGCAGTGAGCTGAGATCATGCCATTGCACTCCAGCCTGGGTGACAGAGCAAGACTCTGTCTCGGAAAAAAAAAAAAAAAATCATACAATATGTAATCTTTTGGGATTGGCTTTTTTTACTCACATATCCTCTGGAGATTCATCCAAGTCACTGCATGGATCAGTAGTTCATTTCTTTTTCTTGGTGAGTAGTATTCCATGGTACGTACCAAACTCTTTTTAACCATTTATCTGTTGTAGGACATCTGGGTTATTGATATTTTATTTAGAATACTAATTTACTTTATGAATAGATAACATATTCACAAGGTTTTGAAAAGATGTAAGAAGTCATGAAAGCTCCTCTCCCCCGTATTTCCCATCTTTCCCACCGAAACAGGCAAATGCTGTAATTATTTACTTGGGTATCCTCCAGAGACCCCTCTCTGCCCCACAAAAGTTGAAAGGTCAATGAACACTCACGTACTAGATACTTAAATCTTGGCTTTGCTTCTCAGCTTTTCTGCTTCAGTTTCCTTATCTGTAAAAGGAGAATAATAGTAACTTCCTCATATGCTTCTTCAATCCCCATAATCGTATTAATTCCGTGAATGCTTATTTAGCAACTACTATGTGCCAGGCATTGTTCTAGGTACAGGGAATGTGGTAGAGAACAAAACAGTCCATATCCCAATAAAGCTTCTATTTTGGGAGTGAGAGAGACAGTAAATAAATATATTTAATACATTACAATGAGTGATGCTATGTGGAAAAGCAGAATGGGGAATGAGGGTGCTATTTTCTGTAGGGTGACTTTAGCAGATATTTGAAGGAGGTAAGGAGGGAGGGAACAAAGCTGATGTCTGGAAGGAAGAGTGCTCCAGGTGGAGGGAATAGCTAGTACCGAGGATCTGAGGTCGGAATTTGCTTGCCATGTTCAGGAATCGGCAGTGAAGCCAGAGTGGGCTAGGAGGTGTGTTGTAGGTGATGGGGGCACTTTGCCTTTCACTTTTAGTGAGATCAGAAAGCACTGGTTTGGGGCAAAGGAATGACATGATATGGCTTAAGTTGCATTTATTTATTTTCATGTTTGGTTTTAAAAAATTGAATAAGTAATGTTTGCACATGGTTCAAAAATGACAATCATATGTAAAAAGGACTGTGTTCAGTCTGGTTCCCACAGCTGTCCTCAACCACCAAGATCCTGTACATTAAGCATGCTTTTTAAAATATTTTACCCCTTTATTAGTTTTGGGGCAGTCATCCAGAGTTTCTTTATATAAATGCAAGCAAATAGGAGTATACATTAAAAATATTTTTCCTCCTTTTTTTTTTTCCCTATTTCAGACAGGGTCTTGCTCTGTTGCCCAGACTTGAGAGCTATGGCATGATTGCAGCCTAAAACTCCCAGGCTCCAGTGACCTCCTGCCTCAGTCTCCTGAGTAGCTGGGACTACAGGAGTACATCACCATGCTTGCCTAATTTTTATTTTTATTTTTTTGCAAAGACAAGGTCTTGCTCTGTTGCCCAGGCTGGTCTCCCAACTCCTGGCTTCAAGTGATCCTCCTGCCTCGGCCTCCCAAAGTGCTGGGATTATGAGTGTGAGCCACCGTGTGCCTAGCCTTTTTTCCCTTTCTCACACCAGGTGGCATACTATCCTGTACCTTCTGTTTTTCATGTAACATATCTTGGAGTTGTTTCCATATCAGTACCCAGATTTTTTTTTTTTTTAATTGTAGAGACAGGTGTTGTTATGTTGTTCAGGCTAGTCTTGAACTCCTGGTCTCAAACAGTCCTCCTTCCTCAGCCTCCCACACTGTTGGGATTACAGGTGTGAGCCACCACACCCATCCACCCACCCCTGTTTTTTTTTCTTGGTAACTAATGTATAATATTCATCCTGTGGCTATAGATGTATCATCCTTGTTTTTTTTGAGATGGAGTCTTGCTATTGCCCACGCTAGAGTGCAGTGGCATGATCTCAGCCCACAGCAACCTCCGCCTCCCAGGTTCAAGCGATTTTCCTGCCTCAGCCTCCCGAGTAGCTGGGATTACAGGCGTTCACCACCACACCTGGCTAATTTTTGTATTTTTAGACGACAGGGTTTCACCATGTTGGACAGGCTGGTCTCAAACTACTGACCTCAGGTGATCCACCCACCTGGGCCTCCCAAAGTGCTGGGATTACAGGCATTAGCCACCATGCCCGGCCGTTTGTTTTATTTAGATAAGATTGTGTTTGTATGCTAATGGGAGAAAATTGATGATGAGGGGACTAAGTGCTGGAGTGACACCCTTGTCCGGGTGAAGGAGGATGGGTTTTAAGGCAGAGCAAATGGGCTTGGAAGATGGTAGGTTGTTAGATGTGGTGGCGGAAGAATGTGGAAGTTTTTTTTTTTTTTTTTTTTTTGAGATGGAGTCTTGCTCCATCTCCCAGGCTGGAGTGCAGTGGCATGATCTCGGCTCACTGCAAGCTCTGCCTCTCGGGTTCATGCCATTCTCCTGCCTCAGCCTCCCAAGTAGCTGGGACTACAGGCGCCCGCCACCATGCCCGGCTATTTTTTTTGTATTTTTAGTAGAGATAGGGTTTCACCGTGTTAGCCAGGATGGTCTCAATCTCCTGACCTCATGATCCACCCACCTCCACCTCCCAAAGTACGGGATTACAGGTGTGAGTCACCGTGCCTGGCTGAAATTCTCTTCTAATTGCGTATCTTACTGAAACAATATGGTCATCAGGTGAAAGGAAAGTGGGGAAGGAAGAGGAGATACTGGAACTTGTAGAAGGGCACCAAAGGTATGCGATATCTCATTACAGAGTAAATGGAGAAAATGTAATACATTTGCCGGAGAACATCAGTTCATTTGAGATCAGTGGTATGATCTGGGCCAGCAGGGTTGTATGTTTTTCTCCAGCCATATTCAGCTAAATGGTGTAGGCACAGAGTCTGGTTAATAGTTAAATTTAACAAGGGAGGGGTTTTGCCGGGTGAATATGGTGGGATAATGGGGGCAAGGGAGTGAATAAAAATAATCTAAGCTGGGTAGGGAGGAATTAAGGACATGAGTGGGGTGGAAGGACAATGATAAAGGTAGTAGAGCCAGTAGGTTGTACGTCCTTGTGGTGTTTGGAATTCTTGCAATGGGGGCATTAGGCATGACTGGGAAGGCAGGAGTCAGAGTGGGATGCCTGGAACTGAGATCATAGAGAGCAGTTACAATGTCAAGGTCTAGGCTGGATGTGGTAGTTCACGCCTGTAATCCCAGCACTTTGCGGAGCTGAGGCAGGAGGATTGCTTGAAGCAAGGAGTTTGAGACCAGCTCCAGCAATAAAGTAAGACCCCATCTCTAAAAATTAAAAAAATAGCTGGGCAGGCTGAGGAGGAGGATCACGATCGCTTGAGCCCAGAAGATCAAGGCTGCAACCAGCTATGATCAAGCCATTGCACTCCATCCTGGGTGACACAGAGAGACCCTGTCTCTTTAAAAAAAACAAACAAAACAAGGTCTAGGATATGACCACGGGAGTGGTGAATGGCTGAGGTAAGGATGATGAGACCATTGGAGAAGTCAAAGAATAAGAGACCAGGTTACTGGAAGCAGCATCTACGTGGCCAGTGAAATCACTAAGAATTATGACCAGAGTAACGGCGAGAGCAGGTTGACCATGAGTCAGCTCTGTGATGAGGAGCAGTTGGGGGGCCGGCCTGGGATTAGTAGGTACAACAGACTGATAGCATCAGCTTTCTGCAGGGGTTTTAGAGAAGGACACCATTGGAGGTAGCACTGAGGGACAAGGAGGACATCTTACCCCAACCTTGTGGTAGTGGTAGGAGGGGAGTGATAGAGGAAGCAGGACTGCAAGGCAACTAGGAAAGGTGAAGGAACATTCAAAGCAGAGGTGGAGGACGCAGAGGTGGAGGATGCAGTGGGGGTTAGTCTTGCTGAATTCTAAGGGGTAAAGTGAACGAGTTTCTGCAGTTGGGAGGAGAGGGAGATGGAGGTCACAGTAGGGGGAGATACATGAAGATGAAACCCTGGGTGATGAAGAATGACAGGAGGGCTTGAAAGATGAGATAGAGTATGTGATTCCCCTAGAAAACTGGAGCTCTGGCCCACTTTCATCCTGCCAGCAAGGCATGGCCTTACTGGAGCACAGGGAGCTCAAGCTCAATGTACAGACAGGAAGGAAGACAGTAGTGGTTCCAAGATCTGATGAGTTCACTGCTGCTCCTCAGAGAGGCCTTTGACAGTTCTTGCTGCCCATTGTCTACTGTCACATCGTCTTGTGTAATCTTTACGGGCACTATCTGAAAATCTGGTTTGGGGTCTCTTCTCCTCCCCGAGCTTTGACTGCTGTATTCTGTCACGCGCAGTGTCTGGTGTATAGTAAGCATTCGTGTAAAATGTTCCTATTGGCACATACTTTTTTTGTTTTTGGCCCATACATTTAACAGACACTTAGCAGTCACCTTTTTAGTATTGTGAATAATGTGAACACAACAATTCCTGTTCTCATGGATACAGAACTCCCACAGCTCCAGCTGTCTTGTTTTGAAGTACTATGTTGCAAATCTCTCATACATCAAGTGTAGCCAAACTGAAATGCAGACTCATTGAAACCAGTCTGTATCCTAGATGCCAATTTCCCAAGTCCATCTTCCATTCATACCTGAGCTAATTTTTTTTTTTTTACAGTTAGCAAACTACAGAGCATCTGCATTTTTTTTTTTTTTTTTTTTTTTTGAGATGGAGTCTTGCACAGTCACCCAGGCTGGAGTGCAGTGGCGCCATCTCGGCTTACTGCACCCTCTCTGCCTCCCGGGTTCCAGCGATTCTCCTGCCGCAGCCTCCCAAGTACAGGCGCACACCACTACGCCTGGCTAATTTTTTTATTTTCAGTAGAGATGGGGTTTCACCGTGTTGGCCAGGGTGGTCTTGAACTCCTGACCTCAAGAGATCCACGAGCCTCGGCCTCCCAAAGTGCTGGGAATATAGGCATGAGCCAGCACGCCCGGCCGAGCATCTCCATTTTTAACAAAAATGCATTAAGGAGTAAGGTGAAATCCTAATATCCAGTCACACTTGAGAATCAGTTTAATGAAGCAGGTTTGTTAAGTGGAACAATTTTCCTTATGTCTCCATTTTGCCCAGGAACTGATGTTGGCAAAGTACTAGTATGATCTTTTCAATCCGTTTTCTTTCAGGTAGCAATTGTGGTATTAGGAAACAAAATCGACCTTTCTGAGCAGAGACAAGTGGACGCTGAAGTGGCACAGCAGTGGGCAAAAAGTGAGAAAGTAAGACTGTGGGAGGTGACTGTTACAGATCGGAAAACTCTGATTGAACCATTCACTTTATTAGCCAGTAAACTTTCTCAACCCCAGAGCAAATCAAGCTTTCCTTTGCCTGGGAGGAAAAACAAAGGGAACTCTAATTCTGAGAACTAAAAATCAGTAATTTCCACAATTGTATGTTGAATAGTGATTGCCTTTAAGTGTCTGTGAACATGGAGTAATATTACTATTTAAAATAGGCCATTTGTATCTACCTTTGGTCCTTAGGAAAATTCCTAAGGAAGTCAATTAATGCACTTTAGATGTTAAAAGTATTTGGGCTAAGGTTATTATTGCCTGATATGAAATAATATATTCTTATTCTCATTGTTTGAAACCTGTCTTTGAAATTAGCACCTTTGTTATTTATGTTGTACTTGTGAAAACAGTAAAATAGTTTGGATAGTTATGCAAATGCACCTATGTGTAACTTCCCCCCAACCCCAAGCTGTTTCGGAAGATATCATAATCATTCTGTGTAACATTATGCAAACTTCTAAGCCCAAACATGACTTTGTTTTTAAAAAGTTCATTAATCTAATGTCTAGGATTATAAAACATTTTTTTGTGTCTAAATTGGACCCAAAACATTGAACAGTTTGGGGTAGTAAGCTAAATTTCATCTTGTGGAGATTTTGCTAAACAGACTAAGACCCATGATTTAGCTTTGCTCAAATTAGAATGTTTAGCATGAGTTGAGGTACCAGGTAGTGTTAAGTAGGTTCATCACGCTCTAAGGCCGTTTTTTCCTTAGCCAGACCCCTGTTGATAGACCAGATACTTGAGGGCAAACTGTTTGCTCCTCCTCTTGAAAATGATTAGGCACTTAAGGACAGTAAAGCTGTATTTTCTGGAAGGAAGACTGTATCTTCTGGAATAGTTTTCTAGAAAACTAGTCATATACAATAAAAGTATCAAAAATATTGGGCTCTAATTTGATCTGACTTAGATGTCTGAGTTTGTGTTGTTTCTCTAAAGATTTTGGCAAGACTCAAGCAATGTGGCTGACTGTAACTTTATTAATTTAAAAGGTAGGAAGTAAGCTACTTAGTGGTTTCACCTGTGAAATAACTATTTTGACTGAAATGTAAAATAAGCTATTCAACAAAGAACATATTAAAACATCAAGTAATTTGTAACATCTTAAATGGAATACTTTTTTCATGAGCTCTAGTGAAGAACTACTACATATAAAAGACGATACTTACAAATCAGCTATTGCTGCTACAGTATAATTCTTCAAAATTTCTCATCATAAATTCATTTTTTGGTAAAAAAAAATTACCAGACACTAACTCACCCCCTTACCCTTTTCCCCCGGTTATTGAATATTAATCTAGCTTCCCACCCATGCATGTTACATAGATGGACAAATGCTTTCATAATGATTTTTAAATAAGTACCTTCCAGTTTGCTTTGTTTCCTACTAATGCAACTTAGTCTATATTAGTACAAACAGTTACCAATTCTTTTTAAATTCTGTAATGAATGTATGTGTATCCAGATAAGTTTCTCTGAAAGAGACATACAGAAACAGAACTGCTGGGTCAGGACATGTACTGCCAAAATGCCCCCTAAGGCAGGGTACCAATTTATCCATGACGGAACCCATTTCTCATGTACTTGCTACTACAGCATCTGCAAGTCAGAAAATGCTTTTAAAAAGATGCAGTAGGGTTCGTCTTTGAAGCCTAAATGGGGTAGATTATTTAACCTTTTCTAGGATACCTCATCTACAGCTGTGTAAAGTACAGATCCTAATATAGGTAACTAACTAATACCTACTAAATATGCATTATTTTTAGCTTGTTTTAGAAGCAGATACCTATCGATTTCAGAAGAATCTGCGAATGGCAACCAAAAGGCAAAAGAAAAGTAAATGAACACAGCAGTGTTTATTAGGTGGTTTTTAATATTGTTTATTAGCACAGTAACAAATGCAGACTTAAGTAGTCCACAACATAGAACCAATCCACTGAGCAACTCCTATTCCACGCCTTACAGTTAGTTAACAGCTTAAGGTATTTCACTACAGGTTTTCACAAGTCCTGATTCAGACCTTTTTTAAACAAAGTAGATTGGCATATAAAATAAAACGCACTACTCATCTCTTATATGGTGTTTTATAGCCACGTGTCCATTTTATATATATGAGATGACAATCTCTAAAAACTCTGTTAAATATCAATGTTCCCTTCCAAGAAGGGAAAACAAATTCCAATTTTGTTTTAAACAAAAAGTATGTAGTCTTAGAGGGACTTTACATAAATGGCCATATGTGTAACCTGTACCAAATTAAGCTGTTTTAAATTTACAGACTACAAGCAACTGAACCCAAATGTCTAAATGTACATTCTTTTCTGTACTACATTTCAGCTAATATTGCAGAACTAATGACAATTTTAAAAGTTGCTATTACCAATTCTGTCTACTGTAGCAAGATACCTTAAGTTACAACAAAATCTTAGGAAATAAGACTGAATAATATCTGTTATAGAAATACCCTACTCTTTACCAACTCCCACCCTCCCTGACCCCTTCAAAATCATAAGCAGCTCTCTTCTGTGACAGACAAATAATGTAAGAATTGTGAAACCCCAATTTATGTAGCGTATCTCTTGGTCCACTGTCTGGCCATTCTGTCATGTTCTGCTCTGTTGGTCATATACTGAGTGGCAATACTTCCCACCAAGGGGTCGGCTGGAAGAAAAGAATGTAGATTACTTTGGAGAAAGGAAAAGAACATTTTAAACTTTAGCGAATAGTGACAGCTTGGGTAGATACGTACGACAAAGTATGTGTGATCAAACCCATCTTCGAAACACCACTCCACCATGCTGGATATTTTTCCATCAAAATTTCAAAAAAACATAACGTTGGGGGAAGAGGGAATGCTTAGGCTTTAGTGTACTGGTCTGTCTTTATCTTAGTTCATTCCATTTTTCTCCCAACAAACAACACTCAATTGGAGTTTCTTTACTCTTATGTGTTAGGCTGAGTTCAGTAGAGACTGGAACGGTCAAGGCTTCAGACTGCAATGAACATCCAGCTGTGTTCATGTGACCCTTAGCTCAATGTCACCAGTTAACGGCATTGTGAATACTGTGAAGTCTTCGGGGCTGTTGCAGTGCAACACTATTAACCTTTACGCTGGTTAAAGAGCCAGGTTGCCAGGCAAAACCTGGACCTCCAATTAAGTATAGTATTTCTCTGAATCTTAGGATCTTTAATAAATTTATATTTGGTTTACCTAGAAAATATATTTGTCTGTGTGTGTGTATATATATACATATGTGTATATATATATATTTTTTGAGACAGGGTCTCGCTTTGCCACCCAGGCTGGAATGCAGTGCAGTGACATGCTCATGGCTCACTGCAGCTTTGACCTTCTGGGTTCAAACAATCCTGACACCTCAGCCACCCTAGTAGCTGTGACTACAGAAAAATATTTTTTAAATGAAATGAAGTCCCAAAAAAGTCACAATTCAATAGTCACTAAGTATTTAACAACTACCATTTTCAAAATTGAGTGCCATCTCAGTGACCAGCTATGGGACACATGCTCACTGAACCCCAGAGGCACAGGTGAGGCTTGCCAGGCAGATGACTCGACATTTAGAAGTGTCTGATTTGTTTTATAAGAACTCTATGGGAAATTAAGCAACAGGAAAAAAAAAGGAGGAAGAATAATTGAAACTAAAAGCCCAAGGCAAACTTACGTCAGTCTTCAGTTTAAAATACCTTGTTGCTAGAATATACTGATTAATGAAGTTGTGTGTCTCAACTAGTAGACTGAACTTGATTAAAACTTTCTTTTGAAAAGCCGATTAGTTTTTGTATTCACAAACTTGTGCAGAAAAATTAGTTTTGTCCTTTGAAAGCTTTTGGAAACAAGTATTTTTCAGGTAAGGAAGAATAAAACAAGGTAAAGAATTATGAACCTTACCAGGATTACAGTCTGTAAGAAGTGAGCAGATAGAAAGGAGGACTTTAGAAATGGTTAGTGCTGGACTCCAATTATCTTTCAATATGTCCAAGCAAATAACACCTTGACTGTTAATATTACAATGATAGATTCTTGTCCGAAATGTAACCTAAAAAAAACAAGTGACAGACAATATTTAAACAGCAAACAAACTTGTTACTAAATATTCAACTGAATGACCCTTAAGAAGGTGACTAAAAGCAGTTTTAATTAAAGCTGTCAAGAAGATAGACAATAAATTTGATTAGAAAGTGTTCATTGATACCATCTCAGGGACTGTGTCAATTTCATTTAAAATGTTATGTCCACTGACGGTAAGTTCAGTACTTCCTAATTTCATCTTTAGCAATTTTAAATCTTTTAAATATTAACATTTCCAAGTTTGAATAGCTAATTGTTTGCTGACCTCTTGTGTTAGCTGGTAGTACTACACTGCCTCAAAGTAAGCTTTAAAATACTGAGAATCATAAATACCTCTTAAAAACTGAAGTGCAACATAATGGGTACATAAAGATAATTAAACAACATACTTAGCAAACAATGACTACACCCAAAAGGCTGAACAAAATTTGAAGAGAAGTCTATTTCTGCTTTTTTCTGACCGTTACATCAGGTCCTATAGACATCCTGTCTACCTACATCACAGAATTTACTATTATATAATCGAGTGTCCATGGATGCAGAGCCAGTAATGGGCAAGGACCACAGCAGAACACAAGTCACATAAGCTGGTGTTATTTGGGTCTCTTAATTTTTATTTGTGAAATATACCAAAACACAAAGTAAAAATTACCTGTAATTTTACCAATTTTTTAAAAAAGTGACTTTCGATTACTTCTTGTTGCTGCAGTTGTACTTTTATCTGGCAGTCTACCTAATCCCCAAGACGGGGTTTTCTTTCTGACTGAATGAGAATCATAGATTGAGTACAGGAGATGGGTGACTTGGGCAATCCTCACCTGTCCTAGAAAGAAAACTGAGGCCTGGAGGTAAAGGAACAAGACCAAAACATGACAGGGAGCACAACAGAATCCAAAGCTTTGGGAAGAGATTCTGATTCTCTAGTTGTTTGGCCCCCTGACCTGCCCTGCCTTTTTTTGGGGTCTTGCTTTGTTGCCCAGACTGGACTCAAACTCTTGGGCTCAAACAATCCTCCCAAGTAGCTGGACTACAGGTGCACACCACTGCACCTGGCTTGACACCATTTTTAACCTCGAGAAAGGTTCAAAAACATTTCTCTATGGGCTGGAAAACAGGGGATTAATTCTAGGTTGCTGACAATATTACTATAAATAGCACAATTTTAAGCACCATCAAAACAAAGCACTTAATCCTAGAATGGTCTCTGCCAGATAAGGCAAAATCAACCTAAAGAAGTGTTTTGTATATGTTAAAATACTCAGATCTATTAGGACATAAGATAAATCTAGTTTCTGTGATTAAAAATTAAATTTAGAAAAACCTCAACAGTTGCTCTCTTGTGGGAATTAGTAAATTTGAGCATACAGGGAGATTTCTTACCTTTGGAGGCTTGAAGGGATATTCTGGTGTAAAAGTGATATCGAGAAAGAATACACCACCCTCATACACGGATCCTGGAGGCCCTAGAATGGTTGATCTCCATTCATAGATGTTATCGCCTTTGGGACCAGCACTGTGAATAATACGTCAACAAATAAGCAGATGGTGGCACTATCCCAATTTTTACAGTGTATTAAAAGAGATGGAAAGATTACCTCTCTCCTCTCTTTTGTTTACTGTGTGGATTCTCTTTACAAAACAAGTACAGAAACGGATGCAGAACTGCAACAAACCCATAGCCATTGGTCAAGCAAACTGGATGATAAAAGAATGTTAAAACCATTCTAAGCCTACCTAGCTACGAATAAGCAGGAAACTTTCCTCAATTCTCAAAACTCTCCTGGACACGTAGGAAAGTGTAAACAATACTTAAAATGGGAAACACATCTCAGCACCTAGAAGCGAAATTAGTGACAAATGCGAGCAGTTTTTGCTCACAGCTACATCACTTATGACCATTTTAAGCACAGAAGTTTCATTTTCTGACCCACTAACTGGCTCTTCCTTGCTCTTCTATCTCCATAATCTCACCTTTAAAAGAATCTAATAGATGGTTTATAATGTAAAAAGTATGTCCATGTTAGGTGGGAGGAGAATGGTAAGTATCCAGTTACAGGTTATTCAATTTTCATTTCAATGTGTATTCTATAATTGGGTTCTCTAAATACTAATACTTGAGACATTCCTCCAACCCTGTTAGCTGTTATCATAAATCACTGTTACATACACTTGGGTACACCATAATTTGGCCACAATACCATTCTAAAGCATTGTGTTGGCTTCTAGAGTGCCACCGCACCCAGCAAAACTACTCTTTTAAATAAATGTACGATGTGAATTGGATTTATTCACTCACTTACTGAATGCCCATGTACTAGGCAGAGGGTTAAATGTCAGGGGTTTTGATGCTGAACAAGACAAACTCCTTCAAGATGCCCTCTGCTAACTGGTTACAAAGTCTGATGCCTTCATTTAAGAGACAGAAGAGATGAAGAGGGAGGGAATAAAAAGCCTACCCATGGGCCTATACTTTCCCCAAACCCATCACAGGTTTTTCTTTTGGTCTGAAATTTGGTGTGAGAGATGCAACAGGTTAGGGGAATGAGCTTATTACAAAGGAAAAGCAGAGGAGAATACAAGTTGGGGAAGAAAACATGACATGGCAAAAAAGGAGGGAGAAAATATGGGCAACCGAATAGCGGGTAATGGGAAGAACAGGGCCCAAACTGGCCAAGAGGCAGAAAGAGCTCGGACACTGTCCACCTCACAGGAATGTTTTCAGAATTAAGTGAGAGAAAGAAGGAAACTGTAGAGCAACACACCCATGGGTATCTCTCATTAAACGGCAGTGATCACCATTATTATTAATTCTTTAATATCTCTTTGTGATGGGTATTACCAAAAACTATTAAAAACTTGTTTTATTTTTTATTTTTGAAACAGAGTCTTGATCTGCTACCCAGGCTGGAATGCAGTGAGTGGCATGATCTCGGGTCACTGTAGCCTTGACTTCTAGGCTCAAGTGATCCTCCCACCTTAGCCACCTGAGTAGCCGAGACTACAGGCATGCACCACCATACCTGGCTAATGTTTTCTATTTAATTTGTGTAGATGGGGGTCTCTCTATGTTGCCCAGGCTGGTCTTGAACTCCTGGGCTCAAGCAATCCTCCTACCTCAGCCTCCCAGAGTGCTGGGATTATAAGTGTAAGCCACCAAAAAGTTTGTTTTAGATACAGAGAGAGTTTTTTTGTTTGTTTTGTTTTTTTTGTTTGTTTTTTAAGGCGGAGTTTTGCTCTTGTTGCCCAGGCTGGAGTGCAATGGCACGATCTCGGCTCAATGCAACCTCCGCCTCCCGGGTTCAAGCGATTCTCTTGCCTCAGCCTCCTGAGTAACTGGGACTACAGGCATGCGCCATTATGCCTGGCTAATTTTGTATTTTTAGTATAGATGGGGTTTCACCATGTTGGTCAGGCTGGTCTTGAACTCCCGACCTCAGGTGATCCGCCCGCCTCGGCCTCCCAGAGTGCTGGGATTATAGGTGTGAGCCATCGCACCCGGCCAGAGATTTTTTAAACATTGTCTACACCATGAAGTCATACTTTGTGTTTAAAAAAGATGACTTCATAGTTTTACACGATATCTGATGGCAATTTTCACAAGGTGGAATGTAGGGAGAGCTCTTAATCAGCCCTCTCCCTCTGGAAACAGGCAGAAACTTCTCCAGTGAAATGATATTACCATTATTGCTTCATTTCCTGAGGTTAGAACCGGTTCTTGGTCATCATAAGTTTGCCTACCTGCCTACATGTTTGCATCCCCTCGAAACTTTTATGTTGAAATCCTAATCCTCAATGTGACGGTATTAGGAGGTGGAGCCTTTGAAGGTACTGGGTTAGGGGGTAGAAATCCTCATGAAAAGGATTAGTGTTCTTAAAGAGAACCTCAAAAGCTCTCTAACTTTTCTCTACCATATGAGGATACAGCAAGAAGACAGTTGTCTGGAAACCAAGAAACGCATCCTCACCAGACCTGAAGCTGCCAGCACCTTGATCTCATATTTCTAGCCTCCAGAACTGTGAGAAATAAACTTCTGTTGTTTATAAGCCATCCAATTCATGGTACTTTGTTATAGCAAACTGAAGAAAGTCTAGAGACACTGGCTGATACAGCTATGACACCTGGAGTGCAGTTAATGAAAAGTGGACTATATATGAAAATAACACTAATACAGGGGTTGCAGATAAAGGGGAATGCTCTTTTATCTAGTTTATGGTAAACACTTAAAGGCAAAAGGCTACTCTAAAATCTTTTTACAGATGAGGAACCAAGGCCAAGAGTTCATTCACAGAAGCCAGGCTCTCTAAAATCCAGTACTGACAATATTCCAAGCTGCCTCCTAGAGGCAGGAGTCGTACTGTTCATGTTCAACTTGGTAGTGCTAAGAAACCAACCTAGAAAAAAACAAAAGTGAGGGCAGTCTAGGCCCTAGAGGTGACATGTTGGCATGGGCCCAATTCTGCTGGTCCTTTAGTATACAAAAAAAATAAAGGTTTACCAGTATGTCACTACATGCAGATTTATGGATTGTACAGAAAATTGGTGATTCCCAAATTTCACTGTGCATCAAAATAATCGATGGAACTTTAAAGACTAAAGATTTCTAGACCCCACCCCAGGCCCGATGATTGAGAATATCTAGAGGGGACCCAAGAATCCATATATTTAAGTGCCCCACCCACAACAATGACCTTTAAGCAGGTAGTTTGCATTTGGGAACCACTGCTACAGGTTACTAGTGGGACAACCAGTTAGGAGCATAAGTTTGAACATTTTACAGTTTGTCACCTGTGATAGCTTATCACCTGTGATATAACCAGAAATCCAATTAAGATTGCTATCTCTCTAATCTGTTTGCAATTTAGGTGTTAATTTTTTTGAAAGTTCAGAAAAAAGTAGACAAAACAGAAAAGAAATCAAGTACAACTACATAATGACAAAAAACGTATTACACTTGTATTAAACTTCAAAACTGGAGAATAAAGGTGCAATATAACATGAAAATAATTAAATGCTAAGTGAAATAATATCAAATGTAGTTGACCCTGAAGAAAATGCAGTAGTGAGGGATCCCTAACCTGTGGGCCCTCAGGAATTACTGTGAATGGTCTTGAGAATCCACTGGAAAAGACCAAGCATTGTTACCTGAATATCAAACTTTTTTTTTTTTTTTTTTTGAGATCTGTCACCCAGGTTGGAGTGCAGTGGCATGATCTCAGCTCACTGCAACCTCCCCCTCGTGGGTTCAAGCGATTCTCTTGCCTCAGCCTCTGGAGCAGCTGGGACTACAGGTGTGCGCCGCCATGCCCAGCTAATTTTTGTATTTTTAGTAGAGCTGGGGTTTCACCATATTGGCTAGACCGGTCTCAAACTCCTGACCTTGTGATCCGACTGCCTCAGCCTGCCAAAGTGCTGGGATTACAGGTGTGAGCCACCATGCTCAGCCCTGAATATCAAGTTTTAGATAGTCACTTAAAGCTGCTATTGGATGAATTCAGGTAGCTTTTTATCATGTGTACTTTCTTAATCAGAGAATAAAACAGAAAAATTCTGATGCAGGGGCGTACAATTTTATTTGTTTCCTAAGTTCTCATTGGAAAAGTTAGGATCTGCTGGTCTACAAAGTGGGCAGGCAGTCCCATCCCCAGGGGTGGAGGACAATATTAACAACTCTATAAGAAGGCCAGTGTCAGAAGAATAGGGAGTAAGACTCAGCTTTACTTGAGGCTGTTCAAGCATCCCACCTATTTCTCGATAAAATGACTGACCAGGTTTGCCCTCAGGTCACCTAAGTACACCCTTTAATAATCTCCTGTCTCCTCCAGAAGATACTTTTGGTTCCACAACAAGAAATACAACTTTAATTTTAAATACTGGTTGAAGTGTACCATAGAATGGTATGTAATTTAAATTATTAATCCAAATGATTAGAGTATGGAAAATCCTGAATTGGGAAAAGGAGGGTTGAAATTGATACTAAAGAAAAGATGGGGAGAGGTGACAGCATGCTGGCAGCCCTCGCTCGCTCTTGGTGCCTCCTCAGCCTTGGTGCCCACTCTGGCCGCGCTTGAGGAGCCCTTCAGCCCCCTGCTGCACTGTGGGAGCCCCTCTCTGTGCTGGCTGAGGCTGGAGCTGGCTCCCTCTGTTTGCAGGGAGGTGTGGAGGGAGAGGCGCGGGTGGGAACTGGGGCTGCGCGCAGTGCTCATGGAACAGCGAGAGTTCCGGGTGGGCGTGGACTTGGCAGCCCCGCACTCGGAGCAGCCGGCCGGCGCCACTGGCCCCAGGCAGTGAGGGGCTTAGCACCCCAGCCAGCAGCTGCAGAGGGTGCGCCTGGTCCCCCAGCAGTGCCAGCCTGCCAGCAACAGGCTCAAATTCTCGCCAGGCCTCAGCTGCCTCCCCGTGGGGCAGGGCTTGAGACGTGCAGCCTGCCAGGCCCGAGCCTCCCCTCCACCCCTGCAGTGGGCTCCCACGTGGCCTGAGCCTCCCCGATGGGGACCACCCCCTGCTCCGCGGCTCCCGGTCCCATCGCCTGCCCAAGGGTTGAGGAGTGTGGGCGCACAGTGCGGGACTGGCGGGCAGCTCCGCCCGCAGCCCCGGCACAGGATCCACTAGGCAAAGCCAACTGGGCTCCTGAGTTAAGTGGGGACTTGGAGAACTTTTACGTCTAGCTGGAGGATTGTAAATGTACCAATCAGCATTCTGTGTCTAGCTAAAGGTTTGTAAATGCACCAATCAGTGCTCTGTGTGGAGCTAATCTAGTGGGGACTTGGAGAACTTTTGTGTCTAGCTCAGAGATTGTAAACGCACCAATCAGCACCCTGTCAAAGCAGACCAATCAGCTCTCTGTAAAACCAATCAGCTCTCTGTAAAATGCACCAATCAGTAACATGTGGGTGGGGCCAGATAAAGGAATAAAAAGCAGGCTGCCAGAGCCAGCAGTGGCAACCTGCTCAGGCCCCCTTTGACACTGTGGAAGCTTTGTTCTTTCACTCCTTGCAATAAATCTTGCTGCTGCTCACTCTTTGGGTCCGCACTGCCTTTGTGAGCTGTAACACTCACCGCGAAGGTCTGCAGCTTCACTCCTGAGGCCAGCAAAACCACGAACCCACCAGAAGGAATAAACAACTCCGGACGGGAGGAACGAACAGCTCCAGACGTGCTGCCTTAAAAGCTGTAACACTCACCACGAAGGTCTGCAGCTTCACTCCTGAAGCCAGCGAGACCACGAACCCACCAGAAGGAAGAAACTCTGAACACGTCCGAACATCAGAAGGAACAAACTCCGGATACACCATCTTTAAGAACTGTTAACACTCACCGTGAGGGTCCGCGGCTTCATTCTTGAAGTCAGTGAGACCAAGAACCCACCAATTCCGGACACAATGGGAGCAGAAAAGTACATTTCATAATTTTGCATTAAGTCTACCCTGTCTTCACCTGAGCACTTATTTTAATTGGGATTCTCTAAACTGGGTCATCTCAGTTTTGTGTAACATGATTTTTTAAAACCAGCCAACCAAAGTATGATTGGGGTTACAGAAATAAGTATAAGACTGTGCCTTTTTAAAAAAACCCACTTATCCGTGTTTGAAGACATTGAAATTTAACTGTGATTAGAACCTCTGCATGAGAGGATGTAACTGAGGAAGTGAAGAGACCATGCCTATACCTTTCACATTTTTCTACACAGAGGTTTAAGGTTTATTTGTAACTAAAAGCACTTTTCAAAATATAAGCAAATACATACAAGGCAAAAAGAAAAAGATAACATAGTTTTTTCTTCTAATCAAAATAAATATTACTCTGATACAGATTTTAAGAAAAATGAGTAATTTCTACTTTAACACAATATTTTCTTCTTTCTATAAAGGATTCTGACTTCACACAGGTATGTAAACAATAGGAGCGGGGATGGCCATGAGCCACGACACTTCTGTCATACAGGAAGCTGTGTCTGTTAACTGATAGGAAACTCTCCATTGAATAAACGCAATTAACAAGGACTCACTTCTGACAGCTTTTCCTACAATCCTGGAGACATTTTCCCCCTAATGACCACTGGACAGCGTGGCTACATATCTTATGCCTCAATATTATATTGATAAGTATACAAAGTAAAAAACTATCAACTGGTAGTAACTTTTGCTTTACACATATACAGTCTTAAACAGCATCTGCACAGTATAAACTGTACTACAAATCATTTGAGGTATTAACAAACCAACTGTCAAAGACTGTCATTAGCACAGTCTTACTAGAATCTGTTGTGTTCCCTGGACTGACTTAAAATCTTCCAGGGTAACTCCACAAAGTAACATTCATGTTTTCTTTTTGTTTTAAAATCATGTTTTTGTGAGTCTTTCCCCATTCCCATTCTCAGTACAGACTTATTACAGACTACTCTGCTGCTCTTCCATTTCAATGGTCAGAAACCAAATCTGCATTTCAATTTTCAAATGACATTATTGATTTCTTTTAAAGAACATCCTGAAGCAAAGTGAAATTTAGGATATTTTTCGAGTCACAGTCTTGCTGTGTCACCCAGGCTGGAGCACAATGTGATCTCAGCTCACAGTAGCCTTGACTTCCTGGGCTCAAGTGATTCTCCCACCTCAGCCTCCCTAGTAGCTGGGACTAAAGGCACATGCCACCATGCCCAGCTAATTTTTAAAAAATTTTATCCATTATTATTATTTTTAAGACAGAGCTTCGCTTGTGTCATCCAGGCTAGAGTGCAGTGGTGCCATCTTGGCTCACTGCAACCTCTGCCTCCCAGGTTCAAGCAATTCTCCTGCCTCAGCCTCCTGAGTAGCTGGGATTACAGGCATCCGCCACCACACCCAGCTAATTTTTGTATTTTTAGTAGAGATGGGGTTTCACCATGTTGGCCAGGCTGGTCTCGAAATCCTGACCTCAGGTGATCCGCCCGCCTCAGCCTCCCAAAGTGCTGGGATTACAGGCGTGAGCCACTGCGCCCAGCCTAATTTTTACATTTTTCATAGAGACAGGCTCTCACCAGGTTGCATAGGCTGGTCTCAAATTCTTGGGCTCAAGTGATCCTCCCACCTGGGCCTCCCAAAGTGCTGAGATTCACAGGCGTGAGCCACTGTGCCTGGCCAGAATCAATTTTTTAAAAGTATCTTTCTATCAAATGAATTTTTACATTTTTTATTGGGAGACAGGACCCTTGCCTACAAACACATAAACCATAGTTCAGATATTATTCTAGGCATAATTTTAGAAGGCTTAGTTATCTGCTGTCATACCCTAGAAAAAAAGTGAAAGGATGAGAGGCTGGGAAGATAGGAAGATAAGCATGCTAGAAACAGACTTGCGGACTGCTGGGCGAGCACTGTTAGAGCAGCCAGGCACACAGCACCCACCTGGTGCCCTGTCCTCCGCCGCGGCCCAGGCCTCCCTGGTGCCCACGGACAGGTATCAGAGCACCTCCCCAGATGTTAGGACAGACGCTGAGTGAAGAGAAGGGAAGGATGGTTAGTCTTATAGCTGGATCACCTACGAAGAGAAGTTCTAAAGCAAGAAGAAAGCATTTCAATTTGGGACATTTATTTGCAGTGGGAAATTGGGAAATGGACTATCAGACCACACTTCTATCCTGTCCAGTCGGCCTTCATTTCAGTCTTTCCACACTGTTTTCCTGGGTTTGTACTGTGCTAGCAAGACAACTGTCTTATACAGGCTGCAGCTCATGAATTTGTAAATACTGTACCTACCAAAAGATTTAACACGGAGAAAATTAAGGTAATCTTGGCAAATTCTAAAACAGTCCCTTTTCACTTCTGGGATGTAGGTGTTTAGGACAAAGTAAGGCCACTGTGGAAGTCATATGCCAGATGCACAGATGGCATTGTATTTGTTGTGGACTCTAGATGTGGAAGGATGGAAGAAACTAAAACTTAACTTCATAAAATAACTAGGATATAGAAAACCAAGCAGTCCCTCTACTTATAGTTGCTAACAGCAAGACTTCAGGAACTCATTCTCTCAGGAACTGATACATTGTTGGCAAGGGGTGAACTGAGCTCATCAAGTCCTTGGCATTTGCAGCTTACCTGTGCAATCATAGGAGATGGACTAAAGCAGCAGTCCACAACCTTTTCTGCACCAGGGGCTGCTTTTGTGGAAGACAATTTTTCCACAGATGGGGGGTGGGATGGTTTGGGATGATTCAAGTGCATTGTATTTATTGTGCACTCTATTTCTATTAGTATTACATTGTGATATAGAATGAAATAATTATACAACTCACCATAATGTAGAATCAGTGGGGAGCCCCCGAGCTTGTTTTCCTGCAACTAGACAGTCCCATGTGGGGGTGATGGGTGACAGTAGCAGATCATCAGGCATTAGATTCTCATAAGGAGCACGCAACCTAGATCCCTCACATGAGCAGTTCACAATAGGGTTTGCGTGTGCCTATGAGAACCTAATGCCATTGCTGATCTGAGCTGACAGGAGGCGGAGCTCAGGCAGTAATGCAAGCCATGGGCAGTGGCTGTAAATACAGATGGAGCTTCACTCAGCTGGCCGGCCTGCCCACCCACTGCTCATCTGTTATGTGCGTGGTTCCTAATGGGCCAGGGACCAGTACGGGGTCTGTGGCCCAGGCTTTGGGGAACCCTGGACTAAAGGAAGGACTTGAGACAACTACATGATAATAATTAAAAGAAGAAAAACGTTGTGGCAACAGAAAAAGAAATGATGACTATCGCTACCTTTTAATCTGTGGGGAGTAGGTTTTCTCTGGTCTGATTTTGACAAATGCAGTGTGTCTACAGCCTGGTTTGCCTGTCTGCCCTCCTGGGTGCTACTGAAGCTTTGTTTTGTTGAATAATCAGATGCCCAACTCTGTTGCCTTGTGGAAGATGAGTAAATGTAGTGCGTCTTAAAGTGGTCTCTTCTCCCTACCCCACAAATCTTCTGGTACTACCATTTGGGGAAGCCAAGCAAGGATAGTAAATTGACCAGAACACAGTTGTGACATTTGACCTCAAGTTAGTGAAATAAAACTTTAAAGAGTAGGGGGGAAAAAGAGACATGCGGACAGCAGCAGAAGTAAGAATGAAGGAAGGGGCAGAGGCAGGGGCAGGGTAGCAACAGTGCCAGCGTATTTCAAAAAAGGGCAGAGGCTTGGGATCAACTGAATTAGAAACTCAGTTCTACCTATTTAAAAATCTCAAGTAATTCCTGATATTATCTCATAGTACAATGACTAATGTTTCGTAAAAATAAAGAACTGGCACTTGGAATAAGCTTTATCATCATCCTCAGAAAGCCAGATGTGGCACGGACTGCTTATTAGCTACTGCATGCCTATTCTCCTTTTGTCTGTGGAAGCTTCATGATAAGCTTCTATGTCACTTACATAAAGTACATCATTCATATCACAAACCCCCCCAAACACCCATATTTCAACAGTAGTCTTAGAGCAGTGGTTCTCAACTGGAAGTAATTTTGCCTCCTACCCCACCCCCTGACGTTTGGCAATGCTTGCAGTCATTCTGAATGCCACAAACGGGAGGGAGGTGCTAATGGCATCTGGTGGATAGAGGCCAGGGATGTTGCTAAACATCCTACAATGCACCAGACAGCCCCCACAAAGAATGATCTCAGCCTACAATGTCAACAGTGCCAAGGCTGAGAAACCCTGCCTTAGAGAAAATTTGCTCAGGGTTAAGCTAGTAAAGGGAAGAGCTTCAATCTGAATCCCAGCTGTTAGACTCCAGTGCCCAGTCTTATTTTATTTTTCTGTGCCTGGTACACCAAAAAAGGATCAATATATATGGTTGCTGTTGTTATTATTAAAAGTTAATTTGCATATACCCTGAATGTTCTGTAGACTGATATTCAAAGTGCCGCCTCTGGACAAGCAACATCGGCATCCATCCCCTGGGAGTTTGTTAGAAATGCAGACATCAGACTCCACCTCAGACCCTATCAATGTGCATGTTAACAAATGATTCTTATGCACATTAAAGTTTGAGAAGCCAGCTACAGAGGATTATTAAGAGCAATGAATACCAACTGTTTCTTTCTTTGAGACAGTGTCTCACTCTGTTGCTCAAGCTGGAGTGCAGTGGCTCAATCACAGCTGGCTCAAGTGATCCTTCCATCTCAGCCTCCTGAGTTGCTAGGATTACAGGCGTGCATCACCACACCTGGCTAATTTTTAAATTTTTTTTAGAGACAGGGTCTTGCTAGGTTACCCAGACTGGTCTTGAACTCCTGGGCTCAAGCGATACTTCTGCTTGGCCTCTGAAAGCACTGACATTACAGTAGTGAGCCACAGTTCTGATTTTCTAGATTTAAATTACCATTAATATTATTTAGCTCCCTCCTCCCTTGTCTACAACTCTTTGCAGTAATAAATATGCATCAACCCTGGTAATGCCTAGCTCTATTAAGACAAAAAACAAAAACAAGAAACAAAAAACAAAAAACCCAAAACTGAATTTACAAAATGCTTATATGAAAAAAAAATCCAATTACATCTACATTCCCTATGACAAACACACTACTAAAAATCCACTCCTGATTTACTCTTCTATTGCTAAGAAATTCATAGAGAAGATAAGCTATGAAGGTAGCAATCTACCAGAGATACTGGGTGAAAGCTGCCTTCTCCATGAGATCTACTTGGTACATTCTTACCCTCAGCACCCCTTCATAAAACAGTAACCTTTTGTAACCTAGAAGCGAGTGGCAGAAGGAACTTGAAAAATGAGAAAACTTTACTAAAGAAACTAACAGGGTAGTGACACGATTTTGTAAGTGCTATTAAAAAGCAGGGCGACCACTGCCATAGTCCTAATAACTAAGTTAGAAGGCTTCCTCACCTAAGGTGAGGGGAAGAGGAAAGGAAGAGGCTCTGGTACTGTGAGGAATGTACCATTCAGGTTAACTATCCCTTGGAAAGAACTTGCAGACCTAGAGCCAACCTAAAGGGCTCCCCAGAAAAACTAGTACCCACACACAAGAATTCACATATTTGGCTGGGCACAGTGGCTCACGCCTGTAATCCCAGCACTTTGTGAGGCCAAAGCGGGCAGATCACGAGGTCTAGAGATAGAGACCATCCTGGCCAACACAGTGAAACCCCGTCTCTACTAAAAACACAAAAATTAGCTGGGCGTGGTGGCGAGCGCCTGTAATCCCAGCTACTCAGAAGGGTGAGGCAGGAGAATCGCTTGAACCTGGGAGGCGGAGGCTGCAGTGAGATGAGATCACGCCACTGCACTCCAGCCTGGGCGACAGAGCGAGACTCCGTCTCAAAAAAAATTCACATTAGTGGTATCCACTGTATCAAGGAAGTTATACTGGAACACGGTGGGGCTAAATAGGGGATATATCTTCCTAACTATGGGAAGGAGACTATCCCAGGCACTTAAGATCTCCAACAGTGTGGCCATTTAATGGCCTTCTAACAAAGCCCTCCAAAAGTCTTGTAACAACAACACTGAGGAAATGGTGCCTACTGTCTTCCTCTAGCATAAAGTAGATAAACTTCCGAAGGAATTTTTGACATAACTTTTTGTGACGCACAAGGATGATTTGTGGCCTATGGAAGCTATAGAGTTCATTTTTAAAATTTGTTCCAAACCAGGAAGAGAATAGATTTGTCTGGGTATTTACACAGACTGCTATAGTCATTTGGATACAATCTTTTGTACATCCGAATTTAAGTCTCTAGGGGGTAGTAATTTCCCACACATACTACAGGACTTGGCACACTAACAGTTACCAATATTTAATTAGATGATCAAATATGTACTACTGTTTGGGATTATACAACAGTGTTTCCATATTAGGTAAAATAATTAAAACATCACAAAAGCTCAATCTTGCCCAGTTAGTCATTCAATCGTAGGTCTTACTGTATATGCTGCTGCTCTAGGGACAGTCCAGCACATCTGGAAATTTACATTCCAATATTGAAAAAAATTAGATGACACTGTTTTTAAAAGAAAACTACTTCCAAGTAACTTGTAAGTAAAGGGTTAAGTTACTCTGGTAGGGATGACAAAAGAAGAGCAGACCTAAAAAATGTGGACATTAGGGGGTCACTCTTAACTAGGGATGGCTGAATGAGGAGTTATTAGTACAGTGAGCTAAGGAACCGCACTTTCCCTTCTGGCCTGTCAGGGTAGTCGTGGGGGTAGGTGGCAAGCAAGTAAAATGACAAAACTAGTTCAATGCCAAGTGCCTGAAAGAAGCAGGGGTTGGGGGTACGGCAGTGATTAGAATTAAAGTAAGATCAGTATCCCTTGTGTCTTGAAAGCCATTTTCCTCTATAAGATTAAACATGTAGGTAAGTCAGGATAAAGGTGGATCCAACAATAGGTCTTTTCTGCAGGAATTATACAAGCCTGAGTTGGAACAATTCTAATCTGCCCTTTCGCCCAAGAAGTTAGAAAAAACGAGTCAGGACAGAATCCAATGCTGTGTGTGTGTGGTGATGACTCCTCTATTCCCACTAAAGAATCCAGAGCTTGGGTGTCTGGAATCTGCCTTATGGTGGAGTCCAGATTCTTCAGTTGCAATGCTTATGCTACCATACACAAAACTGCTATTTGAATGAGTAAATACCAACGGGTTATTAGTCCTGGTTCTTCAGTTCACAGGGCACAACTGACTCTTCTATTGGGATGATTAACTATATTGTGCATAAGTGAGAGTCAGCTGGGGGAAAAGCAGAGCATCTTGTTCAGACTTTTTGAGGGGAGAACGTATTGTTAACACCTCTACCCTCCACACATTTAGTGCTGATCCCCAAAAGCAAGAGTGTCACAAAGAAAGTTTTAAAAGGATACCAAGATTCTCTTAAAGGAGCTTATCAGGTTTTACTCAATTCTAAGAAAAGATTCTGGCACACATCTTTGATTACGAAATTAATTTTAGCTAAAGGTCTCCCATTACACTCAGCTCCTTATGCAGCTTCCACACTGCAACTGCTGCCAATCTCAAACTCCAGGTGGGGCAGTCAGGGGGCTGCTAGGTCAGTGGGAAGCATGGGAAGTGACACAAGTACAGAGTTCAAGAAACAGACTTCAATAACTTGCTACAAAGCAGAGTTGTGTGAACAGTCTTGCACAGTGATTTTTTGCTCACTGTGTGATATGAATCTATTATTTTATTGTTTGGCAAAACCTTTATCTGGTAATAATAATTTTCAGTTTTTTGTTGCCCACTTTTGCTTTCAAAAGTGTTCCAACTTGCATGTTATATGGTTACCCTATTTATGAAGGAATCAGAACACCTCCCTGCACTGGTCAATCAGCCTGAAACTCTCCTGCCGGTCTCTTATTTTTTTTTCTTGAGACGGAGTCTCGCTCTGTCGCCCAGGCTGGAGTGCAGTGGTGCCATCTTGGCTCACTGCAACCTCCGCCTCCCGGGTTCAAGTGATTCTCCTGCCTCAGCCTCCCGAGTAGCTGGGATTACAGGCACACGCCACCATGCCTGCCTAATTTTTGTATTTTTAGTAGAGACGGGGTGTCACCATGTTGGTCAGGCTGGTCTCGAACTCCTGATCTCATGATCTGCCTGCCTCAGCCTCCCCAAAGTGCTGGGATTACAGGCGTGAGCCACCGCGCCCGACTGCCTAATTCTGACATTTTGCTGCTGCTTCAACCTCAACCTCCACCTGCACCCTCCCAGGGCCATGGGGTCTCTCATCCTAGGTCCGGCTCCCTGTACCTTCCCTCAGTACAGAGCTCATGTGAATTTGAAGGATAAAGATGCCTTCAGCTGAAGGTAGCATTTACATCATCAGGGAAAAACTAGGCAGTTCTCCCAAGACCCTTTCAAGGGAGCCCCATAAAGTCAAAACTATTTTCATAAATCTAAAACATGACTTACCATTTTTACTCCCATTTTCTCACATTTGTACTGTGAGATTTTCCTGAATCTACACCAGGTGTGAGAGGGCCACAGCCTGAATGCAGAAGCAGGTATGAAAATCTACCTGTCTGCTAAGAAGTCAGACATTAAAGTCATCTGCAAATATGTGAAATAGTACCAGTCTTCTAGGTTAATTTTTTTTTTTTTGAGATGGAGTCTCGCTCTGTTGCCCAGGCTGGAGTGCAGTGGCGTGATCTAGGCTCACTGCAACCTCTGCCTCCCAGGTTCAAGCAATTCTCCTGCCTCAGCCTCCTGAGTAGCTGGGACTACAGGCATGCGCCACCACGCCCGACTAATTTTTGTATTTTTAGTAGAGACGGGGTGTCACCATGTTAGCCAGGATGGTCTCGATCTCCTGACCTCATGATCCACCTGCCTTGGCCTCCCAAAGTGCTGGAATTACAGGCACGAGCCACTGCGCCCAGCCTAGGCTGTTTAATTTTGAAAAACAGTTTTCATTTAAAATGTTATTTATATTAATATGTTTTTTGTTATTTTAAAATCAATCATAGATGTTTTAAATAATTGTTTTAATTGTGAATATGGTAAAAATCCATAACTGTTAACCATATAATCAAAAGCTGCTGGGGCCTGAAATAAATTTTAAGAGTGTAATGGGGTCCTGAAACCAAAGAGTTTGAGAACCACTGGGCAGATTATTTTTAAAGTATTTTGGTGTAATTGGTTAACCATTAAAATAAGTGCTTGATTCTTACTCCCAGACATTAAAAAACAAAAGTTAAACTAAGAATTTTAAATAGGCCTCTCCCTCTCCCTCTCCCCCTCCCCCTCCCCTCTTTCCACGGTCTCCCTCTGATGCCGAGCCGAAGCTGGACTGTACTGCTGCCATCTCGGCTCACTGCAACCTCCCTGCCTGATTCTCCTGCCTCAGCCTGCCGAGTGCCTGTGATTGCAGGCGCGCGCCGCCACGCCTGACTGGTTTTCGTATTTTTTTGGTGGAGACGGGGTTTCGCTGTGTTGGCCGGGCTGGTCTCCAGCTCCTAACAGCGAGTGATTTGTCAGCCTCGGCCTCCCGAGGTGCCGGGATTGCAGACGGAGTCTGGTTCACTCAGTGCTCAATGGTGCCCAGGCTGGAGCGCAGTGGCGTGATCTCGGCCGGCTACAACCTCCACCTCCCACCCGCCTGCCTTGGCCTCCCAAAGTGCCGAGATTGCAGCCTCTGCCCAGCCGCCACCCTGTCTGGGAAGTGAGGAGCGTCTCTGCCTGGCCGCCCATCGTCTGGGACGTGAGGAGCCCCTCTGCCTGGCTGCCCAGTCTGGAAAGTGAGGAGCGTCTCTGCCCCGCCGCCATCCCATCTAGGAAGTGAGGAGCGCCTCTTCCCGGCCGCCATCCCATCTAGGAAGTGAGGAGTGTCTCTGCCCGGCCGCCCATCATCTGAGATGTGGGGAGCGCCTTTGCCCCGCCGCCCCGTCTGGGATGTGAGGAGCACCTCTACCCGGCCGCGACCCCGTCTGGGAGGTGAGGAGTGTCTCTGCCCGGCCGCCCCATCTGAGAAGCGAGGAGACCCTCCGCCTGGCAACCGCCCCGTCTGAGAAGTGAGGAGCCTCTCTGCCCGGCAGCCACCCCGTCTGGGAAGTGAGGAGCGTCTCCGCCCGGCAGCCACCCCGTCCGAGAGGGAGGTGGGGGTCAGCCCCCGCCAGGCCAGCCGCCCCGTCCGGGAGGTGAGGGGCGCCTCTGCCCTGCCGCCCCTACTGAGAAGTGAGGAGCTCCTCTGCCCGGCCAGCCGCCCTGTCCGGGAGGGAGGTGTGGGGGGGTCAGCCCCCCGCCCGGCCAGCCGCCCCGTCCGGGAGGTGAGGGGCGCCTCTGCCCTGCCGCCCCTACTGAGAAGTGAGGAGCTCCTCTGCCCGGCCAGCCGCCCAGTCCGGGAGGTGAGGGGCGCCTCTGCCCGGCCGCCCCTACTGGGAAGTGAGGAGCCCCTCTGCCCGGCCACCACCCCGTCTGGGAGGTGTACCCAACAGCTCATTGAGAACGGGCCATGATGACAATGGCGGTTTTGTGGAATAGAAAGAGGGGAAAGGCGGGGAAAAGATTGAGAAATCGGATGGTTGCCGTGTCTGTGTAGAAAGAGGTAGACATGGGACACTTTTCATTTTGTTCTGTACTAAGAAAAATTCTTCTGCCTTGGGATCCTGTTGATCTGTGACCTTACCCCCAACCCTGTGCCCTCTGAAACATGTGCTGTGTCCACTCAGGGTTAAATGGATTAAGGGCGGTGCAAGATGTGCTTTGTTAAACAGATGCTTGAAGGCAGCATGCTCGTTAAGAATCATCACCACTCCCTAATCTCAAGTACCCAGGGACACAAACACTGCGGAAGGCCGCAGGGTCCTCTGCCTAGGAAAACCAGAGACCTTTGTTCACTTGTTTATCTGCTGACCTTCCCTCCACTATTGTCCTATGACCCTGCCAAATACCCCTCTGCGAGAAACACCCAAGAATGATCAATAAAATAAAATAAAATAAAAAAAGAATTTTAAATAGGAACTTGAAGAAAATATAAGTGAACAGTTTTATAGTTTTGGAAATAAGAGAAGCCACTTGAACTCCTGAGCTCACTGATAAACTATAGCAGAAGCTGTCAGTGCCTCACCAACACATCCCTTAGGATTCTGGTGTGCTGTGGCCAAGTTCTAGCTACCCCTATCTGCGCCTCTGTGCTTAAAGCTGCTCTGCCCATAGCAATAGGCAGAAATACAGGTAAATTAACTCCCTGTGGCAGTTTTACAACACCGTCCACAGATTGTTTGAAACTGCTCAAAGAGGCAGAGTCTAATTCCCCTCCCTCTGAATATGGGCTGGTGATATTTAAGTCTAAAGTGATATAAGTGTGACTTCACAACTGGCTCCTTTTTTTAAAAAAAGGAGCTATGGTCCCCCCGGCCCCCCATCTCATCCTGCAGCTGTCTGTCTCTCCCTTTCTATGTGCCTTGGAAACTCTAAACATCACATAAGAAGCCTAGTACTGCAGAGACCGTGTGAAGAGACCACATCAAGAATGAGAATTAGCCAAGAAGCCCAAGGTGTTACAGCCCTCAGCTGTGGGCCTTCCCAGCCCAGGTGGAAAACCAGACATGTAAAAGTGAGGAAGGCTTCACATGACTCCAGTCCTAGCCCCTGTAACTGCATTAGAAAGCTTCAGTAGGAACCAACCAGCTGAGCCCAGCCCCAAACTCTATATCTATGAAAGATTATAATCATAATAAAAAATAGTGGTTTTTGTTTAGAATATTTTGTTATGTAGCAATAAATAACTGGAACACTCCCCCCAAGAGCAGCCCTCAATGAATAACTGATAATTTGGGCGGGATCATTCTGAGGCAAGTGTTCTGCCCAATTTCCCAGTTTCCACACAGGCAATTTTCCCTGTGGGGTTTGGCTTAATAAGACATCTTTTTTTTTTTTTTTTTTTTTTTTTTTTGACACAGGGTCTCACTATATTGCCTGGGCTGGTCTCGAACCCCTGAGCTCAAGCAATCTCCGACTGCCTCAGCCTCCCAAAGTGCTGGGATTATAGGCATGAGCCACTAAGCCCAGATGAGACATCTTTTATTGACTATCTTTTCTTCCTTAGCTTCCCTTTGTTCTTTGTACCTGGAAATAAACTACTTGTATTTGAACTCTCATCTCACAAGTCACCTTGGGGTGAGGGGGCAGGCAGGAGTGCAGGAATGACCAAAACTGAGACATCACTGAAGTTAACACACACACACACACACACACACAGGAAAAGACCAACAGATCTGACTACATAAAAATTGAAAATCCTTAAAAAAAAAAAAAAAAAAAAAAAAGGATACCATAAAGTTTATAAAAAGGTTGGAGGGGGTATTTTCAGTTCATGATTAAGGGCTAATATCTTGACTAATTTAAATAATAATAATGGATAAAGTACACAGGCAGTTCTCAAAAGTGGAAAATAAACATATGGCAAATAAACAGATGCACAATCTTACTTAGACTCAAAGAAATACAAGTTAAACACTCTGGTACTTTTACCTATCAGAATGGCAAAAATTTCCAGTAAACACTTTGATATAGAAATTCTGCTTCTTGGAACTTACCCTAAGGAAATAACTGGACACGTGCATGTGACTATAGTATAAGGATATTTTGGAGACTCTTACTTATATATGATGAAAAAAATTTGGAATGAGCTAACTTACTGACAGGAGATAGGTTCATTGGAGTACAACCATATGACAGTATACTGTACAGCTCTTAAATAAGAATGAGGTATACATACTAAGCAAGGAAAGAAATCCAGAAGGATTGAAAGAAACAAGTTCCACAACAGTATGCAAAACAAACATTTTTGTAAGATATAAATATACCCGAACTTAATAGTGGTTATACTTGCAGGATGAGATGCAGGGGATTTTCTCCTTCAAACAGATTCCAATTATTGAGATTAAAAAAAAAAAACAACACTGTGTTTACTTCCCAATTTCTATTCTGAAGGACAAAATAAAGGTAGAAGAGATGGAATCTAATCTACCTATTAATGTAGAAAGTAAAGTAATAAGAGAAAGTAAAAGTGGCCAGGCATGGTGACTCATGGCTATAATCCCAGCACTTTGGGAGGCTGAGGCAGGCGGATCACAAGGTCAGGAGATCGAGACCAGCCTGGCCAATATGGTGAAACCCCATCTCTAATAAAAATTCAAAAATTAGCCGGGTGTGTTAGTGGGCGCCTGTAGTCCCAGCTACTCAGGAGGCTGAGGCAGGAGAATAGCTTGAACCCAGGAGGTGGGGGTTGCAGTGAGTGAGATCGTGTCACTGCACTCCAGCCTAAGCAACAGAGGGAGACTCCATCTAAAAATAAATAAATAAATAAAAATAAAAAATAAAAGTAACTATGGTCACCCTAGGGTAAGCAGCGTTTCTGAGTAGAAAGCCAATGCTTTAAGGACTTGGAAAGGTGGGGGGGATACTAAGTCTGGGCTATCAATAATTCTTACTCCAGGCATTCGAATGTATGTTTCATTTAAGCCCAGTTTTCACAGTTATTTTTACAACAAAGTTGCTTAGGAACTGAGGGGAGATCTTTTGACTTATTTTCCTGCTTCATTCCAAACATGTTTTCAATAGTGACCCACTGATATGCTACATCTTTGGGTAAAAAATATCTAGAACACTCATTCATAGGAAATATTTATGACTGCTGCCATTCCCATCTATAGCCCAATGAAAATCATCAGTGACTACAAGGGGTTTGGGTCTCCTGTGGCTCTGTGGTCACATTGAAGGACAGATTTTGGCCTTATGATAAAAGCTTCCACTGACATTTTATTGGAAAATTTGGAAATACTCAGACTAAATGGATACTATCTCACTGTTCTGCCTTCTCTGCTCCCTCCTCTCTATTCAATTCAGGTGCTCTTTCCTACCCTCTTCCTTCTCCTTTGCTCTCAGACATGGGACTGACATACTGAATCTCTAAGAGACTACAAAACCTGCACCAGTATAAATGAAAGGGCTCAAGTGTACTCCAACAGCAGGATGCAAATCTGATTTTGAAATGAGACAGGGGGACCGGAGAGCCCACACAGGAGAAACTTTTGCCAAAAGAGGGTGCTCTTTCTCCCTTCTTTAATGTAGAAATACCAACTGTTATCTAAGATAATTATTTGTCAATTTATCTAAACAGTCAAAACACATGGAAGATTTGAAATGGGTGAATTTAATTGTGTATAAATTACACCTCAACAAAGTTGATGATAATTTATCCAAATATAAGCAAAACCAAAGTTTGAACTCAATTCTCCAGAATTTATTACATACAGGTTTGTTCTGACCTACTATTTGTACATCTAAAGTATCACTCCAAGAACCAACATAAATCAAAGACAGAAAAGTACCCTAACACAATTGCAGAGAAATATATAATTTTCAAAGTTCCTTCACAAACTTTGACTTCTTTTGATCTTTGCCTAGAATCTTTGAATCAGGAAAGGTAACATTTATCCATTTTAAAGATGAGGAAAATAAAATACATAAAATATAAAAAAGACAAGAAGAAAGTAATACAAAATAAAGAAATACATTTAAAAACAAACAAAGAGAAAAAAAAAAAAGATGAGGAGAAGGATTCAGGATTAAGTGATTTGTTTGTACAAAGTCAGAAAGCCTGGAAGTCAGTTCTGGCTAATGGCAATCCAGGTTTTCTTAAGGTGATATATTTTTACTACACCCATGAAGCTTAAAATAAAGTTACCTGTCTTTGGACTCAACACAAAAGTTGTTTAATCACAATTACTGGTCTGCCTTTCCTACCTTATTATTTCATTTCTCTTTCACATTTGGATGGAAGCCAGGATTAAATAAGAACAAGAAAATCTTGTGATCTGCCAAAAGGTGTTATTTAAATTTCTTAATACCAAAAATTAAATCACTTTATTTGCAGAAATCAATTAGGTGAAAATAAAAGCATACCACACACAGTACTTAGTGTGGAGAGGAATTTCGATAATAATGTGACAACTCCAAAAATGCAGAGAATCCCCCACCTTAATGAAAACCAAAGACATTTTGGGGAAACAAGCATCAGTTCAATTACAGTCCAAACGTTATGCCCCTAAGCTGCAAAGAGAACAAGAAAGATGCACAATTCTTTTTTCCCCCTAGAGCTAAAAAAAAGCAGGTATAGAACATGAGACCTACTTTCTCCAGCTCAGAAGTTAGGTTGGTCCCACAGTCCAGGAATTCAGATCCACTTCACTCTATTCCATTCTAGTTCACAGTGGCACTGGGAGGTCCAGCAGTCATTAGAATGACCTGCACTGAAATGTGAGGTCAACCCCTGCCTGAGGATACAATATCACCCACTGCTCAATGCTCTGTGAAGCTGAGGCCTCTGCAACTTCTTTGTTCCCTCCCTCTCCACTGCAGGATCCACAACTCAGAACTACCAGGAAATAACAGGGTCAGGAGGTGAGGAGAGCTATTTACTGCACTTGGGGGAATCACTGGCTTCTTTCTTGGCCCCGGCTGGCCTGGAGAGACAAGAGGAAGGCTGTTTATATTTGCATAGGGCTGAGAGACTGAATGAGTGAGGTTATGCCCTGCATGTCAAATACAGGGCTGGGCTTGGAGGGGAGGGTCTGGTTGCTTTCTCATTGCCAACTCTTTCACCCAGGCGAATCCTTGGTCCTGCTGTCTACACACACCCTTCTAGCTGAGCAGTAGACAATAGCTTTCAAAAGGCTAGATGCTGCAGCAGCAGCAGCAGCTAAAGAGGCCCACAGATGGAGGGCTGATGTGGGACATTTCACAGCTACCTAAACGTAACAAGCCTAGAATGACTGGTAAGCAAATACTGGTGGCCACTGGTCAGGCACGAAACTGGCTTGTAAGTTAACAGACGGCAGAGTCATATGCTACTTCATGTTGGTATCAGTTGGTTTCTAAAATGATTCAAACAGTCATTTAATACCAAGAAGTCCAAAGCATTATCCCCAAACAGAGAAGGGTGCTGACTTACAAACATGTCCTATTCCAGCCAAGTGCTCACAGGTGTGAGCCAGCACTTTGGAAGTCCGAGGCAGGCAGACTGCTTGAGCCCAGGAGTTAGGGACCAGCATGGGCAACATTGTGAGACCTCATCTCTAAAAAAATACAAAACACAGCCGGGCATGGTGGCATGCACCTGTCATCGCAGTTACTCGGGAGGCTAAGGCGGGAGGATCACCTGAGCCCTAGGAAGTTGAGGCTGCAGTGAGCCGAGATTGCACCACTGCACTCCGGCCTAGGTGAGTGACAGAGTGAAACTCCATCTCAAAAAAAGGACTAAGTCTTAACTGACTGAAGAGTCTCCTGCTAGCCTTGAAGAAGCAAGCTCCTATGACATAAACTACCTAAGAAAAGGGCTAGAGAACTATGAGCGGCCTCTAGGAGTTGCCTGGGCCTCAGTCCCATAGCTGCAAGGAACTGAATTCTGTCAACAACTATGTGACCTTGTAAGAGCTACAGATGAGGACACAGGCCAGCTGACTCCTTGACTACAGCCAAGAGAGACCCTGAGCAGAGGGCTCAGCTAAGCTATGCCTGGATTCCTGACCCACAGTAACTGTGAGATACTAAATGTGTGTATTGTTTTGGGCTGCTAAATTTGCAGTAATTTGTTACACAGAAAGAGAAATCCTGACAGTCTGAAATTTATTTTCAGAAGAAGTTGAAACAGAGGGTCTCTGCACCAGTGGTCATTAACATGGATGAGGGCAGAGGTGCTGTACTGAAAAAGAGCTTATGCATGCAGGACAGTAAGACCCCAGTTTTCTTTCTCCACTCAGCTCCCAGAACACAGGCCGGCCTTCGCCCTCCAGGCAGTCTCTTCTGGGGAATATGAGCGACTCAGAGGAAAGACCTTTCTAACTAAGGAACAGATAACTGAGGAACATGGTTCTTTTCTAACATAAAAATCAAAAATCAAAACAAACTAGAAGATAGCCAACTACAGAAAACAGAAATTATAGGGAGAATTTCAAAATAAACTTATTAATATCCAGAGAGACAGAATACATTGCACTTATGAAAAAAGAATAAAGCCAAAACAAAATAACATTCAGAGGAGAAAAAGTAGCTTTTGAAAATTAAAAACAAAAGCAAGCAAACAAAAGATTTCAAAAACTCAATAAAAGATAAAGTTGAAATCTCCCAAGAAAGTAGAAGAAAGGCTGCAAATAGGAGAGAAAAGATACAACAATTAAAGGACCATAGGAAGGACAAAGATTTGAATAGTGAGAGTGATCCAGAAAGGGTAAACAGAGAGGAGGTCCAAAATAACTTAAAACTTACCAGGCCATGAGTTTCCACATTGAAAAGGCACAGTACATTGGAGGAAAACTGACCTACACAAGGTGGCACATCAAGTTTCCAGGGAGAAAAAAAAAAGTAATGTGTAAGAAACCCCAAATCAGCGGGCTTCAGATTTCAAAAGCAATAGTGGGAGTAAGCTGGCACTGAAGCAATGTCTTCAAAATGATTTCCAATACAAATTCCACACCAGACAAACTATCAATCAAGTGCTAGGGAAGAATAGAGATCTTTTCAGATACTTGAGGTCTCTAAAAAATTATCTCCCAAGAATCCTTTTTCAGGAAGTTACTGAGGGATGTACTCTGCAAAATAAGGGCATAAACAAGAAAAAGATAAAGGAAACAAAACTTCTATGTAGAATAGTAAAGAGAATTCCCCAAAAGACAGTGACACGAGAATCCGGTATGACAGCTATAAACAGAGTTAGCAGGTAGCCTGTTAAAACCAGAAGAGGTCAGATGGCTCTGGGGAGAGATTTCTTCAAAAAAGATAAAATTCAGGCTGGGCGCGGTGGTTCACGCCTGTAATCCCAGCACTTTGGGAGGCTGAGGTGGGTGGATGACCTGAGATCGGGAGTTTGAGACCAGCCTGACCAACATGGAGAAACCCCATCTCTACTAAAAATAGAAAATTAGCCAGGCGTGGTGGCGCATGCCTGTAATCTCAGCTACTTGGGAGGCTGAGGCAGCAGAATCACTTGAACCCAGAAGGCGGAGGTTGCGGTGAGTTGAGATCGCGCCACTGCACTCCAGCCTGCGCAACAAGAGCGAAACTCCGTCTCAAAAAAATAAAAAGTAAAATAAAATTTATATAAAACCTATGCATCTGAATGTCTTTTGAGGACTTTTAGATAATTGTGAAGGCATCTGGGGTTGAATTTGTGACAAGTATATATATGTAGTGGGTAGGGAAGGGCACAGAGGGAGAAAGGGAGAGGGGAAAAGGTGAGAGAATAACTTGGGGAGGGAGGTAGTCAAGCAAGGAAGGAAAAGTAACCACATGTGAATAATGCTCACATAATATAAACAGTGAATATTTTATCAACATTGATCTAAGCAAAACAGGATAAAGGAAGAGTGTGACTAGGTAGGAAAGAACTAAGTTGTCATCATCCATTGTCATGAATCAAGAGTTATTGGTAAAAACTGAAATATAAAGTAATATGAGTATATACCTAAAAACAGGATATAAACAACAAAGTACTCGGCTCAAGGAGGTACAAGTAGTTGCCACTAGAGAGCAAAATGCTGGGAATAGTTTTTTTTTTTTTTTTTAACAAACAAAGAAATATTAAAGCCTTTAAACTATGTTAGTGTATAATTTCAATAAAAATGAAAACTATTGGGAGGCCAAGGTGGGAGGATTGCTTGAGGTCGCAAGTTCAAGACCAGCCTAGGCAACACAGGGAAACCCTGTCTCTACAAAAAATTTAAAAATTAGCTGAGTGTGGTGGTGCATGCCTGTAGCCCCAGCTACTTGGAAGGCTGAGGTGGGAGAAATGCCTGAGCCCAGGAGTTTGAGGCTGCAGTAAGCCGTGATGGCACCACTACATGCCAACCTGGGTGACAGAGCAAGACTCTGTCTCAAAAAATAAATAATAAGAAAGATAAGACGGAAAGGAAAAAGATAGTATCTTACAACCTATAACCATGTGACACAATTCTTTACCAAATGAAGTTCCTCTGCCATGCACAATGGTGGTATATTTTTCCAAATGATCATCTACTTGGTCCCCAGAAATCAAGCATAACATATTAGCTTAATATTATAGATTCACCACATAATTCAGGGATAACTATATGCCAGGGACATATAGTTCATTGCACACTGCACCACATATAGTACAATACAAACTAAAAAAATGTTTTCAAAGGAACAGACAGAACACAGAAATGTATTCTATGGAAAACTGAGAAGGTTTCACAGTGTAATGGTATCTAAGTTATGCTTACAGAGCTTAATACGTTTTTTTCAGGGGAAAGGGTGACCAAACCGAAGAACTTTTGGTACAGAGATGTGTTTCTCCTGCAGAAATGAAGGTGAAGATAGAACCTGAAAGATTAAATGAGACCAGAGCAGAGAGGACCTTACATGCCTGCTAAGCAATTCAGATTTTAATAGCTTTGCACTGTCACAGCAGTGAAATGGGAAAGGTTCCCTTGTCCCACTTGCAGGTGTGTGATGGGGGTGTGGCTCAATTCTTCAGTGTCCCGCTGCTCAAACCTCTAGGGGAGCATACAGACAGGCGGGCTGTGAGGCGCCGACCCCACGGCAGTGTCTAGGGGTAAATGTTTACAGCTGAAGCCCCAGTGGGCATATGTTACAGGATGCTCTTTTAGTTTAGCCGTCCATAGGCGGCTTCTGTTAACCAGCTCAATTAGACCCCTGCCTTATGGCAAGGACAGAGGGCTTTCTGTATCCTGGCTTTGGCATACCAGAAGAATAGGATCACATGTGGGCTTGGAGAATGAGTGCGAGGTTTTATTGAGTGGAAGCAGCTCTCAGCAGATGGGGCAGCCAGAAGGGAAATGGTTTTCCCCTGGAGTCTGGCCGCTTGGTGGCCCAACTCTTCTCCAACTGCCCCAGCCAAACTTTGTGTCATTCCACCAGTCGATGGCCTGCTGGCATCCCAGTGTGCTCCTACACCAGTGCATTCCTCTCGACGTCCATCCACCTGTGTATTCCTTCGCCAATGTGTTTCTCTCGGCATCCAGCTTGTGTGTCTTCCTGCTAGGGTCTTGGGGTTTTTATAGGCACAGAATGGGGGCGTGGCGGGTCAAAGTGGTCTTGGGAAATGCAACATTTGGACGTGAAGGCTGGAGTGCCTGTCTTCACCTAGGTCTGTGGGCACAGGCCCGGGGGTGGAGCCCTCGCCAGGGACCCACCCTTCTCCTCCCAGCACTTCCCTGTCTCCCTTCCGTATCAGGAGTGAGGTAACAGAAAACTAGTCACTGTCTTCAGAAATAGGTAACTCCAAACACTGAAAACATCAAACAATTCAGAAACAAGAAGCTACTTAGAGCCTTCAATAAGTGAAGCAGAGAGCCTAATTAAAGAGGCTATAGGAGGTCTAACAACCTGGACAAGAGCACTGGCAATGGAAACAAAATTGTCTCTGGGGAAATCATAACTACTTCATAGTAACAATACTAAAGAGTTATCAATAAACCACAGATCCTCCGAAGGCATCAACACATATACAAATAAGATGTCTACATTCTACCTTTAAGGAGCAGAAGGGAATGCAAACTGTCTTTTTCTGGCCTGTGCAGTCTCCCTGCGGTATTGTTAAATAGACATCCCAAGCATCACTCCAAGCATGGCTGTGTAGCATTTGGTGCAGTCATCACTTACTAAATAAATAAAATGTGACTTTACATATATATATCTCCTTGTCTGTTTATATATTAACATTTCGAAAAACAATCAAATCATGTACCTTCATTTTAGTTCAAAGAATGTTCACCATTAGTTACATCCCTAGTGAATTCATTTACTATTATATGCAATAGTTTAAATATAGTGTACATGCTATTTTAGGTACTACCTAGTTTTATTTCAAGAAGTTAAAAAATAAGGCTTCATATTCTTTAAAAAACACCATTTTGATGTTTATGGCTTATAGCAAATAAAGAGGTAAGTGTATGGGAAAGAAACACATTTAAGCAAAATGAATACTTTTAGTCAGTTCACTTGATACGTTGGTTGGGTTGTGCTTGTTGTTAAGAGCCAGGACCCACAGCTTTAGATACAAGGCACATTCAACACCACGTAAGCATGAGGTAAGATAGTATCAAGATAAACTCATAGGATAGCCACTTTAATACAGTCCATTTCTGACTACTAATTGTACCTCTCTCAGAATTTTGTTAACTAAAGTCATTGTTGATGTTTGGCCATTTTAGTGTTTTGTTAATGTGCGCTTCCATTAACAATGAGCCCCACAAAGCCACAAGGAAGCATACCAGCTAAAACATTGCTAAAAAGGTAAAACCAGAGCGCTAAAGATTTGTCTAGCCGAACAGCTAATTTAGTGAGGTGCAGTCACCAGCATCAAAGGAGCAGTAGTGGCAGCAGAGTCTCAACCCTACAGAAACCTGAGCGGGTCAGAACGTTCATCTTCATCTAGCCAAGGTGAAAGCACCCAGAAACCAAGGACAGACAGCTGTGAGAGCAAGCTGGCAGCAAAGGGCTGAGCTCTGAATTTCAGTCTGGTAGAGCAAAATGATTTTCTCCTTCAGCAATGTCAGAAGAACCATCCCTTATTTCAAGACATCCTTACACATCTGCTGTGTGCAAAACCTGCACACAGGACGTGGTTCTGAACTGCTTCTTCAAAACAAAGTAAATGAAAATTTCAGTGGCTCCAGCAGTCGGGACTGTTAGGCATGAAACAATGAGAGTACGAAATAAATCCTTATATGCTTTATAATAATATAATAAACCAATAAAAATACATATTCATACTTAGTATTTGTTCAATACTATGCTAGGTACCAAAGAATTTTGCCTGCTGGATGGGCAGGTTGAGGCCAAATCATTAAGGGCTTTAAAAACCAGGGAAGACAGTTTACCCTCAATGAACTGGGTAAGGCAAAGCCACAGCAAGTTCTTCAACACCATTTTGGAGAGAATATCTCTGTTTTGCATTAGAGGAAACTGAGGCCCAGAGACTTTAAGTAATTAACCTTAAGGCCATTCAGCTGCTAACTGGCAAAGACTGGACTCAAATCTCTGTATTACAAAGGCCACTCCATTTGCTATGGCATGGCCAACTGTTGCTCAGGTGAGAGAAGCTTCATTTGGGCTAATGTTTCTGGATGAAGAACCTGGTAAGCAGACACTGGTAAGCAGATAGATATGGGTCATCCACATGGATATCAAAGTCACAAGGGTGGGAGCAGGTAATATGGAGAGTCATGGGGCATGTGCTCAGGTGAAGTGAGGAGGTAGCAGTGTTGGAGATGGAGGAAAATTTCCATGCCTCATACCTCCCTTAAGGAGTAAAAGAAAGCAAGAATTTAACAAGAGAGTGAAAGAACAGCTGCAGGCACATTACTCTCTGGGAAGATGAAAAGTAGGTCAAGGATTAAACATCACTTCCTCTCAACCAGCTTCCACGGGCAGAGCAGAAGGATCTGGCCTCAGGCAAAGGCAGGCTGAACTAGAGCTGGCACTAGATATTGTTTGGCCAGGAGTGTTTAGTGAGGTAACTGGTAGTAAGTTTAGACTAGCAATCAGTTCCATTTAATGAATATGGCAAAATTCTAGTAAGATACACAAAAATGGTAAATAATTAATGCCTTTTCTCATAAAACTACCAGCCAAATTGGGGGGTGGGGGACTGTCCAACAATAAATGATTAAAATACGAGGTATTTGATATGAGGTAAATTGTTAAAGACGAGCTCAAGTGAGGGTGGCTTAGAAATGGGCCCAATATAAAAATTTCCTATGGGCAACCCTCCTCTCCCTCACATGTAAGCAGATAGCATGCCAGCTTTCAAGCTCCCTTTCTTTTACTTGTGAGAAAGTGGGGAGGAGGGAGGACAAGTATTTAGGACAAGTTTCTCAAAAATGAATAGCTTCAGTGCTGCAGGTCAGTTGTTCTTACACACGAGTGGTAAGAATAAGAGAAAGCATTACATTTTTTTCATAAATTTTAATTTACTCAATATAAAGGTTTGTCTTCCATTGTCATAAAGTTCCTGGCCGGGCGCAGTGGGTCACTCCTGTAATCCTAGCACTTTGGGAGGCCAAGGTGGGTGGATCATCTGAGGTCAGGAGTTCAAGACCAGCCTGACCAACATGGCGAAATCCTGTCTCTACAAAAAATACAAAAATCAGCTGGGCGTGGTGGTGCATGCCTGTAATCCCAGCTACTCGGGAGGCTGAGGCAGGAGAATTGCTTGAACCCAGGAGGCAGAGGTTGCAGTGAGCCGAGATCATGCCATTGCACTCCAGCCTGGATGACAGAGCGAGACTCCATCTCAAAAAACAAATAATAAACTTCTTCATATTTTGTGATTAAAAAGTATCCTCCCTTTTATAAAATGCTGACGACAGTAAACAATGACTTTTTTTCAATGTCCTTGCAAAACAAAATAAAATTAGTAGCCCTATGTCTGCCCTCTGCATTGAAATCCAGAATTTACACTGTAGGTAACAGCTTCTATAGCCCCAAGTGGTATCTGCCATAGAGCCTTCGCAGGGAAAGCGCCTGAGGTTTAACTAGCTCAGTACCTCTCAACTGTCCTCAGGCTCCCAGCCTCTTAAGAAAGACTAGCTAAGGTCAGCCAGGCCAATATGGTGAAACCCCATCTCCAATAAAAATACAAAAATTAGCCAGGCACGGTGGCATGAACCTGGGTGACAGAGGTTGAACCTGGGTGACAGAGGTTGCAGTGAGCCGAGATCGCACCACTGCACTCCAGCCTGGGCAACGGAGCGAGACTCTGTCTCAAAACAAAACAAACAAAAAAGACTAGCTAAGGTCATTGCTACCATCTCATAGCCTACTGGCACCTCTGTCACTCAGACTCATTCCTGAGGAGCACACGCTGGGAACCATTTCCATAAGCACAGAAGGTTCATAAAGAGGCAGAGCACAACAGCTCTTGGAGTTGCCCACAGACAGCTTCCAAACCACAAGCAAGTCCTATCTCACCAGGCTGACACCACACCAATGAGACAAATCCTTCACAAGTGGCAGGAGAAGTGAAACTTCTGTATGTCAGACTATTTCCTAAATAAATTCAGTGTAACGTGACTCGACAGGCATACATCTCCAGTCTGACAGGCAACCCAAAAGTGTATGTTTTGGAAAATAACATCTTAAAAGTACTGAATGTGTTCTTTATAAGGACTTCTCAGTTGTCTTGGTATTCCTTGCTACCTCAACTTCAATTCTTCCCACATGAAAATTTCTATTTTCACTCCTCTCTTCTTTCATTTCACAAAAATGTGTGCTTCTTTCTAAGATAAACATGTGGTCTTTACCTAATTCCTCTTTTACTTTAACAGTGAATAGAACACTTGGTTACAAAAAGTTCAAACTTTCCTATGCAGAAAGAAAAAAAAAACCACCAGACTCTAAAACATACTCCTGAACACCTCTACCCCTCCAGGCTGCTGGGCCAGCTTTCTCCTGCCCTTCAGTGCCAATTTCCTGATGCTTCTCCTAAATACACACAGATCCCTCTACATGTGATTCAGTCCTACTTTACCTCAACATTCCACAGTAAACTAGTCTCAAAAGTCACCAAAGACCTGCCAGGCTCAAAATTAAATGGCATTTCTCATTCTCTCTCTTTTTTTTTTTTTTTTTTAAGAGACAGCCTAGCTCTGTCACCCAGGCCGAGTGCAGTGTTGTGATCACAGCGCACTGCAACCTCAAAATCCGGGACTTAAGTGATCCTCCTGCCTCAGCTTGCCAAACTGCTAGGATTATTGAGGTGATCGGCTGCACTCAACTCCATTTTTTTCATCAGCCTTTTTGTCAAGGACTGATGAGCCCTGCCTTCTGGAAACATTCTTGATAATCATGACATTAATTTTCTGATTCCCCTCTAACCTCTGAACTCCCCTCTCACTTTTCTAAAGCGCTTTCTTTTCCTGCTAATCTGTCAGGGCCCAGAAACAAATCAACAGGAGTTCCCATTGGAGTGGTATGAAAAGAGAGATGCATTTCAGGGAAGGGTTTAGATACGTGAGGTCCATAGTGGCTTTACTAAGCATTAATGGGTGATGAAAGGGAGAAAGCAAAGTCACAATCCGATACAAATCTAGAAGAAAATCTTAGTTTGTTGATTTAACAGTTGTTGGTCCTTGGCAATGTACCAGGAAAATAATGCCTTACTACAAAGCAATGACTTCCAAACCATACTCCAGATGGGGAGAGAAGGCTAATGTTTTAAACGTCTGTCTTCCCTGAAATCTGTTTTAAGAAAGGGTTAACACTGCTTTTTAAAGCTTTAAAAGTACACTTAACAGTATGATATAAGAAACCACAGCTGGGCTCATGCCTGTAATCCCAGCATTTTGGGAGGCCAAGGTGGGTGGATCACAAGGTCAGGAGTTTGAGACCAGCCTGGCCAATATGGTGAAACCCTGTCTCTACTAAAAATACAAAAAAAATTAGCAAGGCATGGTGGTACCTGCCTGTAATCCCAGTTACTCGGGAGGCTGAGGCAGGAGAATTGCTTGAACCCAGGAGGTGGAGGTTGCAGTGAGCCGAGATCATGCCACTGCACTCTGGGCTACAGAGCGAGACTCTGTCTCAAAAAAAGAAAAGAAAAGAAAAACCACACAGGGAACTTAAAAAATCTGAACAGCATGCAAATTCCAGTTCAGTCCTCAGTTTCCTCATCTGGAAAACACAGCTAATGCTATTCCACATACCACACCTCACGGAACTGAACCTTGAAGGAAATAAGCTATGTAAGTGCCTTTAAGCCCTAAAGCACTACTTCTTTTTTTTATTTTTTATTTTTATTTTTTTGAGACGGAGTCTTACTCTGTCGCCCAGGCTGGAGTGCAGTGGCATGATCTTGGCTCACTGCAAGCTCCGCCTCCCGGGTTCACGCCATTCTCCTGCCTCAGCCTCCTGAGTAGCTGGGACTACAGGCGCCCACCACCACGCCCAGCTAATTTTTTTGTATTTTTAGTAGAGACGGGGTTTCATCATGTTAGCCAGGATGGTCTCGATCTCCTGACCTCGTGATCCGCCCACCTCGGCCTCCCAAAGTGCTGGGATTACAGGTGTGAGCCACCGCGCCCGGCCTAAAGCACTATTTCTATGCATACAATTATTTTTAAGGAACAAGTGCTAACTCTTCCAAAGAAATAATGACTGCTTAACTATGTATTAATAACGGCTGTCACAAAAATCTAAAGCTATATTTTTGCTTTCCAATAATCAACAGTTAGTCTTTTCACTTTAAAGGTTAAAATTAACATAGTAAAATCCCATATAACTAATGAAGGTATTATAATGAAATGAAACAATATGAAAATTAACGTATCAAGATGTACTAATTTAATAAAATTGAAAAATTAAAACATAAACTAGTAAGAATGGTAGAAGTGTTTCCTAGAGAAGGTTGTGTATTTGTGTCCCTTAGTTAACCAATAAGAAGGAAAAAGACACTTTTGAGATCTACCTACTTAAACCCAAAGACTGCTTTTAATAAATGTTTTAATTTCACCACTACATAATGAACTCTCTATTTTTGGATTAAACACATCCCTGAAATGAGTTGAATCTCTAAGTTGAAAAACATTTCTCATTTTAATTCAAAGATACTGTCTCTCACAAAATAATTACGGCTCTAAAGTAATAAAAAATTACACTTGAGAATCCTAACCTGTCAGTGGACAATCTGCCTTTTGAAGCCTCTATATGCACTGAATTCTCCCATAAAATACCAACAAGTTTGTCAAGTGAATAATTAATCTATATCTTCATTAAAAGCAGACATTTAAAGATATGCTTCTCAGTGAATTCTCATGTAACCTTAGGACTTAAATTCAGCCTTCCACAAAACAGTATCATAATCCTACGTATTTAACAGAATTTCTTTAAAGCCACAAGGAGCTGCTACTTCCAAGAGCACACACAAAAGTTATTGTCCTTTTACTGTCCATTAATAAGACAGAGCCTAATGTATTTGTAACTCCTACATATTAAAAATTTATTCAAGAAGACTAATAGCTTATTAGTTAGGGCTTTTTCTGTTACAAGTATAGATACCTGACTCAAAAGAGCCTGGGCCAAAAGATAAACTGGCCCACATCATCAAAAAGGCCATGAGAAGGCTTCAGGCCAAGGATGGACCCGAAGGGACAGACAGTGTCATTAAGAGTTTCTCACTAACCCCTCAATTTTGGGTTGACTTCATTTTGAGACTGGCTCTCCACATAGGATAGCTTGGAAAAGATAATATATCTCAGGAAAAGAGGTAAGCTTTAAAAACATCCCTCCCAAATACTTTGGTATATCTCTCATCAGTTCAGATTAAGTTAAATACCCTCTCTGAACCAATCACTGTGGGTAGATGCATAAAGCTTTTTTTTTTTTTTTTTTTTGAGACTGAGTCTCTCTCTGTTGCCCAGGCACAATTTTGGCTCACTGCAACCTCTGCCTCTCAGGTTCAAGCGATTCTCCTGCCTCAGCCTCCCGAGTAGCTGGGACTATAGGCATGCACTACCACAATCGGTTAATTTTTCTATTTTTAGTAGACGTGGGGTTTCGCCATGTTGGCCAGACTGGTCTCAAACTCCTGACCTCAGGTGATCCATGCACCTCGGTCTCCCAAAGTGCTGGGATTACAGGCATGAGCCACCATGCCTGACCAAGATAAAGCATTCTGATGGGCCTGGGCTTGGGTCAGCCTATCACCACTGGAGGGTAAAAAAAGACCCACTTGAACCATGTGGATAAAACGAATTATTATAAAATGAGGAGTGTTGGTACCCCAGGGGGATGTTGGGTGAACAAATAACATATGACCACCACAGATGGTCACTGGGTGGTATCCCTGAAAAACCACCACCAGGAATTTTTGAGCACTGGCAGACTACCAAATGCAAAACCTGTACAAAGCAAGACTACAGGTGTACATGTAGTTATTTTCACCAATTCACTCATTACCAAGAAACAAGTTAAGAGGGACAAGTGTCTCCTCTCCCCTCCAACTCTCCTATATGCATTTAAAGACTGAATTGTGAACAGAAATGAAGAGACCTAAATTTAACAGCTAAAACCATAAAACTTATATTAAAAAAAAACAACAGAAGAAAAATCTTTGTAATCTTTGGGTAGGCAGATTTCTGAGGAGACAAAAGCATGAATCACACAAGAAAAAACTGACAAACTGGGCTTCATCAAAATTAAAATGCTTGGCTCTTAAACAGACACTAATGATAAACCCACAGCCAACACCATACTTAATGGTGACAAGAAAATGATTTCTGAGGACTAAGATGAGGAACAAGACAAACATGTCCACCCTCACTACTACTTATTTTATTTTTCATTTTTTTCAGAGCAAAAGAACTTGATACCCTTACTACTTCTATTCAATATTTTACTGGAAGTTGTAGCCAGGTGAATTACAGCAAGAAAAAGAAATAAGGCAGCTGGGCGCGGTGGCTCACGCCTGTAATCCCAGCACTCTGGGAGGCCAAGGTGGGCAGATCACCTGAGGTTGGGAGTTCGAGACCAGCCTGACCAACAAAAAATAAAATTAGCTGGGTGTGGTGCCGCATGCCTGTAATCCCAGCTACTTGGGAGGCTGAGGCAGGAGAATCACTTGAACTCAGGAGGCGTAAGTTGTGGTGAGCCGAGATCATGCCATTGCATTCCAGCCTGGGTAACAAGAGTGAAACTCCATCTCAAAACAAAAAAAAAAACAAAACAAAATAAGGCTGGGCATGGTGGCTCATGCCCATAATCCTAGCACTCTGGGACGCCAAGGTGGGAGGATCACTTGAACCCAGGAGTTCGTGACCAGCCTGGGCAACATGGTGAGACCCCTGCTCTACAAAAATACAAAAACCTAGCTGGGTGTGCTGGGTGCAGTGGCACGTGCCTGTAAGTCCCAGCTACTGGGGAGGCTGAGGTGGGAGGATCGCTTGAGCCCAGAAGGTCATGGCTGCACTGAGTTGAGATTGCACCACTGCACTCCAGTCTGGATGACAAAGTGAGACCCTGTCTCAAAAAAAGAAAAAAGAGAAATAAAAAGTATTCAGATTGGAAAAGAAGTAACACGATCTGTATTTGCAGATGACATGATCTTGTAGAGAGAAAACTCAAATCCACTAAAAAGCTCTTAGGACCAATAAACAAGCTGAACAAAGCTGTAGGATACAAAATTAATACACAAAAACCAACCATCGCTATATACTACCCGTGAGTAATCAGAAAATGTAATTTTTAAAAATTCAAATTTACAATAGTATCTGAGTAAAATACATAAGAATAAATTTAACATAAGCATAAAATATGTACACTGCAGACTAAAAACCATCATTGAAATAAATTAAGGGAAATATAAATAACTGAAAAGACATTTAATGTTCATGAATCATGTGTTAGTCCATTTTGTGTTGCTATAAAGGAGTATCTAAGGCTAGGTAATTTATAAAGAAAAAAGGTTTATTTAGCTCATGGTTCTCCAGGTTGTACAAGAAGCATAGTGCCAGCATCTGCTTCTGGTGAGGCCTCAGGAAGCTTCCACTCATGGCAGAAGATGAAGGGAGAGCAGGCATGTGACATGACAGGAAAGGGAGCATGAGAGAGTGGGGAGGTCCCAGACATTGTTTAAACAATGAGATCTTGCATGAACAAAGCAAGTGAAAACTCACTCATTACCGTGAGAGCAGCACCAAGCCATACATGAAGGGTCTGTCCCTGTGACCCAAACACCTCCCACCAGGCCCCACCTCCAATGCTGGGGATCACATTTCAACACAGGATTTGGAGGGGACAAACATCCAAACTGTACAGATCTGAATTTTAATTTTTTTTTTATTTTTTAGAGACAGGGTCTCTGTCACCCAGGCTGAAGTGCAGTGGTGCAATCACTGCAGCCTCGAACTCCTGGGCTCAACTGATCTTCCCACCTCAGCCTCTTGACTAGCTGGCACTACAGATGTGCACCACCATGGCTGGCTTATTTTATTCTTTATAGAGAAGAGGGTCTCACTTTGTTAATCAGGCTCATCTCAAACTCCTGGCCTCAAGTGATCTTTCCACCTTGGTCTCTCAAAGTGCTGGGAATATAGTAGGCATGAGCCACTGTACCCAGCCTAAAATTAATATGGGAATACTTCTCAAACTGGTGTACAGATTCAACATAAACCCTGTAAAAACCCCAGCTGGACTGTTTAAAAAAAAACAAAATGAAAAACAGAAATTGACAAGCGGATCCTAAAATTCATATGGAAATGCAAGGAACATAGAATAGCCAAACAATCTTTAAAAAGAACGAAGCTAGAGGACTTCCTTCTCAATTTCAAAACTTACTATGAAGCCACAGAAATTAAGACATCGTAGTACCAGCAAAAGGATAGATACAAAGATCAATGGAACCTAATTAAGAGCCCAGAAATAAACTCTTACATTTACAGGTAAATTGATTTTTGACAAGAGTGCCAAATCAGCTCAATGGAGACAGAATAGTCTTTTTTATCAAATGGTGTTGGGAACAAAAGAATAGCCACAAACAAAAAAATGAAACTGAACCCTTCTTCACACCACACACAAAAATTAACTCAAAATGGATTACTGATCCAAATCGAAAAACTAAAAGTATGAAACTCTTAGAAGAAAATATAGGAATAGGCTGGGCATGGTGGCTCATGCCTGTAATCCCAGCACTTTGGGAGGCTGAGGCAGGTAAACTGCTTGGGCCCAGGAATTCAAGACCAATCTGGGCAACGGGCAACACGGCAAAACCCTGTCTCTTAAAAAAAAAAAAAAAAAAAAAAAGCTGGGTGTGGTGGCGCACATCTGTAGTCCCTGCTACTGGAGAGGCTGAGGTGGGAGGACTGCTTGAGCCTGAGGCTGCAGACAGCCATGATCATGCCACAGCTCTGGCATGGGTGACAGAAAGAGACCCTATCTCAAAAAAAAAAAAAAAAAAAACAATCAGGTGTGCCGGATGCAGTGGTGCATGCATGTAGTCCCAGCTACTTGGCTGAGGCAGGACCATCACCTGAGCTCAGGAGTTTGAGGCTGCAGTGAGCTAGGATTGCACCACTGCTCTGGTGACTGAACAAGACCCTATCTCAAAAAAAAATAATAATAATAATAAAGAGGAGTAGATAATGGTTTCTTAAATACAATTCCAAAACACATGCAACAAAAGAAAAATAGGTAAACTGGACTTCATTGAAACCACAAACTTTTGTACTGCAAGCAATACCATCAAGAAAATAAAAAGACAACCCACAGACAGGGTAGAAAACACTTGTAAATCATGTATCTAATAAAGTACTTTTATCTGGAATAAAAATAATTTTTAATGGCCAGGCACAGTGGCTCACACGTGTAATCCCAGCACTTTGGGAGGCTGAGGCAGGAGAATCACTTGAGGCCAGGAGTTCAATACCAGCCTGGGCAATATAGTGAAACCTTGTCTTAATAGATTGATATATTAGATAGATAAATAAGAACTTTTAAAATTCAGCCATTAAAAAGCCTGAATTTTATTAATAAAACAGGCAAAATATCTAAAAGACATTTTTCCAATGAGAATATGTCAATTTTGATCCAATGAAGATACCCAATAATCACATGAAAAAGATGTTCAACATCATTGCTATTAGAAAAATACAATTCTGAATGTCATTTTTTAAAAATGAAAATCAAAGACACACCATTGTTGGAGACAGTGTGGCAATTCCTCAAGGATCTAGAGCCAGAAATACCATTTGACCCAGCAATTCCATTACTGGGTATATATCCAAAGGATTATAAATAATTCTACTATAAAGACACTGCACACATACGTTTATTGCAGCACTATTTACAATACCAAAGGCTTGGAACCAACCCAAATTCCCATCAATGATAGACTGGATAAAGAAAACGTGGCACATATACACCATGGAATACTATGCAGCCATAAAAAAGAATCAGTTCATGTTATTTGCAGCAACATGGATGAAGCTGGAAACCATCATCCTCTGCAAATTAACACAGGAACAGAAAACCAAACACTGCATGTTCTCACAAATAAGTGGGAGATGAGCAATGAAAACACATGGACACAGGGAGGGAAACATCACACACTAGGGCCTGTCAGAGGGTGAGGGGTAAGGGGAGGGAGAGCATTAGAACAAACACCTAATGTATGAGGGGCTTAAAACCTAGATGACAGGTTGATAGGTGCAGCAAATCACCATGGCACATGTATACCTATGTAACAAACCTGCACATTCTGCACATGTATCCCAAAACTTAAAGTAAAATTCAAAAAGAAATTTAAAAATTTTTTTAAAAAGAAAGAAAATCAAAGACACAATGAAACAACACTTCACACTCACTAGGCTAACTACAATAAAAACCATGGATAATAGCAAGATGGGAACTGGCTAGATGGGAATGTAAAACAATGCACTTAGGAAAACAGTTTTGCAGCTCCTCAAAATGTTAAACATAATCATTAACATCTGACCCAGCAAAACCACTCCCAGGTTCCTAAAAAAATAAAATAAAATATAGCCATGCAAAAACTTGCACATGAATGTTCATGGCAACATTATTTTAACAGCTGAAGGTGGAAACAACCAAATGTCCACCATATGGATAAACATGGTATATCCCTACAATGAAATATGTATTATTCAGCCATAAAAAGAAATCAAGTACTGATACATGACACAACATGGATGAACCTTGAGAACACTGTACTAAGTGAAAGAAGCCACTCACTAAAGACCACATGAACTCATGGTCTTCACTGCTTATTAGGCCCCCTTGGCTTACCAACACCTCTCCCCCTTTGATTCCAGTTAGGACTTTCTTGCTAATGCTATTCCCTCTTCCTTTCTTAGATGCCCTCCCTTTTGGCCTTCTGTTTAAATTCTTTCCTAATCTCTCTATATTCTTCTATGAAGTTTTCCCCAACCAAACCACTTGATTTCTCCCATATCTGAACTGTCAGGGTAGTTACTGATTATATCACATTATGTGGGCATTTAAGTATATTGTATTTTTTTTTCTAAAATTGTGATTATCTTCCTCCAAGCTTATTAAGCATAAGGACATATTTGGGTAAGAGAACGTGATGGAAACTAACATTTACTAAGTACCTGCTTAGCTAAAGTTTTTTGTTTTTTGTTTTTTTTTTTTTGAGACAGAGTCTCACTCTGCTACGCAGGCTGGAGTGCAGGGGCACGATCTCAGCTCACTGCAACCTCCATCTTCCGAGTTCAGGTGATTCTCCTGCCTCAGCATCCCAAGAAGGTGGAATTACAAGCATGTGGCCACCACACCCAGCTAATTTTTGTATTTTTAAGAGAGACAAGGTTTCATCATGTTGGCCAGGCTGGTCTCAAACTCCTGACCTCAAGTGATCCATCCGCCTTGGCCTCCCAAAGTGCTGTGATTACAGGCATCAGCTATTACGCCCAGCCTAGATATTTAATATACGTTTTTCCTTAAAGCAAGTTACTTTAAACTCTGAGCCTGACTTTCTTCATTTGTAAATAAGGAAATTACTGCACAGGTTTATTGTGAAAACACTGGGGAAAGTCCAAGATATCTGAAGTTAAAAAACCAAGGTACAGAACAGTGTTTACAGCAAGTTACCATTTGTGTTTATTTAAAAAAGGAGGTAGGGGAAAGGGGTGTATAATCTATTATTATAGATTAAGTATATCTAAAGTAATTCACACAGGATGCACAAGAAACTGATAACAGCTATTGCCTTTGGGGCTGGAAATGGGAAAACTTACTTTTTCTATATATCCCTTTCTACTGTTTTGAGTTGTCTATCACGTGCATTATTTCCAAATAACAATTTTAAGGCTGAGCATGGTGGCTCATGCCTGTAATCCCAGCACTTTGGGAGGCCGAGGTGGGTGGATCACGAGGTCAGAAGATCGAGACCATCCTGGCTAACACGGTGAAACCCCGTCTCTAATAAAAATTAGAAAAAATTAGCCGAGTGTGGTGGTGGGCACCTGTAGTCCCAGCTACTCGGGAGGCTGAGGCAAGAGAATGGCATGAACCTGGGAGACGGAGCTTGCAGTGAGCTGAGATCGCACCACTGCACTCCAGCCTGGGTGACAGAGCGAGACTCTGTCTCAAAAAAAAAAAAAAAAAAAAAAAATTTAAAGTACATGTACACACACAGATATGAAATATATTTTTAAAACTATTAATACCACAGGGTATTTCTACCCTTAAGGGTGTAAAAATAAGCTTCATTTCAGTCATAGTTATCATACTAATGTTTATCACCTTTTTTCTTTGAAAATGCTCTTTTCACTACGTACTACTGATGTCATGACATTAATGGATGTCTTCTTTTCATCTAGGAAGTTAAAAGACTTATCTACCCTTTATATTAAAAGTACTATATGTGACTGGTGTATAAGATCACTACATGTCCTGGTTTGCCCAAGACAATCTTGGTTTATGCCTACTGCCCTGATGTAATTATTAGTAATTATATGATCGCCCTACTGATGAACCAAAGGGAAAATAAGTCTATTCTTCTTATAACATCAATCAAAGACCATTCCATCAAATTTAGGGATAAACTATATTCTTTTGTACAATGAATTCCTCTTTGGTGAGTTTCAAGAATTAGCTTATCTTCTTAAAACGTGTAATAACATGATTAACATATTGACCTCGCACAGCCTACCTGGCCCCTGCCCTTAGAATATTTCAAGATAGCAGCTATTTATTCATCTTGATAAATCGATTTAAAAAGAAAAAAAAAAGTAGCTAAACACCTAGCTATTTTTACTATAGGCAGTTAAAAAGACTGTTTCTCTATGTCCCATCTTTAACAATTCCATCTCAAATGGTATACTCCAAGACTTATTAAATACAGCTTAAACATTCCATTTTCCATCTCTATTACCCATTCCCTTTTTTTTTTTTTTTTTTTTGATGAGATGGAGTCTCGCTCTGTCGCCCAGGCTGCAGTGCAGTGGCACGATCTCAGCTCACTGCAGCCTCCGCCCCCTGGGTTCAAGTGATTGCCGGGCCTCAGCCTCCCGAGTAGCTGGGACCACAGGCATGTGCCACCATACCCGGATAAATTTTGTATTTTTAGTAAAGATGGGGTTTCACCATGTTGGCCAGCTGGTTTCAAACTCCTGACCTCAGGTGATCTGCCCACCTCGGCCTCCCAAAGTGCTGGGATTACAGGTGCAAGCCACTGCACCTGGCCCCATTCTCTTTTTTAAGAGACTGTGGCCTTGCCATGTTGCCCAGGCTGAACTCAAACTCCTAGCCTCAAGCAATCCTCCTACCTCAAGCCTCCCAAGTAGCTAGGACTACAGGAATGGGCCACTGCACCCAGCTCTATTACCCACTCTTGAATAGGCTTAAAAGGAATTTAAAAAACCAAATGTTTCAACATTACATTTACCTTAAACTAGATTTATGTAAGACATTTATTTAATTATCCCTTCCTGACCATTAAGAACTACTTTCTCTTACAGGTACTGAAAATTCATGTTACTGATGTAAGAACTTTTCCCAAATAATACAGAGAATGACAGTTAACTATCAGATAAGCTAGGGCACTGGTTTGAAAACCTTAGTTGCCTAAGGAGCAAGAGTTGGCAAACTATGACTCACATGGGCCAAATCAGGCCCTCAACCTGTTTCTGTTTGGTCTACTAGTTAAGAAAGGTTTTCACATTTTTAAGTGATTAAAAAAATCTAAAGAAAACTAGTATTTTATGACACGTGAAAACTATTAATAAATTTTATATTGAATTATTAAATTGAAATCGGTGTCCGTAATAAAGCTGTATTGGAACACAACCACATTTTTTCATTTATGAATTGTATATGGCTGCTTTTGTACTATGGGTAGAGTTGAACGGTTCTAACAGAGATCAAATGGCCTATGACGCCTAGAATATTTACTACTTGGACTTCTGCTAAATAACTTTGCCAAACTCCACCCTAGAGAGGTTTTGTTTAAAAAGAAAAATTATATATATACATACACACACATACACACACACACACACACACACACACAGAGAGAGAGAGAGAGAGAGAGAGAGAGAAACCAAAACAGTGGGGAGATGGACAAAAGAGGAATTTCCATTTTTAACAACTGCCTCAAGTAATTCTGATACAGACAATATATTCAGAAAACACTGATCTACACTCTACTCCTACATATGCTTAGAAAAAGGGAATTGTCATGTGGCTTACAATTTCATTGCTAAATAAAATGGGGGCAACTTGGTAAACAGAGGCTTTCTTCCTTCTATCAAGAGAGTATATATGTGCATAGCCAATTCAGCCTCCCCACTCCTGAAGAGTGTGCAATGCATTCTGCCAGACACACAGATCTTGAGGTAAAAAGAAGAAAATATCCTGTCCATTAAGAAGAAAATTTTAATTTCACATAAAATTTGCTTTAGTTTATTGTCAAGATTTGTGATTTTGAAGCTACACTTAGGAAATCCTTCCTGGCCTGTGGGTCGCATTTTCTTTCTTCATTGTATAGTTTTAAAATTTCACATGTGAGCTTTTAATCTACCTAGTCTACCTTCATATATGGTATTAAGTAGGAATCCGGTTTTATTTACCTCCTTGTGGTGAGTCAATTTCCCTATACCATCTATGAACAATCCCATCTTGTCCTCAGTGTTTGGTGCTGCCATAAATTATATATTATATATTAAAATCCTACATATACACATGTCCATCTCTGGGTGCTCCAAGTCAGCTTCATTGGTCTGTTTACCTTACCACAGGGCTACGGTAATAAATACAGTGTAGTATTATTGGAGCACGTCTTCATATCTGGGAGAGCAACAACCCATCTCCCACGCATAACACCTAAGACTGACCTACATGTTCATGAACATATTCTCCATATGTAAGTGTAGAGTATGATTGGCAAAAATTAGAAAATCAGAACGCACCTAAGAGGACACAGGAATTCTCATGCTCTGCTACTGGTGGGCATGGAGATGAGTACAGCCATTCTGGGGAACAATCTGGTACAACTTAAGTCAAATCAAATTTAAGTAAGCCCTATGATCCCCTTGCAGTTCTGCTTAATTCTTACAGAGGTCCAAAAAAGATTACGGACCAGAATGTTCACTGTTAGTGGGGATGGAGAGCTGGAAACGATCTGGTCTTCTATAAGATAAAATGAGTATACCCCTTGGAATACTATGTGGCTGTTCAACGCAATGAATTAGATGCTTGCATAGCAACAGGGAGAGAGCTTAAAACATTGTGCTTAGAAAAATGTAAGAAAGAATTAGGCATCATTTATGTAAGTTAAAAATACAAACACTAAATACATTTTACAAGAACACAAACAATATAGTGAAAGGCATTAGAATGGGTGCTTTTGGGGCAGAAGTAGAAAATGAGGATAAAATAGAATAAAATAAACAAGCAGGAAAGAGGAGAAAAAGGAATCAACCTTTACTGGGGGAAGGGGAGGGCTCACAAACACTAGGCTAGCTAGCTGTAGCCTGCGCCTTAGAGACTACTCACAAACCCCACCCACATGGCTCTCCCACAAATTATTTTTACATACTCCCATTTTACATATGAGTTGCCTTCATTAAAGGAGCCCTAAGAGCATAAAAAATTACACATGGTGGAAGAAATATCAAGAAGATATCGTTAAGTCAGTACAACTGCAGGATAAAGATGGCAATATCTGTAACTCGGGCAACCAGAAAAAAATACATTAAAGAGATAAAAATATAAAAACACAGGAAAAGCATTTGGGTGAAAGAAGAATTAAGTTTTAAGTTTTGGACACAGTTTGTTGTTAATTTTCACTGTTTGGCTGAAAATACTGACTCCAGAAGGCAGTCAAGAATAGCTAGAATACATCTGAGGGTCATTTGGATTGTCATTGTCCAAACTGCCACACAGTTGTTAAAGATGACACTGGTATGGAAGATGCTTGTGAAGCTAATGATGTGGGATGCTCTGGGGGAGTTGGAAGGGTGCTGGTTCAAAACAAAACAACCAATAGGAAGCAGGGGAGAAATGACTGTGGAAGGTGAGAGTGGAGTAGGCAAATTATTATAGATCTCATTTATTGAAAGTTGATTATGTGTAACATAAGCTAAATACTTAATTGTGTGTTCAAATGCCACTATATTCTAACAGCAGTAGGTGCCAAAGACTTAAGACATTTATGCAGCAAGCAAACTCAGAACTGAGAAAATCTATATTATCATTATGTGAATGGTGTGCCACAGTTGTGCAACTCAATGGTCCTGACTCATAAAACATTGTGCACAGTTCCGAATGTCAACAAATATTTAACACATATTATATGCTAAGCAATATGTTAGGAACTGTATGTCCTGCAGTCAACAAGACTGGCATTAACCTCGATTATACAAACTAAGTCCAGGTATTATGGTAACCTAATGGTCTTGCCTCTGTCCCTGTCACTACTCTCAACAAAACTTAGTCTGGGGGGACAGATGGCTTCCCAAAGAAAGTCCATTTTAATCTGAAAAAAATTGTCCTTGAACTATGCTCCTGCTAAAAAAAAAAAAAGCTTTAAGCCAAATAATCATACTATATACTACTATAATATATATTTTTATATGTAACTGTAACATATATAGTATATATGCTATGCCACAGTATAATAGCACATGGGATATTTTATGGTATAAAGTTATACCATAACTACCATAATCATGCTACTATAGGGTTCTTTATTCAAATAAAACAAGCCCTTGCCCTCAGAGGTTATAGTTAGATTACAGAGATATGGAAAATTTGATCTTTTGAACATCTATTCCAGAAGACTCAAAGTTATTATTGTTTATTCCATTTACTGTTGTACAATTAGAAATCTTTATTCCCTCAAAAAGTATAAAAACTTATGTGTGACTTCAAAAACCAAAATTAAAATTTTTAAAAACCGAATAGCGCACTTGTAATTTGTGATAATGAGATTTTACGTCACAAAAAATGCTGTTCAGTGTTGACACAGAGGTATGAGACTCCGACTTATTTCCTCAAGCTATGAATTCAGCTTACATAACAAAAGGAGGCCTTGAAATATCTTGCCTTATTATCTCACTTAGGATGACAAAGTTTAGTGATATTTATAGCAAATGATAATAAAATAAAAAGGTATATTCTTCAAAGAAAAACGAACAACAGGCCGGGCAACATGGCACGACTCCGTCTCCACAAAAAAATAGAAAAATTAGCTGGGAATCGTGGCATGTGCCTGTCATCCCAGCTACTCAGGAGGCGAGGTGGGAGGACTGCCTGAGCCCATGAGGTTGAGGCTGCAGTGAGTCGTGACTGCACCACTGCATCCCAGCCTAGGCGACGAATTGAGACCCTGTCGCCAACAACAACAACACCACACACACACACACACACACACACACACACACACACACACACACACACACCCCTTCACTTACTGGGTCATGACATAGTTCAATCTTTCTTCTTACCTGATCCTAACATCTGAGATTCCACTGCCCATTATAGTCAAACCAAAAGTTACACCACATTTACTTTCACCTAGTTACAATAAAGGTTTTAAGGTAAATGCATTTTCTGATTCAGTGTAACAATCACTAGGATAATCAAAGTACTAAATCATGTACCTCAAGTTTTTTGTAAAAGATTATCCCATTTTGCCCTCTAACAGCAGTCAGCCACTCAACACTCACCTAGAATACCTTCATCTCTCTCCTAATAGAACTCTAAACCATCTACCCCCAAACATACGTCCACAAAACAAAAAGATCTAGGAGAGTCATATAAAAACTGTGACTGTCAGCTGCATGTGACTTTTTCACTCACCAACCCATTGGATTTCAAATTTCTGTGTCAGAATAATACAGTACAATACTGAATTCAAAGGTAATAGTCATGTGGGATTGTTTTTGTTTTGGTTAATGGTGGCTACAAATGTGGCTCCAGAATCCTAGAACTGTGAATGGCATGATACATGAAAAAGTATGAGAGATGAATGCATGATATTTATATTTTCTCCCTATTAGACAGAAAACATTTTATCTGCAAATCCAACAGAATTCATGGAAAGTAGAAATGCAATCTCTAACAATGCGGCCATTACAAGTCCAACTCTAATCAACACATATAATATAAATATTCTTGTGGTATGGCTTGACCTTTAATCGTATTAGAATTAATACGTGCTCAAAGCACATCTAATTCTGAGTAAGAAGAGTAGAGAGACAGAAAAAAATCAATCATCTATTCTTAAAAAAAAAACCCTAAAACAATTAAAAATTCTAATGACACAGTTCAGCTGATATGGCCAGAAACAGTATCAGTCTCTAAATGCCAAGATGAATTTTAAATAAAATCTAACTCTTACCCATTTATAGCAGATAAAATTGAAACATAGCCATTTAAGACGAGCTTAATTTTTTTCCTCGCTCATGATGTAAAGAATCCAATAACTCTTTATATCTTTTCAATCTTTTCAAACAGTTCACCCGCATCTCTAAAAGTAAATAATATCATTATAGATGTATAAAAGCTGAAACAGCATGAAAGTATTGTTTTCTAACGACTAATCTTTATTTACAAAAAGTATCATGGGCTGTAAAGTCACTTCAGCTTCTAACCAAGATGGTATATCAGATACTAAATCTGCCCTACCACTTAAACAACAAAAAAACTGACAAAATATATAAAACAGCAGTTTCCATACACTGGACATCAGGTAGTGCAAGGCAGTGATCTCTGAGAAAGGAAAACTAAATATATTGAGACCTACAATCGCCTGTGGTGCAGGAAGGAATAACCTAAGTGGTCAGAGTTCACAAGTACCAGAGCTGCACAGAGACAGAACTCCGGAGATCTGTAGAGGGTCCCGTCAAGTATTTACCTAAGCATGAATTAGCACATGCATGAGAGGACACTACGCAATGCCAGGGAAAGAATCACCAGAGAACAGAGAGAACACTCCCCAGAGCTCGCACAGGGCTGAGAATAGTTTGCATTGCCATTAGTCAGAAAGAAAAAGACCCTGGTAACTTATGGGCCATCCAGCAGAATACTCAGAATGGTGATGCCTCAGTGAATGGTAAAAATTAGCCTTAATAGCTGTTCTGGTCACTCTCAAAAGCAGGCTTCAAAAGGAGGCCTTAAAAGCTTAAAAGCAGGCCTCAAAAGGATCAGACTAAGTTCCAACTTAACTGCACCTTACGACAAAGCTCAAGAATATTTTTAAGAATACAAAAAGGCAGCACTCAAAAAGGCAAAATTCACAATGTTTGGTATCCAACAAAAAATTATCACGCATGTGCAGGGGCTTGAAAATATAAGGTAAAAAACCAATCAATAGAAACTGATCCAGAAATGACCCAGATAATGAAATTAGTGGACAAAAAGACAGTAAACGCTTGTTATAACTGTAATCATAAATTTAAAATGATAAATACCTGACCATGGTAAGTGGACTCATAGAAATTATAAAAAGATCCAAATCAAACTTCCAGATATGAAGAAATACAACAACTGAGATTAAACATATACTGAAATTAACAGCATGTTAGACTATGCAAAGGAAAAATAAGAAACTTGAAGTCAGCCATAAAAATTATTCAAATGAAACACAGAAAACAAACTTTCTTTCCAAATATGATGAAACTATAAGCTCATAGAGCCAAGAAACTGAACAAACACCAAGCACAAGAAATACAAAAAATAAAAAAACTACATCAAAAGGTATATCATAATCTAACTGTGTAAAACCAGTGATAAAGAGTAATTCTTAAAAGTAGCCAGACAAAAAGATGACACATTATATGGAGAAACAAACTAAGGATTACAGAGTTCTCACTGGAAACAATGCAAGTCAGAAGACAGTTACATAGCATCTTTAAGTAAAAAACAAAACTGTCAGCCTAAAATCCTATATCCAACAGGAACATTTCCAAAAAAAAAGACAAAGATTTTTTTCAGACATAATAAAACAAAGAATTTGTCACCAGCAGACCTGACTGCAAGAAATGTTAAAGGAAGTCTCTCAGGCAGAAGGAGATGTCAGTGAGTGAATATCTGAAACTATACAAAGAAAAAAAGAACACCAGAAATGGTAATAAATGTGTGGAAAATATAAAATTTTAAATTATTATTATTATTATTATTATTTTCTTTTTTTGAGACAGACTCTCTCTCTGTTGCCAAGGCTGGAGTACAGTGGAGTGATCTTGGCTCACTGCAACCTCTGCCTCTTGGGTTCAAGTGATTCTCCTACCTCAGCCTCCCAAGTAGCTGAGACTACATGCGCATGTCACCATGCCCGGCTAATTTTTTTGTATTTTTAGTAGAGACAGGGTTTCACCGTGTTAGCCAGGATGGTCTCGATCTCCTGACCTCGTGATCCACCCGCCTCAGCCTCCCAAAGTGCTGGGATTACAGGCATGAGCCACCGCACCCGGCTAAATTATTTTTTAAATCTCTTAAAAGATAATGTTTAAAGCAAAAATAGTAACAATATATTTTGGGGTTTATAACATGCAGAATAAAATATATGACAATAACAGCACTAATGCTGGGAGAGGGATTGTTGAGGGGTCGCTGTGGGTGAAGGGGTATAATTATCACGTGAACGTAGTCTGTGATAAGCTAAAGATGTATTCTATAAAGATGTATTCTAAAGCAACCACTAAAAAACAAACAAAAAAAGTTATAGCTGGTAATACAGAAGAGAAATTAATTAATATAGTATCATTAAAAAAAAAAAAACTCAACCCAAAAGCAAGCATGAAAAAAGGAAATACAAATAGGATAAATTGAAAATTAATTTAAATCTAATTATATCAGGCCTGGCACGGTAGTGGCTCACACCTGTAATCCCGGCACTCTGGGAGGCCGAGGCAGGCAGATCCCTTCAGCTCAGGAGTTTGCGAACAGCCTGGCCAACATGGTGAAACTCCATTTCTACTAAAAATACAAAATTTAGCCAGGAGTGCTGGTGCATGCCTGTAATCCCAGCTACTTAGGAGGCTGAGGCAGGAGAAATCTCCTGAACCCTGCAGGGCGGAGGTTGCAGTGAGCTGAGATCAGGCCACTGCACTCCGGCCTGGGTGACAGGGTAAGACTCCATCTCAAAAAATAAAAATAAATAAATAAATCCAATCATGTCAACAATAACATTAAATGTTAATGGTCTAACCATTCCAATTTAAAAGCAAAGATTGTCAGATTGGAAAAACAAGCAAGTCCCAATTATATGCTGTTTAAAAGAAACCGCTAGTCCAGGCATGGTGGTTCATGCCTGTAATCCCAGCACTTTGGAAGGCCTAGGAGGGAGGATCACTTGAGCCCAGAAGTTCAAGACTAGCTTGGGCAACATGGCGAAACATTTTCTACCAAGAAGTTCAAAAATTAACCAGGTGTGGTGGCTCACGTTTATAGTCCCAGCTACTTAGGAGGCTGAGGTAGGAGGATTACTTGAGCCCGGGAGGCTGAGACTGCAGTAGGCTGTAATTGTGCCACTGCACTATAGCCTGGGCAACAGAACAAGACCTTGTCTCAAAAAAAAATAAAATAAATAATAAAAATAAAGAAAATAAACCCCTATTATATATTTTTAAAGTCCTGTACCAGCTATCACTTATTAGATACTAACCAATGAAAAGAACTTCTTTGCAGAGCCTTAAAAGTATCAACCTGTTTTAATAAGCAATGCAGATTAGTGGACAAGCAGAAAGAAAAGGGAAATTCCCAACAGCATGGTCAAGATTTCTAATTCTCAGTTCTCCATATTACCTGTCTACCTTCTATTGAAAGTTTGTAGTATTTAATTTTCCACATGCCAAAAGTTCCTCAAAAGATTGAAGGTGGTAAAAACGCTGCTTCTCAAACAAAACTTTCTTACTCAAACCAGGTGTAGGCTAGTCCTCTAAAAAACAAAACACCAAAACCAATCAGCCAACCAAAGAAAAACTATCTCCAACGCTTTATAAAATGCAGCAAGGAGCTAGTAATTTTTAAAACATATCACATAATATATCACAAATCCTCTGAATTTCAAATTGGAATCAGCCAATGGCTAAAAATAAAAACACATAGCAAGTTGGACTGGGATGGTGCAGGCAACAGTCCCAAAATTCAGTCCCTCCTCTCTGCAGAAGAAAGCAAATGTATCACTAAATAGCTTACAGTTAACACATTACTATCTTTTTGAGACACCAGTATCCTGGGGATACTTACAGTTTTGAGAGCTTCTCAAGTATTAGTGCTGGGTTTGGAACACACTCCCTGGCTCAGGTCCTAAATCTAAACAGAGCACTCAGACTCCTGTATTTTAATTCTGGCTCCCAAACTTTCTAGCTTTATGATCACAGGCAAGTTACTTAACTTTTTTATGTTTCAACTTCCTCACCTGTATAACTGAGGTGAAAATAATAGTATAACTTTTTTGTTAGTGTTAGTGCTTACTGTGAGCCAGGCACTGTTCCAAGTGCTTTATATACATTTCTAAATCCTAAAAACTCTATGAGGTAGGCATTATTATCCCTATCTTACAGATAAGGAAACAGAGTAGAGATTTATGTTCCTTCCCCAAATTACATAGCTATTATGTGAGAGCTAGGATTTTAACTCAGTCTGGCTCCAGAACCTGCCATGTTACTCAATATGCCAAACAAGTTAACAAGCCACAGATTTCCCAAATTGCCCATCTTTTCATGATAGACCATAAACTACTTAACAAGAGCTTTATCTTCTTCATCATGAGTGATGCCACCATCTAGCACAAAGAGAACATAAACTAGATCAATCATAGTGTGCAGAATGAATAGATTCCTGGGCATGATTCTGTCTGTCATATGTCATTTACTTTCACATGCCCCTGAGGGACACGGTAGAGAGTGTACAATGGTTAAGAATCAGAAGACCCATGTTCTATCCCAACCATACCAGTCCTCAGCTGAGCCATTTTAGGAAAGTCACCTCACTTCCCTAGATCTGAGTGTGTTCATTTGTAAAATGAGGAACTGAACTAGATCTAAGTTCCCTTTCAGCTCTAAAACTTCCAAGAAAAGCCAATGTCACTCTTTTGGAAAAAGAACAAAAGAGCTGCCTCACTGAAATACCTTGCAGTTTTCAGAGGAACACACACATCTCTTCTATTGCTTACTTAAAATCCCTTACTCCCCTAGACTAAGGGCTCCAACAGAGTCTGGACCTAGTCTCTCCTGTTTATGTCTTCCCCAGTACAGCACATGGCATGTGGAAGACATCTGATGTTTAATGAGTAAATACATTATAGGTGAAAACTTGTGAGGACTAAGTGAAAAGAGAAACTCTTTTTTTATATAGCATTCTAAATCAGTTATTTCCTAAATTCATGAATGGATGGCTAATTTTACTAGCTGGATATTCATTTTAGATATTCCTATTAACTTTAGTTATAAAAACTCTCTTGTAAAGATTTATTCACAAGGCTTTTTAAAATGCTTTAACTTCTTGCTGTTTCAATGTATTTCATCTATATCCTAAACAGTTCTTGTTCCAAATGTCCTATTTAACAGAAAAATCGTAATCTTAACATCAACAGCAAAAGCTCAAAACATTTTTTCTGAAATATATATCTTATCTGTGCCATAAACTAGATCATAAAAGCAGCAGCTGAAAAGAAGTTATTAGAAATAGCTTAAAACTCACAGGAAACAGATGCTAACTTTCCCTCCCTGCCTCCCCCTTTCCTAATGCCTTTAAATATAAAGCTATTACGTGTTGAAATGAACCTTTTATTTTGAGGATTATTTATGTAGATTATCCAGAGAAATTTAATGCAGTCTCAATTCACCAGAATTTTTCAAACAATAATCTGCAAATTGATACAGGTAAACCGTGAGATTTAACTTCTAATGTCTAAAAAAAGGGGGGAGGAGGGGAGTTTCTAAAATTGATTCACTTTTTATTTTGAATAATTGATGATTATATGTCATAAAAGCCTGGAAATTACCAGAGGTACACTGTATGCAAATTTTAAAACGTATACATTACTTTAAAAGTATACATTACTTCCTTGGTTCTTACCCTTGGCTTCTGAGTTTTGTTTTAATGCAGGTGTGGGAACCTCCCCTAGAGATGATTCCAATAGGATGGGGCCCTGGTGTGACTGTTTTTTGTTCTGGTTTTTGTTTTGAGGCAGGTCTTGTTCTGTGGCTCAGGCTGGAGTGTACTGGCATGATCCTAGCTCACTTAGCCTCGACCTCCTGGGCTCAAGTGATCTTCCCACCTCAGCCTCCTGAGTAGCTAGGACCACAGGTGCGCACCAGCACATCTAGCTAATTTTTAAATTTTTTGTAGACAGGATCTTGCTATACTGCCCAGGCTGCTCTTAAACTCCTGGGCTCAAGCAATCCTCCTGCCTCAACCTCCCAAAGTGCTGAGATTACAAGCATGAGCCACCCAACCTGGCCTGCATTTTTTTAAAACATTACATGTAACTGAGATAGCAGCCAAGGTTGAGAACTACTTCATTAAACATTTAACAGTTAATGCTAGACTGCTTCAAGTAGGTGATCAGGTTAACTCAATATGTAAAACCTAAAAATGTTAAAATATTGTACAATTAGTCCCGTATTTTTTTTTCTATGCTCTTATTCTCCATTTTAAACATTATCAATTTGAGCAGTGATTCCTCACATTGCTTTTTATGCATTACAGGGAATACCACAAGTCTTAAAACATAATTCAGTATGAATTCATTTTAGTTTTAAATTTCCTCCAAAGTGATTTCTTTCATTACATTAATATTTTAAGTTAAAAAATTTATAAAACAAAACTGTAAGAAAAAACATCAGCCAATTTCTAATCTCAAAGAGCTTTCCTAGTATTAAAAAGAGCAGTGTAAGTTTTTTTTTCCTTTTTTATTTTTAGAGACGGGGTCTCGCTCTGTCATCCAGGAAGGAGTGCAGTGATGCAATCACAGCCCACTGCAGCCTCAAACTCCTGGGGTCAAGAAATCCTCCCATCTCAGCTCCCCAAAGCACTAAGATTACAGGCTTGAACCATGGCACCTGGCCTTTTTTTCATTTTTTAAATAAAAAGCTGCCAGGAGCAGCTAGCAGTGCTGTTCAGGGAAAAGAACTTGGAAAAAGCACAGGAGGAAGGAAGGTTAGAAGCAAACACAGAAAAGCTACAGAGTAATGGGACATGCTACAGAGGTTATGTGAGAAAGATGGGGGAATTTTAAGTGGGCAAGTAGAACAATTAGACATATTTTAGAAAAATCACCCTAAATGGTGACAAACATTTGTCCTCTGAAGGAGAATTTGATGGGGGTTATTAGCTCTGATTTATAGATGAGAAAATAAAGCTGCTAGAGGTTAAATGATCTGCCCAAGATTATAGTGCCATCAAGAGGCAGAGTTAAGATTTGAACTCAATGGTGAGACTCAAAACCAAGCTTTTATTACAGCAAAGAAAACTGTATGACTATCACAAATGAGCTGTAAAAGGCCTTGTCCAAAGACACTTCAAAAAATGTTTTAAATAATGGACCAAGAGTTAACCTCTTGAAGTTTTATTTTATTTCTTTTTATTTATTTTTTACCATAAGGCTTTTTTGCACTGTTGAAATTTTCTGATACAAAACTTCTGGCATCTTTTTATTTTTATTTTTTTTTGAGACAGGGCTGGAGTGCAGTGGTACAAACACGGCTGACTGCAGCGTCAACCTGTCGGGCTCAAGTGATCCTCCCACCTCAGCCTCTCGAGTAGCTGGGACTACAGGCACATGCCACCATGCCCAGCTAATTTCCTAAATTTTCTGTAGAGATAGGGTCTCGCTGTGTTGCTCAGGTTTGTCTTGAACTTCTAGCCCCAAGAAATCCTTCTGCCTTGGCCTCCCAAAGCGATGGGATTACAGGCATAAGCCATCACGCCCAGCCACTTTTGGCATCTTAAATAAACCTCATTTCTTCACAGTCATGCCTATAATTTTCTTTACATAGACAACAACATTTGCTGTAAAATATAAGAAATTATCTTCTCTCTAGCTTTGCTAACATTACCATTGCTTTCCGACATCTTGTTCATCTGCATTTAATACTCTGTTTAACTACTGCTATGACATGGCTTTCAGACTCTCATGTGGCGTTCTGAATCAGTGTTTATTTGTATCTTCCAACCTGACTCTATTAATATTCTAAAAATAGGGAAAAACAATTTATCTAAAATAATAAAACTAATTCATTAATGTAGCACCTTCCAAAGGTGCCTAGGAAACAAATGCTTCCCTAGTGGGAAGGTCTATTAAATTCTTAATTTTAAATATATGACTATCAAATAGTTCACTGTCAAGAAAGGCACATACCATATACCAATCATTTTTTAAGGTTAGGAACAAGCAACACAAAACTCATATTTTAAAAATAAAAAATATCTCCATTTTATACTCTACTGAGAGGTACGTTATGGAAAATAAAAGGAAGTGCTAAGAGACAAATATATGGAGACTGAGGAAAAATGGGAGAAAAGGGACAAAAATTGAAAAATTGACCAAAAGGTATGGTGTTATATAGTTAAAATTAACTTGAATACTTTATATTTTTCTTTTTCTCCCACTTTTTGAGACAGGGTCTCACTTTGTCGCCCAGGCTGGAGTACAATGGCACAAACACAGCTCACTGCAGCATCAATCTCCTGGGCTCAAGCAATCTTCCTGCCTCAGCCTCCCAAGTACATGGGATGACAGGCACACCACCACACCTGGATTATTTTTTAAAATTTGTTTTGTAGAGATGGGGGTTTCACCATGTTGCTCAGACTGGTCTCAAACTCCTGGGCTCAAGCAATCCACCCGCCTTAGCTAACCAAAGTGCTGAGATTACAGGTGTGAGTCACCACATCCCTGTATTTTTCTTTTTTTGAGACAAAGTCTCGCTCTGTTGTCCAGGCTGGAGCGCAGTGGCAAGATCTTGGCTCACTGTAACCTTCGCCTCCCGGCTTCAAGCGATTCTCTCTCAGCTCACTGCAACCTCTACCCACTGAGTTCAAGCGATTCTCTCTCGGCTGACTGCAACCTCCACCTCCCGGGTTCAAGCGATTCTCCTGCCTCAGCCTCCTGAGTAGCTGGGATTACAGGTGCCCACCACCACGCCTGGCTAATTTTTGTACTTTTAGTAGAGATGGGGTTTTGCCATGGTGACCAGGCTGGTCTCAAACTCCCGAGCTCAGGTGATCTGCCCACCTCGGCCTCCCAAAGTGCTGGGATTACAGGCGTGAGCCACTGCGCCCAGCCCCCCACACCTCTATATTTTTCTTTACAGGTCTCCTCCCTCCAGGAAAAACACAGTCCCTTCTCCTTTATTAAAAATGTATATTCTCTTCCAACAGGTCAACTATTTGTGTCCAAGCCATTCCCTGGACAATGATCAGAAACTGAATTCTGTTTTTATTTCCCTTTCAGGAAAATCATTCATTTGCTCCTTCATTCATTCACAGCAAAAGTTTGAGCAGTTACTGTTTTCTAAACCCTGTGCTAGATGGCTGACATGATCCATATGCTCACAGAGCTTAAAGTATTGAACAAACTCAAAAAGCCAATTATTAAAGCTAAATAAATGACTAAGTTTTCTTCCTTTAGAAAAAAGTATTTGGCTGGGCATGGTAGCTCATGTCTGTAACCTCAGCACTTTGGGAGGCGGAGGCGGAGGCAGGCGAATCACCTGAGCTCAGTCAGGCATTCAAGACCAGTCTGGCCAACATGGTGAAACCCTGCCTCTACAAAAAATACAAAAATTATCCAGGCATAGTGGCGGGCACCTGTAATTCCAGCATTTGGGAGGCTGAGGCAGGAGAATGGCTTGAACCTGGAAGGCAGAGGTTGCACTGAGCTGAGATCGCACCACTGCATTCCAGCCTGGGCAACAGAGTGAGACTCTGTCTCACAGAAAAAAAAAAAAAGAAATACAAAACTTAGCTGGGTGTGGTAGCACGTGCCTGTAGTCCTAGCTACTTAGGAGGCTAAGGTGGGAGGGGATCACCTGAGCCTGGGACATCAAGGCTGCAGTGAGCTGTGATCACACCACTGCACTCCAGCCTGGGCAACAGAGTGGGACCATGTCTCGAAAAAAAAAAAAAAAGTATTCATTTTGTTAAATATTTTGTCAAACTAGCTCCCAATATTAGTGTCATCTGGACCCTTTCACTTTAATTACCAAAATAGCTGACTGATCCAAAACTCAATCAAGTTAGACTAACTGGTCCCTCGCCCAAGAGTTTTACAACTGGCCAAAAGTAAGTTTCTCTCTGGGTGCCTGTGGTCATGTTCTTCAGGCAGGCTGTGGGCAGCCAGGAGCAATCTGCGATGTGAGAAAAAATAAAGCGCACTTGGAGTGAGAGCATAGATGAGAGTTGGAGAGAATTCCTGGTTTCTGTTGTTTCTGATATCCAGAACATTTCAGTTCCTGGGTTATCAGACACACACTCAAATATCCCTATAATATTATCTTTTTATTTAAATGAATTAATTAGACTGCTGTTACCTGCAACATAAAGAGTCTTAGCTAATAACAAAAGTGGTATCAGAATGACTAATTCTCTCCAAAGTACAGTGGTTGAGTATCGGCCCTGAAGCCAGATCACGTGGGTTCTTCTGGCTTCTCCACTTACTAAGCTGCACATAACCTTAATGTTGATTTCATAATCTGTAAAATGGGATTACATGACCACCAACAGGAATGGTTTAAGTTTTAAATGAGTTTCTAATGTTCAAAGTCCTTAGAACAAAACTTGACCCACAGTTAAGACCGCAACAGAAGTTAGCTATCACCACCACCTCCAAGGGGGATCTAAATTCTACGATATACTGATTTGCTGATGTTTCAATGAGACCACTCATCTGGCTTGACACATTCCCTACTGTACACATGATACACAGAGAGCATTGACAAGGCCACTCTTAAACAGGGACAGTTTCCACATCCAGGTGAATCAAGAAGAGTAATAAGGTAAGGAAGAGAGAAAAAGCAGTGGCTGGATTCTCCACAGCTCCAAGCATCACACTGTTCTCTCATAAGGAGCTTCTACACAACCAAAACCCCAAACCTGCCCCCACCCCAATATTGAGTCACACTGCTCTTCCTTTGATGCTGTTGGTTCTATAAGCCTGAAGATTTTTATGCATTTTTGGATCCAACAGATGACTTCAGCTTGCCAAAAACAAACAAAAACAAAAACAAAAAAATGAACCCACTCCCGACTGGTATAACTCTTAAAATCCTTTATTATTTGTGATTTTTATTTTTGTGTGTGATGGGGGTAGGGCAAGAGATGAAGGCTGCTGACCTTTGTGAACCCTAAATCTATTTATAATACATATTGACTAAGACTCCCTCTATCCACTCCATGCTCTTGTCAGGGGATATTATAAAGGGCTCAGAATAAATTAAACACCATCCTGAAAGGCTACTTAACTAGAAGCAAGCATGGCCCAGAGATCAAGCACATGCATGTAAGAATTAGAGGAGCCTAAAGAACCAGGAAGTAGTTAAAAAGAAAAAAGGAAAAATAATATATGCATGATTTTTCCAAAGATATTTTCTTGACAAAGTATCTTTTAAATTATTCTAGAACCAAAATTCCAGGTGTAGCTAGCTAGGTAATAAGAAGGAGTGGAGGGAAGGGGGAGGAAGGGAAACATGTGGCATACCCATATCCTGACAATGCCAGGGTTTCTCTACAGAAATTCCGAAATAGCAGCAAACTCCTCAAGAACCCAGGCCAACAGAGCCAATCAATCCATGCTTATCAACTCACAAATTTGCTGAAGGCTTTCTCCTTTTATCTGCTTCTCTTTCAGACATCTCTTATTTATAGAAAGTAGTGAGCTAAGCCTGAGGGGAAAACCAAAGTCCCCATTTCTAACCGCTCTTCTAGACCCCTTTCCTTTCTCAGTTCCTCTTTCCTTTCTCCTTCTCTTATTAGCTCGACCTCAACCTTTTCCTTGGACTCCCTAAATCTGTAAACTTTCCCACTTCAGCACTTTTCCAGGAGAGGGGCAGGTATGGGGGCTCAGGCTACTGGTAAACCCCGTGCTTTGGGAGGTTGAGGCAGAAGGACTGCTTGAGACCAGGAGTTTGAGACTAGCCCAGGCAACACAGCAAGACCCCACCTCTCCAAAAAAATTTAGAAAACAGCTGGGTCTGGGTGTGGTGATTCACACCTGTAATCCCAGCACTTTGGGAGGCTGAGGCAGGAGGATCATCTGAGCTTAGGAGTTCCAGACCAGCCTGGGCAACATAGTGAGATCCTGTCTCTATTAAAAAAAAAAAAAAAGCTGGACTTTGTGGAGTGCACCTGTTGTCCCAGCTACTTAGGAGGCTGAGGTGGGAGGATCGCTTGACCCCAGGAGTTCAAGGCTGCAGTGAGCTATGATCACACCATTGCATTCCAGCCTAGGCAACAAAGCGAGGCCCTCTCTTTTTTTTTTTTTTTTGAGGCCCTGTCTCAAAATAATAATAATAATAATCCTCCATCTTATCAAAAATAAGAACTTATTTTCAAGAATCAAAGAAAAAAATAAAAAATACAAGACGGAGAAACTGCCCCTTCTGCAACTGCCACCCCCCTCTAGCTACAGCTTGTCAGAACCACTGGAGGGCTTTTATTTTTCACCCCAAATTTGCTAATCTCTCCTTCCATCCACCCTGTCCACTGAAAGTAAACCCCTGTTACTTATTGATGGACATTTTCCCTCTTCCTTAGGTGTGCTGGGACAGGCACAAGCCTGGAAATCACCAGACTAGAGTGTGAGACAAATCTGAGGAAAACACTGAAATCACATAAGGTTTAGATGAAATTGAACTATGATAAAAATTATAAACAAATTTACATCTTAGGTCATTAACGAACCTTTATATAATGTCTTGTTCAGTAGCTATGTAACGTTTATTTTATATTGAAAGCATCTATCACACTTTTGTATCTCCAGATGATCTAATTCAGTGCTATGCACACACAGACACCCATAAATGCTCAGTTTGTAATTTGAGTCAAATAAAATTTTTCAAGTCTTCTGTTCTGATGGTGACTCTAATGTTTTATTGCAAAAGTAACTTCTATCTATATGCATCAACTCCAACGCCTTTACCAGCAACTGCTTCGATTAGCACTGGTAAATATCCAAATAATGATCCCATTTTCTCATAGATTTAAATACCTAACTTTTTAATCACTAAGTATACTGTGTATCTTCTCAAAAATTAAACCTATATTTAAAATGTTATATTACATTTACATACAATATAGAAATTGATCTTTTTACACAATGGAAGATTAAAACACTGTATTTATGATTTCATTGCTTCAGCCTACATGTTTCTGTGATTGATGGTAACATCTAAATGAAGTAACTGGTAACATTTATACAACTACTACTAAATGCTGTATTTTAATTTGTTTCAGTAATCATTCATACTTTTTAGGCATCTTCTGGTGTTAGGTACAAGAAATAAAAATAATCATATTTTTTAAAAACTCGGTCTTGACAGAGAGACAAACACAAATGACCGTAACTCAATGTGATAAATGTTTTAAAGAGGTATGTATTTAAAGTGCCCTGGGACACAGATGAGAGCTGTGTGGAGTGAATCATTTTTATCAGAGCTTTGAAAAATAAAAAGCAAAGAAGCTGGGAGAGAGAACATCCTAGGGGGCATACTGAAAACAGCAAGTTACAGAGAGAGGAAATAAGATGGAAATATAAAAGCTGGGATCAGGTTGTAGGGGATCTGAATACTACATAAGATTTTGGGCACTTAATTCTAAGGGCAGTTAGGACCTTAGATTTTTAAACAAAAGAATATAAGAATTAAATCTACACTGGAGAACAAGTAGAGGTAGATGGCAATTCCAATGAAAAATATTAGTGGCTATGTTATAAAATAAGCCTCTTTTTAAATTTAAATACAGCTCTGCATATGAGTAAAATTTAACATCAACAACTCAAAAGAAGGTCTATAATTCATAAAGCCACTATAAGAGGCAGTAGAGTATAATGGTTAGGCTTTGAAGGCCAGGGCCTAAATACCAGCTTCTCCACTTAAGAGCCTAGTGACCTTGGGCAAGGTACTTAAGCATTTTAAGGTTCTCTTTCCTCATTTATAAAATGAGAATAACAATCATATTGACATACTTAATAAAGTTAGCTGTTATTATTAAAGCTTTATCCTATTTTTAAAATCTCCACCGCACACAGTGTGAAGCAAAAAGAAACTAAGCTAAAATTTGTATAGTAAATCTAAAAAGCTGTCCAGAATATCATAAATCAGGCTTTCTACTGTTCCTTCATTATTCTGTATAAAGTGAATGAACACCCAGAATACTGGATATATTCATGCATTCATATCATTTTAGAATTACCAAAATTCACCCCAAAGCAAAATATAAAATACAGGATTTTTTTTTTGTATTTTGATTTTTTTTATTATTTGGTGGTTTTTCCCTTTGAGCAAATAGCCATGTTATGTCTGCATTGAAATTTTGTCCCTTTAAGAATTGTGAATAACTTTTTATAATGGATAAGTGAAAAAAAATGTCCTAAGGGCCCTTTTCTTAGCTGTTTATTAGTGGGGAGAGGGAGGAGTCATGAGAAACTGGTCCTTTAGCAAGACAAATGACCCTTCTGCAAGAAATCATGTAATTTCTTATCAGTGCAACCCAAAAACCTCCTGGCAACAGTTTAAGATATGCTAGAATTACATTTCATTTTATAAGTCATTTTTATAGCATATATATCAAAAAGGGATTTAGTACCTAAAGTTTAAAATACACGTGTAGGAATGATTACACTGCTACTCCAATCTCTTCATTAGCCTTATTACATGTGTTTAGACCTCCCCTTCAGAACAAATATTTCAGCTATCATAACAAAAAACTATGAAAAAATGACAACTCCACAAAAGTATCTACCAAATCAAGAAAATTGGAAAGCATTCTCCCTCCATAGTCATATCACAGATTTGGGGCTTCACACTGTAGAGATAAATCTTTTAGATATCACAGATAACCAAGTGAGGGCTGGGAGGAGTTCTGGCAAGCTGCCTCCCAGACTGCTGAGGTTCCCTGTTTCCAAGCTGCCCAACTCTCCTAGTTTCCCTGCTGTGTCATTTGCTGTTGTTGCTCTGAAGGAGGAGGAAGCCAAACTCTTGATGCTTCCCTACTGCCAGACTCAGGCTGTCTTCACTTCAGGTGAACAGCCAGGAACCAAGGCAAGCACACTACAAAGACAACTAAGAAGTTGTTTCTGTTAGCTTTAAATATTATGTATGCATTACAAACATTCACACTTCATCCAACCTTTACGTCAAGACCAGCTGAGTAATGCTATACTTCCTTTCACTGGTTGAGGCACCAATTTTTGGTAACATGTCTTCAGTTTTTGCAAAATGTCTAAATTTGTTAGATACACAGATATCTAGATATAATAGAACTGTTACATAAAGGTCAGTAAAACTGCATATAATGCCAAAAAAGTTTTACAGAGTATCTGCATAACCTCTATTTTTTAATACAATTTTTTCAAAACACTGAACAGAATACTATTTTTTAAATGAGGATCTCACTATGTTGCCCAGGCTGGAGCACAGTGGCCACTCACAGGTGCAATCATAGTACACACCACAGCTTCAAACTCCCAGCCTTGAGTGATCCTCCAGCCTCAGTCTCCTAACAGCGGGGAATATAGGCATGCCCCACTGCACCTGCCTTCTCTCTTTTCATGAGTAGGAAATTTTACGTGAGGTATTCTCCAAATACCTCGTATTTCACTCCTCCATTTAAAGCTCTCCCACGGCTTTCTACTGAAATTCAAATAAAATCTGACCCCTGCCTACCTCATTTCCTACCACTCTCACCCTCATTCACTATGTCCAGCCACACTGGCCTACCCCACTCAGCACCTTTCTATCTGCTGTCCTTCAGCCTAAAATGCCCTTCTCATGGTTGGGTCCTTGTCATCATTCAGGGTCATTTCCCCAATGTGGCACCAACCAATGTCCCAACCTGCGCAGTCACTCACCAAGCCATTTTACTCTATTTTAATTTCTTGGTACTGTTTTCTGAAATTACTTTTGTACATTTGTTTCTTTTATTGTACCTCCCTCTATATGAATAAAATCTCCATGAGCACAGAGACAGTGTCTTTTTTGCTGCTGTATCTTCAGTACCTGGCACAACAATAAATGGCCGATAAATATCAGAACGAATGACTAAATACAGTCAGGAGCCACTGGTTGTAACTGCATCTTCAATCAAAGGGCCAAAAAATGGAATAAGCCAGGGCAGGCACAGACCAAAGCACTGCCAGTGTTGTCAATGATTTGTACTGCTCAGCCAAGGTCACAAGTAAACAGGCAGAGAAACACAGGTGGGGCAGGTTGGAGACTGCCCTGCCCACCCCACCTGAGTCACTGACAACCATGCAGGCCTGAATACACTTGCAAAACTAGGAGTAAGATTTAACTGGAACAAACAAAAATCTCTTATTAGTATGGACAATTCTCATGGTGCAAATGATGTGTGTGTAGTATGTTACATATTTTTAAAATTAATTCAAGAAATATAATTACTAATCCTACAAGGTTTCGTATATACTTGTTGGGGAACTAGTCATACTTTCAAAGTTTAGCCCCATAATAATTGATATATACAGTCTGGGTACACAAAATCTTATCTCCTCCTTGAAAAGTCAAGTGTCACAAACTGTTTTCCGGCTTAAGTTAGCACTGTCCACAAGAAATTTCTGAGAAAACTTCACCGAACTGGCTAACCATTTTTTTTTTCTTAAGGGAGCAGGAAGGGGAGGAAGCACACCAGAATGGGAGAAAGTCAGAAATGCATGAGTAAACTGACAAGATTTCAACCAGAAAGGAAAATGCAAATTCAGCCTGCAAGACTGTTATTAGGTATACTGAGATCCAACATAGCATTTCTTTCTACGCATCTTCAGGTCAAAGGACAACGAGTAAATGTTACCATCCTCAAACCTAATGCTCCTTGAGGGGCTTGAAGAGTATCAGAGGAGCTACAGAACTGAAAGATGACTGCTTTTGGAGGGGGACTTACATTCAGATAGAAAGTTCAAATCTTGGAAAGCAATGAAAATTGGACTATAACAAACCATTAACTGCAGAAAGATTTTAAGAGTGGCTCTGGAGAAAAGAGGAGAAAGTAAAACATAGTACCAGTCATCTGGAGACAGAATGGATAAAATTACTATCACTTTTTTCTCTGCTAAGTCATCAAAGAATGCCTTTCTTCACAAATTCATTATCAATATACACCTCACAATAAACAGGACACAGAGACAGAGAAGGGAGCATCGGGTCCCTCCTAGCTCCAAATCTCCATAACAAATAAGTCTGGGCTCCAAGATCTTAACAGTTTTTACTTTTTTACCAAAATCATGTGTTTTAACTTGCTACAATATAGAATTTCCTCCCAATACAGGTAAATGTAAATAGTTACAGTAAAATGTAGAAGTAGAAATCCCCGCATCTACAAAGAATCCAGTAGTGTGAATGCAGAAAATGGCAACAACTTCAAATTTCAGTTTTAACAAGAACTGTGTCCTCAATATATGATTTACTTTAGGACTGGTCCAAATCACTTGACAGTGTTTACTTTGGATGTGAGAACATCTCAGAATACCAAGCTACAAAAAATAAATGTCTTTTCGGGGGCTACCAGTCTCCCTGAAGGATGAAGTTAGGCATTCTGAAGACTTCCAGAGAGAGGGTTACTCAGAAAAAGGCCAAAGCAGTGTGATATACTAGCAAGTAGTATATGACGCTGCTAACTTTACTGCCAGTCTCTGCACACACATTACTATAATCACTTAACATACGTTGGTTCTGAAATATTTACTTAGGTTAGAGGAAAGTTATCTTTCATGTTTATAAAAAATCCTCCTGGGTGCTTGTAATAAAACAAATGTTTTCTTTTAGGGTCTTTTTCTCTGCAAAGTCAACAATCTCCTTTTATTTAGGATAAATGTGTTGTAGCAAAGTCTGCTAAGAAATAAATTTTTATAACACCAATTCTAATATATTAACTTAAAAATTGAGATGTACCCCCATAGAGGAGGAAAGGTTGTAAGTGGTAGTAGGAACAATTTAAATTACTTGTGGAGCAAAATTCCTACGTAGCCAAAACAGTTGTGGTTCCACATATTATTTGTTGCTTGTCTCTGGCAGTTCAGCACCTAATGCTTTTGTGATTCCAACTAATTACTCTCTGAATTAGAAGAATGATTCCTAATCCTAAAACTTTCTTAATTCTACCCTCAATTATCAAGGTAAGCAGGACCAAGAGTATCTGGCATAATCTGAAACAAATTATTAAGACATGATCAGTGGACAATTAAAAAGACAATGCTTATATGATTGCTTTAAGAGTTCTAAGTATATCCAATGTAAAGCATTAACATAACAGCCCATATTAAAAGGATGAAAAACAGGATGGGCGCAGAGGCTCATGCCTGTAATCCCAGCACTTTGGGAGGCCAAGGCAGGTGGATCACAAGGTCAGGAGTTTTCGACTAGCCTGGCCAACATGGTGAAACCCCATCTCCACTAAAAATACAAAAATTAGCTGGGCGTGGTGGCACATGCCTGTAACCCCAGCTACTCAGGAGACTGAGACAGGAGAATCGCTAGAACCCGGGAGGCACAGGTAACAGTGAGCCAAGAAGGCACCACTGCACTCCAGCCTGGGCGACAGAGCAAGGCTCCGTCTCTGGAAGGGCGGTGGCGGGGGTTGGGGGTGGGGGGATGGGGGAGGGGATGAAAAACATTAAATATGATGAGTAACTTATGCTGTGTTAAAAGTAAATACATATATCCAACTCATTCTAGTGCATTCTCCAGCTTGAACAGAATACAAAAGGTCGATGCAAATCAAAGCATGTAAAATATTTTTAAGGATGGCAGCAGCAATTTACTGATTTTCCAATTTATCCAGTAATTTCAAACCAAGTCTTGAAAAAGAGATTCATCAAGATGTAATACATGAACCTGACACTATTTACTTGTAACATGCATGGTACAACGTTAACCTAAAGATCACAAAGGACTTGAATCTCGTAAAGTAGAAGTTAACTTTTTTTGGTGAGGAAAGAGGGGAGATCAGAAAAAAAAAACTCCTTTGAGAATCCACTGAAAATGGTGGGCCCTTTCCCCATCCTCCCCACAAAATTATATATACTATGTTAAGAAATTCTGCCCTAAAGTGTAGAAAGTAGATAACACCAGATCACTTTTCTGGATAAATACAATGAAATATTTTAACTAGGAAGAGTAATACAAACACATTTTCATTCTTGAAAATCATTCCTCCTTTTCCATTGTCTCTCCTCTAAACCAGGTTTGACACGTGAAGGTCACCAACAAACCTGAGGTAAAATCTAGTGGTTACTTGCTGGTCTTCATCTTTTTCTACTGCACAGCACCATTTCCCACTTGATCACTCTACCTCAAAACTTTCCACTCACTGCTTTCTAATACCACACTCTCTTGATTTTCCTTCTGTCTCCTTTGCTGGCTTTTCCTAGTGTACACTTCTAAATGCCAGATGCCTGAGTCTTCATCCTGGGCACTCTTCTCATGATGCCTTTCCTTTCTAGGAGAGAGAAAGGCATTCCCAAGACACCCAAGAGCCTCTGTTTGGTAAGGTCTCCTTTACAAATGTGTATGTATCTCAGAGCTCCAATTACCTATGTCTAACTTATTTTTGACACCTTCATTTGGATGCCTCATGGGAACAGATTTCAAATCTATCAAGTCCAAAAAGGAGTCATTTCCACCCTGCCCTCATCTCCCCTGCCACCCACCACACACGCGCCCTACGGCCCTATTCTAGGCCTAGGAGTCTACCTATCAGTAAAACATCACTATCATCTAGCCAATTGCAAAAAAACACAGAAACTTGGAGTCATTTTTGTTCCTGTCCCTCATCTCTCACATGCAATCCAACAACAGGTCCCAGTGTTCTACCATATCTCCACTGCCACTACCTTAATCCTAGCCACCTGCACCAGCTAGCTTGAAACAGAGCAATACCCTCCTTTCTGGTCTCCCTTCTTCCACTAGCATCTTCCTCCCAGCTATTTTCCATGCAGCAGGGAGGGTGGGAAAAGACTTTTAAAGCATTATTGAGAAAAATCCAAACTCTCTACTTAGCACGGTTTACATAATCAGCATCACCTGACTTGTCCCCGCCTCAGGGCCTGTTTTTACCTTCCCTCTGTCCCAGATGTCTTCTGGTACTTTTCACAAGGCCATTTCCTTTCCTATCTTTTAGGTCTTTGACCAAATGTCTTTGTAAGGCTTCTCTAGGTAACCCTCACACCCTCCCCAATTATTCTCCATCACTGCACTCTGTCAATTTCTTTCCTACTAGCCATTACAACTTGTACTAATCCTTTTGCTTAGCTGCTGTTTGCACTGTCTACTAAAATTCAGGTTTCACAAGCCAGAGGCCAGGTCTGTTTTAGTCACCTACAGAACAATGCCTAGCACACAGCAGACACTCTAATGTTTTAAATGATTACGATCTGATCTACTCATGCTGCTGTCACATGTACAACATTGCTTCATAATAATGCTGACTTTTTGAGCTGCATCACATCTAAAACTTTTCTCCAAGTAAGATCATCCCAAGTTACTCTATTTACTCTCATCTGTTTGGAAATGTGCCTCAATGCCTTTTTCTGTAGAATTTACTAGAGGTCCATCCCACACCAATTTTCCATCGATCAATTTTAATAAATACAAATGGCCAATGTACTGGCAGTATGGATAATGATCATCATTTCAATGCTAGTAGACTCTACTAAGACTACTCCGTTGTATTACTATTTAAAATTTAATAATGACTCAGATCACTACAGACAAGTCAGATGTGGCACCTGTGGCAAATCTGCCTTTGAATGCTATATAAGAGGGCTTTGCATTCACTTTGTCATATTTGGGTCAGCATGTACTTTGGAGAGCAGACAGAATTCAGTTTTTAACTACTCTGTTAAAAGTATTAGTGAACAACACACTGCCCCAATGGTTTGCTGTCACTGTAGCAAAACCCAGTGACAACTTAAATATGTTCTGTATGTGAAAACCTTTGGCTTTGTAAGATTTCCTGAGTGGGATGGGACATCAACTTGGCCTTCCAAAGGTTGATCATCTATGTAATGTGGCATGGACTCTACAAAGCAATCCATAATCACTGTGTATATGTTTCAAGAAAAGAGCCATTAGCATACAGCAAAGTTCCTGGATTACGGTTCTCAAGCAGGGACTTTGATGAGCTTTTAGCCTATAAAGGAGGAGGTTTCCCAGAGGATTAGAAGCATATTCTGACACCAGTTACTAGGTCTTTTGTTTCACTTTAGAGCATGGCTGCATAAAAGAGGCTGAATAAGAATGGGCTTATTATGAAACCCAGTTTCACTTCACTGGTGACATGGGATGTGTCAGATGTCTCAGGCGGGTGCCAGCAACTCTAACATAACCAACTATCTGGAATAGCTTTAGGACTTGGGGGACCATCTCTAGGAACCCACTGTATTTAGCACCCCTAGACCCTTGCTCACTTGTTAACATAAGGTAACTTTATAATAAGGTTACCATTTGTAACTCTGTAGACTAAGAGTCTATGCCACATTACATAGATGATAAACCTTACATGAAGTCAAAACAAGCAATTCAAAGGTGTTATATTTTCTCCAATACATCTTTTCTCAATCGAGCCTGCAGCAGAGATCACATCTTTTTTGCCACACTGACGTCCAGAGCTTCTCTGTGATTGCAGGAAGGTCAAAATTGCCAAAACTGCTTGGGTGCCAACTCAGAAAGACTGCCAGCAATGGACAGCTGTAAAATGTGACAGCAATTTCCCCAGCAATTTCCACTATTTTCTGAAGAGGGTAATGAAGATGTTCTATTAAACCATCCGACCAAATTAGGTTTTTGTGTTTTAACAAATATGTATTGTTTACCTACCCTTTCTCGGACACTGTAGGGATATAAAGACATAATAATCCCTACTCTCGAGGAACTTAAAGTCTGCTGGGAAAGAACACAAACCAAATAACACCAGAAAGATGCTGCTTCTTTTCAGTTCTATACAAATACCTAGAGTGCTACTCAAGCACCAAAAATGCTTCTAATCGTCTAGAAAATTCCAGGCTACCAGCCTTTCTAAACATACATTCTCCCACTTAGGGCCTAAGTTCTCTAGGGCCATCAGTTTCTCTACAATTATGTTATAAAACATTACATCTGCCTCTCTAGCAATTTATTTATTTATTTATTTATTTATTTTGAGATGGCGTCTCGCTCTGTCACCCAGGCTGGAGTGCAGTGGCGCAATCTTGGTTCACTGCAACCCCTGTCTCCCGGGTTCAAGCGATTCTCCTGCCTCAGCCTCCTGAGTAGCTGGGACTACAGGCGCGTGCCACCACGCCTGGCTAATTTTTTGGATTTTTAATAGAGATGGGGTTTCACCATGTTAGCCAGGATGGTCTCAATCTCCTGACCTCATGATCCGCCTGCCTCTTCCTCCCAAAGTGCTGGGACTACAGGCGTAAGCCACCGTGCCCGGACTCTCTAGCAATTTTTACTCTTTTTCTCTCTATATTTGCTTCTTCCTCTCAGCCTACAAAACATACACCTAAGTTCTTACACTTTAGAGCCCCAAGAGAAAATTTCCTTGATCTCCCTCTAGGGACTTTTGCAACCTTGTGGCTTTCCTCCTACTCCTTTCTCCAAGTCCTCTTCATTTCCCATCCTCCATCTGAAGACATCCTTCAGAGCACAATTCTTTCCTCCTCCAATCTCAGCAATCTTGTGCACTTTAACATCACCCAAACTTTCAAATCTAATGTGGACTACCAAAACCAGTTCCAGCCTCAGCTCCACCGTCAGGCCACCTCAGATTCAATGTGTGCAAAGCTAAACACACGGAAGCATCAAAATGCTCACTTTCAAATGACTCCACAAAATTATCATATAGAGATAAGAGAGAGACAGAGCAAACATGGTGTAATTTTGCTGAGGAATCACGGTGAAGGGTGGGCGCTTGCTGTATCATTCTTTTAACATCTCCTGTAGCTGTGAAAATCGTCAAACTAAAGCAGTTGGGAAGAACATGTAGGGTCAGAATCAAAGACAGAAATCATTGTCCTTCCCTTTTAGGAAGTTTATAATCTATTTAATTTGTCTAATCTAATCTAAAAGTAGGCCATGTAGATCTGGGAGTTCAATGACTGATTTAATAATAAACTCAAATATATAGTCAAACTGCAAATATTTACTGAGGACCTACTAAGTGGCAGCAACATGCTAAGCATTGCATGTGATCAACGAAGCAAGTAACAAAACCTTTTTCCCTCAAGCCAGTTCATCCTCCTGCCTTATTTATTTCTGTTAATGCACCACCAACTTCCCCAACACCCAGAAGAACCCGACTCCTTTTCAAGTCCTCCATATCGAAATCAGTGGCTAAGTTCTATGGATTCTACTGTCTTCTACCTCTCTTTCCTCTCCACTTTGAAGGCCACCACTTACACCCCAGACCCTCTTGACCTTCCACCTTAACTACTGTAGCAATCTCCAAGTCTCCTGGTTCCTACCAAGCTCCACTCAATCCTTACTCTGTCTCTATCCAGATAGCCAACTCTATCTGAATGACAGCCCCTACTCAAAAGGTTTTTAATGATTCTCCAGCATCTACATAATAAAATTTAAAGACTTAGCCTGACACTGAAGAACACAAGCTTTATCTATTACTATTTATTCTCCCACTAATGTTTCTTCCTCTCTAGACACAGCTTTTACTCACTTCTGCCCAATAGTGCCCTTTTTCTGTCTTCCCTCTGCTGTCTTGGCTTACACTGTTCCATCACGAATATCCCTTATTCTTCCCCACCCCACTTCTCACCTCTTCCATGAAGCCTTCCCAGATCACTAAGTACTCCAGCCACAATCCCTCAAACCCAAGTCAAAGTAATCTCTCACTCCTCTGAAACTTTATAACATGATATCTGCATTTTATTATTTTCCAAATAATATTTATATTTCCAAGTACCATTCAAAATATGTGTGTGCATGTCTTAACATCTTGACTAGATTATGAACTCCTTGAAGGCAGTGCCTTTTCTTTTCTTTCTTTTTTTTTTTTTTTTTGAGACAGAGTCTCACTCTGTCAACCAGGCTGGAGTGCAGTGGCGTAATCTTGGCTCACTGCAACCTCTGCCTCCAGGGTTCAAGCAATTCTCCTGCCTCAGCCTCCCAAGTAGCTGGGATTACGGGCGCGCGTCACCACGCCCGGCTAATTTTTGTATTTTTAGTTGGCCAGTCTGGTGTCAAACTGCTGACCTCAGGTGATCTACCCGCCTTGGCCTCCCAAAGTGCTGGGATTACAGGCGTGAGCCACCATGCCCAGCTTGTGCCTTTTCATTTATAACAGGCCCTCAAAGTTTGTGACAGGAATTTAACAAGAATCCCCAAAAACTGTGAGTATTGCCTTCTAAGCTATAAGCATTTTTCTCAAAATACTGATTAATATTTTAACAGTGGTATAACTGTTTATTGTGATAAAATATATATAACATGAAATTTGCCATTTTAACCATTTTAAGTGTACAATTTAGTGGCATTAATTACATTCACAATATTGCGCAACCATCACCATTATTTCCAAAACTTTCACCACCTCAAAAAGAAACTGTATTCATTAAGAAATAACTCCCCATTCTCCCCTCCCCTCAGTCCCTGAAAACCTCTAATCTACTGTCTGTCCTTATGAGTTTGCCTATTCTAGGTATTTCATGTAAGTGGAATCATACGCTATTTGTCTTTTTGGTTCTAGTTTATTTCACTTAGTATAACCTTTTTTTTTGAGATGGAGCCTCGCTTTGTTGCCCAGGCTGGAGTGCAGTGGTGCGATCTCTGCTCACAGCAAGCTCCGCCTCCTGGGTTCACACCATTCTCCTGCCTCAGCCTCCTGAGTAGCTGGGACTACAGGTGCCCGCCACCATGCCCGGCTAATTTTTTTGTATTTTTAGTAGAGACGGGGTTTCACTGTGTTCGCCACGATGGTGTCGATCTCCTGACCTCGTGATCCGCCTGCCTCAGCCTCCCAAAGTGCTGGGATTACAAGCGTAATCCACTGCGCCCAGCCCACTTAGTATAACATTAAGGTTCAACCATGTTGTATCCATGCATCACAACTTCATTCCTTTTTATAGATGAATATTCCAGTTTATAGATTAACCAAATTTTGTTTATCCACTCATCTGTTGACAGACACTTGGGTTTTTTCCACTTTTTGGCTACTATGAATAATGCTATGAATACTGACATACAGGTTATCTGTTTGAGCCTCTGTTTTTAATTATTCAGGGTACATAGATAGCAGTAAAATTACTGGGTCATACGGTAATTCTGTTTAGCTTTCTGAGGAATAACAATAGTACAGTTTTACAATCCAGATATAGTCTTTTGGTAAACACAACCGCCACAAGACTTCCTGCTCATTTGAAAGGCAATTCATCTCCAGATAGGGTTTCTTTCCTCTCTAATAGGAAAGGCCCCAGTGATGATCTAATTCCCAACAGCCTGACCCTAGTATGGGTGCTGTTTTGATCGTGCTGAAACCCCAGTCTCCTGGTTGTCACAATTTTTCAACACTGCCTTTACATGCATAAAGGTATACACACTGCAATGGTGAAACTAAACATCATTCAGATGTTTAAGTCACACTTCTATCCTTAACGCATTTAGTAACATCAGATAAATGAAAGATGCTAAAAGGAAGAATACTTTTTAGCACATAAGATACAGGGTTTTATAAAGGATGACTTCTGCTGAACCTATTTCTTATACCCAAACAACCATTTAAAACATGCTGAACCTGGACGAGGTATGTAACACTCCACTGTTGCAAGAAAAGGATCTCTTTCCATTGTGAACCATGATGAGCAGCCTGGGACTTCTGAACTGACATCTCATTACCATTACCACCAATTCGAGGAGGTATTGGAATGCCAGAAAAACACAATGTAAATTCACAGAAACTACGTGGAAGTATACAAAGTGCTAACTTGGAGCATCTGTGTGCAAGGAGCAGGATCAGAAGAGGTCATCAGGACTATCTTTTGCCTTTTACTCCACAAACTTCTGTATTTGAATTTTTCAAAAACATGCATTCTTGTATAATATAATGGCTTAAAACTATTTAAAATATAGGCAGTGTTAGGGAAAAAAAAGCTATCAAAAGAAGGCTAAATGGAAATTCTGTCACATACAGAAAAACTAGTATCAGGGCCAGGCACCATGGCTCACGCCTGTAATCCCAGCACTCTGGAAGGGCAAAGTGGGTGGACGGCTTGAGGCCAGGAGTTTAAGATCAGCCTGGCCAATAGGTAAAACCTGGTCTCTACAAAAAAATACAAAAAATTAACCGAGTGTAGTGTCGAACGCCTGTAGTTCCTGCTACTTGGGGGCCTGAAGCAGGAGGACAGCTTAAGCCCAGGAGGTCAAGGCTGCAGTGAGCACCACTGCACTCCAGCCTGGGTGACAAAATGAGACCCTGTCTCAAAAAAAAAGTGAGAAAGAAAGAAATGTATTTTTATTATTCTCACCCATGCTTGAAGTGTTTAATGACTTTTCAGACATTTTATCCTAAAATAGCACCCCATCTGAATTTCTAGGTTAAGTCACTGAGACATTTACTCATGAAACAAATATATCCATTAAATAAAATCTGAAGTTTAAAGGACTTAGGCAAAATATGCCATTTAGTCTGTATAGACATACTGTCTACAGATATTCGTGTCTACAGGCTAGTTATAACTAGTCAATTTAGCAAAGTTTGAGCCCTGGGCTATAAATAACAGCTGCAAAACTGACTCTGGTGGCCCAGAGTTCATCAGCTATCTAAAAGGCATAATTTTACAATCTAAGATCTGGCACGCTTTAGGGAATCATTACAAAGTTAACATATTTTTTTCCCTAAAAGAATAGAGCTAAATGATATGGGAATAAAAGCCTAACCAAAATGAAGAGTGAGTTGGGAAACTATTTTGTGTGTGTGTGTATGCATATATATACACACACACACAAATCACAGATACTAAAATTAAGAATTTGATTTCTATGGCAACATAAAGCAGTTTGAAAATACTTACTTAAAATGACTTTGGACCAGGTCATTGAACACAATCTGTACTGTGTTCTAAAAAATATCCACCCAACATAATATACAACATTAAGAATTTAATTTTATGTTTTCATACATTATAACATATTGAGCAATTGCATTTCACATAAGTTTTGATGCTCAGTAACTTCAAATATTTTTGCCAAGTGCCAAAATTAGTGAACACAAACAGTGCACCTTCCTTCAAGAGGAGCAATTCTACTGATTTGCAATAATCAACTTTTTTTTTTGAGACAGGGTCTCACTCTGTCGCCCAGGCTGGAGTGCATCACCATGCCCGGCTAATTTTTGTATTTACTGAGAAGTTACTATGTGCCAAGTGCCATATTTTAATAACGTGTTTAAAACTACACACTGAATGCTGACTGAAGAAAGGAAGTATGGCAAAGGGTAAAAATATAAGACAGACTAATTGAAAACCAATTATTTAACTCATTCAAATCTCATGCTTTCATGCTGAGGGTAATTTTAAACATGTACGCACTTAATATATCACTTAATTCATAGATTTTCATTGGACGCTGACTTCAAAAAGTATCCCCAAGGCCAGGTGCAGTGGCTCACGCCCGTAACCCCAGCACTTTGGGAGGCCAAGGCGGGCAGATCACAAGGTCAGGAGTTCAAGACCTGCCTGGCCAACATGGTGAAACCCCATCTCTACCCAAAATACAAAAATTAGCTGGGCATGGTGGCACGTGCCTATAATCCCAGCTACTCAGGAGGCAGGAGAATTGCTTGAACCAGGACCCGGGAGGTGGAGGTTGCAATGAGCCGAAATCATGCCACTGCACTCCAGCCTGGGCTACAGAGCAAGACTCCGTCTCAAAAAGAAAATAAATAAATAAATAAATAAATAATCCATCTTTATCTCCAATAAAGTACATTAAAATACTAAATAATTAAATTCCAAAAGGTAACAGCACAAAACGTAAAACCGAACTCTTTTAAGAGAGCTGAATATTGGGACTACTATATAACATTAAGACAGCACCATTAGCCAACCAAAAGTAAAAATTTTAATTCACATTACTCAAACGGCCCCACTGGAAAATATCTTCAGAAAATAAAGTCATCTTTATTGTTAAAAGACAATGTAATATACATTCTCTTGCAAAATGAAGATGCCTCGTATTTTCTCTCAAATCAGAGATTTTTCTTAAAATTTAGTATTTTGAGCTTTGACTCCGTAACACCAATCACCCAACAGCCACCCAGTTTGGTGCATCCCCTGACCACAGGTAATTCCCAAACGTTTCACCTTGAAGGGGTAATTGGGAGGGTTTCCCAAAGATAAAAAAGTTCCACATGCCTCAGGAGCATAAATCTTTCACACATAAACTCAGTTAAAACGATGTGAAACTGAAGTGTACTTACACTGTTTTTTTTTTTTAAATGCTTAATCCCATGAAAATCTTCAAATGGTTTACAATTTTAGATTTGACTGTGCTTATTCACAAGAAAGCCATTATATGTTTTAATCAATGTTATTAATAACACACACATAGGAGACACACAATACCAAGCAGGAGCAATAACTAGACAGCACAGAACCACCTTGGGGAATGTACATGGATTCCACACAAACAACCAAGGGAAGCTACAGGCTTCCACGTGAACCACCACCATCAAAATAATGAGTTAGGCCTAAGTCTTATGGTTTTTCCACTTCTCAACCATCTTGAGAGATTATTAGCCAGGAAAGAATTCCCCAGAATGATTAAGTGTTCCAATTATAAACTATAGTTTAAGAGCATTTCAAACTCAAAATGACTTTCCTTACAAAACAGGACAAAGTTTCACGGAAGAGCATCCCACACCTAATCAACATTAAGAATGAATGTAACCAAAACGGCAATAGTTTTGTATTTAATCCACTAATTAGTTTCCAAAGTTCACTGTTACTAAACAAAATACTTCATTTAGCTTTTCAACCTATTCCCACACACTCATCTTAAAAATTGTGTATAGCCGCTGAATACTTTGTCAGTAACTTCTACTCCTACCAATAAGTTTAGAGTATTTCTGAAATCTCACATCCCTTTCCAACGCCGATCTTGAGAACTAGGTTAAATGTTATACTTAATTTTTAAAGTATGGGAGTTACAGGACCTCCCTTAAATAAATGGTTCTATTCTAATACATAGTTGTAAGTTACCCTCACTTCATTGTTGATCTAGTAAAGTCATCAAGTCTTCCACCTTGACTCAACAGTAGCAAAATGGCTTCTCTAAATAAAGCTGTGATCAACAAACCCTTAGAAAGCTGGTTTCAATTTGTTTTGAAACTGAAACACACATATGTATACAGTCTGAATAAAGCAAGTGAAAAAAACACCCCATGAAAGTTTAACTCTACAATTTAAAAGAAAACCTTTATCAAAGCCAGAAATTGTTTCCTGAATTGCTCTGCCAAAAGTCTAATAAAAAATCTATATGCTATGGAGTAAGTTTGAAGATCCAGTGTTTAACTCTAATGTTCTCTTAGCTTAGCAGAGATTGAATAAGAGATTACTGTAGCAAAGCAGTTTTCCAAACCAAAATGTCCTTCGCATCTGAAAGGTTTTACATCATCTTTAATGGCATATCAAAGACCCATGATTAGGCAAGGAGACACCTTTAAATTTACTTTAGTTTTGTTTCATATATGTAAAAATCCACTCCAAATAAATCCATTACTTCTTCTCAACAGTACTGAGCTTGTCAGAGGCTCATCAAAACATTATACTCAGGTTAATAAATTTCAGCTGTTACGTGATGTTAGTGCCATAACAAGCATTAGCCAAAGAATCAAAGAAAAAGTATATAATAAAAAGAAAAACCCAAGACAAAGGTTAGAAGAATTTTAAAAATGGAAAAAATCCGAAAAGCAACTCACCTGCAATTAGGTGGAGGGTCTAAAGTGATGTCCGCCAGCTCCTTCTGAATTCTGGAGTGGGAGAAATGGGAAAGACAAACACAAGAAGCATTAAGGCGCGGAAGCCTCCCACCTGTAGCGTGCAGGTCTGCAGATAAACCTAAGCGCGATCACTGGATTCTACTGGGCAAAGAGGAACTACACATCAAGAACTTCAGGTCCCTAGTTTAGGAAAAAAACTTTTCACGGAGGAAGTGAGGCAGCCTGGAATCTCCTGTTCTCATCTGCAAAGTTTGGCTTCCAACCTTGCCTCGCACACCAGGGCAGTTCTATTCCTCGGTGTTTTCCATGTAGGACCTAATTTTAAAGTTTCTCACTTGCCGACCGGTTTCCTCAGTCCCTCCCCTGCACCTCTCCCCAGCACGGAGAGATCACAGCCATCGGTGCGTGGGAAGGACGCCAGCCTCCAGCCTCCCTTGCCCCTTTCACCCCTCAGATGCCCCCATGCCCACCCCGGCAGGGCGCCCCCGACAGGCCGAAGGTCCGAGGCCTCGCTCAACACCCGACCCGCCCGGAGTCCTCAGTGACGAAGCCAACATGGCCGCTCCCCACGAGGCCCCTCGGGCCCGAGTGACCTGCCAGCCGTGGCGGGGTGCCCGGGAGGCCCAGACCGCAGGTCGCTCCCCAGCGGTGGGCTGCCACCGCCCGGCCACGCCGCCCCCACCCCGCGCGCGCCCCCGACGGCTCGCGCCGCGCCGGTGAAGTTGCGGGCGGGGGAGGGGAACAGGGTGCCCGCACGGGGGCTGCTCCGCGCCGCCCCAGCTCTCCTCTCCCGGCGCCCAGAACCTTGGCCCGAGACCGCGCGCGAAAGCAGGGCGCGAACACCCCCGCCCGCCACTCGGGCACCACAGACCCCAAGTGGCCGGCCCGCGGCCGCACAGGTGCACCGGACCCTGCCTCCGCCCCGCACGCTGGCCGGGACTCTCGGCCCACCTCCCCGGACCTGCTTTTCCCCGGGCGTCCTCTAACTTCCCGGGGTCTGCCCACTTCCTTCATGGTCCGCTCTCTAGCTCACACTGGGGATAGACTGGAGACCTGCAGTTTTCTCCCTCCGCACCAACCCTCGACTTCACAAAGGGCCCCATCCCCCACTCATAGGCCGAAGCCACCAGGCAGTTCACACCAAGCCCTGGCCTTTGTCTTTTGCTTACCTAGGCACTTAGAGCATCAATTAATACGACAGTTTAGGGCCTCTAAGCTTCTTCCACCTTCTAAACGGTGCCTAATTTTATAACCTTTCCTCCTCCTATCATATAAAGCCCAATGGGGCTATGTTACAACTTAAAAATCTCACCGAGGCAGCACTGTAGTTAAAAAAATTTTAAACACACACACAGAGCAATCTAATTCACAAAGGATACGTTTTCCTTTCCAAAGGTTTTCTGCGGGTAGGAGGACGGACGAGCTATATGTAATGAGGAACAGGTTTTAAGGACGACGACTGGGGGAGGTTCTATAAACCTTCCTACTGGAGGACATTTCCTGTCCCTACGTATCTGTCAACTTTAGAAAGGGGTTTGTTCACAATCTCAATTGACACGTATTTGTGTCCTGCTAAATTCTACTATCAAAAAGCGTTTCATTTCTGAGACATTCATACTCCCGCTGTTTGACTCATGACTGTACATTAGACTCAAAGTTTGGAAAATTGGTTTCCTGATTCTTTACCTGAATCTTTTCAAATAACTGTATTTTAAGACCTACACACGTAGGCAAAAATTTCCTCCCCGGAGCACAACGCATATAAAAATACATATTGACTTCAGTCCTCCTTGCCAACCCAACTCCCACTATAAAATAGTCACAAAAAAAGGTAGTTGTTTCTTTAATACCTAAGAAGCGTTAATACCAAAAAGCTTTATCAACTTCATCTTGACAGACAGCATTTGCATTTCCAAAAAACTGGCAAGAGATTTGCAGGAGTAACTCATACCTATTTCCAGAGAGTCATTCTTGTTCAGACCACTTGCAATGGGGGCTTTCCTCTACCCACGGTTTAGAAACCACTTTCCAACATGCAGTTAGCAGCCTGTTAGTCTGCCAATTCAGGCTTCTTTTTCACTCCTACTCCTGGTGAATGTGCCCCTTCCAATTCTATGGGCAACACCTACCTTCCAAATCAATATACTTCACAGAACAGCCTCTATAGGGTCCCACTAACATCAATTTTCCCCATTCTCTTTCCTGGATACACTGTCCCTCTCCATTTTTTTACCTTTTTCTATTAACTTTAGGTCTGCTTTAACACTAATAGCTACTCTTTCAGCAAGATTATCAAGGAGCTAAATTCATTGCAAAAACAAAACAAAAGCCCTGATGTTAATTTATAGGTAAAATTACTATTTGTAGCTTCCCACCTTTCATTTTTCTACACCTATCATCTCTTTTCCAGAACTTCCAAATAAATTCTTAACTTGTTTAAAATAAACAAAGTATGTCTAGTGAAAAAAATCCCCCTCTCTGTAATTCACTCACAACAAAAGCAGAGTATTTTCTATTTGATACCTGTGTCTTTACCCCCAAATATATTCATGTACACCAGGGATATCTAGCAAAATATAAAAATGCAAATTACCAAAAGCAAGTATCCTGGCTTGAGCACGTGAGGCCAAAACGTGAATGAGGATCAGAGAGCCTAGAGGATTGAGGTGGGGCGCAGTATTAAGGAAGGGCCCGTCCCAAGTGGGCAGAGTAGATGTCAGGTTCCAGGAAAACCGCACAGGGCTAATCAGTGAGGGTCAGTCAGGCCTCCTGAGAAGCTGTACAATCAAACCAAACCTATAAAAATGAGAACAATCTTGCAGAGGCACCTTGCCACTTAAGACCTCCACACTATTTTTTAAAAGTCACTCCTTCATCAGCCCATGGTTAGGTCACCAAAACACTGCCAAGTTTTCAAATTACAAGTCAGGGAGAATGACAGAACAAACTCTCAAACCCTGACTTCCAGGCTCACTACTCAGTGGAGAGATCTAAAGTCTCATGTTCTACTTTATTTTAAAAATTTTTAAGAAGGGTATCCCTATCCCATCATTTGGAGTTCTTACTATCTTCCTGGTTTGCCACCTTTTTAACAACTGCCTAACTCTGAGAGCAGAAGGATTTATGAAAGGGTGTCTCAGAGCTCCTAGGAATCCACTAAAGATGATTTTGAGGGTCATGGCGATCAGAGGATATTACTGAAGGATGGCAGGGGTAAAAAGTAGCTACCTCCAGAGGCTTAAGAGGAAAAGAATAAAGAAAAAGGGTGACCGCTTAGGATGGCAGGGATAAAAAGTAGCTACCTTCAGGGCCTTAAGAGGAAAAGAATAAAGTAAAAGGGAGACCACTTAAATTGAAAAAATAAGGCAAAGTAACATTTTCACAGCATGAGGACAGCAAATAGCATGAAAAAAAGACAAGTCTCCCTGAAATTGGTAAACTGAAGTTTTTAAAGAGAACCACAAAAATAACCTAGAATAACCATTTTATAGTCACTTACTGATTCATTCATTTGCCTCAACTCTCAGAAAAATCTCTTTAAATTCCACCAGAAAACATCTGTCTTCACCTACTAAATTTTGTACCTGCTAATATGAGTTTCTTATTCCTTATGCAATTTGTGAAGAAAGCTCTATTTAGAAAAGATCATCCATGCAACAGGTGAGGAGAAGGTAAAATGGTCACAGAATTCATTTTGATGCAGTTCTCTGGGCTGGTATTAGTAATTAAGAAATGGGATCATGGCCTTGGGGAAGGTCACAGATTAACCATTAGTAGGACAAGAAATCTGAAATCAGATTTGGGGGTCACTAATAAAAGTAACGAGGAATCTTACAAACTTCAGCAAGAAATGCGAGAGGCAAGCCGCAACAGCTGCATGTGAGCAATGATTTAAAAACAGAAGCAGCAATAGAGAAAATAATTAGGGCTTCCAAGGCCCTTCTTTCATTTTTAAGAACACATAAACCATGAGGAGCGTTTAAGCTATCCTCATTGGGAGGCAGACCAAATGCAGCAAGAGGCAGTTCGGAAATAGGAAGCCTGTGGAAAAAAAAAAGAGCACAGTACCTCTTGGCGCTGGTGGAGAGGAGTTTGGAGTTTTTGCTCATGCTGACTTTACTCTCCTTCTTCTTGGGGGTGTTTGTTTCTTTCTCGGTTTGCTGGTTGGAAGACGAAGATGAGGAGGAGCTGGTGCTGGCCCTCGAATCGTCATCCGACATAGCGAACCCCCCACCCCACCCCGCAAACAGCCCCTGCAGGGGGAGAGAAACAAAACAGAAACACACAAACCATGCAGCCAGTGTAAATAAGGAACTCGGGTGCTGTCAGGAGGGCATTGACCAGGGGCGCACGCGGCCGCCCACCGCCCTCCACTCGCTTTTCAAAGTCTGCAGGCCCATTAAGGCTTTTGCAAATCGGACGCGGCTTGTTTATTTTTGGCCCCAAGTGGGGAACGCTGTGGGAAAACGGTCTGGAGCTAGGAGAGAGGCCCCTCCCTCGCCCCCCGGGGCTCTCCGCTGGGCAGGGAGGGAGTAGCCCGGGAGGCGAAGGAGGGCAGGGCGGGGGGCGCGGGGCGCCACGGCGGGGCAGGGAGGGAAGGTCCCGGCGGCCGGCCGGCCTCGGGGCTGTTTTTGTCCGCTTTCCGGGGGTCGTGAGGGGCCGGTGGCCCGGGTGAGACTGTGGGGCCACGAGCGGAGTTTGGCGAGGTCGGGAAGAGAGGAGGGGCGGGAAGGAGTAAGAGAGGAAGCCGAAACAGGGGGACGGAGGCGGGGAGCGGGTGCCCGGGTGGGGGAAGGGAGAGGCCGGCGGGGGGCAGGGGCGACGAGGCCCGAGGCCCCCCCGCGCCGCGCCCCGACGCCCCTCCCGGCCTGCCTGCCTCTGGCCGCCCTGCTCACAGCTATGCGGCCGGGCGGGGGTCCGGAGCACACGCCCGATCGCCACTCCTGTAGGGGGATAGGGGCTGCGGCGGGGAATGGGGGGGTCGGCCTCCGCAGCGAAGACATAACAATGAGCCCTTCCGCCCCGGAGGGGTTAATCCCCGCGAACCCCCGCCCCTGGGGAAAACGGGGCTCCCCCAACTCCCTCCCACCCCCGCTCCCGGGCCCCTCGGTGGCCAGTGGGGGGCTCTTGGGGCAGCGCTGACAGTTCGAGCCACAATGACCCCCGTCCTCAATGCGGGCGGCCCCCGCACCCCACGCGGCCCGGGGTCCCTGCCCATCCCCCGCGGGCGGGCCCCGGACCCCTGGGGCTCCCCAGCCCCTCTCCGCTCCCCCCCCGCGCCGGCCCCGTGCCCTGCGGCCCGGCGGCCCCGGCGGCGCGAGTCGGGGGAGGCGGCGAGGGGTGTCCCCGAGGCCCGGCGGCGCGGCCGGGGGGCGGCGGGCCGCTGGGGGGATCCCCGTACCTCTCTTTGTGTCTGGCTCCTCCGTGCCGCCGCGGCGGCTGCTGCTGCGGCTGCGGCTGGGCCTGGCCACTCGTGTCTCTCTCTCGCTGGGAGAGAAGCGGAAGTGCAGCAACAGCAACTATTAAACAGGCAATGGCTTCCCCCAGCCACACACGCTCGCACACACACCACTCCTCCGCCGCCGCCTCCTCCTCCTCCTCCTCCTCGCCCTCACCCCTCCCCCACCCGGCCCGGTCCCACCCACCCGCGCTCCCCTCCCCCTGCAACACCTCCTGGGGGTGCGCGAGGAAGACCCAGGAGACCCCAGGAAACCCTGTCCCCCACAGACACCCCCACCCCAGCGCCTCCTCCGGACGCCCGGGAAGGGGGCGAGGGTTGTGAATTTTCTCTTAAGTGGTTTGGGAACCTGGATTCTGGGCGGGAGAGGGGAAGCCGATGGAGATGGGGGGCGCTGGGAGTGATTGGAACTAGATGGAATAGGGGGGTCACGAGAGAAAGTTCTTTCCAATGAGGGCTTTTGGAAAGGAGAGGAGTAGGGAGGTGGCAAATTGGTGAAAACGTTGGTAATCTGGTGGTGGCAAAGACTTTAGAGAATGCAGCGGGTACTCCACCTAAAAAGCGATTAAAGAGAAAAAAAAAATCACACAACAAGGGTTTTCTTTGGACTGACACTTGCTTCTCCTTCTAGCAATTTACCTGCTAGGAGCAGAGGTCAGTTTAGGTATGCCTGTGAGAAAATCCCAAACTAGGAATTTTCTGCTCAGGTCACGCGAGGCACGTGCAGTTTTACAATATTAGATTCTTCCACTCACTTTTTATAGAAAGTGATGTGGTTTTTTATAAGAGTGATACAAAGGTTTTGGTGACAGGTAAAACCAACGTGTAACGGGCTTGCGAATGTGAGACATCACTGGGAATAAGCTATATACTACTGAATTAGACTGGATTTAGAATTTTTTGTGTCATTTTACATTAGATGTAAGGTTTGGTTTTTGGAAATTGGATGCAAAGTTCTGGGGATCGCAGAATCCCCAGATCGCTAAATTGACCAAATTATTTTTAAAATATTAAGCCATTTTTCTCTTTCTTTAGCTACCTATAAATGCTATGCAAATAATATTTTTGAAATGATCAGCAATTCTTCTGAATTGTTCCTTATTTAGCATTTTTGCCAATTTTTTTTTAATATTAAGCCATCAAATTACGATTCAGTTTCTCACCTTTTGTCATTTCAGTTGAAGGGAACTAAAGAGATGTGTGCCATTCAAATACAACAGTGCCACACATACAAGGTCTTGTACATTAAGGAGACAGCCTCAGATTTCCATAGGTCACTCTAAATTATCTCATTCAAACTGCCATCATTTTCCACAGCAACAGTGGCTTCAGTTACCACAGGACAACACAAGATATACAGCCCATGGCATATCCAGTAACCAGGAAAACAAGCATTCTCACGACCCAGCCGAACTCCTTCTAACCATCAACCTGAAATTCCAGCTTTATCAAGACTCATAAAGTAATTGTGCATGCTTCTTGCTCAATCCCTACCAGGAAACCTGTATCTACCAGGAGTTGTCATAGAATAAGAAGTTCAAAAGCTGGAAGAAATCTTCAGGGTCATAATTTCAGCCTCCTGCTTCCAGACAGAACTATTTCTCCACCACTGAAATGCATATAGATTTTGAAAAAATTTCCAGACATAACCTTTCTTAAGTGTTTGGTTTCAGGAGTCCTGGTAGAGTATATAAAAATGATGACATTCTTTGCTATATATTTGAAAAAATTTTTTAAACTTCTGAAAAACTGATTGTATTCTTTTTGTTCTGATGAAAAGATGTAAATTCAGAAGAAAACAATAAGAAGATGAAATAAACTCAGGATGAGGAAAATAATCTAAAAATAGTTATTAAAATTGAAATTTCCTCCTATGAAAATTTGGATTTCTGATACTTAAAAATATATGTCTACATTATGAATACAACCAGTAAAAAAATCATGTGTTATAAAGACAAGAACTAGCAGAGATCACAGGAAAATAAAAGGTTTGATTTGCTGAAGTGATCAGGACAGTAGGTGAATTTTTTCTTTAATATTGGTTTGCATAAATTGCCTACCAGCTATAATAAGAATTCTTTTGTAACAGAACATGATATTTTGTGTTGTGTTACTGATGCTTGGGTTGGACTGATTCCTTGTGAAAGAAATCATGAAATCTAACAGCTCCTCCTATAAGGAAAAGTGATTTCCCAACCACCTGTCTGGAAGGTTTCTTGCCCTCTTTTGTGTACTGTTCCCCCTAATCTCTAATTCCAGCTAGCTTAAGTTAGTGCTTTATCGTTTTGGAATGACCTGATGACAGGGAATAAAAACTTCAAAATGTTTAGAAAAGAATCCAGTCCTCTCAAAAGACTAATCTTTATGTCGAATTATTTTTAAGACCTGTATGCAGCTGTCTTAGGGGAAAAAAAATTCATACACAACTTTCTATCTCTCCTTCTTATTAACTACAAGGCCTAAAAAGCTAAATTGACCTCCCTGAGCCTCAGTTCCCTCATCCATAAAGGGCAGAAATACCTGTGCTCTACTGACTGGCAAGGTCAAATATGTATCTGTAAGTAAGGTGATTTATTAGCTGTTACGCAAAGTAAATTATTAATAATTCCACTCTAGTGGAATTTTCTTAGTTCATGGGTTTGGGGTTATTTGTTGCTTTTATGTTTTTGTTTTTCGTCACCAGGGCAGAAAAGAGGACATGGGGTTTTTATAACTTAGAATTGATGAAAATATAAGAAACCTTCCAGGAGAAACATATACTCAAGGAATCATAGTATTTTATGCCTAGAAGGGGCCTAAGATATCTTCTAGTTCACACTCTTCATGTTACAGATAAAGAAATCAAAGCAAAGAAAGTTATGTTGGCCGGTATGTTGGCCGGGCGTGGTGGCTCATGCCTGTAATCCCAGCACTTTGAGAGGCCAAAGCAGGTGGAACACGAGGTCAGGAGATTGAGACCATCCTGGCCAAGATGGTGAAACCCCGTCTCTACTAAAAATACAAAAATTATCTAGGCTTGGTGACATGTGCCTGGAATCCCAGCTACTCGGGAGGCTGAGGCAAGAGAATCTCTTGAACCAGCGAGTCTTGATTGGAGGTTGCAGTGAGCCGAGATCGCGCCACTGCACTTCAGCCTGGGGACAGAGCAAGACTCTGTCTCAAAAAAAAAAAAAAAAAAAAAAAAAAAAAAGCCAGTATGTCTTATCCAAGGTCATGCAGTAAGTTGGTGGCAAAATTGTTGTTATGACCCATGCTATCCACAGATGATCTTGTCAGTTCTGGCAATATTGGAGTGGGAGAAGAGCCTCAATTACATTGCAGAAAAATGTATTAAATATAAAAGGGCCGGGTGCAGTGGCTCACGCCTGTAATTCCAGCACTTTGGGAGGCCAAGGCAGGCAGACTCCTTGAGCCCAGGAGTTCAAGACCAGCCTGGGCAACATGGCAAGACTGTCTCTACAAAAAATGCAAAAATTAGCCAGGCCTGGTGGCACATGCCTGTGGTCCCAGATACTTGGGAGGTTGAGGTGGGAGAATCACCTGAGCCCCAGAGGTTGAGGCTGCAGTGAGCTGTGATTGTGCCACTGTACTCCAACCTGGGTGGTGGGAGTGAGACCCTGTCTCAAAATAAGTAAATAAATAAAATAAATATAGTAGTCTCTGATAATATTTTCGAGAATATATTAACAATCAAGACAGCTGGGAAAGTGGGAACATGGAAGCAAGCTAAGGGAATCACTGAATTTGTAACATGGTTGCTTGAACTAATGACTGCTATTGAAGTTCCCCAACCCCACCCTCATCCTGAGAATAGTCCTCATTATTTATTTATTTTGCCTATATGGATATATTTTAAATAGATAATACATTTTCATGCTATATTATTCTAAAGAAACCAGAGAGTATGCCACGAAAATATCTTTCTGCCCCTTCCCCCACCCCTAATTTCCTTTGGAGAAAGCAGTTTTCGGTTGTAGTCTATGCATGTGTAAAGCAAATGCATACATATGCACTGAATGCTTTGATAGTAATGCTCAATTTACATTTTAGAAAACCAGCCAGTCACAGAAGCCCAAGTAGTATTACACTGTGACATCCTGTGGACTTTGAGAAAGTGGGCTCCAGTTTTTATTAATACCTATTCCTGGTTTTCAGAATGACCCAACTCTCCTTCAAGTCATCTTTAGTGTATCAAGTACATTTAAGTAGAAACACTTGAAGATCAAGGTGCTAGTTGATCCCTAGGAGGTGAAATAATACAGTTGAAAGAGGGAGACTTGGTTTAACTTTTTGACTTGTTGCTTACACTGAAATTCAAGTATTTCATAAAGATTCTCTTTGGCCAATTTCATGTCCAAAGAATTGTCAAGCAAGTTAACGTTGGTTAATATAGTTTTTTAACTTACCTTATTGCTGAATAGAAAGGATTTCCTTTGCTGGGCGTGGTGGCTCACACTGGTAATCCCAGCACTTTGGGAGGCTGAGGTGGGCGGATCACCTGAGGTCAGGAGTTTGAGACCACCCTGGCCAACATGGTGAAACCCCGTCTCTACTAAAAATACAAAAATTAGCTGGGTGTGGTGATGAGTGCCTGTAATCCCAGCTACTCGGGAGGCTGAGGCAGGAGAATCTCTTGAACCCAGGAGACAGAGGTTGCAGTGAGCCGAGATCATGCCATTGCACTCCAGCCTTGGTGACAGAGTGAGACTCCATAAAAAAAAAAAAGAAAAAGAAAAGATTTCCTTTTTCCATCCAAAGAAAAAAAAATCTTGTGTTTGCAACTTATAAAGAATTTATATAAAGCCTTTCTGGGAAAAATGGACTCACTGGATTTCAATCGACTTGTTTCATTTTATAATTCTCCTTTGGCTGAAAAATCCATTCCTTGTAAGAAAGATAAGGAAAGTTCAAAAACAAGGGTCGATTCCATAAAGACGAATGTGATCTGGGGCATTTACCTTCAATTTGGGTCATTTTTCCATAGGCCTTTTAAAAAAAATAAAATAGCACTGATCCCATTGAAGGGCCCTAAGCACTATCGTACTTTATTGGCCTGAATGTTGCTAACACAGGAAGGTAGGACAGAGCTAAATTATTTTTTTCTACCACATGGAGGCATTGAACAACCATGTGATTTTCAAAATTTATCAAGACTTGGTAAGAGTCTAATGTTGTCTCAGGCAAGGGCAAAAAGGTTGATTTGATGTCCACAAAAGGATAGTGATTAGTATGAAAGTACTCTTCTCAGTTTATAATGTAGCATCTCCTCTGTAGGACCTATTTTTTAAACAAACTAGCCTTCTTCAACTTTCTATACATTGATCACACAAGAATAGACTATATTAGAATATGTAGGATTATAATTTGAGCAGTTTGGTTCATTAGTCTCTGAAACCTTTTCCTGAATTGAACACTCTTCCAGTTTACTGAAATTTGGAGGAATAAAATAGTAGGGAATAAATATTTTTATTTCATGTTCTTAATTATCTATTGTGAAACTTTTAAAAAATATCAACTTCTCCACAGTTCCATGGTGTGGCAAATCTATAGTCAAGGATCCAATTTGAATCCAAAATTTACCTCAATAATTGTAAACCCCAGAAGCAATTGGCAGCAAAGATACCAATCTCGACTTGCTAAGCCTACAGGACAAGTTCTGTCTTTGCCACTGATTGAACTCATGGCTGTGCCTCAAATAAATTAATCAACAAATATTTATTAATTAGTCTGTGTAGGCTAAGTACAGTGCTAAGTGCTATGACAGATGTAAAAAGTTGTTTCTTTTTTTTCTTTTCTTTTTAGAGACAGGGTCTTGCTCTGTCACCCAGGCTAGAGTGAAGTGGCTCAATCATAGCTCGCTGTAACCTCAAACTCCTGGGATCAAGCAATCCTCTTGCTTTGGCCTCCCCAGTGGAGTCACTGGGATTACAGGCATGAGCTACCACACTGGACCCAAGATGTAAAGAGTTCCAAGAGGTACCCTCTGGCCTCCAGTAAGGACCAGAGGAAAAGGGATTAGAGCTGAGCCTAGAACGACAAGTAGGGCTTGGGAAAATGAAGAGACATTCTCAGGTATTGAAATGACGTTGAAAATGATGTGGAAAAACATCAGACCTGAAATAGACTATTATTAAAATATAAAATTACATATATATAAATTATAAACTGTAAAATATATTATCAAAATAGTATTTTATTAGAAACAAAAAGAAACTGGCCTTTATTCTTTAAAAGCATCACTGGCATGAAAGACAAGGAAAAATTGAGACTTTAGATTAAAGGAGACTAAAGAAGCACAAGAACTAAATATAATATGTGATCCTGATCAGACACTGTACTGAACGGCAAAAAAATTATGAAGAACAGAATTGGGTCAATTGAAAAAATTAGAGTATGGAAGTTAGATTAAAGTATTGTATCAATGTTAAATTTCCTGAAGTTGATAACTATATGAAGAATATTTTTGCTTTTGGGAAATAGACACTGAGCTATGAAGGTGTAAAGGCACGTGATATCTGCAAACTATTTCAAAGAGTTAAAAAATGTTACTAATTGGTAAATCTGGGTAAAGGGTATATGGACGTTTTCTGTATTATTTTTGTGACTTTTCCATAAGTTCAAAACTTAAAAAATATAAATATGTAGTTACCTCAGAGGAAATGAAACGGAGTGGAATGAAGGAGAGATTGCTAACTCATTACATATTTCTGTATCATTTCTTAAAATAAATGTGCATTACTTTAGTATACTTTTAAAATCCAACCACTGAATCTTTAAAGAACAAAAAATATCTATGGAAGCAGAAAAATGCAGAAAGCGATTAGGAAGACCATGAATAGACTAATTTGGTTGAAAGACTCAGAAAACTAAGTGAACAGAGAGGAAGAAGGATGAAAAGTAGGTACCAAGAGCTTGTGGAGGGGCTCAACAGTGAGCTAAGAAGCCTGGATTTCATTACAGGATAAAAAGTACAAGGGATAAACATTACAGGCATTTTAGCCTCTGGGTATTTTAAGAAGATTAGTTTGATAGAAAAGCCAGAAAGGAGTCAAGGAAACCAAGGAAAGACGCCATTGAGGAAGTCTAGGCTTGGGGAAGCAGCTCCTAATTCCTAATTCTCCGTACTTATTTTAATTAATCACTGTTTAATGTTGAAGCTCTGGGAATCTAAGTCCCATGTTAGAGAATTTGTCTGCTTAGAACTGTTTTTAGAACAGTGCTTGGCCCTTAGTAGGCATGCAAGAAAAAGTTAACCAAGGTAGGGAATGAAAGATATCCTTGCCTTTAGTACTATTCCTTTCTTTCTCTTTTCCCCATCTCTTCTGATGTTCCGTGATTCATGCATACATGATTACACCATCAAGCAGTTGACAAGGAACGTGTGGGTGGGTGTTGTTCACTGAAAGAGGGTGGGTGACCCCAAGGTGAAGCCTAAAGTGACCGCCACCCCCCAACCCCCAGCATTGTAAGGAATTAAAGCCTTGACATCAGAGTCACAGAATTCCAAACCGGAAGAACTCTAGAGACCATCAGGTGTTCCCCGTTCTTTTGACAGTTGAAGACACTAAGGTGCAGGAAGAAAGGATGAGTTTTCTGAGGTCAGGCAAGTAGGTAGCAGCAGAACCGAGACCTTTCCCTTGAGGGAACCAAAGTTGACTATGGGGACTTGTGGAATCCACATCTCTATACTTCAAGCATGGAGCAGCAGGCAGGGACTACAGAAGCAAGAGGAAAGCTCCATGGAGGCATGTTCTCATTCTATCTACCCAGCTACTACTGCTTTCCAGGATCTGGGCTGTCTCATAGTCTTTGATGTCCACCCAGTAGTGAGCATTGGGCTGGACACACACACACACACACACACACACACACCCCTTGTTTCCTGAATTACTTAACTGAAAGTTAACCTAAGGCTGGGCGTGGTGGCTCAAGCCTGTAATCCCAGCACTTTGGGAGGCTGAGGCAGGTGGATCACAAGTTCAGGAGTTCGAGACCAGCCTGGCCGATATGGTGAAACCCCGTCTCTACTAAAAATACAAAAATTATCTGGGCATGGTGGCGTGTGCCTGTAGTCCCAGCTACTCCGGAGGCTGAGGCAGGAGAATGGCTTGAACCTGGGACGTGGAGGTTGCAGTGAACCTAGATCACACCACTGCACTCCAGCCTGGGTGACAGAGCAAGATTCCGCCTCAAAAAGAAAAAAAAAAAAAAGAAGCCCACACAGATACTTTCCCAACGTGATTGAGAGGATAGAAGCAAAGATTCCTACATCCCCTTTTCATCTCTGACTTTAGTCATCTTGAAAAGTCTCTTCAGATCTTGGTGAAGTAGTAGGAAACAGGAAAATGGTGAGCGTAATCACTTTGGTTTTGTGGCTGAAACTACACACATCACCACTGGGTTCTCCACAGATTGTCAGGGGCAGAAACTTAAGCAGTATCCTTGCCCCCTTTTCCCCATTGCTTCGTTTTTCTCCACTCCTCCATCCCAGAGAAGAGCCCAGCTCAGGGTAGTTATGAGAATGAACAGACCTGAGTTTTCATACCTGCCTTGCTGCTTACTGGCTACGCATCCTTGGAAAGTTATAAAATCTGCCTGAAACTTTGTTGCTGCATATGTAAAACTGGGAAAATAAAACTCACTTCATAAGGTTTTTTTGAAGGGTAAATGAGAAACATCTGTAAAATGCTTAGTCCTGTTCCTGGCACGGCCTAACTACCCAATAAATAGTAGCTGTTGGCCCGGCGCGGTGGCTCACGTCTGTAATCCCAGCACTTTGGGAGGCCAAGGCAAGGCGGGTAGATCACGAGGTCAGGAGATAGAGACCATCCTGGCTAACATTGTGAAACCCCCGTCTCTACTAAAAATACAAAAAAAATTAGCCGGGCGTGGTGGCGGGCGCCTGTGGTCCCAGCTGCTTGGGAGGCTGAAGCAGGAGAATGGCTTGAACCCAGGAGGCGGAGCTTGTAGTGAGCCGAGATCGCGCCACAGCACTCCAGCCTGGGCAACAGGGCGAGACTCCGTCTCAAAAAAAAAAAAAAGTAGCTGTTACCAGTCCAGTCTAACATGTCTCCTGGCCTAACGTATTGTTTCAACGTTCAGTTCAGCGACCTTTCTTTGGCTGATCCAGAGTTGCTAAGAATGAAAGCTTTAGTTACTACAAGAATGCATGCAGCCGAATCTCACTTATATACTATTTTGTGTTGTTTCCTGCTGGTCAAGAAGTTGCAAGCAAAGGGAGGCCAGGATCCCTGCTGTATTCCAGCTCCACCCCAGTGCCAAGCTCATTCCTGGAGCTGAGTAACCACCTGTTGATTGATTATTACACTGACAAGGGCCCTGAAAGAGCATGAACAAACAGGTAGGTCAGAAAACATCTGGGGTTTGCCCAGAAATGTTCCCCTCTAAATGAGTGAATCAGAATGGCCCATGTACGTGATGCTTCTGCTTAAGTTGTTCTGGAAAACTATCAAGAGAAGGATGTTTTCAAAGGATTTATGTCCATTACTGGAATTAATTCTCTTTCTCTTTAGATGGAAGGATAGTCCAGCCTCTTAGAAATGTTAAATCGAGAGATCTAAAAAACAGCTGGCTGTGAGCAAGTTAGGATTTTCAAAGTTTAAAACACAAAAAAACTTCCCTGGGAAGTTTGTCAATCACAAGGTGGGCAAGTATGGAAAATGTTGGTGAAAATATTTAGGCTTCTTAACAGGCTAATTCTCCTCTGTAAGATTTGCTCATTTATTCTTGGAAGCAATACACCTATCATAATCAGCACTTTTTGTTTGAAAAGGCCATTCTCAGAAACATCTGTGAGTTATTCAGGTTCTTACGTCTAATCTAGAAGAGAGACTTAAGACTGGATAATTTGAGGAAACATTTGCTCTCTTCTTAGGGTTCTTAATTTTTACTATATTGAGGGGTTGAGAGCCACAACTTTTTTTGAAAACAGTTTTTTTCTCGTAATTATAAAAAGTTAAGATTTCTATTCAGAAACCCTCAAATAATAAAAAAAAAAGCCAGTACCCCCAATTTCTCGATCACTCCTTGGTACCAGTGTATCTGTGACTAGTATAGAAAGATAGATGAGGATTCTTTCTAACACTGAGATTTATGTTCCAGTGCTGAGAGTTCACTTGGTTCCAGTTGTGTCTTAGCTTAAAATAAATCTTTGGGGTGGTGGGTTGGTCTATGAGGTATATATTTAAGATGTTATTTTTGGAAACTGCTAGAGAATAAAATGAAAACTTGTGATTTTTCTCAAACTTGGCTTGAAAGTAAAATAAAGATTTTATGAACTGGGAGGTGAATACATTTACTCTCCCCAAACTTTCTCACTTGTAAATGAGTGGCTTAGTGCAGATCCTAGAGTTGGGAATTCAAATCCTATAGATTTTTCTTAGCTCTGTCTCTGCTTGTGAATCAATCTTTACCCAGACTATTAACTATGCTCTGATTTTTTTTAAAGTACTTACAGTTCCAATGTGTTTATATTATAAACCCATATTATTAATTTTATCCTATCATTTATTTATTGCACATCTAAGTGCTACACAGGCCCCCAAACTAGAGAATTTAGGTTTGACCCTTTGTAGGAATGGCTAAAGAGGTTTTCCTTAGGAGTATAAGGTGGGGTGTTTTCTCCCCCTTAAATGTAGGATTTTTGTGTCCTCTCCTCATGAAATGTACATGAACTCCTAATTGTGTAAGATGTGGAAGGCAGAGCTGTGTTGTGTGTCACCATCACCAAATGGACATTTGGATATGGCACTGTGCTGGGTCATGTCCTGAACAACTTTGACACATAACTTCTGCTTTCTAAAATGGTTCTTTTAAATTTTGTTTACTTTTTATTATCAAAAATTTTCAAATCATTTTTTTGCTAAATCATTTTAATGTAAATTATAGATATCAAGATAATTTACCCAGCCAGGCACAGTGGCTCATGCCTGTAATCCCAGCCCTTTGGGAGGCCGAGGTGGGCGGATCACCTGAAGTCAGGAGTTTGAGACCAGCCTGGCCAACATGGTGAAACCCCATCTCTACTAAATACACAAAAATGAGCCAGGTGTGGTGGCATGAGCCTGTAATCCCAGCTACTCAGGAGGATGAGGCAGGAGAATTGCTTGAACCTGTGAGGCGGAGGTTGCGGTGAGCCGAGATTGTGTCACTGCACTCCAGTTGGGCAACAGAGCGAGACTGTGTCTCAAAAAAAAAAAAGATAATTTACCCTTAAATTCTTCAACATGATTTTTCAAAAGCTAGACACACTATTATCACATTTGACAAAACTAGCAATAGGTCCCTGGTATTGTATAAATATTCTGTCCATATTTAATTCTCTAATTTTCTTTTAGGTTCAAATCACTATTCTACTAAAGATCATGAACACTGCTTTTGTTTGTTTTGTCTCTCACTCTGTCGCCCAGGCTGGAATGCAGCAGCACAAACATGGCTCATTGCAGCCTCGATCTCCCAGGCTCAAGTGATCCTTCCACCTCAGCCTCCCAAATAGCTGGGACTACCCACGTGAGCCACCATACCCAGCTAATTTTTGTATTTTTTATAGAGATGGGATCTTGCCATGTTGCCCAGGCTGGTCTTGAACTCCTGGCCTCAAGCAATCCACCTGCCTCAGCGTTCCAAAATGCTGGAATTACAGGCATGAGCCACTACACTGGGCCTGTTATGTTTCTTTTAATTTAGAACAAACCCCAATTATTCCACCTCTTTTGCCTTTCTTTTATTTGTAGCATTGACTTGTTGAAAAGATGTATGGCTAGTTTGTATTGCAGAATGTCCCACATTCTGGATTAGCTTGATTGTTTTTCTACACGCTACCATTTAACATGACCCCTCTATCTCTTTTTTTTTTCTAGTTTTTTTCTTTTTTTTCTGCAACCTTCTCTTTTGAGGAACTCTATCTCTTCTATGTCTTATAATTTAGGGTTTCATAGTAAGGCGTGATTCGATGCCAGTTACACATTTTTGGCAAGATAGTCAAGTCATAGCATAAGTGACACTGTGTATGTCCCATTGTATCACATCAGGAAGTGATGACTGCTTGCCACTTAAAAACCGTCTCTTGAGAAGGAGCAATATCTACCATTTCTCATTTGTCTTACCACCACTGGAGCTGAAGCTGGAACTGTGAACATCATTTAGCCTCTTTTATCAGTTTTCTATGAGAGACAAAACTAATACTAGTCTCTCTAACTTCACAAGGTATGATAAAAACCACAGGAGACGATGACAGCAACATCATAATAACACCACCACCAATACCTATCATTTATTGAGCAATCACTATGTCAAGCCCTGTGCAAGAGCTTGCCACTCACTATTTCAGCTAATCCCCACAATAACCATGAGAGATGAGTACTATTATCACCTCCATTGTATAGGTGAGGATACTGAGCCACAGAGAGTTCAAGCAACTTGGCCAAGGTCAAACAGCTGGTAAGAGGGGGAGGTGGGATGGAAAGCCAGCCAGCCTGGCTGCAGAGACTCCGTAGGAAATCGTATGTATCATACAAAAGTAAAGCAATGACCCAGAAGTACCAGTTGTTGTATTAGAGGATGGAGAAGACATTTTTATTTTGTTTTTCTCTGTTTTTCAGACTTCCATTGCTGCTACTGTATTACTTTAATAACCGTAAAACAAATAGGTACTTAAAGTGAGACATGCAATATGAATATAAAGTAACAATCAGAATCATTTATTAAGTACCTGCTCTAGTGGTACTGACAACAGAATAAAAGGAATCACATCAACAATAATAAAAAAAAAACTTTGCCTAGAGGCAAATAGACATAGGAACTAACACCATAAACAGTTATTCTATGCTTTCTTCTTTACAATTCTACTCCTTTTGTCCTGTTTGACATATGGCTCACTTCATAAAAATGTTTAAATATTGATTTCCAAATAGCTTTAGTTGGTCCTAAAACAATATTAAGGGACCATGTGGTTCTGGAAGGATCCATTCTGCTGTTTCTGTTTTTAAAAAAAAGTCCTTTTTTTTTTAAAGGATTTTTTTTAATCTTGGTTTTTGAATCAAGATGGTTGGTCAATTATACCCAAACAAAGTGACCATGCAATTTCTTTATTTTAATTTTATTATTTATTTATTTAATTTATTATTATTATTTTTTGAGATGGTGTCTGCTCTGTCACCCAGGCTGGGGTGCAGTGGCACGATCTCAGCTCACTGCAGCCTATGACTCCTGGGTTCAAGCCATTCTCCTGCCTCAGCCTCCCTAGTAGCTGGGACAACGGGTGCACGCCACCATGCCCCACTAATTTTTGTATTTTTAGTAGAGACAGGGTTTCACCATGTTGGCCAGGCTGGTCTCAAACTCCTAACCTCAGGTGATCTACCCACCTTGGACTCCCAAAGTGTTGGGATTACAGGTGTGAGCCACCAGGTCCGGCCACAGTTTCTTTTTTAAAGGTTATGTTTACGGTATCTAAAGAGACACTGCCCAATGTGCCCTCTGTGTTAACCTCTTAGATGAGCATCGGTCTTCTCCAAGGTGTGAAATCATACTTGGCAAACAGTATCTGAGCCCCTAGAAACCTCAGCCAAAGCCATCATGTTTTATGCCCACACACGGTAAAGATAGCTGTGAATACTGTGTGCATTCCCCAGAAGCTCTTTGCCACTAAAGTCACTAAGAGGTTTTTTTTCTCCTGCCTTCCCCTTCTGTTTCAACTATTAGAAATATAAAATGTTTAATTTGGTAGCTGTAATAGTCCTAATCCTGGAAATATTTATTATGACTTTATATGAAAGCCATTAAGACCTTTGAAATCAATTTAAAAATATATACATCACCCATTGGAGGAAGGAAACCAAACTCCAAAGATCAGCAAGCTATGGTAAGGTAACTAATGATATGACAAAATTTAAAAATCAGAACTGTCTTTTATGATGCCTAAATGGCTATAAGAGAAAAAAAGTGGTTTCATGAAATTTCATATAGCTTATTTCTACTCAAAAGCTTCTAAACATTATCTTTGGGTGTGGGTTTGTACAGTGTTAATACTAGCTGATACATACTGTTTTCTTACTAGTTCTGAGCACTTCACCTGCACTGTTTCACTTAATCAGCCCTGTAAGGTAGCTGCATTTATTATCCCCAATTTACAGATGAGAAGACTGAGGCTTAGAGAGGTTAAGTAGTTAAACCAAGTCACATGGAGGTTAGGCAGCAGAGTCAGGACTATCTGACTCCAGAGCCCAACCTCCCAGCTGCGCACAGATGACAATAAATAATGAAAACAATTTTCATCAACTGAATTTCAAACTCGAAAAAGATGCAAACTCAAAACCTAGTAGAATGCCTTTTGCTAAACCCAGAACTACACAACACGAGGAATTGAGTTATAAAATGCAGTTTTAGAAGCTGGAACTCAAACTCCTGTTTCCTGCATCAGCAGTGGAAGAGAATTCTTGCCACTCCCAGAGGTTTTCTCTCCTTCTCACTCCCCTGGGTAGTCTGTGGGCATTATTCATGAAGATGCTCACAGCCGCCCTGGTGTCTACAGCTGCTCTGCACCCCGCATTGCCCTTTCCGCCTCCCCCCTCAAGGCTCTGGCAGGCAGTGAGTGTGTCTTCTTTCCCATCGCCTTGGGTTTCAGCCAGGAGTCAATCAATAAATATTTGTTGAATGAATAAATGAATGAATGAGTGAATGAATAAACAGCTGTCAAACTAGCCACAGAAGAGAAAGTCAGCAGAGGTACATAAATAGTAAGCTGGTCGCCTAAAATAGCCTGACCAGAATGTAAATTCCACCAAACTTCATGTTAAGTTGGGGAACATTTATTCTGTACCAGATATCATGTTATCTTTTTCATATTTCAAACTTGGTTTCCTCAGTATTATTCAACACTTCACTTTCTGTGTGATTGGGTCAAGTCACTTCATCTCCCTGGTCCTTGTTTCCTCAGTTATAATATGATGCTATGAAGCCATGCCTCACGGGCTGCACTAAGGATCAAATAAGGTCACGTTGTGGGTAGGAGGGGGTGCTCTGTAAACTATACAGTGCCTTTGGATGCTGTCATCATCATGCATTTATTGGCCCCTGATATTTGTAGTCTTTGTACATCTAGTTGGGCGGGCCTAAATGCATTGTTCAAGAAGGAGAGCATTAGGTCGGGCGCAGTGGCTCACACATGTAGTCCCAACACTTTGGGAGGTCAAGGCGGGTGGATCACCTGAGGTCGGGAGTTCGAGACGAGCCTGACCAACATGGAGAAACCTCGTCTCTACTAAAAATACAAAAAAAAATTAGCCAGGTGTGGTGGCACATGCCTATAATCCCAGCTACTCTGGAGGCTGAGGCAGGAGAATCGCTTGAACCTGGGAGGCAGAGGTTGCAGTGAGCTGAGATCGCGCCATTGCACTCCAGCCTGGAAAGCGAGTGAAACTCATCTCAAAAAAAAAAAAAAAAAAAAAAAAAAAGGAGAGTATTCTGGAAAAAATTCAGGGGTCCCTGATGCCACTCATGGGAACAAAACAAAACTATAGCCTGAGAAGGACTTTCATGATGCCAGGCTGCGGCAGGTGGACCACAGCGCAAGGAAGGCCAGCAGCTGAGTTGCACCTTAGGAAAATCTGAGAAAAGCCCCAGAAATCTTTGGAATCATCTCGCTCTTCCTTGTCTCCATCTCAGCCATAACCACCCTTCAGTCAAGGCTCTGACTGACAGCTGACAACTAGATTGTATAATTAAGCCATGCAATTGCCCTTGAGACAGTCATCCTGGAGGAAAATGCTGGGCTTGAGCCACAGCACCTGCCTAGGTGCGCATGTTCCTGTCATCATCAGAAGGCAGAGCCCACCTTCCGCTCTCCATTCATCCTCCTCCACTGTTGGGGGGGGTGGGGGGAAAGGCGGGGGGCATGGGGACCAAAACTTAGGTGAACTTTTATTTGATTCATTCTAATTTGCTTCTTCCTCCTTGTTAAGATTTACCTTAGCAAGTGAGACAATTAACATTTGCTCAGGAAGCTCTATTCCCCAAACAGTCAGATCTTGCAGAAAAGACATAATGTGCCAGAAAGTTTGTAAATGGATGCTCCCTCTCTGTGGCGTCTTCCTGACTTCCCCCCTTCTCTGTCCTCTCCGCTTTCTCCCAGTCACCACCCGCTCCTTCCATCTGTGGAAGAGGAAACCCTTTGACATATCTGTGAAACAAACAAGTTTCTTCGTTTCTTCCTCCAAGTTTCTTTGCACTAGTTTTTAAAACACGTTTTCACAGCAGATTGTTTTGGTGGGTTCGGGAACATACTTTTTAATTCTCAGCCCCCAACCTAACATTTCAACCAGGGATTCCTTACCTTCTTAAAAAAAAGTGCAAAGTAAATTTCTCCAGTAAAGAAAGACCTAGTATTTTCCCAGTCCTTCATGCAAACAGAGGCCTCTTAGACAATATTTACATCTACATGTAGGTGAGTTGGGACTGTGCTTGGGGCAGTTGGAATAAGAGAGGCATTGATAGATTCCAGTAAGCCTTGTGGGCATTGAAGAAGGGTAAGGATGGTATAACTTGGGGGACAGGCACTGGGTTTCTGAAAAATGTCTAACATTTATAGGATATTCACGTGAACCTGGCATTGTGTGGAATGTTCTACAGATATCATCTTCTTGTTTTATCTTCGTAACCACCCCACAAGGTAGAAACTAAATTCCTGATTTACAGATGAGGAAACTGGGACATAGAGAGGTAAGGGATCTGAAATCACAGCTGATCAGTTTTAGAGTTGAAATTCTAACACAAGCCCTCTGACTCCCTGCCCTGCCACTCCTGTGTGTCCAGGGACCAGCAGCGTATGGAGCTTGTTAGAAATGCAAAATCTCAAGCCCTGTCCTAGACCTTTTGAGTCAGAGTCTGCACCTTAACAAGCCCCCAGACAATCAGTGTACACATTCTAGTGCTGTTCTTGATTGCTAAGTATATTGGCTGCCCTGAGCATAGCTTTTTATTCTGATGCTCCTGGGACCCTGTTTTTCACATACCTGAGGTGAAAAATTTGAGTAAATGGCTCCTATGTAAACAGTAGCAATATGTAACATTTTTTTTTCAAAAAAACAATTTTTTTTAATAGAACAGAGTCTCATTCTGTTGCCCAGGCTGGAGTGCAGTGATGCAATCACAGCTCACTGCAGCCTCAACCTTCCAGACTCAAACGATCCTCCCACCTCAGCCTCCCTAGTAGCTGGGACTACAGGCATGTGCTACCAGGCTGCGCTAATTTTTTTAAATTTTTAGTAAAGATGGTGCCTCCCTATTTTGCCCAGGCTGGTCTTGAATCCTGAGCTCAAGTGATCCCCCTGACTCAGCCTTCCAAAGTGCTGGGATTACAGGTGTGAGCCACCATGCCCGACCCTACAATTTTTTTTTTTAATTAGTCAGGCATGGTGTCAGTAGTCCCAGCTGCTTGGGAAGCTGAAGCAGGCGGATTGCTTGAGCCCAGGAGTTCGAGGTTACAATAAGCTATGATTGTGCCACTGCACTCCAGTGTGGGCAACAGTGAGACACCATCTCTTTAAAAAAATTACTTTTCAATAGTAATAGAAATAATACACACTTAATACAGGAAACTTGGAAAATGAAGAAAACATAAAAGTTCGCTCATAAAAACACCATCCTGAAGGCCGGATGCAGTGGCTCAAGCCTGTCATCCCAGCACTTTGGGAGGCCGAGGCAGGTGGATCATTTGAGGTCAGGAGTTTGAGACCGGCCTGGATAACATGGCGAAACCCCGTCTCTACTACAAATACAAAAAATAGCTGGGCGTGGTTCTGCGTGACTGTAATCCCAGCTACTCAGGAGGCTGAGGCACGAGAATCATTTGAATCCGGGGGTCGGAGGTTGCAGTGAGTCGAGATTGCACCATTGCACTCCAGCCTGTGTGACAGAGAAAGGCTCTGACTCAAAAAAAAAAAAAAAAAAAAAAGCCAGGCGCAGAGGCTCACGCCTGTAATCTCAGCACTTCGGGAGGCCGAGGCAGGTGGATCGCGAGGTCAGGAGTTTGAGACCAGCCTGGCCAATATGATGAAACCCCGTCTTTACTAAAAATACAAAAACTAGCTGGGCGTGGTGGCACACACCTGTAGTCCCAGCTGCTCAGGAGGCTGAGGCAGGAGAATCGCTTGAACCCAGAAGGTGGAGCTTGCAGTGAGCCAAGATCACGCCACTGCACTCTAGCCTGGGTGACAGAGCGAGACTCCGTCCAATATTTTCTCTACACATATGTGCATATGTGTGTGCGTGTGTCAGTGTGTGTGTATATATATATGGGGATCATTTTGTATGTGTACCTTTACATACTGAAATTTTTTCTCTTCATATTTTCAGGATGAGCATTTTTGAAATAGTTAAATTGATGAATACACAAGCTGCTTTTTAAGGCTCAGACTCTGGATCAAAAAGTTCTTTCCATCGAGTTTTGATTCCTTCAGCAGCTGTTTTAGAATTCAGATGGGGGCTGGACGCGGTGGATCATGCCTGTAATCTCAGAATTTTGGAAGGCCAAGAGGGCGGATCACTTGAGCTCAGGAGTTCAAGACCAGCTTTGGCAACATGGCAAGACCCCATCTCTAAAAAAAATACAGCTGGGCATGGGGGCTCACATCTGTAGTCCCAGATACTCAAGAGGCTGAGGTGAATGGATTCATTGAGCCTGGGAGGTCCAGGTTGCAGTGAGTTGTGACTGCACCACTGCAATCCAGCCTGGGCTACAGAGCTAGACTCCGTCTCAATAAAAGAATTAAAAAAAAAATACATAAATAGAAACAACAGTAAAAAAAAAAAAAAAAAAAAAGAAAGAAAACAAAAACCAATAATTCAGATGGGAACTGCCCTGTGTTTGAGTATTTCAGTGGTGGACTCCATGCTTAGAGAAAGAACTGCATGGGGGTTGGATTGAAGGCCGACCCAGGAGACTCTTGGGGTTCAGCAGTTCTAAGGCTCTGTAGAGGACCTATGTTTGTTCTGGGTACTGCAACACCTCTCTTAACGGTAGCTTTGACCTTAGGGACACAGAATGAGAAGTGACATTCCAACTATGCAAGCTCCTTCAAAATAGGAATTATTTTTTTTTGTTTTTGCTTTTGTTGTTACATCTCTATGCCCCAGGGCTCAGAACTTGGCCTGACACATAGTAGGTATCAATAAAGTTGATGGATGAAGGCCGGGTGCGGTGGCTCATGCCTGTAATCCCAGCACTTTGGGAGGCTGAGGCAGGCAGATCACCTGAGGTCGGGAGTTTGAGACCAGCCTGACCAACACGGAGAAACCCTGTCTCTACTAAAAATACAAAATTAGTTGGGCATGGTGGCTCATTCTTGTAATCCAAGCTACTCGGGAGGCTGAGGTAGGAGAATCACTTGAGCCCGGGAGGTGGAAGTTGCGGTGAGCCGAGATTGCACCACTGCACTCCAGCCTGGGCAACAAGAGCATCTCAAAAAAAAAAAAAAGTTGATGGATGAATGAATCAATAAATGAATTAGTGAGTGAATGGATGAATGAATGAATAAAGTGGAGAAGGTGGACAGGTGCCTATTGATGTGAATTAGACATCTTCTTACAATCCCACTTTGGCCTCAAACAGCTCCTCTCCATGCCTCAAGTTCCACCATGAGATTATTTTTTCCAGCCAGTCTTTTTTTACACTTTTTTTTTTCACCAAAAGCAAGCATCCCTCAGAGGGCTACCTGTTTCCGTTAAACAGCCTTTGCAAATACATTGATGCTGGGATTTTAGGAAGGGGATTTCCTACAGTTTGGCATAGTCAATACTGTTCTAGGTAAACCAGCTTCCTAAGCCAAGTTCTCTGTCCTTTTAAATATTTATAAAGCAATTGTGTGCCCATCGAGGGTGTTTTCCCCGGAAGCAAGGAGACTTTGCCATTAAAAGCTCAGGGAATGGAGAGCAGAGAGGTCAGTCAATGGACTCTTCCCAATAAAAATTCTTTATGGGTGACATTGTTCCTCCTGGCAAAGATGGAATAATCTGGCATGGGAAAGAGTGCAACCCCACAACTTGGAGACTTTCTCTTAGAAGACTGGTAAAGAGCAGAACTTGCTTCCTCTTGGTTGTCACCTAAAGAGCTGACTTACAAAAGATTTCTCCATAAGGGCATAGCCTAGAGCAAGCCCAGGTTTACTAAGCCACCTTTCTGTTTAAGTGTCCCCTCTACCTTGTTCAATTCTCCCTAACCCTGCTTTAATCTTTCTTCATAGCATCTCTCAACACACGATATTCTATATATTTGTGTATTTATCTCCTTTCCAACTAGAATAAGACCCCACAAGAATAAGGATGATTGTTTAGTTTTATTCACTGCTGTTGTTGAGTGCCTAGAATGTTGCCTGGATCCTATTTTTTTAAGTGAATATTGAACGAATCTTAAACAATAACAATGGTATAATTTATTTTGATTTTCTTATAGTTTCATCGCCAGTCTTCCAACACAGTATCCCTCTCTTTTATTTTTTGTTACAGGGCTTTTTATTTCAAAGGAAAATCCAAACTCAGAATGACTACATGGTTGTAAATAGATTCTGAAGGGTAATAAAACATGTAATGATTTTTTCATTTGCTCCACAAACAAGGCTATGTAATAGCTGGGATCCGATTCTGCCTCGTGTGCCTAAATTTCCTTGTTTATTTTAAGAAGAGCAAAATATCGTGTGTGTGTGTGTGTGTGTGTGTGTGTGAAAACATCTGGCATTGTCATTTCAGGTTTAGCCTCTGGATTTGGGAACTGAGTACGAGGATCTAAAGGTTAAACACCAGAGTTCAGAGCACTCAGGAATTTGAGAGATGACTTTTCTTAACTTGACTTTTGGAAAATATTTGAAAATCCATTTAATCACATGTAAAACTCAACAGATACATCCTGTTTCAATTTAGCTTACATTAAATTTTTTTTGTCTAACTTCAGAAACAATGCAACAACTTTGTCCCGATAATTTTCTTTACTTCTTTATGTTTAAGTATATAACTTAATAAATGGCACTTGTCAAACTACATGCCCAGGAAGAAGGAAAGCAAACTTTATGAACTGCACAAATGCTGATGATTATGCCCTGAAATGACCCTTCACAACCTTAGTCCAGCCCCTACATCAATATTTCTCAAACTTCACTGTGCAGAAGAGTCGCTTAGGGAATCTTGTTAAAAGTGTAGATTCCTGAGCCCCACTCATAGTGATCTGGATTCGAAACATTTTGGGGAGGGGCTAGAGAGCAGCATTGAAATGCTAGCATTCTGAGGGTGTCTGGCACAGCCTCCTCCTGAGAAGCCTGATAGATTGTAAACCACATGCAGGCGGGAACCACACTCAACCTAAACCACAAACGCTGCTAGGGAGGCAGCTCTGCACAGGGAGATGGCTCCTGAAAGATGTTCATCATTAAGACAGTTCTTTCTCTTGGACTGTTCTGCTGGCGCCCAATAAAGGTGTCTCCCCAGAAAGGAAGACAGGTAGAGGATTGCGGAGACACCCAATGATATTGTACTTTAATAGAGACAGATTCAGAATCATCCAACATCTCACAACTCTCCTTTTTTGATTATAGCTTCAAAAGATAATTCTTTTTCACTTTATCAAGTTAAGTTTTAGGATGACAGATTCATAGTGACACTTTTCTTTTAAAACTTGAGAATGGTCATGGTGGCTCACACCTGTAATCCCAACACTTTGGGAGGCTGAGTCAGGCAGATCGCTTAAGACCGCGAGTTCGAGACCAGCCTGGGCAACATAGTACCCCATCTCTAAAAACAAGGAAAAGTTAACCGGGTGAAGTTGTGCACACCTGTAGTCCCAGCTACTGGGGAGGCTGAGGTGAAAGGATCACTTGAGCCTGGGAGGTTGAGGCAGTGAGCCATGATCACTGCATACCAGCCTGGGAGACAGAGTGAGACCCTGTCTCAAAAAAATAAAAATAAAAATAAAAAACTTGAGAATGTCTTGATACCCAATCAGTTATTAAATAGGCCCCCACTGTTTATTTCTGGCGTTAGAACAAGGACCAGGAACATGAAGGTAGCTCCGCCATCAAAGGAGTCTAGTTGGTGATTTTATAGGATTGGAGGAACTCAGTAATGAGAACTCATATACTCCAAAAATTACTATTCTCTGTGAAAATTATTCTGTTAATAGTTTTCATGGGGGTGGTGTAATGTTATGTTGGCTTCCCCCACCATTAATCCTATCCTCCATTTTTATTTTTTTAAAAAGGCACAAGTCATGCATATCCATTCATTGTTTTAAAAAAACCAACCAAACAGAAATATAAAGTCAAAAGAGAAAATCCCCTTCAATCCCTTTCCACTTCCAGCTCCACACCCAAAGTATCTATGGTTACTAGATTGGTGCATATCATTTCAGGCCATTTTCTATGCATTAAAAAATGTGGGGGGGAGCGGGCATTAGGATGGGAAGAGAGTTGATGTCCACTTTGATCCCCAGAGCTATTGCTAAACCATGCCACCTCCTTCCTCTTGCAAATACCTAAACAACTTTGGAAGGGCTTGACAGCTCCCTCTACCCCCTGGCATCACCTCACACAGCCCTCCACCAGCTGCCTTCTCATTTACTTGCTTCATGGAGTATTTAATCTCCCGGCTTACCGTTTTCCTTACATTTGAGGCCTGTCCTCATTGTTGGTAATGTTGACACCCACGTCAGGAATGTTCAGTACTCAGCCTATCAGTGCCTTGTCCCCACCCCAGTGCCTGCTCCCCTGCTTGCAACTTTGACTTGGTTGCACCAGCCATTTCTCCACACATTCTACTGTCGGGCTGTCCCCTGTCCTCTTCTGCCTCCTCACACCATGTCTGCCGTCACTGTGTTTGCTCCTTTCTCTTGCTTGAAGACGCTAAGCTCTTTGCCTCTTGAAGGCCTTTGTGCTTATTTTCTCTCTGCCCAAGAGGGTCTCTGTATAGCTCCCCACTCAGCTGAATTATTCGAATCCTTCAACATCTCCTAAAAATGTCACCTTTCAGAGCAGCCTTCCCAGCCTGCCCCAGAGTGGTTTCCCCAATCACCCCCTTTCTTTGCCCACTTTATTCTCTCATAGAGCTGCTCACAAGCCGTGGTTGTCTTGTGATGTATTCATTGATTTGTTTGTTGTCTAGCACTCCCACTAGAACATTACCTTCACTGATGAATCCCCATCCTCTACCCCAGGGTCCACCACATAGCCATAAGTCAATACATTTGTTGAATGAATGAAAGAAGTGGGATCACACTACATGTGACTTTTTTGTTTTCTACTAAATACAGTTAGAGGTCTTTCTATGTCAGAATATATAGTTCTGTCACTTTTAAAAAGCAACTGCATTGCTGCAGACACTGCACGTGTATTACTACATGTAGTTAATCATGCCTGAATTATTGAACGTTTGGGTTGTTTACATTTTGTTTTTTACTGTTGAAAAAAACTGAGGCAATAAATTTCCTCTTACTTGTATCTTTGTGCATGTGTGCAATTATTTCTGTAAATTAGATTACTTGAAGTAGAACTGCTAGGTCAGAGACTATGAACATTTAAAATTTTGATAGGCATTGCCAAATTGCCTTCCCAAAACAGCTTTGCTACCTTATAACATCAAGAGCATATGAGAGTTCCTGCTTACATACATCTTCACCAATACTGTATTTTATTAACCTTTTAAACTTACCAATTTGATTAGCAAAATTATCTCATTTAATTTGTACCTCCCTAATTGCCAATAAAACTAAGTGTTTCCTTTTACAGGTTGCCTGCATTTCTTTTTCCCATTAATTCCCTATTCTTACCCTTTGCTCAGTTTTTGTTGTTATTTTTGTTTTGTTTTGTCTTTTGAGAGACAGGGTCTCACTCTGTTGCCCAGGCTGGAGTGCAGTGACATGATTATAGCTCACTATACTGTCAACCTTCTGGGATCAAGGGATCCTCCCACCTCAGCCTCCCAAGTAATTAGGACTACAAGCATATGCCACCACGCCTGGCTTTTTTTGTTGTTGTTTCTAGTGGAGATGGGGTCTTGCTATGTTGCCCAGGTATCTATCAGGAAACTGATAGAAAACTCAGTTTTGCTCAGTTTTCTATCAGGATGTTTGTTTTTCATTTATTGACTTGTAGGCTCTCTTTGTATATTGTGGATAATAGTCCTTTCTTTATATAACTTATGAATGTGTTCTCCAGGTCTATTATGGGTCTTCTAACTTTGACTTTCTCTGAGGAGACTCACGATACATAATTTAAGGCTTTCTTCTTTCTTGTATTAATTTAGATGACTCTCTTCCATGCTATTGATTTTCCTCAAGTATCTGATAATGTTTGGGTGTCTGTTTCTATTTGTAGATGATGGTCTAGATGGAATGGTACACTCCTTGTTCCCCTGACAGCCAATGCATGTTCTTATGAGGTGAGCCTTTGCTCCAGAAAGAGGTGAAGGGACAGGAGGCAGCATATGCAACCAAGTGGTCTCTCCTCTCCAGTGTCTCCTAGATATGGAGCTACCAGGTCCTGCTGGCAGCAAAGGTTACCTAAGGCACTATCCAAGGAGTAGTACACCCAATACCACTCAGGGAGTTTCCTGAGGGGAACCTTCTTTTTATAACTAGGTCCTCACAGCATTTCCCAAGGGGCTTATTCCAGAGTTAGCCTCTGAAGGGGAGGGCCTAGTTTTGCTGCCCTTTCATTAATGATCTACTGGACTACCCATTGCTCACTCCTTCCTCTGGCTCTGACTCCTCTTTTCTTAGGGTTTTTCCTTGGTTCTGCTGGGAAATTTTACTTTTGTGGGGAGCACTTTCTCTGGGTTATATAAGGCTGAGTCCTTCAGTTTCATAAGATTTTGCTGCTCATCCCACCTCTGTTCCTCACTGTTCTCTCATCTCTTGGTGGCATTCCACCCAGCTCCCAGCACTGCTGTTGGTTAGTGTCATTGTTATATTTCTTCCGCCATTTCACAAAGATTAAGTAAGGAAGAGATATACACACATGTTTAGGCAGCCATCTTGAACCAAAAGCCCCTAGAAGATGTTGAAATTTTTAAATTAACCATTTTTACCTAAAGTAGAATAGGGGATATTTAAAAGTACAATTATGAGGAAGTATAACCATAGCTAAGTTTTTTAAGTAAAAAAAAAAAAAAAAAAAAATCCAGCTTCAGGAATAAGATGGAATCATTTAATAGGAATCCCTTTTAGCACATTTTCCAAACAGCTGTCCCACCTAAACCCTTATCTACATTACAGTCTTCCGGCCTCACCATGGGTTCTCAAGTCTGTGGAAGTATAGTCACTGATGCTACCTGGATTCACAAGGAATCCTTGAGGCGTGACCTTCCTGAGGAGCAGAATGGCTGACATGGGGGGCAAAGCGGCACCTCCATGAGAAGATTCCTGCCAGATTCTTATTTTCCTCGAGGCTGGGATTCTAAATCTGCTTCATTTCTATGTCCACAGAACCTGCATAGTGCCTGGCACTGAATAGGTACACAAACTACCTCTCAAATTTGGCCATTGAATTTATGCCCAAGTTGCAGATTTGTGAACAAAGTAAGTGTTGTTGTTTTAAGTCACTAAATTTGGGGGTTATGTTTATGTAGTAATAGATAACTGGAATAGACACATTCCATTAGCTTAACGGTAGAAAGCAGGTCTCTCAGAGAAAAGGACAGGGGTCGGGGAGATTACTGGGTCTGAGGAGGAATGTGGGGCTGTTCTGGGAGGCAGGAACTGGTGACTGGACAGTTTGGGTCTGGGGCAGCCAAGAGTGTGCATGAGGGTGCTGGGCATGGGGAAAGATTGTTGACAAGAGGAGGAGGTGCCCATTTCAGGCTCATAGACTGAGGAAGCAGTTATTCATTTACCTTGAGCAGAGACATGATGCCCAGTCCTTTCTATTAGAACAACCAACACTTATTAAGCCTTTTTTATGTGCCAGCCACTTGATAGGCCTCCACATACATGATCTCTCATCCTTGCAACCACTCTAACAGTAGGTATTGTTTTATCTCATTTACTCCAGTCAGGGGGACATTGAGGCTAAGGGACTTGAAGCAACCTGCTTAAGGTTATGAAAGTAGGAAGTGGGCTGGGCACGGTGGCTCATGCCTGTAATCCTAGCACTTTGGGAAGCCGAGGAGGGCAGATCACTTGAGGTCAGGAGTTCGAGACCAGCCTGGTCAACATGGTGAACCCGTCTCTACTAAAAATACAAAATTAGCTAGCCGTGGTGGCAGGCACCTGTAATCCCAGTTACTCAGGAGGATGAGGCAGGAGAATCGCTTGAACCTGGGAGGTGGAGGTTGCAGTGAGCCAAGATCGCATCACTGCACTCCAGTCTGGGCGACAGAGCAAGACTCCGTCTCAAAAAAAGAAAAAGAAAGTAGGAAGTGGCAAAACCATGATTCAAATAGGACTCTGTTTAATAAAACCACTGTTCATTACTGATCACTTTTGACAAGTTACTTACTGCTCCTAGCCTCAGTTTCCCTGTTTATAAAATGGCAATAGTAATAGTTCTCATCTTGTGGGGAGGATTAAATAAAATAAGACATGTTAGGCCTGTGCTGTCTGGTATGACACCTACTATCCATATGTAGCTGTAGGGCACTTGAAATGTGGCTGGTCCAAATCGAGACATGCTCTACAAGTAAAATACATATAAGAGTTCACAAGGCCAGGCGTGGTGGCTCACACCTGTAATCCCAGCATTTTGGGAGGTCAAGGCAAGGCGGATCGCCTGAGGTCAGGAAGGAGTTCGAGACCAGCCTGGCCAACATGGTGAAACCCCGTCTCTACTAAAAATGCAAAAATTAGCTGGGCATGGTGGTGGGCACCTGTAATCCCAGCTACTCGGGAGGTGAAGGCAGGAGAATCACTTCAACCCGGGAGACAGAGGTTGCAGTGAGGCAAGACAGTGCCACTGCACTCCAGCCTGGACGACAGAGCAAAACTCCACCTCAAAAAAAAAAAAAAAAAGTGTTCGTAGACTAGGACAAACAAAACACAAATAAAAAGAAAAAAGATGAAGAAAAAAGAGTTCATAGACTTAGTATGTAAAAAAGATTGCAGCTGGGCATAGTGGCCTGCGCCTATAGTATAGTCCCAACTACTTGGGAGGCTCAGGCGGGAGGATTGCTTGAGCCCAGGAGTTCAAGGCTGCAGTGAGCTATGATTGTGCCACTGTACGCCAGCCTGAGTGACAGAGCAAGACCTTCTGTTAAAAAAATAAAAATAAAAATAAAATTGCAAGTCTGTTTTCTGCTGCTGTAATAGAATACCACAGAATGGGTAATTTGTGTAATTTATAAACAATAGAAGTTTATTTGGCTCACAGTTCTGGAGGCTGAGAAGGCCAAGATTGAGGGATTGCATCTGGTGAAATTCTTCTTGCTGAATCATATCATGGTAGAAAGGAAAGCAAGCACATGGGAGAGAGATGGGGGCTAAACTTCATCCTTTTATCAGGAGCCCACTTCCAAAATAACTAACCCACTTCCACAATTAACTGCATTAATCCTAGGGCAGAGCCCTCGAAACCCAATCACCTCTTAAAATCCCCACCTCCTGATACCATTACATTGGCAATTAAATTTTAACATGAGTTTTGGAGGGGACATTCAAACCACAGCATAAGCTATCTTATTAACTTTTTATATTGATTACATGTTGAAATGATCATTTCTGGTTAAATAAGACATGTTATTAAAATAAATTTTACCTGTGTTTTTTTACTTTTTAAAAATGTGGCTGCTAGAAAGTTTTACTACATATGTGGTTGGCATTATATTTCTATTGCACACTGCTGAGTTAGACACTTAGAGTGTGAACACTGTGAGGTGGCCATTATTACTGAGACAGCTCAGCTTAGTATGTCCCACACCAGGACTTTCCTTTGCAATTCTACCATTTTTTTTTTTTTTTTTTTTTTGAGACAAAGTCTGGCTCCATTGCCCAGGCTGGAGTGCAGTGGCAAGATCTCAGCTCACTGCAACCTCTGCCTCCTGGGCTCAAGTGATCCTCCCATCTCAGCCTCCTGAGTAGCTGGGACCACAGGCATGCACTAACACACCTGGCTAATTTTTTTTGTATTTTTTGTAGAGATGGGGTTTCACCATATTGCCCAGGCTAGTCTTGAATTCATGAGCTCAAGCGATCCACCCGCCTCAGCCACCCAAAGTGCTGGAATTACAGGCATGAGCCACCATGCCTGGCTCTACCAATTCTTTTATTTTCTTGGGTTGGAAACTTTTTCTATATGACCTCATTTTCATTCTTATAATAATCATTCTGCAATTTTATGATTTTTTTAAAAAAACTTTTTTCCCATATTTGTTGACTTTCTTTCAGTCTGTCTGCAGTAAATCGTAAAAATATTACATGGAAAGAGCTCATGGGCTTTTCTACAAGGACAATAAAGAAAGGTAATCTGGGAAGGTAGCACCAGGCTTGACAGGAGGGGAGACCCCAAGAGCTGGAGATAGTGTGTTCAAACCAGGTTGCAAAAAAAAAAAAAAGAGCTGGGGAGGATGGTGCTGGGGGAGAGAGGAAAGGAAAGTGGTCTTACTTCTTGGGACTTGGGGCAAGGTAATGAAGACATGGCCTCTTCCCAAGAGGAGGGCCTAGGTACCCTTCAGTTAAAGTTTGTCCTAAAGATGTGTTGCCTCAGAACTTCCCAGGTGGCATCCTGGCCTCTGGGTGGAGGGCAGCTGACTGCCCTATGCTGACCTGGTTCCTTCCTGCAAATCCAGATGAGCCACCGTGAAAAATAAATGAAGCTACCTTCTGCTCACACCAGGCTCATGTTTGGCACAACAGATTTTAAGTAAGGACCTGTGGATTCAGAATGAGGGCTAACGTGAGATTTTAATTTAAAATGGAATAATGGTTCTTTCCAAATCTAAGCTAACAATGTTAAAACTCAGCAGCAATGTATTGCCACTTTAGAATGAATATAAATCTGACTTTTAAGCATCAAGTTGACATTATGTTAAGCAACATTAAAATATTTAAAAGAGTCTGCATCGGGAAACTCTGAACATCATTACTCCCTCCTGTTTCACAAAGTTTTTAAAGATTTGGGCTCTTTTTTTTCAGTGTGATCATAGGGGACATTGCTCTGGTTTATATGTTCAGGCTGCTCATTCTAATTCCCTGACACTAGCAGAACAAAGTAGACTTTTCTCAAATGAATCACTCCTTACAGAAAGAAATCACATGCTTTCCTTGGGAAATTTGCAACCTCACACTCAGTCCCAGAGGGACAAAGGATAATGATTTCATGTTGTCTGGCTACTTACTCCCTAGTGGTTCTGAAACATGGGTTTTCCTTTGAAAGGAAAGATGCCTCGTCCTTTTTAAAAGATATCACAAGGCTCTCTGTGGCACAGTTCAGCCCTGGCGTCCACCACAAAGACATTTGTGTGTCCTTCTGGGGCTTTGAGCCAGGCATACAGTCTGCCCAAACTTTCTGCCCATCTGCCACATGGAGGGCAAGGTGCTTCTGCCAGGCCACAGCAATAGGAACGCTGCTCAGGAACAAAGACAGCCCTTGCTCCTGTCCCGAGCTGTGAGTGAGCTGCCTAGGCACGAGCCTCAGGCCACCCCATGCCTGAGCCTGGGCGTTTATATACAGCAGTGTGAGGTTTGAAAAGCCAGTATAGCCACCTTAGTTTAACAGATGGAAGGATAGTGTATGGTCTGACAAGTGTGTGACATGGGGGCTGAGGGGGAATGTCTCCTTTGCTGGAGTAGCCATGAAAGTGGTGGTGAGTTTTATGGGCTCAGCAGAGGAACCTTTGTAACCGTACCTGAGAAAGCGACTTCCTTCTCCCTGACTTCTTTGAATCCCTGCCAGCCTAAAGTTCAGGATCCCCATGGAAGCCCCCAAATCAGGGACGGTTATACCTCTTAGAAGTTATGAAAATTGGCAGCCGGGCGCTGTGGCTCACACCTGTAATCCCAGCACTTTCAGAGGCTGAGGCTGGCGGATATGAGGTCAGGAAGTCGAGACCATCCTGGCTAACATGGTGAAACCTCGTCTCTACTAAAAATACAAAAAATTAGCCGGGCCTGGTGGCGGGCGCCTGTAGTCCCAGCTACTCGGGAGGCTGAGGCTGGAGAATGGCGTGAACCCGGGAGGCGGAGCTTGTAGTGAGCCGAGATCGCGTCACTGCACTCCAGCCTCCGTGACAGAGCAAGACTCCATCTCAAAAAAAAAAAAAAAAAAAAATAGTTAAGAGAATTGGCTTTGGAAAGAGTTTTCACAGTTCCAACCTTAGCTCAGCTATTTACTGCCTGTGTGGCCAAATTGCAAGTTGCTCAACATTTCTTTTAGTTGAACCTCTGACAGATTCCTACCCTAAGATGAGGATTCAGTGCAGTCAATTATTAGGGAGGTGACGGAATGGATTAGGGAAGGTGGACGGAAGGAAGCTAATAAGGGTGCATTTTAAAGCCAGCTACCACAATGGGCAGCTGAAGCTTAAACCTTCAGGAAAACTCTGGGAAACAGAGTAGAATACACAGCTTACAATCATTCCAGCCAAGTGGAGAGGGAGCTGGGATATATATACCCCCACACCTGGCAGACACATGTTAAGGGCTTCCTGAGGGGGCAGTGAAGACCCAGACACTTCTGGCCTGTCATGTTCATGGACAAAGCGCAAAGGCAGCTCTCACAGAGACGCAGGGGATGGCCATTGGGAGCCGGCCTGGGGTGCACCAAAATGGTAAAGGGATGTGGGCAGAACAATGGCAGCATCTGCTATACTCTCGAAGCTTCATGTACTGTTTTGAAAAGTAAGGTCATCATAGTTTTTATCTCATAGGAAGGATGATATATATATATATATATATAAAGGCCTGCTAAGTCCTCAGCATAAGGAGCAGCTTGTAGCAGCACTTGTTAAATACTGGTTATTATTACTGGAACCACTCAGCAGTTTTTGCCCTAGGATTTTGTTTGCAGTTTTGCCATTTCTTTTATTTTCTTGGGAGTTCCTGACTTTTTGCCTACAGCACAAACATATAGGTCCAAAGAAAGAGGCTTGTGGCTTGTTTTCATTTGTCCAGAGGACGTTGAAGATATCACTGTCACCTTTTAAGTTGAGATGCAGCAAGTCAAAGATGCAGGGTAGCAACTGGCAAGATATGTCTTCTGCCTTGGCACACTTCTACCCGCCCAGTAGTTGAGTTGTGAGAGGGTGCTGCTTAGGGCCCAGGGGGACCAGCCCCTCATTTGTACACTGGGAAATCAAAGAGTAGAAAAAGCTGTCTTTGCTTGCAAACAAGAGAGCGCACCAGTAGTTGTGTCTCAAATAACCTGCAAAGAGGTTTGGCCAGGGGAGGGATGGAGGTGACTTTACATTTGCCGTAGGGATTCGCAGTTTCTTCACAGTAGAGTTTACAAAGACTTGGCTTAAATGTCATGTGAGTGTGCACACACACGTGTGTATTATACTGTATACAGATTCTCCTTGACTTATCATGGAGTTACATTCTGACAAATCCATTGCAAATTAAAAATGTAAGCCAAAAATGCAAGTCAAAATGCGTTTAATACACCTAACTTACTGAACATCATAGCTTAGCCTACCCTGCTTTAAATGTGCTCAGAACACTTACATTAGCCTACTGTTAGGCAAAATCATCTCACACAAAGCCTATTTTATGTTATTATTTACTTATTTATTTATTTTTAGAAACAGAGTCTTGCTCTGTCACCCAGGCTGGAGTGAAGTGGTATAATCATAGTTCACTGCAGCCTCAAATTTCTGTGCTCAAGCGATCCTTCTGCTTTAGCCTCTCGAAGTAGCTAGAACTACAGACGTGTGCTACCATGCCTGGCTAATTTTTGTAGAGATAGGGTCTCCCTATGTTGCCCAGCCTGGTCTTGAACTCCTCAGCTCAAGCAATCCTACCTCTTCAGCCCGCACAAAATGCTGGGATTACAGGCATAAGCCACCATGCCTGGCCAAAACCTATTTTATAGTAGTGTTGAATATTTCATGGAATTTTTTTTTTTTAATTTTGAGATGGAGTCTTGCTCTGTCTCCTAGGCTGAAGTGTAGTGGTGTGATCTTGGCTCACTGCAACCTCCGCCTCCCGGGTTCAAGCGATTCTCCTACTTTACTTAGCCTCTCGAGTAGCTGGGATTACAGACACATGCCACCACACCCAGCTAATTTTTGTATTTTTAGTAGAGACGGGGTTTCACCATATTGGCCAAGCTGGTCTCAAACTCCTGACTTCAGGTGATCCCCCCGCCTTGGCATCCCAAAGTGTTGGGATTACAGGCATAAGCCGCCGCACCCAGCCCCCATGTAATTTATTGCATAGTGTATTGAAAGTGAAAAACAGAATGGTTGTATGGGTATTTGAAGTTTCTACTGAATGCTTATTGTTTTCACACCATCCTGAAGTCAAAAAATCCAGTAAGTGGACCGTGCCTGGTGGCTCACACCTATAATCTCAGCACTTGGGGAGGCTGAGGCAGAAGGAATACTTGAGCCCAGGAGTTTGAGACTGGTCTGGGCAACATAGTGAGATCCTGTCTCTACAAAAAATAAAAATAGGTAAGCATGGTGATATGTGTCTGCAGTCCCAGCTACACAGGATGCTGAGGTTGGAGGATTGCTTGAGCCCAGGCAGTCAAGGCTACAGTGAACCATGATCATGTCATTGTATTCCAGCCTGGGGGACAGAGTGAGACCCTGTCTCAAAAAAAAAAAAAAAAGTGGAATCATTATAAGTCAGGGACCATCTGCATATATTTTATCATATGAAAGGGAACTGGAACTCAACATGCCTTAAAATTTTGTATATAGAGTTATTTATATATAATTGTTTCTGGATGGGATTTATGAGTAATTTTTTTCTTTTAATGTGCTACAGTCTACATTTTCTATGATAAACATGCATTACTTAAGCAAAACAAAATGATGACTTTTTTTCTGGAGACAGACAAGATCTCGCTGTGTCACCCAAACTGGAATACAGTGGAACAATCATGGAACAATCATAGCTCACTGCAGCCCCAAACACCTAGCCTCCAGCAATCCCCTCACCTCAGCCTCCTGAGTAGCTGGGATTATAGGCACGAGCCACCATGCCTAGCTCAATAATTACTATTTTTAAAAAAACAACATCACAACTAACAGATCTAGAAATGTAACCAGGCCGTAGGAGTGCCAAAGGCTTATTTTTTTTAATGAAGTATTAAAATTTTTTATTTTATCTAAAAAAAAAAAAAAAATGTAACCAGGCCTGAGAAAGCAGGTTGAGAGCAAAGAAGAAGCATTTTTTTTTTTTTTTCAGTTTAAAAAGCAATGACGGCTGGGCTTGGTGGCTCACACTTGTAATCCCAGCACTTTGGGAGGCTGAGGTGGGTGGATCACAAGGTCAGGGGTTTGAGACCAGCCTGGCCAACACAGTGAAACCCTGTCTCTACTAAAACTATGAAAATTAGCTGTCCATGGGGGTGGGTGCCTGTAATCCCAGCTACTCAGGAGGCTGAGGCAGGAGAATCGCTTGAAACCGGAAGGTGGAGATTGCAGTGAGCTGAGATCGTACCACTGCACTCCAGCCTGGGCAACAAGAGCGAAACTCCATCTCAAAAAAAAAAAGCAATGACTTGGCTGGTCGCAGCTGCTCACACCTGTAATCTCAGCACTTTGGGAGGCCGAGGCAGGTGGATCACTTGAGGCCAGGAGTTCAAGAACAGACTGGCCAACCTGGTGAAACCCCGTCTCTACTAAAAATACAAAAAATTAGCCGGGTGTGGTGGCGTGTGCCTGTAGTACCAGCTACTCCGGAGGCTGAGGCAGGAGAATCGCTTGAACCCGGGAGGCAGGGGTTGCAGTGAACCAAGATTGCGCCACTGCACTCCAGCCTGGACGACAGAGCAAGACTCCATCTCAAAAAAAAAAAGCAATGGCTTAAAATACCCACTGACCACCCTCCTCTGGGCTGCCTGCTCTTGTGTCTTCATCAGGTATGTGGTGGTGAGGATGCAGTTCTCTTCTAGATAAGGCACTGAAACGATGATGGTGCAGTGCATTTATTAGAAACTGCTGCAAAATTGTTAGAAACTGAGGCTATAATCTTTTCAAATATCTGAGATTTTACACATATATATGTTATTCTTTAATTCTACATTGTATTTTTACCATTTTCCCAGCACTCAAAATTAATAAAGCAACACAGTATGATAAATACTTAGGAGTTGCACAAGAAATGTATTTTTGTCAGTATGCTTCCCCCCCTCCTTTTGACAATTCACACTGGGGACAATAAAGATTAATCACACAAGGGAAAGTGAATAAGTGAAAACAAGTCCATTGGCAGTCACATAACAGCAGCTTAACTGTGCCTCCAGGTTGGGTACTTATTTATCATTACTCTCTCAGTATCCCTTTTAATTCAAGTTTTATTCCAACAATTCAAGAATCAGTCTATTAAAAATATTAAACTATAAAAAAAGCAATTATTATGCCAAAGGCACAAAATATTGAAATAGGTTTTACAACAAAAGTCTGTGCATGAGCCTATGTGTTATTATTTCAGCTCTTTGCTCAATCCAGTGGAATATTCTACACTCATTAGCTCTAGTGTTTATGAGAGTTTAACAACTGCTTGGTTTTCACGGCCAACATGATTATGCTCTGTCTTTGGTTCTCATACAGCTCTCTTTTGCATTCAGCTTACAGAATTTATTTATTTATTTGAGAAGGAGTCTCACTCTGTCACCCAGGCTGGAGTGCAGTGGCGCAATCTTGGCTCACTGCAACCTCTGCCTCCCAGGTTTGAGCAACTCCCCTGTCTCAGCCTCCCGAGTAGCTGGGATTACAGCCACCCACCACCACAGCCGGCTAATTTTTGTATTTTTGGCAGAGACGGGGTTTTGTCATGTTGACCAGGCTGATCTTGAGCTCCTGACCTCAGGTGATCCTCCCGCCTCGGCCTTCCAAAGTGCCAGGATTAGAGGTGTGAGTCCCCTCGCCTGGCCAGAATTGACTTTAAAACATAGCTAATATAAAGAACAGACTTGATACTCCAGAGTTTGGGGGCTTTAGAACCTGGCTCCCTGACAGAGCAATGAGTTCTTTGAAGGCAAGGACTATTCTATGCACTATAGCTTTATGTCCACCCTGGACTAGGTAGAGATTGAATGAATGGCTGAGTGATAAAAATAGCAGCTGGCACCAAAAAAAATGATTTTATGAATTAGTTTTGTTAGACCTTAGAAATAGCATACACTATTTTTTTTCTAATTTTTATTTATTTATTTTTTTTGAGACGGAGTCTCACTCTGTCGCCCAGGCTGGAGTGCGGTGGCGCAATCTCGGCTCACTGCAAGCTCCGCCTCCCAAGCTTACGCCATTCTCCTGCCTCAGCCTCCCGAGTAGCTGGGACTACAGGCGCCCGCCACCACGATCGGCTAATTTTTTTTGGTATTTTTAGTAGAGACGGGGTTTCTCCTTTTTAGCCAGCATACACTATTGTTAAGTACAAAGAGGAAAAAAAGTTTTGCAGTGGAGAAACCTGGCAGACACCACCTAATCCAAGTGATTAAAGTGGACATAATCATTAATGGGACAGATTGATGTGACGCATGAAGAAGGACAGTGTCAATTCCGGGGTATTCCTACAAAAGATGCATAACCTGACTCTACTCATGAGGAAACAGTAGACAGACCCAAAAGAAGAGACAGTTTGCAAAGCAACAGGCCTGTACCCTTCAAAAATGGCAATGTCAGGAAAGAACAAAAAATAAATCAATAAAAAACATTTAAACACTGAGAGGTGCTTCCAGATTAAAGAAGAGGCTTGGCACCTAAATGTATTTTATGATCTTGGATTCTAAATTGGCCAGAAAATTGCTTTAAATAACATCATTGAGAAACTGGCAAAATTTGAATGTGGACTGTAGCTTAAATCATAGTATTGCATGAATGTTCAACTTTCTGAATTTGATCATTTTCCCAGAACCATATGAGATAATGTATTTGTTTTTAGGGTATACATGCTGAAATATTTGGTTGGTATAAATGGTTCAACAAACATAGACTACCACAAGTCTAAGTGCAGTTTTACTTTTTGAGACAGAGTCTCGCTCTGTCACCCAAGCTAGAGTGCAGTGATATTGGCTCACTGCAACCTCCACCTCCCGGGTTCAAGCGATTCTCCTGTCTCAGCCTCCCCAGTAGCTGGGATTACAGGTGCCTGCCACCACGCCCTGCTAATTTTTGTATTTTTAGTAGAGACAGTTTTCACTATGTTGACCAGGCTGGTCTTGAACTCCTGACCTTGTGATTCGCCCGCTTCAGCCTCCCAAAATGCGGGGATTACAGGCATGAGCCACTGTACCCGGCCCTACGTGCAGTTTTAAGAAATTGAGGTGAAATTCACATAAGATAAAATTAATTATTTTATTTTATTTTTTAGAGACAAAGTCTTGCTCTGCCACCCAGGCTAGAGTACAGTGGCATGATCATGGTTTACTGGGACCCTTGTATGTAAAAAGGGGATAATATCTATGTCATACAATAGTTTTGATGGTTGAAAGAGAATATGAATGTGAACTTCAAACTCCTGGGCTCAAGTGATCCTTCTATCTCAGTCTCCTAAGTAACTGGGACTACAGGTGCGTGCCACCACACCTGGCTAATTTTTAAATTTTTATTTTATATAGAGAGGGAGTATTGCTGTGTTGCCTAGGCTGAACTCAAACTCCTGGCCCCAAGCAATCCTCCCACCTTAGCCTCCCAAAGTATTGGGTTATAGGCTTGAGCCACCATGCCTGGTCAGATTCACCATTTTAAAGTGTACAATTCAGTGACCTTTAATACATTCATGGCTGGGCGTGGTGGCTCACGCCTGTAATCCCAGCACTTTGGGAGGCTGAGACGGGCAGATCCCGAGGTCAGGAGATCAAGAGCATCCTGGCTAACAGGGTGAAACCCTGTCTCTACTAAAAATACAAAAACCTAGGCGTGGTGGCAGGCACCTATAGTCCCAGCTACACAGGAGGCTGAGGCAGGAGAATGGCATGAACCCAGGAGGCAGAGCTTGCAATGAGCCAAGATCGCGCCACTGCACGATCTGTGTGACAGAGTGAGAATGCGTCTCAAAAAAAACACAAAAAACAAAAAACATTCACAATGTGGTGCAACTACCACCTCTACGAACTCCAGAAGGAAACCTCAGACCTATTAAACAGTCATGTCCCATTTCCCCTTCCCATGAGTCCCTAGCAACCGCCAAGCTATCTTCTATCTCTATGGATGTACCTATTCTGGGTATTTCATATAAATGGAATCATGCAATATGGGGCCTTTTGTGTCTGGCTTTTTTTACTTAACATGTTTTTGAGTTCCATCCTCACTGTAGCATGCATCAATACTTCATTCCTTTTTATAGTTGAATAATATTTCATTGTACAAATGTACCTATTTTGTTTTTTCATTCATCCGTTGATGGGCACTTGGGTTGTTTCTGCTTTTTGGCTATTATGAACAGTGCTACTATGAACATTCACATACAAGAATTTGTTTGAGCACCTGTTTTTAATTCTTTTGGTATATAGCTAGGAGTGAAATTGCTGTATCATATGGTGAATGTATATTTAACTTTTAAAGAAACTACCAAATTGTTTTCTAAAGTGGCTGCATCATTTTATGGTTTGTACTGTTCTTACAACTCTCCTCAAAGTCTAAAATTATTTCAAAGTAAAAAAAAAAAAAATTAGTATGTGCATACTCAGGCAGAAGGACACCTAAGTGCACAAAAGTAGGGAAGTGATGAGTGAGCTTCATCCAACAGGCCAGACCTGCGTGTGAACTCAGATGGTTAGAATGACTGGCATAGGCAGCTTAATGGAAGTTTCCAGAGTGAAAATTTTTGTAAAGGATGACACAGTTTAAAAGTGCTATTAAAGCACTTCCATAATAAGAAACCCAGCCCTGGGCAGGTGGAGAGAACCCATGTGCCCAGCCTTTCTCTTCCCCTTTGGGGGCATCATTAGCAGCTCTATGGGTGCACAATCCATTTGTTGACTACATGCATGAGTGAGCATGGTCTCCCTTTTATAAATGGGCATCCATGGGAAACTGCAATTTTCCTTACAGAAGTCTGCCTGATTGCTAGTTTTGATGGTTAAAAGAGGATACGAGTGTGAAAGTTCTGCAAAGTCATAAAGCACTGATAGACAATGAATGAGGATTATAACTAAGGCCTCTACATTCGGTTCACACCATTGTTAGTTCCTCTTCCTCCTGAGAATGTGGTCCCCCAACCAGCCACTTGGTACTCCCTGGGAACTTGTGAGAAATGCAGACTCTCAGGCCAGCCTAGAAGTCTGAACCAGAATCTGCATTTCAACAAGATCCCCAGGTGATTGGCAGGCCTATTAAAATTTGGGTAATGCTGCTTTAATGCAGAGATACCTAAACTTTTCTAACTATAACAACCATCTGGGACTACTTATTAAATAATTCCAGTTCTCTTGCTTCCCTTAGTGGAGATTAATTCAATGACTCTATGGTGAGGCCCTGGAATGTGAATTCTCCAGATGAGTCTCCTGATCAGAAAAGTTTGTTAAGCAATACTTCAAATGCGTAGCTTTAAAGGAAAAGGGGATCCTGGTGTGGTGGCACATGCCTGTAATCCCAGTGACTTGGGACGCTGAGGCAGGAGGATCCCTTGAACTCAGGAGTTCGAGGCTGCAGTGAGCTATGATTGCACCACTGCACTCCAGTCTGGGCAACAGATGAAGAAAATCTCTTAAAAAATAAATAAAGTAAAATAAAGACAAATGGGGAGGCCGGGCAAGATGGCTCACGCCTGTAATCCCAGCACTTTGGGAGGCCAAGGCAGGCAGATCACCTGAGGTCAGGAGTTTGAGACCAGCCGGGCCACCATGGTGAAACCCCATCTCTACTAAAAAAAAAAAAGTACAAAAATTAGCTGGGCCTGGTGGCGCGTGCCTGTAATCCCAGCTACTCGAGAGGCTGAGACAGAAGAATCACTTGAACTGAGGAGGCAGAGGTTGCAGTGAGCCGAGATAGCGCCATTGTACTCCAGCCTGGGCAACAGAGCAAGACTCCATCTCGGAAAAAAAAAAAGAAAGAAAAAGAAAGGAAGACAAAGGACAAAGGGGGAAATCTACCTCCTGGAGAGACGAGAGACTATAAGATATCGTTTTGCATGACTGGATGTTAGTTCAAGGATCTCTGAGATGCACTGTTTCTGGAGGACTGCCAGGCTCAGGATCAGGCTTTCTCTCATCTCAGACAAAGCTTTGGCCTGTGGGATGCCTACAATTTCAGCACTTTGAGGGGCCAAGGCAGGAGAATAGCTTCAGCCCAGGAGTTCGAGACCAGCCTGGGCAACATGATGAGATCCCCTCTCTACTTAAAAAAAAAAAAAAAAAAAAATTAGCCAGGAGTGGTGCTGCACACCTGTAGTCCCAGCTACTTGGGAGGCTGAGGTAGGAGGATTGCTTGAGCCTGGAGATAGAGGCTGCAGTGAGCAGTGATTGTGCTACTGCGCTCTAGCCTGAGCAACAGAGTGAGACTGTCTCAAAAAGAAGAAGAAAAAGGGCCAGGCGCAGTGGCTCACACCTGTAATCCCAGCACTTTGGGAGGCCGAGGCGGGCAGATCACGAGGTCAGGAGATTGAGACCATCCTGGCTAACACGGTAAAACCCCGTCTCTACTAAAAAGTACAAAAAATTAGCCTGGCATGGTGGCGGGCACCTGTAGTCCCAGCTACTTGGGAGGCTGAGGCAGGAGAATGGCGTGAACCCGGGAGGTGGAGCTTGCAGTGAGCCAAGATTGCGCCACTGAACACTAGCCTGGGTGACACAGCAAGACTCTGTTTCAAAAAATAGAAGAAAGAAGAAGAAAAAGAAAGCTAAAGCTTTACTGATTCTCTGCTTTATGCCAAACGCAGTGTTCATCTTTCATCTGCCTTCTTTCCTGTGTCTCTCCATGTTTTCTCCTTTTCTGTCTCTCTGAGAACACTTGCGATTGGATTTAGGGCCCACCCAGATAATCCAAGATGATCTCATTTCAAGAGCCTTAACTTAATTACATTTGTAAAAATGCTTTTTCCAAATAAGGTCACATTGACAGGTTTCAGGGGTTAAGATGTGGACATGTCTTTTTGGGGCCATAATTCAGCTCACTCCATGAGGCATGGAGCGCTCCTTATTTCCTCTGCCCCGGGAGAAAGGCGATTTGTGCTAAAAAGATAGGTAGACAGAAGGGAGAACTGGAGAACAGGCCTGCTCTATCATTCTTCCTCTAGCTGTTCTTGCTTCCCAGGATTTCTCTTTACTCCCAACTTCATGACCCTCAGCTTTGGACCCCACTGTTATGGGGACGTCTTTCCAGGTTTCACAATTCAAATTCCCAAGTATTCAAAGGTTGCTGGCCTGCCTGAGAAAGTGCTGGTATTAGGTTAGGCGTCTCTCCCTGATCTGATATGTTGGTGTCTTGGAAAGGTGGGAAGGGTGGGTAGCGCCACAAGATTCAAAACCTGTCCTCCAAGCCCTGTTCGTTCAGTGTCTCTAGCGAGCTGGTGGAGCAACAGCCTCCCTTAGAAGGAGCATATTTGAGCAGACCTCTCTTGCACAGGCCCTTGGAGGAGAATGCAATGGAATCCTGGGTTTCACATTGTACCCGAGCCTGTGTTCCATTTATCAAAGTGCCAAACTCCCTGTAAGGTAGTCACACTTTTAAGGGGACATACAGCATGAATCCTGGGGTCATGTTCTAAGGAGGCTCTGGCAATGATTTAATCATAGTAGCAGTCCTATTCGTTGAGCACCACTTTCATTTTCTCGTTTAATTTTTTTTTTTCTAGATGGAGTCTTGCTCTTTCGCCTAGGCTGGAGTGCGGTGGGATGATCTCAGCTCACTGCAACCTCTACCTCCTGAGTTCAAATGTTTCTCCTGCCTCGGCCTCCCGAGTAGCTGGGATTACAGGCTGGCACCACCATGCCTGGCTAATTGTCTTGCTTTTTTTTTTTTTAAGTAGAGATGGGGTTTTGCCACGTTGGTTAGGCTGGTCTGGAACTCCTGACCTCAGGTGATCGCCCGCCTTGGCCTCCCGAAGTGCTGGGATTACTGGCGTAAGCCACTGCGCCTGGCCTTCTCCTTTAATCCTTATAACAATGCTGCAAAGGAGTCCATTCCATGGAGGAGGAAGTCGGGGCTAATAGAGGCTAAATTACTTGCCCAAGGTCACCTGGCTCCTAAGTACAGCACCAATGAGCCCAGTCTTCTCCACTGCAATTGCTCTGTAATGGCTGTTCCCATTCATGCTACACATTAATCACTCCCTATGGAAATCATGTCAGAATTAATTGAAAGCCAAGGGCACTGGGAGAAAAGGGAGGCCTGGATTTTGTGGAGCCCTGATTTGGAATGATAATACACATAAGTACAGGGAAATGGATGTGTGGAGTAAGTGCTGGGGAAACTTACCCATTCCAGCAGAAGCATTTAGCATCTTACATTCTTTTGCACAATCTTTTCTTCTCTATGGTATCACTGAGGATTTGTTGCCTATAAAAATGTGAGGGAAATTAATTAAAAGTATTTATTTTGCCCCAATTAGAGATGAACTATGGGGGGCTCTAGCAGAGAATAGCAAAGACCCCTGTGGAACTATGAGATCCCTGTAAATATTCTGAGATGCAACTACATAGCTTCAGACCCTGGAATGGGAGGGAAACCCCTGCATAGGGAGCAGTAAATTACCAACTTCTCCAGTAAATGAGAAAGTGACTCTGCTGGCCACTGGGAGCGGGGCTGCAGAAGCCCTATGAGGTTTTCTGGAGGAATCCTGCTTCCGTTCCTTCCCATTTCCCAGGTTTGGCTCAACACCGTGATCCATGGTTACTGCGACCCTCAGGAAATTGCTGCTGTGGGAGCCTCCTCTTTTCCCAATCTACCATGCATACTCTTATTAGTCTTCAGACAATAATAATAATAATAATAATAATAATTATTATTATTATTATTATTATTTTGATGGAGTCTCGCTCTGTCGCCCAGGCTGGAGTGCAGTGCGCGATCTCGGCTCACTGCAAGCTCCGCCTCCCGGGTTCATGCCAATCTCCTGCCTCAGCCTCCCCAGTAGCTGGGACTACAGGCGCCTGCCACCATGCCCGGCTAATTTTTGTGTTTTTAGTAGAGACGGGGTTTCACCGTGTTAGCCAGGATGGTCTCCATCTCCTGACCTCGTGATCCGCCCGCCTCGGTCCCCCAAAGTGCTGGGATTACAGGCGTGAGCCACCGCGCCCGGCCTCAAAAATTAATTTTGAAAATAATGATATAATCTTTAAAAGAATTGTATTTCCAGTGGGCAGCACTCGCTTGATACAGAGCAGCAGGGCCATGTAACCTGGCTTCTAAATCATCACCTCTTTGGGTCCGCACGTATTTTTTATTTTTTATTTTTCATGCTTCAAATGCACCTTTGCAGAAGGAGATGAACTGGGGGACATGTTAGCGCCTCCACGGGCCTGCTGAGCTCTGTTGGCTGCGTGTGCTAAAAATAACTGGAGAGGTTAAAAAAATGTTGAAGCAGATTTAGGGGCTCTTCTGGAAAATGAAACACAGAAGCTGGGCCCTGGGTGGTTCTATTTAAAGCCGATCATCATCTCATCCATTCCTGTGGATTTACATGCGAAGACTCTACTCCCCAGCGGCTGGCTGAGGGAAGGAGGGTCTGATCTGCGTTAGGACTCACCTCCTCCCACGACCCTCTGCAAAGCAGCAGCTGTCCAGAGAAAAAGGAGTGCGCTGGGTCTGGCAAGCAGCTCAGTTCTTTCCTTCCACAATTGTCCCTTTGAATTGAGGAAAGCGAAAATAAAGTTTTCAAGGCCAATTTCACAATTTCATCTTCTGTGAAAAGCAAAATCAACGAGGCTATGAAAAATTACAAGCAGTTAAAACACTTTCATGTCGTCTTTCCCAGAGAGAGAGAGAGAGAGAAAGAGAGGAAATCAGACTGCTTTGTTCAAAGCAACGGCCAACTCAAGCCCTTTTTTTTCTTTCTTTCTTTTCCTTTTTTTTTTTTTAAACACATCTGGTCTCAATCTTTATACACCAGTGGACAAAAGCAATTAGACAGCTCTGTTTTCCACGTCATAATAATGGAAGTCATATATTTTCCATGGCTGTCTCATTTGGTTACCCAGCTCTGCAGAAATGGACTAAATGGAATTTAAAATGTGGGTCTTTTCTTGACAGTGTTGTTAGTGACCTGAGGGATAAGTGCTCCAGCATCTTCTAGAACCACCAGAAGTGAAAGAATAGATATTGCAAGTGTAGGCAAATAAACCTCAACGTAATTTACATGCCTGTGGGACAGGCCCTTCACAATCCTGTCTTTCCAACAAGCCCGGGGGGACAGGGATGCCTTTTTAGGATGGGTTCAGATTTGGAACGATCTCTTGACAAATCTGCTAGAGGATGCTAGAGGAGCTTTCATTTAAGGTGAAACTTCCGCTTTCTCATTGTATTGGTGAGAATTCTCTTGGTTGCCAGGGAGAGTCAACCTAACCCAGCCTGAGTAAAACAGAGAATTGGTTCGTATAACTAACCATAAGAAGACGAATCTGGTCAGACTCAACTGATTCCGAGGCTTCTTGCAATGCTATCTTCTTTTCTGCTCCCTCCACCTCTCCCGAGATTAGCAACTCCAAGAAAAGGATTGGCTTGGTATCAACAGTTCCAGCAATAATTCTGTAGTTATTCTCACTAAGTCAGGTGCCCATCCTTAAAATGGCTACAGGCTTGGGTCAGTGGTCCATTCCTGAAGATGAGAGTGGGGTCTGCTCCATCAAACCACAGGACTGAGATTGGGTAGGGCCTGACTCCACGAAAGAAAATTGTGTTTCAGCTTCAAAAGAAGAAGGGATGGATGCAAGATGCCATAGCTAGCCTATGTGGGACCCTTGTGAGTTGGAAACAGGCACCCCCTCCAGGCTGATGCAGACCTATGCCCCCACTTCTTGGGGAGCAGATGGCACCTTTGACCTGCCTTCCTCTGGGCAGAAGAAAACCCACACCTAGGACAGATAGTTGAGTGAGCAGAACTAAAGGTGGATATTGACTCAATTGACTCCTTGGCAGGACAACATTGTGCTGTGTGACAGACACCTGAACACTGTAAGTGGTGGCACTGGTGGGCAGGAAAACCAACATATGTCCTCCACATCCACCCCCAACCATTCTAAAATAGATGCCTTACCCCAAGTTTTCTTGCCTGACGTGCTTAAACTGTGGCTTATTCATTAGAACGTGCACATCAGCCATTTTACAACTAAATGTTTGCTCAAACTTGGGTGTGTGATGTTAACCCATAGAGGGAGCACTGGGATGGAAAAGTCCAGACCTGGGGCCCAGGAGGCCTGGGATTGATTGCAGCTCTGTGTTTACTATGAGGGCATACTTGCTGTAGTCCTGAGGCTTTTTTAGATATCAGCTTCCTCATTTGTAGGATAAGGGGACCCTTCCCAAAATCCTTCCTTCCTACTCAAGGTCCAGATTAGAAGGAGGCCTGTGGTTTGGGGGTCTTTCTTTTCTCCCAGTTTCCCACTGTTTGTGCCAACAAGTATAATTCTACCTCCAGCCCCCTTCCCCCAGCTGGTCTCCTCAGAAGAAGTTGGTGAAGTTGGTGGTTTTACCGCATTTAGTCGGTTTTACCGCATTTAGTTGGTGGTTTTACCGCATTCACAACAAGAAGTTGTGAAGTTGCTGGTTTTACCGCATTTAGTCACATTTGATCACCTCCAGCTCCCCCTTCAGCAGGTTGTAATTTCCCTCCCAAAAGACATTGGTGATACACAAACCCCCTTTTGCCTGTTAGGCAAATTAGCACCCACTCACCAACCTGGGCCCCTGCAGAAGCTGGCTGGGGACAAACACAATGCATTTGAAAGACCTGAAAATGCAAAGCTCAGCAGTGGCTGACTTCTGTCCCGTGAGGGTCAGGCCCTCTCAGCCTGAGCAGAGGGAGGGCCATTAAACAGGGGCATCTGCAGCAGAGGAAGGGACCCTGCCCTGTAAACCCAACGTTTCCTGCTGCAGGGGGCCCCTGCCAGTGCTGAGAATAGACTTACAGGGAAGAAGTATTCTTCATCATCTTATATGCGGGCACTTAACAGCCTCTTTGCATTTGCCAACCACAAATTCTAGCGCCAAGCACAGAACCCCACACATATCCTATCTCCTCTGTTAGTCTATCAGAACCAAATTTCCTTTTAGGTCATTGTGCCTGGCCCCCGCCACTTTGGCCTGCAATAGTGAGGGCAGAGTGACTAGGTTCATCTCTGCCAGAGCTGCTGGGGGAGGGCTTGGGGACCATGTAAAATGTTCTTTGGGGTGAGTTAGTCTGCTTCTATCTTACCACTCACAGTCAAATTGGTCTTCCAAGGCCTAGAGACTCTGAGTGGGGTTAATCAATGCCTATGGGTGCCACTGGGTGCCACTAGTGGAATATTTTGGGGTCCAAACAACCAGTCATACACATAAAAAAGACCTGTTAATAATTTCTGCTTTATCATTCAGTGTCTTTGGGAGTTCAGAGCATACACAGGGAAATATAATAATGCTGATGCCTATATTTATAGAATACCATTCTGTCCTCATAGCGCTTTTATAGCGTGGATAGTTTAGTAGTTAAATGCTTGAAGTAAATCTTGACTCCTCCAAAGACTAAGAAAACTTCAGTACATTACTTAACATCCTGGAGCCTCTGTTTGCTTCTCTGTAAAATGCAAGATAATAACAGCCTTTACCTTTACAAGTCTGGGGAGAGTTAATTGCAGTGGTCTATGTTAAGCTCTCAACACATGGTCAGACATAGAATGATGGTTCAATACATGTTAGTGACTACTTTTTTTTTTTTTTTTTTTTTTTTGAGACAAAGTTTTGCTCTTGTTGCCCAGGCTGGAGTGCAGTGGCGCAATCTCAGCTCTCCAAAACCTCCA